>NC_000001.11:24349163-25599163 GCF_000001405.40 Homo sapiens
TGCCCCAGAGGAAACTTCAGAAGCTCTGGGGAGACAGGCTGACACTGGCTGTGTGATCTCAGGCAGGTCACTCAACAAGCCTCTGACCCACAGTCTCCTCATGCAGGGAAGTAAGTTCCAACATTTTCGGATGTGACGGAGTCAGTTAACCTGGGGTCTAGGCCTTGGGCGCGTGGCTTATGCTGTTTGAGCTCCGCATGCTCGCCCAACAAATGGGCTTAATAATTCCGGCCTAAAAGGGGGAGATGTCTGGGCTTTCCCCTGTCCCAGCAGGGCAAGCAGCATCTTCATTGCTCTGCTTCTGAAAAAAACAACACTGACCGCTTATTCAGGGCTCAGTACGCGCCAGGAGCTGTCTTAAGTGTTTAATGTGGATCAATCCACTTAATTCTTCCAGCAACCCTCTGAGGTGGGCACTGTTCCTGTCTCCACAGGTAGCTTGCACGAGGCCAGCCAGCTGGTACATGGGTGCACCCTCAGCACTAGGACAGTTTCAATATCTCATGGGCAAGTTCAGGGAAATGGTAGATGCTCTTCAGGATATTTTTCAGCCACTAAAAATGCTGCTTGACAAGTGTTTGTTGTGACATAGGAAGGCTTATACTAGGATGATAAGTAAAAAGATATATAAAACCATGTGGAACCTAAAAACATTTATACACACAACCGTACGTACACATGACCAAAAGATGGGAAGATGCACACCCAGATGTTAATGGTGTCTATCTCTGAGAAACAGGATTATAGATGATTGTAATTTTCTTCTTCATATTTGCCCACAATATGCATATGTTTTACTTTTGTAATCAGGAAGTAAAAAAAGTGATGGCATAAAAGACTTGTATAAATCTAGCGTGGGCAGCAGGCAATGAATCACCTGTCTTTTCCTTCCAGATCTCTGAGAAGTATGGGTTCCCTGAAGAGAACATTTACAAAGTCTACAAGAAATGCAAGCGAGGGTGAGTGCCTAGTTCACCCTCCCCCAGCTGGTTGCTCAGTGCTGAGCAATGTTTGTACTTGGCCTTTGTGGAGGGGCTGAGGGGATGTGGAGTTGGGGTGGAGAGCTCCCCAGCCAGGCCAAAGCCACTGGTCACCTCTCCATCTGCAGAGACCAGACATGGGTCACAACTGGGAAGGATGGGAGTGGGAGACAAGTGGAAGGGTTGTTACATATATGACCTCCTGGGTGGGGTGGAGGGAGAAGTGGAGGGTCATGTGTCAGAAGACCCAGGTTCAAGGCCACTGGGAAACCAAGCCATTTGATTATAAAGATAATGATTATAGTGACCACCATCCCCTTGAGCACTCACTATGTGTCAGACACGAGGCTAAGCACACACTACTTAACTCTCACAACCATACTAAGAGGTAAATACCATAGTCCTCATTTGACAGATAAGGAAACTGAGGCTCAGAGGTAATAAGCAGTGTTCAGGGGCAGGAGAAGTGGATCAAAGGCATGAGGCAGGCAGGCCCAACAAAGTTGTTACTGACAGAGCCGTAGGCAGGAAGGGAGTGGCTGGCGATGAGTCTGGAAAAGGAGTTGTGATTGGGAGTCATTTTGAGGGAATCCAGCCAGGGATGCTCCACAGGCCTCCTCCATCTTTGCTAGACAGACTAGGCCAGGAATAAAGCTGTACCCTCCAGGGGGCAGGCAGTGCCTGGCTGCCTACCATGGGCTCCTGGGCACCAGAGTACCTTTGTTGTCTGCTCAGAAGATCCCTTGGGAAAGGGAGGTAGGGTCACATGGTAACTGTCCTCCAGACATCAGTCCCCTGGTCAGAGCTAGTGAGCCTGTCCTCTGCAGCCCTTCCTGAGTAGGTGACTTCACCAGCCTGGCATAGGGCCCCCAGACAGTGAGGAATTGTCATTGCTGTTGCCAGCCCAGAGGCCCCAGAACCAGAGCCCTGGGAAATGCACTCCTAGCCCCTCTGCCCACAGCTCCAATCTGATCCTCTTGCTGTGGATAGTCTAACTCGAGCGACATTTGCTAGTAGCCCCTTGGAGGTGCTCAGCCACTTGCCCCGTGGCTACTGCAAGTGGATCTTCCTTTGTAGAAGACTTTGCAAAGCGAGGCAAGTTTTGTACTCAAGCTGAATCCCCATCTCATCAGGCCTAGGGGCCTGGCCGCCTTCCTCACAGGCCCAGCCCTGCCTGCCTTCCTCCTCCTTGGTTCCTTCCTAGCCTTCCATAGAAGGCTGAGGGTGGGGGAAGGTGTCCATCCCTGCAGCCCCTGGGAAGGGGGTTTTTTTTGGTTTTAGCTGCATGCATGTCTAGAGTTTTTCGTGTGTCTTTTTTTTCCAAGTTTCGGTTTCCATCTGAGTCTCACATGCTCTGTAGAGTGAAATCCACTTCACGGCAAAGGGCAGGCTCTGCTTTCCCCAGACAAGCCCAGCCCCACTCTCCCTTCAGCTCCAGTGCCCATGCCCCCTGGCTCCAGCCCCACCTGTGGCAGGCCTCCCTTACCAATCCCACTCCAGGCCAGGCTGTGTGATTGCATGGGGGGGTGGGAGGGTGGGGTGTGTGTACAAGGATGTTCCCCAGCCCCACTGGCTGAGTTGCCAGAGGCTTCCCCTTAAGCCCCAGCCAGCTATTGAAATCATAATTCTAAAACCTTCCATTTATGGGGCACTTCCTACATGCCAGGCACTGGGCTGCATCACTCCCAAGCATCATCTCGTTGACCCTTTGAGCTGGGTATCATTATCTCTGTTTGTACGTATGGGGAAACTGAGGTCTGCAGTAGTTACAAGGTCATGAGTTAGGAACTGGCAGAAGCATCTTGGACTTCTAAAGCCTGTACAGGCATCCACTCTGTTATCCTGCCTCCTGCTTGTTCCTCTAATCACTACGCAATGTGCAAATAAAGGATGCAGCCAGGCTGGCCAGTTTATTTGCCCAGCACCATAGCCAGGGCATCACTCAGCAGCCCTTCACAGGCACCCCACACACCCCCACGGCCGTGAAAACATCAGCCCCAGGACTGTCTGAAATGTCTGAATGACAGTGTTCCCCAAAATAGATCTTAGGAGAGGAGAGGCCAGGCTCATCTTCTGCCTCCCTCTGAGTCCTCATGTGAGAAACAGGAAATTCTGATCAAAGGCCTGGTTTATTTTCATAAAACCCTCCCGAAAGTCCTCTGGATGAAGGTGGATAGAGTCAGCTTTACAGGCCCCACTAAGTGCTGCAAAGATGAGCAAATACATTGTTTTTGCTGGCAGCTGGCCAGGGGTTTAATGTGACTCAGGACTGAAGACAGCTAGAAGGTGGCAAGTAACAAGAGGCCCACATTTGGTGACAGTGGTACTGCCTCTCAGGGGCCCGCTGTCATTAACTTTTGAGAAGAGGGGTCTGTGGGCCCATCTGGAAGCCCTCTTGTGCAGGTGTGAGCAGGTGTGAGCTTGGCAGATGTGAGCAGGTGTGAGCTCAGGGCGCTGGAAGGCCCTGCTAGGGAGTGGGACGGATCCAGCCTTCCAGCTGGTACATATCAGTTACTTCACAGTGCCTGGCACCTAGAAGCACGCAATCAATGGCAGACAAAACAACCCTGATTTTGAAAAAGGACCCACCCCTCTGCCCAGTTCTGGTCTCCCCTGGTCTGTTTCCGACCTCCCGTGCCCAAAGAGCCCTCTGTGAAATGAAGGAACTCCAGGCAGGACCCAAGAAAGGGGAGCCTATGATTACACATTGGCAGTCAGCGCTCAAACCACTGACAGCCCAAGCCTGGACCTTCTTCCTGAGAGCGGCAGGGAGAGACAACTGGATGTGGGCCATGCCTTCGGGTCCATGTTGTCTCCATTGCCCTCGGGGGGTCCTCGTGCCTGCCGCTCCTGCGCCACTTCAAAGAACTCTCCCATAGCCCTGGATTTTGCCTTCCTTCTATCTGCTGCTTCTTAACTTGTATTTATAGGGCTTTGTTTCCTTCTAAAAATGATACAGTAGAAAGAGAAAAGGTTCAAATCCCAGCCCTGCCATCTATGAACTGTGTGACCTTAGACAAATAACTTTGTTTCTTTGAACCTCAGCTTCCCCATTTATGAACTGGGGTAATATGAGGATTCATCCTCCCAGTCCCTACTAGATTCAAAACTCCTGGAAGGCAGGAACTAGGTCTAATTCATCTCCATATGGTCCTTGTTTTTGAGCAAAGCCCTGCACATGGAAAGGCCTCAGTGAATATAGGGGATGAATGGGAAGATGACGGCAGGTGGGCAGGTGGATGGAGGATGGTGGATGGGTGGGGGTGTGGGTAGATGGTGCATGAGTGGGTAGATGGACGAGTAGATGCCAGGTAGGTGTGTGTGTGGGTGTGTAGTAGAGGGTAGATGGGGGTGTGTATGGGTGGGTAGATGGTGGATGGGGGTGTGGTTGGGTGGGTGGATGATGGATGGGGAGTGTGTGTATGTGAATGAATGGTGGATGGTGAATGTGTGGGTGGATATACCCAACTCCATTACATGCTCAGAAGACAGCAGGGAAGGGGCAAGGAGAAGGTTGATGTGATCAGCTCAAGTCACATCTTGGTGGGTCCTTCATCAGGAGCAGCTTCTAGAGGGCTGCTCTTTCTTTGGCATAAACAATGGCTCTGACTCCCTGCAGGGGCCCACAGCCATGAAGATTCCGTCTCTCTCAGGTTGACCCAGGTCCTTGCCTGGAGAATATGGGGAGAGAGTGGGCCTAGCCCCTCAAGTCTATCGGACAATCCTCCTGAGATTTCAGCTTCCTGGGAATGGAACTGGGAGGGGCTTGTGTGGCACCTGCCTCTGGCTCAGGCATGCCTGAGGGACACATCCTAGCCTCTTGTTGAACCCAACCCACCACCCCTCCGGGGCTTGAACTCACACTTCATGTCCGAGTCCTCAATATGGTGACTAAGGGAGCACTGCGTCTCCCCCAGATCTACATACTAGTTGCTTGAGTGTCCATCCTCGGGTGTACCAGGAGAGAGGCAATCCGGCGCAGTAGCTGTGAGTGTGGGGGCCAGCAGGCCTGGGTTGGGTTGTGGCTCGGCCACTGGGCATTGTGCAGTAAAGGAGACTGTGACTCCCTCACCTCGTGGGGTTGTTGTGAGGATCAGAGGGAAGGTTTGTGAGGTGCCTAAAATGTGGCAGGTACCCACTGGGTATGACCCATCACTCATCCTGGTCACTCAGAAGGCCTGAAAACAGGGCGCCTGCTGTGTTCCAACCACATCCCCTCTTCCATTCCAGAATCTTAGTCAACATGGACAACAACATCATTCAGCATTACAGCAACCACGTCGCCTTCCTGCTGGACATGGGGGAGCTGGACGGCAAAATTCAGATCATCCTTAAGGAGCTGTAAGGCCTCTCGAGCATCCAAACCCTCACGACCTGCAAGGGGCCAGCAGGGACGTGGCCCCACGCCACACACAACCTCTCCACATGCCTCAGCGCTGTTACTTGAATGCCTTCCCTGAGGGAAGAGGCCCTTGAGTCACAGACCCACAGACGTCAGGGCCAGGGAGAGACCTAGGGGGTCCCCTGGCCTGGATCCCCATGGTATGCTTGAATCTGCTCCCTGAACTTCCTGCCAGTGCCTCCCCGTACCCCAAAACAATGTCACCATGGTTACCACCTACCCAGAAGACTGTTCCCTCCTCCCAAGACCCTTGTCTGCAGTGGTGCTCCTGCAGGCTGCCCGTTAAGATGGTGGCGGCACACGCTCCCTCCCGCAGCACCACGCCAGCTGGTGCGGCCCCCACTCTCTGTCTTCCTTCAACTTCAGACAAAGGATTTCTCAACCTTTGGTCAGTTAACTTGAAAACTCTTGATTTTCAGTGCAAATGACTTTTAAAAGACACTATATTGGAGTCTCTTTCTCAGACTTCCTCAGCGCAGGATGTAAATAGCACTAACGATCGACTGGAACAAAGTGACCGCTGTGTAAAACTACTGCCTTGCCACTCACTGTTGTATACATTTCTTATTTACGATTTTCATTTGTTATATATATATATAAATATACTGTATATATATGCAACATTTTATATTTTTCATGGATATGTTTTTATCATTTCAAAAAATGTGTATTTCACATTTCTTGGACTTTTTTTAGCTGTTATTCAGTGATGCATTTTGTATACTCACGTGGTATTTAGTAATAAAAATCTATCTATGTATTACGTCACATTACTTCACATGCTGCTCTCGTTCCTTTTGGGAGAGTCTGCTGGAAAGAGATGGCTACATTGGTCGGGGCCTCGCTCCTCTTTCTCCCTTCGCTCTGGCTCTGTGCGGAGAACGGGTTGCCCTGGACTTGAAGGATGCTGGGACGTGCAGGGCACCGGTGGAGCAGAGGTGCCCCCTCTGGAAGGCAGCAGATTCCTGATGCCCAGATGTTTGTGTTTGAATGTTACAGCCTCAGGATCATTGACTCTGCAGAGAAAGTCCTGGGAAGGGTGTAGAATGAGCTTGAAGAGGACCTCACAGCTGAGGCCATCAGGCAGCACCCAAGGCTGGGAGCCACATGACCTGAGTCTTGTGCCAGCTCTGCGCCTACTCTCTAGGCCAAGCCACGTTCCCTGCAGCCAGCTCCTACAGCTCACAGAAGCAATTGCAGGTATCTCTTCCCAACTCTGAAGGAGTGTGGTCATGTTGGCACATTGAAATCAGCCATGGTGACAGTCAGAAATTGACAAATGCTACAAATCAAGGCCTTTATTTTCCTTAGAGAACAAATCACAGATTCAGGCTTGCTTTCTTTTCATTTATCTTTTTTTTTTTTTTTTTCTTGCGATGGAGCCTCGCTTTGTCACCCAGGCTGGAGTGCAGTGGCATGATCTTGGCTCACTGCAACCTCCGCCTCCCGGGTTCAAGCGATTCTCCTGCCTCAGCCTCCTGAGTAGCTGGGACTACAGGTGCCTGACACCACGCTTGGCTAATTTTTGTATTTTTAGTAGAGACGGGGTTTCACCATATTGGCCAGGCTGGTCTCGAACTCCTGACCTTGTGATCCACTCGCCTCAGCCTCCCAAAGTGCTGGGATTACAGGCGTGAGCCACTGCACCTGGCCAGTTTTTGTCTCTTTTAGATCAGTTCCTCCATTGCCTCATTTATCTTTTTTTTTGTTTTTTTGAGACGGAGTCTGGCTCTGTCGCCCAGGCTGGAGTGGAGTGGCACGATCTCGACTCGCTGCAAGCTCCGCCTCCCGGGTTCACGCCATTCTGCCTCAGCCTCCTGAGTAGCTGGGATTACACGTGCCCACCACCATGCCCGGCTAATTTTTTGTATTTTTAGTAAAGATGGGGTTTCACCGTGTTAGCCAGGATGGTCTCGATCTCCTGACATCATGATCCACCCACCTCGGCCTCCCAAAGTGCTGGGATTACAGGCGTGAGCCACCGTGTCCGGCCACATTTATCTTTTTTAAGCTGCCAAGTTGAAGTGGGTCTTTCTTCCTTTGGGAGAGCAGACTTACCAGCCACTGCTACCTGTAGCCCTCAGTTTCTTTGGCTATAAAATGCAGGTCATGATCTCTGTTGGTTGTTTGTAATTATCATCTTCAGAGCCTCAGGGCTCACTGGTGGGTCTCCAAGGCCACTACAATGCGAGGAAGGGGCTGCAGCAGTCCCTGCGTACCCTCCCTAACTCCATCACTGCAGCTCTGCTTCTCTCCACTTAAATATTTGGGTTTCTCGTAAACATCTGTCTGAGTAAAACTTTTTTTAAAAAGGTGTGAAAACCATGATCCCTCTAAGAACCTCCCAGCGCTGACAGTCTGTGGTCCTAATTCCCAAGCCCCTACCTAGAGTCAAGGCTATGGGCAGGTGAGTCTCTAGCCTAAGGCACAAAAATTAAGGGGTACCCAAAAGCTCAATAAGCAAGATAAATAAGTTTAATGCAATATTTTTAAAATTAAGGCCCCCCCCCCCAAAAAAAAAATCCATGGTGAACAAAACATCACAGTTTTAAAGACAGGATTCGTATTACTGATGTTTCCTTTTGCCTCGGGTTCCCATTAGGCTTGCCTGCCCCTGTGGGAGGGACCCAGTGGGGCACCCAGAGTTGCTCTGCCCAGGCGAGGCCTCACTGTGGCTGTGACGCACCCTTGATGTCAGAACGAGGTGATGTGTGAAGGTTAAATGACAGAGGAGTGTGGAACCACAGCCATGCTGTAGGTGCTCCAGGTGCTCTGCGTGTACAAAGTTCCCACCTCCTGAACTTCCCACCCAGCTCCCCTCCCAGAGCCAGTTAGGAAGCTGGAAGGTGGCGCTTCTCAACCTACACCTATCATTGGAATCACCTGGGTGGCTCCTGCCTCCCCACTGCCCAGACCCCACCCTGGAGGAGTTAAATCAGCATTTGTGGGTGGGCCCCAGGCCTCAGTACTTTTTAAAGTCCCCAGGTGATTACAGTGTGCAGTCAAGGCTGAGAACCACTTCTCTGGAGAGGCCACAGTTGTACAGGCCTTGGAGGCTTTGTAACCTCTCGGTATCTGGCGGGGTTAATGTACAGAAAGACTAAACAGCGTCAGTCAAAGCCTGCTGGGAGATCAGAAAAGGAGCCTGGCAGCTCCCCACCCACCGCGAATCTGTGCAGCCTCCACCAAAACCACTAGGGCACATTTCTTTTTCCCTCCACATAGAGAGACGAAAGCTATCAGGCCTAGACAGGCCATGTGGACTCCATGGAAGGGCCTGTAAGCCTTGAGAAAATTCAGTCCCGCCAGCAGAGAAAGTCAGGGAAAAGCGCAGCCCCCGGGCCCGGCCACTGCCATTCCAAGATGATCTCCCACTCCAAAGAGAAAAAGGTCTAAAAGGAGTAAAGAGAGGTCTTTCCAAACAGGTGGTCACTTTAGAAAGGAAGCTGTGGACTGGTGGAAAAAGCATCACCTGCCTGCAGGTAGCTTTCGCCCAGTAGACATACCGTAAGTGAGTGAGGTCAGAAAGGGACAAATGAGAAAGGCAGGAGTGAGGGAATGAATGAATGTGTAAATGAATGAAGGAATGAAACAGGGAAGGGTGGGGCTTCCAGGCTTGGCCACCTTCAGGGTGGACTGATCCTCCTTGAAGTCTGCGCTTCAGGAGTCCCTTCAGTCTGCGGCAGGGAGTCGTGCCGGAAGGCAGCCTGGATGGGTGCGTGGGGAAGCAGCCAGGGGGCTCTGTCCACTCCTCCCTTCTGCTCAGGAAGCCACTGGAGTCTGTGGGGCTGGGGTGAAGTCTCCAGGGAGCAATGTCTCCAGCTCAAGACAAAGGCAATGGCAGCAGTCCGGCTAGGATGCCAGGCCAGAGTGGTAGAGCCACCCCCCAAGTTGTCAGCTGCCACACTCATGATCGGTCTCCTCCTGAGGAATGTCCTGGGGACGCTGGGCAGGGTGGGCTGGTGGCTGGAGTTCTCCTTGACCTTGTGTGACATCCCTACAGAACCGGGATCCATTTCTTGTCCTCGTTGTAGAGGAAGGACTGCTTTCCTGGAAGCTCTGGCTTGTACGTAGCTGTGAGGGGACAGAGAGGCGGAGGCATTAAGAGAGAAAAGGCCCATTGCTGCAGTCTCTGGCATTCTACCTCAGAGCTGGAAAGGCCTGGGGACCCCTGTGCCAGCCCCTGTATCTTACACGTGGGGAGACAGAGAGGAAGGAACTGGCCCGAGGTTATTTGGCTCTTAACTGGCCCAGGGGAAGTCAAACTCTGACTTCCTGCCTTCTTTAATTCTTTTCAACTTCTTTAACAGAACAAAATTTACAAAACTATTTTCTATGAAATTCGAAAAGAAATTGAGTAAAGCAATATTCTTAAAGAAGCAAGGTGTTAGCTTCATGGGGTCTTGTTTTGATCTAGTTCAGGGGTTTCCATAAAAGCAGAAGCCATGACAATTGCGGACATGGTTCTATAGGAGATGAGCAGGGCTTGGGAACTGTAGCCCCAGGTGACCAGAAACTCATGTTGATACTGACTTGGTTAATGAGGGTCCCGTGCACAGCCTCTCTGTTCCTATACTTGGAAAGCCGCTCAGGGGAGCCCATGGTAGTCCAGGTATACCTGAGTTTACTGGAAGCTGAGCAGGCAGATGCCGGCACGTGCACGTGCCCAGGAAACCCCTCGCAGAAGCCCACCTTGGCATGGGTGATCAGAGCGGCAGGAGCTGCCTGTCTCTGTGTGCCAGGTGCCTAGCACCACATACGGCATGGAAAAGTCATTCGGGCAATGCTTCCAGAGGATGTGGTAGAGCAGGGTCAAAGCAGGATCCCTGCCTATGCCCTACCCTCTCTGGAGCTCACCCCTTGTATGGAGCATTTGCATGTTTGCAATGCTGAGTTCTCCTCGACTGACTAGATGAGCCCCAGATCAAACCTCTACAGCCTTGCTGGTGTGATTATCACCACATTTGCAAGGCCAAAGCTAGGAGAATGACCTTCTCCTGGCCCAGTCTGCCTTATGTTAGTCTCACCTGTGAGTATGGAGCTGACGGCATCTCCCCACCTGACTGTGGCCTCTGGGGGCAAACCTGGGGCCCAGGTCATCTTGGCTCCCTCGCACGGGAGCATCGTCAACACTCACAGAAAGGCTGGGTGTAACCAAGCTGGCAGTCATCACAGCTCTGCCTTCATCCTCCCATGCCACCTGCCACACATGTCAGTCCCCAGTGCCACCAGCTTTGGCCATGGTCAGGCTGTGGTAATAGCGAAAGCGCTCTATAGAGAGCTACAAATAGGTCAGGAAGCACAGAGGCCGCCCACTGGACTGAGTCCCTCATGATATTAGCTCCCAGGTAGATCCCAGATGTAACAGGGGATCCCTACTTATGCTTGCCTGTAAAAAGAGTGTGGCGCTAGAAGGTTCAAAAGAGCTGCTCCGTTGGACAGTCCCTGGTTAATTTCATGAACAAACAAGGCATAAATGGGGAAACACCTGGCACTGCCCGCCACGAACTCGCTGCGGACCTGTGGCCCACCTGCTCTCCAGGGCTTCCTCAGCTGTAAAATAACCTGGCCACACTAGACCAGTAGTTTAAATATTTTTAAGAAAAAGAACTTTTCTGGCTGGGCACAGTGGCTCACGCCTGTAATCCCAGCACTCTGGGAGGCCAAGACGGGCAGACCAGTTGAGGTCAGGAGTTCGAGACCAGCCTAGCCAACATAGCGAACCCCTGTCTGTCTCTGCTAAAAATACAAAAAGTAGCTGGGTGTGGTGGCATGTACCTGTAATTCCAGCTACTTGGGAGGCTGAGGCATGAGAATTGCCTGAACCTGGGAGGCGGAAGTTGTGAGCCAAGACCGCACTACTGCACTCCAGCCTGGGCGATACAGCGAGACTCCGTCTCAAAAAAATAAAAGTAAAAAAAATTAATAATAATAAAGAAAAAGAACTTTTCTGACACTCTGACAAAAGCTATGGCCTCCTTTCCCAGAAAATAATGTCTATATGTGCCAATTCTTCAGCCAACTGCAGAGTCACAGACCCCTTCAAGACTATCTTTGAATCTTTTAGATGTTCATGGTCCTCAGTATGAATCCCTGGCCTGGACCATCTCTAAGAGCCCTTTCACCTTAAAAAACAAAACATTTTTGTACTGTGAAAATGTGAACTGATAATGCTTCCAAATCTACCCTCATCCCTGTAACCTATTTGGGAAACAACCTATAAATCAATGGCATTTGATGACCCAAGAATGACAAACAGTTCCAGAAGATTTGGTTTTTACAATCATTTAAAACAATCCTCTGACCTGGGCCAGGCAGGCCTGGCTGAGGCGGCGCCGCTGTCCACCGGCTGGTATTGGACACGAATGATGCACTAGAGATGAAATGCTTGCGGGGGCCTAAGTAGTCCACGATCTCATACTGACCAGGACCTGGGAAAGGTGGCTTCGGAGGCAGAGGCGAAGGCTGAGCAGAGAAGTTCAGGATGGGGTTTTTCCTTTGGGAAAGATAAAACGGGAAGATGTCACTAAGGCAGTCTAGTGGGGAAGGCACAGTTTCTAGACACAGCCAAGACCTGCACAGCAGCAAGCTGTCTGGAAGAGGACTGGTCACGGCACTGGGGCAGAGCCCTAGCTCCACTGGTAGTGAGCTGGGGACCCCTGGATCTGTTTCTTCATCTGCACATGGCAATCATGATGGGACCTACTTTGAGGTCAGGGTTGTCAGGATAAATGAGATGACGTACCTAAAACACAGTACTCAGGATAGGCCTGGCACACAGTGAGAGCTCAGTGTGCATTGCTGGAGATGTGGAGCTAACCAGAAATGGCAGGCCGTGTATATCTCATGTGCCAACTCTGATTGATTGGTAGTGCCTGGCTGGAGTTCTGTGAAAAAAACTGAGGCCTCATATGGACTCAATGGGAAGAGGCCTTAGTGACCCACTTGTGATGCCTGCCATGGTCAGGGAAGAGAAAGAAGCATCCCACATTCCACAGATTTGCCATCCCAAGACCAGCAGGTCTTTAGAGGCCACTGTAACATTGACATTCCAGAATCCTACTAAATATCATCCTGGGGAGGCAGGAGGCAGGAGTGGAAAAGCACCGGGCTGGAAATCAAGAGACTCTGCATAACCCTTTACCACTCACACCGCCATTGTTTTCAAGTCTGTCTTCCCCTCCTTCCAGAAAGGGAGTCTATCTTTTATCTCTGATATTGAGACATGAAATGAAAGACCGGACCTGTACTTGAGTCCTAGCTTGGTCACTAACTCATTCTGGGCCTCAGTTTCCCCATCTGTAAAAGGAAGGGGTTGGACAAGATGACCTCTGAGGTCCCTTCCTGCTGTGACCTTTCATCAGGCCTTGATTCAAAGTTCCACTGGGTTGTCAGAGACTTCTGCGCTTGTTACAGGAATCATGCTACTCTCCCAACCATGTAATAGAAGGGCCGCCTCCTTCTGGCTCACACCCAAGGCTTCTTCTAAAAGGCTTCTCACCAAAAGGGGAGAGGAGGTTCTCCGCACTGAATGGCCAAGGGAGCCTTCCCCAGCTTCCCCCAGCACTCAATGACCAAGGGAGCCAGCCCATCCAAGCAAAGGAGGGGACTTGGGATTCCTGGCCACTGGGGCACTACTGCACTTTAGCCAACAACTTCTTAAACACAGAGAGCTTGAGGGGACCCAAGTGATGTCTTCTTCAACCTCCTTAGTTTTCTAAAAATGTTGGTGTCCGGAGAGACAAAGTAACCGATCCAGTTATAGGCACCTTTGTAGGAATGCTGGCATAGAACTCAAGTGTTTGGCACCTAGCAATATGGAGAAAGCATGATGGCGGAGGGGACTGAGTTTAAGGGTCACACACAAACCTGAGGCTGAATTCTAGTCATGCCACTTACTGGCTGTAAGACAAGGCCCCTGATTTCTCTATAGCTTAGCGTCAGTATACACAGCATTGCAAGGAACAATGACACTAACTTTATAAAGGAGTTACAATGAACAGAGAAAAGGTATGTAAAGCACCTAGTAGAGCACCAGCACATAGTAGGTGCTCAATAAAGGTAGTTGTTATTCTTCTGATGATCCCTGTGTCAGCATCAATGTGTGCTGCTTGGTGACAGACAGGCAACTGAGCCTCGTAAAAGACTGACAGGGCCCTTCCACCCCAGAGTCATGCTGAGGCAGGGGACACCCCCCTGGTCAGAGAGGACACTGAAAGCCATCATAAATGTGCTTGGGCTCACATCTTGTGGTGGAGGAGCAGCTGGCGTGGATGCTTATATTTAGAACAAAGGTACCCACAGGGAAAGGGGGGACATGCTGCCTCCCTGTTTGCTATGAATCTGCATGGAAGAACTGGTTACAGGGTGTAATCAACAACCTCTCCCCTTATAAATAAAAGCTGGCTTCTCCTTGTTCTGGCTTGTGGCTCCCCCTTCAAAACACCTCCAGACATTTGATGAGTTTGTGGCTGGCATCATGGAGAGACAGGTTTGATTCCTGGAAATTACAGCTGGAACAAATCAACCATTATATGAGGTCACCCCATCACTGGTCTGGGTCACTCCAAGCCCAAGATTCCCACCCTGTTCTTTGAGAAAACCATGAGGTGTCTGCTTTCTTAGCCAAGGACAGCCTGCAGAAGGCTGGAGCACGCTGAGTTAATGACTCACCAGTGTTCTTGGCAAGATGGGTTAGAGAGGTTTCTTGTCTTCCACTCCTTCAGTATGCCCAGGAGAGGCTCAGAACCTTCAGCCTAGCACTATGGATCTTTCATGAGCACCAGCCATGTGTGGGATTCTGGGCCAGGCATGCTTGGGAATCCAGGCAGTTCTGTACTAAGACACGGACTTGAGTGTCCTTAAGGGCTTGACAATCCGCTGCCAGCAACAGCCATGACTGGTGACAACTTCAGGCAGTACAGGCTTTGCACTCAGACAGAGCTGGGTTTGAATCCCCACTTCCCCGTTCAACAGCTATGTGTTCTTAGAAAAGGCTCTTAACCTCCTTAAGCCTCAATTTCCTCATCTGTAAAACAGTGGAAATAATACCTACTACCCAGATTGTTAGGAAGATTGTGCTTTACTTGTAACATTTGTTTAAAAACATGAAATCTGTTCGAATAGAGGTTAAAATAAAAAACTGCATTGAAAGCAGAGAGAAAGAGACAGAGACAGAGGGACATTAATTCCAACAAGATGAATCCAGAAATCCATCCAGAAATCCAGAAAATCTTCAGGTGGGGAAGAGCATTTCCAGCAGAGGGAACAGCAGGAGCAAAAGCATGGAATGGGGAAAGCTGTAGCTGTTATGGCAGGAATTGGGACACAAGGAGACAGACGCTGAGCAC
This sequence comes from Homo sapiens, assembly GCF_000001405.40. Classification (NCBI taxonomy): domain Eukaryota; kingdom Metazoa; phylum Chordata; class Mammalia; order Primates; family Hominidae; genus Homo; species Homo sapiens. Next base: position 24,363,896 of record NC_000001.11, read on the forward strand.
CTAGACTGCCTTCAACCCTCCATTCACCAGTGATTTCCTGGGTTGTTCACTTGCTTCTGATACTCCCCACTTACAAACCCTGATGAAAACTTAAAGGCAAGATCTATTTATGGCCTCTCAATCCAGCCTAATCTCCCATGTCCTGCTGCTTCCGTTTTACCTTCCAGAAACACCCAACACAACACAGTTCAGCAACTCCATGCCTTTGTCCCTGCTGTTCCTTCTGTGAGAAACACCAACTTTCCCTGCAAACTCGAATTCAATTCTTGACGTTCTCACTTTCTTCCAGGGAAACTTCTCTCCTCCACCCACGCCTGTCTCGCCACCCCCCACCTGACTGTCTTGAATGTTCCCATCCTGTGACTCAAGTGAGGAACATGGGTTTTGGAGATGGATTTTGGAGGCAGAGGGACCTGGATTCAAATCCCAGCCCCACCACCGTCAACAGCCTGCACTTCACTGTAAACTCGGAATGACACACCCACCTGGAGGAGAGGTGGAAGGACGACGGCAGGTCACATCTGAGAGCTCTCAGCTCAGAGTATGTGGCCCCTGAATACATTCTGGCTATTACTTTGCATTTAAAATGTTGCATTTTCTATGGCTTTTACTTGCCTAGCTCTTTAAGGGAAGGTATTGTGTCTTCCTCAGCTTTGAGGCCCCTAGCCCTATCCCGGGAACATTTGCTGAAGTGCAGAGAAAAGCAGAGGGCTGGCAGCATGTAAAGGAGCCCAGGCATCTGAGGCCCACATGACAGTTTCATCCTCATCCAGGGCTGGTCCCTCCATGTCGAGGTGGGGCTGACAAATCACAAAGGTCAGGCTGGATCAAACCCAGGGCAGCCCACAGTGCATTGTGACCAGGGCTTTTATGAGCCTCATTGCTCAGTTATAAAAGCCAACCTGGCCCTGCCCCGTGGAAAGAAAACATCTATCAAAGGCTCTGAGTTGGCCACAACTGGATTAAGTGTGTTTGCAGCTTCCAATGTGAGCTGTTTGCAAATCACCTAAGAATAATGAATGTCTTAGAGGACTCAGCAGGCCACTTGGGGAAAGCATCTGAGACCCTCCAGACACTCCCAGGCACACATTCACTCGCCTCAGGGATTCCCAGGGTTGGGAGGGATAAAGGGGCAATTTTTCTCATCATTAAAGGGCAGCCGATTGCCTCTGGGGTGGAATGCAGTATCTGTTTAACAGGGTAGCGGGTGACAGATTACAGCTGCTTGGGAAGAAGCATCCCATATCTAATTGAAAATCCCAGGGGAAGTTAGGGTGGGTCCAATCTAATTACCAAAATTGGAGTGGGGCCAACGGGGCTTGATTTTTCAGCTCTAGCTGTGACAAGACAGCGTGTCTGTGCAAATCCAGTGGCTTAAAACTCCAGGAAGCAGATCAAGGGTTAGAAAAATGGCCCTGAGTGTTGCACCTCCTTGCTGGGGAGCATGAGTTGGAAGGCATTGCCTAGGAGGAACTATTTTGATCTCCAAAACTCTCACCCTGACTCACCCTAAGTGATTGAGTCATCACTGTGACGGATATTGAAGACCTCAGAAGCGAAACCTTGGCTGATACTTCACTTTGCTTCTGAAGACACCCTGGAAGCTGAGAAGTCCTCTTAGCTTTGAGTCAGCAAGGTGGCCATGGCCAAGGAACACCCGATGGCATGACCTTTAGCTAAGGAGCTCAGAAATGCCAGTGCTAACAAACAGCCAGCCCCAAGCACAGCATCCGCCCTGCGGGGCCACACTAGAAACCCTAGGAAGACACAGAGGACCCGCTCACCTGCTTTGATAAAAATACAAGTTACCATGTGAATTTTGTGGGTTATCTCCTTTTATCCTTACAACCACATTATGAGGTGTTCTTATCCTGGTTCACCAAGGATGACTTTGAACCCACTGGGAGTTAAGTGACCTCCCTTCCCCCAGGCCCACAGGGCTGGTGAGCAGGGAAAGTGGAGGTTCCATGGTACTGACTTTGGGGCCTACGCTAATCAATCCACTGCCCACGCTGCCTCCATGGCCTCTTCAGGGGACGTGATCAGCCGTTCCCTGCCCTAATGGTGGCCTCCTGAGCTTTGGTCATATCCAGCCATCCTCTCACGGCTGGGCTTTACATTTTTTGGCCAGTAACATGAGACTAAAAACTCCAGGGAGAATTCATATCTGCACTGATGCTTCCTGCACCCTGAAGAAAGCAGATCCAGAAAAGCATTTCTGTAGCTGTAACTCTGCCCAAGAATGGGAAGCCCATCAACTCCAACCCAAGACAGATGAGGGCAGGTCTCCCCCTGCATGGCACGCGTGTGTTCCCGAGAAAGAAACATGGCGGCAAGTCACCGCCGCTCCACGTAGCCGTGGAGAGCTAAAGAGGATTAGTTCTGATGTGGACAAAGTCCTAAGGGAAGGTGCATGCAGATGGGGTCACCTCAGGGGTCTACTGACCTCAGGAACCCGTGTAGCTCCTGTCCCTCTCTTCCCTCCAGGGACACAGGAGAAAACAGAACTGGAATTTGAGAAACTGGATTTTGGATATTTCCTCAACACTCTGATATTCAGCTGTCTTTTCTTTTCATTACATCATTTTCTTCATCATTCATCGGGAACAGATAAATGTTTTTTTTAGAATAGTCCAAAGCCTACCAGTCTTATCTTCTTGCTTTCCAAATAAAATGATAAATTTCTTAGCTTCATCTTTCCCACGTTAATTTTAAAATACATAATCTGGACCTCCTCTGTGGGTCCAGGCTGGCTCCACGTTCGTTGTCCCCTGTGTGCTCTCCTGAGTCCATGGTGAGCAAACCTGGGATTCTGATGTGTCAGAAATGCAGACACCCTTCTTTCGCTTATAGAGAAATGAAGACCCAGAGAGGTGCCCAGAGCAGCCCCAGACCACAGAGCCAGCTATACAAATGTCGTGCTATAGAGCCTGGGGCACCATCCCCTCATCAGGGTGAACCCAAGTTTAGGAGACAGCGGGTTAATAGGTTCCTTTACTGCAGGCCTTCTCAGAGCCTTTAAGATGCCTGTGCAGACTGCGATGTTCTCAGGGGCAGAGGGTTACGATGCAGTGCTTCTCAGACTTATTAACCAAAGACCTTTTATTTGTGAAGCATTGACAGAGAGCCAGCGAGCCCTAGAAGCCCCAGACACGCAGTCCCGCTGCACTGCCCAGTGGGAAGACGGCCCCATGGGTTGTACATGGCCATACACCCCTGGGGCCACCTAACCCGGCATTTTGCTGCAGGCTCCTCCACCTGGCTTCGAGGCTGTTCCCAGATGAGGTTGGCTGGAGGCGTGGTGTCCTGTTCACCTGAGCCTCCAGTACAGAACTAGAAATCTATAGAGTCTGCTGACTGACAAATGCAAACGCCATAAAATAAGAACGATCTCAAACCACCTGTTCAAACTTGAGCAAAAGCCAGAAGATATTTCTCCAGATAAAGCAGTTAAAAATTGAGCATCCTCCACTCTTATGTTATTTCACCATTTTCCTTGAAGAAGCTTCCAAATTTGGGCTGGGGGCTTGAGCTGCCATGCCAAATAACAGCTGTATTGTATAATATAGCCTAGTAGGTCTATAGGATATACAATAACCACAGCTATCATTATAAGGGTAATAGCTATTTTCTTTCTTTTTGAGACCAAGTCTTGCTCTGTCACCCAGGCTGGAGTGCAGTGGCATGATCTCGGCTCACTGCAACCTCCACCTCCCCGGTTCAAGCAATTCTCCTGCCTCAGCCTCCTGAGTAGCTGGGATTACAGGCGCCCTCCACCACGCCCAGCTTTGTATTTTTAGTAGAGATGGGGTTTTGCCATGTTGGCCAGACTGGTCTCAAACTCCTAGCCTCAAGTGATCCATCTGCCTTGGGCTCCCAAAATGCTGGGATTACAGGCGTGAGTCACCATGCCCAACCGGTAATAGCTATTTTCCAACATCTTCTCATCGAATCTTCATGGAATCCCTACGAGATAAGATCCTTATCTCTACTTAATAACATAAAACTGAGGCTCAGAGAGGAGAAGTCTCTGGAAGGTACAGAGCTGGGATTCATACTCTGGTCGGCCAACTCCAACACCTGTCCTCTTGACCACTCTTTCTCTGGCAGAGTAAGGGAATAGTTACTTGTAGAGATGCCGCATGCCAGCCTGGAGGCGGGAGGTCTCTGGAGAGAGACTTTCCAGAGACAGAGCTGTTCCTGGAGACTGGCCTGCCCCAGCCCCTAGCCCTACAGCCTGTACAAGGCCAGCCTGCAGAGCCCTAGACCTGGAGGGCAGAAGGGACTCCTCTGGTGGATTCCAGCTGAGGTCTCAATCCCCTCTCCAGATCTTAAGTTCGACTTGGCAGATTCACAACTTGCACCTCTCTCTAACTGTGGTCCCCTTGCCCTAGGCTGATGATCAGACTATGCCCAATGTTGGCAGCCTCCCTGGGTTGCCTGGACTTCTGACCCACTGTGGCTATGGCTCCTAACACCTGCCTGATCTCTCTGGAGGGGCCCAAGAGGATATATTGTTGGTCCCACCTGGCCAGCCCTCCCAGTGGCCAGCTCTGTCTGGAGGGGCTACGCATGGGTGAGAGCTGAGATGGTAACAGGAGGACTAACCCTAACTGCAGTTAGTTCCAGAAGTTCTAGAACCATTCGAGAAATAAATAAGCTCTGTGAGTATTTGAGCCTCTTAGGTGAGAGTAATATAAAATGTGTAGGATATTAAACAGGGTAACAAAAATCCCTGTATTTACTTTTAAAAATCTGTGTTAATTTTGAGTCACCAGCTGCAATGCCAATGCCAAACATATATTTTATTTACTTTTTTTGTTTTTTGAGACAGGGTCTCACTCTGTCACCCAGGCTGGAGTGCAGTGGCGCAATCTCGGCTCACCACAATCTGGGCCTCACAGGTCCAAGTGATTCTCCTGCCTCAGCCTCCCGAGTAGCTAGGATTACAGGCGTGCACCATCATGCCTGGATAATTTTTGTATTTTTAGTAGAGACAGGGTTTCACCATGTTGGCCAGACTGGTCTCGAACACCTGATCTCAAGTGATTCGCCCACCTCGGCCTCCCAAAGTGCTGGGATTACAGGCGCAAGCTGCTGCGCCCAGCCAAACATGTATTTTTAATTCTGAAAGCAAAATCCTACGAGGCAGGAATTATTCCCACCTTACAGATGAGGGCATGGAGGCTCAGAGAGGTTAGAACTCTGCCCAAGGTCACAGAGCATAAAAACAGCAGAGCTGAAGTACAAATCCAGCAGGTATCACCAACTCGAAAGTCAGGGCTTAAACTTCCATCGGTATAAAGCTATGAGAGCTTGACTGCTTCTGAATGTCCTGCCACTCCAGCGAAGATTTTATGTTACAAAAATAGAACAATGTCAGCACCAGGGGAATCCAGCATCACAGGGAATGAGGAAAGACTTAGTCCTGAGCCAATTCCCTGTGGCTCCTCAAGTTGGCTGTGTGGACTTGGGCAAATGTCCCGCCAAATCCGAAGCCTTGCTTCCTCCTCTATGGGGTAAGAGTAACAATTCTTACAACAGGATTATAATAATAATTGAATACAATTTTAAGTTCCTGGCACACAGTGGTTGCTCAATAAGTATCAGGCATTCAACAGGCATTTACTGAGCATCATTATGTGTGACTAAGGGCCCCTGAAGAGAGTGGCCCGGCACTGTGCTCTGCCAAGCAGTGACACCCCATCCTTTTCTCTATGTTGGGCTTCTTCCCCACAACCACCTTTCAAAAGAAAGACCAGAATGATTGGGACTCACGGGAAAAGAGTCTTTTTTGGAACTTTTGTGCAATCACTGGGGTTGTAATAACCAGGTCCCGGGCCTGTTGACGTCAGTTTTAATCCACGGTTGGTTTTTGATTTAAAACAAGACATTAATGTATTTGGCGACTGCTTCACAAGGGATTCGTTGATATCATAATGCCCTAAGGAGAAAGAAATTTTAGGACAGAATAAGGAACTCTTCTCAAGTAAATAAAAAGCAGTACCTTACCCCTAAGAACACACCTGATGGCTGCAAGGCACCATCACTCTAGGATGGCCAAGTGGAAGGGCTGACTGAGATAGCCAAAAACAATCCTCACCATGCAGAGAACAGATGGCACGGGAAGCACACACTTAGCTGATTTAGTTCTCGCACTAGCCTGGCAAGATGAGTATTACTGCTTTCATTCTACACATGGGAAACTGAGACTCAGAGATTGTTAAATAATTTGCCAAAGGACATTCATCTAACCAGGGACTTAGACAAATCTCTCCACCTTGCTGGAGCCCAGTTTTCCTTCTCTATAAACTAAGAATAATAATTCTTCTGACAACAGAGTTGTTATGACAGTTGAATAATATTTTAAGTTCCTAGCACATAGTGGATGCTTTGTAAATATCATGCAATCAACAACTATCTTTTTTTTTTTTTTTTGAGATAGGGTCTTGCTCTCTTGTCCAGGCTGGAATGCAGTGGCACAATCACAATCACAGCTCACTGTAGCCTTGACCTGCTGGGCTCAGTGATCCTCCCATCTCAGTCTCCCGAGTAGCTGAGACTACAGGTATGTACCACCACACCCTGCAAATTAAAAAAAAAATTTTTTTTTTGAGACAGAGTCTCGCTCTGTCGCCCAGGCTGGAGTGCAGTGGCGTGATCTCAGCTCACTGCAAGCTCTGCCTCCCAGGTTCACGCCATTCTCCTGCCTCAGCCTCCCAAGTAGCTGGGACTACAGATGCCCACCACCACGCCTGGCTAATTTTTTGTATTTTTAGTAGAGATGGGGTTTCACCATGTTAGCCAGGATGGTCTCGATCTCCTGACCTCGTGATCCGCCTGCCTCGGCCTCCCAAAGTGCTGGGATTATAGGCGTGAGCCACTGTGCCCAGCTTTTTTTTTTTTGTAGAAATGAGGCCTCATTATTTTACCCAGGCTGGTGTTGAACTTGTGAGCTCAAGCAATCCCCCCACCTCAGCCTCCCAAAGTGCTAGGACTACAGGTGTGAGCCATCATGCCCAGCTAACATGTATGTGTTGAGCACCACTATGTAGAGACTGGTCTGCTTGTCTCCAAAGCCCACACTTCCCCACCACACCACAATGCCCTGTCTCAAGAAACTGTGACAGAATAAAATGAATTTGTGTACAAAGCTTTAAGGAAGAAGAGAATGACCAAAACTGGGGTGAAGAGGAAGCGATCTCACCCCTAAGTTGTCAGTAGCCCTGTGAATGGATGTTCTCCACCACTCTATTCATATTAGCAATCAATTCAAAATAATCACAATTTTCAATAAGACAATACTGGCTCCTTAATTTATGGTACTATCATATAAGAATATACTATATATTTATTTAAAATGATGTTCCGAAAGGATTTTTACTAACATGAAAAGACGTTCCCAGTATCAGCCGGGTACGGTGGCTCACACCTATAATCCCAGCACTTTGGGAAGGCAAGGTGGGCAGAACACTTGAGGTCAGGAGTTTGAGACCAGCCTGACCAATATGGTGAGACACCATCTCTACTAAAAATATTTAAAAAATTAGCCAGGTGTGGTGGTGTGCACCTGTATTCTCAGCTGTTCTGGAGGCTGAGGCAGGAGAATCACTTGAACCCAGGAGGCGAAGGTTGCAGTGAGCCGAGATTGCACCGTTGCTCTCCAGCCTGGGCAACAGAGCGAGACTCCCTCTCAAAAAAAAAAAAAAAAATGTTCCCAGTATATGCTTAAATTTTTAAAGAAGCAGATGTCAGCAGCATTTACAATACTGGATAACTATCTCTCATATTCTCTGTTTTGTATATATATTTCTACTAAAAAGGTTATAGCAACACTTGAATTACAAAATACAGAAAACAATGAAAAGCAAAAGCAAGGAATAGAAGGCATTTATGCTGCCACTACCAGAGAGAGCCAGCCGCCAGGAAGCTGGGGTGGAGGGTGAGCTGAAGGTACCAGATATTGAACTAGATGAGCCTGGATTAAAATCCAGCTGTGGGGCTGGGCGTGGTTGCTCACACCTGTAATCCCAGCACTTTGGGAGGCCGAGGCAGACGGATCACTTGAGGTCAGGAGTTTGAGACCAGCCTGGCCCACATGGTGAAATCCTGTTTTTACTAAAAATACAAAAGTTAGCCGGGCGTGGCGGCGCATGCCTGTAATCCCAGCTACTTGGGAGGCTGAGGCAGGAGAATCACTTGAACCCGGGGGGCGGAGGTTGCGGTGAGCCGAGATCGTGCCACTGCACTCCAGCCTGGGTAACAGAGCAAGACTCCATCTCCAAAAAAACAAAACAAAACAAAACAAAAACAAAAAAATCCAGCTGTTGGACACTGGGCCTGTCACCTGCTTTTCTATCTCCTCTGCCTGTGAAGTGGGGATAAAAGAAGAAGAAGAGCTCACACTTTCTGAGCCCATGATTATGTGGTGAGTACCTGCTCCATGGGGCTTTGGAGCATTCAGTGAGATAATGAATGTAAGGCCCCTGGCACCCACGGGGAGCTTAACAGATGCTAGTACCCACACTTCCCCTCCTGTTCTGTGTTATAAGGGGCTGGGGGCTTCTCAGGATCCCCCCACCCCGGGAGGGAGCAGGAGCAGGGGCAGACTGTGGAGGTGCCCACATCCCAGGGCTCACTGGCAGGGACTCTGGCCAACCCCAGGGATGCTGGCTTTGTTCTTCTGTATAAATAGACAAGGTGGGGTTTTGCCCATGGATGATGCAAGGCAGGAGAGCATGAACTGGGGCTGAGCCTCCTAATTAGCGCTGGTTTTGTTATTCAGCTTCAGATTGATCTTTTCAACTTTAATCTGGATTTGCTGAAATCTCACATGCACTACAATTTTATCCACACCCCTCTGCAAGAGGCATGATTGCAGAAGCAAACCTTCCCTGCTCCTCCTCCTGCTTCTGGGGCCCAAGGTTCCTGGGGCAGCTCTGGTGCCCAGGGCTTCTGGGGTTGGGGTGTGGTCTGTGGGACCTATTTGGGATAATCTAATATAATAAGTGCTCCAGCACTGGAGGTCAGAGAGCACAGGAGAGGTGCAACACCCTTCCCCAAGGCCGGCAGGGGAAACACTTGCAGGAAAGCTCTTGTGTATTCCTGAATCTTGGAGGTTCCAGAAGGGACAATGGAATGATGGAGGACGTGGGCTCGTTAGTGAGACCCCTCTGGGCTTGTGTCTGCCATTTACTGGCTGTGTGACACTGGGCAAGTCATTTCAACTCTCTGAGCCTCCACTTCCTCATCTGAAAAGTAGGGCTAAGTGGATGAACCTATGACGGCAGACCTGCAAGACTGCATGGAAACCACTCACCGTGGAGTGGGTGCTCCGGAAACAGAGCTGCCTCCTCTGTTTTATGACTGGATGATGAAGTCACCTCTAGCATAGGAGAAAATGAACGTGGCAGCTCAGTGTTGAAGGAACAGGATGTATGGTCATGCCCTGTATCTCCTGCCCCTCCCCAGTGGCCCCTAATGGCAGCTGGGGTATACGAATGTGCACATTTCTGAGGTGAGAAGCCACTTCTCCACTTGGCTGCCCAGAGCAGGTATGCCAGATCATAAAAGGGGAGGCCAGGAAGCTGCTTTGGAGGCCCATTTCCAGAGCCAGCCATTGTCCTCCTGGTGGGGATTGCTGGCTGTCTTCTCACCTCTCCTCTTTGTTCAGTACCTGCCTGCTACTCCTCCCCACCCAAAGACTAAATCCTTCCAAAGACTCCCTGTGAAGAAGTAGGTGCCCTGCAAATCAAATCTGGGACACTTAACCCTTAGGTCAAGGCCAGTGCAAAGCAGCTGCTTACCTGGGGGAGGTCCTTTATCAGCAAAAGCGAAAGATCCTCTTTGGGTTTTTGACATAAACCCGGCTCGAGTACAGACGTTGTTTCTCTGCTTGCAGCAAGAGACAGAGGCCTAGGGGGAGAAAATACACCCAATGTACTCAGTACCTTTCCTTTCTTTGTCTTCGTCATCATGCCTGGACAAGTGGCAAATCTACGTAAAAAAAATCAAACCGAAACCTGTCCTTCTTAGCAAATGAACAGATGTGAGCTGTAAACGTCACACTGGCTGTGGCTTCCCTGTCATCCCAGCTCAAGTGGTCTATGAGTTTGTGATCCCTGGAAAATGCTGGTCACTCAACAAGGAACAGAACACACAGCTAGCTGCAGGGTGGCTTCCAGGCTCACTTCTGCTAAGGACAGGCTGTGTGGCCCCGCATCAGTTCTGTAACCTCTCTGAAACCCAGTTTTCTCATCTGTAAAACGGATTGGACAGTCAGCTCCACTTGCTGTGGAGTTCTGTCAGGGAGTGGGGGTGGCCCAGCAGAGATCACCGCTAGGAAAGTGTTTTTTTTTTTTGTTTTTTTTTTTTTTTTTCTGAGACAGAGTCTTGCTCTGTCTCCCAGGCTGGAGTGCAGTGGCGAGATCTCCACTCACTGCAAGCTCTGCCTCCCGGGTTCACGCCATTCTCCTGCCTCAGCCTCCGGAGTAGCTGGGACTATAGGTGCCTACCACCACGCCCAGCTAATTTTTTTGTATTTTTAGTAGAGACAGGGTTTCACCATGTTAACCAGGATGGCCTCGATCTCCTGACCTCGTGATCCGCCCGCCTCGGCCTCCCAAAGTGCTGGGATTACAGGCGTGAGCCACTGCGCCCAGCCGGAAAGTGTTTTTTTTTAAGTGTGTAATGCTACACCCGCAAATTATCTTCATTATTGTTGCTACTTTTTTTTTGTTTGTTTTTGGAGACTGAGTCTCACTGTGTTGCCCAGGCTGGAGTGCAGTGATGCCATCTCAGCTCACTGCAACCTCTGCCTCCCGGGCTTAAGCAATCATCCCACCTCAGTCTCCAGAATAGCAGGGACTTCAGGCACACGCCACCACACCTGGCTAATTTTTTGTGTTTTTTGTAGAGATGGGGTTTCACCATGTTGCCTAGGCTGGTCTTGAACTCCTAGACTCAAATGATCTGCCCACCTCGGCCTCCCAAAGTGTTGGGATTACAGGCGTGAGCCACTGCACCTGGTTTTCTACTATTTTTACTGTTTTCAGGACACGTAGTCCTACCCATCCCCATCCTCATTCCTAGGTGCATTGCTCACTGTTCAAACAGCCCTTCTATAAATGCAGCATTTGGGGCACACAAGAAAGTCGTATCATTTAAGATTGTGATCACATTTGCAAGCATTCCCTTGTCTCAACTTTCCTGAACTGACCAGAAATTAAGAATTCTGGCCAACTCACGAAATACATTTGAGAGTGCGCGATGTGTTCAGAACTCTAAAAATAATAGGAAAAAAACCCTGAGATCATTCTTCTGTTACACGTGAATCATAAATATTTTAAATGCCAATTTGCGGTCTCCTGTATTCATTGGAGAACAGAGGCAATACAAATTAAACCTGTGATTGCTGGGGATATTTGCTGAATGAGTGAAACTATTTGCTGGGGCCAGGATGGTTTGATTTGCTGTGATACTCCTTTGTCAAAAAAAATGTTTCTCGAGAAATGCAGATGGCATTTTGATTTTGTGTTTACAAAGGTGGAGGAATTTAGCTTTTCCCAGGGCCCTAATGGCTAGACGGCATGCAGAGAGGGCAAACAAAGAGACCAGATGGGACAGGTTAATTACTGGACACGGAGAGTTGGGGAGAGGAGCCAGGTTGCCGGAGAGAAGGTAATAACACATTACCAAGGAAGAGGACTCGAATATACAAGTGAGGGATGGTGGCAGCAAAGGCAGAGAAAGGCTTTGACAGACCTCAAAGCACAGTGTGGCTAACAGGATTACTGCATTTCTACTCCTCACCAGTTGACTCAACCATTGTTCTCCTGGCCTGAAAAAAAGCCACCTGTAGACAAAACAGCACTTCAGCTTTATTTTTCACCCAGACAGAAAAGCAACTGAAAAAGGGAGCATTTTTGTATACGCTGAGTGTGTGTCGCTGGAAGATTTCCCCATGGGGCCAGGAAAATATTCAGCAGGTTAAAAAAGACTGAAGCAGATTTATTGTATTGCCATGGAAAGAAATCTAAGAAGAAAATGCATGTGTGCTGTGTACAGAATAATGCTAATACTGGTGGAGGGACAGAGGTAGGAGAGAATATGAAAGAAATTGCATCTGGTTTTTGTTTTGTTTTGAGATGGGGTCTCACTCTGCCACCTAGGCTGGAGTGCAGTAGTGTGATCTTGGCTCACTGCAACCTCCACTTTCCAGGTTCAAGCAATTCTCTTGCCTCAGCCTCCCGAGTAGCTGGGATTACAGGTGTGTGCCACCATGCCTGGCTTATTTTTGTATTTTTAGTAGAGGCGAGGTTTCACTATATTGGCCAGGCTGGTCTCAAACTCCTGACCTCAGGTGATCTGTCCACCTTGGCCTCCCAAAGTGCTGGGATTACAGGCGTGAGCCACTGTGCCTGGCCTGCACCTGGTTTTTGATGCAGTGGTTTCCCTTGGGAAGTAGAATTATAAGGGACTTCCACTTTCTAATTAATGGGTTTCTACAGGGCTTGAATATATTTTATGATGAGCGTGTATTATTTTCAGGGTCATATTAAGACAATAATGAACAAAAAACATGCGCCTAAATGTATCTATTGGCAGAAGGACACAATTCTATCTTGGGAAGAGGTCCTTTCTAGATTAACAGCTGCATACTACTGGAAAGTTATTCCTTTGATGTCATAAACATTGATTGGATGCTTACTGCATCCCAGGACCTGTGCTGGGCATTGGAGACAGGAAGCCGGGTGAAGGAGTAGACAGTGATTCGGGGAGAATGGTGCATGAAACACTGACGGCAGCATCCTTCAGCTACAACCGGGAGGCTGCAGAGAGGGGCATCCGCACAGACAGTCGGTGCCTGTGTTTTTCTCCCAAGTAGCCTGGTTCCCACTTGGGACTGACAAAGGGGCAATGGCTAAGCCCCTTTCTGATCACTTTCTTGTATCACACCTTGCCATCTCTCCTGTTAGCATAATAATCTCCTCGCTGGTTTTCCAGAACCCACTCTCCAACCCACACTGCAGTCCATTCACCACACAGCAGCTGGAAGGAACTTTTTAAAAAATATGTCAGATTGGCTGGAAGCTGTGGCTCATGCCTGTAATCCCAGCACTTTGGGAGGCCGAGGTGGATGGATTACGAGGTCAGGAGTTTGAGACAAGCCTGGCCAACATGGTGAAACCCCATCTCTACTAAAAAAAAAAAAATACAAAAATTAGTTGGGCATGGTGGCATGTGCCTGTAATCCCAGCTGAGGCAGGAGAATTACTTGAATTGGGGAGGCGGAGGTTGCAGTGAGCCAAGATCGTGCCACTGCACTCCAGCCTGGGCGACAGAGCAAGACTCCATCTAAAAAAAAAGCATCAGATCACACCACCCCATACCTCCAGCCCCACTCATGGGCTTCCTAGGACCCAGAGAACAAAATGTGAACTTCCTCCTGGGATCTTCAGGGCCCTGTGTGAATTGGCCGGTGTCTGTCTGGTGCCCCCTTCTCCCTTCTCCTCTTGCTCATCCTACACTAGCCACTCAACCTTCCTGAAGGTCCTCGTGGGCTGGGCTCCTTGCTATACCAGGACCTTGGCACATGCTCTTTCTCCAACCCTGGCTCTTCCTCAATCCTTGGGTCTCAGTCTCGGAGCCTTCTCTGACCACCAAGTCAGAGAAGGCTGACTTGGTACTGCCAACCTCCATATCTCCCACATATTCTCCCTCAAGCTCCAGCTGTCCCTCAAAGTTGACCACAGTTTGTAATTATTTTGTTTGTTTACCTGTTCTTTTCTGAATTCCCCACTGGAATCTAAGCTGTATCACCAGCCTGGCACAGAGGAGCAACAGGATCCACAGAGGGAAGCCTGTCAGGGCTGGAATGAGGTGACTTTGATCATTCCCCAGCTTTCCACCCCAGCCATCCACTGGTGCCCACTGAAGTGCAAATGATGCCTTCAAGCTGGGTAACTGTGCAAGTCCCTTCACCTCTCTGAGCCTTAGCTTTCTCTTCTTTATACTGGGAACAAGATAATCCACTTTATGGATTCACTTGTGAGTATTAAATATGATTAATACATAACTCTTAGACCAGCACTTAGTACATGAGAAGTGCTTCATCCTCCTCCTCCTCCTCCTCATCATTTTCAGGCTCTGATTATGCCGAGGGAAGACTGCCTGGAGTTGGACTGCCCAGTATAGTAGCCACAGGTTGCATGTGGCTATTGGCCCTGGAAACGTGGCTGGCCCAAATTAAAATGTGCTGGAAGAATAAAACACATACTGGATTTTAAAGACTCACTACAAGGAAAATAGTCTTCCTCAAATATAAAATTCATAACTTTTATATTGATTAGTGTTGAAATGATAATATTTTGGATCTGTTGGGTAAACTATATTACTCAAATTAACTTCATCTGTCCCTTTTTCTTTTTAGATGTGGCTACTAGAAAATCTTAAATGAGGCCGGGCACGGTGGCTCCCGCCTGTAATCCCAGCACTTTGGGAGGCCGAGGCAGGTGGATCACGAGATCAGGAGATTGAGACCATCCTGGCTAACCCAGTGAAACCCCATCTCTACTAAAAATACAAAAAATTAGCCGGGTGTGGTGGCGGGTGCCTGTAGTCCCAGCAACTTGGGAGGCTGAGGCAGGAGAATGGTGTGAACCCAGGAGGTGGAGCCTGCAGATTGCACCACTGCTCTCCAGCCTGGGCAACAGAGCAAGACTCCGTCTCAAAAAAAAGCTTGAATCCATCATAGAAGGTGGGCAGGATTTTTGTAGTCAGAAAAATAATTATTAATTATCAATATTATGAAGGAAAAAAGGAAATGGTATAATAAATGTATAAAACCAAAATAGTTTGGAAAATGGCATAACATTAATGTCTTAAGTACAATTCATATCTTGCGCACTTCAGAGTGCTTTCACGTTCGTTGCCTTATGGTAACCCTGTAGGGCAAGTAGAATTGATTCCATTGTACAGTGGGGGCTGTGACTTACTTACTTGCTTGTATTTAAGGGTAAGTAAATACCCTTCATGTACTAACAAAGACAGCCCTACCAATCTCCATGTATTGTGTGGTCCTTGTGTGACTGGTGCTGTCCTGGGCATGAAGCATACATTATCTCATTTAATATTTGCATTAACACGATGAGGTGAACATACATCACCATTTTACAGATCAGTAAACTAAGCCCTGGAAAGGTTAAGGGACTTGCCGAAGGCCGCACAGTTAGAAAGTGGCAACAGATGAGAGCTAAACCAAACCTTCCTGAGTCCATCTCTTAACCATCCATGCCATTCTGCGTCAGTGAATACAAAGCGATCATAATTGGCACAGCAGGGCACGACTGTTAAAACACCTATTTTCTGATATGAAAGTTTATTTTCCCTAGAAGAACCTAAAAAGTAAATCATTAGTGGCTGCAGACAAAGTGGTAAATAATACACCCATTGTTACAGATGAGAAAACTACGTCCCAGAAAGGTTACAGGACAAGAGTAATTAGAATATGTGTTTCTCAGGGCAGTGGCCTCCCCACAGCTTGATACTGGCCTCCATGTTGCCCATCCTGATCTCTGGGGTCTGCAAATTCCCTGTAAGAGTCTTGTACAGCCTTAGGCACCCATTGGGTAGTCAACAAATGCTAACTGGCTTGACAACTGCATTAAAATACGATGTCCCCAAGATCCCCTCTTCCTTTTATTTTAGTAAACCATTAATTCGATCTGTATTTAGCAAGCATAGGCAGAGTTCTTACATTGTAATAGTTTGGTGCAGGAGTTTCAAACTTGAGAGCTTTCATAAAGCTTGGCAACTGGAACATGCTGGAACACGAATTACTAAAGTCTCTCTTGGAAATAAAATCCGATGGGATAGTGTATGCATTCGCTGCAGGGTATTTAGAAATGATGGTGTCCAATCGGGCGCACTGTAAGGAGACAACCAAAGGAATCAGCATTGTCACATAATATTGTGGATCTGAAGGACAGATGTCAAAAAGATGGTGACCAGCACAAGGTCTAAATGCATTTTATAAAAGGCGAAACTCTGGCAGTAACAATGATAAACTGACCTCAGGCTTTGAGGATCTTCCCTTGGAAAACGCAAGTTCAGACCTGTACTCGCTTCTGTAAACTAACTCAAATTATTCATCTTCTGTTTGGGACTTGGCAAAAATGATTTTGCCATAAATGCATTTCCACCCAATCCTGTTCCAGGCCACTTACCCTTGACTCATCAGCTGTTGGGTAATTTATGTGATAGGAAGCTTTAGATGCTCTTCTCAGCCTAGGCTTTTCTTCTGAGTAAAATCTCACATCTTGTTTCTAAGGTTAAATGATCTGAACTGCCTAAGCAACGAGTTTGCTTCAAACAAAGCTCCAGGGGGCTTGTTGTCCATCTGTGCCTCCTACCCTCCACCAAATTACTGTTTTCATCAAATCCTACAGTATTTTCACGGTTTAACAGAACCAATCCCACCCTTTCAGGAAGCCACGATAAATTATCTTCAGTTAAAAAACAAACAGAATCAATGTTTGTCAAAAGAACAGGGACAAAAGTCACAGAAACTCAGTGATAACATCACTTTCCCCTAAGATAGCATGGCAAGTATTGGAGTCTGATAAAACAAAAAATTTCCCACTATTTAATGGTCAAAAGCTTGAGAACATTGCCCTGGATTTTCTCACTTGATAGGAATCAATAACTACACAAACACAGAAAGTGGGTGAGCCAAAAGGAAGGCATTAGGGCCCCCCTACTTCACTCTGTGCTTGGTGGTGACGGTCCTCAGCGTCTGGTTTATGGACCCCCACTAGCATTTGGGGGGGTGTAGCACCAGAAGCGGGAGTGTTCTTGTCCAGAGCCTAAGTTGTTCAGAGCCTAACCTGGGTTCAAGCCCCAGCTCAACCCCAGCCTCTTCAGTAATGGGAAGTTAACTCCAACGCTGATCTGTTCCTTGAGTATCCAACTCTGCCAAACTCGAATTCTAATAAGAAGTGGCTACATGCAGTGTGTAAGGATTTGCTGATGCTCCTAGAAGTAAGGTCACCCCAGCTTTGAACGTGCTTCATCTTTTTCATTCTGGCCAAGAGTTAACCAATACCTTTGGTGGGTTTTTGTGTTGAATCCTCAGGACAACCCTGAGCAGTGGATCTTATGATTATCTCTACTTTACAGATGAGGAAGCTGAACTTCCCCAGCTAATTCAGGCGGAGGACCAGCATTCCTACCCAAGCAGTCAGCCTCCACTACATGACATGGATCAGAGAGCCCATTCTAAAGGGGAAAGGGTTGAGCGACATGGCTCTGGGATAACAGCAAGCCCATTCAATCATAGACTCTTTTTTGGTTTAGAACACCTACAACTTACATTTTGAAAATGAAAAAACTTCTTCCCAAAAAAGTCCCAGTAGAGGCAATGTTTTATAAAGTATCGTAATAGAATTAGTCTCAGAATGTGGCTACAGTAACACTCACTCACCAACACTACACACCCCTTGGTTTACTTGCCAGGCCTGTGGCCTCCAATCTGGCCAAATGCCGGCATTTATGAACTTCTCTCCAGCACCTACTAACTTTTCTAGAGCCACTCCTGCCAGCATGCAAATACAGAGAGGCCATCAAACTCTCCACCCACCTGCCTCATACACTTCTCCTAGTCAGTCCTGTGGAAGATTCTGGAGCAAAGATTTGGAATATACTAATAAAGCTCTTTATATCATTCAGACTTAGAGAGATGACAGGTCTCTCAAAAGGTTGGGTGTAGTTGTTTCAACAGTCATGAGGAAGTTTCTAAAATTTATAGACCCACAGAGTTTTTTGGTCAGCCTCACCCATAATCACATTCCTACTGGTCATTCTGATCTTTCTCTGATGAGAGCTACTTTTAATTCCCTCTAAGTCTTGGGATGCAGAAGCGGAGGAGGTGCTAAAGGTGAAAGTTACTGAAAGAGGCGGTGGGGTGGGGGATATGAAATTCTCATCCAGTTCACACGGGAATGAGGTAAAACGCAGAGATCTCCTAATAGATCGCCATCGACCACTTCAGGCACCCATCCCCAGGTACAGGACCTTAAGTGCTTATACCTGAGTGTAACATAACTATAAATACAAATTCCCATATTTGTGAAAGGGAGGAGAGGGGGAAGCCTGAGCAGCTCAAAGTCTGCCTTCTTTAGGGTTTGGTTCTGAATTTTTTAAAGGCCTGAAAGGCGTGGCTAGGTTCTGTAACACTCAGCTCTTGCCTTGGGCCCCTTCTCCTCCAGATAGTCAGGCTTTTCATTTGGAAAGTTACCGCACGCAAAGCCTTGTAGACAACCAATCGTGTCCTCTGATTCAGTCTCTTTGTTGGCACCAAGAAGGAATGGGCAGTGCCATTATTTAGCAAAGAAGTTCTCGGAGAGAAAACCTAGGTGTTGCAGGAAGTATTGTTTGTGACTCAGGTGGTAACAATCATAATATTTAGCATGTTTATAATGCTTTGCTGTTTCAAAGAGCATTTCACTCATTGCAACGTTAATTTGCCCAGTGCCTCCAGGGAGTCTCCACTTTCATGAGGCAACTGGGACACAGAAGGGTGACGTGCTTGAGGTCACGTCAAGAATCCACAGCTGAGGCAGGATCAGGTCTGAAGTCTTGTCTTCTACACCAGGACTTCATGAGACGGCACTTCTTTTGAGCTTCTTTCCTAGCAGAGCTGGTGGCAGAAAAATAGGTAGAGGCATGGCTGTTCTGTGGACCTACTGAGGCCATGTACAAACTCAGCTTCTTCGGTAATGGGGAGTTAACTCCAAAGCTGGTCTGTTCCTTGAGTATCCGATTCTGCCAAATTCGAATTCCAATAAGATGTAGCTACATTTAGTGTGTCTTAAATGGTCCCTTTGTGTGGTTAAAAAAAAAAATCAATTCCAATGTCAGGCATCATAATACATCTGTGCAAGAAATTATTATAACTTTTAAAGGGACAAGATGGCATATGTTTGTTAATTTAATGTTAGAGTCTGGGCTTGCTTTCTTTTCACTTTTTTTTTTTTTGGACAGAGTCTGCCTCTGTCACCCAGGCTGGAGTGTGATGGTGAAATCATAGTTCACTGCAGCCTCAACCTCCTGGGCTCAAGTGATCCTCCCACCTCAGCCTCCCGAGTAGCTGGGACTATCGACACACATCACCACTCCTGGCTAATTTTTAAATTATTTTGTAGAGATGGGGTCTCACTATGTTGCCCGAGCTGGTCTTGAACTCCTGGGCTTAAGTGATCTTCCCGCATTGGCCTTCCGAAATGCTGGCATTATAGGCATGAGCCACCGTGCCTGTCCACTTTTCACTTTTCTTCCTCAGGTAGCCTTACCCTAGTTTGTATCTTTCCCCTTGCTGTATCTGTTTTTCTTGACCATTTATCTATTTTGCTGTATCTATTTTTCTTGACAATGTATAAACATTTTTAAGAAGCCTATCTTTGCCCAACTCTGGTCAGGGTCATTGGCAATTCATATAGCTACTTGATTGTTACAGCCCTCAACAAAAATTAAGTCCCATATCTTACGAAGAGAAGGAAAGGGGTGGGGCCAGTACTTTTCAGGCCCACTGCCGGCTTTCTTTTTAGTCCTATCAGATTTCTCAATAGTTTGACAACCAATTAGATTAAGCATTGTAAAAATCATATTACACCAAGATGTGTAAGAGTAACTATTTCCTGGCATGCCTAAACATCTCAGGAAAATACTTGCTTAGTGCACTCAGTGATAACAAAATTGGTTTGGAAGGATCAAGTTCTCAAGATTCCTCTGGCTTCTCTTCCCACCCTGGCAGTGGGTAGAGATGGGAAAAAGTTACTTAGAGACACAGGGTCCAATTTACTTGCATGAAATTTGAGGAGGCAGTTACTCTCCTAATTAGAACCATAGGCCTTTGGAGAGAAAGGACCAGATGTCCAATATATAATTATGCAATGAATGAAGGAAATTACTGACCAGTTAATGCTTTACTCAAGAGAAGTGGTTCTCACCATTGAGGGAAACATGCAAGTTCCTTTCTTGGACAATGAGACACTGTTGGACACCGGTGACTGGTGAATAACATTGTAGAACCCAGGTCCTGGGATATCATTCTGAAAGGGAAGAGAAGGTGGTGTCATCGAGATACTTCAATTCCATTGTGCTTTTCCACAGGCTTTACATCCATTAACACTAAGCCTTACTGTAATCCCACAGCACAGGCGCTACCACCACTTGGTGGGTGACAGCCTAGCTCCACCATTTCCTGACTTGCCCGATCTTCGTCTCAGTTACCAAGTGGTGGGGCTGGAATTCCAAGCCAGGCTAGACTCCCAAAGCCCTTGCTCTTTCCACTATGCCCTGCCGCATTCCAAAAGAACACAGTTGTTTTTTCAAGTCATTAGAGAAATGGGCCTAAAGTGGGACACTGAATGCGGCTGATGTGCAAGTCAGTGTGCAGTGATTGGGTAAGCCAGACCCACGGCAAGGGAAGGGTGAGCGATTTCATGTTCACCCCACCCCACCTGACTCAGCTTCCTCCTCAGCCTTTCAGAAGAGAAACCAGGGAGTGTTTCTGTTTATAAAGCAAAATGAAACAAAAACAACCTTCAACCCAAACCAGGCCATTTCTAACTCTCAGACAAAAAGAGGCAAGCTCTTGAGGCTCAAGTGCTGAATGATGCAGGCATGTGAGAGAGGAATAAGTGAGAGGTCACTTCCAAGTTCATTTCTGCTGCGGGAGCTCATCGGGCTTTCATTGCATTTCCCATGCTAGTTACCAGGGGGAAGTAAATGTTGACAGAAGTTGGCTGAGTGGTGTGAAATGCTAAGGATGCTCCACTGTGGCAAGAGGTTCCTGGGTACCTGCTTGGTGTCAGAAGCTTTTCAAAGTTGGTCTCATTTTCACCATCAGCCAGTGATGAAGGGATTACTGTCCCCCGTTGATAAATGGAGACACTAAGGCACGTGGAGATGAATTTGCCCAAGGTCCCGCTGCTGTAAGTGGCAGTACCTGACTTCAGTGCCAAGCGCACGGTGTGTGCTGTCTTGTTTACTCCTCACAACAAGCCTTTTACAGTGAGGTATGATCAGGGCTACTTTAAGGAAAGTGAGGCCCAGAGACACAGCTAGTAAGTGGCAAACCCCAGAGCTGAACCGAGACAGCCCGACTCCAGAGCTTGCTGTCTCCAATCTCTGCCACTCAGGCCTGTCCTGTCTCCACCATCCCTACTGCCTTCCTTAGGGTAGAAAGCCCAAGGTACCATCAGTGCCTTCCAGGACTTTCCAGTCTGGCTGGGCAGTGTGTAATTATGGTTTCATATAAGGGATAGGGTCAAAGTGCTGTTAACGGGTTCTTCTGTGCTGACTTTTAAATGCAGTGAGTCCTTTCACCCTTGCCCCATGGGAGGTGACGACAGGGGTGCTGATTCCTGCTTTAGGTGAGAATGATCCCCGGTGGACGGAAGAGGAACTGACTGCCATGGAGAGTGAGGCAGGCAGCAGGAGGCACTGTGGAGCCAGGTACTCCAGCACCCCAGGCCGAGAGCCCAGGAGAACCCTCGTGTTGTGGATGCAGATGCGAAGGGCTATGGGGAGACAAGGAAGAGATTTTTCTAGGCAACTGTTTTCAGGGCAAGCATCAATTTCTCGAGTGCTCATTTTGTGCCATGCACTGTTCTGAGGACTTTACATGTACTATTAGCTCACTTAATCTCCATTTTAAAGAAGTTGGGGCCAAAAGAGATAAGGCCCACATAACTAGTAAATGTCAGAGCCAGAACCGAGGCATTCTGACCACAGAGTCTGCTCTTAACCACGAAACCAAACTAATTCTCAAATGAGATTACATAGGATTAAAAAAATCCCCACCGGGTTATGAATCAGAAATTGTAGTCTCAGTGCTGCCACACGCTAAGTGATCTTGAGCAAGTCACCTCTCTGGGCTTCCTTATTTGTAAGTCCAAGGTGTTGGGCCTTGGGTGCTTTTGAGCTTCCAGAGTCCCTGAATCTAGGAAAGCTGACACAGGAAGTGTCACTGTGACTCTTCTAGGTTTAAATAGTAGATAGTGAAGACACACACCTCTAGCTCCCGGTTATCACCACACTCTGAACCTGACCATCAGTTTGCAAGAATTTTCTGAGCACTCATATGTGTCTGAGGAGCTAGGGGTTCCAGACAAAATGCAAGACCTAAATGCCGGCTCCATCCTACCTGCCCAGTTAAATTAGAATTTCAGATAAACTGCAGATGATGATTTTAGTATATCCCATGCAATATTTGGGACATACTTGTACTAACAGAGTTGCCATTTATCTGAAATTCTAATTTAACTGGACATCTCGTGTTTTCATTTGCTGAAGCTCACAACTTTCCTGGGCTTTAACACACTTTAATTCTGCCACTTTGCATACTGGCTTGAGTCCAAGGCAAATGGCAAGAAGGCTGTTACCACTTAGCCTGGAGGAATGGAGTGCTGCCTGTTTGTTCTTAGTGAGCAAAAAGAGAGTCCTCCAGGCAGCGGCAGCTGGAGCTGGCCAGCGGCAGCTTGTGAGGACAACTGTTAAAAATTCCAAAATGTTGCTGCTGGTGGCTTGAAGTTGGCCACGGTGGCAGTATTTATGTCACAAAAACGGGCAGATGCTACATCTCAGCACTTTTCTTCGAGGAGGGTAAATGGTGGTTGACCAGCACACCACCGCCTTCGTGCAACGCCCAAGTAGGTCTCTGGGAGGGAAATGTCAAGCGTTCTCCTGTGACTTCTAGAGGTGGGCGGATGCCACCCTCAGAGAGGCCTTTCGCCTGTGCAAAAACAGTTCCTGCGACTGACATTCTGTGACTTGGATGAATTTAGCCTCTCAGAGCAAATCCCAGAGAACGAGAATCCAAGTTGTGACTGGTGTGAACTTAGCCACTCCTTGGTTTCTTGGCAAAAACCAAATAAACAAACAAAACAAAAACATGTATGGGGAGGGAGAAGGGAAGAGAACTCGCATTTACTAGTGCTCTAGGGAAGCCCTACCCACTGTCTCCTTTGCTGCCTCTAAGTGTGAGGATTGAAGGGGTCAATACACATAAAGTGGGTGGAACAGCGCCGATGCGGCCCGCCATCATCATCATCACCATCACCATCACCACGCACGATGTTGCCTGCTACTGCCTCCATGGAGCCAGGACCCTCCCTTGGGAGTCACAAACCTTCAGAGTGGGACTGAGCAGCTTATTAGCAGCCTGTTGAAGTGCCCTGCGTGGGATGGGGGCAAAAATGCAATTTAGCGGACACTGATTGAAACCTACTGTGCATCAGGACCTGTGCCAAGGATGGAAGATACAGGCGCAACCTGTTAGCAGCTCACAGGGTTTAGGAATGGGAGGAAGGAGATGTATCACAACAGTGCTCATGGATGGATGTGTGGTCGTGACTCCATGGGAAATGCGCAGATTTGAGTTGGGGGCATTTGATCCATTTTTGAGGGGTTTGTGGGGTCTGGAAAGGACAGCAATGACCACTGCCCAAGGAGCTCCTAGGCAGGTGGTGGAGGTAAGACAGCACACACATTAACCTTGTGTCAAGGGCATAAGACGAGCTGTGGGAGGTGCCTCCACCTCGGGAAGATGCTGGGGAAACAGGGTCTGAGGACCAGGAGCTGCTACCTGGGTTCATCCTCACTCTGCCCAGCCTCCACTGCACCAGCTACTTCACCCTCTTTTCATCTCAGGATCATTATCTGAAAAGTATGGATAATGATGGGATTTAGCTCATGGGGTTATTATGGGGATTAAATGAGGTAATAAATGCAAAGGTCTTTGAGGGGTACCTGGCATGTCATGAGTGCCAGCCCAGTGTTTGCAGACCCCTTAGGAAGGGGTACTGGTGACTGATACAGAGAAGTCAGGCTTCACAGAGCAGGGAGGCAGGACAGACCCTACTGTGGGTCAGATATGCAGCTGAGGGCACACTTGGGGCAGCTGTCCCCTTGAACATGGTGACTTCTGCAAACTGAACCTCTTTCATTTAAACATCCCTGGTCTAGTGTCATATCAAGTTAATAAGTGAACAATATTAACTTTGTACGATTTCATCACAAATTAACCACTGGCTGGCTTCCCATTTGGGAGGGTAGATTTACTATGTAATGGTATTAACATATATTTTTAAATTGTGCCCATCTAGAGCACATGGTACCTATGTCCTACCTGTATTTATTTATTCAAGCCTGGAAGGGATGAGGTGTAGAACCATGAAATACTCATTCCTGGCAAGGGCTTACCTACCTATTACAACATCTTTATTTTTAGGATGAGGAAACAGAGAAGCAAAGACATTAAGTGGTGTCCTTAGGGGTACACAGTTTGGGAAACAGTGACCACAATCCAGGGTGAAGTGGAGACAGAAACAGGGAGGCGGGGGTAGAAAATGGCCGGCAGGCTGCTGGGCCATGCTCTGCCACATAGATCAGGCATGTCTCTTCACCTACGCAAAGTTACCAGCACATCTGTAAATAACTCGAAAATGTTCAGGAAAACAGACTTCATTTCTAGCAGCCAAAATTGCCAGTCCCGACACTGAGCTCTGTGAAGGATTCACTGTACTCTGCAGTAAGATTCTCATGGGGAATGTGAGCTGGGCAAGGAGACCTTGATGGTTCACTGCAAAGTTAGCCTCACAAGGTAAGTGCACATTTCAAAGGGCACTGATTCTCTGTGTCAAAGATGTGCTAAGGTGGGCCACAGGACTACTGCGAGGAGGCAGCCATGTTCGATCTGGAGCAACGGTGTGGGTGACTAATGCTTTAAGAAGGGTGGTGAAGCCCTGGAGTTTTCAAATCTGTCTTTAATTTGTATTGCCTCACTAAATTATCAGGTGATGTTAAACAAGATCTTTAACTTCTCAATGGCCATTTCCCTCGGGAAAAATGAGAACGAACATAGAATAGGAATTTGTTTTTCTGTTTTTATAACTTGAGGAGACCACAAAAATTATATAATACAAATTTTATGTTTCAGTTGAGGAAACTGAAGCCCAGAAAAGTCAAGTGACTGGTTTAAAGGCACACAGCCAGTGACAGAGTAGGACACGGAAAGCCTGATTGATGGATCCCCTGCCCTTTCCATAAAATTCCATCCTTATTTCTAAAATGCTTACAAATGCTGAGATGAAAGTTTTCATGTTGTCAAGTAACACGACCACATTTAAAAAGTTGGAACCCAATCTCTGAGCAATTCCCATCTCTATTCGATGCTGCCTGTAGGTTTGGCTACCTGCCTCCTTGGTTCCTTTAGTCAAAAACGTTCTGAGAAGCAATCATCTTTTAAAACACTAACTTGACAAGTGAGCCGGCTTGCTTTCTGAATTTGAGTGTTCAGAACTAGATCACGGGGAATGGGGCCCATCCACGGTAGCTGACATCCTCCCCTGTCTTCAGCTTGGTCTGTGTTGCTAAGGCCTTTTCAGAAACTTGCTGACTTTCACAGGCCAAATTTACAGCTTTGCGGGCCACAAAGGCAGGTGTGGTGCAGTGTGTGGAAAGAGCAAGAGGCTTTGGAGTGAACTAGACCTGGGTTGAGGTCTAATTCTTTCAACATTGATTCAGCAAACATTTACTTTGAGCCTCTTAAGTGCCAAACCCTGCATTGTGTGACCTTGGGTGGGTCATTGAACTTCCCTAAGCCTCGGTTTCCTCTTCTGTTAAATTAAAATAATAAACCCTTCCTTTCAGCATTGTTCTGAGGATTAGAGATAAAAGGCAGTCTAAAAGTACACATAGTAAGGATAAGTAAATGGTGGCTGCTATTGTTTTTATCGGAGGCTGGGCTGCAAATATCCTGGAGAGGGACAATATATTATCATTAAATTGACAAATGGGAAACCAGACAGAAAATGGGAAAGAGCCAAACAGTTAAAACAGAGAAACTAGGGAGAGAAGAAAACTCCTGAGCAAATATGTATTATCTTTGGAGAAAACCTACAAGTGATTTAAAACTGTGTGTGTGTGTTTGTGTGCGTACACTCTATTCTTTATTATTTGCTTTCTTAGAATCCTAAAATATCAGAAGTGGAAGAAACTTGAAACATTCTCTAGTTCAGCGTTCTCATCTACCAAGGAGGAATCAGGCTGAGGGCACCAGGGCTGGCCAAGGCCCCTCACTCCATGCCTTGGCTCCGTTCAGAACCTAGATCTCCTCATTCCCTCTCTGCCATCTGGGCAAGGTAATAAGATGAAAACCATTTTTAGAGTGCAGCAAAAGATATGTGAAATGAGGACTCCTCCAAAAGAACAGTATTCTAAAGGTCTTGCTTAAATGAATGAAGGAATGAAAAACTTTTTAGACTCTAAGGACGCCTGTGAGTTGCTTCTGTCCCCTGCTGGTGAGAGAGGAGAAAGTCAGGTCCCAGAAATCCCAAAGATTAAATAAGGACCGGTCAGGAACCACGCAGAACTTTCCAGGTTAGAGAGGAAAAGAGATGCGGCAAGATTTAGGGAAGGGGGGGTGGTGGGTGACACAGGAATATGATAACACATTGTTGTTGTGGTGGTGGTGATTTTGAGATGGAGTCTCATTCTGTCGCCCAGGCTGAAGTCCAGTAGTGCGATCTCGGCTCACTACAATCTCTGCCTCCTAGGTTCATGTGATTCTCCTGCCTCAGGAGAGGCAGTAGTTGGGTCTACAGGTGTGCGCCACCACTCCCAGCTAATTTTTGTATTTTTAGTAGAGATGGGGTTTCACCATGTTGGCCAGGCTGGTCTCGAACTTGTGACCTCAGGTGATCTGTCTACCTTGGCCTCCCAAACTGCTGGGATTACAGGTGTGAGCCACTGCACCCGGCTAATAACACATTGTTTAAGGAAGTTTTTTTTGTTTTTTGTTTTTTTGTTTTTAAAGTAGGGCAGGGCTCATTACAAAGGTAATTTTTTTTTTTTTAATTTCAGACAGGGTCTAGCTCTGTCACCCAGGCTAGGGTACAGTTGCGCTATCTTGGTTCAATGCAGCCTCGACCTCCTCGGTTCAGGTGATCCTCCTTCCTCAGCCTCTTGAGTAGCTGGGTCTACAGGCACACACCACTATGCCAAGCTAATTTTTGTACTTTTTTCTTTTCTTTTCTTTTCTTGTAGAGATTGGGTTTTGCTATGTTGCCTGGGCTGATCTGAAACTCCTGGCTCAAGCAATTAATTCTCCCACCTCAGCTTCCCAAAGTGCTGGGATTACAGGCATAAGCCACCGTGCCCGGCCCTCCAAAGGTAATTCTAGATGTATTCGACTCTTCTTTTCCTCTTGTGTTATTTGAAGTCATGTGATTTCCTCTCACAAGGATGGGGAAGATTTTTTTTTAATCTTTTACTTAATTGATAACACTTGGGAATTTTTGCAATTTTTTAGCTTTATGATGATTTTTAAAATATATTGTTTTCTTAAAATAGTTTTGGTCCAGTTCAATATTTTTGGCGCCATAAATCCAGACACAGTTGTTTTTCCCTGGATGTCCCATTTTTCAGGCTCGTTCTTACAGTTAGTCCAGTCGGTGCCCCTCAGTGGAGCTGGTGCCGCGGCTCCTGGGAGCACACTGCCCTCCACTGTCCACAGAAAGACACAGCAGCCAGACAGAACGTGCCTGTCCCGCAAGGCTAAAATCCAGACTAAAACGAAAGAACCCCTGAGACAACGTCATTACCTTCTTATGAGGAAATCTCTTGGCTTGACTATTGAATCCTTTTTTTTCTGATTCTGGGATTACTGAAGCTTGAGATTTAAAAGGAATGGAGGATTGTGTTGGATATGCAGCAGTAAAACCTAAACAACAAAAATGGAGTAAAATCAAAATGAATACAAAACAATGATTGACAAATGTGGAAAACACAAAGGTGTATATTAAAGTTTTATTTTAAATGGTAGAGAAGAGAAACTTGCCTTTTGACAGGAAACAGACACGAAACCGGATTAAAAAAAAAATTCCCCACTTTCTTTCCCTCTCGGCAATTTATCGGACTTCCCCCCTCCAGCTCTTAAATTAGTGAGATGTGGTCACATAAAGTACCTTAAACAGGCTGTCCCGGAGAAAAGGAAGGAGATGATAGTAAAGACATTCTTGCCAGGCAGGAAGGAGACAGCAAAACTATTCTGGGAGCAGCCTGGACGAGGCGCGGTCAGGACAGAGGAAGCGTCCTCACTGCTCCTTGGCCTAGATTCAGACACCAGCATTAGGCCGTTAAAATCCAAAGAGGTTAGGGAAATCCCAGCCTGGGGCTGGCTCTCACTTTTCAGGGCACTGTGCAAGACAGGTGTAAGTTTTCGTTTCTGTTTTGAGCAGACATGGGGTTAAAAAGCAGAAAGGGATCATCTATAGAAACTGAAGTTAAAAGTTCCTTTGTCTAGGCTGCGATGTATACATGCATGTCTGATGTATAAACTCCCCTCCTGCTGAGACTTCCACAACTGCTAGAACTTGGCAGCATCTGTCTGCATAGCAGGTTGATTATAGACTCTAACCTGTAAGTGTAATGGACTCTGACTCCAGTTTTTTGATGTTTGATGGCTGATAGCTCTTCAGCTTCACCACTCCCTCATTCCCTTCTGCCCTACCACTGGGCAAGCGGATGAGAAAGCCCAGAGCTCCCTCCTGTGGCACCAGCTGGAAGTTCAAACCACGCAGACCCCTGCCCTCAGTCCAGCCTCGCTTTCCAACCATAAGAAAACCCCCAAGCCAGGCTCCTTTCCCTGCTCTCTCAAGCCATTATTGGATCAGGTTAGGAAGGCTGTGCTGCTGTCCTCAGAAGGCCTCACTATGTGGGTGATAAGCCTTTTCCTACACTCTTCATGAGCGTGTGTGTGGCACCGTAAGTCTTGACATCCAAACCAAATTTTGGGTGGGGGGGTGCATCCTGACTCTGTAGGCTGTTCACAACAGTAAGCCAAATTATTTTAACATCAGAATCCTAACCTTCAGAGAGGAAATACGCGCAGAAATGGGGGAAAAAAAACAGTCAAGAGAAGGAAAGAAGAAAGTATGTGTTAGCCATGACAGAGGGTGGTTTGTATGGAAACTATCAGTAAGGCTCATTTCTTCATCTCTGAATTTTTTTAAAAAACAATACTCCTTTTCAGAGCAGGAAGCCTGAAGACAACAGGGACCCCTCAAGGGGTACAATCATGAACCAGCTTCACAGTTGAGGAAACTGAGGCTTAGAGGGATTAAGTTACTCATCCGAATCACCCAGCACTTAAGCGGAACAGGTAGGGTGTGAACATGATTTGCCTAATGAGTCCAGGCTCTTGAGCTCTGAGCTGTGCTTCCTCTTCCTGAGCTGGCCTCTAGTAAGTGCTCAATAAACACGATGGGGAGAGGGACACTGAAGCCTAATCTGCCTGGGTGGAGGATGAAGCAAGTAAAAGGAGCTGAATACGTGTTTAAGTAGAAAATATTTGGGGATACCAATATACAGTAAATGTATTCTTCTCCTCCCCTCCCCATTTAAGTAGATGAATGGCTATGTTTTTGGTTTGTTTGCTTTAAGAGAGCTATACAGCAAATCAAAAGGCAGAAGCAGCTGCAAGACTTCCTGGCTTTTGTTTCTAAAAGCCTAAGCCTATAGAACAGCTAAGAGAGTGTGCAGAGGAGGCAGTAAAAAGAGAGTTATTTAAAAAAGGTTAAAGGAAGGACATTCTCCTGGGGAAAGGAGAGGTTTCTGCCTGACTGGAAAGGAGATCCAAGGCTTCTGGCTATAACAGAAATGCATGTGTCAGAGCAGCCCTCTTGATGAAACAATTTAAAAAGTAGAATTTTTGAAAAACACTCTGGATGACTGAACTCCTATTTCTTACCAAAACAGGACTAGATTTGCCCTCCCAGCTGGAAAAAAAAAGTTAAAAATGGGCAAGATATATAAAGCAATCAAGATACTGGACATCAGGCAACAAAGGACAGGGATCCCTGAGAGAAGCAAAGTAAATGAGGTTGGCAATAAGATGGTCCCCAGCTTTCTGCCAGGAGAAAATCTCAAGACCACAGCACAGGAAGAAGGGATCCAGATGGAGCCCCGTGGTCTTCCTGAGTTGAGGAAATAGATCTGGGAGTCCAGAAAGACCAAGACAGCTAAGTTCACAGAGCAGAGTACCAGAGAAGAGAGAGCTACCCAGATGGAGAGCTATGGAGCTCTGCAACGGGGTCCCCTGAGTAAGTTCCTGGGTATTGACCAACACATGGCATGAGAAAACTACCCAGGGCTGGAGAAGGAACCGCCTGGCAGAATTCAAGTGAGCAATCCCTGAGGCTTCCACAGGGCCGGGAATAGCTCCTGTTTTCATGAGTCACAGCGGGAAAACCTCATAATTCATGGAACATAGAGTATGCAGGAGGGTTTCGCCTCAGAAATGGGGCAAAATTACCCCTAGACTAAATACTGCTCTGGTTCCAGCTAACAAAGCTTTAAAGCAGGACCTGAAAAGATCAAACTGTCTCCAAATAATTTAACTGCATCTCAGAACAAAGCACAAGAATATTTATGGGACTACAAAAATAGCACCTAAGAGGTAAAATTCAAAATACCTGGCATTGATAAAAAATTAATAGGAGGAAGAAGGAAAAATATACTTCAAAGTGGGGAGAAAATAAATGATCAAAACCAACTCAGAAATGATACAGATGATAGAATTAGTGGAGAAGAACATTATAACTGCTGCACTAACTGTATTTCATATGTTCAAGAAGCCAGAGAAAAGACTGAACATATTAAGTAGATATGGAAGATATAATGACAAGATCCAAATCGAACTACCAGATGTGAAAACTAAATGTCTGAGATTAAAAATACACTAGATGAGATGAATAGCAAATTAGACATTAGAGGAAAAAAAGATTAGTAAACTTGAAGACCTAGAAATAAAACTATACAAAATAAAACAGAAAAAGGACAAGAAAAAGGATTAGTGAGCTGTGTGGAAACTTTGAGGAGCCTAATATATATGTAATCAGGCTCTCAAAAAAAGAAATATGAGGAGAGAAGAAATAGAAAAAAATAGTTCAAGAAAAAATGGTTGAAATTTTTCCAAATTTGATTAAAAAAACTATTGACTCACAGATTCAAGAAAGTCACTTAACATCAAATACAAGAAACATGAAGAAAATGACACCGTAGGCCAACCATAATCAAATTGCTTAAAAAGTGATAAGAAGAAAATGTTAAAATTGGGCAGAGAAAAAAGACATGTCACATATGAAGAAACAAATACGAGAATGACAGCAGATTGATACTGAAAACAACACCTTTAAGGCAATAAAAGGAAAAAAAAAACCTGTCACCCTAGAATCCTGTACTCAGTAAAAATATCTTCAAAAGCAAAAGCAGAATAAAAACTTTTAAAACTATATAAATATTGAAAGAATCATCAGCAAATGGGAGCTACAAGAAATGTTAAGGGAAGCCCTTCAGGCCAAAGAAAATGATACCAGTAGGAAATCTGAATCACATAAAGGAATGAAGCTCTGGAAATAGTAAATATGTGGGTAAATAGAAAATATAAAATTATGAGTATAAATTGAACAATTTTTTTTTTTTTTTTTTTTTTTAGACGGAGTCTCGTTCTTGCGCCCAGGCTGGAGTGCAATGGCGCTATCTCGGCTCACTGCAAGCTCTGCCTCCCGGGTTCACGCCATTCTCCTGCCTCAGCCTCCCGAGTAGCTGGGACTACAGGCGCCCGCCACCGCGCCCGGCTAATTTTTTGTATTTTTAGTAGAGACGGGGTTTCACCGTGTTAGCCAGGATGGTCTCGATCTCCTGACCTCATGATCTGCCCGCCCCGGCTTCTCAAAGTGCTGGGATTACAGGCATGAGCCACCAAACCCAGCCTTGAATAATTTAAATATAACATTTTAAACATTTAAAAAGTAATGATTACTGGCCGGGTGTGGTAGCCTGTAATCCAGCACTTTGGGAGGCCTCCTCACCAAATTAGCCAGGCATGGTGGCAGGTGCCTGTAATCCCAGCTATTCAGGAGGCTGAATCAGGAGAATTGCTTGAACCCAGGAGGTGTAGGTTACAGTGAGCCAAGACTGCGCCACTGCACCCCAGCCTGAGCGACACAGCAAGGCTCCATCTCAAAAAAAAAAAAATTTATGTAAAGCAAAAATAACAACTGTTTTGTAGGGTTTATACCATATGTACAAGTAAAATGTTTAACAACAATAACATAAAGGCCAGGAAGGGAAAAATAAAAATATACTGTTTTAAGGTTCTTCTACTATATGTGAAGTGTTATAATATCACTTGATGGTAGACCATGATAAGTTAAAGATATATACTATAAACTCTAAAGTATGTAGGGATCAACGAACTTTTTCTAAGGGCCAGATAGTACATATCTGTCTATCTATCTATCCATCTATAGCTATCTATCTATCTATCTATCTATCTATCATCTATCTATCTTATTGATCTATATTTTGAGACAGGGTCTTGCTCTGTTGCCCAGGTTGGAGTGCAGTGGTGCAGTCATAGTTCATTGCAGCCTTGACCTCCTGGGCTTAAGCAATCCTCCTGCCTCAGCCTCCCAAAGTTCTGGGATTGCAAGTGTGAGCCACCATGCCTGGCTAGATAGTAAATATTTTAGTCTTTGCAGTCTATTTATTCTCTGTGGCAACTATTCAGTGCTGCCATTATGGAGTAAAAGCAGCCACAGACAATACATAAACAAACTGGGGTGGCCGTGTTCCAATAAAACTTTATTAATAGAAATAGGCAGTGGGTCAGATTTGGTCCAAGGAGCAAAGTTTGCCAACTGTTGCTTTAAGGTAACCACTAGGAAAATACTACAAGGAGTTATTCCTAATAGGCTAACAAAGGAGATAAAATTGAAGCATTAAAAATAATACAAGAGACAGAGAAAAGGTAAATAAAGAACAGATGGGACGAATAGAAAGCAAGTCACAAGATGATAGACTTAAACTTATACACCAATAATCACATTAAATGTAAATAATCTAAATATCCCAATTAAAAAACAGAGATTCTCAGATTGGATAAGAAAGAAAGACCCAACTATATGTTACCTTGGAGAAACATACTTGAAATATAAACTCAGAAATAAGTTAAAAGTAAAATAATGGAAAAAGATTTACTATGCTAACACTAATCAAAAGATAGTTAGATATTATCAGATAAAGTAGATTTCAGAGCAAAAAATATTACCTGCAATAAAGAGGGTCATTTCATAATGGGGTCATTATGAGCAGTCAGCTCCTCAAGAGAACATAACAGTCCTAAATGCTGATGTACCCAATAAAAAGAGATTGAAAATATAAGAAGCAGAAACTGATAAAACTGCGAGAAAAAATAGAAAATTTCACAATTATAGTCAGAGATCTCAAAACATCTCCCTCGATAATTTAAACAAGTAGATAGATCAGTAAAGATATATGAAACCTGAACAAAACTATTACCTAACCTGACCTAATTGGCATTTATAGAACACTCCACCTATCAATTCCATACAAGCTGTCCCAGAAAACTGAAGAGGAAAAGACATTTCCAAACTCATTCAATGAGGCAACCACTACCTGATACCAAAACTATATGGCATCATTACAAGAGGGAAAAAGATCACTAGAGGTCAGCAGCCCTCATAAACATAAATACATAAATCCTTAGAAAAATTTTAGCGAATCAAACCAGACAATATATAAAAAGATAATACATCGTGACCAACCCCAGTAATGCAAAAATAGTTTAATATTTAAAAATCAATATAATTCATCATATTAACGGACTAAAAAAGAAAAACCATACGAGTATCTCAACAGATTAAAAAAATCATATACCTGTAACATGTACTCTTTTTGTCTGGCTTCTTTCACTCAGCATAATTACTATGAGATTCATCTCTGTTGCTGATATATCAATACTCCATTGCTTTTTATTGTTGAGTAATATTCCATTGTATAAAAACATGATGTTTATTCACTGGTGATGTAAATTTGAGTTGTCGCCAGTTTGGGGGCATTACAAATAAAACTGCTATGAGCATTTTATCTACAAGTCTTTAAATGGACATAAGCTTTCATTTTGCGGGGTAAATGCCTAGGAGTGGAATGACTAGATCATATGTTTAACTTTTTAAAAAACTGTCAAACTATTTTTCATAGTCGTTGTACTTTTGCACATCCCCACTATTAGCGTATGAAAATTTCTATGACTTCACATTCTTATCAGCAATGGGAAGTCTTTTTAATCTCAGGCATCCCATTAGGTATGTAATGGTATCTCATTATGGTTTTAATTTGCATTTCCCTAATGACTAATGATGCTAAGCAGTCCTTCATATGCTATTTTCCCTCTGTATATCTTTTTTTTGGTGAAGTAACTGTTTAGTAGATACAGAAAAAGCTTTTCATAAGATCTAATATCCTTTGATGATTAAAAGAAAAACTCTAGCAAACTAGGAATAGGAGCAAACTTTGTTAATCTGATAAAAGGTGTCTATAACAAAAGCCTATAGCAAACAGGATACCAAATTGTGAAATATTAAAGGCTTTCCCTTGAGACAGGGAGTGAAACTAGTACAACTGCTATTATCCTTCTATTCAACGTTGTACTGAAGGTCTCTAGCCAATACAAACGCCTACATAAAATATATTAAAAATACATAAAATATATGGATGAGAAAGGAAGAAATAAAGTTGTCATTTTCACAGATTACAAGATTGTGTATGGGGAAATTGCAAAATAATCTGTGGACACCCTATAAGAGGTAATAGTTGGATTTAGTGAGGTCACCAGAATCAAGGTCAATATACAAAAATCAATTAATTTTTTTGTACAGCAGCAACAAACAATTTAAAATAAAATTTAAAATTACCATTTATAACAGCATAAAAATCAAATGCCTACAATAGATATAATGAAGATATGCAAGACTTCTACATAGAAAACTCCAAAACATTGAGAACAATTTAAGGTAACTTAAATAAAAGGATCTATACATGGATTAGAGAAGTTAATATTTATTGTAAAGATGTAAATTATCCTTAAATTGATTTCTAGAATCAATGCAATCCAAATTA
Organism: Homo sapiens; assembly: GCF_000001405.40. NCBI lineage: Eukaryota > Metazoa > Chordata > Mammalia > Primates > Hominidae > Homo > Homo sapiens. The sequence continues at coordinate 24,398,942 of NC_000001.11, forward strand.
AAATGAGAGTAGAGTTTTTTTAAGACATTAATAAGCTGATTGTAAAATTTGTATAGCTACCCAGATTTGATCATCGCACATTATATTCTTGTATCAAAATATCATGTGTGCACCATAAATATGTACAACTATTATGTATCCATAAAAATTAAAAATAAAAAAGTAAAATAAATTTATATGGAAATGCACTGGGGTCAAGAATAGCCAGCATAAACAAAGAAGTACAAAGTTGAAGGGCTTATGCTACTAAAGAGTTATTATAAAGTTACAGTAATTAGGACAGTATGATATTTGAACAGAATAAATAATCAAGAAGCAGAGCTGCATATGCCTGGACACTTGATTTATGACAAAGGTAGCAACAGCAATACAGAGTAGTAGAGAATGAGCAGCCTTTCAATAAATGGTGCTGGGTCAACATGGAAAACAACAGACTCGGGCATCTTCCTCAATCAAAAACAATTTCAAGTGAATTGTAGATCTAGATGTAAAAGGTAAAATAATAGAGTTTCTAGAAGAAACTATCTTGGGATGGGCAAAGATTTCTTAAGTATTAATAAAATAGACATGTACACTAAACATAAAGAGACTGATAAATTGGGCTATATTAAAATCAAGAGTTTCTGTGTCTTAGCACATTGTTAAGAGAGTGAAAAGGAAAGTCCCAGGATAAGGGATGACATTTACCTACAGCTAACAAATGACTTGTTTCTAGAATAAAGAATCCCTATAAATAAGAAAAGGACAGAATGGTTTAAAGAACTCCTATAAATAAAAAAAAGAAAAGACAAGACAAGACCCAGCAGAAGAAAATGGGCAAAAAAGTTGAACAGTCACTTCTCCAAAGAGAATATCCAAAAGGCCAGTCAACATGAAAAAGTGCTCAATCTCATTGATCTCAGGCAATGCAAATTAAAACTATTATGAGCTTAAAATGTTGGTGAGGATTTGGAGCAGCTGGAATTCACATACATTGCTTGTAAGGAGGTAAAATTGGCACAGCTACTTTGGAAAACTGTTTGGCAATATCAACTAAGCTTACCCTAAACATACCCTATGACCCAGCAGTTCCACTCCTCAGGTATAGACCCATGAAATACATAAATATGTGTCCCACAAGACAAGTACAAGAATAGTTACAGAAGTTTTTATTCATAATAGCCCCAAACTGGAAACAACCTAAATGTCCTTCAGTAGTAGAATAGATAAATAAATTGTGGTGTATTCAAACAAGAGTAATAAAATGAACAAATTACTCATAGATAAGACAAACCAACATGAAGTTAAATCTCTGAAACATAAGCCTGAGAGAAAAGAGCTCATATTGTATGATTCACATTTACATAACATTCAAAAACAAACTAAAGTTATTAATGATATGAGAAGTCAGGATAACCGTAGTGTTTACTTTTGCAGGGAAGGGAGATAATATCTGAGAAGGGACAAGGGCTTTTGAGATGCTGCTGACATTCTGTCTTGGTCTGAGAAGTTATTCCATAGGTGGTGTTTTCTTTGTGAATATTCATTAAGCTATACAATTAGGATTTGTGCACTTTTTCTGAATATATATTTATGCTTCAATTTAAAGAAATGTTAAAGAAAAAGAGAGTGCAAAATCAGAGGATAGGAGGAAGAAAGAGAGATCTCTCTGGATTTGAGAGCAGCAGCGACTCTGGAAGCCCACCAGGGAGGTGGTAACAGCCTCGAAAGAAAAAGCGCTGGAGCCTAGGGGGATCTCAAAATGAGGTTTCCTGTCTCAGCAATAATTCCTAAGCCACACTAACGAACCAGAACACTAGTTGGCGAACACTAGCAAAACCAAAGGGAGCACATGAGCTGGGACACTGGGGATCTCACCAATGTGGATGGTTGACCAATGACCTGAGTATTCCTCCCCACCCCAACCCAGCCTCCTGGGATCACACTAACTATTGGGAAAGTTCTGAACTTGAAACAATCACGAGGGAGATAGGATTTATGCTGATAATGGCTGGAGTTATCCTTTCCAACAACCCAGCAGAATGGGGACTTGCAGTCATAACTCAAGTTGAGTTCTAGGAAATAAAAAAAGATCTCTTACATATCTAAATTTGAGGATAGAGATTCTTACCAGATACATGGAACTAACAAGTCTGGGTTTTGTTTATTAGTTTTTTATTTTTTAACAGACTTCCTCCTTCTTCTCTCATCCTTTCTTCTCAGTTTCTTCCCAATCGTCACACTTGAAACAGTAGGGCCTAAAGCCACCTATTTGGTATGCCTGTAAGGATGGCCCTGTGGATATAACCCAGGACTTACTATTCCCCCCAAATTTGCTCTTATGTACTAAAATAAGCATATGTCAGGAGCTATCTCCTCCCTGCAAAGACACATGTACCTTTCTGTACTTCACTGGCACGTCTGGGATGTTTGCCAGTGCGTTCATTTTTCTGTGCAGAGTTGTCCATGTTAGCAAAATTCTGTGACGTGTTCCATTTGTTTGATGAAAAGTTCTACTGCATGTTCTCCTAAGCACCTGAAACAGCAAAACACAGCATTTGTAGAGATCATTTCACATTGGTTAATTATTGCAAATGGGTTCTGTTCTATCTACAGGGTAAACTGAGAAATGGTGTGGGTGCCGGCTGAGATCTACCAAGTGCAGTGACCCAAAGTCCCAAGCACATTGTGCTGGTGCTGCCTGCAGTAGGAACTGCGTAAGAAGTCACTGTTGATGTTGCTTACAGAACTACTGAAGGCTTGGATTTTATTTTTATTTTTTATTTTTTGATACGGAGTTTTGCTCTTGTCACCCAGGCCGGAGTGTAATGGTGTGATCTTGGCTCACTGCAACCGCTGCCCCTGCCTGGGTTCAAGTGATTCTCCTGCCTTAGCCTCCTCAGTAGCTGGGATTACAGGCGCCCACCATCTGTAATTTGTATTTTTAGCAGAGATGGGGTTTCACTATGTTGGCCAGGCTGGTCTCGAACTCCTGACCTCAGGTAATCTGCCTGCCTCTGCCATCCAAAGTGCTAGGATTACAGGTGTGAGCCACCATGCCTGGCCTATTTTTATTTAAATTTAGCTTTACTGAGACATAATGTATACACAAATAAAATTCATCAGTGTTAGTTGTACAATTCCAAGTTTTGGCAAATGTTTACAGCCAAGTTAAATACCACCACAATTAAGATATTAATTTATCTATGATGCTGAGAAGCTCCCTGTGTCCCTTTGCAGTCAGCACCCTCCCAACCACTGCTCTGCTGTCACAATTGTTGCCTTTCTAGAATGTCACAGAAATGCAATCATAGACACTCTTTTTTCACTTAGTGTAATGCTTTTGAAATTCTTCCATATTGTTGCATAGATCAGTACTTTGTTCCAGTTGTTCTACATCCTCACCAACATGTGTTTGCTCAATCTTGTTAATTTTAGGCATTCTAGTGATTTTATAGTGGTATCTCATTGTCATTTTAATTTGGATATTTTCATGTGCTTATTTATCTTCTTTAGTGAAGTGTGTTCAAATCTTCTACCTTTAAAACAAAAAAATTGGGGACAGCCATTGTGGCTCACACCTATAATCCCAACACCTTGGGAGGCTGAAGCGGGAGGATTGCTTGAAGCGAGGAGTTTGAGACTAGCCTAAGCAACATAGTGAGACCCCATCTCTACGAAAAATAAAAAATTAGCCAGCCTGTAGTCCCAGCTACTCTGGAGGCTGAGGTGGGAGAACTGCTTAAGCCCAGGAGATCAAGGCTGCACTGAGCCATGACAGCACCACTGCACTCCAGAATGGACAACAGAGCAACAGCCTATCTCAAAAAAAAAAAACAAAAAAAAACAAAAAAACAAAAAACCACAAAACCCAAAAACAATTGGATTTAATTGGGTTATTTATTGAGTTGTACAAGTTAATACATCTGGATACAAGCCTTTTATCATATATGTTTTGAAAATATTTGCTCCCCGGCTGAGGTTTGCCTTTTTATTTTCTTAACACTATCTTATGAATGCAAATTTTTAAATTTTGATCAAATTTGTCAAAATTTTCTTTTAAGGTTTTAAGATTTCTTTTGTCAGATCTAAGCAATTTTTGCCTAACTCAAGGTCACAAATATTTTCTCCTACATTTTCTTTTAGAAGTTTTATAGTTTTAGCTCTTACATTTAGGCCTAGGATCCATTTTGAATTAAACTGTGTATACAGTATTAAGGTAAGGGTCAGGTTCATTTTATTTTCATTTTATTGCATTTGGAGATTCAATTAATCCAGCACCATCTGCTAAAAAGAATACCCTTTTTTCACTGAATTATCTTGGCACACTCATCAAAAATCTACTGTGTGTATGTGTTTATTTAGATATACATAGTGCTATTTCTAGATTCTCTATTCTGTTCTTTTGAACTCTGTGTATATCCTTATACCAACAGCTCACTATCTTGCTTTAGAGTAAGTTTTAAAATCAGGTAGTTCCAACTTTGTCTTATTTTTCAAAATTATTTCGACTATATTAGCTCTTGTACTAGCCCTTTTGAATATAACTTACAGGTCAATTTCTACTAAAAGAAAAAACCTCCCTGGATTTTGATTGAGATTGCATTGAATCTATAGAACAATTTAGGGAGAATTTACATCTTAACTTTGTTGAGTATTATGTTCCATTAATATGGTATACTCTCCATTTATTTTGATATTATTTAATTTCTCAGCAATATTTTACAGTTATCAGTGTACAAATATTGCATATATTTTCTTAAACTGATTCCTAAGTATTTCATATTTTATGTCAAAAAAATGGTCTTAAAATTTTTTAAATTTCTCATTGTTTATTGCTGGTATAGAGAAATATAAGTAATTTATATATATTAATGCTGTATCCTGCAACTTTGCTAAACTTTTTTTTTCAGTTCTAGTAGCTTTTTTGTCGATTAGGAATTTCTACATATATAATCATGTTGTATGTGAATAAAACATTTTATTTCTTCTTTTCCAATTTGTATGCCTGTTATTTCTTTTTATTGTAATACTGCAATGACTAGGGCATCCAGTACAATACTGAACAGAAGTGACAATAATGGACATCTTTGTCTTGTTACTGGCTCGAGTGGGAAAGTATTCAGTCTTTTGGCATTAAGTACAATGTTAGTTGTAGGTTTTTTTAAAATAAAAGCTCGTTATCACTTCTAATCTGTTTCCTAAGAGTTTTTAACAGGAACAGGTGATCAATTTTATCAAATACTTTTTCCGCATCTATGGAGATGATCATACAATTGTTCTTTGTGAATATATTAATTGAATTACATTGATTGATTTTCAAATGTTAAAACAACCTAGTGTTCCTGGAATAAATGCTACCTGGTCATAAGATATTATCACTTTTATATATTGAAGGATTCAGTTTGCTAAAATTCTGTTAAGGATTTTTGCATCTGTGTTTATGAGGGCTATTAATCTGTAGCTTTCCTTTTCATTTTAAAAATGTCTTTGATTTGGGCATCAGGGTAATGCTTGCTTCATCACATGAGTTGGAAGGTGTTTTTTTCTCTTAATTTCTGGCACAGTTTGCGTAAAATTGGTATTAGTTCTTCCTTAAATTTACAAGTTAAGCCGTCTGGGCCTGGAGTTTTCTTTGCGGGAAGATTTTTAATGACAAAGTCCATTAACTTAATACATACAGGGCTCTTCAGATTATCTATTTCTTCTTAACCGAGCTTTGGTAATTTGTGTATTTTAAGAAATTTTTTTCATTTCATCTATCACGAAACTTACGGGCATAAAGTCATTTATTATCCTTTCAATATCTGCAGGTTCTGTAGTGATGTCCCTACTTCATTCCTGATATTGGTAATTTGTGTTTTACATATTTTTGTTAAGTCTCGCTATAGGTTTACCAATGTATTGATTTTTTCAGAAGAAAACAGCATGTGGTTTTATTGATATTTCTTTACTGCTTTCCTAAATTTTCTATTTCATTGACTTCTATGATTATTTTTTCTTTCTTCCTGCTTACTTTGGGTTTCATTTGTTCTTCTCTTTCTAGCTTTTTAGGTGGAAGCTTCAATAATTGAATTTAGACCCTGGAGTGCAGTGGCACAATCTCAGCTCACTGCAACCTCCAACTCCCAGGTTCAAGTGATTCTCCTGCCTCAGCCTCCCCAGTAGCTGGGATTACAGGCACTCCCACCACACCTGGCTAATTTTTTGTATTTTTAGTAGAGACAGGGTTTCACCATGTTGGTCAGGCTGGTCTCGAACTCCTGACCTCAAGTAATCTGCCCACCTTGGCCTCCCAAATTGCTGGGATTACAGGAGTGAGCCACCGCACCCAGCGCCTTCTTCTTTCTTAATACATGTATTTAATATCTTAAATGTTCCTGTAAGCACCATTTTAGTGGCATCTCATATATTTTAACATGTTGTGTTTTCATTTTTCTTTCAGTTTAAAATATCTTTTATTTTTCATTGTAATTTCTTTTTTACACATGGCTTATTTAGAAGTCTGATGTTTAATTTCCAAGTAGTCAGGGGGATTCTCTAGTTATCTTTTTGTTGTTGATTTGAATTTTCCTTTTGTTGTTGAATGGGATTTTTTATAAATGTCAATTAGGTAGCATTGGTTGATAGTCTGTTCAAGTCTTTTACATCCTTACTGATTTGCAATGTATTCCTTCTATCAATACTAAGAAGTGTTGAAATTCCCATATTATATTATTGTGAATTTGTTTATTTCTCTTTTAAGCTTTGTCAATTGTTGTTGTGTATTTTGAAGCACTATTACCAGGTGCATGAACATTTATAATTTTTATGTCTTTTTGGTGAATTGACCCCATTATCATTACGAAATACCCTGCTTTAGCCCTGGTAATATTCCTTGTTCTGAAGTCTTATTTTTTCTGATATTAACATGGCCATTTTGGCTTTCTTTTGATTACTATTAGCACACTATATTTTTTCTATCCTTTTACTTTTAACCTGCTTGTGTCTTTATATTTAATTATTGAGTTTTCTTCACACTTCTGCTTGCAGGAATGTGTCTTTATATTTAGAGATGGTTTTTTAAAGAAAACATATATTAGGTCCTGGTTTTTAATCTAATCAAACTCTGCCTTTTGATTGGAGTGTTTAGAACTTTTACATTTAATGTAGCACTTGATATGGCTGGGCTTAAACCTATCAATTTCCTACTTGTTATATTGGCCCTTGTCTCTTTTTTTTGGATCTTTTGAGAGTAAGTGCATATTACTTATGGCCTCATTTTATCTTCATTTCTGACATATTAGCTATACTTATGTATAGTGATTAAGGTTTACAGTATACATCTTTAATTTATCACAGTCAAACAATAGTATGTTACTTCACATATAATGTAAGAATTTTACAAAAATACACTTCCATTTCCTACCTTCCATCCTTTTTGCTACTTTTGTATACATTTTATTTCTACATATATTATTAATCTCATATTTTTTTAAACACTCAATTATCTTTTAAGGAAATTAAAATAAGAAAAAAGTATTTTATCATTTTCAGTGCTTTTCAATTCTTTGTGTAAATTCAAGATTCTTTCTAGTGTCATAGTCCTTCTATCTACAGAAATTCTTTTAACTTTTCATGCAGTGCAGGTCTTCTGATAATGCATTCTCTAGGTTTTTGTCTGTCTGAAATGGTCTTTATTTTTCTTTTATTTTTGAAAATTATTTCCACTGAGTATAGAATTATGGGTTCATAGGTTTTTTTCTCTTCCTACCTCTCCCAAGAACTTTTATATTACTCCTTTGTCTTCTGACATGCATAGTTTCTGATGAGAAGTCCACTGTAATGCTTATTTTGATTCCTCTGTCAGTAATAATTCTTTTTTTATCCATCAACTTTTAAGCTTTTCTGTGTATCACTTTCATTCAGCAATTTGATTTTTCCTAATTTTTTATTATGGTAAAATACACATAACATAAAAATTTGCCATCTCAACCATTTCTAAGTGCACAGCTGAGTGGAATTCAAATTCATAATGTTGTGCAACCCTCACCACTATCCGTCTCTGTAAATCTTTTCATTGTGAAAAACTGAAATGCTATACCCATTAACCAATATGGTACTTCCCCAGTATTTCCTACAATATGGTGTTTCCTCAGTATTTCCCCATTCCTTTTTCCCTGCAATCCCTGGCAACCACCATTGTACTTTCTATTTCTATTACTTTGACTATTCTATGTGCCTCTCAGCAATTTTATTTTCATGGTACCTTGGCATAATTTTCTTTATGTCTTTAATATTTGGGTTTTAATGAACTTCTTTAATCTGTAGGCTACAGTTTTCACCAAATTTGGAAAATATTCAGCCATTATTTTTTCAAATAGTTTTTCTGCCTCTGCCACCTTCTTTCCTGGGGCTACAGTTATATTAGATCATTTCATATTTTCCCAAAGGTTATTGATATTCTGTTCAATATTTTTAAGTCTCTTTTCTCTCTGTCCTTCATTTGGGTAGTCTATATTGTCATGTCTTCAAGTTCACTGATTTTTTTTTTTTTTTTTTGACGGAGTCCCGCTCTGTCACCCAGGCTGGATTGCAGTGGCGCAATCTCGGCTCACTGCACCCTCTGCCCCCAGCTTCAAGCAATTCTCTGTGTCAGCCTCCCGAGTAGCTGGGTACAGGTGCCTGCCACCATGCCTGGCTAATTTTTGTATTTTTAGTAGACACGGGGTTTCACCATCTTGGCCAGGCTGGTCTTGAACTCTTGACCTTGTGATCTACCTGCCTTGGCCTCCCAAAGTGCTGGGATTACAGGCATGAGCCACCATGCCCGGCCAAGTTCACTGATCTTCTGAAGTCTCATCAGCTGCAAATCCCATCCATTGCATTCTTATTTCAAATATTGTATTTTTTCTTTCTAGAGGTTACATTTGGGCTCTTTTTCTATGTCTTCTATTTCTAGCCTCATCATGTTCAGTTTCCTTTACATCCTTAGGAATATTTGTAAGATTCATAGTAGCTGCTTTAAGGTTTCTTTGTACTAATTCTATAATCTGTCATTTTTAAGTCTGTTCCTATTGGTTGATTTTCCTCTCAGATATGGGTCATATTTTCCTTTTCATGTCTGGTAATTTTGTATTAGATATTGGACATTTTGAATTTTACATTGCTGGGTGCTGGGTTTTGATATATTCCTGCAAAGGATGTGGCACACTTTTCAGTAACTTGTAGATCCATCTGACCCTTTCAAGCTTTTAAACTTTGTTATGGCAAGTCCAGAGCAGCTTTTATTCTGGGAATAATTTATCCCCACTACTAAGGCATGACATTTCTGTGAACTCTACCCAATTCCTATCTAATACCATGTCTCTGCATTCTGGTTTATGGTAACATGCAACATTCCCAGTTCTGTTTAAGCCCCAGAAATTGTTCAGCCTATGGCCTTTTGATGGGTATTTCCCCAGTCTTAGTTTCTTCTCATGCATGTGCAGATTACTGCTCAGCCAAAAACTTAAGGAGACCTCTCTTCAGGTTTCTGAACATTTTTGGTGCAGCTCCTTCCTTTAGGGTTCTCCCTATAAATTCTAGCCTCTTTGGCCTCTCTGAATTCTTATTTTTATCTTCTCAACTCAGAAATCTAGAATTCATTTGGATTTCCTACAATATGGCCTAAAAACTGACCCCAGTACTAAATGGGGGCAATTGTAGGACTCACCGTGTTTTTCTTCCTTCAGGGATTATTGTACTGTGCCTGTTGTCCAATGTGAGTTGTTTAACACATTTAACTACTTTTTAGTTGTTAATAGCAAGGGCACAATTTAATTTCCATAGCAATTATTTTTTATTAGCAGACTTGGGTTTCATTTTGCCCATTTTTTTCCCTAAGGAACTTATACCATTTATATATACTAATGAGTAAAGGATTGAATAAATGATTTTACACTCTACTGGTCCTTTTCCATGCAGTATTTTTCCTTACTTTATTCTGTAATCCTCACAGCAGCAATTTTCAACTTTTTTTTGGTGGACAATCTATACTAAAAATTTGATATTTAATAGAATTATTGACAACATTCTTCAAGAAATTAAGAGATTCAAAATAACAGAAACAAATCAATAATGATCAAAGCACAATCACCAATCCAGCTTAACAAGGTCTTTTAGTATCTATAAAAGCAGCCCCTAGGGCTGGGTGTGGTGGGTCACTCCTGTAATCCCAGCACTTTGGGAGGCCGAGGTTAGGCGATAGCTTGAGCTCATGACCAGCCTGGGAAACATGGTGAAAGTCCGTCTCTACAAAAAATATAAAAATTAACCAGGCATGGTGGCATGTGCCTGTAGTCCCAGCTACCTTAGGGGCTGGGGCAGGAGGATCACTTGAGCCCAAGAGGTCAAGGCTGCAGTAAGCTATGTTCGTGCCACTGTTCTTCAGCCTGGGTGACAAAGTGAGACCCTGTCTCAAAAAATAACCAAAGCAGCCACTATTCATTTACCACCCCTCAGTGTTATACCATTTTAGTAAGAACCATCTACTGCCCTAGCTTTAATAAAGCTGTTATTAAAAAATGTATTAGTGTTCTGGAATTATGAGTGATTAGAAAAATATTAAGCTTCCTGTTTTACAGTAGTCCACCCTTGTCTGTAGCTTTATTTTCCAGTTTCAGTTACCCATGGTCAATTGTGGTTTGAAAATATTAAATGGAAAATTCCAGAAATAAATAATTCATCAGCTTTAAATTATGCACCATTCTGAGGCATGTGATGAAATCTCCTATCGTCTGACTCCACCCTACCTGGGATGTGAATCATCCTTGTCCAGCACATTCAAGCTGTATTTGCTACCCCACCATTAGTCACTTAGTAGCCATCTCGATTGTCAGATCCACCATCACGTTGTCTCAGTGCTTGTGTTCAAGTAACTCTTACTTTACTTAATAATGGCCCCAAAGCACAAGAGTAGTGATGCCAGCACTTTGGACATGCCAAAGACAAGCTGTAAAGTGCCTCCTTTATGTGAAAAGGTGAAAGTTCTTGACTTAATAAGGCAAGAAAAAAACTGTATTCTGAGGTTGCTAAGATCTACAGTAAGAATAAAACTTCTATCCATCAAATTTCAAAGGGGAAAAAAATTGGTGCTAGTTTTGGTGCTTCACCTCAAACTATAAAAAGCTGTTGCCACAGAGCATGATAAGTGCTTAGTTAAGATGGAAAAAGCATTAAATTTGTGAGTGGAAGATATGAACAGAAACAGTCTGATTGACAGTAATCAGTTTGGGTATTATCCACTGTTTCACTGGCATCTACTGGTGGTCTTGGAACATATCCCCCTTGAATAAGGGAGGACTACTATAATAATAATGTATGTACACTGTCAACATTTAAGAAAATATGATAAATTACAAAAAAACTTTAAACAATCTGCAATCCATGGCCGAGCGCTGTGGCTCACACCTGTAATCCCAGCACTTTGCGAGGCCGAGGTGGGCGGATCATGAGGTCAGGAGATCCAGACCATCCTGGCTAACACAGTGAAACCCCATGTCTACTAAAAATACAAAAATTAGCTGGACATGGTGGCGTGCACCTGTAGTCCCAGCTACTCAGGAGACTGATGCAGGAGAATCGCTTGAACCCAGGAGGTGAAGATTGCAGTGAGCCAAGATCGCGCCACCGCACTCCAGCCTGGGCAACAGAGCGAGACTCCGTCTCAAAACAAACAAACAAACAAATAAAAAACAATCCCCAATCCTACCACCAAAAGACCACACTGTTAATAATGCTTTCCAGTCTTCTCACTGCATACCTGTGAAGGCAGGATGAGAGCAGGTGCAGGACAGATGTGAACAGAGCACTGCCCAGGTGTGCCTCACTGGTCCACCTGTATAACTGTCCATGACAGGATGGCATGGACCTAGAATCTAAGAAAGAGCAGTGAAGATATACCACTTTCCGAATCAACAACATATGTTTAAGCGATTCCTACGTGGGGGCCAGCGCAGCAGTCCAGAGTATCCAGTCCTGGGTTCAAGGTTATGGCCTGCCACTTAATAGCTCTGATTCTCGATGAGTCACTTAAACTTCTGAGCCTATTTCCTCCTCCATAAACTGGGAGTGATAACAGTACCTTCCTCTTAGGCTGATCCATGTGAAGTGGTTAACACTGCCTATCCTGCAGTAGGCTTGTATTAATGTAGGGTTTTAATATACGCACAGGGATATCGTATTAACAACTTAAAATAATAGCTATCATTTATTGAGCCTGCACAGTCCTAAATGCCTTCTATGGAATACCTTATGCAATTTTTATAATAATCCAGTGAGGTATAATCCCCACTTTTTACAGATGAGAAAACTTAAGTTTGGTGGGGGGTTAAGTGACTTGCCCAAAGTCACATTAGAAGAAAAGTGGAATCAGGCTTTGAACTCAGGAAGTCTGACTTCTACTCACTCCTTAACCTCTATAATAACCTCTCAGGCAGCACACACTAAATATTAACTTGCTAAATTTTGACATTTAGCACCCGAGTGGGTATGATTGGTTTGTTATTATTATTTTTAGAAATAGGATCTTGCTGTGTCGTCCACTTGCTAGAGTGCAGTGGTGCAATCATAGCTTACTGCAACCTCAAACTCCTAGGCTCAAGTGATCCTCCCACCTCAGCCTCCAGAGTAGCTAGGACTACAGACACCTGCCACCACACCTGGCTAGTTTTAAAATTTTTTGTAAAGACAATGTCTCACCTATGCTGCCCAGGATGGTCTCGAAATCCTAGCCTCAAGTGATCTTCTCACCTCAGCTTCCCAAAGCACTGGGATTACAGTGAGCCACCGTGCCTTACCTGGTTGGGTTTCTGAAGTTACAATATTGCATATAGTTTTCAAAATATAAAGCAAATAAGGGATGGCTGGGTGGGGGCAAATATTTGACTCTCTTGAATATTCACAGAATGCTAGGTTTCATCAGAACACAGTTTAAAAACTCCTGGGGGAAGTTCACTGTTGGACAGTTCTAATTGCTAGAAAGTTCCTTCCTGTATCAAAGCTGATTCTCTCTCTCTTTTTTTCTTTTTCTATCCGTCCTAATTCCCACCCTTGGAACCAACTCAAAGTAAGTCTCATTTCTCTTCCACATTGGTGATTTTCAAAATGCAAGTCATAGTCTGTAGTCTTTTGTGAAGTTTTAGTTTGTCATATGCGTGTGTGCATGCTGGGTCACAATATAAAATGCATTTACCATGAGTCACAGTCAAAAGGTTTGAAAGCCACTGTTCTATATGACTATTCTGCAAGAATTTGAAGGCAGTTGTCGTGCCCCACCACCTAAAGACTAATCTTCTTCTCCACATGGGACCTCCCTGGCTTTTGCCACATATCTCCTTGCTGCATGGGGAGCTCCTTTCCTCACCGGACCCAGGCATCGTCCTGCAGTCCTGTCACAAAATTCACGAGACTCTCTGCTCAAACCTTCTTAGGGATGACTTCCCTGACCACCCTCTCTTAAGAAGCACCAACCCATCTCTCTCTAGCCCCTTACTCTGCTTTATCTTTTTCAAAGCACTTTTCACTACCCAACATTATATTGTATGTTTATTACTTTATTTGTTTATGATCTTCCCCAGTAGAAAGTTCAACTCTGAATCTTCAGTCTATTTCCTCACATACAGTATTTGCTCAATTGGCCAGGCATGGTGGCCCACACCCGTAATCCCAGCACTTTGAGAGGCTGAGGGGGAAGGATGGCTTGAGACAGAAGTTCAAGACTACCCTGGGCAACATAGCAAGGCCCTGTCTCTACAAAAATAATAATAATAGTATTGAGAATTTTTAAAATTAGTATTTTCTTCATAAATATTGGTGGAATGAATGAATGAATGAATACTAGAGGTAGACACCTTTTAGCAATTGTGTGTACAGCTGTGCTCAGAATATATTTCCAGCGGGAGTTAGATTCTACAAGGACAGCTCACATGATCACAACTATAGGCACAGTTTCATTTTATCATCTCTTGTGTTTTTAAAAAACGTTATATATGCTAAGTATTACAGTTTACATTATACATGTTACTGTACAGGGTATATAAACATGTACTAAACTATGTATACTGTTACTTTAGATAGAATTTTTTTGGATGTCCTGAGTAGTTTCGTCTGTAGGCGATTTTTATCTACTCAGTTATAAGCATCTTGGAAGCAGCTTACATTTTTTCAAAGCACTCTCAGGTAAATAACCCATTCGATAGTCTTCATAGGCTGAGAAAGTGTATCAGGGAGCTGGAAGGAAATTTAGCGGCGGGCTAGTGACCACCAGGTTCCAATCTCACCCTTTTATTTTACAGATGGGTAAATCGAGGCCCAGAGCAGGGAAGTCGTTTGCTGGGGGACACCCCCTGAGCTGGGGTGAACCTATGAGTAGAGATCAGGTCTTTGGCGTCCACCCACTGCCAGGCACTGAAGCCTCCCAACTTTTGCGCACTCGCGGAGCCTGAGCCAGAAGGGTCGGACGCCCACGCCCCTGGCAGGAGCTCGGTGGAGCAGGCAAGCCCCAGTTGTCACCACTTTTCGGGTGGAAACACCGAGGACACGCCCCGACGCAGGGGCAACTCCCATGGTGGCTTCTTCCCGCCCTCGGGGCTCCACCTAGCTCAGCCCTGGAATTCCGCAAGCACCCGGAGGCCGGGGGGTCTCCGCGGGCGTCCCATGCGGAGGACATGGTGCGCCGTGTCCTCTTCCCCACGACCTCAGGGACCGGTCCCCCCGCCGGAACTGCTTCCTACCTGGTCCGGTCCCGGCAGCTGAATCTGGCCAGCCCAACCTCCCGGTCGCTATGGCACCCACAGGCCTAACATTCGCGAGTCCACCTTCCGCCGTCCGCGAGGTAACTCCAGCCAATGGCATCCTCTGTTTCTTTAACGTGAAAAGTTGTTGACCAATCATTAGAGGCGTTTCAAAGTCCGCAGAGAAGCCGGCCGAATTTTAGGGCTTAGGTTAATTACATCAGGGCCTGTAGCGGGGTGGGGAACTAATAAGAGGTTTATCTAGGCCATGCTTCAAAAATCTTGTGATAAACCAAAAGCCTCAGAATTTTGCTCACTCAAAAATCCTGCTTCAAGGAATATACCTAAAAGAATTAACATTCATCCAAGCCCTGTTTCTTTTTTTTTTGAGACAGAGTCTCGCTTTGTCGAGCAGGCTGTAGTGCAGTGGCGCAATCTTGGCTCACTGCAACCTCCGCCCTCCAGGTTCAAGCGATGCTCCTGCTTCAGCCTCCTGAGTAGCTGGGATTACCGGCGCTCGCCACCACGCCAGGCTATTCTTTTTGTATTTTTAGTAGAGACAGGGTTTCACCACGTTGGCCAGGCTGGTCTCGAACTCCTGACCTCAGGTGATCCACCCGCCTCGGCCTCCCAAAGTGTTGGGATTACAGGCGTGAGCCACCACGCCCGGCCCCAAGCCCTGTTTCTAACAGAAGAAAAAAAAAAAAATTGACATGGGCGACTATACAAGGGCAGCCACTTAGTATTCCAGGAGCCCCTCTTCACACGCTTCAGGGCAGGGCGGTCTCAGCGACCTTGTCACTCCCCTGCTTAAAGTCCTCCAATGGCTCGCCTTTAAATTTAGGGTGAAATCCAAGCTTTTTTTTTTTTTTTTTTTTTTTTGACAGGGTCTTGCTCTGTCGCCCAGCTGGAGTGCAGTGGCGCGATCTCGACTCGCTGCAACCTCCGCCTCCCGAGTTCAAGCGATCCTCCCGCCTCAGCCTCCTGAGTAGCTGGGACCACGGGCGCTCGCCACCACGCCCGGCTAATTTTTAAATTTTTTTGTAGAGATGGGGTCCCACTATATTGTCCAGGCTGGTCTCAAACTCCTGGGCTTAAGTGATCCTCCTGGCCTCCCAAAGTCCTGAGATTACAGGTGTGAGCCACCGCGCCGGCCCCCAAATATGTTATTTATAAACTGTCCCTGGCCCGTCCCTCAGATCGCAGGCCCAACCACGCCCCCAGAAAAATCTCTCACCAGCCCTGCTGGCCTTCGGGCAGTTTCTACAATGCACCAACTCGTTCCTCTCCCATGTTCCCAAGGAGCTTTCTCTGCCCCACGATCTGAGACTAGAACTGCCTCTTTCTCATTGTTGATGTCTAGGCCCAAATGACATTTCTTCATACGTAAAACGGGCTTCAAGTCTCACTCATGGCTGTGACGATCTGAAAGCAAATGCGTGTATATGACAACGTGTGAGCGATGAGAAGCTTGTCATCTGTAAAACTCCATGCGCATGTTAATTATCATGGCCGTGATAATTATGTACATTATAGAAACATTAACCAAGCGCTGGGCTCGTTTCAGGACCTTCAGTATTGCTGGGAGGCTTGGTATCCGACAGGTGTTCCAGGAGGGCAGGAAAGGAGAGATATGTTTGGTCCCAAGTCTCGCGAGGGCTCTGGGGAGCGCTGGGTCTTCAAGGACGTTTTGGATTTGAATACTTGGTGAGAGCGTCGGGTAGGGGAACAGCAGGAGCAAAGCCCGGAAGGTGGCTATGAGGATAAGAAGGGAGGACACCTGGCAGGCTGCTAAAACCAGGCCCACCTGCCGGGCAGGTGGAGGCGAGCAACCACCTAAGCTCTCTGGGACAGCGGGAGAGGGGGCAGGGGAGTCGCCGCACCATTCTTCCTGTGGCCGCTAGGGGGTCCCCGCTCCAGGTGAGCGCCAAGCTCTAGCCCCAGGTCGCTCCCTTATGCTTCAAGCAAGCTTTGCAGCGCAGCCAATTGCCAGGGGCTGTCCCGCCTACTCCCCGTCCTCGCAGCCACTTGCCTGCGCGAAATGCCTGCCAACTTCTGACTGGCAGGCAGTCTGGCAAATCAAATCGCGACCTTTGAAAGCAAAACACTGCAGCATCTTGGCAGCTCTGAATTGGGAAGGGATGAAGGAGGCTGTGCCTCCGGGTTGCACGAAGAGTCCGAGTCATTTCTCAGAAGGTTTTGATAGGTGGGCCTTAGAGGAGACGCCGCCGGTGAGTAGTGATTAACACCGGGAGGAAGGGGAATTGAATTTAACCTTCGTTTTTTTCTGGAAAAAGCGAAGTCACCTAACGTCCCCTAGTGTACATACCCTTCCTTCTTACTGTCACCAGCCTCGCCAACCTGGGTCCCGTTGCCTTGGAATGTTCTTTCCAGTTTTGCATCGAGGCCAAGAGGAGCGGGGGCATGGGCTACCTTACTAAAGGTGATGCCAGGCTCTACCAAACCAGGAAGTGACATGGAGTTAACTTTGCCAGAATTTCTCCTCTTCGTGCCGAGCGGCTCGGGCTTCCTGGCGGCAGCAGATGGTGGAGTTAGCAGGTGGGATGAGGGGAGGCGTTCTTGGTCTAAGCCCGCTTCTGGAACAGAGGTGCTGTCTCCTCGAGTTGTAAGTTTCCAGCTCAGTGGGACGGGACGGAAGAATGTAACCTTCTCGTGAGCCAAAGCCGAGGAACGGGAAGCTTGGCAGGGAACTGGCGCTCACCTCCAGAAGCCAGATCGTCGGGTGGTGGGAAAGAGCGTGTTTTATTGATTTGTTCAGAAAGAGGCAAATTCGAATACAGACGCTATGAGCCACGGCTGTCTCATTTGTAAAACGTGCTCTGTGGGATTGGTGAAATCCGTCATCGAGATAAACGGGGTGGGAATGGAAGCAGAGCACCTAGTGAATTCTCATTCCTTCCTTGGGTCAGTGACCACGTGCTCTAATTGTGGGGTGGTTGACAACGCAGAGGTGACTGCTTGCCTCTCGGGCATATGTAGGTCCTGAAGAAATGCTTCGAAATCAGGAAAAGAGAGTCACCAGGTGAAAAGTATGTGTCTTATAAGGGAGTACAGCTTGCAAAGGGTTCCTCCAGGCTTTCAGTCCGGACTCCCACCCAGCTGAGGGAGAGCCTTCAATCTTTGCAGGCGATGCTTCAGAGGCCTGCGAGTTCCTGAGGCAGAGAGGGAAGCTGCTTTTTAAAAGAAAAATTAAACCACAGCAATGCCAACCACCACAAACAAAAGCAAAACCAGAAAAGCACTTGGGCAAACTACTCTGAAGGATGTTAGGAGGCCTGGGTTCCCACCACTCCCTTGATTGACATGTCGCTAAGGTCTGTTGGCTTTCTCTGACCTCCTGTGGGTGGGGCTGAGTATATCTGCTTGTTGAAGCTCTGGAGTTGTGGTTGATTAGGCCTTAGAAAGGCATTCTTGACTGCGAAGGGGCCACAGTGCACCCAGTGCTTAACCAGCCTGCATTTAGTCAGTCGGTTGGTATGTATACAAGTCACTGTCAGGCTCTGGGCTAGATCTCATTTAGTCAGTTGGTTGGTATGTATAGAAGTCACTGTCAGGCTCTGGGCTAGATCTCAGCTGGGAGCAACTGAACAGGGTATTCCGCAAACACCTCACTGGAGTTTGCGCTCCTCAACTCCATGACTGCTTCATGGTTGAATGCTTCCCGGGGCCTCTCAGAGGTAGAAAGAACCCTGAGCCACTCTTAAGGCTCTTATGATTATTACAAATGCTAAAACATTTTTACAGAAATGTAACACAATAATGCTTTTCACATGTACGTGAAAGTATAGTGAACAATTATGCTTTCCACAAGATTGCAAACACATATTCATAGGGTTTTACAGGCAGGGAAGTCTAGCTATGGGATGTGAATTACCTGATAAAGTTACCCGGTGAATGCTTACATCTCATGTCTGTATATTGGATATATAACCTCGTCTGCAGGTAGTAGCAATAATTTCATCCTGAGGCCCTCTGACAAAGTGAAACCAAGCCAAATGGTTTCTGTAGCTGTCCCTATGCTAAACCTGCATTTGTTGTATCCCAGGACTGGACATGGTGTTCCCCTTATCACATATGTATGTGCTGTCCACACCATGAACCAGAATTCCTGGGCCTAGGGCCGGATAGCAGAAGGAACTGGAAGCTACAGGATACACAGGAGGCAGCTCTCTGAAGCCTCAGGGAGTGGCAGAAATTGTTTAGCTCACAGTGAGCCCTCAGTAAATATTTGTTGGATGAATGCATGAGAGAGAAAGGAATGGACAAAATAAATAATTAAACAGGAGAGAATAAAATTAATCTTAACAGCAGCTCACATTCATGGACCATTTGCTATGCCTGCATTTTACATGTATGATTTCATCAAATTCTCATGACTGCCATGTGGAGTGGGAACATTATTATCTATATTTCACAGCTGGAGAAACTGGCTGAAAAGTTAAATGACCTGGCAAAGGTAAAACAGGTAGCACATGGCACATCAAAAGCAATTTAAAACATTTTTCTATTAAAATAAACATAGACTATGCAGTAGAATACATTTCTAAAAAATGTATAAAAAGTCCTCAAAGAAAACCCTAACACTTTTAAGCAGGGTTTTGGCCATGCCTCCTAGGACACTAGAAGTATACTTTCTCTTCTCTGTTTGGTAGCAAATTTTGAGAAGTGGCACACACCTGTAATCCTAGCACTTTGGGAGGCTGAGGCAAGTGGACTGCTTGAGCCTAAGAGTTCAAGACCAGCCTGATAACATGGCGAAACCCTGTCTCTACAAAAAAATTAGCCAGGCCTTGTGGCACGCGTCTGAGGTCCCAGCTACTTGGGAGGCTGAGGGAGGATTGCTTGAGCCCAGCTTGAGGCCATGTTTGTGCCACTGCACTCCAGCTTGGATGACAGAGTGAGATTCTGTCTCCAAAAAAAGGAAAAGTTCGGGAAGCACTGAAAATATAAGTCCGATGAAATTAGTAGGGATTCTCATCATTGCTGGGTTTATTTGAGGCCACATTATTACCCCCACTTTACAGAGGAGGCAACTGAATCTCTGAGAGGCAGAGTTACCTGGTCACACAGGTTTTCCACCTCCGAGACCAGTGTCACCTCACCTGTGTCAGGCCAATCCTCGGTAGCAGGCCAGTTCTTCTGTTTTCCATGGATGTAGCTTTTCTTCTGATTCTTTTCTTCCTAAGCTGAAACTTAAATAGTTCCCTTTTCGTGGTAGTGGAATTGTTTTTTTTTTTTTTTTGAGACCTGGAGAAGTTAGTATTCTACTTCTTGTGCTCAAGAGCTATGGAAAAAGGGAGGATTTAAGTTAGGGTGCGATGGGAGGAAGGAAGCAGAGTGGAGGAGGAAAGGGAACATTAAGGGCCAGGGAGAAAGCTTTTGAGATAGATGAGTCAGGTTTGTATTAAGGGGAGGACAAAGGCATGATAGGACTTGTTTTTAACTGCTAGAATTGAATTTTGAAGAATTTTTTTAATGGACTCACTTGTCATGGCCGGTTACGTTTTATCTGAATGGTATTCTCTTCTCAGATAACAAAGCTGGGCTCAGTGTTTCCTTGTCCATGCATTTTTAATGTTCCTCTCCACCACCCTAGAGCACCGCAAGAACTGGAAAACACACCCCTCTCTGTCTGCCTGGGAGAGCCACGGAAATTGGCACTTCTCTGAGTGAAGCTGAGGAGAAGGCTGTAAATCTGCCAAAACAGCCTTGAAGTATTCTTTTGTCATGAGGAAGTGACGGCTGCTGGAGGGAGGTGAACACCACAAGGAGAGATGGCATCTGGCCTGGGCCCCGCCTAGCAGCAGCTCCACCTCCTAGGCCAGGCCCTGTGGGATGCGCCACTAGACCACCATGGACGGATCCCACAGCGCAGCCCTGAAGCTGCAGCAGCTGCCTCCCACAAGTAGCTCCAGCGCCGTAAGCGAGGCCTCCTTCTCCTACAAGGCAAGGGCTTTTTTGGGGTTTGGGAATTTGTATTTTCCTAGCAAGGAAGTTACACAGTGCTCTGCATTGGCTAACAGATATGTATGGGGTCTGCATGCCTGTCACTGGTAGAAACAGGCAGGCTCTTCACACAGACAAGGGAATGTGTAAGCAAAAGACAAGAGATGGGCCGGGAGTGGTGGCTCACACCTGTAATCCCAGCACTTTGGGAGGTGGGCGGGTCACGAGGTCAAGAGATTGAGACCATTCTGGCCAGCATGGTGAAACCCCGTCTCTACTAAAAACACAAAGATTGGCTGGGCGTGGTGGTGCCCACCTGTAGTCCCAGCTACTCGGGAAGCTGAGGCAGGAGAATCACTTGAACCAAGGAGGTGGAGGTTGCAGTGAGCTGAGATGGTGCCGCTGTTATCCAGCCTGGTGACAGAGTGAGACTCTGTCTCAAAAGGAAAAAAAAAAAAAAAAGAGATGCTCATTAAAATACATAAAAATAGGGAGGCAGAGAAACACCATAAAAGGTATAGAATAAAAGGAATGCATTCCCACTTAGAAGATTTGATTTTTAAAAAATCACCTACTCTGGGCCAGTTGTGGTGGCTCATGGCTGTAATTCCAGCACGTTGGGAGGCCAAGGCGGGAGGATCTCTTGAGGCCAGAAGTTTGAAACCAGCCTGGGCAACATAGTGATACCCCGCCTGTACAAAACAATTGAAAATTAGCCAGGTGTGGTGGCATGTGCCTGTAGTCCTAACTACTCAGGAGGCTGAGACGGGAGGATTGCTTGAGCCTAAGAGTAGTTTGAGGGTGCTGTGAGCTATGATTGCACCACTGCACTCTAGCCTGGGTGACAGAGCAAGACCCTGATGCCAAAAAAAAAGTATATATATATATAGGTATGTATGTATATCACCTACTCCATTACTTGGAGATAATTTTCATTCGGATTTCAGTATATCTCCTTGTTTTTTTCTAGTATTATAAATTTGGGGTCACATTGCACATAAAGTTTTGTATCTTGGTTGTTTAACTTGACCTTACTTGTGGAATATTTCCCCATGTCATCAAGTAGTGACTGAAAGCATACTTTTCGAATGATTGCCCAATAATCCGTTGAGCTGCTGTGTCAAAATTTGCTCAACAGATCCTCATTGCTGGATATTCAGGCTGTCTCTAATCTGGAGTGGCTGTAAACCATGAACATCCTGGAGTGTAAATCTCTGTGCTGATCTCTGATCCTTTCCTTAGATATAGTCATATAGGTACAACGAATAGGTCAAAGGGAATGCACCTTTTTTAACAAGGGGATTTTAATGACAAATTTAAGTGTTCCTAAATACCTATCAGTGCAGCATCTGATTACTGGGATTTATTGAAAATTATTTTTTTAAAGATCAGAGAGGCCAGGTGTGGTGGTTCATGCCTGTAACTTCAACACTTTGGGAAGCCAAGACGGGTGGATGGCTTGACCTCTGGAGTTCAAGACCAGCCCGGGCAAACATGATGAAACCCTGTCTCTACCAAAAATACAAAAAATTAGCCAGGTGTGGTAGGGCACCTACCACACAAAAAATACAAAAAATTAGCCAGGTGTGGTAGGACCACCTGTGGTCCCAGCTACTTGGGAAGATCATTTGAGCCAGGGAGGAAGAGATTGCAGTGAGCCAAGATTGCACCACTGCACTCCAGCCTGGGTGAGAGAGTGAGACCCCACCTCAAAAAAAAAGAAAGAAAAAAAGATCAGTGACTGCTAATACCGTAGAGCTAAAGGAGACTTTAGAGATCATCTCATCAAACCTCTCATTTGATGGACTGGAACAGTGAGGCTGGGAGGTGAGAAGCGACATTCTTAAGATCCTATAGCAAGTTGAGAGGAAGAGCTAGAACTATTGTTAATTTTAGATAATAATGATGATCATAATAACAGTGACTAATATTTATTGAGCATTTATTCTATCCCAGGTACTGTGCTGAGTTCGTCACATGCCTTTCCTTGAGTAATCTTCACACTAGCACTACACAGTAGGTCCAGGTTTCCTCCTCTGTGGAATAGTAACTGCCTCCTGGTGGTGGTGAGGATGAAATGAATTTATTCATGTGAAGCCCTTAGGCAATGACCCACACATAATGGCCAGTGTTTGTCAAGTGCTAGCTGTTACCATCTTTATCCCCACTTTAGAGACAAGGAGACTGAGACAGAGAAGTTCAGTAATGGCCCTGACTGGCACAACTAGTAAGTTGTGCAACCAGAATTTAAACCCGGGTCAGACCAGCTGCAGAACCCATGCTCCTAACTGCGGCGCTGCTCTGACTCTCCGGTGTCCTGACTCCTGCTGCTGCCACCGCATCCCAGCATGCCCAAGGAGGGGACTCTGCAGGTCATTAAAGGCTTTTGTCATTTTAATTCCTTCTGACCAGCCAGATGGAATATGTATGGAAATTATGAACATTTGTCTGGAATTAGACTCATTCTAGAGCGAAGATTGACTCTGACATTCTCAGTGGACTCTGCCTCACCAAGCAAACCAGTTTCAGAGCCAAGATGGCATGATTGTTTCAGCATTGGCATCTCGCTCCTTGGTCTTCTTTCCATGAAAGCCTGTTGTTTCCCCTTCCTATGCAGCTACTGTATTCATCTAGGGCTCTGTTGGGAAGGGTATCAGACTGAGAACTGGGAGACCTGAGTTCTTGGGCCAGCTCTGTCATCTCTGGGTGTGTGATCTTGGGCAAGTGTCATCCCTTCTCTATGCCTCAGTTTCTGTCTCTGTAAAATGAAGAGGTAGAGTTCATAGATGGTCCCCAATCCTGCCTAACCACCTGAAATACCTGGGGAGCTCTAAAACATGCAGATTTCTAGGCCTCAGACTCATCTCTCCCTGCCTTCACCCTTTTACCCCCTCGTCTCTACTCCCCTGCAAATTGTGGTTTTGCATAGCTAGGCTAGAAACCCAGAACGTGCATTTTGTAAAACCTCTTCAGGTAAATCAGATAATCAGCCAGGTGTGGGAATTTCTGGACCACATGATCTGCTAAGCTCCTTCCCACACCAACTCCATCATCCTGAGAAATCAAGATCTCAGGCCACCACGTCTTAGCAGCACTGATATTCAAAGTGAGCAAAACACTCTTCTCAAGTAGGCAGTGTTACTGTTCGCATCCTTGGAGGTGTCCACGTGCTTCACAGAGCATTATTCAAAATGGAACAGGGTTTCAAATCAGAAAACACTTTTCCTATCTAGCCTTTTTATTGACATATGGTATGCATACAGAAAAATATACAAATCATAAGCTCTAGATGTTAAATTTTAATGAAGAGGGTGCATACATGTTACTGACGCCCTAATCAAGAAACAGAACATTACTAGTACCCAAAAGTCTCCTTGTGCCCCTGCTAGTCACTCCCCTCCCCGCAGGGGTAATCACCCTCTCTTCAAGTCAGAAAACACATTGATGGTGGCACAGTCTTGACTTCAGAGGAAATTCAGGAGCTACTGGTCAGCTTGAGTGAATACTGCCTTACATATTGAAGGTGCTGAGTGCTTTCATTCTGTGAAGGAACCAGAACATTCCATTCTGCTTTCGATATTCAGAGTCTACACCATTTCTAATGTAATGATAGAAGCTGTTCTCTTGAGTTTTCCCTGGGCCTTAATTTATGGAGATGACAGAGTAACTCCATGGATGGCTAATGCCATTGAAGAAGATTTTTGTTGCTTACATTTCCTAAAAGAAGGAGGCACTCACGCCTGTAATCCCAGCACTTTGGGAGGCCGAGGCAGGGGGATCACGAGGTCAGGAGATCGAGACCACGGTGAAACCCCATCTCTACTCAAAAATACAAAAAAATTAGCCGGGTGCGGTGGCGGGTGCCTATAGTCCCAGCTACTGGGGAGGCTGAGGCAGGAGAATGGCGTGAACCCGGGAGGCAGAGCTTGCAGTGAGCCGAGATCGCACCACTGCACTCCAGCCTGGGGGACAGATCGAGACTCCGCCTCACACACACACACAAAAAAGGCATATCATGCTGCAGAGGGCCACACGGGACACACCAAGGTCAGTTGGTTAGAAGCAGAGGGCATGTGGGGAAAGCTTAGATCAGAGCCTTTATTGTGTTTTTCTGTGGGAAAGGCATGGCAAGATGGCGAACAGTTTAGGACTGGCTGATTTGAAGAACTCTGGGTTGTCTGGTACGTAGCCCTGGGTTGATTTAGAGCAGGGAAAATATTGATCTGGGGTGTGAGAGTTTATTTAATAAAGGAGATGTTTGCAGCTCTGGATTGGTTAGTTAGCATATGAAAGGCATGCTCCTTAGAATATAAAAAATCAGTTAATACAATTGGCCCTGTGATGAATGAATGCCAAATGGACAAATATAAGAATCTAAGAAAACTCAGAGCACTCTCCCTGATGAGATTTCTAGTAAGTTTCCATTTTAATCACAAATTCAATTCAGTTGCCTAGTATGGAATATCTTCATGCCAGAGCAAAGCTGAATTCATGGTGACTCTACCAAGGATGTATGAATTGAGGTGAGGGACAGGCATGGTTGTGATGATGATTGAGTTGACTGAAGTACTGGGTGGGGTAAAGAGAAGAGGACCTGGGTCCAAATCCCCAGTGTTCCTTCTTAGCTAAGTGACCTTGGGTGTATGGTACAACCCTGCAGAGCTCCTGTTGCCTTATCTGTAGAATGTTGGTTTTCATCCTTCCCTCCCAACGGCTGTGTGGATCAATGAAAAAGCACCTAACACAGTGTCTGACCATGCACTAGGCATGCTGGAAATATGTGACTCAGAAATGCCACGGGGTTTCCAAGAGGAACAGATGAAGGTACACAGAGTAGAGGGGACGGTGTGGTTAATTCTGCGTGGGGATGGGGAGAGGGGTTTTGAGGGAAAGCCATCTCCTTTCTCGATTTTGTTAAGGCTATTTTGATTGCAAGGAGTAAAAACCCATTTCAGAGAAGCTGAGGCAAAAAGGGAAATTATTATAAGGCTACAGGGTAGCTCATGAAATCCAGTGGCAGGAAAGGCAATGGGGCTTGGAAGGTTCTAGAACTCATACCTCCCCTTTAAAAGAGGGAAGACCTGAGTGGCCAGCTTGGGTAAGGTGTCTACCTGGTCCAGTCGGTGATGGCCAGGGAGTGCCACCCAGCTGATGCCACCTGGCAGACATGGTTTCTGAGGCTCTACCATTATGGGCAGGTCTCAGAAAAGTGGTCATGTGGGCTGGGCAGGCTGCTCGCAACTCATCTCTTACCTTTGGGAGGAGGAAAATATTGAGAGACTCTTAAGTCCAGCTTGATGGGTGGGATGAAGTTAGGAGCAAGCTGTCTGCCTTTGAGTTTCAGCCCTGCCCTCTGCCCTGCCCATCAGCGTATAAATTTTGGTTGCTGGGGAGGGCACTTTGCTACAGGAAGCCCCCCAGGCTGAGCTGCCCAGGAAGCAGCTCCCAGCAGGACATTGACACTGTGGAAGCTTTACCTCAGCTGGGAAAAGTCAGGTCTCAATTCTTCTGTTGAGTGAGTAGACATTTCATCTGAGCACCTACTCTCTCCAGCTTGTGCTGGGTGGGGCGGGAGCTATATAGATCAAGCTTGTCCAACCCACAGCCCAGGACAGCTTTGAATGCAGCCCAACACAAATTTATAAACTTTCTTAAAACATTATGAGATTTTTTTTGCGATTTTTTTTAAGCTCATCAGTGGCTATCATTAGTGTTAGCATATTTTATGTGTTACCCAAGACAATTCTTCTTCCAATGTGGCCCAGGGAAGCCAAAAGATTGAACACCCCAATATAAATCATCAAGACAGATCTTCCCTGGTTACAGTCTAGGAGGGAGGTGGGGAAGATACATTTTCACAAGTGTTTACCCCTCAAGACAGAATTCGACACAAAAATAGAGATACAACAGAGTGTTAAGAGCATGACCTTTGGAATCAGAGACTTGGCTCCAATCCCTGGCCCTATTACCTTTCTTCTTATCTTTTTAGGAGACAGAGTCTCCTGTGTGGCCCAGGCTGAGTGCATAGTGATTATAGCTCTCTGCACCAGCTCTGTTATTTTCTAGCATTATAACTTGGGGAAAATCATGTAATGCCTCTGTGGGTAAGTCTTATACCCATCCTATAGGGTAGTTATGAGAATGACCGGAATTTACAGATAAGCAAACCGAAGCTGCCTGCACCACCCCCTGCTTCTGCCTTCGGAAATCCTACCCAGCCTTCCAGCGCAAGTGTCACCTTTTCATCCATGAAGCCTTTGTCAGTCTTCCTGGCAATAAAATATAGGTCCTTTAGCCACCCTTTCATAGCCAATTAACAATGATTATTGTAATCATCATCATAAAAGCAACTAACATTATTTACTTATAGAACAGGAACTGTGCTAATCCTCACAAAAGCTCTCATGAGATAGGTACGGTTATAACCCCATTTTACCTGTGACGAAACTGGCGCAGAGAGGTTAATTAACTTGCCCATGGCCACACAGTCAATGGGTAGCGTAGTTGGGGTGAGTAGCTTTGCCTTCACCTCACTTCTTTCGCCAGTAACACTCCATTGAGAGACTGCAGCATGGGTAGAGTGACCGTGGTCCCGGTTTGTGCCTTATGCCTGTGTATGTTAATAGAGCCCCCTTTCATTCTCAAGAGTCTTCCTTTTTTTTTTTTTCCTTTGAGATACAGTTTCAGTCCGTCGCCCAGGCTGGAATGCAGTGGCGTGATCTTGGCTCACTGCAACCTCTACCTTCTGGGATCAAGTGATTCTCATGCCTCAGCCTCCCGGGTAGCTGGGATTACAGGCGTGTGCCACCACCTCCAGCTAATTTTTGTATTGTTAGTAGAGACAGGGTTTCACCATGTTGACCAGGCTGATCTTGAACTGCTGACTTCAGGTGATCTGAGGAGTCTTCCTATTTGGAAGGTGTACAGTTATCCTAAATATAAGGCTCCTGGTAGTTGGGAGGCCTCATACTTCCTCACCCATAAAATACTGGAACCAGAGCGGTGTGGGGAGACCCTGACAGTCGCTTATTCCGTGACTTTGGCCAAGTCTTGGGCTTTCTTGGGTAACACATCTCCACTGGGAGCAGCTCCTGAGATATTTGCCTGCCTTCTCCCCTCTCTTCCACCTCAATGGACAGTGTCAATTCTACTCTGCCTTGTCAACTCGAGAAAAGTTGGGAACCTGATTGGGTGTTGCCTCAGAAGAATCAACCTGATCTGGCAGTGCCCAAGCCTGGAGCCACCCAAGACAGTTCTCACCCCTGCCTGTCAGCTGGGAACCATATGTTCCAGTTTGCACCGTGTCTTTGCTTAAGGGACAAAGTCACTGATTGCAAGGTGGAATATCCCTGTTCTGTGTTAACCATGCACGTGTACTTGTGAATGCTCCACCCCTAAAATAACCCCAGTGAAGACATACAAGGTGGTTCCTCAGGAAAAAGAGGAGCAGAATAGGTAGAGAAGGCTGCCAGCGGGGTCCAGAGGTGGGAGCTGGCCAGGCACTACCCATTCCCTCCCTGCAGCAGAACTGGGCACCCGCATTTATGGTTTCCAACCTGAGGGTTGGAGGAAGAGCTTGCTGGCAGGAGTCATCCTTGCCTCCCCATTGCCCTATGCCAGGCACTGCAGGGTGCCTCGTAGGTGTGTGTACAAGCAGTGTAGCCCAGGGCTGGTGGCAACTTCTTGGCCTGTCTTTGAATGCTCATAAAATTGGACCCGTCATCACTTCACAAGGGTTTGGGGGCATAATTAATGTTGATGAAGCCCTTTGAAATGCTTAGGTGGAGTTATATTATGCTATTGCTAATCATGTCTGTCTGTAACTGGTTATTACATGTGGACATTCATATGTTATGGAAATGGCTTTTAAAAGAAACCTCAGCCATCTGTGTCCTTAGTGGAAATGTGGCACTGATAAGGTTATTTTTTTTTCCTAATTGATTGTGCCACCTTTGAAGGACACTTCACAGAACACAATGGAGACAGTCTGGAGGAGTAATTATCATCAAGAGGCTGGAAGTCAGGCTTAGATGCTAAAAATAGGACTCATAGTAACACCCATCTCATAGTGTTGTTTGTGGCCCTAAGAGAAGGGTGCACAGAAAGGGCTTAGCACACCATGTGCTCCATCAATACCAGCCTTTATTATCATAGTAACTATCGGGGATCAGAAAACCATACCTGAAAAAGAAAGCCTCAGAAGCAAAAGTTCCTCTCTGACCTTTTCTTGCTCTCCTTTCTCTGGCCCCGCTTCTCCACCAGGCTAGCCATAGAATCTACAATCCCTCTTCCCCAGGGCAGGTCATAGAAACCACAACCCCTGCAGGCACTGAGGTGGCTCATGCTTGTAATCCCAGAACTCTGGAAGGCCGAGGCAGCCTTTGAGCCCAGGAGTTCGAGACCAGCCTGGGCAACATGGTGAAACACCGTCTCTACTAAAAATACAAAAATTAGCTGGGTGCAATGGCATGCACCTGTAGTCCCAGCTACTCAGGAGGCTGAGGTGGGAGTATGGCTTGATAGCCAGAGATGGAGGTTGCAGTGAGCTGAGATCACGTCACTGCATTCCAGCCTCATTCCAGCCTGGCTGACAGAGCGAGACCCTGTCTCAAAAAGAAAGAGAGAGAGAGAGAGAGAGAGAGAGAGAGAGAGAGAGAGAGAGACACCAGAACCTTTCCCCAAAGCCAGCTATAAAACCTAAAATATTACTCTAATTTTCTTCCACTTTTTTTTGTAAAAATTGGCCATAAGGAAATTATCAGACCTTTGTTTGATCATAGGTCAGAAGACCCCCATTCCAGAGAGGGTCCTGACTCATGTAAGGAAGGAATGCTGCCCAGAGAGGCTGAGAAGAATCTCAACAGACAGACCTGGCTGGGTTCCCCACTCAGTCAATCAGCATTAGATCAGGCCCCTTTGTCCAATCATATTTCTACACAGTCGTCCATACTTTGTTGAACCTAAGCCTAAAAATGACAGTTTCTCCTGTGTCTTTGGGTCTTCTCTCTGAAGGCTCCCATGTCACATAAAATGATGATGAGATAAATTTGTACGCCTTTTCTCCTATTAATCTGCCTTTCATCAGTTGATTTTCAGCGAACCTTCCAAGGGCAATGGGGAAGTCTTCCCTTGGCCCATACATAACCTTTTGGCCTCCAATGTTTTTGCTGCCTAGGTGGGTTCATCCTTGTGAGGTTTATAGTTTTCACTTCTGGGTCCCACCCTTCCCTGCCACACTCCCTGACTTGTCTCTGTGGCCACAGTGGCCTCCCTCTGCCCTTCTGCAGCTCTGCACTTCCATGGTAGTGAGTTAACACATTCTCAGGCTAGTCTGTGAAGACAGACTAAATCCTCGTGGATTTAGTCAACCACTCATCTGAGGCCATCTCATCTTGGTCTCTTGCGGTAAAAATAAAATAGCAGCTACCAGTTATAGGTGGAACCATATGAAACTACCATCTTTATGCATCAAAAATGGTTGAATATTGGCCGGGCATGGTGGCTCACCCCTGTAATCCCAGCACTTTGGAAGGCCGAGGTGGGCAGATCACCTGAGGTCAGGAGTTTGAGACCAGCCTGGCCAACATGGAGAAACCCCGTCTCTACTAAAAATGCAAAAAAATTAGCTGGGCATGGTGGCACATGCCTGTAGTCCCAGCTACTCAGGAGGCCGAGGCAGGAGAATGTATTGAACCATTTCTGGCAAATTTAAACTTGGCATTTTTTATTTATCTAACAGTATTGAGTACTGTTAGATACTGTTAACTGAAGCCCTTGGTATAAAGACCATTCAGTACCCACTATCAGCCTTCTGAAAAATATATAAGCTGTTCTTTATGTGTTGAAAATTTTACATCATTCCCTTTTCTCCTTGAATTTGTATTTCCATTCTATTTCCCTCACAGAATTTTATTCCAAAATTGGGCAGGCACTCAGAACCGGAAGAGGTTCAGAGAGCTCCGCTTTAGTGGCCTGAGCAGCACACTTTTATAGGTTGAATGCAGAAGCAAAGCAAAGAAATGGCTTGATTGGCTACAGATAGGTGCTTGCTTTATTTGGGTCTGATTGGAGGAAAGTCCCTAGTTAGAGGTTAGTTGATGCTTTGATTGGTTGTGCTTAAGTATCATTTTACTGGTTACATTGCAATTCAGTTTGCTTACATAGGAACCCAAGGCCCTACAGCTGTCTCAGCCTGATGGCCTCCCAGTGAAAATTTTTTCATACTTCTCTATAAGAAAAGATGTAGAATAGGTAATCAAATTTCATTTATTAAAATTTCCTTGGATATGAGGTTCAGAAGAGTTTATTTATTGGTATGATTGACTGAAAGCTGTTAATGCAGTGTAAAATTTTACAATGATTATTAAGCAAAAAAAGTATTAGAAATGAATATCTGAATGAGAAGAATAAGACTTTCTTTAAAAATTAATTTCTGTATTCAAGATAAATATTACTGATTGCTAGAATGAGGTAGAGTTTAGCATCTATTCTACTGCAAGTTTTGTTTCCCATAGCTAAAGTGCTAAGAACTTTATTCACATTAGTATAAGTACCTGGAATGGAAGGACTGTTGGTATAGCAGTATCACTAAATTCTTTTTTTTTTTTTTCCTTTTTTTTGAGACAGAGTCTCACTCTTGTTGCCCAGGCTGGAGTGCAGGAGTGCAATGGCGCGATCTCAGCTCATTGCAACCTCCACCTCCCAGGTTCAAGTGATTCTCCTGCCTCAGCCTCCAAATAGCTAGGATTACAGGTGCCAGCCACCACACCTGGCTAATTTTTGTATTTTTGGTAGAGATGGGGTTTCACCGTGTTGGCCAGGCTGTTCCTGAACTCCTGACCTCAAGTGATCCACCCGCCTTGGCCTCCCAAAGTGCTGAGATTACAGGCATGAACCACCGTGCTAGGCTCCAGTATCACTAAATTCTTTAAACTCCTTCCAAGTTACATGCTAAAAGTCACATCATGATAAACTATTTTCATCAGCTAACGATACAATCAGAGCCACCTTCATTTTTGTTCAAAGCAAAGTACTGGACACTCCTAATTACAACAACAAGATTTGTTTTGCTTTCACAATTTCTGTGACGTTTACCAAAAGGGCATTGTCGATTATGCCTGTAACTTTTTTCACCTAAAGGCACCTTGTGTTAACCTGATATATCTAGAAAGGGTCAGGGAAATTGAAATATTATTTTTACTATTCCTTTGCTTATGCTGTACTTTAATGCACATATATTTTTACATTTATTATGTAGTATAATGTATAAGTATTTGTACATATAGTTCAAGTATAAATGATTTTATTTTAGAACAAGCTTTGAATATATTTTTGTCAAAGCTTAGAGCAGGAAATTTAGCTCATTCAATCTGTGTAACAGATCTGGAATATAACCTAATTAACAAAGCTAGTCCTTATTTTCCAAACATCAGTCAAACCAGACTCTGGCTTAGGAATATTCCAACAAGGGCCAAACTATCCCATTCCAGTGTCATGCCTTAACAGGAATATGGATGACAGAGGGAAGAAAAGTCATTCTTGGGATGGGCGTTACAGCATCTTGATTATCACTAAAAAAAGTGGGAAACAAAATTTCAGAATTCCCCTTGATTTCCTGGTGGTTTTACAACTTGGCAATGTACCAGAGTAAGATTCTAAGGTAAATGAAGGACAAGCCTTTCTTTGATCAAACGGGAAAAAACTGCCGTGAAAGGTGAAATGAGAAAGCGGAACATACGAAAAGCTGGCAAAGAACATGGAAGGACATGAAGATAGGTGATCAAGTCCCCTAAGACTGTCAGTATCACCTTGTGGAAGAAAATCTCTGGCCCCAGTCCAAAGAAGATGGCCTTCTGGTCCTTGCAACCCTGATTTCTATCTTTTTAAAATTTATTTTATGACCTTTAAGTGTTCAAGTGAAATAATTTCTCTTTTAGAAACATAGTCCTAATAACATCACTCAGAGCCTCCCTGTCATCTCCAAGGCCAGGTCCAATGTCTTGGAATAGGGCTTCTCTGGTTTCTTTCCATCTTCCCTGGACCCCTTTTAAAACTGAATTAAAGGGGGTTGCCTTTAGTCAGTTCCCCGATCCCATTTTTCCCTGAGTCTTTTTCCCTTACACCAGCCATCTTTCTCTTCCTCAAAAGTACTTGCTGGTTCCCACCCCCGGAGCTTCCTATGCGTTGTGGAACAGCTTTCTGCACCCCACCCCCACCACTCCAGGTCTTCAGCCCTCCCTTCAGAAATCATTCTTCAGAGATGTCTTCCTTGACCACCCCACAACACACACACTAGATCAGGTCCCTGTCACGTAGAGTACCCTGTGCCTTTCCTGTGTAGCCCTAACCACAATGTGATTACGTAGTCAGTTCAATGTATGTTATGTGAGGACAAGGACAGGGCATGGCACAAACTAGGCACTGAAGGAACAAGTGACTGGAGTGCCATTCCTCCCTTCTCTGTACTTCTTGTGCCCATCTCTAATAGATTATATATATATATTTTTGAGATGGAGTTTCGCTCTTGTTGCCTAGGCTGGAGGGCAATGGCACAACCTCGGCTCACTGCAGTCTCCGCCTTCCGGGTTAGTGATTCTCCTGCCTCAGCCTCCCGAGTAGCTGGAATTACAGGCGTGTGCCACCATGCCCGGCTAATTTTGTATTTCTAGTAGAGACAGGGTTTCTCCATGTTTGTCAGGCTGGTCTCGAACTCCCAACCTCAGGTGATCTGCCCGCCTCAACCTCCCAAAGTGCTGGGATTACAGGTGTGAGCCATCGCGCCCGGCCAGATTGTAATATTTTTAGTGTCTGTATTCTGCACTAGCCTGGGAGTCACTGGGTCAAGAACCAATTCCCCAACTCCTAATAATAGCTACTATTTATTCAATACCTACCCTGTTCCAGGCCTGTTATAGAGCTTTATATATTATATAGTTTGACATAATAATTCTGAGCATGGGCTCTGGGGTCAGACTACCTGGGTTCCCATCCTTCTTCAGCCACTTACTAGCTATCTCTTATCCTCTGTGCCTCAGCTTCCTCACTGTAAAATTAGATGATAATAGTACCTGCCTTAAAAGGTTGTTATGAGGATTAAATGAGTTAATACGTTTAAAGTACTTAGAGTAATACTTGGCACATAGTAAGTGCTTGATAAATGTTAGTTTATGATTATCATTGTCGTCATCATCTCTAATCTTTACAACAAGGCTAGTCTGTCAGTTTCCAAAGGCTGAGCTCTCTCTAGTAAACCCGATCACCTCCCACTGGCATGTGCCTAACACGTAGGAAGTTCTCACGATGCCCTATTGTTAATGATGGATGACTCTAACTATGATAGCTAATATTTATTGAAGGCTCTGAGAAGCCCCATAGTAAAGAAATCTGTATCCGTAAACCCTCTGACTTGTGCTAGGAATCGTGCTTTGTTACTTCCATGGGTTTATCTTGTTTCATTCTTGCAGCTGCCCTGAGGAGTAAGTACCGTTAATAACTCCATTTTACAGTTGAGGAAACAAATGCCCAAAGATATGTCCGAGTCACAGTGTCATGAAGGACAGAGGCTGGATTCAAGGTGAGGTCTGCCTGACTCTAGAACCTAACCTCTGAATAACCACACTCCACACACTTATTGTGCTGGAGCAGTTCCTTAGGATTACGATGTCCTCTTAGTTTCCACAAGATACTGTACGTTGTAGGTTGCCTTCTGCAGTCCTCTTCAGGCCACAAATGGGTTGAGGGGGTTGGGTATGCTCTGCCTCAGGCCAGGTGCCATGTGAAGGTTGGAAGAGGAGGCCAGGCATGTAAAAAAACCTCAGGCTGGAAGTCTGAGAGCCTAAATTTTAGCTATAGTCCTTCCATACTGCCTTTGCCACATAATATTAAGCCAAGTAGTTCAGGTCTTGTGCCCAGAGTAAATTCCTCCTTTGACATTCCACCTTTTTCTGAGCACTCTCTCAATTATTGCCATTTATTTGTGCTTAGATTAAGTCACTTATTCAGGAAACATAAACTGAGTTCCTTTTATTGATTGGGAAGGAAAAGAGAGACATGGAGGCTCCAGTTAGATATAATTTCCAAATGAAAGGAAGGCAGAATTCTGTCTACCCATATTGGATGATTAAGTTTTAAAAGGAATTAAGAAATCTGTGACAATAATAGCATAATGGGTGGGGGAGAGAGATGGGAACTATATAGGAGCAAAGTTTTGTATAACACTAAAATTAAGTTGCTATTAATCTGAACTAGATTGTTATAAATTAAGGTGTTAATTATAATCAGCACAGCCATTAAGAAAATAACTCTTAAATACACAGTAAAATAAATGACAAGGGAATTAAAATGGCACACTAGAAAACATATCTATTTACCACAAAAGAGGGCAGTAATGGAGGAATTGAGGAAAAAAAGAGACTACAGAAAACAAATGGCAAAATGACAGAAGTCCTTTCTTATTACTAATTATTATTAAATGTAAGTAGATTAAACTCTCCAAGTAAAAGGCAGAGATTGGCAGAATATATATTTTAAAACATTCAAGTA
Source organism: Homo sapiens (assembly GCF_000001405.40). Taxonomy (NCBI): domain Eukaryota; kingdom Metazoa; phylum Chordata; class Mammalia; order Primates; family Hominidae; genus Homo; species Homo sapiens. Next base: position 24,434,182 of record NC_000001.11, read on the forward strand.
TGTGCTATCTACAAAAGATTCCCTTTAAATTCAAAGACACAAATAGATTGAAAGTAAAAAAGAAAAAAGAAAAAGATATTTCATGTAAATAACCAAAGGAGAGCTGGAGTAACTATACTAATATTAAACAAAATAGACTTGAAGATAAAATTGTTACAAGGTACAAAGAAGGACATTATATTATGATGAAGGGGTAAATTCATCAAGAAGATGTAACAATTGTAAAATAAATGCACCTACACAGCCCCAAAATACAGGAAGCAAAAACTGACAGAATCAAAGGAAGAAATACACGATAATAGCCAAAGACTTGAATAGCGTATACCCCACTTTTACTAATGGATAGAACAATTAGAAGATCAGCAAGGAAATAGAAGACTTGAACAACACTGTAAAGCAACTAGACCTGACAGAAATCTATAGAATATTCCACTCAACAAAAGCAAAATACAAATTCTTCTTAAGTGCACATGAACATTTTCTGGGATAGAGCATATATTAGGACAGAAAACAAGTCTCATTATTTAAAATATTGAAATTATACAAAGTATGTTTTCTGATCACAATGGAATGAAATTAAAAATCAATCACAAAAGGAAATTCACAAAAACAAAGTGGGAAATTCACAAACATGTATAAATTTAACAACACGCTCCTAAATAACCAACAAGTCAATGAAAAAAATCACAAGGGAAATTATAGGAACTACCTCGAGACAAACTGATCCTAAAATCCATATGGAAGTCCAGGGGACCCAAAATAGCCAAAACAATCTTGGAGGAAGAAGAACAATGTTGAAGAACTCATACTTCTGATTTCAAAACTTACTACAAAACTATAGTAGTCAAGACAATATGGTACTGGCATAAAGACAGACAAATAAATCAATGGGATAGAATTCAGAGTCCAGAAATTAACCCATACATCTATGGTCAGTTGATTTCAACAAAGATGCTAAGACCATTCAATGGAGAAAGAATAGTCTTTTCAACAAATAGCACAGGAATAACTGGATATCCACATGTACAAGAGTGAATGAAATTGGATTCCCACCTCACACCATGCATAAAAATTAACTCAAAATGGATCGGAGAGCTAAATGTAAGAGCTAAAATTCTTAGAAGAAATAAAAATCTTAGAAGAAAATAAAGGTGATATTTTAGATCAAGCAAGTTTTTGTCTCTTTTAGTTCAGTTCCTTCATTGGTGGCTTCTTTTGTGTTAAATAGATATATTTTGTAGTGTACCATTTTAATTCCCTTGTCATTTCTTCCACTATATATTTTGAGTTATCTTCTTAGTGATTGTGCTGAGGATGACAATTAACACCTTAATTTATAACAATCTAGTTCAGATTAACACCAACTTAATTTTAGTAGTACATGAAATGTCGCACCTATATAGCTCCATCTCTCTCCCCCACCCATGATGCTATTGTCACAAAATATGACACCAAAAGCATAAACAACAAAACAATAGATAGATTAGACTTCATCAAAATTTAAAACTTTTCTGCATCAAAGGTAGAAGTCTAGCCTCTCTGTGTGGTCTCCGTTGACACCATGGGGAGGAGGACACCTTGCCACTGGCTCCCTGCTTAGCCTTCCCTGATAGTCCCAACAGGGGAGTTGAGGGGCTGACTTAGTTCATTTGGGCTGCTGTAACAAAATACCATAAACTGAGTAGCTTATAAAAACAGAAATGTATTTCTCACAGTTCTGAAAGCTGGGAAGTCCAAGATCAAGGCCCCAGCAGATTGGGTGTCTGGTGAGGGCGCGCCACCTCAGACGGCACTTCCTCTCTCTGTCCTCACGTGATGGAAGGGGCGAGCAGCCTCTCTTGGGCCTCTTTTATAAGAACACTAATTCCATTCATGAGGGCTCCACCGGCATGACCTAGTCACTTCCCAAAGGCACCACCTCCTAATACCATTCCCTTAGGGGTTAGGACTTCAACATATAAACTTAGGGGGCAGCGGGCACAAACATTCAGATGTACAGATGCCTTGTTCTCTGTGGTGTTTAGAATAGTGAGGTTATTGTCTAAAAGTGTTTTTCTTGCCAAGCTTCCCATCAGCTTGTCCTTTGGTAGTGAGAGGAGGCTTTTCTTGGGGCTTTTGTTTTTTTTTTACCCTGCTCCACCCCTGTTGGTATTTCCAGAGTGCTGGCTTCTTCGCCTACAAGTTTGGGATGTATGAGGCAAAAAGAATACAGAATACCCAAGAAGCTCACCAATATGCCATTCCTGGGGTCCCAACTTTTCTAGCTTGTCTGCCTTCTTCTCTCTGCATTCAGAATTGTCTTATGTTTGTCTTTTTTTTTTTTTGAGACGGAGTTTCACTCTTGTCACCCAGGCTGGAGTACAATGGTGCAATCTCGGCTCTCTGCAACCTCTGCCTCCTGGGTTCAAGTGATTCTCCTGCCTCGGCCTCCTGAGTAGCTGGGATTATAGGCGCCCACCACCACGCCCAGATAATTTTTGGGTTGTTTATTTTTTTTGGTAGAGATGGAGTTTCACCGTGTTGGCCAGACTGGTCTCGAACTCCTGACCTCAGGTGATTCACCCGCCTTGGCCTCCCAAACTGCTGGGATTACAGGCGTGAGCCACCGCGCCCAGCCTTTTGTTTGCCTTATATGTGATGACCAGGGTTTTAGTTGTACATAGCAGGAAGAATAGGGAAAAGTACATCTACTCCATCTTCCCAGAAGCAGATGTTCTATAATTGACTTTTTAAATGGAAAGTTATAAAATAATTTTTTGTATGCAAGGAGCATTAAAATATTGAAACTGGCTGGGCGTGGTGGCTCACGCCTGTAATCCCAGCACTTTGGGAGGCCGAAGCGGTCGGATCATGAGGTCAGGAGATTGAGACCATCCTGGATAACACGGTGAAACCCACCTCTCTACTAAAAATACAAAATAATAGCCGGGCGAGGTGGCGGGCGCCTGTAGTCCCAGCTACTTGGGAGGCTGAGGCAGGAGAATGGCGTGAACCCGGGAGGTGGAGTTTGCAGTGAGCCGAGATTGCGCCACTGCACTCCAGCCTGGGCGACAGAGTGAGACTCCATCTCAAAAAAATATTGAAACTAAGATTCATTATATTTGTAAATACAATTTGTTAGATGTATAATAATTAGTTCTGTGGTAAGGTTTTATTTCAAAAAACTAAATTTGAATAACATATTTCTTTTTACAAAATAAAAGCAGATTGCCTTTTTTGTCCACCAAAGCCATGGCTCTAAGGGGGAAGAAAAAACCTCGCTCATGTTTATGAGAAGTTGGGCTAATAATAAACATGTCCCAAAATGCTTTCCACAAAGTGCTGATTCTGTTGAGCTTTTTAGTTGCAAGTAACAGAAGCAAGTTCTTAAGCAAAATTGGGCTGTTCCTGGCTTCAGGAAGGTCTGGAACCAGGAGGTCTGGAACCAGGATGGCCCCAGGGTCCTGAGGAGCGACAACTAATGATTTGCTCAGGCCTCACCTTGGGCTGAAGGGAGTCAACCTTTCTTCAGCCTTTGTGTTTCTCAGTCCAAGATCTGGATCCCAGAGAAAGAGATTCTGGGCTGCCTGGCTTGGGTCACACTTGGGCCGTGATGTCTAGGGAGGATGGAGCACTGGGAATGACAGTTCCAATAAGACCGTGTCCAATGGGGAGGGGGCGGAGGAGAGTCCTCCCCAGCAAAATCAGGGTGTCGTTTATCAGAAGAAAAGGAAAGGATTAAAATGTTAGTCAAGTGAGAGTCATAGATGTTTACTCCAGATGCTGATGGCTGGATTCCAGGTTAAGAGTTCTAGAGCCAAATGAGTTTGAGAACCTGAGTTAGACAAGGAGAAACTCCCCTGAGAGCCTCTAACATGCTCTGGGGGCCTCCCAGCAGTGGGTAGAGGATGCATTGCCTTTAACTACATGGTGCTTTTCTTGCCTTGGCACCCCATTAGCATCTCTGGGAACTCAGCTGGGGAAACCCTGGCTGGGCAGGTCTCCAGCGAGCCTTTTAGCTCTGAGATCCTGTCATCCCACAGGAAGGACGTGTTCTGCCTGCAGGTGGCTTTATTCTGTCTTGCTGCTCATCGGGTGAGTCAGAATCAGTTCCCAGCTCTGACCTTTTCCAGGTGGGGGACACATCTCAGGTGTGGTGAGGTTGTGGCAGAGCTGGGACTAGACTGGGGTCCCCTGGCTCCACATCTTTCCCTTCTGTGGCAGCGCTGAGCCTTGTTGGGAGAGAAGTTAAGGACAGCTATCCATAGTGATTTCAGTTGGTGGGCCTCCCTCTCGGTCCTCCTGCCCTCTCCCGTCCCTGGCCAACTGCCCCTTCTCAGGGAAGACCTGCCCTCAGCTCTCTAAGCCCCGCGATCTAGGAGAGGGCAGGGGGGAGGGTTGACTTCACTGTTACTGCTGACTGTGTCCTGAGGGGGAAGCCTCGGCCAGCTCTGGCCACTGCGGGGCAGCTTGCTAATTATCTGTCTTTCCAGATGGACTGAACATATGACAGTGAGGACTGTTTGTCTTGTTAACTGCCGATTCCCTAGGGCCTGTCCCCCGCCTTAAAGAATGGGCAGGATTTCACCAGGGAGGGGAACCAGGCGGGGTTGGGAAGAGAACATGCTGGGAAGGAGGTTGCAGCATTGGCCAGCATAGAGCATTCCTTGGTGTTCAGTGGTGGAATATGGATGGAGGGTGTGTTGGGGACTTGCTATAGTGTGGTTTAAATGCTAGTACACTTTGACCCAGCAATTCCACTTACAAGAATTTGTCCCAAGGGACTAATCCATACAAACGCACAAAAATGTGTGCACTAGGCTATTCAATCACAGCATTGTTTTTTTAAAAGGAAACATAATAGACACGGGGGACTCCAAAACGGGGAGGGGTGGGGGTGAGAGTTGAAAAATTACCGATTGGGTACTGTGTTCACTTATTTGGGTGATGGGTTCACTAGAAACCCAAACCTCAGCATTACACAATTTACCCATGTAACACACCTGCCCATTTACCCCGACTCTAAAATAAAGTTAAATGAAAAATTAATAATAAAGGAAACAGCCTAAATATCCAGTAATAGCAAAGCAATGATATAAAATATGGCACATCCAAAAATAATGAGTTATTTGACATTTAATAAAAATGACAAATTAGGTATGCCTGACAGGGAAATGTGCTCACAATATGTTAAGTAAAAAAACAGATTATAAAACAGATGGTAATCTTATTTTTATAAAGTAAATTAACATTTCCATTGATATGTAAATTTATGGACAGAAAAATGTTTGCAGGAATAAGAACCAAAATGTTTATAGTCATTATCTCTGGGTTATAGAATTAAAAGTGACTTTTCTATTATGGTGGTGTTGTTATTGTTATTTTTTTCATTTTTTTCTCATGCTACCTTGTCTAAGATATTATTATTTTTATCTATATATATTTCCTATTTAGTCTACAATGAATATATGTTTGGTAATCATTTTAGAAAGTACAAAATTCCGTGCCAGGTAGTCTGAACCTAACTCATAGGTGATGTAAATTAACTTTTTATAAATTGAGTAATTGACAATGCCCTAAGCAAGTGAGCCAGTTAAAAGAGTTTCATTGAAACCCTCTGGGAAATTGAAGACACTATTGACAAGATAGCAAAAAGTATTCTCTGGCCTATATTTCTCTTGTAAATTCTGATTTTGGAATGTTGCTTTTCTGCACAAGATGGTGGCAAGTTAATACTTTAAAGGGAATAGCACAGCAGGTTTAGACCTTGTCAGGTCAGTGTGATCGGGCCACCAAAGTATCCAATTCAGGGCAGCATTTTGTAAACCAGCAAAGCAGCCAGATTAACCTTCAGTAGTAACATTCCAGTTGTGGGTCTGGAGTGTGGCTTTGTCACTGATATTGTTTTTCTGGTTTTGTTTTGGGGCAGCAAATGGTTGAGTGTCAGAAGTGTCCTGGGGCCCCCTGGCTTGTGCCCAAATCATGTCCACTCCTGTGAACTTTCCTTACAGGAAAACCTGATTGGCGCCCTCTTGGCGATCTTCGGGCACCTCGTGGTCAGCATTGCACTTAACCTCCAGGTAAGTTTCAGTTACCAGCACTGTCTGGGGACAGAGACACAGCAGACAAGTCAGGGTGTCTTATCCAGGTCCAGCTGCCTCCTCTCTGCAGGGCCTTGCCTACTGCATCCCTGGGCTGCACCTGGGACAATACCTTGTGGGCCGTTCCAGGATTTCTCTTGATTCAGTGGCCCCACTCCATCCCGCCCTCGCCCTCCTAGCCAGGTCCTCACTGTCTCTCCTTGGGCTTTGCAGTGACCTCCTGCTAGCTTCTCTGGCTCTGGTCTCATCCCTCTTTGCCTTGCTGCAAAGCTGCTGGAATTACCATAGTTTTGTCAAATTCAACTCTAATTACAGCACTGTTCATTACTTAAAAGCCTCAGGGATGCCCTCTACAGCTGCTGTGGATCCCCCCACTGACCTCCAAATCCCCTCGGCCTGTCTGAGTTCACAAGCAGCTGTGGTGTGTAGCAAGTTGATAGCTAATGAGCTTCTCATGGGGGCACCAAGGAGCTGGTGTTACTGGCATGCAGGCACAGTTGGGGTGTGCACTGGGGGAGCAGGACGTTAATGCCCCTGGAGGCTGCCTTCTGCCAGCAGGGGTGGGAGGCAGGGAATAAATGCCCCAGGCTCTTATCCTCTGCTAGGATGATTCTAAGGTGAGATTCACAGGGTTTTTCAGAGGGTCCCCTGTGGGACTGAGTCCCAGTTGCCCACGGGACTAATCCGCTCATGAATGCACCTTTCATCTCTGTTCCCTGCCTCACTTTCCCCTTCCCTTACTCGTGCTCCCTGGAATTATCTCATACAGACTACCTGCTCCCACATTCTTGTCTCAGGGACTGCTTCTGGGAAACCCAGATAAGACTTGGTACCTGCTAACAGGATGAATCCCACAGCACACTGGCCGGCTTCACTCCACCAGCACTGCCCAGCTTCTGCCTGCAGTGAACTGCTCTCCCTCCCTGGAGCAGGCAGGAGACTGTGATCCCTGTGGGCACACACTTGTGCCTTGTTCACCTGTACTCTATGCATCTCAGCTCTGGGATGTGTATGTTTCTGTGTGTCGCTGAGACCACGTGGTCTCTTAGCTACTTGTCTGGTTCATTCTCTTCTTTCTCCAGGGCAGCATCTCTGGTTGTTTATCTGCTTCTGGGCAGCCCACATCATGATCCTCCCCAAATGGCAGACTTGGCCCTCTAAGTCAACATGACTTTCTAGCCTGCTTTAGTTACTGCTTCAGTTTCGATGTCCCAGGTTCACATTTCCCCCCAAAAAAGAATATTGACCATGCTTGAGCCACGTATCCACCCCAGGGAGAGCAAGGCCCACTGATACCCACACAACTGCCCAGCGAGAGCTGCTGGCATGTAGACAGGAAGGAGTGTGCCGAACACACAGTCATCCAAACGTGGGGAATCCTGGAAACTGCAGAGAGAGGGAGGAGGTCGACCCAAGGGCCAGGCCAAGTGGGATCTTTAGACTATGGCTCCCACCCTGAGACTGCATTGCCTGTGACGTGCATTAGAAATGCCTGTTTTCAGGCTCATCCACACCTCTCCGAGACTGACTCAGGATGAGGCCCAGGTGGGTATTTTGACAGAGCTTCTCAGGGGATTATAAGGATTCCCAGCCTGTTGGAGAGCTACTGTCCTAGAATTTAGATCTAGTATTTAGATCCCCACTGTCTTACTCTTCTCTGAGTCAGGACTCCACAAGAACCTGACAAGTCTTCCCAATTTATTTGCAAGTTGGGGGTGGATTTAGGGTACCTACATCATAGCATTTTTTTCCCCAAACATCTGAGCAAATTGCATTATTTCTCGGGTTTCTAGAAGTACTGCCACATCCGCCTGGCAGGCTCCAAGGATCCCCGGGCCTATTTCAAGACCAAGACATGGTGGCTGGGCCTGTTCCTGATGCTTCTGGGCGAGCTGGGTGTGTTCGCCTCCTACGCCTTCGCGCCGCTGTCACTCATCGTGCCCCTCAGCGCAGTTTCTGTGATAGGTAAGACCAGGGCTGCCCCACCCTCCCCTGGGGTGCTCCCAGCTGCGTGACCAGAGTGCCAGCGCCAGGATCAAAGGTGCCCATTGAACAAACCAGCTTTAGCTTGGATAATAATAGCCTAATACAAAGGGCTTCAGACACACCAGGCCCTGTAAGTGCTTACAGATATTAATTCTGCTAATCCTCCAGCCACCTGTTGAGGGAGATGTTGTTGTTATCCCCATTTAACAGATGAGGAAACTGAGGCACGGGGTAATGAAATTACTTTCCCCAAATGACACAGCTAGTGAGTAACAGGGCTGGGATATGAACTGGGCTGTCTGGCTCCAGGTTCTGTTTAAGATTCAGAAGGCTTATTAGAATTGCTTTTTATTTCTAAAAGAAGAAGGAAGATAAACCTTAACCCATGCATCTTTTCACCATCAAGATACATTAAGCTTGTCACTGAGTGCAGTGGCTTGTACCTGTAATCCCAGCTACTTGGGAGGCTGAAGTGGGAGGATCGCTTGAGGCCAGGAGTTTGAGACCAGCCTGGGCAACATGGAGAGACCCCATCTCTACAAAATGAAACAAACAAACAAAAAAGAAAAACAATTAGCTGGGCATGGTGGTATGCATCTGTGGTCCTAGCTACTTGGGAAACAGAAGCAGGAGGATCCCTTAAGTCCAGTGTTTGAGTGCTGCAGTGAGCTTTGATTACACAATTGCACTCCAGCCTGGGTGACAGAGCAAGACCTCATCTATTGAAAAAACAAATTAAGCTTTTGTAGGGTTTGGGGCCAGGCCAGGCTGGTCTCAAATTCTTGAGCTCAAACTATCTGCCTGCCTTTCCTCCCAAAGTGCTGGGACTACAATTGTAAGCCACCACACTGGCCATTAACTTTCTCATCTGCCAGCTTTCTGTGATTTCTGTAATCACTGAACCAGTGTTTCAGAACATTTGAACCAACTAAAAGACAAGGGAGCTTTAATGTTCATGAGAACACAAGCAAAACAGAATTAGAAAAAAAAAATTCTTCTTAAAGAAAAGATGTTAGTAGATTAGTGAACAATAGCTTTTTTTGTGTGCATAGCAGCCAGGACAATGAACTTGCTTTGAAATATTTCTTTCCATTTTGCTGGCAAGCACTACTCTGCCCAGATGCTCTGCTCTGCTCTTAAAGGAGAAAGTCATATTTTGGGTCTTATTCCTCCTTGAGTTAAGAGGTTCTCTTCTATGCAAGGGATGGCAGATGCATGGTAACTATGTGCCCCTCCCTTGCTGTGCTCAAGGCAGACATCGTTAATCAATCATGGCATTCCTTCCTAGAGAGCATAGATGGGGCCTCAGAATTCTCAGTGCTTCCAACAGTCACTACCAATCACCAGGAGTTGGCAAGGGAGCAGAAACCTATTTACTTTCCCTGATCCTGTTATAAGTCCCGGTTTTTCCTAACCAGGGTTGCTGAACTGGCAGCTTGCAAAGTGAATGAGGTCCTCAGACATGGTGTGTGTTTTTTCCCACACAGTACTTTTTTAATGTAATTTGAATGTCTTTAGCTGAGGCAAGTAGTTTGCCAGAGTCTCAGCCTTTCCCTGTTGTCTTACTTCCAGACCATTTTCTATATTTGTGTTCTGTTACTCCCCAGCCCCTGTATGTGATCATACCTGTAGCCTTATCACTCTGCTCTGCCCACTGCAGGTATCTCCAAAGGGCTCCCAAACCTTTTTCACAATGAGAAATAAGTGTCTAAGTGACTGGTGCTTTAAATATTAGTCTTCGAATTTTAATAAGGTTCAAATAACCAAATTCTTTTTTTTTTTTAAAGAGGCCAAGTTATAATGATAAAACTTCAGATATCAGCCACTGGAAATGAAGGGGCCCTATAGCTTCTGAGGTCATCCAGTGAGGAGTAATATTAAAAATAATAATGATTATCACTTATTGGATATCTATGACTTAACCATCACTGCTCCAGGTACTTTTAGTAATAATATTAGCTTAGTTATTGAGATTGACTGTGTGCCAAATGACTTACATATATCATTGAATTACCCCTATCATTCAGAAAAGTAATTTTCAATGGTGGGCTGGTAAACCACCTCTCAGAGAGACAAAGGAGAAGAAAAAGAAGAGGAGATGGAGGGATGGAGAAAGGGGATGGAAAAGTGGAAAGGAGAAAAGGAAGACCTGATTTGTAGCGCTTGCCAGTTTATATGGTATAGACATTATCACTCCCACTGTGGCTGATTTCAAGCTACGGATGGTTTTCTGAATATTTAACAAAATATTTAACATTCTATGAGCTGGTGCCAGCTGGATCTAACACCGTATTTCATAGACTAGAGAACTGAGACTCAGGTGAAGTGACATATCCAAGGACACACAGCCAGAAGAGGCAGAACTAGGGTAGTGAGTGATCCAGGTCTGTTCACAGTGACTGCCAGCCCTATCCTTTCGGGCAGTCCCAAGGGCGTTTGAGTACATCTGTGAACGTGTAAGAGCCAGGGAGAGGAAAGAGCCGGGGGAAATGTCAGAGGTGGGTGTTACAGTGGAAGAAGTAAGAGCCTGGCCTCCTGCAGTCCTGGGTTCAAGTCTTGCCTTCCCCTACCACCTTCATGATCTCGAGTGGGCCCTTTACCTCTCTCAGCTTCAGTGTCCCCATTTGTCAAATAGGAATAATGAGAGTACCCACCTCCAAGGGTGAACATGCCAGAAATAACTTGTGTAAATTGCCTGTCACACAGCAGGTACTCAATGCTTCTAGCCTTGTAGGAAATCCTCAGGAAGGAAGGCTCCTCTCTGAGCCTCCCTTTCCTAGATGGAATCACACAGGAACCAAGCTTTTGGCAGCATGAGTGACAGGTTAGGAAGTACCAAGCTCCAATGCAAAGAAGCCACCCAGAGGGCATGGGTGAAGGGATGCCCTTTAGCTGACAGCAGCCTCAATTCCCTTTTCTTTGTGCTTCATTTTTCAGCTAGTGCCATCATAGGAATCATATTCATCAAGGAAAAGTGGAAACCGAAAGACTTTCTGAGTAAGTTCAGTGATTTGAGCTGTGTCCTTGATTTTATATGAACGCTTTTTATTAATTGTAAAACCAGTTCACTCTAATTCAGAGGTTATCTGCCTCCTGCTGTCCTCTGTGGTTCTATGTTCTGCCCTCAACAGGCTCCTGAGAGCTGGATTTTTTAATCAGGGGTTCTCAAGCCTGGCCACACCTCAGAATCATCGGTGAGGCTTTTAAAAATGGACTTTTATCCACCCCATTGGATCAATTTTGAGCATCTATTATTGGGATTTTAGGAGGCCTAAGAAAAGAAACCCTCTCTCCCTGACTGAGTTCTAAAGCAATGGGAGTCAAACACAGATGATCAGAAGTCATGCCTTACTCCTAATAAAAGCTAGATTAGAGCATTTTAGGTGAGCTAGATTAAAGCATAAAGCTGCTTAGGTGAGCAGCCAAGGGAATGTCCTTGTACTCTCCCCACAGGACCCTCCAGCTCCCAGTCAGACCTTGGGCGGGTCCCCCCAAGAAACACTTGGGTTTACAGAGTGGAGACACTTAGCCAGAATTATTGCCTCACATAGTTTGGGCCAGAGAAGGAAGAAAAAAGATCAAAGCCCCAGTATTTAATTTTTTTATTTTTTTAAGAAGATTAGCTCCACCTAAGTTGAGAAATGTAGACCAATAGGGCAAGAGGCAGAAGTGTCACTTTAATGGAGGTCCCTCCACATGGAAACCCAAGAAGTGGGGAAGAAGCGTTTCCCACAAAACACCTACTAAGTCCCATGTTGTGTTATAGGTGCTGGGAATACAGCAGTAGGATAGATGGGGCTTCTGCTCACAGAGATTATAGTCGTGTGTGTGTGTGTGTGTGTGTGTGTGTGTGTGTGTGTTGTGGGAGGGGAGAGATACAATAAACAAGCAACTAAATGAAATAATTTTAGGTTGTAGTGAGTTTTTCAGAGAAAATTGAATGCTTTCGGGGACTGGGGAGATGGGAACACTTTCCTAGACTGATCAGGGTCAGACTCTCTGAGGAGGTGATTTTTCCCCCCAACTTTTAATTTAATTTCAGGGGTACATGTGCAGGATGTGCAGGTTTGTTACATAGGGCAACATGTGCCATGGTGGTTTGCTGCACAGATCATCCCATCACCTAGGTATTAAGCCCAGCATCCATTAGCTATTCTTCCCAATGGTCTCCCTCCCCCAAACCCCCACCCTCCAACAAGCCCCAGTGTGTGTTGTTCCCCCACCATGTGTCCATGTGTTCTCATCATTCAGCTCCCACTTAAAGTGAGGACATGCAGTATTTGGTTTTCTGTTCCTGCATTAGTTTGCTGAGAATAATGGCTTCTACCTCCATCCATGTCCCTGCAAAGGATATGATATCATTTTTTTTGGCTGCATAGTATTCCATGGTGTATACGTACCACATTTTCTTTATCCCTCTGTCATTGATAGGCATTTAGGTTGATTCTATGTCTTTGCTATCGTGAATGTGCTGCAGTGAACATATGTGCACATGTATCTTTATAATAGAACAATTTATGTTCCTTTGGGTATATACCCAGTTAATGGGATTGCTGGGTCAAATGGTATTTCTACCTCTAGGACTTTGAGGAATCACCACACTGTCTTCCACAATCGTTGAACTAATTTACACAAGGAGGTGATTTTTAAGCCCAGATCCAGGTGATACTAAGGAGATTGCCATCCCCAGGTCTGTGGGCCGGGTTTTCCACATACCAGGAGCCACAGGTGCAAAGGATCCAAGGCAGGAACAAGCTTGGTTTGTCCAAGTCTCGGTAAGGCTGTGTAGCCAGAGGGTAATGAATAAAGTGAGAGGGAGATCAGTGAGACATGGAGGACTGGCTGATGTGTAGGCCTTATGTGCCATACTGAGGAGTTGAGGAGTGACGTGATGGTGGCCCAAGCTCTGTCCTCAGAGATTCTGCGCTCTGGGCTGGGGCCGGGGCCGGGGCATTGGCATTCTTATAGAGCTTCCCAGGGTGAAGTGTATACTGATGCCTGCAAATCACTTTGAAATGCATCAAAAATAAGATGAATTAATGCATGGATAGAGAGATGGATAGATTTGTGAGAAAACAAGTATAATGAAAGGTCAGTTTAGAATCTGGCTGTTGGGACTATGGGTACTCACTATACAACTTTTTGAACTTTAATATATGTCTGAAAAATTTTAAAACAGAACTTCAGGGAGAGAAAATTTCCAAGATGTTGTGGATATACAGCCAAGTTTGGGGACCACTCTGAATCATTGATATAGAATAAGATCAAGGTGGGACCAAGAGGCCAAAAAAGAAAAGAATTTTACTCTAAAAAAAAAAGCAGAACTTTGCCAAAAGAAAAAAGTAGAGACTTTGGAGCTACTGCCAAGAAGACCAAATGACAGACTGAATTTCAATAGTCTTAATGATGGGGCACGGGGGTTAGGGCTGGTTCTAAGACCACTATAGAAGTTTGCATCCCTTTGGGAATACTCTAGGTAATCCTAGGATGAGAGCCGTGCTAGTCCAAGCAGTGCCCTGTGTGACTTGGAAAAAGAAGGCCCCTCTGGGCATCTGTAGTTTTGTAGGCACAAGCCTTGATGAGCAGACCATGGGCTGGATTTTAGCCCATCTCACCTATTGAGCCAGGTGCCCTTGTGCAGTGAGCAACCTGCACAGCTGAATATGGCTGTTTTACCTGGAGTTCCATTACATTCAGCAAACATTCACTCAGTGCTAGACCTGTGTTGGACGCTGCAGGTGTGGAGATGAGTAAGACCCATCCCTGCCTGAAGAAAACTTTAGATAACAGACCTACTTTATTGAGTTTAACCGTGGCTCATTCATTCATTGAACAATTGAACAACCGTTTTTTGAGCACCTCCTACATTTACGAGGCCTAGTACTGAGAATAAAGATAAAAGACATTTAACATGGTATCACATTTTCTCTAGACAGTGGGATGAAATAGGCAAAGTTAGTTCTATCCCAGAAAAGTCCAGAGGCCTGTGGTCACCATAAGTGTGTCTTAGAACTCTCAGCCATTTTTTGGCTGCCTGGGGCTGGGCCGGACCTTGGAGGCTTTTCACCAACCTTACAGAGTTCAATAGGAGTGTGACAAGACTCCAGGGGAGAGATAAGAGCCATGCCACCTGGACCACTAACAGTTCTCTGACAGGTCTGTGGCGTAGAATATTGATAGTAATTATATAGTTATTATATAGTTCCCTTGGCGTTAGGTTAAATAGCCAGTTGAGAAAGGATGAGGTAATTTTTAAAAGGTACGTGTTGAGCTCTGAAGGTTTGCCTTTATGTTTTATTTTATTTGTTTTTTTAGTTTGCCCATAAAGTGATTTTAGCTTTAAAATGTTACCTGTAAAATGCACATTAAAATCACAGTGCAATACCATCATGGCTAAAATGAAAAAGACAAAATGTAAGTGTTGACAAGAATGTAACTAGAACTGTCTTACTCTACTGGTGGGAGTGTAAATTGGTACAGCCACTGGGGAAAAACATTTGACACTAACTACCAAACTGAACATCCACATATCCTATGGAGGAATTCCACCTCTCATTTTATACTCAACAGAAATGCATACATGTGTTTCTCAAATGACATGTACGAGAATGTTCACAGCAACATTATTTTTTATAACTCCAGGCTGGAGACTCCTCAAAAGCCCCCCAGCAGTAGAATGGATAAATTGTGTTGTATTCACACAGTGGACCACTGTACACAGTGAGAACGAATGAACTGCCACTGTGCCCCACAACGCAGACGAATCTCAGAAACATCATGCTGAGTCAAAAGAGATCACACCGTATGGGTCCATTTGTATAAAGCACAAAGCTAGGCAAAGCCATCAGTGCTGTTACAGGTCAAGATAGTGTAACCCTGAGGGTGGGGTCTAGTAATCAATTTCACAAATGAGAAATTTCAGTATCTGGCTAATGTTCTCTTTCTCCATCTGGGAGCTGGTTTCATGAGTGTGTTCACTTTGGGAGAATTCCTCAAGCACTTTTTGTATGCATGTTATACTTCATTAAAGTTTTTTATTTTTTTACATTAATTGTTTTTTTAACAAAATTAAGGAAAATCATTTATTTTTTAAAGTAAAGAAAAACCAAAAATACAAACAATACCAGGTCATGGTATGTTGCAGGAGAAGCCTGTTTTTTCATGGCTGAGAACGTGTACTGTATCTTGGGCCTGTTGTTGCAATGAGTCCGTGACAGCCTCTCTTCCCCGCAGGGCGCTACGTCTTGTCCTTTGTTGGCTGCGGTTTGGCTGTCGTGGGTACCTACCTGCTGGTGACATTCGCACCCAACAGTCACGAGAAGATGACAGGCGAGAATGTCACCAGGCACCTCGTGAGCTGGCCTTTCCTTTTGTACATGGTAAGAGAAGCCTCCAGTCGTTCCCCCTGAGATGGCAGGAGGGAGATCAAGTCCTAGAAACCAGAAACGTGAATACCCAGCAATAGGGGATTCCGTGAGTTGCGGCACATTTTACCAGCATGAAAGACCGTGCTTCTGGAGAGTACACAGCTCATGGCGAAATGCTTGTTTCATTTATGTAATATCAAAACTCTACTGGTGGGAGTGTAAATTGGTACAGCCACTTGGGAAAAACATTTGACACTAATTACCAAATTGAATATCCACATATCCTATGGAGGAATTCCACCCCTCATTTTATACTCAACAGAAATGCATACATGTGTTTCTCAAATGACATGTATGAGAATGTTCACAGCAACATTATTTTTTATAACTCCAGGCTGGAGACTCCTCAAGTGCCCCCCAGCAGTAGAATGGATAAATTGTGTTGTATTCACACAGTGGATCACTGTACACAATGAGAACGAATGAACTGCCACTGTGCCCCACACAGTAATATCAAAACCATTATGATGTCAGTTTTATTTTTTAGAGGTGTGTATAGGTATGTGGTCATGTAATATACCTAGGAAGGCCTGGATGGGAAAGCAAATTCCATCAGTAGTTGGCTCTGGGAGATAGTGTTATGACTCAGTTCTTATTTCCTCTTCATCTTTATGAATTGTCCAAAATTTCTACAGTAACCATTTCAAACTTTTATGGTAAGGGGAAGAAAAAGTTAAAACTGTAAACCATTTAAGAATGTTATTTTATTTTTTTTCCCAGTATCACACTGCTGATAGAAGCCCAGGAGACACGGGAAATTTTGTCTCCTAACCCCTCCGCCAGAGCTCAGTCCTCTGCCCCAGTTCTATCCCATTTTAAGTCTATAAATCAACTGATTAAGGAAAACATCTAAAGTATGTGATAAAGCTACTGGTACGTTCTTGTTCCATGCCCTGCGCTGTGCTAAACACATTTTTATGTATCATCTCAGATTCTCTTAACCCTGTAAAGTAAATGTTCTTCCCATTTTATGGGTGAGAAAACCAGGGCTCTGAGAGGTTAGCTGACCTGCTCAGAGTTCATAAAAGCAGGGTTGGATTTGAAGGCCGGGCCCACCTGGCCTCAGGTGCCATCTTCCTTCCCCGTGGCCTGCCGACAAAGGTGTTCACTGTTTTCCTCTGACATAAACAGCCTGGTCTCTGATTGAGTCTAGAGGCCCTGGAACATCCTTTTTCCTCAGATTATCCACAAGGCAGAGGATCACTTCCCCTGAAATGGGGGCTGTGTCATTTCCCAACAGGCAGCCAGCCCCAGCATGTAGTTGGTGACAGAGCAAAAGACCGCCTCCTTGGGCAAAGCGTTACCCCAGAACAGGCCTTTCACTCAGAGGATTGAAGCCCAAGACTTCCTAAGTGCTGTGTGGCCTTAGCCAAGTCGCTTTCCTTCTCTGTTTCCCTCTCTGTAAAGTGGCAAGAATCTCTGGACTTAAAATTGCTATTGGGAGATCCAGGAAGTAGCATTTAAGTCACCCAGAAGGTGGTAGATGCTCAGTGAATGATTCTGTTGTCTTACTTCATCATGACTGGGAGGCAGTGCTGCCAGCTGGAGAGATTTGGCCAAACCAAATTCAGTCAATATTTATTGAGCGTCTGCTGTGTGCTAGACACTATGGTTATAAAAAATAAATGAGACATGCCCACAGTACTCACGGACTGTTGGGAGGCACCACATATGCACAGCCATCTCATGATATAATGTCCAGTGCTATTCCAGTGTTCATTTTAGAATCATGGAGAACGGGCCACATGTGGTGGCTCACACCTATAATCTCAGCACTTTGGGAGGCCGAGGTAGGAGGATTGCTTGAGCCCAGGAACTTGAGACCAGTGTGGGCAATGTGGCAAAACCCCGTCTCTATTTGGAAAAAAAAAAGTAAAAATTAGCCAGGTGTGGTGATGCATGCCTGTATTACCAGCTACTAAGGAGGCTAAGGTGGGAGGATAGCTTTGAGCCCTGGAGGTCAAAGCTGCAGTAAGCCATGATCACAGTACTGCACTCCAGCCTGAGTGACACAGTGAGACCCTGTCTCAAAAAAAGAAAAAGAAAAAAAAAATCATGGAGAATGGCTGAAGAATTGGGACCCCTCAAATGCAGGCACAGTGGTTGGGAATGTTGATGATTGACAGCACATCCACTTGATGAAGTATTCTGCAGCAATTAAAGATAATTATGACAACTTCACAAAACATGAAGATTGTTTATGGTAACTAAAAACAGCCCAGTACAAAATCGTGCATTGACTATAATGACAACTCGTTAAAATATGGATTCACTGGAACAAAGACAAAGAAGAAACGGGGAAATGAAAGCAGCTGTGTTTTATGGTCTCTAATTAGAAGGAATGTTTTAAATGTTTCAAAATGCCCATTAATGTTTCTGGGTTTTTTTTATACTAAATCAGCTTTGATAAGGGGTTTGGGATAGGCAAATGAGACTAAGCTGTTGTCAAAGTTTTCTGCTTTAGTTGCACTGGGCGCTAGGGCTGGCTTAACTTCTTGGGAAAGTGTTAGCAAATATCTGGGCTTTTAAGGGGTAGAAAGGAACAGTTGTTGATGCAAGGAGGGGGAGCTTCTCAAACTCGGACTTGCCATCGTCTAGTGGTAAGTTTCTACTGATAGAGCACCAGACAGTGTGGCCTAGCAGGAAAGTGCATGGGCCTGGGAGCCAGACTGTCCAGGTTTAAATTCCTCTGTGCCACGCCATCGTGGTAGTACCTGCTTCGTAGAGTTATTGTGCTGATTTAGTGAGTTTAACGTAGATAAAATGCTTAGAACACTGCCTGGCGTACAAGGAGACGTCATTTAGTGTAAGCTATGATTATGGGCCCATAAAAAGAATTCTTAACCCTACTCCACAGAGGGTTAACTAAGGTTTAGAGAAGTTAAGTGACTTACCCAAGGCCACACGACTAGTTTAGAGGCAGACCTAAGTTCCAGCCCAGGTCTCCCTGACTCCAAAGGCCTTCCTCATTCTACTCTGTGAAGCTTCACACTGGAAGCTTGGCTGGGAGCACAGGGAGTATATACTCATATTCTTTATTTATGTATTTATTTATTTTTTTGAGATGGAGCCTCGCTCTGTCTCCCAGGATGGAGTGCAGTGGCGTGATCTCAGCAATTCTCCTGCCTCAGCCTCCTGAGTAGCTGGGATTATAGGCAGATGCCACCACGCCCAGCTAATTTTTTTTTTTTTTTTTTTTGTATTTTTAGTAGAGACCGGGTTTCACCATGTTGGCCAGGCTGGTCTCGAACTCCTGACTTCAGGTGATCCACCCGCCTTGGCCTCCCAAAGTGCTAGGGTTACAGGTGTGAGCCACCGTGCCTGGCCTCACATTCTTGACCAAATAGGTTGGTGAACAAGTGTCTCCCTCTTGGACCAACCCATTGTTTTAATGGGGATGCCCATGGAGCAGTGGAGTGGGAAGAAACCATCTCAGCCTGATGCATCTTGGCCCTCCAAGAAAGAGTGGATATGAGAGCAGCACGTCACCCTCAAAGCTTCAGCCTCAGGACAACAGGGAATTCCTTCTCAGTACTAGCCAGGGATTAGAGAGATTCACTCTGTGTTTCCCTTTTCCCCTGAACGTCTAACAGTAGTTTGGGAAATGCTGAATCATAGCTCAGTCATTCCCTTTCAACCCTGTGACTCTGGTGATGGCCCAGCCCACCAGGGTCTCCCGGTCTCGCCTACTTCTGTGGTCCCCACTGACCCCCCTGCTTGCTGCCTTCCACAGCTGGTGGAGATCATTCTGTTCTGCTTGCTGCTCTACTTCTACAAGGAGAAGAACGCCAACAACATTGTCGTGATTCTTCTCTTGGTGGCGTTACTTGGTAAGTTGGCATCTGGATGATTGAGTTTTGCCACCACCAAGAAGCACCAAATGGAAATGTGGGTTTTGTTTGCAGAGCTGTAGCCGCTGGGCACAGAAGTTGCTTGAGACTGGCTGAGGTTGTTCTGTCTCCATCAGTGGCTCTGGGGAGCTGGGTCCCTGCTGACCGGAGGCAAACTCCTGTGCTCCAGGAGCCTCCAATCTAAAGGGAGAAAATAGCACTAAACAACTAGCCAAATTCATAGGTCATGTAAGTTTGGGCAATAACAATTCCAATGAGGAAGAATAAAGTAGAGTGAGGATGAGGTGAGTTAGTTTGTTTCAGAGACGGTAGTAGTAGAGCATGCCCCAGCGATTGAGCCCTGAAAAGATCCATGCAAAACCTATCAGAGCTTAGGGATTCATTCTGATTCAAAGGTAAAACTAGATTTTGTCATCTATTTTTTCTTTTCCTTTTAGAGGGATGGGTGCTGTGGAAGAGATAGCTCCTGAATCAGCTTGAGGCTAGAACTGCATATTAATTTTTCCTTTTTTTTTTTTTTTGAGACAGTCTTGCTCTGTCACCCAGGCTGGAGTGCAGTGGTACAATCTTAGCTCTCTGCAGCCTTGACCTCCTGGCCTCAAGTGATCCCCCTGCCTCGGCCTCCCAAAGTGCCAGGATTACAGGCATGAGGCCCTGTACCTGGCTAGAACTGCATATAATTTTATAGCTAAATAGAGCTGTGGGGAATCCATCCTTCCTGAGGAGAAGCAGACAGAGGCGGAGGAGCAGGCTGGTGTCAGGGCTGGTGAAGCCTGCTACCGCGCTGCTCTTGAGTGGCCTCAGGCTAATGACCCTCCCTCCTTAAGCCACGCTGTCCACTTCTCTAAAGGGGGGGCCTATGAGAACATCCAAGTCACGGAAGGGAGTGGGGGTTAAATGAGATGTGCACAGGTGGCTAATATGTGCATTTTTCTTCCAACCTTCCTACTGTGTGCCCTACCACCGCCACAAGCCATCAACCAAATAGATACCTGTCACCGAAGACAGGGTTTCCTTAATTTTTTAACAGCTCTGTTGAGATATAATTTACATACCATAAAGTTCACCTGTTTAAAGTATACAATTCAGTGGTTTTTAGTATTTCATAGAGTTGTGAAACCATCATCCTAATCTAATTTTAGAACATTTTGTCACCCCCAAAAGAAACCCTGTGCCCATTAGCAGTCACTCCCTGTTCCCCTTTTCCCAGCCTCAGGCAACCACTAAGCTATCTTCTGTCCCTGTAGATTTGCCTTTTTGAACACCTTCATAAATAAAGTCGTATGCTTTGTGGCCTGATATGACTGGCTTCTTTCACTGAGCATGATGATTCTGAGGTTCACCCACATCATAGCATGAATCAGTCCTTCATTCCTCGGTGACTTTGTTTTCAAAGTGGATGGGAAGGATCACGGCCCTGAAACATCCTCTCCTCTTACGTAGGAAGGCCAGAAGGTTCTGAGGCCATTGGCCAATCCCCTTCTGACTAAGAAGGACTACCTGATGACAAGTGCCTAAGTGGTTGCTGACGTTTGGAAACAGTAGCCTAATGGGTGAGGAGCCCAAGAGACACTGCGTGTTGGGGGTGTTGGCAGGAGAAAGCGAAATAAACCAAAGCTGAAGAATAGGAAAGCAAAGCACAGCAGCAGGGACCGGGGGCTTCACCTGGACCACGCTTGGGGGCTGTCTCTAACTCCTGTTTGGCAGGGCAGTCTGAAAGTCTGCAGTTAGAAGACATTTCTGAACAGTAGGGTGGAGCAAGGGTCTCCACAGGGAGGTGAGCAGGATGCTTCGCTGGGTACACAGAGAGAATATTAGAACTTCAATCATTTTTTCTCTGCCTTTTAAATTATATTCCTGTACAAATTTTATAACATGCCTACCATTTAAGTTCAGGGTCACATGACTTTAATTTGAAAACAGATACACACATATTGGAAATGTTTGCACATATGCACAGGGGTGTGCATTCCAAAACACTGGAGAAATGTTTTTAAAAATACAAGTGACCAGCTGGGCGCGGAGGCTCACGCCTGTAATCCCAGCTATTAGGGAGGCAGAGATGGGAGGGTAGCTTGAGCCCAAGAATTCAAGACCTGCCTGGGCAATATAGCGAGACCCTGTTGTCCACAAAAAGGAAAAAAAAAAATACAACAACAACAAAAAATACAAGTGACTGAGCACTAAAAAACCCAACAATTCCTAAGCTGTTTACCCAACACATGTTTTTCCTGTGGTTGCCATGAGACTGGTAAGTTCGTTGATCCACTCGGATCCTTTTGGCCACAGTGCTGGGCACTCCGGGCCTCAGAGAACTGAACTTACTGCCCATGCTTGGCAGTTTAGAAGTGATGTCTAGGATTACCTTCAGGGGGTTGGCTTTCCTCCCTCCTTTAGGATGTAGTCAGCACAGAGCATGGGAGTCCATGGGAGAGGTGCACACGAGACCCAGTGCAAACGGCGTCTGTCACTGTGCAAACTGCCGGCTTGACTCTGTTCCTGTTCCCTCCCCTCTGTCTCCCCAAGTCCTTTGGGGTTATAGACTGGCTTTCCGGACCTAACTCTCTGCATTTCCCTGAGGCTCCCCATTCGCCCTTGTCTCCCATCTGCAGGCTCCATGACAGTGGTGACAGTCAAGGCCGTGGCTGGGATGCTTGTCTTGTCCATTCAAGGGAACCTGCAGCTTGACTACCCCATCTTCTACGTGATGTTCGTGTGCATGGTGGCAACCGCCGTCTATCAGGCTGCGTGAGTTACAAATCCTTTTCCTGCTGGGCCCTGCCATTCGGGCTGCTTCTCTTTTGGGGGCCTGATGACGTATGCTGTGAAGCCACAAGGAGGCCAGAACATGCCCCAGGGCCTGGCATCCAGCATGGAGAGAGGAGCTGCTAATTTGCTGAGTTGTCACCTGGAGGGACACCTGCCACTCAAAAGACGAAGCCAGGCCAGGCTCAGTGACCCACGCCTGTAATCCCAGCTCTTTGGGAGGCTGAGGTGGGTGGGTCACTTGAGGCCAGGGGTTTGAGACTAGCCTGGCCAACATGGTGAAACCCCGTCTTTACTAAAAATACAAAAAAATAAAATAAAATTAGCTGGGCATGGTGGCACATGCCTGTAGTCCCAGCTACTCAGGAAGCTGAGACACAGAATTAAAAAAGAAAAAAGAAAGAAATACGAAGCCAGCAGTGGATGGATTTTTCCCCACTCCCTCAGAATGTGATAATTTTTGTTTGTTTGCTTGTTTGTTTGTTTTTTGAGATAGAGTCTCACTCTGTTGCCTAGGCTGGAGTGCAGTAGAGCCATCTCGGCTCACTGTAACCTCTGCCTCTGGGGTTCAAGCGATTCTCCTGCCTCAGCCTCCCAAGTAGCTGGGACTACAGGTGTATGCCACCACACCCGGCTAATTTTTGTATTTTTAGTAGAGACGAGATTTCACTTTGTGGGCCAGGCTGGTCTCAAACTCCTAACCTCAAGTGATCCACCCACCTTGGCCTCCAAAGTACTGGGATTACAGGCATGAGCCACAACACCTGGCCAGAATGTGAGAAATTTGTGGTTGGAGGCAGCCTTACTTCCCATCTTCTCCGGGGCAGATGATCGTCTCAGGGGCCTCGGAAGCATGGCCATCCCTAGGAGGCACCTGCTTGTCTGCTGGGTTGGAAAGAAAAGTTGTCATTTCTTGACTTCAGTATATCACCTCCAAATCTTCCTGAGTGGAAGGCAAAGTGCCCCCTCCTCTTTCTAAGCATGAAGTTAAATAAAAGGCAGCAGCCTGAGGGCAGGGCCTGTGTCTTGTTTGCGTTTGAGTCCTGGAGCCCAACAGAGGGCCTGGGAGGAGAGGCTCTAGGAATCTTGTAGGTGACAAAACCTGTGTAGGTACACAGGACTCAGCAGCGCACAAGGCTGATTCAACCTGGGAAGCTCAGGCTCAGACTGAAGGTCCACCAGCTACATGGCCTCCAGGCACCATAGGAGCAGCTGCTGCTGGCCCGGTGTGAGCCCAGCTCTTTTCTCAGTGCTTTATGGAACCAGCTCATTTGGTCCTTACAACACTCCTTTGATGTACAGGATATTATCCCCATTTTGCATACGAGGAACTGATGCGGAGAGAGTAAGAGGCTAGAAAGTGGCGGAGCTGAGATCTGAACCCAGGTGTCTGGCTCCCCAGCCCATGCCCTCACTGCTCTGCTCTTCTGTCGCCTACTCAGCTTCTCCAAGACAGATTCTTCACCTGCTAATGAGAACAACAGTCCCTACCTAAGAGAATCACATGAAGCTCTTATGAGAATGTCTCTAGGGAAATGCCCGGTAAACATGAGCTGCTTCTATGATTATTGGCCTTGCTATTGTTATTTTGGTTATTATTTTTGGTCCCACTACAACAATTCCAGTCATCACCTGGAAGCCCCTGCCAGTCAAAGGCCCTGTGCTGAGCACTCCAGGTGTCACAAACATGGCTCAGATGCCACCGCCCACCTCCTAAGGAGCTACTCATTCCCTAGCCAGTGCAGCCCACTGAGGGTGCTCAGCACACAGAGATGATGAGGGTAGTCACTCACTGCCCTCAGGCATTCACGGCCCTGGCTGGGGGACAGCCAGTGAAGAAACTAGTACAGCCAAGCTGCATGCAGTGGCTCACACCTGTAATCCCAGCTACTCAGGAGGCTGAGGCAGGAGCATTTGAGCCCCGTAGTTAGAGGCTGTGGTGAGCTGTCATTTTGCCACTGCACTCCAGCCTAGGCCACAAAGCGAAGTAAAAAAATAAAAGCAATTGAGTGGTGAGCATGGTGTAAGCAACTATGCAGAGAAAGGGCAAAGAATATCTTCCAAAACAAGGGTATTGTTTATCATAGATGGAGTGATTAGGAAGGACTCTAATTTTCTCTTTTTCCTGTATTTATTTCAGTGATCACATTATTTTCAAATTAAAAAGAAATTTTGTTTAAAAGAATAATTATGACACTAGGCAGAACGTGATTAGTGCTGTAAGAGTTTCTGGGGGCAGGGGTATAAGAGATGCAGGAATGGCTCTTTTTAGTGGGGTGGGGATACGGGGGGTGAGGAGAAGGGCATTTCAGGTGACAGGAGCCGTGCAGCCAAAGGTGTGAGACCATGATGGCATGGTTCAATTGGGAAATGGGGATGGGCCTTAGCTGTGTGTCTAGGGGAAGAGTGGGAATCAAGTATGGGCCCCAGACTAGGGATACACAATGTCCTGTAACATGAGGGTGGCATTTTTAGAAACCCAAGGAACATTCCTAAATGTATCATCTTCATATTTCAAACCAAACTCTACTGTTGTCAGCTCTTAGCCTTTCCAACGTCTCCACAGCCCACTGACTGGAGTGCTTTTGTGTTGAAGGTTTTTGAGTCAAGCCTCACAGATGTACGACTCCTCTTTGATTGCCAGTGTGGGCTACATTCTGTCCACAACCATTGCTATCACAGCAGGTAAGGGTGACCCATTGCTAGATTTCTGTCTTCTACTTTAGCAGCAGGGTATTATCCCAGGGCAGAGGGAGGCTGATTCTGCTGACTTGTTCTCCCCGTAGAGTGATTTATGGGTTCATGGAGAATGTGCAGGATTTCCAGACAGAGAGACCCGGGTTTGTATCCCAGCACAGACGCACATCAGCTCTGCAAACATCACTTAACCTCTCTGAGCCTCAGCTCCACATTCATAAAATGGGAGTGATAACACTTAGCTCCTAGAATTGTAATGGGTATGATCCAAATGTGCCCTATGCCATACTGTGTGTACTTTAACAAGTTTTGCTATCTTCTAGCTCCACAACCCCCACTGGCTAAGTGACCACAAATCTCTTCTGTATAATTTTAGAGATTATGAATATGCATAGCACTGCAACATCATCAATGCTCAATAAGTGATCATTAGCATTACAGCCCCCTTTTCCTCTATTTCACCTCTAATTTTTTTTTGCATTTTCTTTCTGTAGTGGCCTCAGAGGCTGCAATCATATAAAGCTGTTTGTTAATTTGTTTAAATGGCATAATAGGTGACTAAAATCTTCAGAGTAAAAAATCCAATAAGAACTAAGTGCTTTCCTTTGGTGAAAGCCTGGCTGTAAAGCCCTATGCTCTGCCAACACTTAAGACAAGTGGTGCCGCAGTTCCTGTCTACACAGGAGGAACACACGAGGCGCACAGCTTCCAGGGCCCATGCTGTGAGCAGCACCAGGGGCCATGAGGCATTGACCCAGAGCAGCCAGAAGCCATAAGCTAAGTCAGGGTCAAGAAGCTTGGTCAAGAAGCGTGAAGTCCAGTCAAGGTTGAAAGGAATCACAAACACCATGGTTGAGTGAGAACAGAAGTCAAGGCAGGGAATCAGGAGCTCAGGAATACAGCTGGAGGCCTGTGTGGGTGAGATGATTCTGGACAAAGGCTGGCTCAGGGCAGGCGCAG
The DNA here is from genome assembly GCF_000001405.40 of Homo sapiens. Classification (NCBI taxonomy): domain Eukaryota; kingdom Metazoa; phylum Chordata; class Mammalia; order Primates; family Hominidae; genus Homo; species Homo sapiens. The sequence goes on from NC_000001.11 coordinate 24,459,949, forward strand.
TAGGCCCACCCCACTCCCATACCACAGGAGTAGACCCACAGACTTGGGATCTACTGGCCACATGAGGTTAGAAAGCTCTAACAGCATAAGCACAAAGCCTTGTTTATCTATCTTAAGAAAGATGGAGGGGAGATGACTGCAGGCACAAACTGGTAAATAGGGTCTGTGGTTTGGTTAGTAAGTGTTCATTGTCGTTTTCCTGCTTTGATTATGCACTGTGGTTATGGAAGATATGACTGGGGAAAGCTGGAGGAAGGGTGCATGGGAACTCTACACCATTTTTGTGAGTCTAATATTATCCCCCAATAAAAGTTAAAAAACAACATGGAGATCAGAGGGGTCTAAGGTGGAAAAAAGTTGACAACCTGATCCCCTAAATGGCTTTTATTCCTTTCTTCTTGTAAGGCACAGTCATAAGTTTTGATCATTTTAGTTTCCTAAATGGAAGAGAGCTTAGCCAAATCCTAGACAGACTGGCAGATGGGTGATTTGAAAACAGCTCAGCGGTATTTTCTATGATTTGCTGCTGCAGGTGCAATATTTTACCTGGACTTCATCGGGGAGGACGTGCTGCACATCTGCATGTTTGCACTGGGGTGAGTTCTGTCCTGCTTGCCAGCCCCAAAACATTGTGTGTAGAATTCCAAGCAGGTTGCCCCTCTCTCTCCCTTATTGCTACAGCCGCCCCATCCTTTAGAGTCAGAGGAGCTGTGGGGTTTTGGAGCTTTGTCCCCAGAGGTGAGCGTTTTATTCCTCTAAGGGCTTTATCTTCCCCTTCTCTTTTGGACTCTAATCTCTTTGGCATTTCTCAAATATCACATTTTGACACATGAAAAGTCTCTCAACCTCACCTCGGATCTAAGAAATGCATATTGAAGCTACATGAGATACCATCATTTTGCAAAAACTAACAGGATTAATAGTATTCCACATTGGCAAGAAGATGAGGAGGCCCGCCTACTACCACACTGTTAGCATACTTGAATGTGGGAGGAAAATTTAACAACAGCAACAAAAAATCCAAACAAGCATACTTTTTGATACAGTATTCCATTCTAATCATTTATCTTGGAAAAATGCTTCAACAGGGATGCAAATACACATGTATGAGGCTATTTATTAATTTTTAAATTAGTTGTATAAGCAAACAATTGAAAACAATAGAAATGCTCAGCAGTAGAATACAAGTGTTAAAAAATTATGCCATATCCAGATAATAGCATGCCATGCTGCCATTTTGAAAACTTGAGGCCAGTCTGTAGGTGCTGACACAGATCCATGTCTAGAACACATTCATCAAAAAAAATCACAGGCTGGGAGAGGTGGCTCACACCTGTAATCCCAGCACTTTGGAAGGCCGAGGCAGGTGGATTACCTGAGGTCGGGAGTTTGAGACCAGCCTGACCAACATGGAGAAACCCCGTCTGTACTAAAAATACAAAAATTAGTTGGGCATGATGGTGCATGCCTGTAATCCCAGCTACTCGGGAGGCTGAGGCAGGAGAATCACTTGAACCCGGGAGGCGGAGGTTGTGGTGACCCGAGATTGCGCCATTGCAGTCCAGCCTGGGCAACAAGAGCAAAATTCCGTCTCAAAAAAAAAAAAAAAATCACAAACTTTTAAAAATTTGGCCTTGGCCGGGTGCAGTGGCTCGTGCCTATAATTCCAGCACTTTGGGAGGCTGAGGCAGGTGGATCACCTGAGGTCAGGAGTTTGAGTCTAGCCTGGCCAACGTGCTGAAACCCCGTCTGTACTAAAAATACAAAAAAATTAGCCAGGCATGGTGGCAGGCACCTGTAATCCCAGCTACTCGGGAGGCTGAGGCAGGAGAATCACTTGAACCTGGGAGGTGGAGGTTGCAGTGAGCTGAGATCATGCCATTGCATGCCTGGACAATGAGAGCATAAGTCTGTCTCAAAAAAAAAAAAAAGTGGCCTTACCCTATAATCCAGCAATTTCACCTCTAGATTCTTTACCCAAAAGAAAGAGTACATCTGTATTAGTCCATTCTCATGTTGCTAATAAAGACATACCTGAGACTGGGTAATTTATAAAGGAAAGAGATTTAATTGACTCACAGTTCAGCATGGCTGGGGAGGCCTCAGGAAACTTACAGTCATTGCAGAAGGGGAAGCAAACACGTCCTTCTTCACATGGCAGCAGGAAGGAGAGAAGTGCCAAGCAAAGGGGGAAAAGCCCCTTATAAAGCCATCAGATCTCGTGAGAACTCACTCACTATCATGAGAACAGCATGGGGGTAACTGCTCCCATGATTCAGTTACCTCCCAGCAGGTCCCTCCCATGACACATGGGGATTGTGGGAACTACAATTCAAGATGAGATTTGGGTGGGGAAACAGCCAAACCATATCAGCATCTGTTGACAAAATGACTCGCACATGAGTATTTATATAGTAGCTTTATTCATCATAGGTCTAAATTGGAAACAACCCAAATGTCTACCAACAGGAGAGTAGGAAAAACATAGTATATTCAGACAATGGGTTCTACGCAACAATTAAAATAATGAGCTATAAGCCAGGTACAGTGGCTCACGCCTGTAATCCCAGCACTTTAGCAGGCCAAGGCGGGAGGATCACTTGAGGTCAGGAGTTCGAGACCAGCCTGACCACAGTGGCAAAACCCTGTCTCTACTAAAAATACAAAAATTAGCCAGGCGTGGTGGCTTGCACCTGTAATCCCAGCTACTCGGGAGGCTGAGGCAGTATAATGGATTGAACCCGAGCGGCAGAGGTTGCAGTGAGCCAAGATCACAGCACTGCACTCCAGCCTGGGCGACAGAGCAAGACTCAGTCTCGAAAAAAAATAATGAACTACTAATACATACAATAAAGAAGATGAATCTTGACCAAGCATGGTGGCTCATGCTTGTAATCCCAGCACTTTGGGAGGCTGAGGCGGGTGGATCACCTGAGATCAGGAGTTCGAGACCAGCCTGGTGGTTTGCCAACATGGCAAAACCCCATCTCTACTAAAAATACAAAATTACAAAATACAAAAATACTAAAAATACTAAAATACAAAATACTAAAAATACAAAATACAAAATTTTGTACTAAAAATACAAAAATTAGCCTGGCATGCTGGCACGTGCCTGTAATCCCAGGTACTGGGGGGCTGAGGCAGGAGGATCGCTTGAACCTGGGAGGTGGAGGTTGCAGTGAGCCGAGATCCTGCCACTTGACTCCAGCCTGGGCAACAGAGCGAGACTCCATCTCAAAAAAAAATCAAAAAAATAAAAAAGGAAGATGAATCTTAACATTTTATCAAATGAAAGAAACCAGACATAAAAGAGTACATATTGTATGATTTAACTTACATGAATTAAAGAACAGACTAATTTCATCCATGGTGAGAGAAGTCAAGATAGTAGTTACCTCTGGGGAAGGGCTGGCATGAAATGGAAAGGGGCCCAGGAAAACTTTCTGAGGGGGATGGACGTATTTTCTGTCTTGAACTGGTTGATGATTCCCCAAGTAAAATTCATTCAGCTAGACATCTAGGGTTTGTGCATTTTGCTGCTTATAAATTATACCTTAATGTTTAGAAAGTATGCTTGTTTATGTAAGCTATAGGAAAAAGGGAAAAAACAAAACAAAAAATAACCTGGAAGGCTATACACCTACCTGGCCGAGTGAGACCAGGAGTACAGGGACTCTCCAATTTTTATTGATTTTTACTATCTATACTTCAGTAATGATTGAAATGAATGACTTCAATTTAAGAAAATGTTTTAAAAGGCAAGCTTCCGAGAATCCTGATTGAATGGAAGTGAAGAGCCATGAGAAGCTCGCCCAGGAGAGTCTAATTTATTCTGATTACAGCTCATGGAGAGTGTAGGGCATGTGAGGCCACTCCAGCTATTGTTATTCAACTTGCATCTGCCCCTGCTGATCCCCTGAGAGGCTGGCAGCCTCTCAGGGCTCCTTGGGCGGTGAGCCCTCCTCCGCAGCCTGCAAGCCTTTTTACCTCTTTCCATCACCTGAGCCTGAAAGTGTGCCTGCCCGACCTTGCTCCTGGCCTTATTTCTCTTCCTATCTTATCTCCATTCCGCAGGTGCCTCATTGCATTCTTGGGCGTCTTCTTAATCACGCGTAACAGGAAGAAGCCCATTCCATTTGAGCCCTATATTTCCATGGATGCCATGCCAGGTAAGGTTAAAGCCCCGTGGGTCTAGCTGAACATCCATATAGAATGACTGCTACTTCCTGTTTAAAAAGAGACAACCAACTGCTGTGCTGTGCCTTTATCGTGTGACTGTTCTCTCACTGTCTTTTTTCTTTTCTTTTTAATTTTGTGCAAAAGGGTAGGCAATGGCTGAGGCACCTCGGTTGGTTTTGAGCACATCTTGCCAGTTCTGTGTCTATTTGGGGATCTTTTAAATAAAATTCTGATTCATACTCAATATAATTAGGATCTGCAGCCCCAGGCTTCATGCCTGCAAATGGAAAAATCCATTCATCTAGTTGGAATGAAATGATCAGAAAGGGGAAGGAGAATGAGTGGAATGAAATTAAAATATTATAATCTCACTCCCTGGATGCCACAAGGGAGTGCATCATTCTGGAAAGCCTAATTTCCTAGCGAGCTAAGGATTCATACCGAGAAACACAAATTTAAATGTCTGTAAGCCCTGACAGTAACATAAGCATGTGAATCAGCCCAATACTGCCCAGCAGGGAGTGGTGGGACCTGCGGAGGACTGGAGAGTGCCTGTCTAGCCTAAAGGAATTCGGATTAGAAAAGTTAAGACATTGGACCAACCTCAGATTTGCTGACCTAAACTCTGTAGGTTGCTGGTGACCATTAGCTTTCACACTTAACTCAACATTTTAATTTTATTTATACAAGATGGAACTCTCTCTAAAACATAATCTCCTGTCCTTCATTAACACAATCTCATGAACAAAATATAAACACACTGATGGTCTAGAGGACTGCTTACTCGAGAGGTTTTCATGCTGTAACGCTGTGATGCAGGTGTGTTCTCAGGGTTGACTGGTGTGCCCCTACATTAAATGGCCCCAGGGTTTATGTGTCTACTTTTTATATTAGTTCCTCCTCTCTCGTTATTAAGCTGTTGTCTGTCCTTCTTGCTGTAGCCAGCCTGCCTGAGTATAGCAACTCAATGTCAATGTGCTCCTTCAACCCAGCTTGTTCAGATTACAAATAAAATCAAAATGAAGGAGCTCTGAGTTGGGGGCCTAAGATTTCTCCTAGGAGTTAAGTGCATGAGCTTTGGTGCATGAACTTTTTAAACGTCTAATCTGGCTGCTCAGATTCCTTTTTTGCTAACTTCCTTGTTTCTCGGCTGTGTTCCGGATAGATGAGGGCGCTGGATAGCTGAATTCCAGATAGGTGAGGTGTCAACTCTGTGTGTGCAAGTATGTGTATGTATATGTGTGTTTGTGTGTTTACAAACTATGTGTATATATCAATATCAGTATTTGTGTGTGTATATATATATATATATAGATGTATTTTCTGGTGGAAAATAGAAGGTAACCTAAGGTAGTCTTAGATATCAACATTCTGTGGTATGTTTGTGGGTGTGGCTCTCAGCTTTTTCTTTGTACCTTGTGACCAGTGGGAAGTCAGCTGTTGAATCAGGGAGACCCTGCCCTTGCAGTGGCTTGTCAGGACACTTCCGATTGTAGGTGTTCTGTACTGTGAAGAGCGTGGGCTTGGAGTTCAGATGACCTGGATTCAAATCCCAACTCTACCACCTTCCTGCTGTGTGACCTCCCAAGGCCTCTCATCCTCACTTGTAACTGGGATTCCTTCTTTCAGGCTAGTGGTCATATGTGTAAAGGCCTCTTGCACGGTGTCTGGGACATGGTAGATGCCTGGTTATATTTGGTTTCACTTCCCTTTTGCTTTAAAAACCTTTGGAAGTTTCACACACTTGTTTGACCTGGTGGCAGGTAGAACATGCAGAATAAAACTGCTGAACAGTCTCAGTCTAAACAGAGGTGCTTTTCCAGCCACTTGGTTTCCCTGGTCAGCATTAGGATCTTGCCTTTTGTCTACCTAGATTCATATCTTCACAACAGACAACTGCTGTTCAAGAGGTATTCAAATTCCAGAAATTTACCACATCACAATTTGGAGAGCCTTTGAGTAATTCAAGCACCTGAAAGACTTCTTAAAAATGAGATCGAGAAACAGCCCCTGACCTCCAGGAACTAGCCTGGCACTCTCAGCCAGGCCTTGGCCCTTTCCTGTGGAACAGAAACAATTTCACAGAACATCAGCAGCAGACAAGGCCACTCTGCAGCTGTGATGGATCAGGACACAAGCAGGTGGAATGGGAAGAAAAGGGTTTTTTTCCTAAAATTAAAAATAAATAAATAAATAAAAGAACACAAACAGGACTACTCTGCTAGCCTGACTAAACATAGACAAAAAATGGACATTGTCCAAATCATGAAAAACACCAAACATCCCTCTGACCTTGCTAATGTGAGAGACTGCCGCTTCTTTACCAGGCACAGCTTTAGCTTCAATCTAGGCATCTTCTAGGTAAAAGCTAAGATCTCCAATTATGGAATTAGCCCTGCTTCCTGACAGCATCCAACCCAAAGCAAAGCCTCACTTCCTTGAACCCTCCCCAAAAATCACCTAGTCCAAGCCAACCCCACAATAACTCCTTTCTAACCCCCTCTTACATGGTTCGTGGTTCCCCGCCGTGTACACCTCTCTCATTGCAATGTGTCAATAAACCCATATTTGTTAGACTTTAGGTGTATTCCTGTTGGTCTCTGGCTGGAGGGCATTGACAAAATCCAAAAGGTAATCCAGGCCTGTTAAGCCAGCTCTCTTCCCTGAGAACGGGCACCTCCTCAGCTCTTCCACTTCCCTCTTCTGCCCTCCCCCAAAATCCAAAGCACAGACTCTTAAACTGTGCCCTTCAAAGAACCATCAGTTAAGTCTTATGCAATAGGGAGCCAAAGGGCCTTTCACAGACTGGGTCTTCCCAGGCCATTTGCAGAGTGGGTAAGAGCACTGCAGATCCCACCTTGGTCTCTGGTGGCAGATCCCACCTTGGTCTCTCATTAGCTGTGTGACCTTGGGCAAGTTACTTCACCTCTCTGAATCTCTTCTTATCCAGAAAATGAGGACAGTAGTTCATCTCTGTCATAGGATTGTTTAGGGATTAAGTGCAGGTATATAGGGAAGCCACACAGCATTCAGTTAAGAGTATGGACTTCCGGCCAGGCACGGTGGCTCACGCCTGTAATCCCAGCATTTTGGGAGGCCGAGGCGGGCAGATCACAAGGTCAGGAGATCGAGACCATCCTGGCTAACACGGTGAAACCCCGTCTTTACTAAAAATACAAAAAAAAAAAAATTAGCTGTGCGTGGTGGCGGGTGCCTGTAGTCCTAGCTACTCGGGAGGCTCAGGCAGGAGAATGGTGTGAACCCAGGAGGTGGAGCTTGCAGTGAGCTGAGATCACGCCACTGCACTCCAGCCTGGGTCTGGGTGGACAGAGTGAGACTCCGTCTCAAAAAAAATAAATAAATAAAAAGTATGGACTTCCAAGTTGAAACCCCCGAGTTTGGACCCTGGCACTGCCTCTTACTAGCTGTGTGATCCCAGGCAAATTACATGCTTCATTTCTGCTGCTTCATTTTCGTTATTAGTCATCCTGAGGATCAAATGAGATAGAACTTTATAACTATTTGGAACAGTATCTGCCACCAATTAAATACTCAATACACATAAGCCATTGTCATTGCTATTGTTGTTACTGTTACTATTTAAAGTGCTTAGCCCAGTCAGGTGTTGTAGCTCACACCTGTAATCCCAGCTACTTGGGTGACTGAGGCAGGAGGATCATTTGAGCCCCAGGTATTCAAGACTAGCCTGGAAAACATAGACTCTACCTCAAAAAAGAAAGTGCTTTAGCCCAGTGCCCAGGGCATATTAAACAGTTAGATGTCAGCTGTTATTATCATCATAGTTTCATTGCATTCAATTTCTTATGACTCGGCCTGAAGGCAGAATCTGAAGTCTTAATTCCCTGGCAGGAAAAGTTGGCCTCAAAAGTAATCGGCCTGGCGAAATGGCTCACACCTGTAATCCCAACACTTTGGGAGGTGGGGCAGGTGGATCAATTCAGCCCAGAAGTTTGAGACCAGCCTGGGCAACATGCTGAAACCCCATCTCTCCCCCTCAAAAAAACCCACAAAAAATTAGCCAGGCATGGTGGCATGCACCTGTAGTACCAGCCACTCAGGAGGCTGATGTGGGAGGATCACTGGAGCCCCAGAGGTTGAGGCTGCAGTGAGCCAAGATCGCTCCACTGCACTCCAGCCTGGGCGACAGAGCAAGACCCTGTCTCAATAAATAAATAAATAAATAAATAAACAAACAAACTGCGTCCCTCCTGACCTGACTAGGGGAATTGTAGGACAAAGGTAAAGGAATTAAAGATTAAAGGCTTTGCCCTCAAATGTAAGTAGGAGTCCCTTGTCAAAGTACCCAGAAGTAATAATAAGCAAATCTCACCTTCCCCTATAAGTGGACCAGGGAATTTAAAGTTAAAGTCCAAGATGCTCCCTCTGGCATCAGGATGCATCTGTCACCTTCAGGTGCCCATGACACAAAAATTACCCTCTTTCCTCGACAGTGTAACAAAGTTTCCTGGTTCCTGATTTAATTCAGCAGTGAAGCATTGGCATCTACCACGTTCAAAGCACAGTGCTAGTTCCATTCCACCTGGGGCCCACACCGACATTCCCACCTCACTTTAGGCCAACTGAGGGTTCCTCCTGACAGCAGCTGGTCTGTGTGCATATTTCCTGAAGATTCATCCCTTGTTGCTTAGCAACCGTAATAGTTCCAGTGTATATTTGTGGGTGTTCTCTTTTAAATCTAAAGCATTCAGGAAATTGACAATGCACATGATTAGCTGCTGAGCACTATAATTAGTCTGTGGCGGGATAGAGGGAGATGCGGCCTCCTTGGCCCCCTTACCGCGTAATGATTTGGAGAAAATGGATTTCATTTCAGGTATGCAGAACATGCACGATAAAGGGATGACTGTCCAGCCTGAACTTAAAGCTTCTTTTTCCTATGGGGCTCTGGAAAACAATGACAACATTTCTGAGATCTACGCTCCTGCCACCCTGCCAGTCATGCAAGAAGAGCACGGCTCCAGAAGTGCCTCTGGGGTCCCCTACCGAGTCCTAGAGCACACCAAGAAGGAATGAGACTCGCCTCCCTCTATTTATAACTGTCCCCTCCAGGCTGACAGTGGTTCAACCCTGAATCCTAAAACTTGCCTTTCAAGTCTCATTTTGTTTCTAACTGAGAACTCTATGGATGATGATCTCAAAAAGCCTTTGTCTCTGGGAAAGGATGCGTTATCTTGGTCTTGGAAATTTCAAATGATGAGGGTTGGGGGATGGAAGCATTATTCCAGGTGGACGGGATAGAATCCAGCCTCTGCCTGGATTAGCCCAGGGGGATTTGGAAAGCCTTTCTACCATCCTTGAGGATGGTAACTGAGCTTCCTCTGACAGTGACCAAAGGATGCTGTATCCTTCAGAGCTAAGGCAAGACAGAGAGTCTGCTGTTAATTCTCAAATCCAGCGAAAGGCTGGACATCTCTAAATCTCGTCTTCCTCCACCTCATGTGCATGCCTGATCTCACCCTGACACTCCTGATGCCGCATCTGTGATAGCACTCGTGTTGCCTTCACATGGCAGGCTGGGCCAACCCTGGGTGGAAGGTTCTGACATTTGTGTTTTCAGAAATGTACATCTGCCTTCCAGTCATCTGTGCCCTTCTAGGGAAGATGTGCTTGATATGTTCAAATTGGATCTACTCTGAAAACGAAACTTGGTTTTGGTCCTGTGAGGACTACTTGTTTGTCCACCTCCTCCACCAAAGGAATTAGGAAGTTAAGAGAAGGGGAAGAATATGGAGGATAGGAGAGGGTGATGATGCTTTAGCCCATTAAGGAAGAAAAGTTCCCCTTACTCTTACAAAAGGTGATTGCACCACTTAAAAAAGGATAGGTAGAAAATCTGGCCATTTTATGTGTTATTTTTTTCCTGCATACCAGTGCCCCCTGGAAAGATGGGGATGCTCATTTCAGAGACAGCCTCTTCACCTGTCCTCCGTCTCTCCATTACAGAGCCACAAGCCAAGCTTGAGTTACTGGTTAATTTCCTTGAAGTCAATAGAGACTCTCTGGGTCCTCATCCCCATGCATATATGTCTGGGAGAAGCAAGCATTCTCCAAAACAGGGCTGTTGCTTTCTTCCTGGCCGCATATGTGACTGTCTTCCCCTAGACTGATGGTATACTTTTGAGAGGGGCGGATAAAGGTTTGCAAACTTTAATGGGCATAAGGATCCCCTAGAAGCATATGTAAAATGCAGATTCCTGCACCCCAACTGCAGACACTGTTAAGTGGGACTGGAGTGGGGCCCACGGGTCTGCATTCTTAACTGGTACCACCAGTGATTCTGATGCGATGCTTCAATCCCGAGATTTCACATCTGGAAAGCCTAAGAATTTACAAAGATGTTCTGCTAAAACCCCCAGGGCCCCATGCAGTCTTGCTAGAAAATTTCCTCCCTAGGGTTCCTTTGGAAGGTTAAATACTCCCCATAGGATCTGTGGCATTTCTCCATCCAATGAATACTACTTAGAGCTACACTCACCACTTCCCTAGACAGCCTTTAATAGGCATGATAACAGTGTTAATAGACCAGTGTGATAGATCACTTATCTTTATGGATTGTGCTTAATACTGATTTAGTATCTTGACTCCAAAAACTGACATCTGTTGTCTGTGATAACCACTTCTGTATTGCGTCTTAACCACTTCTGTATTGTGTGGTCTTAACTGCCTAAGGCGGCAATGGGCAGTGGGCCCCTTTCCCTTAGGATGGGTATCAATTCAACAATATTTATAAGGCATTTACTGTGTGCTAAGCATTTGGAAGACCCAGGCTACAAAATAAGACATAGTTCCTGCCCTCCAGGCCAGCAGAGGGAGGCACAAATACCCAGGAATCTCTGATGGGTGTGAAGTGCGGTCGTGGGCCACAGAAAATGACCGTCATGGAGACCCTGCTAAAGGTCGGACCCTGAGCCCAAAGGGGTATTCAGAAGTGGAGATGATTTTGGCCCCACTCATAGATGGGTGGCAAATCTAAGATTTGTATAAAGCATATAAAATAGGGTGATCACCCCCGAGGCAGAGGGGCCAGCATTTGCAAAGGCACAGAGCTAAGAGGAGCTGGGCAAAGAAAGGAAAGCCAGGGAAGGTGGTGGGAGATGAGTCTCAAAGCTAAGTAGTGGAAGCTGGGCACAGTGGCTCATGCCTGCAATCCCAGCACTTTGGGAGGCCAAGGCTGGAGGATCACTTGAGCCCAGGAGTTTTATATCAGCCTGGGCAACATAGCAAGACCTCATCTCTGCTAAAAATTAAAAATAAATAAATTAGCTGGGTGTGGTGGTGCATGCCTGTGATCCTAGCTACTCAGGAGGCTGAGGTGGGAGGATCGCTAGAGCCCAGAGAGCCAAGGCTACAGTGAGCCATGATCATGCTACTGCACTCCAGCCTGGGTGACAATGAGACCATGGCTCAAAAAAAAAAAAAAAAAAAAGATAAGCAGTGGAGGCCGAATCATGGAGGGTCTTGAATACCTGGCTAAGGAGTTTAAAGTGTATCCAAGAGGACGTGGGAGCCACTGATGGTTCATGAGGAAGAGAAGGGCAGGACCAGCACTGATTGAAAAGGAGGGCTTGTTCAGTGTGGAGGAAGAATCAGAAGGGGGAATAAGTTACCTTCTCCGAGCCTGCAAGAACAAAAAACAAAAAGCAGAAATTAAAATCAGGTTTCACTGCTATTTATATATTTCTCCTTTCCCAAATGATTTTTCTAAAGCTGGGAGTGGAGGCAGGAGGGAGAAACAGAAGGTGAGCAGGGAGGCTATTTAGATGTGTCAAACCCGGGTGATCATTAATAATTTGGGCATATATATGCTCCCAAACTTACTCTGCCCCCTTCCTTCCCTTTTTTTTTTTTTTTTTTGGTATGGGCCTTTTAGGCTTGGGCCAGCCAGCTTTCTTGAGATGAGTGAATAAAAGCGTATTGTAATTTCATGTCTGCTTCAGATCATGGGGACAGTGCCACCCAGGAACTGCTGCTGAGGCCTGGGAAGCTCCCTTGCCTTCGGGTTTGGAGCAGTGGCATCATCCCACCAACCTGAGCCATGAAAGGGCTGAGCAGAAAGTTAAATGGTAGTTTCCTGACTGGAAGCCACACGTAGGTCACTTGAGTAGTCAGGAAGCACAGTGGGTGTGGAGCCATCATCTGTCTTGGGCTGGTTCCTCCCAATCTTTGTCCAGTGGTATAAATGGACTGTCTGCTGATGGCCATACGCAGCACTGGCTGTTAAGATGGGGAAGGGGTACATCAGGATTCCACTCATAGCCCTGGTTCGTTATTGTTACTCATGGCTCTGACGTCCCCAAGCCCTCTTGAATGTTGCAAGCAATGTTAAATATCACACCTCGGTCTCCTTTTGAGCAGCCCAGGTACCTAAAGCAAGGTCACCAAACTTGGGTTTAAACTTCAGTTGCCATCACAGCAGGGTTCAGGTTATGCAGTTTTTGCAGTGTGGAGTTGAACGCTGGGTAAAGAAGGGAGAGCTGACTCTCCATTGCTTTTCTAGTGGAAACCAGCCAGTTTGACGGCACGGTGCGGATACAGGACTCCATCAGGCTAGTGTTGGGGAACCAGCCCGGCAGCCTTCCATGTGAATTCCAAAGCTGTTTCAACACTGGCTGATAGGCAGACAAAAGGTTACTTGTGTGTTTCTCTGAGAAGCGGTGTAAATGAAGTCACCTTAGAATATATTCTGTGCGGATGCTTATATTTTGTTAACTTCACGACTTATGGCATGTCTTATTTAAAAAAAAAAAAGTACTAGGTGCAAATAACATTATGAAGTGGTATTTAATTAAAAATCCATGCAGTGACAGCTGAGTTCGTGTCTTATGTTTGGCTAATACTTCCTAGAATTATCTAGAACAGTACTGTCTAGTAGAACTTTCTGCGATGATGGAAGTGTTCTATGTCTATGCTGCCCAACATGGTAGCCACTCTCCACAGGTGGCTGTTGAACACTTTAAATGTGGCTAGTGCAACCAAGGAACTGAATGTTTAATTTCATCTAATTACATTTCCATATAGTTCGTATATTAACAGTACAGATCTAGAGATGCCCATTATTGCAGCTGAGGCTCACTTGAGCTTCCCCTGCAACCTTCACCGTGGTTAAAAGCACAGACTCTTGGCCAGGCACGGTGGCTCATGCCTGTAATCCCAACACTTTGGGAGGCTGAGGCAGGCAGACCACCTGAGGTCAGGAGTTTGAGACCATCCTGACCAACATGGAGAAACCCCGTCTCTGCTAAAAATATAAAATTGGCCAGGCATGGTGGCACGTGCCTGTAATCCCAGCTACTCGGGAGGCTGAGGCAAGGAGAGTCCCTTGAACCTGGGAGGTGGAGGTTGCGGTGAGCCAAGATTGCACCATTGCACTCCAGCCTGGGCAACAAGAGGGAACAAGAGTGAAACTCCATCTCAAAAAAAAAAAAAAAAAAAGCACAGACTCTCTGTCTACACTGCTTGGATTTGATTCCTCTCTCACCTGTTAGCTGTGTAGCATTGGGCAGGTTACTTAACCTGTCTGTGCTTCATCTGTGAAACAGGAATAACAGCATTATTAAGGATTGTTTTAGGATTGGATGGGTTAATAGATGTAAAGTCTTAGAACTATATTGAGCATCCCATCAAGGCATTGTATTATATTGAAACAATGGGGTTTTTTTCTCTTTATTCTTTTTTAAATTATATAATGAACACTTTTGATCTTAAGTATTTCTAAGCACATATGTCTCTTCATTCCAAGTTTCCAATTTGCAAAGGCAGGTGTAGTATGGTACCTATATATTTATTTGTACAGTCACAAAAATAAAATACAGAGTCATATATACATACTCATATATTAAGCACTTACTGTATGCCACATGATATATTAAGACCTCATATTTATATCTCATTTCTCCTTTATAAAAGTTCCATGAGGTAAATTTTAATCATATCCTTTTACAGATGAAGAAACTGAGACTGACTGGGCATGGTGGCTTATGCCTGTAATGCCACCACTTTGGGAGGCCAAGGTAGGAGGATCACTTGAGCTCAGCAATTTGAGACCAGCCTGCACAACATAGCAAGACCCCATCTCTACTAAAAAAAAAATTAAAAATTAAAATAAAAATTAGCAGGCATGGTGGTGTGTGCCAGTAGTCCCAGCTACTCAGGAGGCTGAGGTGAAAAGATTGCTTGAGCCCAGGAGACTGAGGCTGCAGTGAGCCATGATTGCACCTCTGCATTCCAGCCTGGGCAACAGAGCAAGACCCTATCTCAAAAAGAAAAGAAATTGAGACTCAGGTCTCATAGCTGGTGAACAGCAGAGCCAGTATTTGAGCCCAGGACTGCCTGACTCCAAAACCTGAGCTCTTCCCTCACTGTGCTGCCTCTCCTGGTGTGGGCAAACAGGATTTTAATGGGAGTAAGGTCTGCCATGGGTTAGGACATCACCTTTGGCCCAGTTTCAAAGGAAGGTGCAGACTTGAAGGACAGAAGCTCATTAGCTGAGTCTCTGGGGACCACGTTTGCAATGGTCCCACCTGCAAACCAGATGAGGGAATAAAATTCAGTCTACCGGCCAGGTGCGGTGGCTCACGCCTGTAATCCCAGCACTTTGGGAGGCTGAGGCAGACAGATCACAAGATCAAGAGATCAAGACCATCCTGGCCAACATGGTGAAACCCCGTCTCTAATAAATATACAAAGATTAGCTGGGCGTGGTGGTGCACGCCTGTAGTCCCAGCTGCTTGGGAGGCTGAGGCAGGAGAATCGCTTGAACCCAGGAGGCAGAGGTTGCAGTGAGCCAAGACTGTGCCATTGCACTCCAGCCTGGCCACAGAGTGAGACTCCATCTCAAAAAAAAAAAAAAAAAAAAAAAAATTCAGCCTTTCAGAGACCTGGAGGGAATTTCAGAATCATCCACAACTCTCAGACTTTATTTCATGAAACAGTACAATTTTAAAACAGAGATTGACAAAGAGTTACTGTTTATAGTTAATCTTGTTCTCATTAATTTTTTGCTGCTTATTCAGTGGTTATTTTTATTAGTTTTTACTTTCTGGTTTTATGAAATAAAATATTTAGATTGAGATTGGCAAAAGGTTATGTCGTTAATCTTGTTCTCATTAATTTTTTTGTTTATTCAGTTTTTATTTTACTTTTTGGTTTCATGAAATAAAAATTTTTAAATAGAGATTGGCAAAAGGCTACTAACTCTGTAGCTAATCTTGTTCTCTTTAATAGGTTTCTTATTAGTTTCTCTACAAAATCAGCTTTCTTTGTTCAAACAAACAATAAAAAAGGAAACAAAGTCCAAGGCTTGCTTAAGAAAAAGACGATGTTTGGTGCAGCAGCACCATGTTCTGTCATGACCTTATTAAATGTCAAAATGCACCAAGCAGAATATTAAAATTATAAATATAAAGCAAATGCAAGCCAAGAAACAAACATTTTCCCATTGTGATGCCATAAGGTATTCAGGTAGGAGCATAGTGCTGTGAAAGCTGCCCAGGTGTAAGGAGAGAAGATTCACATGGCAGTGAGAGCATTGCTTTCTGCCTTCTCCAGCTTGTACTGAAATGTGAGGCACTCTAGAAACTTTGATGCACTTAATTCTCAGGATTACTTTTTAAGAAGTTAAAAGACGCAAAAAAAACCAGAAAGCCCTATCTTTAACTCTCCTGTTTGTCTTTTAAACAATAGCGTCAGAAATACAGTTATGCGGTTGTCCCTACACTCTGATCTTACAAAGCTCAGCTGTGTAGGTCTCCTGGGATGATTCAGGAAACTAGATAGCAATCTCTTATATTGTCTTATAATTATGAAAATATCTTCTATCAAAATTGTCAAGTCACAAATGTCTCTTTGTAGGAATGAGACTAAGCATCTTTGCATATGTTCATGTACTTTTTTTTTTTTTTTTTTCCGAGACAGAGTTTTGCTCTTGTTGCCCAGGCTGGAGTACAATTGTGTGATCTCGGTTCACTGCAACCTCCGCCTCCCGGGTTCAGGCGATTCTCCTGCCTCAGCCTCCCAAGTAGCTGGGATTTCAGGTGTGTGCCACTATACCTGGCTAATTTTTGTATTTTTAGTAGAGATGGGGTTTCACTATGTTGGTCAGGCTGGTCTCAAACTCCTGACCTCAGATGATCCACCCGCCCCGGCCTCCCAAAGTGCTGGGATTACAGGCATAAGCTACCACGCCCAGCCACTATTTGTTTTTTTTTTTTTTTGTAAATTGTCCATAGGCTTTGCTCACCATTCGATGGTTCTTTTGGTTTCTTATTTATTTGAAAGTGCTCTTTGGTATCAATTAACCTTTTCTCTGTGATAACACCTACAATTATTTCCCCCCGGTTTGTTACTTGCCTTTTGATTTGCTTCTAGTATTTATTTTTACTATGAAAGAGACTTTTTCTTCTGTGTTTTTTGTTTTACATATAGTTATGTCTATATAAATATGTTATTTACTTATATAAATATTTGTATTACACAATCGAGTGTCTTTTCTTTTATAGCTTCTGGATTTTGAAACATAGTTTGAAAGGTCTAACTTACTCCAAGATTATAAAAGAATTCCCCACGTCATCTTTGAGTCTTTTTAGTTTTTTTTTTTTTATGTTGGACTTACTAGACAATAGTCTGGTTGTGTGTTTACATCTGAAAGCCATTGGAGTTTATTCTGGTGCACAGTTCAAGGTATGGATCCAACTTTATTCTGCTGAGATAGCTACCAAGCTATGCCAATACCATTTATGGAATAGTCCAATTTGCCCTGAAGAATTGGATGCCACTTCTATAATACACTAAATATCTATAGTTTTGGGACTTGCCATTCTGTTCCAGTGGTCTGCCTATACATTCACCAGTAACACTGTTCCAATTATCAAGGCTTTCCAATATGTTTCCAATCTGTTTGGGCAAGTCTCAGCTCCTTGCTCTTCTTCAAACTTATTTTGTCAAATCAGAACATAGGAAGGAAAAAAAAATACCCTACTATCCTGTCATTTCATTTAAAAAAGACATTAACACCAAAACAGTAAGAAGAACAAAATCTCAGATAATAATCCTTTAAACTGAATAATTTAGCTTTATGAAAAATGTCAGACATTGTCATTATTTGCCTATTTTGCTGCAAGCCGGTAAGATGAGACCAGCATTGTAGAGCCACGCTTGGTCTTGGTATAGGTGTAAGGAGAGGGAGGGCCACAGAGAGGATGTCACTGGCTAGTCAGTTGCAGGCTCAGAACTTTAACTCAGGTCTTATGATCTCTGGTCTCATCCTCTTAACACCGCCTACATTCTAGGTCCACTACCCTTTATTGAGCTTTCACTCTGGGCAGGCACTTTACATACTTTATGCATTTTCTTCTCACAACGGCCCCACAAGGAAGCTGTTCAACCCCTGTTATATGATACACATGTGGAAACGGAGGTTCAGGGAAGTTCAGTAATTTGTCCAAGGCCACCTGGTGGGTAAGTGGCAGAGCCTGGATTCAAACCTACATATGACTGATTTCAAAGTCTGTATTTTAAAAAAAATTTCAGTCCTCTATGTATCAATAGACTATTATTTTAAATTCTTTATTTTTATTTATTTTTTGCATAGAATGAAACTTCCTTGGGTTCTGAGTAGCATGACAGCTATTAGCTTGTCAGTCTTCATAAACTCCCTGGGCCAGGCCATCTGTCCTTTCATTGATATACGTAGTGTATCATTTCTTTTTCTTTTTTCTTTTTCTTTTCTTTTCTTTTATTTTTTGAGACGGAGTTTCGCTCTTATTGCCCACGCTGGAGTGCAATGGTGCGATCTCAACTTACGGCAACCTCTGCTTCCTGGGTTCAAGCGATTCTCCTGCCTCAGCCTCCCGAGTAGCTGAGATTACAGGCGCCCACCACCACGCACAGCTAATTTTTGTATTTTAGTAGAGACGGGGTTTCACCATGTCGGTCAGGCTGGTCTTGAACCCCTAACCTCAGGTGATCCACCTGCCTCTGCCTCCTGAAGTGCTGGGATTATAGGCATGAACCACTGTGCCCAGCATGTATCATTTCTTTATTTTATTTTATTTATTTATTTTGAGACAGGGTCTCACTCTGTCACCCACACTAGAGAGCAATAGTGTGATCACGGCTCACTGCAGCCTCGACTTCCTGGGCTCAAGTGGTCCTCCCACCTCAGCCTCCTGTGTAGCTGGGATTACAGGAGGGACCACCAGGCCCAGCTAATTTAAAATTTTTTTTTAATTTTTTTAGAAAAATTTAGAGACAGGATTTGCCATGTTGCCCAGGTTGGACTTGAATTCCTGAACTCCAGCAATCTGCCTGCCTTGGCCTCCCAAAGTGTGGGATTACAGGCGTGAGCCACTCTGCCTAGCCCAGGTATGTATCATTTCTTAGGCAGTCATGTCCATCAGGGTCAAGTCAGGAGACAGAAGCCACAGCAGTTATTGGAACAGAAAATTTAACATAAATAATTGTTAACTAGGGTTGGATGCAGTGGCTCACGCCTGTAATCCTAGCACTTTGGGAGGCTGAGGTGGGAGGATTGCTTGAGCTCAGGAATTCAAGACCGGCCTGGGCAACATAGTGAGACCCTGTCTCTACAATAAATACATACATAATTGTTAACTAAGTATACATTTTTTTTTTTACAAGGTAACTGAAAGGGTGAAAGAGGGCTAAGGTATTGTGGAGAGGACACTGTCAGAAGCTGCCACCCCTAGGGCTGGGGGAAGACAGGTAACAGGTTGGAATCATTAAAATGCAGGTGCCTGGAGGAGGGGCCCTGTGGAGCTGAAACTCAAGCACTGAGGAGGCAGCCTCACTAGCTGATGCTGTGTCTCAGCTTAGAGGAGAGGCCCTATAAAAAGGAGACCCAGGCCAGGTGCAGTGGCTCACGCCTGTAATCCCAGCACTTTGGGAGGCCGAGGTGGGCAGATCACCTGAAGTCAGGAGTTCGAGACCAGCCTGGCCAAGATGGTGAAACCCCATCTCTACTAAAAATACAAAAATCAGCTGGGCGTGGTGGTGTATGCCTGTAATCCCAGCTACCTAGGAGGCTGAGGCAGGAGAATTGCTTGAACCCGGGAGGTAGAGGTTGCAGTGAGCCGAGACTGCACCACTGCACTCCAGCCTAGGTGACAAAGCAAGACTCCGTCTCAGGGAAAAAAATAAAAAAAAGGAGACCCAGACCCATGAGGCTCTGGATGAGCCCTGGAGACCACAGATTGAAAAAGAGACACTCCCTGACCTTAAGTGGGAGAGAAAACAATTATTTAACCATGCCAAGAATATCTGTTAGTGGTTCCTGTTCAACATGGCAACCTAGGCACACACATTCACCTCCTCTCTGCCCCAGAGTGGCTCTGAGCTCAGACAGTAAGTGAGAAGAACAAGTGTGCTATGGGCAGCAATCTGGATTAAAGGGAAGACTATTTATAGGTCCTGTGGACACAGAACAACATCAGCCCCAGAGGGAACCCTAAGAATTACTCTAAACAGCGGAAGATGGCCAGACGCGGTGACTCACACCTGTAATCCCAGCACTTTGGGAGGCCAAGGCGGGTGGTTCACCTGAGGTCGGGAGTTTGAGATCAGCCTCGCCAACATGGTGAAACCCCATCTCTACTAAAAATACAAAAATTAGCCAGGCATGGGAGCACATACCTGTAATCCCAGCTACTCGGGAGGCTGAGGCAGGAGAATGGCTTGAACCTGGGAGGCGGAGGTTGCAGTGAGCCAAGATCACGCCATTGCACTCCAGCCCGGGTGACAGACTGAGACTCCGTCTGAAAAAAAAAAAAAAGAGTGGTAGATTTGGCTGTGGACGGCCCATGGTAGGGATATTGGAGCAGCAGGCAAGGAAACGAATGGACCTCCAGCTCTGTTCTGTCGGGAGACAGACCTATGGAGAGCTGGAGCCGAGTCCCATGTCCTTCAGCAGATGTCTTGTCCCAAGGCAGCCAGCAGCTCCATGCTCATGCACCTGAGGAGGAAGCCGATGACCAGGCCTGCTCACTTCCTCCAAGATGAAAATCCCCCCTCACATTCAGGGGATGATGGTACGCCTTCGGGTAAACAAATGCACACAACTGCAAAGGAAATCTCTAGTAAGTACTGTAGTTCTTTATTTATAAATGGGATTGTCCACCAAGAATCGCAAGACATTTGAGGAAATTCAACAGCTTGAAAGAGAGAGACTAAAATGACTGAGGCCGGGCACAGTGGTTCACACCTACAATCCCAGCACTTTAAGAGGCCGAGGCGGGAGGATTGCTTGAGACCGGGAGTTTGAGACCAGCCTGGGCAACCTGGTAAAACAATGCACACAATGCATGGTGCATGAGAGGCCCTGTCTCTACAAACGGTGAGACCCTGTCTCTACAAAAATACAAAAAATTAGATGGGCATGGTGGTGCACACTTGGAGTCCCAGCTACTTGGGGAGCCGAGGTGGGAGGATCACCTGAGCCCATTGATATGGAGGCTGCAGTAAGCCATGATTGCACCACTGCACTCTAGCCTGAGCGACAGAGCAAGACCCTGTCTCAAAAAATTTAAAAAATAAAATAATTGAGTTAATATAAGAATGGCAGGATAATGCAGACAGGGCAGTGGTTCATTAAATTACTTTCTCTATTTTATGTCTACATGAAGTGGTTTTTGAGACTGAGCTCCGCTCTTGTCACCCAGGCTGGAGTACAATGGTGCGATCTCGGCTCACCACAACCTCTGCCTCCCGGGTTCAAACGATTCTCCTGCCTCAGCCTCCCAAGTAGCTGGGCCTACAGGCATACGCCACCACGCCTGGCTGATTTTTGTATTTTTAGTAGAGATGGGGTTTCACCATCTTGGCCAGCTGGTCTCGAACTCCTGACCTCAGGTGATCCGCCCACCTCGGCCTCCCAAAGTGCTGGGATTACAGGTATGAGCCACTGCGCCCAGCCTATGTGAAGTTTTCATAGTAAAAAATGAAAAGTAAGTGTCACTGAGCACTTACTAGGAGCTAAGCACTGGATATACAGTGGAGAAGGAGAGAGAGTGCCCCTCCCCCATGCAGAGCAGTCAGAAATTAAAGCAAACCACATAAAGTGTGGTGAATGTTATAACTGAGGGAGCAATGACACTTCACAGTGTCAGGACGAAGCAGGAAGCGAGAGAACCAAGAAAGGGAAATGGAAGCTGTGGGGGTGGCCCTAGCAGTGACAGAGCAGGCAGTGTATCTTGTGCCTGGAGGCTTTCCTTTCCCCAGGACCCAGTGCAAAATGAAAATGGAGGGGCCCTTAGTTCAAAAACCAAGAAAAAGTGCCACCAAGGGACTTCTAAAAGCTTTTTTCTCTCTTTAACAACAGTCTCTCTCTTGACTTTTTAAATGTGTTACTTAATGTCATTTTCAGTAAAGGCAAATTAAAATTTTAAATGATTAGCATGAATTTTTTACCCATTCATCTTTGTTTTCTGCAATACCCATTTTAAATGCAAATATAAGAGCACTTAACTCGTATCTGTAATCACTGTAGTATAGAATTTGTGTTTCATAGCTCATACATACGTATTTTGTTCTTACCAGAACAGTGAGAACCCTGCATGAAACACACTCAACTGTGTTTATTTCATTTATTGATTGCACACATTCTACCACCTCTCTCTGCCTTCAGCTTGTTGATGAGTCAAGAAGGACTAAAAGGAAACGCCAGAAGTCCCAGCTACTCAGGAGGCAGAGGCAGGAGGATCGCTTGAGCCCAGGAATTTGACTCTACAGAAACTAAACATTATTAGCCAGGAGTGGTGGCACATGCCTGTGGTCCTATCTGCTCAGGAAGCTGAGGTGAGAGGATGGCTCGAGCCCAGGAGTTCAAGCCTGCAGTGAACTATGATCATACCACTGCACTCCAGCCTGGGTGACAGCAAGACCCCGATTCTTTAAAAAAAAAAAAAAGACTGAAAGGAAAAGACACTGTGGGTTGCCCCACCTTTTCCTGTCTCTCTATGTCATCATTGTCAGTGTAAGCTGTTGGCTGACACAGGAGGTAGCATTAGTAAGGAGGACATGATAGGGCTCCTTGTCCACAGCCTTCTTTCTGTGTTTACAGAAAGTTTGGGTTGGAAGAGAAAGCATGGCCTCCCATTAGGCCAGCCCTTCCCCACCCCCATCCTGGCCCCCCACAGAATCATAAACATAACACACTTAACCTTGTTTTAAGACAGGGTCGGCCTGGCACAGTGGCTCACGCCTGTAATCCCAACACTTTGGGAGGCTGAGGCAGGCAGATCACCTGAGGTCAAGAGTTCGAGACCACCCTGGCCAATATGGTGAAACCTTGTCTCTACTAAAAATACAAAAAAATTAGCCAGGCGTGATGGCGCACGCCTGTAATCCCAGCTACTTGGTAGCCTGAGGCTGGAGAATCGCTTGAACCCCGGAGGCGGAGGTGGCTATGAGCCGAGATCGCGCCACTGCACTACTCCAGCCTGGGCAACAAAGCAAGACTCGGTCTTCAAAAAAAAAAAAAAAAAAAAAGGTCTCGCTCTCTGTCTTCCAGGCTGGAGTGCAGTGGGGCGATCTCGGCTCACTGCAACCTCCGCCTCCCCTAGTTCAAGCAATTCTCATGCCTCAGCCTCCCGAGTAGCTGGGATGACAGGCCTGTACTACCATGCCTGGCTAATTTTTTGTATTTTTTTTTTAGTAGAGCTGGGATTTTGCCATATTGGTCAGGGTGGTCTCAAACCCCTGGCCTTAAATGATCTATCCGCCTTGGCCTCCCAAAGTGCTGGGATTATAAGTGTGAGCCACTGCGCCCGGCCATCACACACTTACCGTGGACTTGCTTTGCACACACGTGATGGATCCAACAGAACTCGGTGCTCAGGGGCATGGCGAATGCTATATGTGAATGGGCAGCAAACAACAGCAGACACATATACTGTACCAATCTGCCCACGGCTGCATTGTCCCATCTGACTTTGCTTACAGATGGAAAAATATTCAGAGATGAGATTGTTAAGGATTTCAAGATGATAAATGCAGGGCATTTAAACCAAGTGTGAGGCCCTTTAGAGTGTGGGGCGCTGTGCCCCTGCACAGTCCACAGTGCCCAGGAAGCAGGCCCTGGATATCTGTCCAGCGGGGGCCTTTCCAGGACATTCAGGCGATGCCCACTTCTTTGGACTAAAAGTAACAAACTGGTAGGTTCTTAGTGTGAAAGCTGCTCTGAATCCAGCTCAAGACATGCCTCATCTAAGAGAAAGAGCACGTTCCTAAAAGTTGTAGGCATCAGTTTCCATCAAAATAAGTTACGGTGATTCAAAGAAAGAAGGAAAATAGACTCTGCTGCTCTGTGGGCACCTGCAATACACTGCTGCCTTTTGAAAAATCAAAGACTTGTAAATCAAGAAAAAGCTCAGCACCGCATGGGAAACCTTTGAAGTAAAAGAGAGATACACAGATGGTAGGGCTCTGAGTCAATTCACTTCAAGCCAAATCACCTGACACCAACAGCCTGATTGGTCGAATGTCCCACTTGGATAAATGTCTAATTTGGCCGGGCACGGTGGCTTACACCTGTAATAGCAGCACTTTGGGAGGCCAAGGCAGGCAGATCACCTGAGATCAGGAGTTCCAGATCAGTGTGACCAACATGGCAAAACCCAGTCTCTACTAAAAGTACAAACATTAGCCAGGTGTGGTGGCATGCGCCTGTAATCCCAGCTACTAGGGAGGCTGAGGCAGAAGAATCGCTTAAACCAGGGAGGCGGAGGTTGCGGTGAGATAAGATCACACCACTGTACTCCAGCCTGGGCAACAGAGAAAAAAAAAGTTTGTCTAATTTATATTTCAATTGGACCCTTATGTCTCAGGCCTCACCAAACCATGACTTTGGCTAATAATGCTTTTCCTTTTTCTATCAGATGATTACATCACAAGGTTCTAATAGCTGGAAATTAGCCCACCTTAATGTGACATTTTCTCTCCCCCATCCCCATCTTCTGTTTTTTGGAGACAGTCTCAGGGAATGCTTTGAGCATACCGTGTACTCTGCAACATCTCTTGGGTTTTCTCATCTTGCTCAGCTATTGTTGCCCCTCAAGACCAGCACACGGCAGCCCCCTGCTGCTCACCTCCCACTGCCAGGGGTTCCCCACCTGCTCTGCCTTCCACCGTGGGTTTTCCCCACAAGACAGGGCACAGGCCCTCAGCAGCCCCTGGAAATGGCTCCGTGTGAGCCTACAGGCCATGCCTAACCTCAGAAGACTTAATGAGCAGGGTTCCCCTCACCAATCCCCCATCCGTGTAAGCCTTCATGGCTCAAGGGCAGCTCTCTTTCCCTCCACTAGGACTCTCCAAGTACCAGAGAAGCTAGACCTGTTGCATTCCATTGGGCCCAAGTCTTTCCTCAAGAACTTAACTTACATCTCCTTTCTCAAAGAGCCCCACAGAGCTGGCCCTCCCAGAACTCAGGCAACTCAAGTCTTCACCCTTAACATCAAAAACTATTTCAGGCCAGGCAAGGTGGCTCAGGCCTATAATCCCAGCACTTTGGGGAGGCTGAGGCAGGAGGATCACTTGAGGCCAGGAATTTGAGACCAGCCTGAAAACATAGCGAGACCCTGTTTCTATAAAAAATAAAAAGCTAGCCGGGTGAGGTGGCTCACACCTATAGTCTCAGCTACCTGAGAGGCTGAGGTGGGAGGACAGCTAGAGCCCAGGACTTGGAGGTTAAAGTGAGCTATGATTGCGCCACTACACTCCAGCCTGGGCAACAGAGTGAGACTCTGTCAAAGAAAAAGAAAGGAAAGAAAAACATTTCAAATGGTAGATTTTTTTCAGCTTCAGATTTTCTTTTTTGGCGGGGGCGGTGGGGGTGGGGGCCAAGGTCTCGCTCCATTGCCCAGGTTGGAGTGCAGTGGTGCAATCATAGCTCACTGCAACCTCTAACTCCTGGGCTCAAGCGATCCTCTAGAGTAGACAGGTGGTCAGCACCATGCCAGCTAATTTTTTAATTTTAAACTTTTTTTCTATAGGTGAGGTCTCCCTATGTTGCCCAGGCTGGTCTCAAACTCCTGGCCTCATGCAATCTTCCCATCTTGGCCTCCCAAGGTACTGGGATTGCAGGTGTGAACCATCATGCCCAGTCCAGAATTTTGATTCAGGTCTTCACCAAGTACCCCATTGCATTCTGAGAGGAGGATGTCAATCCAGCCCGTCAGGCCACAGCGACATCAAGGCAAATGCTGGCAGCATTTGAAACCATTCAAGGGGCTACGTGTATTGCAGCAGGACCATTCACCATGATCTCTGGTTTGATGGCATAGGTGGGTTTTCTTTTTTTTTTTTTAATATATTATACTTTTAAGTTATAGGGTACATGTGCACAACGTGCAGGTTTGTTACATAGGTATACATGTGCCATGTTGGTTTGCTGCACCCGTCAACTCGTCATTTACATTAGGTATTTCTCCTAATGCTATCGCTCCCCCAGCCCCCCACCCCTGACAGGCCCCGGTGTGTGATGTTCCCACCCTGTGTCCAAGTGTTCTCATTGTTCAATTCCCAGGCATAGGTGGGTTTTCAGTGTCATCTAGATCTTTTGGGATGCTGCCTGCAGCATAGGTAAAAGGAAGACCACGTGGCCTGTCAAGTCATAACAAGCACAGGGCAGGACTCTGGGAGGCAGCATGGCATCGTGGCAAAGGGTGCCAGGCTCTGGCGTTCACTCTCTGAGATGACTTTGAGAAAGTACATAACCCCTCTGGGCCTCTGTTTCCTCATCTGTAAAACTGGGATAGTAATACTCCCTTCCTTGTAAGTGTTTATAAGAACTGAATATAGAACAATGCCTCGCACATGGTAAGACCTCAATAATATTAGCTGGGTTTTTTTGTTTGTTTTGTTTTGTTTTGTATTTCTTGAGACGGAGTCTCACACTGTTGCCTGGGCTGGAGTGCAATGGCGCGATCATGGCACATGCAACCTCCGCCTCCCGGGTTCAAGCGATTCTTCTTGCCTCAGCCTCCCAAGTAGTTGGGATTACAGCTACTGTAAGCCTGCCACCATGCCCGGCTAATTTTTTTTTTTTTTGTATTTTTAGTAGAGGAGGGGTTTCACCATGTTGGCCAGGCTGGTCTCGAACTCCTGACCTTGTGATCCGCCCGCCTCAGCCTCCCAAAGTGTTGGGATTAAAGGCATAAGCCACCGCACCCGGCCAATAATGTTAGCTGTTGTTACTATTTTTCTTTAAGCCATGAAGCAGTGTAAGTAGAGATGCAGCCACCAGGCAGGAGGCAAAGAGCTTTGTGCCTCCCTTGTAGCTTCCTGCCTTTCATGTGGGTCTTGAGGCTACATTTTGGACACAACAGGGAGGGAGGGGGATTACTATTCCAAAGATATCGATCCACTTCTCAACGAACATTTACAAGTTTAACTGTACCTCCAAATTTGTGGGTATCTTTTTGAAGACCCTCTTGGGGCCTCTGAGATGACAAAACCAGTCTGATTCCTGCTGAAGCCTTCTTAGTTGCCAAGATCAAGTGCAAGTTCTTAAGCTATTTTCTCTCAGCTCCAAACCTATTGGTGGCTTTGGAACAAACCTATTGCTGGAGCTATTTTCTCTCAGCTCCAAACCTATTGCTGGAGCTGGAACTCTCCAAACCATCTCTCTGCTTTACCAGCTGCTCCCTGTGAGGGGCCTGTGAGGGCAACTGAGGCTGGAGGAGGAAGAAAGGACTTGCTCTTTCTTATCTACTTCCTGTTCCTACACACATCACCCCAGGAACACAACTTTACTCTAGCGTAGCAGCAGCTGAATCTAGTTTTGCGATTCTTTCCAATTCTTGCACGACCAGCTTCACAGAACCTCCCCCAACCCAAGACAACAGCTCTCCTTCCTCAGAGGTCTATGTCCCAGGTCCACAGGGCCCCCTCCTCTTACTTTTCTTTTTAAAAAACTGTTTTCTATATATAATTCGCATACTATACAATTTATTCACTTAAAGTGTGCAATCCAGTGGTTTTAGTATATCACAAATATATGCATCACCACAGCTAATTTTAGAATATGTTCATCAATTCAAAAGAATACAGGAAAATAAAATAACGAGTGTTGGAGACGATGTACAGAAGCTGGGAACTCTTCTGCACCACTGGTGGGAATCAAAATGATGCCAAGGCGGGTGGATCACGAGGTCAGGAGTTCGATACCAGCCTGACCGACATGGTAAAACCCCATCTCTACTAAAAATACAAAAATTAGCCGGGCGTGCTGGCATGCACCTGTAATCCCACTTACTCAGGAGGCTGAGGCAGGAGAATCGCTTGAACTCGGGAGGCGGAGGTTGCAGCGCCACTGCACTCCAGCCTGGGTGACAGAGCAGGACTCCATCTCGAAAGAAAGAAAGAAAGAAAAAAAGAGGGCGGGGGAGGGAGGGAAGGAAGGAAGGGGAAAGGAAAGGAAGGAAAGGAAGGAAGAAAGGAAGGGAAGGAAAGGAAAGAAGGAAAGGAAGGAAGAAAGGAAGGGAAGGAAGGGAAGGAAGGGAAAGAAAGGAAAGAAAGGAAGAAAGAAAATGATGCAACCACTGTGGAAAACAGTATGGTGGTTTCTTTAAAAATTAAAAATAGGCCGGGCGCAGTGGCTCACGCTTTTAATCCTAGCACTTTGGGAGGCCAAGGTGGGCAGATCACTTGAGGTCAGGAGTTCAAGACCAGCCTGGCCAACATGTGAAACCCCAGCTCTACTAAAAATACAAAAATTAGCTGGGTGTGGTGGCATATGCCTGTAATCCCAGCTACCCGGGAGGCTGAGGCACAAGAATGCTTGAACCTGGGAGGTGGAGGCTGCAGTGAGCCAAGATGTGCCACTGCACTCCCACCTGGGCAACAGAGCGAGACTCCATCTCAAAAATAATAAATAAATAAGTGCAAGTCCAAAAAACATTTAAAAATAGAATTATCACATGATCCAGCAATTCTTCTTCTGAGTTATTTATACACACAAAAAAAGTGAAAGCAGGCATATTAGTCTGTTCTCATGCTGCTAATAAAGACATACCTGAGACTGGGTAATTTATAAAGTAAAGAGGTTTAATTGACTCACAGTTCCACATGGCTGGGGAGGCCTCACAGTCATGGCAGAAAGCAAATGAGAAGCAAAGTCACATTTTACATAGTGGCAGGCAAGAGAGCGCTTGTGCGGGGGAATTCCCATTTATAAAACCATCAGATCTTGTGAGACTTATTCATTACCAAGAGAACAGCATGGGAAAGAACCGCACCGGTGATTCAATTACCTCTCACTGCGTCCCTCCCATGACACGTGGGAATTATGGGAGCTACAGTTCAAGATGAGATCTGCGTGGGGGTCACAGCCAAACCATATCAGCATGGTCTCAGACAGGTATTTGTACACCCACATTTGCAGCAGCATTATTCATGATTGCCAAAGTATGGAAGCAAGCTAAGTGCCTATCAGTTGATAAAGGGAATGTGGTCTCTTCACATAATGGAATATCATTCAGCCCTAAAAATGAAGGAAATTGGCCTGGCACAGTGGCTCACGCCTATAATCCCAGCACTTTGGGAGGCCGAGGCGGGCAGATCACGAGGTCAGGAGATCGAGACCATCCTGGCTAACACAGTGAAACCCAGTCTCTACTACAAATACAAAAAAAAATTAGCCGGGTGTGGTGGCAGGCGTCTGTAGTCCCAGCTACTCAGGAGGCTGAGGCAGGAGAATGGCGTGAACCCAGGAGGGGGAGCTTGCAGTGAGTCAAAATCGCGCCACTGCACTCCAGCCTGGGTGACAGAGCGAGACTCCATCTCAAAAAAAAAAAAGTAGTAAATCCTGACCCATGCTACAGCATAGATGAACCTTGAAGATATCAGGCCAAGTCCGATCAGCCAGTCTCAAGAGGACAAATATTATGTGACTCCTCTTATATGAGGTACCTAGAGGATCAAATTTATAGAGACAGAAAGTAGAATGGCAGCTACCAGGGGCTGGGGGAGAGGGGAGAGGGAACTGCGAAGTCAATGGGTCCAGGGTTTCATGGGTACAGAGTTTCAGGTTTGCAAGATGAAAAGTGTTCTGGAGATGGATGGAGTTTGAGGTTGCAGTGAGCTGTGATGGCACCACTGCACTGCAGCCTGGGAAACAGAGTGAAACCTCCTCTCAAAGAAGAAAAAAATTGTTACCTAGTCATAAAGTATTACCTGGGTAACTGAACAGGTAAACGCTCTAAAAAACCATGGAGGCAGCAACTATAGAGAGCTATGTCCATTCCTAAGACCAAGGGAACCAAGGAAGAGGCTCTAATTATTACATCAGTGAAAATCTACTTAATACCACTGAATTGTATGCTTAAAAATAGTGAAAAGAGTAAATTTGATGTTAGGTGTATTTTACCACAATTAAAAAAGAAACCCTATACTCTTTGTCACTTCCTGGTACCCTTTAACTCCTAGCCCCTGGCAAGCACCAATCTACCTTCTGTCTTTATAGAGTTCCCTATTCTGGATTTTCCTAGGAATGAAATAATATATGGGCTTTGGTGATTGACTTTTTTGACTTAGCATAATACTTTCAAGGTTCATCCAAGTTGTAGCACAGGTACTTCCTTTTCATGTCTGAATCACCTCTTCTAAAGTTTAATCATTACAACCTCTTCCTTTGGTTCCCTTGGTCCTAGTGAGAGGTGACAATGTGTTAGCAGCCCTCGCTGGCTCTCAGTGCCTCCCTGGCCTCGGCGTTCACTCTGGCCACGCTTGAGGAGCCCTTCAGCCCATCGCTGCACTGTGGGAGCCCCTCTCTGGGCTGGCCGAGGTGGGAGCTGGCTCCCTCTGCTTGCCAGGAGGTGTGGAGGGAGAAGCACGGGCAGGAGTCAGGGCTGTGCGCGGCGCTCGCAGGCGCTCGCACTCAGAGCAGCTGGCCCGAGGCAATGAGGGACTTGGCACCCGGGCCAGCAGCTGTGGAGGGTGCACCGGGTCCCCCAGCAGTGCCGACCCACCCACCCCGCACTCAAATTCTCACAGGGCCTCAGCCACCTCTCCACAGGGCAGAGCTAGGGACCTGCAGCCCGCCATGCCTGAACCCCTCTCCCCCTGTGGGCTTCCACACTGCCCAAACCTCCCCGACGGGCACCGCCCCCTGCTCCGCCGTGCCCCGTCCCATCAACCACCCAAGGGCTGAGGAGTGCAGGCGCGCATCGGCAGGACTGGCGAACAGCTCTGGCACGGGATCCACTAGGCGAAGCCAGCTGGGCTCCTGAGTTGGGTGGGGGCTTGCAGAACTGTTATGACTAGCTGGAGGATTGTATATGCACCAATCAGCACTCTGTCTAGCTTGGGGTTTGTGGATGCACCAATCAGCACTCTGTGTCTAGCTCAGGGATTGTAAATGCACCAATCAGCACGCTGTCAAAACTGACCAATCAGCTCTCTGTAAAACGGACCAATCAGCTCTCTGTAAAATGAACCAATCAGCAGGATGTGGGTGGGGCCAAATAAGGGAATAAAAGCAGACTGCCCAAAGGGACAGTGGCAATCAGATTGGGTCTGGTTACTGATTGTGGAGCCTTTGTTGTTTGGCTGTTCTTGTTACTGCTCACTGTTTGGGTTGGCAGTGACCTTGTGAGCTGTAACACTCACCACGAAGGTTTGTAGCTTCACTTTTGAAGCCAGTGAGTCCACGAACCCACCTGAAGGAATGAAGAACTCTGGACGTGCTGTTTTTATGAGCTGAAGCCTCATGGTGAAGGTCTGCAGCTTCACTCTTGAAGTCAGTGAGACCGTGAACCCACCAGAAGGAAAAAACTCCGGTCGTACCATCTTTAAGAACTGTAACACCACGAGGGTCTGCGGCTTCATTCCTGAAGTCATGTTGAAGTCAGCGAGACCAAGAACCCACCAATTCTGGACACACTAGGAATGGACATAGCTCTCTAAAGTTGCTACCACCATGATTCTTTCGAGTTTTACCTGTTCAGTTACTCTGGTAATAGCTTTATGTCTAAGTAACAAATTCTTTTTTCTTGTTTGAGAGGAGATCTCACTCTGTTGCCCAGGCTGCAGTGCAGTGGTACGATCACAGCTCATTGCAACCTTGAACTCCTGGGTGTACGGAATCTTCATACCTCAGCCTTCTGAATGGCCAGGACTACCCATACACGCCACCACACCTGGCTAATTAAAATTTTTTTTTCGCAGAGATGGGGTGTCTGTTGCCAAGGCTGGTCTCGAACTCCTGGCCTTGAGGGATAGTCTCTTGCCTGGGCCTCCCAAAATTCTAGGATTACAGGCACAAGCCACTGCTCCTGGCCAACAATTCTTTATATTAAATTCTTTCTGTTTAACTCACTAATGTGATTTCTGTCTCTTCACTAAACCCTGATGGACACTTGAGAAAACTCAGACTCATTTGAATCGGTGGGCTGCTCAAGCCGCTGCCCATTTTTAATGTTCCATTTTCTCCTTTGCTCTCTGCCTGCCCCTTCTTCCTTCTGATTATGGCCATCTAGCTCTTATTTTTCACCATCTGCAGCTGAAGTTAATCAGGAAATAATATCTCCTCCCCCCAAATTCCAGGATTGCAACGTTTAAAGAGCAGCTCCTTCCAGTGTGGACCCGTAAGTACTGATGCCCTCGAAGATAACGGATCTGTAGTTAATTCAGCAGCTTCCGAATCTTTGGGCAAATGGGATTGAGTCTTTCTAATTTAGAGCAACACTGCAAGATGAAATCTCACCCAGCATCCAGGCTTGCAAACATGCTGAAGACATATTTCCATGCCCGATCTTCAAAATTATGCAAGAGTGTCTTTTTTTTTTTTTAAGACATGTTTCTTTTTAATGAAAATGCAATAGTTACTGATTGCCAACCTTGTTATTGAAAGTTTATACTTTTCTAGGTGCTGTCACAAACGGTTCATTTGAGCCCCCAAACCATCTTAGAAGGGCAGTACCACTTATTTCCACTGAGCTGAAGAGAGCCAGGCTTAAAGAATGTGAGGTTTGCTCGATGTTAAACAGCCACTTGTAGTTAGTAGCGCGAGCAGGATGGGAGCCCGAGTGTTCTGAAGATGTGAAGACTTTCAAGGAAAATGCCTGCAGCTTTGGTGAGATTGTGGAAAGGGGGCAGAGTCGAGGCGGGGGCGGGGGCTGGGAGGAGGCAGGTAGAAATTGATACAACCTTTCTGAAAAGTATTTGGAAATATGTGTACCAACATTCCCTTCCAGATAATAAAACCATTTCTATTAACAGCTAGATCAATGCAACAGAATAAATCATCCGGAAATACATATGTAGTATGTTCTTATATATTCAATCTTCAATTTTCTTTTTTTAAATTTTTTATTGAGATAGGGTCTCACTCTGTCACCCAGGCTGGAGCTCAGTGGCTCACTGCAAGCTTCACCTCCCCAGTGATCCTCCCACCTCAGCCTCCTAAGAGCTGGGACCACAGGCACATGCTACCATGCCTGACTAGTTTGTGTGTGTGTGTGTGTGTGTGTGTGTGTGTGTGTGTCTTTAGTAGACATGGGGTTTCAGCAAGTTACCCAAGCTGGTCTCAAACTCCTGGACTCAAGCAATCTGCCTGCCTCAGCCTCCCAAAGTGCTGGGATTACAGGTGGGAGCCACCACGCCCTGCCCAGGTCCCTAATTTTTGATAGTTCAACTTACAATTTTTCCATTTTGCAATGGTGTGAAAACATAACGCATTCAGTAGAAACTGTACTTTGAGTACCCACACAACTATTCTGCCTTCACTTTCAGTACCATCACCAATAAGTTACATGAGCTATCCAACACTTCATAAAATAGACTTTGTGTTAGATG
Source organism: Homo sapiens (assembly GCF_000001405.40). Taxonomy (NCBI): domain Eukaryota; kingdom Metazoa; phylum Chordata; class Mammalia; order Primates; family Hominidae; genus Homo; species Homo sapiens. Next base: position 24,492,979 of record NC_000001.11, read on the forward strand.
ATTTTGCCCAACTGTAGGCTAACGTAAGTGCTCTGAGCATGCTTCGGGTAGGCTATGATGTTTACTAGGTTACGTATATGGTATTAAATACATTTATGGGCTGGGCAAGGTGGCTCACACCTGCAATCCCAGCACTTTAGGAGGCCGAGGCGGGTGAATCACTTGAGGTCAGAAGTTCAAGGCCAGCGTGGCCAACATGGTGAAACCTCGTCTCTACTAAAAATACAAAAATTAGCCTGGTGTGGTGGTATGTGCCTGTAGTCCCAGCTACTCGGGAGGCTGAGACAGGAGAGTCACTTAACCCAGGAGGCAGAGGTTGCACTAAGCCGAGGTCACACCCCTGCACTCCAGCCTGGGTAAAAGAGCGAGACTGCATCTCTAAATAAATAAATACACTTATGACTTAACGATATTTTCAACTTACAATGGATTTATCAGAACATAACCCATCATAAGTCAAGGAGCATCTATAGTAAATTGTATATATATGAAGCAGTGGGTTCTTTAATTATTAATGTTAGAACCACTGGAAATAGTATTTAAGTTTGAGGCTTACCTTGACTTACATGGTGTTACATCTTGATAAACCCTGTCTCCAAAAAAAGAAAGGTCATGATTAATCAGACTTCAGCAAGCTAAGAGATCATAAAGTACAAGATGAATACACTGTATACAAATAATTGTTTTCTGAGGATCTCACCCTGTCACCCAGGCTGGAGTGCAGCAGTGTGATCACAGCTCACTGCAGCTTCAACCTTCCTGGGCTCAAGTGATCCTCCTACCTCAGCCTCTTGAGTAGCTGGGACCACAGGTGCCTGCCACTATGCCCAGGCTAATTTTTTTTTTTTTGGTAAAGATTGAGGGGTTGCCATGTTGCCCAGGGTGGTCTTGAACCCCTGGGCTCAAGTGATTCTCCCTCCTGGACCTCCCAAAGTGGTAGGATTATATGGGTTTTTTGTTTGTTTTGAGACAAGGTCTCAAAACACTGTCACCCAGGCTGGAGTACAGTGGTGCAATCATGGCTCACTGCAGCCTTGACCTCCTGGGCTCAAGCGATGCTCCCACCTCAGCCTCCTGAGTAGCTGGGAGCAAAGGTGTGTGCCATCACACCCAGCCAATTTTTTTATTTTTTGTAGCGACAAGATTTCACTGTGTTTACCCAGGCTGATCTCCAACTCCTGGACCCAAGCAGTCCTCTTGCCTCGGCCTCCCAAATTGTTGGGATTACAGGCATGAGCCACCACGCCTGGCCAAATAAAATTTTTAAAACATCTTTATATCAAAAAGAATTTTCGAAAGGGAAATTATGAAGAGAAAATTTTCAACAAATGTAATCACAGGGTTACTATCCACAGTGTATAAGATGTTTTTATAAACAAACGATGCTAATAGCTCAGTGGAAGAATGCACAGAGAACTTGGGCAGATCTCAAATGAAGCATTTGTGAAAAATCAAGATGTCATGTTTGGGGAGGTTTTTGTTTTTGTTTTTTGCCTATCAATCAGGAAAGGCATTTATAATTAAATAGAGTAACAACCTTTTTGAAATGCATTTTGTCATTTTCCAGTAAGAGTTTTTTTAAATGTTCATGCCCCTTGCCTAGTAACTGCTTCTGGGAATCTATGCTGAGGAAATAATCATAAATGCAACAGCATATTTTACATATAAAGGTATTCATCGTATGGTTAATTATGTAAGAGAAAATTGGAATGAAACTTTGATTACAACAATAAGGAAATAATTAGATAAATAACACAATGCAATATTATGTAGTCATTAAAAATTAAATAGTATTTTAAAGCACAAGATAATGTTTGCAATATGTTAAGTGAAATAGGTAAGAGATCCAAATTGGCTGATTCTAATGGTATACTAATCTTACCCAAAAAATTGGAGAGAAACACTGTATACTAAAATATTGAATAGTGACTCTGAACTCCAAAAATCTAAGACAGTTCTCAGTTAATTTAGAAAGCTTATTTTGCCAAGGTTGGGCCGGGCGTGGTGGCTCACATCTGTAATTCCAGCACTTTGGGAGGCTGAGGCAGGCAGATCACGAGGTCAGGAGATCGAGACCACCCTGGCTAACACGGTGAAACCCCGTCTCTACTAAAAATACAAAAAAATTAGCCGGGCGTGGTGGCGGGCACCTATATTTCCAGCTACTCGGGAGGCTGAGGCAGGAGAATAGCTTGAACCCAGGAGGCGGAGCTTGCAGTGAGCCGAGATTGCGCCACTGCACTCCAGCCTGGGCGACAGGGTGAGACTCCATCTCAAAAAAAAAAAAAAGTATTTTGCCAAGGTTGAAGACACATGCCCATGACACAGCCTCAGGAGGTCCTGACAACGTGTGCCCAAGGTGGGTCAGAGCACACTTTGGTTTTATACATTTTAGGGAGTCATGAGACATCAACCAACATATGTAAGATGAACACTGATTGGTCCGGAAAGGCAGGACAACTTGAAGCGGGGAAGGGGCTTCCAGGTCATAGGTAGGTAAGAGACAAATGGCTGCATTCCTTTGAGTTTCTGATTAGCCTCTCCAAAGGATGCAATCAGATATACATCTATCTGTGAGCAGAAGGGTGACTTTGAATAGAATGGGAAGCAGGTTTGCCCTGAGCAGTTCCCAGCTTGATTTTTCCCTTTGGCTTAGTGATTTGGGGGACCCAAGATATTTTCCTTGCACATGACTATCTCTGGATCCTGGGATTGTACGTGATTTGAATTTTTTAATTTATCTTTTTGTTTTCAAATGTTCTATAAAAGCCAAGTCCAATTTTTATGAGAAAATTTTAAATATCAAAAATCGACATGACTCATCTCCCAACCAATGTTGGATGTGGGGCTGATAAGTTTCACTCCTCCAGCAAACTATTGGATCGTGTTGCAACTCTCTTCTTGGGGGAATGGCTGACTTGCCAGGAATGGGAGACAAATGAGGGTGTTACCAGGGAGGCAGGTTAATTTAAGGCTCTTCAGGAAAAGGTACCATCTGTGATGCAAATCCCATAGGAGATCTAGAGTGTGGTAGAACATGAATTAAAATATCCAGCACACCCAGATGCATATTAATGAGTCTGAGATAGAGATCGATCGATATGCAGTGATTTCTCTCCTCATCAGAAGCAGCTCCGTTTCCTCTCAACCTTTCACTCTGCTACATTTATTGTGCACTTACCACCTACCAGAACCAGATGTTGTTACAGGAGCTGGGAATACATCCATGAACAGACTAATCCCTGCCCCCATGGAACTGATATTCTACTTGGGACTTAGGCATTAAACCAGTAATTGCATAATTATTTTATTAATTACAATTGTGATAGATGCTTTGTAGAAGTACTACAGGGAGCCATGGAATCATTTACAGTGAATATCAGTTGGGATTGTGTTTGGCTGCAACAGACACCTAACAAGATCCAAGAATATTTCTTTACCATATGAAGGCAGTATAGATGGAGGAACCCAGGGCTGGTATGGCAGTTCTGGTGTCACAGGGGATACAGGCTCCTCATCTTTTGGATTCACCATCCCAACATGTGGCTTCCATCTTCAAGGCTACCTCCTGGTCCAGAATGGCTGCCGGAGCTCCAGCCATCGTGTTCACATTGCAGGCTAGAAGAAAGAACAGCAAAAGGTTGGGCTGGGCGTGGTGGCTCACGCCTGTAATCCTAGCACTTTGGGAGCCTGAGATGGGCAGATCACAAGGTCAGGAGTTCGAGACCAGCCTGGCCAACATGGTGAAACCCTGTCTCTACTAAAAATACAAAAATTAGCCAGACATGGTGGCACATGCCTATAATCCTAGCTACTCAAGAGGCTGAGACAGGAAAATTGCTTGAACCCAGGAGGCAGAGGTTGCAGTGAGCCTAGATTGTGCCACTGCACTCCAGCCTGGGCAACAGAGTGAGACTCCATCTCAAAAAAAAACAAAAAACAAAAAAAAAAAAACAAAAGGGTACCTCTGCCAGCCAAGTCAGCCTCCCTCTGCTTATATCTCACTGGGCAAAAGTAAAATTTTCCTTGTAAACTGATTATAAACCAGCTCATGTTTCCCGAGCATCTGCAATGTGTCTGGCACTTTACAAAACAACTTTGCAAGGCGGTATCATCAATTCTATTTAACTTTGGGAGGCTGAGGTTGGAGGGTCGCTTGAGCCCAGGAGTTTGAGACCATCCTGGGCAACAAAAGCGAGACCTTGCTTGTAAATTATAAAAATAATTTAAAAAATCCACTTAACAGATGAGAAAAGTAAGGCTTCACAGGTTTAAAGAACTTGCCCAAAAATCACACAGCCAGTCAGTGGTAGCGCTGACTTCCTGGAGCCCATACTCTTTCCATTGTACTTTTCTGCCTTCCCATCAGCAACTGAAAACGAAGCAAGAAAGCTCCTCAGATTTGTCATAGACTATATTTAAAGAAAGGCCACATTTTTCTTATTTAAAATGCATTAAACAATGCAACCAATTAAAAGAACTGAGATGGATTTGTACAAAAGCAGGGACTAGGTCTGTTTTGTTCACTGCTATATTCCCAATGCCTAGAACCATGTCTGGCAAACATACTGGCATGGGAAGAACATTTCCATAACCCCTGAATGTTCTGTGCCCCTTTCCAATTAATCCCTACCCTCAGAAGCAACCACTATTCTCATGCTTATTACATTAGTTTTGCCTCTTCTTGACTTTCATATAAATGAAATCATACATCTATGCGTTTTGACTTCTTTTGCTCAACAATTGCTTTTGAGATTTATCCGTTGTTATGTGTATCAACATTTCATGATTTTTTTTTATTGCTGTGTAGTATTATATTGTTTGAATATACCATGGTTTTCTTATCCATTCCTCTTGTGGACATTTGGGATATTTACAGTTGGAGAATAGTATGATTAAATATTTTGTGTTGTTGATTTGTTTTTGTTTTTTTGAGATGGGAGTCTCTTTTGCTCAGGCTTGAATGCAGTGACACAATCTCGGCTCACTGCAACCTCTGTCTCTCGGGTTCAAGCCATTCTCCCACCTCAGCCTCCCAAGTCACTGGGATTACAGGCACCCGTCACCACACCTGGCTAATTTTTGTATTTTTAGTAGAGACAGGGTTTCATTATGTTGCCCAGGCTGGTCTCAAACCCTAACCCCAACTGATCCACCCACCTTGGCCTCCAAATTGCTGGGATTAGAGGCGTGAGCCACCTCACCCGGCCAAGATGTTAAGAGCATTCTTGTACCAGCCTCTTTTTTGGTAGACATTTCCCTACATTTCTCTTGAGTCTGCATCTAGGAGTGGAATTTCTGGGTCATAGGGTAGGTGTACGTTTAGCTTGATAAACTGGCAGTTTCCAAAAATCAGTTGCATCCTTTTACATTCCACTACTAATGTATGCATGTGAGATGGAGATCTTTTGCCACTTGTATCATTTTCATAGCACAAACCCAAAACAAACCTAATAAGGATTTGTTAGGATATTTACTGTTAAATCTACTCAAATAAGAATAAGAAAATCTGGAATAAGAAAATCTGAAATGAAATCGCTGGTCTGGAAATTCTCCTAAAAGGCAAGAGGTGTGCTACTCGGGATCTGTGGCATTGTCTGAGAGGTTCTACTGAAGTTTTCCAGGGCAGCGAAATGCTTAGCACCCTGGGCATAGGTTTCAACGGATTGAGCCACAGGGATCAATTTCTCTTTTTCTCGGCCTGTAACTCAAACCTCACATGAGAAGGAGAGGGAGGGAGTGTTAGAAATGTGGAACTGTCAAGTTCATTCATAACAAGCATTGATTACCCACCGTGTGGTCATCACCTCGCTAGACACGATGGTAAAAAGGAAGGATGTGGAAGATTCTGTTCTTGCGCTCAAGTTATCGAGTTGCCCACGATCTAGACGATAGATACAAGATGGCAACTCTTCCTCTGTTCACCATGGAAAGGCTGGTGTTTGTTCTTCTAGATTCTGCCTTTTGCCCTTTCTGTGTTCTATTCTACGTGGGCTCCCCGGGTCATTTCATCTGAGCCCGTGGTTTCAACTAACTAACGCGCCTCCCTCCCAAATCACTACTCATTGAGCTCACTCCTAGGCTCCAGATGCATGTTTTCCAACTACTTCCACCCTCAGCTCCTCTCTACTGCTCATGATTTACATACAATTCCTCAGTAAACTGTGTTAACATTGCCTCTGAGATATAGCCAGAATCCTACCATTTCTCATTGCTTCCCCCATCACGACCCTGTCCAAGCCACAGTCATCTGTGGTCTGCACTATGGTGATACTTCTTCCAAACCAATATCAGTACCATAGTGCTGTTGCCTGCCCTTGATTCATTCCCCTTTCTTTTGGTAATAGAGACTTGAATCTCCTTTGTTGAATGTAACCATCAGCATCCCAGCAGATGATTAATCTAAAGGGGGTTTAGTAAAGGTTACATACAGATGTGTGGGCAGGGTTGAGGGAAAAAGCAGGGCTGATGGTGTGATACACTGTGGCAGGCAACAGAGGGGAGCCATTATCACCTCCAGGGTGGATAATTCTGGAGGTGGAGAAGGGAGAATTTACTAGAACTAGGAGAGAGTAGCTGTGTGAAGAAGGCCAGTTGACAGAAGCTTCAATAAATACATGTAGCCAACCTGCAGCGACCCAGAAGGGCAGGGGCCAGAGGAATAATACCCTTACCTTCCTCCTCCTCCAACCCTCGGGTCTCATTTCCAATGTCTTCTATTTGGTGAATTCAACTGTAAGTCAGAGGACAAGGGATCTGTGGAAGCAGTCCATGCAGGTTGGCCTCTTGAGGTTCAAATCAGGAAGGAAAAGGGTGGAGAGTAGGTCTGGAAGGGCCAACAGAAATGATCTAGCACAGGAAGCCACCTCTCCCCAAATCTCAGTCCACGCGATTTGTGAGGAGCTGTCAGAATGTTCCATGCCCCTTCTCAGGAGAGTGGTTTAGTGATGCACGGGTAACACAAGTTAGACCAATGGGATGTAGTCCTGGGACTTTTGTTGACAGCATCAGGGAAAAGAAACTCCCTTTCTGCTGGAAAGGGTGTGATCTGAAATTGTAAGCAGCCATTCTGCCATCTCATGGGGAAAAGGAAGCCTAAGAACGCAAAGTCAACAGGAAATAGAGTCAAGAAATGGAGGCCGGGTGCGGTGGCTCACGCCTGTAATCCCAGCACTTTGGGAGGCCGAGGTGGGCAGATCACGAGGTCAGGAGATCGAGACCATCCTGGCTAACACGATGAAACCCCATCTCTACTAAAAATACAAAAAATTAGCCGGGCGTGGTGGCGGGCGCCTGTAGTCCCAGCTACTCGGGAGCCTGAAGCAGGAGAATAGCATGAACCTGGGAGGTGGAGCTTGCAGTGAGCCGAGATCGCGCCACTGCACTCCAGCCTGGGCGACAGAGCGAGACTCCGTCTCAAAAAAAAAAAAAAAAAATGGAGAGAAAAAACTTAATCCTAATGTCGTAGTTTAAGCCCCTGAATCCGGCCATGCCTGAAGCCCCAAACTTTTCTATTATGTGAGTCAATGCATTCCATTTGCTGCTTAACCCAGTCTGATTGATGTATTCCATGAAAAAAAGAGAATCTTGAATAATACTGGAAAATGCGAACCCCGTTCCCTGAACCATCATGTAGGATTGCTCACTTCTTCCTCTGCTTTGTCAGCACTTTGCAAATGTCTCAGTGCACAAATACAACTGTATCACAATCACTGTCTCCCCCATCTGTGAGCTCCTCAGGTGGCAGATCTCTATGGACCTTACCCTTGCAAGCCCAACACCCACACAGGGCCTAATACCTCAGGGAAACTAAATTAAGCTAATCTGGTTGTTTGACTTAGGATCTCTCAGGGCCATTTTTTTTGTGTGAACGTGCATCAGACATCTCCAGGCAGGGCTATGGAATGCAGCTGTTTCCAATCTCATTTGATGTGAAAACTCAATTTTTTGGCCAGGTGCAATGGCTCACGCCTATAATCCCAGCACTCTGGGAAGCCAAGGCAGGAGGATTGCTTGAGTTCAGGAGTTTGAGACCAGCCTGGGCAACATTGTGAAACCTTGTCTCTACAAAAAGTAGAAAAATTAGCCAGGCATGGTGGCATGTGCCTGTAGTCCCAACTACTCAGGAGGCTGAGATGGGAGGATCACTTGAGCCTGGATGGTTGAGGCTATGATTGTGCCACTGCACTCCAACCTAGGCAACAGAGCAGACCCATCTCAAAACAAACAAAAAAACACCAAAAAAAAAAAAAAAAACAACCCTCAATTTTTGCAAAAGTTGCTGTGTTAGAGGAATTTAGAGAAAAAATAATTACTATAGTCCTTAGAGTGACCTTGACAAAAGAAGCAGCTTGCCATCAATATTAGTTAAACGAATGAAAGTGAAGAACTTAGTTTAAGACAAGATGGGGAGCAGGAGCAGCACGGTTGGAGGCAGCAGGAACCACAGAAGCAGCAAGCAGGAAGTAGGAGGGGCGATCTGCTGGACATACCTCGGTGACTATGCTGGGCTCAACTGCTGGGGAGCCCTTGGGGTCATAATCCAACCCTGATTTCTTAGTTTACATCTAACAGGGATTAGATGTGCTGTACACATTTTAGTCCATCTTCCTGCCCCATGATGCAGGCGCTGAGTGCCTTTGATGTTAAGCTTCACTGTGCCTCACTTTGCCTCTGAAAGGTCTTGAGTGGGTAATGAGAGCTGATTTTCTTCTAACTGCACATTCCTTTTTTTTTTTTTTTTTGAGACGGAGTCTTGCTATGCTGTCCAGGCTGGTCTCAGACTCCTGGCCTCAACCGATCCTCCCACCTCTGCCTCCTGAGTTAGCTGGGACTACGGGTGCGCACCACTGCGTGACTGCGCGTCCTTGTAGGTGGGAGATGAGCCCAGTTATTTTCCCTGCTGTGTGACCCTGCTTCCTTCTCTGCCGGCTAAGGGAAGAGACACCAGCTGCCTTCCAAGTTGGGCTCAGGAGCTTTGTCATCATAGTTGTTATTGGTGGTAATAATACCTGCCAATGTAAGCCTCGGTCCTATCACTGAAACTCGCTCAACAGCTTAGACCCCGGCTCTTCCCTTTGCGTAATAGTTGTAATCATGTCCCATGGTCTCCTAAGGCGTCGGAGACAAGCAAGACTGCGTGGAAGGGTTTTTACACGAAAAAGAAAGCATTAAACATGTGGATTGTATGACAACGGTAGATAGGGCATAGGGTGAAGAGGAGTAAGAGGAGGAGGGAGAGCGGGAGGAGGGAGAAGAGCACGAGTGGGGAGGAGAGGAGGGGAGGGGATGGGAGGGGAGGGGAAGGAGTGGGTAAGGGGAAGAGGGTTGTACCCGCCAGGGCGGGACCCAGCCTGTGCCGTCCCACACCTTGTGCTAGCTCCAGCTCAGCTACCTGCGGCCGCCTCTCCTCGGGCAATGAGGCGCCGGGAAGCCCACAGCATCTGATAATATCCGGGCCGCCGGTTGCCGGGAGGTGAACCGAGGTAAACTCGCCGCGCGCGGGGCGCAGTGTACATAGTAACCAGCCCTGAGTAAACGTTCGTCATATTCCTATGAGCTGCTCCGGGGACTGTCCTACGGGGCTAGCAGGAAAAGGAGATCGGCTCTCTCCGCTCCCGGTGGAAAACGAGAAGGTCGCCAGAGGTCCTGTTTTCGGGGTGATCTAAAGCCCCCGCCCCAGCGCTACAGCCCAAGCCCCCCACAGGCTGGGGACCAGGAACCCGGAGGAGCGGGAGGAGGGCGCGCGCGGCGAGACACCCCCACCCCGGCCCCCGCGCGCCCCCGCCCCGGTCCCCGCCCGGGTCCCCGCCTTGTCCTGGGCTCTGGCGCCTGCGCCGCCGTGCGCGCGCCCTGCCAGAACAGGAGGGGACGAGGCGGGCGCGCGGCGCCGGCAGCCTAGCTCAGCCGGGACACCGCCCTAGTCCCAGCCCAGGGGGCCGCTCTCGCCGGCGTCGAGGGCGTGGCGGCGAGGCTGCTGCTGCAGGCGGCTCCCGGCTCTGCCTTCGGCCCCGCCCGCCGCCCACCAGGCTCCCAGAGGCCCCGCAGCTCGCGCCGTCCGGCTCCCCGCAGCCCCGTCGGGCAGCCCGGGCCCGTCCGCTGCCCTCCCGGCTCCCGTCCTGCGGCGGCGGGGCGTGCAGGTGAGGCCCCACGGCGCCCGGCCTCTCCAGCAGGTTTGCACCCAGCGCGGGGCGGGGCGGGGCGGGGCGGGTGGGGGGGGTGGTGCATGAAAAGTTAAAAAAAAAAAAAAAAAAAAAAAAGCCGCCCCGAGAAGTCCGGGAGGGGTGGGCACTCCGAGCCGCGGGACCGGGAGATGCTACCGCGCGCGACCTCGCCTCCCGCGACCTCGCCTCCCGCCGCACCCTTCTCGCGCGCGGGGTCTAGTCTGGCAGCCTCGAGGGTGGTGTCCCGGAAAACAAAACAAAAATGTTTTGTCTTCTCCACCAACGATTTTCTCCCACCAAGTGTGTTTGACCTTTTGAAAAGCCGACAGGCCCAGCCTGCCTGTGAAGGCAGGAGCGGTGTAGGGGCGCCTGGAAGGTGGAAGCCCCCTGTCTTTCTCCCTTGCCCCGCTTCCCCCACGGTGCGTGGATCACCATCGCATTAGTGACTCCCTAACTTCTTGAAACTTGTCTGTCTGCTTCTGTCCGCCGCCTGGACAGGTAGGGCAGGAGTGATCTGTTCCAGGTTGATTCTTCTAGCTTCCGTGCAAAATCTGATCATCTCCTTTAGAGATTAGGATTCTAGTGTAGGAAGCAATCCAGATCCGTGTTTCAGATACAAACAAGGATTATTTAAAGTGATGTTTTCCTGTAGTGCTGAAAGCCAAAAATATTCGCTTCCACTTGTTGGAAGCCACCAAGTACACCACATTTATTTGAACTTTTCATAGAAGTCTCTGATGTACTATTTGGCAAAAGAAGCAATTGATTTATCTGTAGCTGTGATTACATACGATGTAAAGTAATTTGTTTTAAGACTATTTCATTGGCTTTGGTTCAATATCTTAAACTCTGTAAACACATAATTCAGGAGCCAGATATGCATCACACAAATGTGTTCTTTTTGGTGGGGATTTAAATTGATCTAGAAATGGGCTTTCCATCCAGGAAGACTGTGAAAAGCTTGAAAACTGAGTCTCTTCTTTAGCCAGGTCATCAGCTTTACATTTTACTGCATTGGCAAGCCTTGCCTTTTCTTTTCTCTTCTCTTCTCTTTTCTTCTTTTTGAGACAAGGCCTCGCTCTGTCATCCAGCTGAAGTGCAGTGGTGCAAACACAGCTCACTGCAGCCTCAACTTCCCAGGATCAAGCGATCCTCCCACCTCTCAGCGTCCTGAGTAGCTGGGACTACAGATGCCGGCTAATTTTTTGTAGAGATTGGGTGTCACTATGTTGCCCAGGCTGTTCTTGAACTCCTGGGCTCAAGCCATCCGCCCACCTCTGCCTCCCAAAGTGCTGAGATTACAGGCATGAGCCACCGCACCCAGCCAAACCTTTTCTCTCTTAGCCTGAAAACAGATTTCAGTGCTTTTCTAGGAAACAAGATTTTTCCTGCTGTTGAAATATAACGTTTGTAAAGGTTTCAAACATGTGAACATTAGGTAACAGACAAGAGCAGATTTTATATGGTGTTAGAGTTGTTGGTTGAAGGACTTAAAGCATGAAAAATAGTGTGACGCGGAAATCCATTAGCCTGAAGCCTGTGAAATAATGGAAGCTCTAAAGTTCAACACCGTTTGTTACTTAGAAAAAAAACACAGAAGGTGGAGGTCGGACAGCAATCTCCACTTTTCCCCTAGAATGTAGAGGTTCTATCCAGGGAAAAGAAATTATACACAGCACAACAAATAGCATCAGTCTTATATATCTCAACTTCAGTTATTCTTTAAAACCTGTTGTTTTCATATGTTTTGTAGGCTGGTTTTTGTTGTTTATTTCTATCTGTCTCTTGCTGACAAATTCCTGGTGGAGTGGAACTTCAATTATAACAGGACCAATTCTAGGTTATCTGTGAAAACAAGACATGGGTCATTGAAACATACAAAATACAAAAATCAAATTTTCACCCGTTTTACTTTACTGTCGCACGAAATTTTTCTTACACACAGCTACTAAAAAATAGTACAGTTCTACCTGTAAGTGGTAAATGAGTAGAGAATAGAAGGTAGGGCTTCGTGATAGCCGTTCAGAACTTCGCATTGACGATCCTAAGTGGCTTTTTGTTGTTGCTTTGTTTTTTTTTTTCTCTTTTTTCTTTTTTTTTTTTTTTTTTTTTCTTTTTTTTGAGATCTCCTTCTGTTGCCCAGGCTGGAGTGCAGTGGTGCAAACACAGCTCACTGCAGCCTTGGCCTCCCAGGCTCAAGTATTCCTCCCACCACAGCCTTCTGAGTAGCTGGGACTACAGGCGTGCACCATGTGTTTTTTTGTAGAGACGGGGTTTTTCCATGTTGCCCGGGCTGGTCTCGAACTCTGGAGCTCTGGCAGCCCGCCTGCCTCCGCCTCCCAAAGTGCTGGGATTACAGGCATGAGCCACCACACCAGTCCAAGTGTTTTGTTTTGTTTAACTTAGTTGAAATTTTTAATTTAGAAATTTAAAAAAGGAACTTAGTAGCCCAAAGCACCTATGTTTATTTTATATATTTTATACACTTTATGTATTTTATCTTGTTCATTTTATAAATACAGAAAAACCAAGGGATTTTTCCCAAGGTTATACAGCAGGACACTTGTAGAGCTGATAATGGAGCACTTGTTTGCTTCCAGTATTGTTTGGTAGCATTTTTAACATACAAAAAAAGTGAAAAGTACATCTAGCTAAGATACTGAAATGTTCACCAAGTTGGGAAGCCTATTAATTTGAAAAATTATTATTATTTTAATCCTGGAGGAGAAAGAATTTGCGTTTTCCTGATCAGAACAGAAAATGCAAGATCCATGCCATGTGCTTGACATTTTGCCTTGATAGATGACTTTTGTCACAGGCCTGTTGTGGCAGAGCAGATGGTCATGCTACTTGGAGTTTTTCCACTCATTTGATATTTCCATGAAGAAACAATTTGCCAGAAGCCAGCCGTAGTTAGAGTTGTGCTGGAGATGACGGGAAACCTGGATTAGCACAGACTTTTGCTTACAGGAGCTGGAGGATATCGGTTCAGCCCTTTCTGCTGGGCCAGTCAAGAGTTCCCTGGATTGGTAAACTGAGGAACAGTTTAGTCTTGTGATAGTTGGAGTGGAGCTATAATTATACCACTGCACTCTAGCCCGCATGACAGAGACCCTGTCTCTAAAAAAGGAAAAAGAAAGAAATATAGATATCTTGGGACAAACGACAAATAATTTGACAATAATCTAAAGAAAAATTGAAGGAAAATAGCTAAGACATTATTAGGATAACTGATAAAATTTGAATCCAGATTATGCATTTGACAAATTATGTATTAGATAATAGTATTATATCAATGTTAAATTTCCTGTTTTTGATAATTATCCTATGGGTTATATAAGAAAATGATCTTGTTCTTATACACTGAAGTATTTGGAAGTAAAAGGGGTATGCTCCATCTTTCAATGGCTCAGGAAAATGCATGTCTATAAAAATAGAGAAAGATAAAGCAGATGGTCAAAACAGAAGGAATTGGTGACTCTGGGTAAAGGATACAGCATACCCGAGTTCCTTGTGCTATTCTTATAACTTCTGTTTGAAGTTATATCAAAAAAAAAAAAAAGGTACTCAAAATTGAAGGTAGAAAACAGGAAATGAAGGTGTGATATTCTAAGAATTTTTTTTTTTTTAAGTCAGGTGAAGGATTATTTCCTGTGTTCTGTTTTTTAAAATCTTTTTACGGGTTAGACGAGGGAACTTGAAACAAACAAATCTTATCAAGAATAGGTTGACTTTCTCAAATTTCAAAATCTAGTCAGCCAGAGCTCCCCAACTTACCAGCCTCCAAAAACCCGGGCACAGTATTTTCTCTACCTCTTTTTAATGGGTTGGGAATAGGATAGAAACATTAGTGCCTCTAAGAGATAAGATACAAAGACAGCCCACCTTTAGAGATACTAAAAGTTAAATTGCACTTGGTTTTATCATTTCCCTGCCTAAAAACCCACAATGGCATGCTGATATTGACATGGTTTTTGTGTCAAAACTCTGTAACCCTACTTGCTTGGCAACCTGGCCCATACCTGCCTTTCCGACTGTCTCATGCCACCCCCACCAAACACCTTGCACCCTAGCCATGCCAGATCACGTGACCTTTGTGCATGCTGGTCCTACTGTCTTCCTGCCTTTGTTCATGTCCTGCTGGCTTTGTGTGGAATGCTCCCCATTCTTTTCCTCCTGAAATTCTGTTCATCCTTGAAGTCTCACCATTGCCTCCTTGGGAAGCTATCTCTAATCCCATGCAGAATTCAATTTACCTTTGTCTGTGCTGACATATCAGTGGGGTAACTAAAATACTACCTGCTGTTATTCAGCCTCCCTTATTAAGCATACACTGTGAGCGGGAAACTATGCCAGGGCCTGGGGTTTCACAGATACAGTCTTGTAGCTAGGAGTGATTTGTAAACAAATAATCACAATGTAAGTGTATAACAGAAAAATGAACCAAGCACTGTAAGAGCTAAGTCCACCTGACAACTTTGTCTTGAAGAAAAGATTAATGAAAGCCACAGTGAGATACACTGTCACTCCCTGCCCCGCTTCCGCAGGGCCCCTTTCCAGATTGGAGATTTCTGGCACGATAAATGAGTAAGTTAAAAACAGTTGTTGTACCTGTGGGCCACCCAGATAGATATATTCAATAGAAAGTGAAAAATACGGCTAGGCGTGGTGGCGGCTCACGCCTGCAATTTGGGAGGCCAAGACGGGGGGATCACCTGACGTCAGGAGTTTGAGACCAGCCTGACCAACATGATGAAACCCCATCTCTGCTAAAAATACAAAAAGTTAGCTAGGTGTGTGATGGCATGTGCCTGTAGTCCCAGCTACTCGGGAGGCTGAGGCAGGAGAATCGCTTGAACCCTGGAGGCAGAGGTTGCCAGTGAGCCGAGATTGCGCCAGTGAGCCGAGATCGCGCCACTGCGCCGAGACTGCGCCACTGCACCCCAGCCTGGACAAGAGTGAAACTCCGTCTCAAAAAAAAAAGAAAGAAAAAGTGAAAAATACAAGACTAGAACTCAGGATTGAGAGTGAGTCTTGGTATATAAATTTGAATGTACCCATATGGATGACTGATTTTCAGGGTATGTAGGCAGGAAAGACCAACAGGTAGATCACAGGCTCTTGGGGACATGGTACTTTTCCAAACTACCCATCCTCTTTATTGCTCAAGGTTCTGCTCTGGCTTCCCTCCCAACTTTGGTGACATTCATCCTGTCTTAAGGTCGTTGCACGAAATGAGAGCCAGTATTGACACAGGTGTGTGTGAACCACAGGGAGGCAGGAACTTAGTTGAGAACCTCTGGTGATTAGGCAGCTAAATACTCCAGTGTGGATAAAGTCACGCAGGAGAGAAAGATGAAAAAAGGATGAGGATGTGGAGAAAGAGGCAGTAAAAAAGATAGAGCTGGTGAGGAAGAAGGGCCAGGAAGAGGCAAGACCCAGAAGGCAGGGACACAGGGAGGTCTAAGAATGAATGGAATAGGCAGCCAGGTCATGTGCTACAGAGATAGGCTGAGACCTGACACTGGGTTTCAACTACAGGCTTGTTCGGGGATATCGCGGGTTTCGTTACAGATAATTGTAATAAAGCCGGTCACACGAATTTTGGTTTCCCAGTGCATATAAAAGTCTTGTTTACACTATACTATAGTCTATTAAGTGTGCAATAGCATATGTCTTAAAAAAATTTATAGACCTTCATTTAAAAAATACTTTGTTGCTAAAAAATACTAATGATCGGTTGGTGTGGTGGCTCACACCTATAGTCCCAGTACTTTAGGAGGCTGAGGCGAGTGGATCACTTGAACCCATGAGTTTGAGACCAGCCTGGGCAACATGGCAAAACCCCATCTCTACAAAGAATACAAAAATTAACCGGACATGGTGGTGTGTGCTTGTAGTTCCAGCTACTTGGGAGGCTGAGGTGGGGGGATCACCTGAGCATGGGAAGGTCAAGGCTACAGTGAACATGATCACGCCACTGCACTAGAGTCTGGGCAACAGAGTGAGACCCCACCCCATCTCAAAAAATAATGCAAACGATTAAGTCGTAATCTTTTTGTTGGTGGAAGATCTTGCCTTGAGGTTGATGGCTGCTGACTGATCAGGGTGGTGATGCTGTAGTTTGGGGTGACTGTGGCAATTATTAAAATAAGACAACAGCATTTCACGAAAGATTTCTCTGTAGTATGTGATGCTGTTTGATAGCATTTTACCTACAGTAGAAGTTCTTTCAAAATTGCAGCCAATCCTCTAAACCCTGCCATTGCTTTATCAACTAAGTTTATGGAATATTGTAAATCCTTTGTTGTCATTTCAACAATGTTTACAGTATCTTCCCCAGGAGTAGATTTTATCTCAAGAGACCACCCTCTTTGCTCATTCACAGGAAGCCAACTCCCTTCCATTCAGGTTTTGTTTGAGATTGCAGGAATTCAGTCACATCTTTAGGCTCCGCTTCTAATTCTAGTTCTCTTGGTATTTCCACCACATCTGCAGTTATTTTCTCCACTGATGTCTTGAACACCTCAGAGTCATCCATGAGGGTTGAAACCAACTTCTTCCCAACTTGTTGATGTTGCGATTTTGACCTCCTCCCATAAATCACGAATGTTCTGGATGGCATCTAGAATGATGACTTCTTTCCAGAAAGTTTTCCATTTACTTTGCCCAGATCTATCTGAGGAATTGCTATCTCTGGCAGCTGTATACTTACGAAATGTATTTCTTAAAATAGTAAGACTTGAAAGTCAAAGTTACTCCTTGATCCATGGGCTGCAGAATGGATATTGTGTTAGCAGGCATGAAAAGAACATTCATCTCCCTGTATATTTCTGTCAGAGCTCCTGGGTGACCAAGCGAATTGTCAACGAGAACAATGTTTTGAAAGGGATCTCTCTTTTTTTCTTAGCAGTAGGTCTCAAGAATGGGCTTAAAACGTACAGTAAACCATGCTATAAACAGATGTGCGGTCATCCAGGCTGAATTGTTCCGTTCATAGAGCACAGGCAGAGTAGATTTAGCACAATTCTTAAGGGCCATAGGATTTTTAGAATGGTGAATGAGCATTGGCTTTAACTTAAAGTCACCAGCTATGTTAGCCGCTAACAAAAGAGTCAGCCTGTCCTTCGAAGCTTTGAAGCCAGGCATTGACTTCTAGCTATGAAAGTCCTAGATGCATCTTCTTCCAATAGAAGGCTACTTAGTCTATATTGAAAATCTGTTGAGTGTAGCCACCTTCATCAATGACCTTAGCTAGATCTTCTGGATAACTTGCTGCAGCTTCCATATCAGCACTTGCTGCTTCGCCTTGCACTTCTATGTTATAGAGACAGTTCCTTTCCTTCAGCCTCATAAACCAACCTCCACTAGCTTCAGACTTTTCTTCTTCAGCTTCCTCAGCTCTCTCATCCTTCATAGAAGTGAAGAGAGTTAGGGCCTTGCTCTGGATTAGACTTTGGTTTAAGGGAATGTTGTGGCTGGTTTGATCTTCTATCTAGACCAATCAGACTTTTCGTATCAGCGATAAGTCTGTTTTTGCCTTTTTAGCATTTGTGTGTTCACTGGAGTACCACTTTTAATTTCCTTTGGGAACTTTTCCTTTGCATTCACAACTTGACTGATTGGTGCAAGAGACTTAGCTTTTGGCCTCTGGGGACGTATCTTCCTCAGCAGGCTTAATCACTGCTGGCTTTTGATTTAAAGTGAGAGACTCAGGATGCTTCCTTTCACTTGAACACTTAGAAGCCATTGAAGGTTTATTAATTGGCCTAATTTCAATATTGTCGTGTCTCAGAGAGTAGGGAGCCCGAGGAGAGGGAGAGAGTCGGGGAAATGGCCTCACTCAGTAAAGCAGTTAGAACACCTACAACAAATATTAAGAACACCCATGGCCGGGCGTGGTGGCTCACGCTTGTAATCCCAGCTCTTTGGGAGGCCGAGGTGGGCAGATCACAAGGTCAAGAGATTGAGGCCATCCTGGCCAACATGGTGAAACCCTGTCTATACTAAAAATACAAAAAATTAGCTGGGCATGGTGGCGTGTACCTGTAGTCCCAGCTACTCGGGAGGCTGAGGCAGGAGAATCGCTTGAACCCGGGAGGCGGAGGCTGCAGTGAGCCAAGATAGCACCACTGCACTCCAGCCTGGGCGACAAAGCAAGACTCCGTCTCAGAAACAAAACAAAACAAAACAAAAAAACAAAACATCCACAGCATGTATTGGTTAAGGACACCCACAACATGTATTCATTGATTAAGAACACCCACGACGTGTATTCATTGATTAAGAACACCCACGACGTGTATTCGTTGATTAAGAACACCCATGTGTATTGGTGAAGAACACCCACAACACGTATTGATTAGGCACACCCACAACACGTGTCGGTTAGGAACACCCACAACATGTATTGATTAAGTCTGCCATCTTATATGGGTGCAGTTCATGGTGCCCCAAAACAATTACAATGGTAACATCAAAGATCACTGATCACAGATCACCATAACAGATAAAACAATAGTGAAAAAATTTGAAATATTGTGAGAATTACCAGAACATGTCAGACATGAAGTGAGCACATCCCGTTTGAAAGCGGTACTGATAGACTTGCTCAGTGCAGGGTTGTGACAAGCCTTCACTTTGGAAAAAATGCAGTGCAGTGTGATAAAGTGACGCATGATAAAATGTGGGATGCCTGTTGGGAAGCCGTTGCCATCCATGAGGAGGACAGCTGCAGCCAAAAGGTAGTGTGGAGGCCAAACTGCACCTAATTCAGGAGTGACTAGAGCAGAGGGAGCACGGCAAGAAGAGATCACATTTCCCAGAAGCTGGTAGGAAGGTGAAGGAGAATTAGGGGGAGCATGAGGGGAGGGTAGAATCCAGATGGTAGGGCTCGCAGGAACACATGTTTGCTGAGGAAGAGGAACAAGTGGAGAAGGAGAAATTGAAAGTACAGCTGACACTTTGGGAGGCCGAGGCGGGCGGATAACTTAAGGTCAGGAGTTCGAGACCAGCCTGGCCAACATGTGAAACCCTGTCTCTACTAAAAATACAAAAATTACCCGGGCATGGTAGCACATGCCTGTAGTCCCAGCTACTTGGGGGGCTGAGGCAGGAGAATGGCTTGAACCTGGGAGACGAAGGTTGCAGTGAGCCAAGATCGTACTACTGCACTCCAGCCTGGGCAACAGGATAAAATTCTGTCTCAAAAAAAAAAAAAATTAAGTACAGCTGACAGCTGATGGAACGAGGTTCTTTAGGAGATTGGGTGCTTAGCATTGTTGAAGAGGAGAAATGCTGGCTTTGCTGGGAGTGCCTTGAGGGTAGGAACCATGTTTTCTTCACTCCCCAACACCAAGCAGTAGGCACTCAGAAAATGTATATACAAATGAGTAAAGATTTTACTTCTTAGAAGTAGTCTTGATTGATATTGTAGAATACCAAAAAACCTCACTATTTTTATTCCATAATTACCATTCTGTATTATACTGTGTGTAAGCAATGTATTTGTGACCTTCTGTTCTTTGAAATAAAAGGGAAAAATCACAAATCAGGTGGTATTGAGGTAGTAATCATAATCACTTAGTTTGTCTGTGCCTGCTACGTATTTATTAAATTCTGCCTCCGCATCTTGAAATGTGTCATGTCCAAGGCTCTCTGCTTGGTGCATGTGATGTGCACTTCATTGGAAGAGGCAGACATGCATAGAAACAGCCTATGAGAGACAGATTCTGTCCTGTTATTCCACCCAGGGACACTGTCAGCTCCAGACATTTGCCTTAAAATTGGTTATTTTTTAAAGTTTGGAAAAAGGGACCAGGCGCGGTGGCTCACACCTGTAATCCCAGCGCTTTAGGAGGCCGAGTTGGGCGGATCACCAGGTCAGGAGATCGAGACCATCCTGGCTAACACAGTGAAACCCCATCTCTACTAAAAATACAAAAAATTAGCTGAGCGTGGTGTCGGGCGCCTGTAGTCCCAGCTACCTGGGAGGCTGAGGCAGGAGAATGGTGTGAACCCGGGAGGCGGAGCTTGCAGTGAGCCGAGATTGTGCCACTGCACTCCAGCCTGGGTGACAGAGCGAGACTCTGTCTCAAAAAAAAGTTCAGAAAAAGGACACCTTTTTAATTTTCTTTAATTTTTTGTAGGGGCAAGGTCTCACTATGTTGTCAGGCTGGTCTTGAACGCCTGAGCTGAAGTGATCCTTTGATCACTGCCTCAGCCTCCCAAAGTGCTGGGATTGGCCAGATGTGGTGGCTCACACCCATAATCCCAGCACTTTAGGAGACTGAGGTGTGCAGATCACCTGAGGTTAGGAGTTGGAGACCAGCCTGGCCAACATGGTGAAATCCCATCTCTACCAAAAAAATATAAAAAGTTAGCCGGGCATGGTGGTACACGCCTGTAGTGGAGGCTGAGGCATGAAAATCGCTTGAACCCGGGAGGCGGAGGTTGCAGTGAGCCGGGATCGCGCCACTGCACTCCAGCCTGGGCAACACAACACGACTCCATCTCAAAAACAAAAGTGCTGGGATTATAGGCATGAGCCACCGTACCTGGCCCTCTTTTTGATTTTCTGTGTTAAATTTTGCCTACCGCAAATATTTCTAACATTAACAAAGACTGAATTTATAGACAGCTTTTGATTCTGTGTAACTTAATTCTTTCAAGTGTATTCAAAAAGAACAAATTGGTTAGGAGAGGTAGAGTCAGCTCATCACAGACCATATTTCAGGGTACAGATGGTGAGAGAATTAGTGTGGGTTGTATTTGGCTGTGCCAGTTACAGTGTTGTAGATGGAAAACCCCAAACAAATATGTGGAGGCTCTTCTGGTTCACATTTTTCTTTCTACTGCTTATAAACTAGAATACATATTGATATGATCTCATTTTATATTACCCTTTTTTCCCTAGGTTCACTAGAAAACGTTTTGCCTTTTTTTCTTAATAAATCATTGCCAGTGAAATATGTTACATAAAATATGCTAAGCAAATCAAATTAGCGTATCTAGAATTCACTTACGAGGACTGTAATGCATTGATTTAAATATTGATTCATCGTTCTAAATAAAATTGCTTCATTTGATGAATTGCAGCCTGGAGACATTGATTGATTGGAACATTATTTGGTCTTCGGAGTTTTACCTCTGCATTTTCTTTTTTTTTAACAGTGGGTGCCTGATAGACATCCTAGGACTATACAGAAGGAAAAGGCCCACTTTGGGGGATAATGCTGAGGGACACTATGAAATCTTGGAATGATAGCCAGTCAGATCTGTGTAGCACTGACCAAGAAGAGGAAGAAGAGATGATTTTTGGTGAAAATGAAGATGATTTGGATGAGATGATGGATTTAAGTGATCTGCCTACCTCACTTTTTGCTTGCAGCGTCCATGAAGCAGTGTTTGAGGCACGAGAGCAGAAGGTAGGCATCTATCCTCCCTTTCCCTACATTTGTAGCATGTTAAATGTGTATGGATTTGGGGAAACAGAGCTTGACTGGTCCCTGACAAATTAAGTATAGAAAGTGTATGTCCACTTTTAGGCCGGGCGCATTGGCTCACACCTGTAATCCCAGCACTTTGGGAGGCTGAGGTGGGCAGATCACCTGAGGTCAGGAGTTCAAGACGAGCTTGGGCAACATATAGAAACCCTGTCTCTACTAAAAATGCAAAAACTAGCCGGGTGTGGTGGTGCGCGCCTGTAATCCCAGCTACTCGCAGGGCTGAGGCAGGAGAATCACTTGAACTTGGGAGGCAGAGGTTGCAAAGAGCTGAGAACATGCCACTGCACTTAAGCCTGGGGGACAGAGTGAGACTCTGTCTCAAAAAAAAAAAAAAGAAAGTGTATGTCCACTTTTAGATGTTGCCGCAGAATTTTTATTGTATTTTTAGAAGAGTTTCAGTCTGCAGCAGTTAGGAAATGTTTCAAAACCAGTTCTTCTCCATAGACACTTTAAGAAGCACTGGCATTTAGTGAACTCTGAGTCAAGTCTTATTCAATCCATTCACTTATTTATTCACTTATTCATTTTCGGAGACTACAATTAAAGAAAACCTGGGGATCTTTAGCCGGGCTTCCTATTACTTGGGAGTGCATTCACAAAAGAAGGAATTCAGCTTTTTCCTGGGGCTGATTTACATAAAACCTATTAGGACTATTTATGATTTTGTCGTAACAAAATTGTTCACGTTTCTTGTATTAGTTTCTATAACTGGGGAAAATGATTGAGCTTATTATTTTAAAGATTCCTTTAGTTCATTTATTATTTACCTAGAAAGAGAGGTGTGTGTGTGTGTGTGTGTGTGTGTGTGTGTGTGTGCTTTGTTTTGTTTTTCCCCGTCATGACCTCACAAAAGGCTATAGGTCTTAGTCCCACAAAAGTAAAATAGCTCTGCCACTGGGATGTGTCTTCCTTGTTCTGAGCTTTTTCTCAAAACCCTATCACTGGCCCTTTAGTTTTCAGCCGATGTACCCAAAATATTTCCCTTCCGATGACTTTCTTGGAGCAGAACTTCAATACCGTTTAACTCAGGACATACTTGAGTGCCTACGGTGTGCCAGGCGCTGGTGCCAGTTGCTTCAGGGGATAGAGTGTGAGTCATGCAGCTTCTGCCTCATGGTGTCCAGCCCTGCAGCAGAATCAAGGCCAGGCAGCAGGGATGACAAGCAATTATGTTATCAAATGGAATCTTAGTGCCTTTAGAAACACTTGAAAGTGGCCGGGCGTGGTGGCTCATGCTTGTAGTCCCAGTACTTTGGGAGGCCAAGGCAGGCAGATCACGAGGTCAGGAGTTCCAGACCAGCCTGACCAACATGGTGAAACCCCGTTTCTACTAAAAATACAAAAATTAGCTGGGCGTGGTGGCAGGTGCCTGTAATCCCAGCTACTCAGGAGGCTGAGACAGGAGAATCGCTTGAACCTGGGAGGCAGAGGTTGCAGTGAGCGGAGATTGCGCCAGCGTACTCCAGCCTGGGCAACAGAGCGAGACTCAGTCTCAAGAAAAAAAAAAGAAAGAAAGAAACACTTGAAAGAACAGGGCCAGGCGCAGTGGCTCTCGCCTGTAATCCCAGCATTTTGGGAGGCTGTGGCGGGCAGATCACTTGAGCCCAGGGTTTCATGACCAGCCTGGGCAATATAGCGAGACCCCATCTCCATAAAATAAAATAATAATAATAATTTAAATAGTGCGTTGAGGTAAGAAAGGAGGAAGGATCACAGCCAGTTGGAATAAAAGATCTCACAGGGAGGTGGCATTGGAGAAGGGCTGTGAGAGCTGGGTAGGATTTTAGCAGGGAAGGGAAAGGGAATTTTGGCCACGGGGAACAGAATGAGAAAAGAGCTGAATCGGGAGAGTGTGGGCCATTTCGGGAGTAGCAAGCCATTCTGTGTGCTTAGCACATAGCTGATATTTGGCCAGAGTCAGGAGAAATCGGACTAGAAGAGTGAGTATGCGGCCACCCAGCAAAATCTCATGAACATCTAGCTCAGGAGCTTGTCCTTTTGTGGGAAACGGTCGGAGGGTTTCTGAGCACAGAGCGGCCATCAGAGCTCCACGTCAGGAAGCTCAGCCCACAGCACGTGGATGGCAGAGTGATGGGAGAAGAGGGCAGAGCAGGGAGCCAGGGAGCTCTCGGATTGCACCCGCCTGGAGATGACCCACCCCAAGCGGAGCAGGGAAGGGGGCTGCACTCGCCAACTTTGTGTCTTTCAGGGTTGTTTCATTTACAAATGCTATTTGCTTTCCCAAGTTCAGTCATAATTTAGACATTTTGAAATCATCCTTTTGAGTTTCATGCTAAGAGCTCTAAGTTTTTATGTTATAAATAAGTTAACCTTGTTGTTTATTGTTGTAAAAAACCAGATGAATTGCCAATTTATGTTAAAATTATATATGTAGGAATTCTCTCAAGAAACGTCACAATCTTTTCTATTTTTTTGTTTTTTTTTGTTTTTTTTTTGTTTGTTTGTTTGTTTTGGTGAGATGGAGTCCTTCTCTGCCTCCCAGGCTGGAAGGCTGGAGTGCAATGGCGCAGTCTCGGCTCACTGCAACCTCCGCCTCCCAGGTTCAAGCAATTCTCCTGCCTCAGCTTCCTGAGTAGCTGGGATTACAGGCACATGCCACAATGCCCGGCTAATTTTTTTGTATTTTTAGTAGAGATGGGGTTTCACCACATTGGCCAGGCTGGTCTTGATCTCCTGACCTCAAGTGATCTGCCCACCTTGGCCTCCCAAAGTGCTGGTATTACAGGCGTGAGCCACCGTATCCGGCCAATCTTTTCTATTTCAACCTTTTCTTTTTAACTGTAGCCTGGGAAATTTTTAACCTGCAAAAAGGGTGGGTCCTTGTTGGGTTTCATTTTTTAAACCATTTGGGGATTATATCTAACGTAAATTTATACTGGAAATCATCCCAGCAGAAATTCTAATAACAGCAGTTCAGCGGACTTCCTAGTAAATTGTATTTAATACCCTTAACAGTAATATCTGAAATGACAAAATATAAAATGTTTATATTATGGTTATCTATAGATCATCAGTTGGATATAAAATATGGACAGAATCAAGGCCAGATATGATGGCTCATGCTTGTAATCCCAGCACTTTGGGAGGCCAAGGCAAGAGGATCGCTTGAGACCAGGAGTTTGAGACCAGCCTGGGCAACAGAGTGAGACCTCGTTTCTATTAAAGAAACATTTTTTAAGATATGGGCAGAATCAAATGTTTCCTTTACATTTTTCTTCTATCAGTGTCTTATTTTGTTGTAGTTTCTCCTGAAATCAGCTGTTTATTCAGGTTATCTATGAATGTGCAAAAAATAAAACAGTTGCTTTTGTTGGATTACAGGCAGAATAATCCCGATTGCAATTAAACACTTTAATTTCAAAAAATAATTTCTGGCTGGGCACATTGGCTCACACCCATAGTCCCAGCACTTTGGGAGGCCGAGGCAGGTGGATTGCTTGAACCCAGGAGTTCGAGACCAGCCTGGCCAACATAGCAAGACCCCATCTCTATAAAAAAATTTTTTTTTCCCAGCTTGAAAAAGTTTTTGTCTTTATAAGCTTCTAACTATTGGAGTAAGCTTTTACATTCTTCCGAATAGTAGAATAAATAACACAGGTGCCATTATCATGTAAATGTAATCTTTGCTCTAGATCATTAGATTTTGGCTCTATGTTTTTATCAATATTTCTTAAAAATAGTGTTGGAGGGATAATAAATCATAGAAAAATAAACTGTAAGAAAAATAGGTGGAGAAAAGGACTTATCTTTCAATGTATATTTCTCAGCTATAGGGTTGTTAATTTTATGCATGTACTCTGCTAATCAATAGCTCCATCAGGAGTGCGACAGGCTTAGTGCTTCATTTTTCTTTGACAGATTTGGATTTGTCCCAATGTGATTGTATTTGCTTGTTTGCTGTCTTTAACCCCAGTTTTTTTTTTTCTCTGTCTTTTAAAAAAGCAACAGGGTCTTGCTCTGTCACCCAGGCTGGAATGTGGTGGCATGATCATAGGTCACTGCAGCCTTGACCTCCTGGGCTCAAGCAATCCTCCTACCTCAGCCTCTCGAGTAGCTGGGACTATAGGCATGCACCAGCACATCCAGCTAATTTATTATTTATTTATTTATTTATTTATTTTGGAGATGGAGTCTCACTCTGTCACCCAGGCTGGAGTGCAGTGGTGCAGTCTCAGCTCAGTGCAACCTCTGCCTCCCGGGTTCAAGCAATCCTCCCACCTCAGCCTCCCAAGTAGCTAGGATTACAGGCATCCACCACCATGCTCGGCTAATTTTTTTGTATTTTTAGTAAAGACAGGGTTTCACCCTGTTGGCCAGGCTGGTATCAAACTCCTGACCTCAGATGATCTGCCTGCCTTGACCTCCCAAAATGCTGGGACTACAGGTGCATGCCACTACAACCAGCTAATTTTTGTATTTTTAGTAGAGATAGAGTTTCGCCATGTTGGCCAAGCTGGTCTCAAACTCTCGACTTCAAGTGATCTGCCCATCTCAGCCTCCCAAAGTGCTGTTATTACAGGCGTGAGCCACTGTGCCTGGCCTGATGTTTTTTTTTTTTTTTTTTAAGAGACAAGGTCTTGCTATGTTGCCCAGACTGGTCTCAAACTCCTGGGCTCAAGCGATCCTCCTACCTCTGCCTCTCAAAGTGCTGGGATTATAGGTGTGATCCACCATGCCTGACCCCTCCAGAAGCAAATTAATCTTGCTTCTGGTTTGAACATGAGGAGTTTTCAAAATATAATTTAGGTTTTTATAACATGAGAAATGGGACTGTTTTTTTCTGCCTTAGGTCTTGGTGTTTGAGGGGACTCAGTAAATGTTAGTGTTAGCAGTCTTCTCAGCAGGACATCCTGTACAAAGAAATGCAGTAGAATCTAGTCCCCTTGCAAAGTACTGCCCTTTGTATATAAAACTGTTTATCTGACCTCCTCACCATAGGACATTTGATTTGTGTTTCTGATTATGGTGGTTGAGGGATATTAAGACATCACTACTTGTTCTGCTGTCCTGCTCTGTGATGGGTGACACTGAGCATCTCATTGAGTTCCCAGTGCAAAGCAACACCTGTTAAATGTTTGTTGAATGAATGGATTCTGTAAGATGGTTGTTGAGGCTTAGTGATGCAATGCTATGATCGAGAAACAGAATTGTGAGCTGAGTGAGGCAAAATAGTACGTAGGAGATTTAATCTGAAATTATGCTCCCAGATACACTGGCCTAAATTCTTTTGTGGCTTGTATAATCATATGCACAATTTAAATCTTCCTTTCAAGCTTTGATTCTGTACCTTCCATTTAAAGAAGTATCAAAAATATTATTTAAGAAAAGTAAATGATATTTGGAAGCTGAGTGAAGTGATCTTATGATTTTTAGACTAAATCAATTGTTTGTACATTCTAGCATAGCCTTCAGCCCAGAAAAAGTAGAATCCTTTAAGGAAAGTGATGTTTTAAATTTGGGAATTAAAAAAGAGGATTCAAAGGAAGAATATCTCTGTTATAGTTAACTGTGTTTTTAACAGAGCATGAAACATCCTAAGGTTTCACTAAGTGTTTGTTTAATTGGTTTTATAGTGCTGTTCTGGCCAAGAATTAGTAATTTAGTTAGCTTTGAGGCTCAATTAAATACTAGAGAATCATAGTTTAGAATTAAGAAATCCTAGTCAAGTCTGTATTTTATACAGTGGGTTTAGAGTTATAGACATTGCTACAAAACGTTGTTGAAAGAAATTTAAAGAAGGCACAAATAAAGGGGAAGACATCCGTATCTATGGACTGGAAAACTTAATAACATTAAGATGTCAGTACATACACCGTGGAATACTATGCAGCCATAAAAAATGATGAGTTCATGTCCTTTGTAGGGACATAGATGAAACTGGAAACCATCATTCTCAGCAAACTATCGCAAGGACAAAAAACCAAACACTGCATGTTCTCACTCATAGGTGGGAATTGAACAATGAGAACACAATGACACAGGAAGGGGAACATCACACTCCGGGGACTGTTGTGGGGTGGGGGGAGGGGGAAGAGATAGCATTAGGAGATATACCTAATGCTAAATGACGAGTTAATGGGTGCAGCACACCAACATGGCACATGTATACATATGTAACAAACCTGCACGTTGTACACATGTACCCTAAAACTTAAAGTATAATAATAATAAAATAAAAATAAAATAAAATAAAATTAAAAGATGTCAGTACTACCTAAAGTGCTCTACAGATTCAACTCAATCCCTATCAAAATCCCAATGATTTTTTTTGCAGAAATAGAAAACCTACCCTGAAATTCATATAGAACCTCAAGGAATCCCAAATTGCCAAAACAGTCTTGAAAACAAAGAACAAAGTTGGATGCACACTTCCTGATTTCAAAACTTTAGTATAAAGCCATGGTAATCAAAACAGTGTGGTACTGGCATAAAGACAAACATAGAGATGGATGGAATTGAATAGAAAGCCCAGAGACGAACCTTTGTATATATGGTCAAATGATTTTCAACAAAGGTTCCAAGACTATTCTGTGGGTGAAAGGACAGTCTCTTTTCAACAAAAGGTGCTGGGAAAACTGAAATCCACATGCAGAAGAATGAAGTTGCATCCTTATTTTATATCAAATAAAAAATTAGAATGGATCAAGCTACTCAGGAGGCTGAGGTGGGAAAATTGCTTGAGCGCAGGAGTTTGAGGCCAGCCTGGAAACGTAGTGAGACCCCATCTCCTAAAACAAAACAAAACAAAAAACCAAAGACTTAAACGTTAGAATTAAAACTATAAAACTCTTAGAAGATGCAGTAGCATCTTCAGAGAGAAGGCTCCTCTATGTGCTGGAACTGTGCTACCCTCTATGGCACAGCTCATAATAGCATGCTTTTAAAAGTATCATTTAGGCTGGGCAAAGTGGCTCACGCCTGTAATCCCAGCACTTTGGGAATACAAGG
The DNA here is from genome assembly GCF_000001405.40 of Homo sapiens. Classification (NCBI taxonomy): domain Eukaryota; kingdom Metazoa; phylum Chordata; class Mammalia; order Primates; family Hominidae; genus Homo; species Homo sapiens. The sequence continues at coordinate 24,521,618 of NC_000001.11, forward strand.
CAGGTAGATCACCTGAGGTCAGGAGTTCGAGACCAGCCTGGCAAACATGATGAAACCCCACCTCTACTAAAAATACAAAAATTAGCTGGGCATGGTGGTATACGCCTGTAGTCCCAGCTACTCGGGAGGCTGAGGCAGGAGAATCGCTTGAACCTGGGAGGTGGAGGTTGCAGTGAGCTGAGATCGTGCCATTGTACTCCAGCCTGGGTGACAAAGTGAGATTCTGTCTCAAAAACAAACAAACAAAAAAAATTTTTTTAAAAAAGAAAATAGAATATTGGTTGCTGGGGGGGGTGGGGAAAATATTTACAGTTTAATGTATTGAGAGCTTGTATGGGATGATGGAAAAGTTCAGGAGACAGATAGTGGTGATGGTCACACAGTAAGACTGTACTTAATACCACTGACTTGTACATTTAAAAATGGTTAAATGATAAATTTTGTGTTTTGTATATTTGACCACAATAAAAATAATGCAAAAAGAGCCTATTTTTCTTGAGTTTAGTGTTCTTGGTAATATGTATATACCAAGAATATATTTTTAAATATACACATACATATATTTATACACACACATGTGTGTGCGGTATGTATGTATTGGACACCTGTTTGGCTCCACTTTAACCCTCTTTTCACCTAGTCATTGCTGGAGCAGCCAGCTGTGTGCAGGTGTGACCTCACACCTGGCCTGAGCTGCCGTGTCTTTCCATCCCAGCATTTCTGTGCTGCCTGAACAAGGATGCTCAGCCTTATTGATGCATGCACAGACTTGGAAGCATGAGGGAGTTAAAGTCCCATAGGGTAGCCCTCAACCAGTGGAAAACTAAACCCGGTGAATAAGCTCCTCTGTGTTCTGACACTGAAGCCAACAGTTCTCAGGCAGGTTCTTACTGGCTCCCCAGCAGATCAAGCCCCAGTTGCCCACAGAGGTGACCAGCTTGAAAACGCGACCTGGAGGGACAGAGAATGGGCTTGCCCTCCTTCCCGGTGCCACTGTTCCCAGGCCTCCACGCTTGTCTCATGGGGTCACTTCCCAAAACAAACACTCAGCGTGTGTGCCTTTGCCTTGCCTCTGCTTCTCCAAGGAGCCCAGGTAAGGCACAGGTAACGCTTCCAAGTTTGGTTATGGTTATTCCTCTTATGTAAGGCGCTGTTCCAGACTCTCAAAATAAAAAAGGCAATTTTTAGGTTATGCAAAAAGGATAGACTAATATAAAAAACACCCACGTGCCCACCCAATTTAGCAAATAAAATTTTACTAATACAGTTGAATCCCATGTCTCCTCCCAGAGATAACCATCATCCTGAACTCAGGTTTCTCATTTTCCACGAAATCTGTAAACTTTAATAGGTTGAACCATATGAAATTGCTATATTTGTTGGTCAAAAGTGGTCAAATATCAGCATTTCTTCTGATTGAGCCTGATATTCTGTGTGTATGTACACACACTTTTTTTTTTTTTTGAGACAGAGTCTCACTCTGTTGCCCAGGCTGGAGTGTAATGGCGCAATCTCAGCTCACTGCAACCTTCACCTCCCGGGTTCAAAGAGTTCTCCTACCTCAGCCTCCCGAGTAGCTGGGATTACAGGCACCTGCCACTGCGCCCGGCTAATTTTTTGTATTTTTAGTGGAGACGGGGCTTCACCATGTTGGCCAGGCTGGTCTCGAACTCCTGACCTCAGGTGATCCGCCCGCCTTGGCCTCCCAAAGTGCTGGGATTTTAAATTATCTGTATTTGGAGTCGACATGATTGTCTCTTTAGAACGGAATCTACATAAAAGCTGTTAGAACGAATAAGTGAGTTTAGGAAGATTGCAGGATGTGGGGTCAATGTCCAAAATCAACTGTCTCTGTAACAGTAAACATTTGGAAATTGAAATATCTATGGATATTTCAAAATCCCTAAATATATATACACATATATTTACACAAATATGTATACACACACATATATAAAGGTATATCAAATCTATATTATTTCTAATACACACACACACACACACACACACACACACACACACACATATATATTTTTTTTCTTCAGATGGAGTCTCATTCTGTTTCCCAGGCTGGAGTGCAGTGGTACAATCTCGGCCCACTGCAACCTCCCCTTCCTGGGTTCAAGCAAGCCACCATGCCTGGCCATGAAATAATGTAATATATTTTGAGATAAGCATCTTCAATTACCTTCAACGATATTTGTAGCTTAAGTATACATTAACAAAATATGTGTATGATCTGTATGCTGAAAATTATATGCTAAACTGTATGCTAAAACACTAATGAAATAAATAGTATTTTACATCATTTAAAATTTTATATATTGGCCAGGCGTGGTGGCACAGGCCTGTAATCCCAGCACTTTGGGAGGCCGAGGTGGGTGGATCACCCTGAGGTCAGGAGTTCGAGACCAGCCTGGCCAACATAGCAAAACCCCATCTGTACTAAAAATACAAAAGTGAGTTGGGCATAGTGGTGGTGCACGCCTGTAATCCCAGCTACTTGGGAGGCTGAGGCAGGAGAATCGCTTGAACCTGGGAGGCAGAGGTTGCAGAGAGCCAAGATCGCGCCACTTCACTCCAGCCTGAGAGACTGAGAAAAAAAGATAAAAAATAAGGAGTTCCAATAAGTCAGAGTTTGTGTTTATAAATACAGTAGCCATTAAAACATAAAAATCCATCTTGAATAGCTAGCATTCCATATTTTCTTGAATTTTAATTCAGTTACAGGTTTCTTTCTGATCTGGAAAAATGATGATGGCAACATAAATAATAAAGGTTATCAAAGGTTTTTGCATTTTTCATATATTCTGCTCCCCTCTAGCACTTTTGACTGTAGGTCCCAGAATTTTACAAGTACTCAGATTATCAAAGTAAAGTTTTTAAATTCACCATGTCTAGCTGTATGTGCACTTTTTTCTGTTTAGTAAAGTCCATCTCTCTGGCTGTTTTAGTCAGTGGTGATTGATGAGAACCAAAAGCACTTTGCCTACCCCCAGGCAGAAATGGAGGCCTTGCCTTTGATATTAGTGGACCTGCAGGCTCTGGACACTGGAGAAATGGAATTTTCTAGATCAGATTTACAGAAAGACGTAGAATATAAATCTCTTGCCTTAGGATGCTAAAGATAATTTCACTGCTGAATGGATCAAGCCATTCCTTCTCAAGAGTAAAATCGTTCCTCCTACTCTGTTTATTTTGTTTTCTTTTGTTTTTTTTTTTTTTTTTTTGAGACAGGGTCTCGCTCTGTTCCCCAGGCTGGAGTGCAGTGGCACAATCACAGCTCTCTGCAACCTCCGCCTCCCAGGTTCAAGCAATTCTCGTGCATCAGTCTCCCGTCCTCCCACTCTTTAATGTTTAATAGAAGTGGTGGGCTCCTCATTTTTTTTTCAGTCCAAAGCAAAGGTGTGTGGCAAAATCATGTTCCCAGTTTGTTCTTCAGTGAAACAGCTAAACCTTGCCTTCTCCGAATTGGGATGGGGCAACAGAGTGGAGCCATGGTGGATCCAGAAAGGTCAGGAAATACACACTTGGCTGCCATCCTCATCTGTTGCTCCTTGAAACTGACCTTCCCATATGGCCTTTTCCACTTTTCTCCTTTACTGATGCCTATTATCCAGCTGTCAAGCACTCTTTCTTAAGTTCCCAAGAAGGTTGATGGTTATGTGTTGTTCTTAGCTATTTTAGGTACAAGGTATGTACTGTCATTTTGATGACTGACTAACTGCACAGGTGATCTTAGCATATGAAGGCAGCTTCTGGTCTGTATTTTGTGGAAAACCTACTTACATCATAGGAAAAAGCCTCAGGCATTGGTTTTTAGGCTGCATTGTTTGTGTTATGCCTGTAGACGTTGTGCTGCCAGAGGGGGATACTAAGTGACTACAGAAAAAGTTAAGTGGTTAATGATGATTTTTATTTTAATGGAATCCCCATTATCTTTTCTCAAATAAATATGCGGCCATCACCCAACAGGATGATGTTAATTTTATATCATTAGAGAATTCAGAAATTTCTAAAAGTGAGCTATTTCTGAAATAATTCTAAGGAGAAAAATAGTCATTTGGTTTTTGAATGAACAGCTGCAGATCCTTCCTGTTTATCGCAAGTCATTTTCAGTCCATTTTCATAGATTATGTCCTTCCCCTGCCGTCTGCAATCTTCTAAATCCCTTTCGTGCTAATGCCGGGTTATCAGGGGCAGCCTCAGGAATCTACATGGGGATGTCTGTGGACTCACAGAAGGGCAAAGCTACCAGCTGAGGGCTCGTAACCATTTTTCACAAATAGGAAACTGATGGTTTTGCCTCCAAGTTAATTCTTCATGCTTCCAAAGCACCTCACAGCTAGAATTCACGTATTTCATAACCATATTTATGCTACTTCAAGGGGAAAATGGGTGTGGAGGAGAGAGAAAGAACACAAAACTCAGTAAAAGCTTGCTAATCGGTTCTTGCATGGCTTCATTTTTGTATAATTCTTTTTAAGAGAGAGAGACAGGGTCTCACTCTGTTGCCCAGGCTGGAGTACAGTGGTGAGATTGTGGCTCACTGCGGCCTCGAACTCCTGGGTTCAAGCAATCTTCCCACCTTAGCCAACCGAGTAGATAAGACTACAAGCGTATGCCACCATGCCTGGCTAATTATTTAATTGTTTGTAGAGATGGGGTCTTGCAGTGTTGTCCAGGCTGGTCTCAAGTTCCTGGCATCCCACAGTGCTAGGATGAATGGGCCACTGTGCCTGGCCATTTTGTTATAATTCTTAATCCTATCACAGGTATTGGATTTTGGAAGAGAGAGAGAGAGAGCGCCGTATAACCCATTGCTGTCATCTGCATGTTACATTCAGTTACAGTGTATTTCTGGAATTTGAAAAAAAAATTATCTTGAAGGGAAATGGGAAGAAGGATATGATTATCAAGTAACTGTTTGCAAGATAGCTTCTGTCATACGATGCGTTGGTACTAGGAAGAATTCGTTGTGGGGGGCTAGGGATAATACATGAGCCTTTTCCCTTGGGCAAGGAAAATGTTTAATGTACAGAATTACAAAGTACTAATATTTTATAAGCTATTCTTTCTTAATTAGTTCTTCCTTAATTTCCATTGTGTTCAATGTTAATATTTCTTAACTATCTCACATAGGAATTTTAGTATTTTCTTAATGTTTAAAATACATTTAAAATAAGCTAATACCAAGAACCAAATGGGATGTGATTTTGCAAAATCTCAATTCTAATTCTCTTTAAAAGCGACAAAGCTAGCCACCTTTGAAATGGATGCTAAAGAAACTTTGAAATGTATCCAGAAGCAATAATAATTATCAGCATTTAATATACTTACATATTCACCTTCCCTTTTAAGAACTGATATGCTACTTTAAAATCCTTACTATATCTATATAATATTTTGTTATTTATGTATATTACTTTTTTTTGAGACAGTCTTGCTCTGTTACTCAGGTTGGAGTGCAGTGGCGTCATTTTGGCTCACTGCAACCTCTGCCTCCCAGGCTCAAGCAATTCTCATGTCTCAGCCTCCAGAGTAACTAGGACTACAGGTGTGTAATTTTGCATTTTTAGTAGAGATGGGGTTTCACCGCATTGGCCAGGCTGGTCTCGAAGTTGATCCGCCTGCCTCTGCCTCCCAAAGTGTTGGGAATACAGGCGTGAGCTACCGCGCATGGCTTTCTGTATTACTTTAATATATGGAAACACGATAGTAAATAAGAGTAGGATTAATCTTAAAACTGCCCCCTGCTGGAAGCAGCTTGCAGTCCACTGAAAAGCCAGACTGAGTAGAAGGTCTGACATAATATATTTTTTTAAATGAATTGACAAAAAATACATAGTTTTTAGGATAAATGATGTTTCCTCAATAATGAAGGATATTTGAACACTGGAAGAATAAATATTGGTGCACAAATTATTTTATATTTTATCTAGTTGGAGAAATGTTGCAAAGTGGCAGGTAAATGTTCAAATTGAGAGAAGTTAATAAATGAGGGAGTGTATAATTTGCACTTCAGGATCAACAGATCATTGAAAGATCTTTACATAGGCGAAGCAAGAACAAAGCTAATTTATAGGTTCCTTTTATTGTGTTACCATTGCCAAGCCTAAGGAATATTTCTAAAGGTATTGAGAAGTTTCTTGGATCCATTTTATTGCATTTCATTTATTAAACTATTGCCTAAATATGTTTTCTGTAAAGAAAATTTAATGTTGCTTTTCTTCTAGTGATTGAAATTAGGCTTTTCATTATCCCAATTCATTAATAAATGGGAAAATAATTTTTTTCTCAGCCTCATGAACGACTCAAATATTGCTCTCTTTCTTTTTCTCTAGTCCATCTCAAAATACTCAGGAGATATACACGTACTGCAAATTATATAAAATAATTTGTGCTCAGATATTCTTCCAATGCTTTTCACCCCAAAATGCATTTTTTGTGGAATTACATAGTCCCAGTATGAATTTTGAGAAAAAGGTTTGATTGTTTTGCCTTTGTGAAAGAGAAACTGTGGCTATAGGGAGTTAGGCATCTTTAAAGAAGTTGCCAAACGTACATTAGCATCTTTCATGGGAATTTCATTCAGGGGAGGAAAATAGAGAAAGAGAAAAAATAGTTGGAAAAAAAGAAAAAAAAAAAAAGAAAAAAAGAAAAAGGAAATGAACACAGAAAATCTGAGACAAACAGATAAAATAAGATGGTAGACATCCCAAAATATCAGTAATCAACAATGGACTAGTTCCTCTAGTGAAAAGACAGTGAGTGTCAAACTGTGTTTATTTACATACAGGCACACACATGCATTATACACACATGTATTCTTTTTATGAGGCATATCTAAAACATAAGGATACAGAAAGGTTAGAAGTAAAGGCTGAAAATTGATCTCCATGCAATACATAATCAAAAGAAAGCTACACCAGCTATATTAATGCCAGACAAAATAGACTTTAAGACAAAGGGCATTCCTTTATCTGGAAGACGAAGAGGGTCACTACCTAATGATTAAAAGTTCCATTCACCAGGAAGAGAAAAAAATCATAAGCTTGTATGCACATGATAACTTAGCCTTAAAAGGTAGGAAGCGAAAGTGACCAAATGTACGAAAAAATAACACATCCACCTAATAGTGGGAGAATCTAATAGATCTTTCCTGATAATAGTTGAAACAGACCCCCAAAAAATCAGGATATAGAACTTGTAAAGCACAGGAGCTGGATATACTGAACATGTTTATAATACTGTACCAAACAGCTGCGCAAACACACTCTTTGTAAGCACATGTAGATTTATGAAATTTGATGACACTGAACCAAAAGCAAGCCTCAAACTGTCAAAGGATTACTATCACTGTGGATAGCCTACTCCAATCAGAGGGAAAATGAGTTAGACATTAAAAAGATAAAAAACTCCCATCTATTTGCAATTTGAGAAACATACATCTAAATAATTCATGAGACAGGGAGAGATCATAAGGGAAATTAGAGAGTATTTAGAATCAACTGGCGCAGTTGCTCACGTCTTTAATCCCAGCACTTTGGGAGGCTCAGGCAGAAGGATGCTTGAGCCCAGGAGTTCCAGACCAGCCTGGGCAAGACATTGAGACTGTGTCTGTACAAAAATAAAATAAAATTAGCCAGGTGTGGCCAGGCATGGTGGCTCATGCCTGTAATCCCAGCATTTTGGGAGGGCAAGGTAGGAAGATTGCCTGAGCTCAGGAGTTTGAGACCAGCCTGCGCAACATAGCGAGACTTCATCTCATTTAAAAAAAGAAAAAAAAAGAAAAAAAGCCAGTTGTGGTGGTGCCTGCTACTCAGGAGGCTGAAGTAGGGGCGGGTGGCTTGAGCCCAGGAGTTTGAGGCTGCAGTGAACTCTGATCACACCACTGCACTCCAGCCTGGGTGACAGAGAGACTCTGTCTCTCTTTTTTTTTTTTTTTTTTAGGACAGAGTCTCGTTCTGTCACCCAGGCTGGAGTGCAGTGGCAGGATCTTGGCTCACTGCAACCTCCGCTTCCCAGGTTCGAGCAATTCTCCCATCTCAGCCTCCCGAGTAGCTGGGATTACAGGCGCCCACCACCATGCCCGGCTAATTTTTATATTTTTAGTAGAGACAGGGTTTCACCATGTTGGCCATGCTGGTCTTGAACTCCTGACCTCAAGTGATCCGCCTACCTCAGCCTCCCAAAGTGCTGGGATTACAGGCTTGAGCCACTGTGCCCTGCCTTCTATTTTAAAAAATAAATAATAAAACATATCAAAACTGTTCAGGTGCTGGGTGTGGTAGCACGTGCCTCTACTCCCAGCTATTTGGGAGGCTGAGGCAGGAGGATCACTTGAGCCCAACTTAGGCAATATAGCAAGACCCCATCTCAAAAAAAAAAACAAAACAAAATTAAACGAACTGGTGGAGAACAGCTGAAACAGTACTTAGAAATGGATGTCTTGCTGGGTGTAGTGGCTCATACCTATAATCCCAGCACTTTGGGAGGTCAAGGAGGATAGATCACTTGAGCCCAAGGAGTTTGAGACCAGCTTGGGCAATGTGGCAAAACCCCATCTCTACTAAAAATACAAAAAATTAGCTGGATGTGGTGGCAGGTGCCTATAGTCCCAGCTACCCAAGAAGCCGAGGCAGGAGGATTGCCTGAACCCTAGAGGTTGAGGCTGCAGTGAGCCAAGATTGTACCACTGCACCTCATTCTGGGCAACAGAGTGAGACTCTTATCTCCAAAAAAAAAAAAAAAAAAAAAAAGACAGTCACACACAACAGCAAGGGAGAACCTCAGGAGCAAGATCTAAGCAAAAAAAGCAAGTTGTGGAAGAATACCTATAACATGATAACATTTTTAGAGATACAAATAGATGTTGTAAACTCTAAAGAAAAGCAAGGGAATGATAAAATTCCAGAAATGACAACTTTGAAGGAGGAAAGGAATGTGACAGAGGGAAAAACCAACCTTGTCCCACCGGGGACATCAGAACAATAGCAGTGTTCTAGAATTGGGCATGTTTGTATCATTCTCTTATATCTTGCATTCATTTTATAACCTTTGAATATGGACAATATTTAATAAAGTTAATTACATTTAAAATAAGTGCACGACCCAGCTTGGTGGCTCACGCCTGTAATCCCAGCACTTTGGGAGGCCCAGGTGGACAGATCACTTGAGGTCAGGAGTTCAAGACCAGCCTAGCCAACATGGTGAAACCCATCTCTACTAAAAATGTAAAAATTAGCCGGGCATGGTGGCCGGCCCCTATAATCCCAGCTACTTTGGAGGCTGAGGCAGGAAAATCACTTGAATCCAAGAGGTGGAGGTTGCAGTGAGCTGAGATCACACCACTGCACTCTAGCCTGGATAACAGAATGAGACTCCGTCTCAAACAAATACATAAAGTAAGTGTAATTGCTAAATTACAGGATACCTGTTCTTGTATATGTGCAAGAAAAGTATACTTTTTTTGGAGAAAAGGTTAACTTATAATGAGTTCTTAATTAGGTTTCATGATTTAAATTTCCCCTTCTGTTAAAGGTTTTTCTTTTTTTTTTTTCCTCCCCTTCCCTTTGCCTTGCTGCTCCTTAATTGTAGGAAAGATTTGAAGCACTCTTCACCATCTATGATGACCAGGTTACTTTTCAGCTGTTTAAAAGCTTTAGAAGAGTCAGAATAAATTTCAGCAAACCTGAAGCGGCAGCAAGAGCGCGAATAGAACTCCACGAAACAGACTTCAATGGGCAGAAGCTAAAGCTATATTTTGCACAGGTACTTCACCGTGCAGAGAACACTGTTCTCTAAACTTGTTTTTCTCCATCCAAAAATATTTTTATTTCACCGTTTTCTATATTATTATAGCAGAGGTGTGTAGAGTGAACCATCTCAATCAGCAAATAATACAAAAATATTTTCCCTTTATTTTATAGATACATAATTTCGTGTATTTATTAAGCACATTTACCTCCTAAGTTGTTTTGCTGAGACTAGTAGTTGAAGGAGTTGATTTTTCTGGCAGCTTTGCTCAACTGGGACTCTGCGTGGGTTACGCCCTGACACCCTAGTGTTCGGAAACTAACTTCTCTCCTGTGCATCTAGAATGGTATACATGAAATAAGACATGAAATCCTTGGGAAAACTGAGAAAATGGTCTCTTAAATCATTTCCATAATTCATATGAGGAACCAGGGAGGTCACGGAACTGTACAAAAGGGCTGTCTTCGACTTTGAAATTGCAGAGGACCCTGTAGGGTACCAAAAATTGGCTACGCTTAGTATATTCTAATCCTGCATTGGTGTGACTCTCTGAGAAACCAATTTCTTCTGAGAAGAGTGGGCAAAATCAGGAGATTACTCGTGTATTAAATGCACTGTTTTATTTTCAAAACATTTTTTTCAGTCTCCCTTACAAATTAAAAAAAAAAGGTTTGTTTTCTTGCCTTCCACGTAAAAACCTAAATGAAAGAGATGTCTTGACGTTTCTTGGTAGAGTCTCTTGAGATGGAGTACAAATAAGTCCATATAACCTAATGTCTTCTAAGATTGGAATTTAGTAGTTGCTGTCGTTCATTTCTCTCTTCATCCATTTATTTATTTATTTATTATTTTTATTTTTTTATTTTTTGAGATGGAGTCTCACTCTGTCACCCAGGCTGGAGTGCAGTGATGCAATCTCAGCTCACCACAACCTCCGCCTCCCAGGTTCAAGTGATTCTCCCGCCTCCGCCTCCCAAGTAGCTGGGACTACAGGCATATGCCACCACACCTAGCTAATTTTTGTATTTTTAGTAGAGATAGAGTTTCACCATGTTGGCCAGGCTGATCTCAAACTCCTGACCTCAGGTGACCCACCCGCCTCGGCCTCCCAAAGTGCTGGGATTACAGGTGTGAGCCACCACACCTGGCCCATCCATTTATTTTTTATGCAGTTAATATTCATGAAGCACCTACTGTGTGTGGCCATGTGCTGTACACTGAGTGGCCAGTGGTGAGCCAAACAGACCCAGTCCCACCCTTTTGGAGATTATAGACTGTTTACAAGAAATAGGCCAGGCACGGTGGCTCACACCTGTAATCCCAGCACTTTGGGAGGCCAAGGTGGGCGGATGATGAAGTCAGGAGATCGAGACCATCCTGGCTAACACAGTGCAACCCCGTCTCTACTAAAAATATGAAAACAAAATTAGCCGGGCGTGGTGACATGCACCTGTAGTCCCAGCTACTCGGGAGGCTGAGGCAGGAGAATGTGAACCCGGGAGGTGGAGTTTGCAGTGAGCTGAGATTGGACCACTGCACTCCAGCCTGGGCGACAAAGTGAGACTCCGTCTCAAAAAAAAAAAAAAAAAAAAAAAAAAAGAAATGTTTAATTTTCTACAAAAAGATGGAACAGTCAACATAAAGGTGAAAATGAAGAAAACATAGCCCGGTTTGCAAACTGGCTTTGAGCGTCTCGCTCCCTGCAGGTGCAGATGTCCGGCGAAGTGCGGGACAAGTCCTATCTCCTGCCGCCCCAGCCTGTCAAGCAGTTCCTCATCTCCCCTCCAGCCTCTCCCCCGGTGGGGTGGAAGCAGAGCGAAGATGCGATGCCTGTTATAAATTATGATTTACTCTGTGCTGTTTCCAAATTGGGACCAGGTAATAAACTTCTATTTTTCCTATTTTCTTCCCCAAGAAACTTTTGTATTGAAGATCGTATTCAGCAGTGTGCATTGTGGCAGTATGATTAGAGCAGAGGATAAAGTCAAACACACCTGGGTTCAGATTCCAGCTGTGGCATCTGCTTGCTCTGTGATCTTGAACAAGTTACTTAGCCTCCATTTTCTGAGCTTCTGCTTTTCCATCTATAAAGCAGGGAGAATCATATGCACCATTCAGTGTGGTTATAAGTACTAAATGAGGGCCAGGTGTGGTGGCCCACGCCTGTAATCCTAGCACTTTGGGAGGCTAGGGTGGGCGGATTGCTTGAGGTCAGGAGTTCGAGACCAACCTGGCCAACATGGGGAAACCCCGTCTCTACTAAAATATAAAAAATTAGCTAGGCATGGTGGCGTACGCCTATAGTCCCAGCTACTTGGGAGGCTGAGGCAGGAGAATTGCTTGAACCCAAGAGGCAGAGGATGCAGTGAGCCGAGATCGTACCACTGTACTCCAGCCTAGGCAATGAAGCAAGACTCTGTCTCCAAAAAAGTAAAAATAAAAAATTAAGTATTAAATGATGTATAGATAATACTCAGTAAATGTAACTAATTTTTACTACTACAGATTTTGCTAGTACTTGATAGGCAGTTAGTGAATATGAGGTGCCTTCTCTCCCCAGCCCCACCAAGTATCAGACAAACAACAACTACTTTGAATATATTACAAGGAATTGGTGGTGATATCATCTCACTCCTTCAATATTTTTGTCATTTCTTTTTCATTTCCTTTTTCCTTCTCTTTACTTTCTCTACCTCTCTTCCTTTTAAAATCATATAAGAAACCGATGTGATGCTGGTTCAGACAGTTGTCCACCCAAGACAGAGTTATGTCTCTTGTAGGGGAATAAAAGAGGCATTTTGAGGAAGAAGTGATTCAGTGCTGTTTTTAGACGTTAGAGCTGTGTCTTAGATATCCAAGTTCCTATAATCAAGGGAGTGCCTATGCTGCCTGGATCCTTACAAGTATCTCCCAAACTGAAACCATTATGATGTCAGAGTCACTTGGCTGGGTGCGGTGGCTCACACCTGTAATCCCAGCACTTTGGGAGGCCAAAACAGGCAGATCACCTGGGGTCAGGAGATCGAGACCAGCCTGGCCAACATGATAAAACCCCGTCTCTACTAAAAATACAAAAACAAATTAGCCGGGCGTGATAGCGGGCGCCTGTAGTCCCAGCTACTCGGGAGGCTGAGGCAGGAGAATGGCGTGAACCCGGGAGGCGGAGCTTGCAGTGAGCCGAGGTCGCACCACTGCACTCCAGCCTGGGCGACAGAGCAAGACTCCATCTCAAAAAAAAGAAAAAAAAAAACCATCTCGACTGAAAATACAAAAATTAGCTGGGCGTGGTGGCACACACCTGTAGTCCCAACTACTCGGGAGGCTAAGGCAGGAGAATCGCTTGAACCTGGGAGGCAGAAGTTGGAGTGAGCCGAGATCGTGCCACTGCACTCCAGCCTGCCGACAGAGCGAGACTCCATCTCAAATAAATAAATTAATTAATTAAACAGATTAACTCATATTATTCATAAAACAATAATTAGCATTTGCATTTTAACTCCCAAGACTTCAGTACTGAAACAACATTTTATACAAGCCTTAAAGTATCAAATCTTTAACACCAAAACAAGATAAAATACTCTAACATAGTATTTAAAGATTTAAAGAACAAGAATCACCCATTAAAATAGGAGTAGAACAAAAAGTTGCAAGGGACAAAAGAGTTCTTTTTGCTGGAAGTGATGCTTTTGTCATGGTTATTTTGTTTGCCTCTGCAGGAGAGAAATATGAACTTCACGCGGGAACAGAGTCGACACCCAGCGTGGTGGTTCATGTCTGTGAAAGTGAAACTGAAGAGGAAGAAGAGACAAAAAACCCCAAACAGAAAATTGCCCAGACGAGGCGCCCCGACCCTCCGACCGCAGCGTTGAATGAGCCCCAGACCTTTGATTGCGCGCTGTGAGGCCCTTGGTTGTGGTGCGAGGCGGCTGCCCTGGTGGGCTCTGGCCATGGCGCTCTGTGCCTGCGGCCGATGCGTTGCTGCGAACAGCATAGGTGAGACTCTGCCGAGTGAGGTATAGGTCTTCTCACCACGCCTGTACTGCAGACACGGTCGTGTAGAGTAGCAGCTGATTTGACCTGTCCCAGATTTTAAGTGATATTCCAAAAGGGACTTTACATTAAAGGAGAAGCCCCCAAGATGTGGCCACCCTTAACCATTTTTAAATAGTAACAAATTAGGAAAACAGCTCCCCTCCCCTCCAGCCATGTAAGTCCTCCTGATTCTGTATCACATGAGACACCAAAAACTGGAAATGTAGTCACACCCAGTACAGTACCATTTTTATGAATTTAAAAATAGTCTTATAATTTTAATTGTTTGTGGGTATTTTTCTACTGGTATAAATAGCTTCTAATTAATAAATCGATCAAAGGTTGTTACTCAGTATACATGAAATTTTTTGCAGGAAAAGAAACCAGAAATACAGAATAATTCATAGAAATCATGGTTCTCAAGTATTTGTTCAATTAGCTTTGGGGAAGAAATGCCAAATCCACTTTGAGGATGAGTCTTACGACACAGATCCACCCACATGTTGCTCTTATCTGGAATTTGGGACAAAGCAATGCACAGGCCCTCATTCCTGATGTGGCGCCCTCCAGACATGGCTGCCCAGGAAGGACGGCCACTTTAGAAGTGGGACGTATCACCAGTAAGCTTGAATGATTAGGATCGCAGGTGGCTACTGCATTCTGCCGTTCGTGACCGTGTTCTAGCCTGTAGACCACCCAGCTACCTTCATTCACCAGTTTTTATCCTTCACCTTTTCCAGTATCTTGTTAACCACTAGTTCTTGAGTTTTTTGGCTATGATGTGTACGTTTATGTATGTCATTCATGGACTTTCAACTAGAAAAGGTAATGATAAGGTTTTCTGAAGACCATTTGTAAATTGTCCATTTAACCATTTTTCAGCTTGCTTTGAAACAAAAGTCACACCTACTATTTTTCTATGAATTAGGGAATGAGGGGGAGATCATTCAGTTTTACTTTTCTTTTTGTTGAAATTTTGTACCCGGATTGCAGTTGGCACTTTTCCTAAAACAGAATTGTTTCCCACTTAGGTGTCAGAATGTACCTTTGAACTTCCCTAAGAAGCAGCAGGATCTTTTTAACTCTCTCTGGTCTGTTTAGACTTTGAAGTCCCTTCTGTAGAAAAGTCTCATAACTGAGAAGGCTCTGTTTTGGGCCGGGTGGGTCTGCTGGCCTCCACTCACTGTGCTGTTTCCTTTGAGTGGCACACTTGGGAAGCTCCGGGGCATGTGAAGGAGCTGCAAACATGAGAACTAATGAACCAAGGCGGCTGCCACCAGGAAGGAACAGAACGCAGGCATTCAACCATGACGTCTGCACAGTGTTAGTAACATGTCATTGTGGTTTCGTTCTCACTGTGGTAAAATTTATTTCTGAGCACTTAAACTGTGTTGCATACCCCTAATTTTTTTTTTTTCTGTATCTTCCTTGCCCTCAAATACCCTGAGGTGATAAACTGTTCCAGTTGTAGCCAACTACCACTGCTAGGCCTCAATGTAAATTCAGTTGAAATTTGCAATTCTATCAGCAATTTAATGTATTGAATTCAGATCATCATTTGTCATTTTAACCGACAACCACCCAATAAATTTACTCTGCAGTTCTGAACTCAGCATTGTGCCCATTTTTTACTGCAAGATGGACCCTGTATGCCAGGAGACATGTATTATCAACAATTGGGAATTTTTTGAATTTCCTTTTAGGTAATATTGATTCACTGTAATTTTCTAAGTGATCAAAACCCATGAGATTTTGTTATTTGGCTTGGCTTTCATTCTCTGCCTGCCCATTAAAGAATATTCTATTCCTAACACATAAAACATTTTACAGTCAAGCAGTGCAAATTACAGTGCTTTTCTATTTTTTTTTTGAGAGCCTTGAATAAATTGAAGAAAACTTTAAACCAAAATTAGAGACGAGTCATTTAAGCTTTTCTGAATGGAAAGTATTAATATTTTCATTTTTCTAGTATAATATAATAAAATGAATTTTTTTAAAAAAGCTACTAAGTACCCATCAACTTTTTCATATTGTGAAATGAACCAGGATCTTAACAGATACTATCATCGCTGTCCTTTTTTGGCTGTTTAATATCTAGTTCATGTAACAAATTTACAAGAGATAAGTCTCATGGTTTTTTTTTTCTTTTAATAGGCTTTTCTGCAATTTTTTTGAAATTGAGTTATTACTTGGATTTAACCCTGATAGGACCAGGTGTGGTGGCTCACACCATAATCCCAGCACTTTGGGAGGCCAAGGTGGGTGGATCCACCTGAGGTCAGGAGTTCAAGACCAGCCTGACCAACATGGTGAAATCCTGTCTCTACTTAAAAAATACAAAATTAGCCTGGCATGGTGGCACATGCCTGTAATCCCAGCTACTTGGGAGGCTGAGGCAGGAGAATTTCCTGAACCGGGAGACGGAGGTTGCGGTGAGCCGAGATCACGCCATCGCACTCCAGCCTCGGCAACAAGAGCGAAACTCCGTCTCAAAAAAAAAAGATTTAACCCTGATTGATAGTATAGTAGCCATGTTTTCTTTAGAAATCATAACCTCTTCATGGGAATCAAACTATGTTGAAAATTGTGAGGAAAGATAATGGTGCTTTGTGTTGGGAAAAAAACATTTGTGAAGGATTAGAAAACCGTAACACTTAACAAGGATAGTCACAGAACCGACGCTGCATTGGCTCTTAGGTTCTAGATTTTTGTAGCACACTCACCTGATGAAACCAAAGACAAATCCATGTAAAAAGTGTTCCAGTGAGCATCTCTGAGGTTTAAGGTACTAAGAGGCAGAAGTGGATAGCAACAGTTCCATTGCCTTCGAGAACTAAAACTCAGCTGGAAAGCAAATTAGTCTTTTCACATTCTGCTTCTTCAAAATGTTGTACTCAAAAACATACCAGTAATTAAGAGCCAAAGCAAAGCTTCAAGGAACTTTTAAGTTCAACATAAAGGTTTAAATAAAATATTTTTTATTTTTTATTTTTATTTATTTATTTATTTATTTTGAGACAGAGTCTCACTCTGTCGCCCAGGCTGGAGCGCAGCCGCGTGATCTCGGCTCACTGCAAGCTCCGCCTCCCGGGTTCACGCCATTCTCCTGCCTCAGCCTCCCAAGTAGCTGGGACTACAGGCGCCCGCTCCCACGCCCGGCTAATTTTTTTTTTTTTTTTTTTTATAAGTAGAGACGGGGTTTCACCACGTTAGCCAGGATGGTCTCGATCTCCTGACCTAGTGATCCGCCTGCCTTGGCCTCCCAAAGTGCTGGGATTAACCAGGCGTGAGCCACTGCGCCCGGCCTTAAATAAAATATTGTAGTCATTAATGGTGTGTTTGAATTGAAGAGATACCAGGAGATAGAGGTGAAGTGCAGTACTTTTATTCTTTAAGAATATAGTCTTTAGCCAGGTGCAGTGGTGTGTGCCTGTAGTCTCAGCTATTTGAGAGGCTGAGGTGAGAGGATCACTTGAGTTCAGGAGTTCAAGACCAGCCTGGGCAACATAGCAAGTCCCTGGCTCAAAAAAAAAAAAGTTTCCCATTCATATTAACTCCATCTTTTAAAAATGTCATGATTACAAAGTGAAAAGATTTGGCTTTCTTAGAGGCTCAATCACAGAGGTGAAAGTGACCTTGGAAATCATATACTCTATCCCCATGTTACACAGATTAGAAAAACTGAGGTTATGGCACTGACTTAGGCACCCCCAGCAAGGCAACCCAGGGACTACAACTGGCAATCCCAACTCCTGGGCTAGGGCTTTTTCTACCTTTTTTTGCATTGGCCTCTTAAAGAGGCAATGAATACTAATTCCTGGCATCAGAAAAAAAAAAAGGCATGAGGTGGGAGGATTCTTTTTTCCCTGATGGGAAACAGTGAATAAGAAAAATCTCATCATTCGATGGAAGAGGTGACTTAATAATTTTATTAATGAATTTGATGTCCCATGTTTTGTAGTTTTGTTATCATTGAACCATTGGGGCTGGAATCTGCCTAAATAATTTTATCTTGGTAGCCAGCAATTATGTTGGTATTTTATGTGGGCCTTCCCAGATTTTCATATTAATGAAATGACTAATAGTCGTACTTAAGAGGTAACTCTACTAAAGCAGAATGAGATCTAATATGTTGTGGAAATAAAAGAGTTTGCAGTGGAATGATACTCTCACTCCGTGCTTGTAAAATTGAGTTCTATTCAAGACGGAACTGCTATGACTGGCCTATTCAAGGCTTCATATTTTTATACAGACTATTTCACAGACCATAGATTTATTTTAAAAGGGAAAATCTCACACATAATTAAGCAGTGGAAAATGTGCTCAATGCTATGGTGCGTCAGGCCCTCTGTCTACCAGGTTTCTCCCCTTTCTGCAGAGCTGTGGACCCTGTACGTACCAAACAGGTGAACTTGGTCCATCTTTCCTTCTTCCTTTTTTTGCACATTTGCATTTATATCTTCCTGTACTAAAAGAAACAAATTATTTATAATTGGGGTGACAATATAAAGGAACAAAAGATGGGGCAATAGTTGCTTCCTAGCTGGAGCTGTAAGTCCATGTTACAGAAACTCACTATTTAAAAAGTTTTAAAAGATTTATGAACCTTGTCCTACAATTCGCTGAATACTTATTTGTCTTTTAAACTCCCCTCGGTGTATGGATCATCTTCGTCAGAATGCCGTTGTTTCATTGTGAATCAGGGGAAAATGTTAATCATTTGGAGACTGTTTTCTTATTACCAAATGTACAATCCATAAGACAACTGAAAGCAACAACTGCTGGGTTCACTGACAAAGATTATAAAAATCATCACGTTCAAAGTAGAGTTTTTAGCCAAGGTCAAGAACTAACCTGGGGCTGAGTCAGCGTCTCTACCCACTTAAATAACAGCGTAAAGATCTTTCACTAAATTCGTTATGTGGTCTGTCTGGATGTAAACCTATATATTTCCTTTTGAAACAGAATCATATCCTGCAGACTCTTGGCACTCCTGCATAGCTTTGACCGAATGTTCACTCTCATCGTAATGGAAGATTTCTATCTATGCAGATAATACATGTTTTTAAATACTGTTTTCTGTTTAGTCCTCAATCTTCCTAACTCAAATTGGGGACTGAGGAGAGAGAAAGGTGGTTACCCCTGTTACCGTGCCATATTCTTCTTGCTGCTTTTCAACCCCACGTGATTGTTGATTGACGGTTCTGCTATAATGTGCGTGCCCTTCAAGTTTCAGAAAACTTTCCCAATCATTTCACTTCAATCTTAATTGAACCCAAGAGTCAAAGTTATTATTTTCTCCGAACGTGTTTGTGATCTTCTGTTATATTTTGGGGCATGTTACCTTTATGGTATATAAGCTGTAGTGCATACTCTTTGTATTGCAAAAAACTGGTCAGTAATTTATGTACATGTATTCCACATTTTAGTGTGCTTGAAGTGACAATCCATAGTTTGTAGTAGTTTGTTATTTGTCAACTTTACCCTGTGTTTTAAGGACATCTAAACATTCCTTGTCCTATCAAGATGACAAAAGCAGAATGTAATTTTTTTTTGGAAGCTTCGTGATTACCTGTAACAAGTTCTGTTTTTAAAACGAATACAAATAAAGTTAGTAACTATTTTTAAATCAGTCCATTGAGTTGAGTTTTTTTGTGTGTAGTATTTTCAATACGCATCACTTACATTTAGCTAATAAGACAGAGAAGTGCAATATTGTGTTTGTTCCTTTCACAAGAGTCCTGTTGAACATTAATGCCGTGCAGTGCCAGAGTTCAAGGTGGTGAGTCACTGCTCACTCTGTAAATAACCACTGCACTTTCAGCTCTTCCCCAAGAAACCTTTTACCCTGGTTTCCCCTTTGGTTAAAAATGATTTATTCCGGGTAAAGACTTACTTTTTGTCTCGGTTAAAAAAAAAAAATCTCCAAAATGTGGAACTATAAATGACAGTAGAGGTTATCTAGTGCAGTGGGATTTCGAATACTTATTTTTAAGCCATAGGACTCTGCTCTTTGTTCAAATGAAATCTTACACAAAGCCAATGTAAAACTATTACAAAAAGGAAAGGTAAACAAAGCTGCTCCTTTTCAAGGGGCTGGGGGAAGAATGGGGACCTGAGTTCAACCCCTGTGAGAGCTCAGCAGAACAGACCCAGACACACCCCTCTATTGCCCCTGCCTCCCTCCACTTCCTCCTCCATCCCAACCCCACCCCCAACACACCTTTACAAGAAAGTGGCCCCAGAGGCATTGCCAAATGCACACATCTGGATGGTCATGGACCTGGGACTAGAACCCATTTCTTGACATTCTTTCTACCACACTCCACTACTTTGTTACACCAAAATCTAATTTTTCTGGATAAATGTATCTGGATAAAAAGGTTCTTGATATTGTTTTGTTTTTGAGACAAGGTCTTGCTCTGTCGCCTAGGCTGGAGTGCAGTGGCATGAACACAGTTCACTGCAGCCCCAACCTCCCAACTCAGTCTCCGAAGTAGCTAGGATGACAAGTGTGCACCACCACACCCGGCTAATTTTTGTATTTTCTGTGGAGACAGGGTTTCCCTATGTTGCCCAGGCTGGTCTCTAATTCCTGATCTCAGGCGGTCCACTTGCCTTGGCCTCCCAAAGTGCTGAGATTACAGGCATGAGCCACCGAACCTGGCCTTTTTTGTTTTTAAAAAACTAAAGCGGAGTCGCTGAGGACATTTCCACTTTGAAGTTTTTCCAAGCTGTGTTCTGTGGGGCTGCCTCCAGGGGGCGCCATGCTTCCAGGTTCCTGGGGCCTTTCACTCCTGCTTCAACTCTCCTATTATTTGCTATACCTAAAGGTCCTAGCATGTTTTCCACTTGAGCTAAGGATTCCTTGGCTAAAACAGAAAATTGGAAAACCACTGCAAAGAACCTAGGACAAAACACACACACAAACAAATTTTTTTTCTGAGACCAAGTTTCAATCTGTTGCCTAGGCTGGAGTGCAGTGGCGCAATCTCACCTCACTGCAGCCTCTGCCTCCCGGGTTCAAGCAATTCTCCTGCCTCAGCCTCTCGAGTAACTGGGACTGCAGGCGCACGCCATCATGCCTGGCTAATTTTTGTATTTTTAGTAGAAACAAGTTTCACCATGTTGGCCAGGCTGGTCTTGAACTCCTGACCTCAGGTGATCCATCCACCTCAGCCTCCCAAAGTGCTGGGATTACAGGCACGAGCCACTGCACCCGGCCAAAAACAAAATTTTTAATGCAGAGTAGGAAATACAAGAATCAAGATTTAAGTAATTTACCTAATAGACTGGCTTCAAGTTAAACGCATACAATGTATGTATCAGATGTATCAGAGTCCTATTATCACTGAGAAGTATGTTTAAAGGGCAGGAGTGAGCCACCACTATGTTCCTGCCCTCAATGAACACATTAAAATGTTCTAATCTAGAAGAAGAAAAGATTAAAATTCTTGCACACACAGGAAAGATCTCATCTTGCCAAGCTTCCCCGGGTCTTCTGAGACATAGAAAGTATAAATGTAAGCAATTTGTAGATTAGATATTTCAGTAAGGTATTTCAAAGTAAGTTACTTGGGAAAAGTTTGTGGTCCGAAATGTTTGGAAAAGTTAAATGCTGAAAATTAAAAGTTAAAGACCTAAATCTAGAATGTAAAATTACTAATAGAACAAATTGTGGGAGAATATCATTGTGACCTAGAGGCAGGGAGAGACTTCATAAAACTTTAAAAGCATAAGCTATAAGGTAAGAATTCTAATTGGTTACATCAAAATCAATGATTCATGTTCAATGAAGAATGCCATGAAAATGTTCACACAATAGGGAGAAATATTTGCAGTCCTGATGTTACCGGAAAGGGCCCTGATCCAGACCCCTACAGGGCATTTTTAGATCTCATGCAAGAAAGAATTCGGAATGAGTCCACAGAGTAGAGCGAAAGCAAGTTTATTTTATTTATTTTTATTTTTTTGAGACGGAGTTTCACTCTTGTTGCCAAGGCTGGAGTGCAATGGTGTGATCTCGGCTCACTGCAACCTCCGCCTCCCAGGTTCAAGCGATTCTCCTGCTCAGCCCCCCCGAATAGCTAGGATTACAGGCATACACCACCACGCCCGGCTAATTTTGTATTTTTAGTACAGACGGGGTTTCTCCATGTTGGTCAGGCTGGTCTCGCACTCTGGACCTCAGGTGATCCACCCACCTCAGCCTCCCAAAGTGCTGGGATTACAGGCGTGAGCCACCGTGCCTAGCTGAGTAAAAGCAAGTTTATTAAGAAAGTAAAGGAATGGGCCAGGCATGGTGGCTCACGCCTGTAATCCTAGCACTTTGGGAAGCTGAGGCAGGTGGATCATTTGAGATCAGGAGTTCGAGACCAGCCTGGCCAACATGATGAAACTCCGTCTCTACTAAAAATACAAAAATTAGCCAGGCGTGGTGGTGCGCACCTGTAGTCCCAGCTACCTGGGAGGCTGAGACAGGAGAATCGCTTGAACCCAGGAGGCGGAGGTTGCAGTGAGCCGAGATTGTGCCACTGCACTCCAGCCTGGATGACAGAGTGAAACTGTGTCTCAAGTAAAAGAAAAGAAAAGAAAGTAAAGTAAAGGAGTGAAAGAATAGATACTCCATAAACAGAGTAGGGCGTTCCCAAAAGCACAAGGGGGAACGTGCCTGCCTAAGATACAATGCTTGTTTATATATAAGATAAAGCAAAAATCATGGCGGAGATGTGCTCTACTACAAAGGTTTGTGACAAAGGACTGTTAATCTTTGCGTAACTGCTGTCTTCCACAAGCATCTATATTATTATCTTTAAAGCGAAACATATTCTTAAACTAAAAATGCTTTTGTTCTTAAGATATTGGGACATCAGGACATTTCCTGGGTCTATTATTTCCCATTAACATTAACATTATTAACTTGTACCCTTAACTGTAAATATCCTGTGACTAAGTACACCTAACCTCCTAGGAATGCAGTCCAGTAGGTCTCAGCCTCATTTTACTGAGCCCCTATTCAAGATGGAGTCACCCTGGTTTGAACACCTCTGACACTAACACAGGGGAAATAACTATAAAATGCAAAGAGATTCTGCAAATTGACAAGGAAAAGCAGCCCAATAGAAAAATAGGCTACAGGATATGAAAAGTAATTGACAGAAAAGGAAAACAATGAGCCTATGAAGAAATACTAAAACCTAGTAATCAGATAAAGTGCAAATTAAAATGACAAGATGCCATTTATACCTATTGGATTCTCAAAAATGTAAAAGCAATTAATGCCAAGTATAGCCAGAGGGAGGGCATATAGGAAATCTGATATAAAACTGGTGGAAGTATAGACTAGTTTAGTCATTCTGAAGAACAAACTGGCAGTCCTTGGTCATCTAAGTAAGAACAAA
This sequence comes from Homo sapiens, assembly GCF_000001405.40. Taxonomy (NCBI): domain Eukaryota; kingdom Metazoa; phylum Chordata; class Mammalia; order Primates; family Hominidae; genus Homo; species Homo sapiens. Next base: position 24,544,810 of record NC_000001.11, read on the forward strand.
ACCTCTGACTCTGCAGTTCTGCTCCTGGAGATAGATGAGACAGAGAGAGAGATGTCCCAAGAATATCCCAAAGGGATTCTCACACAGGGCCATAAAGAGCTATGTTGAGGATGTTCATTGCACCATTATTTATGGAGACAAACTGGTATTTGCAACTGGAAAATGAACACTATGGAGAACCATGCAGCAAGAGTAGCCATATACACAGCCACATGGATATATCTTGAAAACAGCTGAGTGCCAAAAGGAGGAAGATGTATCTAACATTTGCATTATGTGAAGTACTGCACAAAGACAGTAATGCACTTTGCAAGAATACATATAAATAAAAAGATACACATTAAACATATATCTCCAAACATAAGAGGCATCTTGCACAGATCAAGGATAATGTGCAAGATAATTGCACACTGATCAAGGATAATTGCAGGATAATTGATTAAGGATAATAAGTCTGATTTACTATGAGACTTTATATCACCTTTTGATAGACTTTAAAGGGTTAACAGATTCTTTTTTACTTTACTACATTATGTAGATGAAAATTCTTTATTAAATGTACTCCCATATGGATGGAAAAAAATATACTGTATCATTCATTCTTCTCTGAGCTACAAATGAAGAGCGTTGCATGTGGTTTGACTCTAGATTCACCATTTCCTTTTGGTTCAAAGAAGTAATCAGGTTAATTCGCGGCCTGGTGCTATCTTTCTTAAATATCTTTTGAATAATTGAGATCTTTGATGGGAAATTATACAGTATTCTGTCCTGAGAGATTTGACCAGGCTCCTTCCCCCAAAGGAGGAAATTAAACCAAAAATGATTTCTCAGAAATTGCCTGAGTAAGCCCTGTGAATGAAAGGTCTTTTATGGACTAAATGGACTAGCCTCCTCTGACTTATTTCCTTGATAACTTCAGTTACTTGGCAGGCTATTTATTCTATCCCATTAGATATTTCTAACAACTGTTGGAAAGTCTAGAATGGAGATTTGTCTCCTTTGCAAATGAGAAGCAGCCCTTGGGCATCCTGCTAATCCTAGATACTGTATACTAATGACTTCTATTGTGAAAGGGCACAGAGCTACCCTCCTGCTTAGTTCCTGTCTCTAGATGTGTCCAATTATATGAATTGAACACTTTAAGGTGTGTTTTCCCGGAGAGAAGTTAACTAGTTGTTCATGCTAGAGAAAAAGGAGACAGTTAAACTGCAGGTTTAATAAAAATCCATTAAGGGGTGTATTACTTATCTATTGCTGCACAACACATTATCCCAAAATTTAGCAGCCTAAAACAAGAAAACATTATCTCACAGTTTCTGAGGATCAGGAATCTGGGAGTGGCTAAGCTGGACAGTGGTGGCTCAGGGTCTCTCAGAGGTTGCCATCAAGTCATCAGCAAGGCTGTGATAAGGACAGGAGGCAGAGAAATTCTAGGCTGAAAAGGACAGGGACCCTGGCAAAGCTCCACCCTCAAGCCTGGAAACATGGCCCAAACTTAGAAAATCCCTGTATTCCCATTCAAATGTTGCCCTTTCCAAAACCACCCCTGGCCCACCCAATCCCCATCCTGTACCCATAAAAACCCCAGGCTCCACTGGCAGAGAGCAGAGAAGGGGAGAAGAGAAGAAGCAGCCGGATGTCAGAGAGAAGCAGCTTGACTTCAGAGGGACGGCTTGACAGTGGGACTTTGGAGAAAAGTCCGATTGGAGATGGCCAGACTTCAGGGGAAGACCACCTCCCCGCTCCATCCCCTTTCCAGCTTTCCTTCCATCTGAGAGCCGCTTCTGGCAGCAATAAAATCCCCCGCATTTACTATCCTTCAATTTGTTCATGTGACCTGATTTTTTTCTGGATCCAGACAAGAGCCTGGGATACGGAAGGCTGTCACACTGACCCTCTGCCCTCGCTGGTGGAAAGCAACCACCTCACGTGAAAAGGTGGAGAGAGGGCCCACTGAGCTGTTTAACACTTAAGCCGTCTGTGAACGGCAGAAGCTAAAAGAGTGTTCACTGTAGGCCGGGTGCGGTGGCTCACGCCTGTAATCCCAGCACTTTGGGAGGCTGAGGCAGGCAGATCACGAGGTCAAGAGATCGAGACCATCCTGGCCAACATGGTGAAACCCCGTCTCTACTAAAAATATAAAAATTAGCCGGGCGTGGTGGCGTGCGCTTGTAATCCCAGCTACTCAGGAGGCTGAGGTAGGAGAATCGCTTGAACCCAGGAGGCAGAGGTTGCAGTGAGCAGAGATCACACCACTGCACTCCAGCCTGGTGAGAGAGCGAGACTTTGTCTCAAAATAAATAAATAAATAAATAAATAAATAAATAAATAATTTTTAAAAAGAGTGTTCACTGTAACACTCCTCCAGTCTCTTGGGGGGGGGGGTCACAGGTACTCCCCTCTAGATGCTGCCATGGGAGTTTTGCTCCTACCAGTGCCCAAAAGCACTTGCCCCAGCTCCTGCACCTGTTCACCTGTGCTCCCCATCCCACGAGGGGTTGAGAGCTGTGGGATAAGTAAGTGAGGCACCCCTGTCGCAAGGCTCACAAAGAGGTCAAGGGGAATTTCCTGTTTCAGCTGGACAGTCTGCTTCCCTGCTCACTCACATGGCTGTTGGCAGGAGGCTTCAGTTCCTCGCCACAGGGGCCTCTCCAGAAGCCTGCTCACAGGACATGGATGCTGGCTTCCCCCGAGCGAGTGATCAGAGAGAGAGAAAGAGAGAGAGCCCAAGATGAAGTCTTTTTATAACCTAATCTCAGAAATGACAGACCATCACTTCTGCCATATGGTATTGGTCATAGACCAGCCTGGTACAATGTAGTAGGAGAAAAAGGGGGCTAAAGTAGAGAGGAAAATGTATAGCTCTAAATGCTTCTGTTAAGAGCTTAGAAGGGCATAGGGTAAGGACTCTTTCTTCATCTCTCAGCTGTCTTTGTCTCTACCTCTCTTTGTGTGTCCACCAAATTCCTTCTTACTGCAAAAAGGATGTCCGCTCGCAGCAGAGAACATGGTAACCAACAACTCAGGTGGAAGGAGAGCTTCTTTCTATGATTCCATATTGCAGTGGGATTCTCATTGGCCAGATTGGGTTGCCTGCCCATCCCTGAGGCCAGATGGGCAAGGCTTTTACCCAAGAAAGGGAAATGAAAGCAGGGCAAACAAAAATAAAATAGCTATCACAGTGAACTTCAATCACAGTAAACTTCAATATCTCAAGAAACTTTATAAAGACCAAAAGGGGAGAGTATTTTATTCATTGGTGAATTAGTCCGAGTTTAGAGACCTAATAAGTAAGCACTGATTTTTATCTGGTCTTCATTTTTTTCACCACTCAATTCTGACTCCAGGCAAGATACGAGAAGTAGATTTTAAGCATGTTTGATAAATGTACCCAAAGTAAGTTCTGGTATAGAGAGTTTCAGACAGAGAGTTTTTATGATATTTACCACAGAGCTTCCTTATGATCTTGATGTTGAATGTGAAACAACACAATTATCCCAGTCTTCCACGTCATAAGAAGAGACATATCATACATGCCAGTATACATAAAGAACAGTATTTTATCATTACTCTAAATTTTTAATAGGGTTAGCCACTTATATTTTGGTTTTGTGCCATTTCCCTATTTAAGCACCTAAAGATCCAAGAAAGGAAATAATTTCATAACATGTTTTTATTTAGATTTTCTGACTTTATAAATAAACGATGCCGGGTGCAGTGGCTCACATCTGTAATCCCTGCACTTTGGGAGGAGGCTGAGGCAGGCAAATCACCTGAGGTTAGGAGTTCGAGACCAGCCTGGCCAACATGTTGAAACCCCTTCTCTACTAAAAATACAAAAACTAGCTGGGCATGGTGGCAGCCACTTGTAATCCCAGCTACTCGGGAGGTTGAGGCATGAGAATTGCTGGAACCCAGGAGGTGGAGGTTGCAGTGAGCTGAGATCGTGCTATTGCACTCCAGCCTGGATGACAGAGCAAGACTCTGTCTCAAAAAAAAAAAAAAAAAAAAAATCACTGGAAGGAATTCTGTGTTTAAAAATGTAGTTTTCACATAGTTTAGGAAGTAGAAAACGTACAGGGGAAATTTCACAGTGGATGGTAAAACACATGGAAGAATGAGGAACCTGGCATGATGGGGAGGAGAGAGGTCCGGTAAGGGAACGAACACATAAGAAAAAAGCAGAGAACGCAGCCTCTGTGTCTCTCGCAGAGCCCAGCTCAGTGCCTTGCCCACTTAAGCTCTCAGGAAGTGTTCACTCAAATGAACTCACGCATGTGTCTAACTGAGCGAACACCTGTATATCCCAGAAAAAGTAACTTCCAGTCCCCATAGAATAAGTTTAATAAAACTCAATCCTACAGCTCAGGAAGAACTTTCTAAAAGCAGGACAGTGGTTTTCCAAATGCCAGATATTTTTTCAGAAATTGTGTTTTGTTTTTTGTAATTGTGATCATTTGATTATTTGTTAGACAAACCTGATCACAGTGGTTTTTTTGTTTGTTTGTTTTTGAGACAGGGTCTCGCTCTATCACCCAGGCTGGAGTGCAGTGATGCAATCTCGGCTCACTGCAACCTTTGTCTCCCGGGTCCAAGCGATTCTCATGCTTCAGCCTCCCAAGTAGCTGGGATTACAGGCATATGTCACTATGCCCAGCTAATCTTTGTATTTTTAGTAGAGATGGGGTTTCACCATGTTGGCCAGCCTGCTCTCAAACTCCTGACCTCAAGTGATCCACCCACTCAGCTTCCAAAAGTGCTAGGATTACAGGCGTGAGCCACTGCACCTGGTCATGTGATCAGAGATTTTTAATTGCCAGAGATGGCCCATTGGCTCCTTTTGGCTTTTTGCTTTCTTTCTTTTTATTTATCTTAAACCAGCCTCAAAGCCCCCACTGTTCTCCTGAAAGGAACTGAGGTGAGGAATCTACCTCCTAAGGCAAATGACCAGAGCAGAGGACAGGATAGACTGGGTTTCCATCACGTTGACATATTATTATCTTTCATAACTGGGATCCTTTTGGATCATTAACAGTAGCCATGAGGTAGAAGGTGGGACTAGACTCTGGAGGGGGACTTGGATGCTGAATCAAACTGAGGAGTAGTTAAAATAAGGACAGGGCAGAAGCAGCTTTCCATGAGATGCACCCACCAGTGTTCCATGTCAGCTAACCCAACATCCAGGAGTTACCTCCCCTTTCCATGGCAATGACCCAAAAACCCAGAAGTTACTACTCTTTTCCTAGAAATTTCTTCATAAACCATCCCTTAATCTGTATGCAATTAAAAGTAAGTATAAATGGCCAGGCGCAGTGGCTCACGCCTCTAATCCCAGCACTTTGGGTGCCAGCCCTTGAGCAAGTCATTCCCTCTCTATGATCTTGGGCTCCTCAGTGGCTCCCAACCCTGGTCACACATTAGCATCACCTGGGCACCTCATAAAAACCCATGACTGGTCTGGCCTCACTGCAGAGCCTCTAGCTCTATGGCTGTAAAGTGCAACCTTAGCAGAGTTTTCCAAAGTCCCCAAGGGATTCTGAGGGACCACCAGGACTGAGACACCCAGGGCTGGGGGATGTCCGAGTTCACCCAAACTTGGTTTCTCACTCCCTGGATTACCCCATTTCCTGGGCCTTTAGAATTACTGTAAATGCTTTCATTTAACACAATGTCCATCTATAATACTATAATTAATCTTGATATTTGCACAAGGGTGTATGCAAATATCAAGAGTAATTACTCTTTGTGCGTGTGCATGTGCGTGTTGTTGTTGTTGTTTTTGAGACAGAGTCTCGCTCTGTCGCCCATGCTGGAGTGCAGTGTTGTAATCTCCGCTCACTGCAGCCTCCACCTCCCAAGTTCAAGCGATTCTCCTGCCTCAGCCTCCTGAGTAGCTGGGATGACAGGCACCCGCCACCATGCCTGTCTAATTTTTGTATTTTTAGTAGAGACGGGGTTTCACTATGTTGCCTAGGCTGATCTCAGACTCCTGGGTTCAAGTGATCCGCCAGCCTCGACCTCCCTAAGTGCTGGGATTACAGGCGTGAGCCATCATGCCTGGCCTACTCTTTGAAAGTAAGGTTATAAACTCATTCATGCTCCACGCCTTTTGGGGTAGGCAGATATCACTATCCCAGCTTCCCTTTATTTTTCTCCAAAGCACTTATTACTTTCCAACATGCCATATCATTGGCTTGTTTATTTATTTATTTGAGACAGGGTCTCACTCTGTCACGCAGGCTGGAGGGCAGTGGCACAATCACAGGTCACTGCAGCCTCAAACTCCCAGGCTCAAGTGATCCTCCCACCTCAGCCTCCTGAGTAGCCAGGACTACAGGCGTGTGTCACTACGTCAGTCTAATTTTTGTATGTTTTGTAGAGGCAGGGTCTCTCCATGTTGCCCAGTCTGGTCTTGAACTCCTGGACTTGAGTGACCCACCCTCCTCAGCCTCCCGAAGTGCTAGGATTACAGGTATGAGCCACGGCACCCAGCCTGGCTTCTTCATTTTTGTTGTTTTTCTCCCATCAGAATGCATGCTTCATCAGAGCAGGAATTGTCATCTCTTTTATTCATCACTGGCACACAGCAGGCTATTGGTAAATATTCACTGAATGAATGAATTATAGAAGAGGAAACTCATGTCCAGAGAGGTTAGGAGACCTGCCTGAAGTCACACAGCAAGTAAACGGAGTAGCCATTAGATTGCGTCTTCTCTCGGTGTGTGTTTTTTCTGCTCTCACTCTGGGATTCCTAGGGTGACTGTGATAGTAGGATAGACCAAGGAGGTACCAGGGGAGGAGGACTCAGCAGCTGAGATAGCTGCGAATGGGCTGACTGCCACCAGGAGAGCACAGGTTCCTTGCCAAGGTGAGGAGGCGTGGCTTCCGCTGATGGCAGAAGGACTTAAATTAATTTACAGCTTCCTATTTTCATTCTGAGAAGTTTTTCCCTTGTAATTACCAACAAATGGTTTGCGCTAACGCACATTCCTAAAAATGTAGCATAAAAAATGAGGAAGCTGTCAGGTAATGACCTGGGCTGGCTGTTTAAAGGCACACTCACGATTATCAGACTTACCGTGGAACTGGATGAGGCCTCAGAGACAAGGCCGTCCAACCCGTCATTTCACAGATGAGAAAACAGAGGCCCGGGGAGATCAGGTGGCTCGCAAGGAGATTAGACCCCTGACCCTGCCCCCGTCATTCTCTTGTCTTCTCATCCTCCATCGCCAGATGCTCCTAGAGGTAAGATGGGAATTAGACCACATGCAGGACAGCAGCGCTTGGGAAGGGGCTCTGGTCCTCCCCTGCACTTCACGTCCGCCCAGCACATGTCCATCTGGGATCAGCCACATGACACACTGCACTACGAGCCCTGTAGGTCATTTAGAACCTTGGCCTGTGTCTTGCGGCCTTTGCTGCTCCCTCTACTCTCTGCCTACTTAGTTGAAAAACAGGGAATTGTTTCAAAATCAATTGGCCTAGGTATGTTTGCCTCCTCTCCCTCTCTCTCTCCCTCTCTCTCTCTGTACTAGATTAAACAATGTGGACTTGGGTTTCTCTGGACTCATGATTCTCTGTGCTTCGTCTCCTCCCCTGAAATTGCATTCTAATCCCACATGACATTTGGCTGGTTTCCCCAGCAACCATCTCAAAAGCCATAAACAGCAGATTAAGGCTTTGAGGGGAGACATGAAAGACTGGACATGCCTGGCCAGGAGATGAAAACACAGCCGCTCAAAGGCTAGTTTGTAGTTACATCTTCTGCTAATAAGAAAAGGAAGGATAACTGGTTGTCTCTGGGTATTTTCCACGTGGAAGCAGCCGCTTTTTGTTATTTTAAAATCCCCCAGCACCTCAGACTCCATAGGGTAACATCCGAAACTGGAGTGGTTTGTTGGGTAATTTTTTCTTTTTTTTGACATAGAGTCTCGCTCTGTCACCCAGGCTGGAGTGCAGCGACGTGATCTCGGCTCACTGCAACCTCTGCCTCCTGGGTTCAAGTGATTCTTCTGCCTCAGCCTCCCGAGTAGCTGGGATCACAGATGTGCGCCACCACGCCCAGCTATTTTTTTTTTTTTTTTTTTGTATTTTTAGTAGAGACAGGGTTTTGCCATGTTGGTCAGGCTGGTCTCGAACTCCTGACCTCAGGTGATCCTCTCACCTTGGCCTCCCAAAGTGCTGGGATGTTGGGTAATTGTATAAGCAATTTTCATTGACTAATAAAACTGATTTATATATAAACATCCTCTTTATTTTAAAAATGAAAAATCACCACACTTTTTTTTTATTCCATTAAATTGCTTTCAAAATCTTTTTTTTTCCCTTTCTCCTTTTTTTTTTTTTCTTTTTTTGGAGAAAGGGTCTAGCTCTGTCACTCAGGCTGGAGTGCAGTGATGCGATCTCAGCTCACTGCAGTCTCTACCTCCCAGGCCCAAGTGACCCTCCTACCTCAGCCTCCCAAGCAGCTGGGACTATAGCCATGCACCACCATGGCCGGCTAATTTTTAAAATTTGTTTTGTAGAGATGGGACCTTGCCATGTTGCCCAGGTTAGTCTTGAACTCCTGGACTCAAGTGATTCTCCTGCCTCAGCCTCCCAAAGTTCTGGGATTACAGGCGTGTGCCACCGCCCCCAGCCTGTTGCTTTCCTTAATTGCAACGGGAAACCCTCCATGGTTTTCCCTAGTCCTTGGAATAAAATCCTTACTCTGACCTGTAAGACCTTGCATCTGATCTCTGCCTGCCTCTGACCTCATTCTGTCCACTCTCCCTGAAACCACCCCTGGCTTTGGTTGCTATACTGGCCTTAGGATCTTTGCACAAACCAACCTGCTGCTTCCCCCACCCTATCCCACCCTGCTCCCTTCTAGAGTGCTCCCCGGCCCCAGCTCCAGCCCCTCCTCACCTGCCTGCTTGTCCTTTGGGTCTCAGCTCCCCTGTCCTCCCCTGGCAGATAGGTTTCTGTGGGAGCCCCTGCCCTCCCACCCATAATAATCAATGACACCATATTATTATTTCCTTTAGAACTTTTCAGATGGTCTCACTATTTTGTTACCATCTTTTGTGCTTGGGTCATCTGTCCCTTCAACCCCAGCCCCACTGGAAGGTGAGGTCTACAGGGCAGGGAGGGGCCACCACTGACTCTGCCCCACCTTGCAAAGTGCCTGGCCTATAGTGAACACTCTGTAGCACTTAATGAGTGAATATGCAGCGCGATGAAGAGCCTTTTCATGCTTCTGCCTCCTGGGCTTGGCTGGTGTCTCTGACCCTGGTTATGGGAGGGCTGGTGCAAGGAAGAGCTCCCTTCCCAAACCCCTTACTGTCGGTGTGCACAAACTCATTCTGACAGGGCAGGTGTCCTGTGGCTTAGCCAGCCTGGATTAAGGGACAAAGCAGAAGGTGGGCTTGAGCCATAGATAACAGAAGGCTGAAGACTACCAAACCCCACAGAGAAGGACCTAAGACATCAAAGTCCCCCTTCCCAGCTCCTGCCACTTGGCATAATCATTCTCCCACTTACCTGGCACTTCACAAGTGTGATCTCATTTCTAATCCTCACCGCAACTATACTGAAGTATCTTCTCTTCATTTTACAGAAAGAAACAGTCTCAGAAACTACTCCCATCTTGCGAATAGTAAGCAGTGGAGCCAGGATTTGAACCTGAGACCATGCACTGGGGGCTCTTGCCCCCACAAACAAACCTGGAAAAACTTCCAGAAGCATCCTGAAGTGGCCCCCCCCAGTGCCATTTACTGTGGAACTCAGGCCTCAGGGCCAGAGCAGGCTCCCACTGGACTCCTCTCCCCACATTGTGGCCTCTCCCTGTAACCAGGTCTGCCTCCCCCACAACAGGGAAGCTCTTGAAGCCATGGATTAGCACCATGCTCCTTAAAGACCATACTCAAGTGTCTCAAGTCTTTGATGAGAAAGTAGAATTACAGGATTATACTCTCAATCAATATTTGTTAATACCACCTTGCAGCTGGGCATGGTGGCTCATGCCTGTAATTCCAGTACTTTGGGAGGCCAAGGTGGGAGGATCGCTAGAGCCCAGGAGTTAGAGGCTGCAGTGAGCCGAAATCCCGCCACTGCACTCCAGCTGGGGCAGGAGAGCAAGACCCAGTCTCCATAAAATAAAATGGGTTGGGAGCAGTGGCTCATCCAGCACTTTGAGAGGCCAAGGCTGGTGGATCACTTGAGGTCAAGAGTTGAAGACCATCCTGGCCAACATGGTGAAACCCTGTCCCTACCAAAATATATATATACATACACACACAAAAAAATTAGCCGGGTGTGGTGGCATGTGCCTGTAATCCCAGCTACTCGGGAGGCTAAGCCAAGAGAATCGCTTGAACCAGGAGGCAGAGGTTGCAGTAAGCCGAGATTGTGCCACCACACTCCAGCCTGGGCTGCAGAGTGAGATCCTGTCTCAAAGATAAATAAATAAATAAATACTACCTTGGAGTTTCCTATAAAAATACGTGTTTTCTTCCTATAAAAATCTTAGTTCTTAGCTGAGGAGAGTTTGAAAGCATCTCACAGGCACTGAGCGGCAAGGCAGTCGGCCCAGATGCAATCACTTTCTGGAAATCAATTGAAAATAGAACCGGGAAACCAGCCTCCACTCCTGATACTGTTACTAACCTGCTATAAGACTTTGTGCTCACCTTTGCTTCCTGGGCCTCAGCTTCCCTGTTTCTGAGAGAAGAGATCCCCTCTCCGAGATCTCTTCCCGCTTTCTATAAATATTGATTGAGTACCCGCTGCCTGCCAGGGATATCGCCCTGGGCTCCTGGGATACAGCTGGAATCTCGACAGCCTGGGGAGGAAGGAGCCTTTGATCCTACAGCGGCAAGAGTTCTTGACACTTGCCGGCTGCCAAGCCTGTTTCCTCCCGGTCTAACGTTCTGTGGTTGTCTGAATCTCCAGCTGCCCCTCAAAACCTTCAATCAGATTAGCGCCGTGCTCCTTTAAAGACCCTACTCAAAGTGCCTGGAGCTCACCTGGGTGTGTTTGTGAGGCCCTTTCCCTCTCTTTACCCCGCGGAGGAGTCCGACCTGGAAGCCTCCTGCTGGACTTCTCTACTGGACTGAGTGCCCGGGAGTGCCAGAGCCAGTCCCAAAAAGGACCCAGGAGCGGGGACACCACGGGGAGGCGCCGCCACTCCAGTGTGCGGGACCCTGGCACCCCCGGCGCGTTCTCCGGCCTCCCCAGGATCACCTGCACGGGGCGGGGCCGGGGGCGGGACGCCCCGGGCGGGGGCGGGATCCCAGGGTGGCAGCGCCGGGCGGCGGCGGGGACCCTGGCTGGGAGCGCGGCGGTGCCGGCGGGAGGCCGAGCGGGGCTCGACAGAGCAGGTAGGAGGCGCCTGGTCGCCGGGGTTGCCCGGGGCTGCGGGGAGCGAGGAGCGGTCCGGCCCAGGTGCGGTGGCTTCCTGTCCACCTGCCGGCCGCGCTGGGCGAAGGAGGGCCCGGGGGTGGGGACGAGGGGTCCCCAGTCTCACCCCCACATCTGTTGGAGGAAGTGCCTGGGGTCTGCGCGGGAGGGCGTTGGTCCGGGGTGGTGGGAGGGAGGCTGATCATCTCCAGTGGGTCTTGGAGACGAGGTCGTTTCCTTGTCCCCTCCCCACCCAAGCATCTGGCGGAGGGGCCGAGGCTCGCTGGAAGAAAAGGGAGTCGACCTTGACCCGGCCTGGAGATAAAGGAACTTTTACCCACTTGGGGCCTTATCCGCCCCATCTGTTAAATGGGCGCCTTGATGGGTCTGCCCTATGCAGAGGCCCCTCCGGAAGATCTGCGATTCAGCGAGATGAAAACCCACGGCAGAGAAGGAGCCCAGGGCCGTAGTTTCCATCCACAGCACGTTTGGAGGGGCTCGGGGGTCGCTCATCCAGCAGCGCTCCTGAGGAAGGATGCAGAGACGGCTCCAGTCCTCTGGGTATCCTTGTGGGAGGAGATGGCTGTGTCAAATATGAAGGCTGGATTAGAGAGACCAAGGCAGCCCTTGAGTCTGGGAGAAGATTCTGGAAGGCCCCTTGGAGGAGGTGGCATCTGAGTGGGGCAGGGAAAGGAAAGGTGGTGGTTAGGGCAGCGCTTTGGAGTCCCTGCTTTACCCCTCAGCCAAGGCCGTCCAACAGTCTCGGGCAAGTCCACACTTTTCTCTATGTTTCAGTTTGATGTGCTCCTTAAATGAAACAATTTCTCTGACAGATTAAATCAGATAACTCATAAAGTGTTTAATACAGGGTGGGTATATAGTAGGCACTCAATGAACATGAGCTATTAATGTCTGCTAGCAGCTGCTTGGGGGCAGGGATGATGCCTATTTGGTTCACCCTTGTATCCCCAGCACCAGCACGGTGCCCAGCATGCAGTAGGTCTCAATACATATTTGTCCAATGAATGAATGAATGCATATGAAGTACAATGCTTGGCACAAATAGTGAATTTACAGATGGCTGGTTCTAAGAGGTGGGTATGGATACTAGAGACAGTGGTCTAGGTGGATGGAACAGTTATAAGCAGAAGCCAAGAGCAACAGATTATAGGCACCCCCTCTTATGGTGCATGTGTGTATGTGTGCATGTGTGTGTGTGTGCGCTTGTGTGCATGTGTGTGCATGTGGGTGTGTGCACGTGTGTGCGTGTGTGTGCGTGTGTGTGTTGGTGGTGGTAGTAGAAAGTGACAGGCACAGCCAGAGCACCGGGATAGAAGAGGGCACATAATACCCTGGAATCCTGAGTCCCATCAGCCCGTGGGAGTGGATGATGGGGCAGGAACTCTAGGTAGGCCAATACCTTTACTCATGTCCTCTAAGTGGGGAGAGGGGACAGAAGGGCAGCCAAGAGACACCAAAGGACCATGAATGCCTGGTGGGAGGGGAGGAGGAAATGGGAAGGGGGTTCCCATGACCCCTTCATGGCCTGTGGCTTTCTTCACCTTGTCCCTGCTGGGCTCTGTGCTGGCTGGGGCCGAGATGAGCTGTGGGGAGGCAGCATGGTGCCAAGCCAGCCAGCCGCGGCGCGTGCGGTGAGCTGGGCATATAGTGAGCTGGGCTTGAGGAACTGGCTGGGCTCTGTGGGAATCTAGTGTAGTGGTTTCCTATCAACAGCTTATCCCCTGGGCCAGTTCCTGGGCTCCGTAGCACCATGTGGACTATGGCCATTCCTGCCTGAAGTCAGGAAGGAGCTGTGTCCTTGAGGTAGAGCCACTCTAAGCAAAGCTAGTTTCAGTTTTGTGACGTCCTGGCAGGCAGCTGCAGTGGGTTTCCATCTCCCTGGGTTGACCACGAATATGTGAGAAGCAAAGTTCTAAAGTGCAGGTGGAGACTGGAGGAGTACATGAACAGTTGGGAGGCGCTGGACCCCCTAAGGGGGCCAAGTTCGAAGCTTCTCCTTGTAGCACTTTCCATAATTGCCAACAACCCTTGTTTAATATCGGTGTTTTGCCCTAAGCTCTAGAAAAGCAGGGAGCAAGGCTGCCTTGCTTCTCACTTTGTCCCCACCTAGCATGGTGTGTGGCTCACAGGAGGGGCTCAAGGAATCTATGTGGAATGCATCCACCCAGGCTGAGGATGGAGCTTTTGGCTTTGAGAGAGGAGATTCCGACAACACTGACCATGAGCTTCTTGTTTCATCGTGTGGTCCCCCCACTGTCCCCATCCCCTCTCTCACATTTTGTACCTCCACCCTTTCTCCTGCCATCATCAATGCCTTTTCTCAGAGAAGGATCTAGTGCTAGACATTGACACATGAGGGGAGGCCTCACACTATGTCACTGTTCCCTGGGCTCCCAGAGGAGAAAGTGACGTCCAAGCTGACCCCCCCTCATCCTGTTGCTCCTGGGACACAGGGTCATAGTGTGTTAGAGGTGACAGGATCTCTACAGGGAGCGGAGCGCACTGTCACTCTCAGGGTTTGCAAACCAGGATCTGGACGTGATGTTCAGGGTCACGTAGAGTTGGGGAAGACCATTTCTCCTAACTCCAACAGCTTTCCACACTCAGTAAGCGGTGGCGTTCTCCAGGAATTGTAAATGCAGCAACACTTCCCTTTATTTTTCAGTCATCCAATAAATTGGGATGAAAGGTTAAAAAGAAAAGAAAAGAAAGGTAAAGTGGATTTTAAGTTGCCCAATAAACTCTTTTAATTTCTTAAAAAAAAAACCTCATGTATGATGAAAAGAAAGACCCCAAATTACATCTATTCACCTGACTTTTAAAAAGATATATATATTTGATATTGAAGAGAAATATCCAAAACAGAACTTCTGTAATTTGGGCTAAACCTGTTGCTGGCCAGAAGTGCCTGTGGTAAGATGTCCACTTTGCATGCTGCTGTCCAAGGGCCTCTGAAGTCAGCCCGGAAGCAGCGGCCGGTTTGTTTGTCCTGGACAACCTCCAAGCCTTGTTCTAGTTCCCCTATCGGTTTCCCCATCTCCATCCATCCAGTCTCCTGAGGCAGTCATTGGCATCTCAGCCACTGGAGTCCCGCTGTTTGCTTTGGGACCTAGCAGGATGGATTTCTTGCTGTTTACACTGAAAAGAATTCCTAATCAGAAGTATAGATCCTAGGTGGGCAGGAGGCGGCAGGAAGAAGGAAAGGGGCTGAGCCAAGAAAAGAGCCAGCAGTGAGTCCTGAGCAGGGCAGGGGTGTGGGTGAAGCTGAGGGGGCGGAGCCAGAGGGGGAGCTGGCTAGTGGGGCTGGACCTTCTCATGTGGTTTGAAATTCCCCGAGGTAGTGGCTGCAGTTTAGTCTAAGGAAGGAACAGAGGGTGTGCCAACCTCTAAGACAGAGAGGCCTGTTCTCTAGCTGGGCTCAGGCCTTCTCCGAAGGGCCTCCTGCCTGGGCTGGACACATCTGAACTGTGGGGGCCCTTGCGGGGCTGGTACCTGCTTGGGGCCTCTGGGCTTGGAGGGCTTTGCTCCAAGTAACAGCCCCGAGGAGGCAGAGATGAGCAGGGCGTTAAGCCCTGTACTCTGCCTCAAGCCACATCACCTCTCTGAGCCTCAGTTTCCTAATTTAACCAGAGACGATAGTACCCTCTGCAATCATCTATTAAGAATTTGTGGCCGGGCGCGGTGGCTCACGCCTGTAATCCCAGCACTTTGGGAGGCCGAGGCAGGTGGATCACGAAGTCAGGAGATCAAGACCATCCTGGCTAACATGGTGAAACCCTGTCTCTACTAAAAATACAAAAAATTAGCCGGGCGTGGTGGCGGGCGCCTGTGGTCCCAGCTACTCTGGAGGCTGAGGCAGGAGAATGGCGTGAACCCGGGAAGCGGAGCTTGGAGTGAGCCGAGATGGCACCACTGCACTCCAGCCTGGGCGACAGAGCCAGACTCCATCTCAAAAAAAAAAAAAAAAAAAAAAAAATTTGTTTCCCTTTGCCTCTGAAGAAACTTGTGTCTGGGGAGCTACCTTTTGGGGCAAACAACCTCAGGATTTAAAAATTCGTCCCACAATTCACTCGTCATTGGTTCATTCATTTGTTCATTCACTCAGCCCACCTCTTCAGGGCTTGCTGACACCTGCACTGGGAATTCAGAAAGAGCTCTTTTTGCTGCCTGTCTGGTTTCGTGCACACCCTGGAACACAGTGGCCTTGCTTTGAAGTTTTCATCTGTTCCTCCACCTGGGGTGTTTCCTTAGTCTGTCGTGTAATAAAAAACAAATGTGGGCCCGGGGTGTTGGCTCACGCCAAGGCAGGAGGATCACTTGAGCCCAGGAGTTTGAGACCAATCTGGCCAACATAGGGAGACCCTGTCTCTACAAATAACAAAAACTTTAGCAGGTGTGGTGTTGTGCACCTGTGGTCCCAGCTCCTCGGGAGGCTGAGGTGGGAGAATCACATGAGCCCAGGAGGTTGAGGCTGTCGTGAGCTGTGATGGCACCACTGCACTCCAGCCTGGGTGACAGAGCAAGACCCTATCTCATAGAAAAAAAAAAAAGCAGTTGTGCAACTTTTCCCCTCGCTGCTGTGCCCAATCCCATGACCCTCATGGGGGTTTCCTAAGGTTTCAACTTGCAGTTCATTGAGGAAAACAAATGGTTAACTTGCTTGCGGAGAGCTTCTTAGGTGCCCACACAGTGCAGAATGCTATACAAGCCCTGGCCCTTTAACACCCCCAGAGATGAGTATTATTGTTCCATGGTGCCCTTGGGGATGCATTCTGACTTCCCTGAGCCTGGGGCGATTTTGCCTTCATGGGACCCATGCCCCATAAGAAATATTTAAAATCATCCCGGCGCAGTGGCTCATGCCTATAATCCCAGCACTTTGGGAGGCCGAGGAGGGCGGATCACCTGAGGTCAGGAGTTCAAGACCAGCCTGGCCAACATGGGGAAACACCATCTCTACTAAAAATACAAAAAAAAAAAAAAAAAAAATAGCTGGGCACGGTGGCGAGCACCTGTAATCTCAGCTACTTGGAAGGCTGAGGCAGGAGAATCACTTGAATGGGGGAGGCGGAGGTTGCAGTGAGCCGAGATCGCACCACTGCCCTCCAGCCTGGGTGACAAGAGTGAAAGTCTGTTTCAAAAAAAGAAAAAGAAATACTTACAGTGATATTTATATGACTGCATGGGTATATCAAAACATCTTCTTCAACCTGAAAGTCGCTTTTTCCTCTGGATTTTAAAAGAAATAAAAACATTTTTTGTGGGACCCTAAAAGTAATCTGGGCATCATGCCACCTGCACCTAATGGAGACGTGGGTCCTCCAGCTAACAAGCACAGGGATGAAACTCCAGCCAGGCCCTTCACTGTGGAAGCTCTAACCTCACAGTACTGCCTTGAGCAAGAAAGAAGGAAGGGAGGGGCCGGGCGCGGTGGCTCATGCCTGTAATCCCAGCACTTTGGGAGACTGAGGCGGGCAGATCTCCTGAGGTCAGGAGTTCCAGGCCAGCCTGGCCAACATAGTGAAACCCTGTCTCTACTTAAAATAAAAAATTAGCCAGGTGTGGTGGTACACACCTGTAATCCCAGCTACTTGGGATGCCGAGGGAGGAGAATCGCTTGAACCTGGGAGGCAGAGGTTGCAGTGAGCTGAGATCATGCCACCGCACTCTACTCTGGGGGACAAGAGCGAGACTTCGTCTCAAAAAAAAAAAAAAAGAAAAAGGAGGGAGGGACAAAGAACTGGAGAAGGAGACCAGTTATCCAAAATCTGAACACCTTTAATGATATTAATAGTTCTTGCTGGAAAATGAAACTTGGTTTTTTGTTTCTTTGCCTTGCTGCTTTTTACCTCAACTTTTTAAGATCCATGCCTACTCAATCCTCCTTCTTTGAAATTCTGAATGTTCTGCCTCCTAAGGGTAACTGGTTTGCCCAGAGGATGAAAAGCAATTCATTTATCTTTTTTCTAAGCAGCTCCAAGTTCCTACCTAATTCCCAGTAACAGCGTCATTCGTCACAATAATAACAAGAATAATTAACATTTTTGAGAGCCTTTAATGTGCCAGGCATTCTACGAATCACTTTGCAGCCTTGTCTCCTGATAAGCCTCAGGAACCCTATAAATGAGTGCTATTATCATCTCCATCTTGCAGATGAAGAAACTGAGGCTTGGAAAGACTAAGTGAGTTGCCCAGCTGGCAGTGCCAACATGGATCCACGTCTGTTAGTTTGTTGTCAGACTGTAACCTCCCTGAGGGTGAGGACTGTGCCCGGTTCCCCACTGTCTCCCTATCACCCAACACAATGCCCGCTACATACCAGCTTTCCATGTGGAATGAACAAATGCTTGACAGACCCCGGAGCCTGAACTCTTACCCTTTCCACTATTCTGCCCTTCAGGGAAACTCACCTGCTTCAGGTCCCCTGCTCTTTGTCTTGAAACAATCACTGCCTGTCACTTTGGTGCAGATATTGGCAGCTACAGCCATGCTGGAGTGAGGAATTATAAAAACAGGCAAGGGATCAGGCATTGACTTCTCCACTAATGCCCCTACAGTCCCACCCCCACACCCACCCCCAGCTGGGGGAAACTCCCAAGCAGAGTCTACCTCCTGCTGAGCCTGCTTCTCTCTGGGAACTTAAAGGTGAACTTGGCAGAGTGCCAGGCAGAAAAGCCAAGGAAGCTTCCTGCCCTGGGGCTCATCCCTTCCCCCTCCTTATGCCCTTTCTCCAGGGCACATTACCAGACAGAGAGCTGGCATCCCTGGGGGGGGACAGGAACTCACCTGCCAAAATAATTAGACACTTGAGAAGTGCAGCTACTACAAAAGAAAGATAAATCAAACCACATATGCCATTCAGAGCAGAATTACCGAAGCAGATGGACCAAGATTTTAAAGTAAAGCATGATTATACTTAAGGAGATAAAGGAAGAAATTCATGAAATAATACAAGAACAAAAAGTCACAGGCACTTCCCTTTCTCAGCTATCACTGAAGCAACGGTGGCCAAAATGAAATTCAGTGACTTGGCCGGGCAAGGTGGCTTGCGCCTGTAATCCCAGCAATTTGGGAGGCCGAGGCAGGCAGATGACCTGAGGTTGGGAATTCAAGACCAGCCTGACCAACGTGGAGAAACCCCGTCTCTACTAAAAATACAAAATTAGCTGGGCGTGGTGGTGCATGCCTGTAATCCCAGCTACTTCAGGAGGCTGAGGCAGGAGAATCACTTGAACCTGGGAGGCGGAGGTTGCGGTGAGCCGAGATCACGCCATTGCACTCCAGCCTGGGCAACAATAAAGAAACTTCTTCTCAAAAACAACAACAAAAAAAAAAAAAAAAAAGAAAGAAAAAGAAATTCAGTGACTTCTGAAAGTCAAGAAATCTTTGTGACTCTCACAAGAACCATAAGCGGTATTTTAACGCAGCTTCCCATATTTACAGGAAGATTATGTCTTCTTTTTCCAAAGAGCTGAGACAGAAATATAATGTTCGGTCCATGCCCATCTGAAAGGATGAAGAAGCTCAGTTTGCACAAGGACACTATAGAGGTCAGCAAATTAGCAAAGTAGTCCAAGTTTATGGGAAGAAATACGTTGTCTGCACTGGACATATGCAGCGGGAGAAGGCTGGCCATTTGCCCCAGCAGGGCTCTTAACCCTGAACAAAGACTGAGATCCTTGAGCCAAAAGCTAAATCTCACCAAGTAGGAACAGAAAAGGCCAAATACAAGGAAAATGCAATTGGGAAGATGTAGGAATAAAGTAATCTTACATACATCTTTCATTAAAAAACTGCTGCAATGAACAGGAAAAAAAGTCATAAGAGAGAATCAAGCCAAAACATTAGCTATGAAAAATTTAAGATTTAAAAAATAAAAGACATAATAGATGGCCTGAATATCAGGATGGATACAACTGAAGAATTTGCGAGTAGATAGGATGATCAGATTGAGAATTATCCCCAAAAGCAACAGGGAAAGAAACAGAGACAACACATAGAAAAGAGAAGCTGAGAGAGGCCAGGCGCAGTGGCTCACGCCTGTAATCCCAGCACTTGGGGAGGCTGAGGCAGGCAGATCATTTGAGATCAGGAGTTTGATACCAGCCTGGCCAATATGGTGAAACCCCATCACTACTAAAAATACAAAAATTAGCTCGGTGTGGTGGTGGGCGCCTGTAATTCCAGCTACTCGGGAGGCTGAGGCAAGAGAAGAATCACTTGAACCCGGGAGACTGGAGGTTGCAGTGACCTGAAATCACGCCACTGCACTCCAGCCTGGGCAACAGAGTGAGATTCTGTCTCAAAAAAAAAAAAAAAAAAACAAAAAAAAACCTGAGAGAGATGGAGAGTATACGTATGATTCCCAAAAGGAAAGAAAAATAAAAGTGGAGATGAGGAAATAAATAATTGACGAAATAATGGAGATTTAAATGTTCCAAAAATGTTTTTTAAATGAGTACAGATTGAAAGAGCTCATAGAGTAACCAACAGTAGAAAAGAATAAGGAAAAATTCACACATAGGTATCAGGGGGAAATTAAGAATATGAAAGACCAGGAAGAAGAGCAGGGAGAAATAACAGATGGCGTACAGAGGAACAAGAACTGGGTTGGCATTATTCTTCTCAACAGCAATACCCGATAAAGTCAAAGAAGTGATGTCACTAGTAATTTAAAAAAAAGAACTCTTTCAATCCAGAATTTTAAAGCCAGCCAATTTGTCATTCAAACATGAGGTCATAATAAAAATATTCTTAGGCAAATAAAGCCTCAGAAGGTGGAATACACAAAGACCCACATTGAAAATACTCTTGCAGGAAATAAATAATGAAAGAAATGTTCAGGAGATCCTGCAAGAACTGTGGGAAGTCAGGCTTCAGTGCAAGAAATAGAAGCAGTATTTGGCATTTTAGGCAGGAGGGGATTTTATACACCTTTTTTTTTTTTTTTAATGTAGGAAAGGCTAGAGGCTCCCAAAATACTGCAAAACTGGCCAGACTGGGGAGCTACAGCATCTGCCATAACCAGGAAAGTGGAGGAATCTCAAGGCTGCCCTGGAGGTTGAAACTGAACTTGACAGGGAACTGTTGAATTCAAGGACACATACATCCTGGATCCAGGGACCTGGAAGCTGATACACTGTAACTGCCCAGATATTGGAACCCAGAGTCTGGGTACCAATGTCACTGCAACACTTGTTCTCTTTTCAACAAGGAGAGAGTGAGTCCTAGGCTTGGACAGGTTGGGAGGTGACATTGTCTAGCTAGAATTTAATGACATTGATCTATTTCATCTAATTTATTTCATTGTTACCTTCTATTAATGGCAAGTGACACTGGCCATTTTTAGAAGTGATAGAAGATTGTGTGTGTGTGTGTGTGTGTGTGTGTGTGTGTGTGTGTGTGTTTTGAGACAGTCTTACTCTGTCACCCAGGCTGGAGTGCAGTGGCGTGATCATGGCTCACTGCAGCCTCCACCTCCTGGCTCAATCAATCCACCCACCTCAGCCTCTTGAGTAGCTGAGACTACAGGTGCACACCATCATGCCTGGCTAATTTTTGCATTTTTTTTGTAGAGATGGGGTCTCACTCTGTTGCCCAGTGATATGGTTAGGCTTTGTGTCCCCACACAAATTTCATCTTGAATCATAGTCCCCTTAATCCCCACTTGTCAAGGGAGAGACCAGATGGAGGTAATTGAATCATCGTGGTGGTTTCCTCCATGCTGTTCTCGTGATAGAGTGAGTTCTCATGAGATCTGATGGTTCTGTAAGGGGCTCTTCCCCTTTCGCTTGGCACCTCTCCTACCTGCCACCTTGTGAAGAAGTTACCTTGGTTCCCCTTCTCCTTCCTCCATGACTGTAAGTTTCCTGAGGCCTCCACAGCCATGCTGGACTTCGAGTCAGTTAAACCTCTTTCCTTTATAAATTACCCAGTCTTGGGCAGTTCTTTATAGCAGTAAGAAAACAGACTAATGCTCCCAGGCTGGTCTCTAACTCCTGGGCTCAAGTGATCCTCCCACTTCAGCCTCCCAAAATGCTGGGATGACAGGTATGAGCCATGCGCCTGGCCATTTCTGACATATTCTAGTGGTCTAAGCAGTCACAGGGCCCACCTAGCTTCAAGGGAGTGGAGAAATGGACTCTGCCTCTTGATGTGGGCAGTGGCCGGGTCACACTGCAGGAGAGAATATGGGATGGGAGATATTATGAGGCTGTCTTTGGAAACTGCAATTTGCATAGCTGGGAAGCACTGGTGGGTTTTGGAGACAGGAAATTGCTCATTCTGCCTGGCGGGGGAAGGGAAGAGGAGACAGGGGCTGGTGGAATAAGACTGAGGCAAGTTCATGGAAGACCTTGATTCCCACAACAGATCATTAGAACTTTATTCTGTAGCAAGTTGGAAATGATCATTGCTTTTGGAACAATGGAGAAACTGTGCAGAAAGCAAAGGTCTGTAATTCTAATTCCTTCAACAAGTGGCTCCCCAGGGAAGAGGCTGGAGGCTTCTATTCCTTCACAGTGACATATCCCAGCCCCACAATGGCATAAAAAGCACACTGCCTCAAATCCACTAAGCATTTATTAGACAATTATTGTATGCTGGGTGCAAGGCCAGGCTAGGCACTGTAGAGGTGAGTCTATGATTCATAAACCTGAATTCTGGAAATTCCAGTCCATAGCTTCTAGATCCCCTCTTGGATGCCTCATGGCCCAAAAACCCTTTGCCAGGACAAATATCCTGGTTTTTTACTAGAAAAATATCCAAGTCCAAGCAATGTAAAAGTACAAAGGAGGCTGTGACTTGTCCCTTGAGTCTGCACAGAGCTGAGAGGGGCTGTGATGGTCCAGGCCCCGAGCTCAGGGATCCGGACCCCAGAGAGTTAAGCGTATATTCGGAGCCAACCCATCCTCAGGCACCTGCTTAACCCCATCTCTTCCACGCAGCCCATACGCACACATGCATTCACGCATTTATTCATTCAAGTGCCTTCTAAACAGCAGGCCTTGTGCTGGGTGCTGGCAGGATGGCTATAAGTAAGGCAGGTCCCCCAGGGAGCACCTAGAATAGAAAGGAAGCCGGACCTCCCTACTGATAACAACACTTTCAGGTGATAAGTGCTATAACTAAGGTACCTATGAGATGCTGTGAAGAGTCTCAGAGGAGGCTGACCTCCTTCAGATAGGAGGAGAGGCTTTGGGCAGGTCTTGGAGAAAAAGGAAACTGACATTATCAGCACCCACTAGGGCCCAGGCATTCTGCTAGGGGGTTAACGTGCACTGCTAAGTGACTTATGCACACAAAACCCTTACACAGGCCTGGTCTATACAGTAAGGCTAAGTGATTGACACTTAATATTAACAATTATCATCTCCTTTGAGTGTAACAAGAAGGAACTAGAGAGGAGTCGCAAAGCCTCCTTTACAGTTGAGGAAACAGGCATGGAGGCTAAGTTGTGAGCCCAAGGGGACATAACTAAGCCGGAGTTCAATCCCCAATTTAATTCTAAAGTCCTGATCTCTGTCTCCACCCTCTTTCTAGTTCATGGAGGAGGGAAGAAGTGGAGGACATTCCCAAAGAGGGGACAAACCTTGGGAAAACTCAATAGTCTCAAGGAGCCAGGGTGTGGAGTATGTGGGTGCCCAGGTGGGATGGGAGAGGAGGCAGGAGAGAGGTGGCGGGGGCTGAAGTGTAAAGGGCATTGAACACCAGGTGGGGTAGGAGAGTGGGCTTGATTCTACCCATAGAGAGAATCGACCGAGGGTTCCGCGACGCCCTGGCCGTATTGGAATCTCTCCTTCCAGGTCACACTCCCGTGACCGCTCGTCACCTAATTAGGCACCCGCCTGTGACCCGTTCACATCCTTCCAGGCAGGGCTGGGCCTGGAACACGGGGCAACTCACAGTCCAGAGCTTCCTCCTTGTCACGGCCTCCCTCTCAGGCTGTGGTATTTGCTCAGAACCTGAGCCCGGGGGCAGAGAGCACAGAAATATTTATTTATGTCACTGCCAACCCTGCCTCCTGGAGGCCCGCACGGGGCACCTCACAGAGAAGCTCAGTTATATAACTCAGAGTTGACACAGCAGGAAGGAGAGGGAAACAAGTTCTAGTTATTCCTTTTTCTCAGTCTTAGACACATTTGGAAACTGGATGGCTTGACATTGCCCTGTCTTCTTCCTCCCTCACCTTACTGACCTGGGGTCCCCAGGGACCTCGGTGATGCTAGATCCATTGCTGATTTTAACCTCGATTCTCATGTGGCTGGGGGTTTGGGGAGATCTTCCTAGAGGTGGAGGAGGGGAGAGAAAGGAAATATATTAAAGGGCTGCTTTGTGCCAAACACTGCCAGAGACTTTATATTTATTATTATTAGTAGTAGTATTAAACAGCAATCCCATGAAGAGGGTCCTGTTATTACCTCCACTTTACAGAAAAGGAGATGAAGGCACAGAGAGGTTAAGTAACTTTCTAAAGGCCACCCAGCCGAGCCAGGTCAGTCTGGCTCTGACCACTACTGGTTCATTTTCAAGCATCTCAAACTGAATCCATAATAAACTGAATCCCATAATAGGGATCCTTTTTGTTGTTGTTATTAGAGACAGGGGTCTCGATATATTGCCCAGGCTGGACTCAAACTCCTGGGCTCAAGAGATCCTCCCACCTCAGCCTTCCAAGTAGCTAGGACTAGAGGCATGCGTCACCATACCCGGCTCATAATGTAGGGGTTCTTGAGAGCCCAGAGCATGCTAGTTTCTTATTGTGGAGGAAGTTCTTCCACAGCTTTAATTCCTAATATATTTGTTTTGTTTTGTTTTGTTTTTTTTTGGAGACTTGCTCTGTCGCCCAATGGTGCGATCTCAGCTCACTGCAACCTCTGGGGTCAAGCAATTCTCCCACCTCAGCCTCCCGAGTAGCTGAGATTACAGGCGCCTGCCACCATGCCCGACTGATTTTTGTATTTTTAGTAGAGACGGGGTTTCACCATGTTGGCCAGGCTGGTCTCAAACTTCTGACCTCAGGTGACCCACCTGCCTCAGCCTCCCAAAGTGCTGGGATTACAGGCATGAGCCACCATGTCCAGTCCCAACATATTTCTTGAATCTAGGTTCCACTCTGGCCCTCCCTGGGCACTAGACTTCACTGTGCTGGGACCTTCACTCTCCCACCCACTCACCACATCCTACACTTTCCTTCCCTAATGTGCCCATTCCCACCCCCTCCTCCCCAGACTTCACTCCCATTGTTCTTCCCAGCTAGACTGGCATTCTTCCCTTCCCACCTCATAAAGTCCCAGTCAAATGATAATAGTAACAATGTTCATTGATTGAGCGGCAGCAGTAAAGTGGAGTGGTCAAAAGCATGAACTGTGGTGTACTTGGCCTAAGTTCTACCTAGTTCTGCCGCTTTCACTGGCTGTGTGACCTCAGGATACTTAGTCTCTCTGGGCCTCAGTTTCTCTACCTGTAAAATGGAAATAATGATACCCACCTCCTAGGGCTGGCATGGAATGAAATGAGTTATACAAATAAAAATTTAAACTATACAAATAAAAGCTTACTTATAAAGTTTTTAGAAAAGTGCTTGGCACACAGTAAGTGCTCATTAAATGCTCCTCTTACTTTCAAGCCCTCAAAACATGGTGCAGACTCTGAAGTCAGATTCTTTGGGGTCACGTCCTTCCTCAGTTGGTGACCTTGGACAAGTTACTTAACCTCCTTGGGCCTCAGTTTCCTCACTTAAAAAAAATTTTTTTTTGAGACAATTTTTCTTGCTCTGTGACCCAGGCTGGAGTACAGTGGCACAATCACTGCTCACTGCAGCCTTGAACTCCTGGGCTCAAGTGATCCTCCCACCTCAACCTCTAGATGGGACCACAGATGTGAGCCACCACACCTGGAAATTTTTTTTTTTTTTTTGTGGAGACGGGGTCCCCCTGTGTTTCCCAGGCTGCTCTTGAACTCCTGAGCTCAAGCAGTCTGCCCACCTTGGCCTCCCAAACTGCTGGGATTACAGGCGTGAGTCACCATGCCCAGGCTAGAAATTTTAACAAACAATATGCTTTTTGCTTAGAAACAATCAAATAAACATAAAGTAAGTTAGGCCCCATCTCTAACAAAAAAAAATTTTTTTATAGATTAGTCGAGTGCAGTGGCTTGCACCTATAGTTCCAGCTGCTTGGGCAGTGCAGATGGGAGGATCCCTTGAACTGGGGAAGTCAAGGCTGGAGTGAGCCGTGATTGTGCCACTGCACTCCAGCCTGGGCAACAGAGCAAGATCTCACTCAAAAACTAAATACATAAACAAACAAAGTACTTAACAGGGGGCTTAGCGCTTAGAACTAAGTACATACAAGCTATTATTATATTCCTGGGATTCAGATCCAGGTCAGTCTGACCCCACAGCCGAAGAGTTTAATGACCCCATGGTGCCATTCAAATTCCACTGCTCCAGGTGGCCTGCCCTCCCCCAGGCCCCTGCTCAGAACCCTCAGCCTCTGAGCTCACGGCACCTCTGTGTTAGTGTCTCATCTGCCTCCTGGTGATGCAGACCACACATGGGGGGAAGGTACATGCCAGGTGCCCTGTGCCCGATCCTTGCTCAGTGCCACAGTCTCTAGCTCATAATATATGATTAATGAATATTTCCTGAATGAATGAATGTATGAACAAATGAATGAGTTGGTGTTGGTAGGAGAGGGGTGTGGGTGGTGAACACTTACCACCCGGTCATAATTACTCCTTCTGGGCGCCTCTGCTATGCCCACCACTGGGCATGGTCTTCATGTTCACAGTCCCATTAGATCCTCATCAAACCCCATTCTGCTTCACAACGAGGGACATTGAGACTTCTCTTGGAGTTCCCAGCGTCCTTGGGTATAAAGCAAAGAGAGAAGGACAGAGTGTGGTTTGGTGTTGTCCAATATAATGTGAGCCACATATGTTATTGTAAATGTCCTGGTAGCCACATTAAAAAAGTAAAAAGAAGGCTGGGCACGGTGGCTCATGCCTGTAATCCTAGCACTTTGGGAGGCCGAGGCAGGCGGATCACGGGGTCAGGAGTTCAAGACCAGCCTGGCCAACATAGTGAAACCTCGTCTCTACTAAAAATACAAAAATTAGCCAGGCGTGGTAGTGGACAGCTGTAATCCTAGCTACTCAAGAGGTTGAGGCAGGAGAATCACTTGAACTCAGGAGGCAGAGGTTGCTGTGAGTGGAGATCACGCCATTGGACTCCAGCCTGGGTGACAGAGCAAGACTCTGTCTCAAAAAGAAAGAAAGAAAAAAGAAACAGGCTAAATTTTGATATTTTATGTAACCCAGCATATTCCAAATATGAACATTTCCACATGTAGTCAATAGAAAAAAACTTCATATATATACTTTTTTTTTCTTTGAGATGGAGTCTTGCTCTGTCGCCCAGGCTGAAGTGACATGGCACGATCTCGGCTCACTGCAACCTCTGCCTCCCGGGTTCAAGAGATTCTCCTGCCTCAGCCTCCCGAGTAGCTGGGATTACAGGTGTGCGCCACCACGCCTGGCTAATTTTTGTGTTTTTGGTAGAGACACGGCTTCACCATATTGGCCAGGCTGGTCACAAACTCCTGACCTCAAGTGATCCGCCTGCCTCGGCCTCCCAAAGTGCTGGGATTACAGGCGTAAGCCACCGCGCCTGGAAGAAAAAAATTATGAATGAGATGTTTTACATTCTTTTATTTTGTCCTAAGTCTTTGTAATTCCATGGGCATTTTGCACTTAAAATACATTGTAACTCACAGCAGCCACATTTCCGAGGCTCAAATAGCCATGCGTGGCCAGGGGCACCACGCTGGACAGCACAGATCTAGATGCTGCTGGGTGGTGAAAGCCTGGCTGAGGATTGGGACTTCATTCACCTTAGCTGATGAGTAGCCATCCAAAGCTGGGGCAGCGGCGAGCATGCTCAGATGTATTTCTAGAAAGTTCTCTGGGGTGGCTGTACAGTTGATGGATTTTAAGGGGAGAGGGCTTTTCTATCCTCTCCACCTTAGGGTGGATGGATCACACTGAGGGCGTTCCCCCACTGGGATATGACTTGGAGGTAGAGATGGGCTCCGTATCCCCAAGAAGGACTCTCCCGTCCAAGGTAAATGTCAGGTCTGAGGCTCCAACCCCATCAGACCCTTCCTTCCTGTGCCTCTGACCTGCTCTTTCCCGAGGCAGTCAGTGGTCACTGAATGGTGCAGGCTGGGGCTGAGCTCGGCACCTGCTATGGTTTGTGGGTAACAGATATGGTTCTGGGCAGCTCAGAGAGGAAGTGAAGAACCTGCTAGCCCCGCCTGGCCAAGCTCCCCGTGCCAGGGCCGGCTCTGGACACACCAGCCCACAGAGGCACACTCGCTT
Organism: Homo sapiens; assembly: GCF_000001405.40. NCBI lineage: Eukaryota > Metazoa > Chordata > Mammalia > Primates > Hominidae > Homo > Homo sapiens. Next base: position 24,572,590 of record NC_000001.11, read on the forward strand.
GCACACTTGCTCACACACTCACCGCCCCTCCCCACTGCTCAGCCCCCTCCTCCTAGGAGTACACAGGCCCCCTGGAGAGCTCAGCACCCCAGCACACCCACCACATCCTTCCCCAAACCTCGTTCCTGCTCATGTTTGCATTTCCTGGACCCCCAGCTCACACTTGCCTCGCACGTTCCGCACGTCCTAAAAGTCTCTTCCACTTTTCCTCTGGCACGTCAAGGAGCGGGCAGGATGGGTGCTGCCAGGCCCTGGTTTGGGAAGCAGAAAACTGGATCCCAATCCTGCCCCAGTAGCTCTGTGATTTTGGACGATTTACTCAGTCTCTCTGAGCCTCAGTGACCCTGGGTGTGAAGCAGAATGGAGTTTGATAAGGATCCAATGGGACTGTGAACATGAAGCCCATGCCCAGTGGTGGGCATGGAAAAGGCACCCAGAAGGAGCAACCATGACTGTGTGGGAAGTGTCCACCCTCTACACCCCAGGTCTAGGAAAGCCAGGCCCTGCTCACACACCTCCACGCCTGTCTATGGGGCAGACCTGGGTCCTCCCAGCCTTCACACCTGAGGTTCTCCCAGGCCCCATCAGCCTTCAGGGACAGGACTCATATCACGTTGAAACCAGGTGGTTCGGCTCAAACACAGACCCCTGAGCTTAGCTCTGTAGTGGGCAAGGCATCAGTGTCTATGATGGTTAATTTTAGGTGTCAGTTTGACTGGGGCTGGGCGCAGTGGCTCACTCCTGTAATCCCAGCACTTTGAGAGGCCAAGGTCGTGGATCACGAGGTCAGGAGTTCAAGACCAACCTGGCCAACATGGCGAAACCCTGTCTCTACTAAAAATACAGAAATCAGTCAGGCGTGGCAGTGTGTGCCTGTAATCCCAGCTACTCAGGAGGCTGAGGCAGGAGACTCACTTGAACCTGGGAGGCAGAGGTTGCAGTGAGCTAAGATCGCACCATTGCACTCCAGCATGAGTGACATAGCAAGACTCTGTCCCCCCTACAAAAAAGAAACAAAAACAAAAACAAAAACAAAAACTTGACTGGACTGAGAAACCTAGAAACCGGCCAGGTGCAGCGGCTCACACCTATAATCCCAGAACTTTGGAAGGCCGAAGCAGGAGGCTCTCTTGAGCCCAGGAGTTCGAGACCAGCCTGGGCAACATAGTAAAACCCCATCTCCAGAAAAAATATAATTAAAATTAGAAAAGAAACCTAGAAACCTAGTAAAGCATTATTTTGGGGTGTGTCTGTGATGGTGTTTCCAGAGGAGATTAGCGAGCGAGTCTGAGTGGACTAGACGGGGAAGATCCGCTCCCAGTGTGGGCGGCACCATGCACTCTGCTGGGGACCCAGAGAGGACAAAAAAAAAAAAAAAAAAACAGAAAAAAGGGGGAATATGTCAGTCTAGCTCCTGGAGCTGGGATACGCTCATCTCCTGTGTTGGACAGCAGAACTCCAGGCCCCCTGGCCCTTGGACTCCAGGACCCACACAGCGGCCCCCAGGTGCTTAAGCCTTCAGTCTGGGACTGAGAGGGGTTTTTTTTTTTTAGACGGAGTCTTGCTCTGTTGCCCAGGCTGGAGTGCAGTGGAATCTTGGCTCACTGCAACCTCTGCTTCCTGGGTTGAAGTGATTCTCCTGCCTCAGACTGCTGAGTAGCTGGAATTACAGGTGCGTGCCACCATGCCCAGCTAATTTTTGTACTTTTAGTAGAGACGGGGTTTCACCATGTTGGCCAGGCTGGTCTCAAACTCCTGACCTCAAGTTATCTGCCCACCTCGGCCTCGCAAAGTGCTGGGATTACAGGCATGAGCCACCGCGCCCGGCCAACGGGACTGAGAGTTATATCATCAGTGTCCCTGGTGCTGAGGCCTTCGGGCTTGGACTGAGCCACGCTCCTGATGTCCCAAGGTCTTCAGCTTGCAGATAGCCTGTCACCGGACTTCGCAGCCTCCACGATTGCATAAGCCCATTCCCTTAGTAAGTCCCCTCTTCTGTATCTGTATAACACATTGATCCTGTCTCTCTGGAGAACTCCGACATATACCATGTCCCAGGACTCTGAGCTCCACAGCAGATTCTTCAGAGACAACATCAGGGGCCCAGTAGACACTGGAGACGGTGTCCAGGACAGGTCAGCTCTGAGAGAACCCTGAACCAGCAGTACCAGGAGCACGAGGCACAGTAGACAAGGCCCGCAATACTTTTTTTTTTTTTTTTTTTGAGACGGAGTCTCACACTGTCGCCCAGTCTGGAGTGCAATGGCATGATCTCGGCTCACTGCACCCACTGCCTCCCGGGTTCAAGCAATTCTCCCGCCTCAGCCTCCCAAGTAGCTGGGATTACAGGCACCACCATCATGCCTGGCTAATTTTTGTTTGTAGAGATGCGGTTTCAACATGTTGGCCAGGCTGGTCTTGAACTCCTGACCTCAGGTGATCCGCCAGCCTTGGCCTCCCAAAGTGCTGGGATTACAAGCATAAGCCACCACACCTGGCCAAGGCCCATAATACTTTTAAGGGCCCATTAAGATGTTTTAATTTCTGGGAGGCGGAGGTTGCAGTGACCCGAGATCGTGCCACTGCACTCCAGCCTGGGCGACAGAGTGAGACTTTGTCTCAGATAAAAAAAGATGTTTTAATTTCTTTAAAATCAAGCAGGGGAAAGAACTTTTAGAGCAGCAAAAAAGTTTCAGTTTTTTTCCCTCGGGTTGGAAAAAAAATAAAATTTTTAGAGCCCACGAAAATGTATTACGCTGGGAGAGCCCCACAGAAGTCATAATGCACCCGACTGAGTCTTCATTCGTTCAGACAGGTTTATTGGGCAGGGTGCTTTCTGTCAGCTCTTATTTGATCCTTACAATCCAGATGAGGAAATGAGGCTCCTGGAGGGTGAATAATTTGTCTACAACAGTGATTTTAAAGGTGACAGAGGCAGAATCTGAACCTAGGTCCATCTGAGCCCAAACCCTTGTCTTCGCCAAGCCACACTTGGCATTTGCAAGCTCATCACTGTATTTAACCCAGTCCTCACAGATTAGGAGCAATTGCCCCGTTTTAAAACTGAGAAAACTGCCCGGGCGTGGTGGCTCATGCCTGTAATCCCAGTACTTTGAGAGGCCGAGGCGGCTGGATCACCTGAGGTCAGGAGTTTGAGACCAGCCTGACCAGCATGGTGAAACCCCGTCTCTGCTAAAAATACAAAATTAGCCGGGCGTGGTGGCATGTGCCTGTAATTCCAGCTACTTGGGAGGCTAAGGCAGGAGAATTGCTTGAACCCAGGAGGCGGAGGTTGCAATGAGCCGAGATCGCACCATTGCACTCTCAAAAAAAAAAAAAAAAAAAAAAAAAATGAGGAAACTAAGTCCTGGAGAGGAGAAGAAAGCGCCTTGCCCACAGTAACTTGGCTAGTTAGTGAAGGAGTCAGAACTAGCTCCCTCATCCTGATCCTCTCTGCACAGCCGCATTGCCCCGTCCAGAGCTTCTCCTGCCCTCCCTCGCTGTCCCCATCCTCCACCCTCACCACTGCCACCCTGCACAGATGGCTCCCCTGCCTGTCCCCCGACCTGCCTTTCTTGGTCCAGTTTCCCAGCCACAGAAAGGCCACTTAGGTCTGTGCGGCATCCACATCCCACCTCCTGACAAAGCTGGGGGCTGGCACTGCTGCTTGAGAGGGTGGGAAGAAAAGACAGGCGGCAGGCCAAGACGAGAGTGTAGGTTTAAATGACACCGCAGGTCCCCCAGACAAACGCCCCTCTGTATCTTTGGGCCTATTGTGACTGGCCACTGGCCAGCTCACACCGTGGGCAGCTTGAACGGCTGGGATTGTTTCCCCAACTCCTGTCCTCTCTGGAGTCCAGCGGCTGCCAGGCCCAGGCTTGGCAGGAAAGGGGAGGGGTGTTCCTTCTGGAATGGAGGGTGTGGAGGCAAACAAGCCTCGGGGAGGGTGTCCTGAACCAAGTGAGAGGCTGGAAGAGTCACAAGGAGGAAGGGGCCAGAGAGGGAGGTCCCTGGTCCCCAGCTGTTCAGTTTGCAGGAGGGCAAACTGCAGTCCAGACAGAACAAGTGGCCTGCCCCAGGTCACACAGAAAGTAAGTAACAGGGGTGAGACTAGAACCCAGGATTCCTAACTCCAGCCCAGGGTTCTTGCCCCCCATCTCAGGCCTCTCTGTTGGAGTTTTCAAGATGGCCGTGTTAAGTAGGTGAGGTAGTGAGCCCCATAGACCAAGACCTTGGGACTCAAAGAAAGGATGTTACACAGGACACAGTGGCTCACACCTGTAATCCCAGCACTTTGGGAGGCTGAGGCAGGTGGATCACCTGAGGTCAGGAGTTCAAGACCAGCCTGGCTAACATGACGAAATCCTGTCTCTACTAAAAGCACACACACACAAAAAAATTAGCTGGGCGTGGTGGTGCATGCCTGTGATCCCAGCTCCTCGTGAGGCTGAGGAAGAAGCATCACATGAATCCAGGAGGTAGAGGTTCCAGTGAGCCAAGATTGCGCCACTGCACTCCAGGCCTGGGCGACAGAGTGAGACTCCGTCTCAAAAAAAATAAAAATAAAAATAAAAAATAAAAAGGATGTCACATGCTAAAATTATAGAGCACTAGATTTCCTAGAATTTCATATTAAAATGCAGATACTCCCAGAGAATTGTCATCCTTAACTCATTAATAACAAACACTTTGTGGTTAGCCAAGCCCTTGGATAAGGCAGAGGAAGAGACAGAGAAACAAAAGCGAGACCACTGAAAGATCCATTAGGGATAAATTCAGATTTTTGGAGTTTCTAAGAAGGCACTGGCCTTGTTTTTTTTTTTTTTTTTTTTTTTTTTTTTTGGTTTTTTTGTTTGTTTTTCGTTTGTAGAGATGGGTTCTCACTACGTTGCCCAGGCTGGCCTCCAGCTCCTGGCCTCAAGTGATCCTCCCACTTCGGCCTCCCAAAGTGCAGGGATTACAGGCTTGAACCACCATGCCCGGCCTGGCCTTGGTTCTGGAAGTCAACACACTTGGTTCCAAAGAGATTGCTGGCACTCATTTGGAGTTGAATTTTTTCCTGCACTCCCATCCCCAATTTTTTTTCTCAGAAGTTTTCAGTTGCCCTGTTCATGGCATAGATATTAACTACATCTACATAGTCTTGCTTTTTGTAGGTGACTATGAAGTGACTCGGAAACCTCAGTTCGAGCTTTTGGGAGACTTAGTGCCTTACGACAGCAGGGTGGTTGCGAGGAAAGCTTAAAGGAGAGATGCATGGGCCGGGGGTCGGGGGTCTTACAAGTCGCCTCCCGGCCATGGCTCCTTTAGGGGTGGTTTGGTTCTTGCTGCTGCTGTTGCGCATTTTGTTTTGAATGAATTAGAAAAGAGGTCTAAAAAATGTACCAAATAGGCCAGGCACAATGGCTCACGCCTGTAATCCCAGCACTTTGGGAGGCTGAGGCGGGTGGATCACTTGAGGCCAGGAGCTGGAGACCAGCCTGGGCAACATAGTGAGACCCTGTTTGTACTAAAAATACAAAAGTATTAGCCAGGCATGGTGGCATGTGCCTGTAATCCCAGCTACTCAGGAGGCTGAGGCACGAGAACCTGGGAGGCAGAGGTTGCAGTGAGCCAAGATCATGCCATTGCACTCCAGCCTGTGGGACACTGTCTCAAAAAAAAAAAAAAAAAAAATTGTACCAAATAAACTACCAATGAACCTTCCTCTGTCTATGTGCTCCCGGGGGCTTTGCTGGCCCTCAGTCTCCCCATTTGTAGAAGAGAGGGCAATGGACACAGGAGTTTTCCAACTGGGGTCTCCAGGATCCTGGGACACGGAGTTGCTTCCTAGAGCCTCCACAGAGGGTGTGTGGTGTGGTGAAGAGAAATTGGGAGTGGGGTGGGAGGGAGGGTAGCTGGAATAGAAAGGAGGAGTTTTAATCCCTAAGCCTGTTGGGGGAGGGAGCTTAGTTTTCTTTTTCTTTCTTTCTTTTTTTTTTTTTTTTTTTTGAGACGGTTTCTTGCTCTGTCTCCCAGGCTGGAGTGCAGTGGTACAATCACAGCTCACTGCAGCCTCAACGTCCTGGGCTCAAGTGATCCTCCCACATCAGCCTCCTAAATAGCTGGGACTACAGGCACATGCTACCATGCCCAGCAAATTTTTATTTTTATTTCTTGTAGAGATTGGGTCCCACTATACCGTTCAAGCTGGCCTCAAGCTCCTGGCCTCAAGCAATCCTCCTGCCCCAGCCTCCCAAAGTGCTGGGATTACAGACAAGAGCCACTACACCTGACTGAGAGCTTTGTTTTCTATCATAAACTCATCCGGCAAACTCTCCAACAGAAGAGAAGAGTAGATCTCCTTTCCATCTAGACAAACACATCAGAAAATCTACAGGTTTCATTTTTTCTTTGGCTGACAGAACCTCCCCCACCCCAGTCAGGCTGGTTACCCGCAGACTGTGCCCGGCAGCGCGGACCTCGGCATCTTCTTGCTCCTTCCTACTGGAGGCTGGAGCCCCTGGTCCCTGGAATCCCTGCCCTTCTCTTGCTTCACCCCTCGCTCACTTTAGTGGGTGCATCCTCCAGGGGCTTCCTGGGAAAAGGTGCATGGGGTAGGGTGGGGGTTTTTTTTTTTTTAAAGACTTCATGCCCAAAAGTGTCCTTTCTCATAGCATCCTGTTCTTGTTTTATAGATGCAATATCTTAGCTGTCTGAATATATCAATGTTTTCTTCTTCTCTGTGCATTGTCTCTACTTGCCTTAAATGCCTCCATCTGTTCATTGTTTTGTTTGCTGTCTGTCATGCTTGGGGCTTTTCTCCTCTCAAAGGTCTTTTCTCCTCTCCTTGGCTATCTGTTCCTATTTAAGAGTAAGACATAGGCTGGGGGTGGTGGCTCATGTCTGTGATCCTAGCAATTTGGGAGGCTGAGGCCAGAGGATCACTTGAGTCTAGGAGTTCAAGACTAGCCTGTGCAACATAGCAAGACCCATCTCTACAAAACTAAAAATTAAAAAAGTTAGCCAGACATGGTGGTGCACACCTGTAGTCCCAGCTGCTCAGGAGGCTGCACTTAGGTCCAGGAATTCAAGGCTGCAGTGAGCTATGATTTGCACCACTGCACTCCAGCCTGAGCAACAGGGTGAGACCTTGTTTCAAAAATAAATAAATAAGGAAACAAAAATCCGTTCAAAACTCTAGGTGAGGTGGGCAGAGCTTGTCAACTAGCAGCCTCTCCATAGGCCGACTGGACAGAACCTGGCCATTGTATTAGAAGATTCTCTAGTCAATCAGTATCTGTAGGTCTATTCCCTTTGGCTGGTCTGTTTCCCAGAGCCTAGGCTTTGACATTCCCATTTTCAGCCAGAGATTAGCCTTTGGCAGAGCTGAGCTTCCCAGACAAATGTGCCTATGAATCTCCTGGGGTCTGGCCGAGGGGTAGGTTCTGGCTAGCAGGCCTGAGTGGAGCTGAGATTCTGCATTCCCAACAAAGCGCCAGAGCTGCCGGTGCTGCTGATCCATGGACCACACTGTGAGGGCCACAGCCTGCGGCAGCACTGCCCAAAATGACTTGACACCATCCTGTGCTGTCCAATGCGGGAGCCACCAGCCACGGCGGGTACTGGGCAGCTGAAATGTGGCTAATGCAACGGAGACACTACATTCTTAATTGTATTTAAGTGTAATTAATTTTTCTTTAACTTGCCATGGCTACATGTGGCTATCATGTCAGGCAGTGCAGGGTTACCTCCTCCTGGCTGCCTCTGCAGACGGGGGCAGAACTCACTCTGTTCTGCAGGGTGGAGGAGGCCCACAGTGGTGAGGACGGAGGGAAGGGGTGGAGGGGGGCAGAGTGGAGCTGCGCCTTAACTTTTGTCTTCCTCTTTCTTTGGGTGGGGGGATGGAGTCTTGCTCTGTCACCAAGCTGGAGTGCAGTGGTGCGATCTCAGCTCACTGCAACCTCCGCCTCACAGGTTCAAGCGATTCTCCTGCCTCAGCCTCCTGAGTAGCTGGGACTACAGGCATGCACCACCACACCTGGCTAATTTTTGTATTTTTAGTAGAGACAGGGTTTCACCATGTTTTGTCAAGTTCCAGCCTGGTCTCAAACCCCTGACCTCAGGTGATCCGCCCGTCTCAGCCTCCCAAAGTGCTGGAATGACAGGCGTGAGCCACTGCGCCCAGGCAGTCTTCCTCTGTTTAGCCCCACCTGGCACCCTGACGTTTGGTGATCTCTGTCACCACTCACTCCTGAGTCTGGGGGGCTTCTTCAGTGCAATCAGCTTTAATTGGTTTCCTAGTCTGTAGGTTTAGGCCTTTGCCTTTTCCAGGCTGTTAAGTCATACTCAGCCGTCGGCTTTTCCGGCTTTCAAACCTGGATTGGCGTCTCTCCAGTGTGGTTGTTTTCTCTTCTGTACCCTTTGGCCTTGAGAGTTGACGCCTCTTGATTCTTGATTCCTTCACTGTCATGTGCCAGGGGGTTCAGGATGAAGCAGAGATGAATAGTCGTGCTCCATCTAGTTTGCTGAACCAGCCAGAAGTCCTTTCTGCTTTTTTTTTTTTTGAGACGAGGTCTCGCTGCGATGCCAGGCTGGAGAGCAGTGGTGCTATTTTGGCTCACTGCAACCTCCACTTCCCAGGTTCAAGCGATTCTCCTGCCTCAGCCTCCCAAACAGCTGAAATTACAGGCACCCGCCACCACGACTGGCTAATTTTTGTATTTTTAGTAGAGATGGGGTTTCACCATATTGACCAGGCTGGTCTCGAACTCCTGGCCTCAAGTAATCCACCTGCCTTGGCCTCCCAAAATGCTGGGATTACAGGCATGAGCCACTGTGACCGGCCCCTGCTTTCTTTTGTTTAAAAGATGTATCCCAAACTTTGTTTATGTCAAGATAAGGCCAACCGGAATTCATCCTTCTTACCTGTAAGTTCCCTGCAGGCAGGAAATTCATTGTGTTCAGTAGCCTAGAGAAACCACCCTAAGTTACTGCACGGACTGAGAGTCGCTGGGAGAAGTCCAAGGCTCTGCCTGTCTGGGAAAGAGAGCCCAGCTAACCAACCCAGCGCACTTCCTCTAGTCTGTAAAGGGATTGATGAGGCTCATGGAGGGGCCAGACAGCTGAAAGACATCCTTGCAAATCAGAACTGGCCAGAGAGGGGCCTAAAGCAGACAGTCTACTTTAGTAGACATTTACAAGACTAAAGTCCTTACAAGACCAAAGACCTTCTAAGCCCTTGGCAGGGAGGAACTCTGGAAAGGAAGATTTGAGATTGGTTATGAGTTAACTAGGCAAATAAATCCCACAGATGGGATAGAATTCTGGCTGGCAGGGGCTGGGCTGGACCGGTCCTTCAGGACAGGATGAACTATGGATACCTTTGAAGTGAAGTTAGAGGTAAGTTGGTGCTAAGACTTACATGAAATCAGCTTGCTCAGCAGGGAAGGAATCAGGCCTGCCCAGTTGCCTCTTGAGCCCACTCCCTATTCCCCTACCCCAGCTGGCCTAGCGGCTCCAGGACTCTTTCTCTGTCCGTCTCTCACAGCCCTTCTCATGCGCAACCTCCTGATTCGTTGCTCGTGCCGACCACCCCCTGCACACATCGGATCCACCTCAGTGCCTCCCGTGGTGCTTGGCCTGTGTGTCTGCGTGTAAAGGCAGTGTAGATGAAGCAGGAGTGGATTCAGAGTGCACACCTTGGGATCAGACAGATAAGAGCCCAACTCCTATGTAGGAAGCTGAATAATGGCCTCCCAAAAACATCCTCATCCTAATCCCCCAAACCTCAGAATATGTTAGTTTGCACAGCAAAAGGAACTTTGCAGATGTAATTAAGTTCATGACTTTGAGGTGGGGAGATTATCCTGGATTAGCTGAGTGGGCCCAATGTCATCGTAAGGTTCTTTATAAGGGAGAGGCAGGAGGGTCACAGAGAGAGGAAGAGATGTGATGATGGAAGCAGAGATCAGAGAGAGCGAGGTAAGACGATGCTACGCTGCTGGTCTGAAGATGGAGGAAGAAACCACGAGCCAAGGAATGCAGGCAGCTTGCAAGAAAAGGCCCAGAAATGAATTCTCCCCTAGAGCCTCCAGAAGGAACACAGCCCTGCTAACACTTTGATTTTAGCCCACTAAGGCCAACTTTAGAATTCTGACCTCTTAAACTGAAAGAAGATTAATGTGTGTTGTTTTAAGCCACTAAATTTGCAATAATTTGTTAGAGCAGCAATAGGAAACGTATAGATCCTAGCTTTGCCATGTATCAGCACAGATGCCTCAGGCAAGTTTCCTAACTTCTCTGAGCCTCAGCTCCTATGTCTGTAAAATAGGAATAATATATGGAGAAAACATATACAAAGTACTTGGCATGGTAACTGGCACGTAAAAGACACTTGATCAATGGCAGTAATTGTGCTTTTGGTCATCGCCATCGTCGTCATCATCATGGTTATTGGTTGTTTATCCACAGGTATGAAAACAGACTGGACATTTTCCTTCTTATCTAGTTCTTCTTGGATAGGGAGAATAGGAAACTGTTAAGAGGCAGGCCAAATAGCTCTACTCCAGTGATTCTCAAGCAGAGAAAATTTTGTCTCCCAAGGACATTTGGAAATGTCCTGTAACATTTTTGGTTGTTCTAACTGGTGGGATGCTACTGGCATCTAGTGAGCAGAGAGGCCAAGGATGCTGCGATGGTGCTGAATATCCTATAATGCACAGGACAGCCCCTCACACCAAAGAATTACCTGGCCTGAATGTCAGTAGTACCAAGGATGAGAAACTCTGCCATACTCTGAGGCCTGGCTGTACCTCTTGGGCTCAAAATATCAACAGGTAGAAAGAAAAGTGAGCAGAGAGTTGCCAGGCACGGTGGCTCATGCCTGTAATCCCAGCACTTTGGGAGACCAAGGCGGGCGGATCACCTGAGGTCAGGAGTTCGAGACCAGCCTGGCCAACATGGGTGAAACCCCATCTCTACTAAAAATACAAAAAATTAGCTAGGTGTGGTGGCGCACATCTGTAATCCTAGCTACTCAGGAGGCTGAGGCAGGAGAATTGCTTGAACCCGGGAGGTGGAGGTTGCAGTGAGCTGAGATCACGCCACTGGACTCCAGACTGGGTGACAGAGCAAGACTCCGTCTCAGAAAAAAAAAAAAAAAAAAAAAGTGAGCAGGTGAGCAGAATCCTTCCCTAGCAGGGTCACTGACCATCAGAGTGTCCCCAGGAATACTGCTTACCTCCCGGGGACCAGGATTGCCGAGGACGGTTTGGAGTAGGAGATCTGAGTTTGAGACTCAGCTCCTCCACTGACCTGCTGTTAGATTTTGGGCAAGTCCCTTAACCTCTCTGAGCCTCCGTTTCCTATCAGCACAGTGGAGATGAAAAGACCTGCCTCGCTGTGTGGATTGAATGGGGAAGCATGTGAAAGCACAGTGCCTGGCACTTGCATAGGGTCTGCTTGAGTGTGGGCTTCCTTCCCTCCTGGCCTAGAATATCGAGGTGGCATTATTATCCTCTGACATATTCACTGAGGGGCATAAACCCATTAACCCTGTGCCCTCCCCCCGCCCCACAGGGACAGCGGGACACCTGGAGATTTACATGGGAGCTCCTATGGAGGTCGAGGACTCTCAAGAGTTGGGTCCTTGGCTTGAGCCCAGAGACTGAGAGGTAGACGGAAGCCACAGGTCACATTCTAGCTCTCAGTCAATCTCCACCACAATGTCCACGGGTCTCTTCCTCCCACCGACTTCTGGCACTGTGTGTGCCACCCTTTTGGCACCAGCAAAGTAAGCCTTGTGACCACTTTCAGCTGGGGTTTCTATTTATAACTCTTAGCACACTCAGCTTATCATATCTGCAGGTCTTGGGTTAGAAGCTCCTGGAGTCCCCTTTTCTTACAATGTGGGTCACAAAAATCAGAGCAAAGGACATCTGAGCCACCGTTTGACAGGGTGGGGAAGTAAGACTTCCCCTGAAGTCTGTGTGTGGTGGGCCTGAAACCCAGACTTCTGGAGCCACAGGCTGCGGCTTTTGCCATAGGACTGCAGTATGATATTGATCAGGCACCTTTCTGTGGTCAGTGCTGGGCTAGGCATGGGGTGGGCGGTGGGGTGGGGTTGATGCCCAGTACATGTGATTGAAGAAAAGATTCTGAAAGGAAACAATTCCTTTTCTCATTCTTTCGGTCTGAGTTCCTCAGGACATAATCCCCTTGGCCCCTCTGGTTTTTTGGTTTTTATTTTATTTATTTATGTATTGTTCTTTGGTTTAAAACAGACCCACGGCCCTCTTTGCGTCTTCTCAGTCCTATGCACAGGGTGGGCATTGATTGAATGGATGGGAGGACAGATGGACAGAAGAACGGGTGGAAGGACTGTGTGCCCAGTGAGTGGGTGGGCGGGTGGGTGGGTGGGGGCATGAGTGGATAGCAGGATGAAAGAATAGATGGGTAAATGGAGCAGAAAATGTGCTCCCTTATTTCTGGGAACCAACTACAAGGAACACATGTTCAGTATGTAATTGTGTATGGCCTCCAGTTCAGGGGAGCACACGGCAGAATTCCTACCCCAACTTTGGGAGCTGTGATACACAGAGCCATGAACAGACAGGGCAGACGGGGTGGGGAGCTTATGATAAGGGATCCAAGAGGAATAGAGGGTGAAGGAAATGGCCATGAAGGATTCAGGCGGCTCGGGTGACTATGTACCCTACAGAGTGCTTGGAAGTTCATTCCCGGGTTTCCTTTCTTGTGCACTGCTGTTGCCAAATCAAAGCCCCTTCATGGAATCTGCCTCGGTTTGTTCCAGTCTCTAGTGCCTTCTAGGAAGGATCGCTGCTTTCCAGAGTGATGTGCTCACGCTGACTTCCCTCTCCTCACATCCCCTGAGTCCATATCTACAAAGAAGAATAAGCTTTTGGAAGACACTGGTTCTTGTGAAGCTATGAACAGTTCCATGTAACAGAATCACTGGTTGGAAAAGCCCTTAGAGATGATCTCCAAACTGGGCTATTTTACAGGCAGGAAAACCAAGGTCCAGGGAAGGGAGAGGACTTTCCAGGATCAGGTAGCAAATGAGTGACAAGGGAAATCCTGGTCTTCCGAGTCTCAGGTTATGAATCCACAGCTTGCTCTTCCCCTGCCCAGCCACAGCCCCTGTGTCCCACCGGTCCCATCAGGACTTTTTTCTCTTTGGGGGAGATTTCACTATTTCTTCTGTCTCTGCTCTCAGTGGAGATGGAGAGGAAGATCAGGTCCTTCAGAGGTCCTGGTGAATCCCTGCTCAGATCCCCTCCTTGGGACACCAGCGTTCATGGTCTGACTCCCTCACCTCCCTGTTTATACCTGAGTTTGACCAAATGCAGCCCAAAACTTGACCAGACAGAGAACAAGGAATTCAAGCTCCAAAGAGAGCAGGGAGAACACAGACTGGAGCCAGGGAGAAGCGAAGAAGGGCTGGGAACTGGCATGAGCACTCCAGGCACTCTGTTGGGCAATTATGGTATCTCATTTATTCTCACAACCCCACGAGACAGGGGCTGTTATCCCTGTTTTACAAATGAAAGAGCGGCTCAGTTTATCAAGCTGGTCAGTGATGAGGCAAAGATGAAAATCCAGGTCTAGGCAACCCCAAAGCCCTTGCTGGGTCATGAGCCCCGAGACAATGTGCTGTGTCACAGCACTGTCATTTAGCCACCCAGGAGGAGCGGAAATGTCTCTCCTGAGGGTCCAAATCAACACGGTCAAGGCTAACAGGGATCAATGCAAAGTCCTGATTGTCAGGAAGTCATCTGCACAAGTGCAGAATGGAGTCCTGGCGAATGGACAGCAGACCATCATGATATTGTCATCATGCGACTGTCACTGCCGCTCTCTTTCCACTTTGCAGTTTATAAAGTTCCTTCACGGCTGGGCACGGTGGCTCACGCCTGTAATCCCAGCACTTTGGGAGGCCGAGGAGGGCGGATCACAAGGTCAGGAGTTCAAGACCAGTCTGGCCAAGATGGTGAAACCCAGTCTCCACTAAAAATGCAAAAATTAGCTGGGCGTGGTGGCAGGTGCCTGTACTCCCAGCTATTCTGCGAGGCTGAGGCAGAAGAATCACTTGAACCCGGGAAACGGAGGTTGCAGTGAGCTGAGATCGTCCCACTGTACTCCAGCCTGGGTAACAGTGAGACTCCATCTCAAAAAAAAAAAAAAAAAAGCACCTTCACTTGGTGATCTTGGGGCTTTGATTGGCCATTAACGAGCATAAGGATAAATGTGAAAAAGAGTTGGGGGCCATCTTTCAGCAGGTGTGCTGTGGCTGCCTGTAAGGCCAGTGAGCTATTTCTTTTTATCAATCCAGGGTAATATCGATAGATATTGTGTACAGCACTGTGCTGAGTATAGGACATGCTTCATCTCATTTAATTCTCACAACAACCCTATGGAGTTGTGACTTTTATAATTCCTATTTCACAGACCAGAAAACCAAGAGGTGAAGAAAGTTGGCCAAGGTCACACAGCTAGTAAATAGCAGAATTCAGGCTCACATCTGATAAGTATCAAGAAAACTGTCATTCTGAACATGTCAGCCCCCCTCTGGAGTCATGTGTCCAGTTTTGGGGTCATTCTTAGGGGAGTCCTTGACACAGAGGAATGAGGAACCCATGAGGGACACCATCACCCGAAGGCTTGTTTGAAGGAGCTGAGAATATTTACCCCAGAGAAGAAAATCGTCAGAGGACATACAATTGGTGTTTTGAAGGGCAGAAAGCTCCTCTGCTTAAAAACAGATTGGCTTCGCAGGATGGTTACCAACCTACAGACAACTACTATCGCCACCTATTGGTGGGAGGTAACATTGATGTGGTGATACCAGCTACCCCAACTGCTCTGTTCCATCGGTGAAAGTTTGAATTGAACCTTTCATGCACAAAGGTCAAAGGTGCCTTCTTTTCTTTTCTTTTCTTTTTTTTACAGGGACTCACTCTGTCACCCAGGCTGGAGCGTGGTGGCATGATCTTGGCTCACTGCAGCCTCTGCCTCCCAGGCTCAAGCAATCCTCCAGCCTCAGCCTCCCAAGTAGCTAAGACTACAGGTGCACACCAATATGCCCGGCTAATTTTTGTATTTTTGTAGAGAAGAGGTTTCACCATGTTGTCCAGGCTGGTCTCGAACTCCTGGGCTCAAGCAATACACCCACCTCGGCCTCCCAAAATGCTGGGATTATAGGCATAAGCCACCACTCCCCACCAGAAAAGTGCTCTTAATCCTGACAGGTTTTCACTTAGAAGAGGTAGCAGATTTACCTTTGTGGAGAGATAATTTGCACCAATAAGTAAAAATTACAAGATGCCAATATGAAGGTCAATTTTCTTTTTCTTTTATTTTTTCTTTTATTTTTTTTTAGGAGTTTAGGAGCGGAGGTTTAATAGGCAAAAGAAAGAGAAAGAAACAGAAAGGAAAACAGCTCTGTCTTTAGTGAGAAAGATGGGACTTCTGAGAGGAAAAGACTCAATTTTCTTTTCCTTTTAATTTTTTGAGATGGTATCTTGCTCTGTCACCCAGGCTGAAGTGCAGTGGCTTGATCATGGCTCACTGCAGCCTCAAACTCCTGGGCTCAAGCGAATCTCCCACCTCAGCCTCCCGAGTAGCTATCATTACAGGTTCACATCACCACACCTGGCCTTAGGGTCAATTTTCTGACCATTAAAACATCCCAATATCTCCAGGAGCTGCTTGGGAGTAGTGAGCCACTTGTCTGTGGAGGAGATCAAGTCCTGCTGAATCTCCCATCCCTCAGGAGATTGGGAGAAATCAATCCCAATGTTTTGGTGGGTCGAGGGCTTTCGTGGGTTACCTGCTCTGAGTTACAGGTGGTCAATTGAGGAGAGGTCTGCCGGGGTTGGTAGTCTCTCTATTGTCTTATCCAGGGAGGAACTTGTAAGCCAGGCCAGAGGGAGAGGGGGTACCCCTAGGGCAGAGCTTCAGGGGAGATATTTTGGACAGGTGGGAGTCTGACAGCGTTTATCTTCCACATTCAGCTCTTAGACTTGGCCAAGAGCTAGTCAGAGAAGGATGGATCCGTGAATAAATGGTTATGACCTGCCATCACTTCCCAAACTCGCCTCCCACACAGGCCTTTGTAAACAACCCAAGAAAACAACAGTCCCTTGTAGATTCTGTAAATGTGATCGAGGCTCTGCTGAACACAGAGGCTCAGAGTGTGGCCAAGGGCAGGAGTAGTTGGGTAGGAGTCAGGGTCAGGGTCATAGGCCTGGGGCAAGGGCCCTCGTCTGTCTGCTGAACCCTGGCCTGTGTGGGTTTTTTCATCAAAGCCCCACATTGATTTGGGCCCTGGATGCTGGGCCACCTGTGCTTTGTGGATTTGCTGGGAGGGTTTTTGAAGAAGGGGCTGTGAAATCGGATAGACCCTGGTTTGAATCCTGGCATGGTTGGCATAGTTTTCATATTAGCCTTGTGAAGTTAAGGCAGTTTCTTCTCTGCTCCAAGCCTCAGATTCCTCATCTTCAGAATGGACAAAGTGCCTGTGCCCTCCTTACAGGACTGGTATGAAGATTAAGTGAGATCTCCAACATAAAGCACCGAGTGCGGTGCCGGACACATAGCGCATTATTATTATTATTAAATTAACCTCTGTCAGTGAAGACTGGCCTCCCTCTCCCTGTCCTCTTTGTGTTTTCTATGGTCATGGCCCCTGGTCTTAGGGACGTTTGATACTGAAGTGCTCCTGCTGGCCCTCACTTGGTTAACAACTGTTGCTGGGGCCCCACACATGAAAACACCCACATGCTTGGCCATGGCTGTGCTACCACCCTCCCTCCCACCTTCTCTGATGCAGCAGGGACAGAGATGCAATTGAGAGCCCTCAGTCCCGAGATGAGGCAAGATATGCTCTGAGATTCCTCACTGTTCTCTGAGAGAGAAGAGCTACTGGGCCCATCCAAAAGACAGTCTGCACCTGGAACTCGGCACCCAGGAGGTCACCCCTGCAGGACCTGTAGAGGAGCCTGTGTCCTGGTGGCCTTAGGTGGCTGCATTACTGGTCAGTGTGTGTATGTGTGTGCATGTGTGTGCCTCCATGTATTCCTGCAGTGACTGGTCATAGACCCCACCAGTGTGTGTCAGGGACAGGGTGGTGTGGTAGGAAGGATGCAGACGTTGCCACATGCAACACCCAGGTTCACAAACCAGCTCTGTAGCTTTGGGGCTACGTAAGTGTGGATAGTTAGCTTTATGTTTTTATTTTTATTTTTATTTTGAGACAGAGTCTTGTTCTGTCACCCAGGCTGGAGCGCAATGGTGAGATCTCAGCTCACTGCAACCTCTGCCTCCCGGGTTCAAGCAATTCTCCTGCCTCAGCCTCCCTCAAGAGTAGCTGGGATTACAGGCAACTGCCATCACACCTGGCTAATTTTCCATGTTGGCCAGGCTGGTGTCAAACTCCTGACTTCAAGTGATCCACCCGCCTTGGCCTCCCAAAGTGCTGGGATTACAGGTGTGAGCCACTGCACCCGGCTGAGAGTTGGCTTTATATTATCAAGTCTCAGGGTCTTCATTTGAGAGAAGGGGAAAGGAAAACTTATCTTACATGGCATTTTGCTAGTTGAATCAGGGCATGGATAGAAAATATCTGTCACAAGGTCTTGGCACACGGCAAACACTCAAATGGTGGCTTCTGTCATTTTTGTGCGTGTTGGTATCACGGTGAATATGTCCATGGGTTTGGGTTGGCCAATGATTGTTCCATGTCTCTCTCACTAAGCAAACCTTGATCCGCAGCCACCTATTTGTATCTCTTTTCTGTATTTAAAAGGAATTGTATGAAAGCCTCACTGGTGAGTCTTCTTAGCTTGATGTTGGTGAGGCTAGAAGGAGAAGGTTTAGGGAAATGCATGCTAATACCCTTCACGTACTGAGGCAGGGCCGGCATCTCCCCTTGAGAGTAGAGGTGGGCAGTGCTGGGTGGGAAAGGCTTTCATTCCAAATTCTCATACTTGTCTGTGCTTTTAAAATTTTATTATATTTATTTAGTTTTAGAGACAAGGTCTTGCTCTGTCACCCAAGCTGGAATGCAATGGTGCCATCATGGCTCACTGTAGTTTGTGCCATCAAACTCCTGGGCTCAAGTGATCCTCCTTCCTCAGCCTCCCAAGTAGTGGGGACTACAGGCACACACCACCACCAGGCTGGCTAATTTGTGCTTATTTTTATAGAAAGAATGTCTCCTAGTTTTCAGCTCCAGATTTCCCTGTCTCTAAGTTAGTTCAGCAAATATTTACTAATATTCACTATAATACTTAGAGCTGCCATTTAGTGAACACTGAAAAACACTTTCCATACCCCACTTCTCACTCTCAGCTCCCTTAGGGAAAGGGAGAGGCAGTTCGTTTTACAGATGAGCAAATGAAGCTGGGAGAAATTCAGTTACTCATTCCAGCCCTTGCACGGCGAAGGAGAGAAGACCCAGACACTTTATCTGAGGAAGGTAAAAGGATATGAGAAAGAACAAGAAATAGTCTCCATCCTCAAGGACCTGACAATGAAATGTAGCATTAATGGCAGACAAAGCAGTGGACACATGCCTTGGTGATGTTTCTTTGCAGGGAGCTGCTGTGGGAGGGTAGGGGACAGAATCTCTATTTCAGTATGAGTAGGAGTCTTCCTTGGGGGGCGACTGGGGACTGGGCTGTGTCTTTTTTTTGAGATGGACTCTCACTCTGTCACCCAGGCTGGAGTGCAGTGGCGCAATCTTGGCTCACTACAACCTCCACCTCCTGGAGGTTTAAGCGATTCTTCTGCCTCAGCCTCCCAAGTAGCTGGGACTATAGGCGTGCACCACCACAAGCGGCTAGTTTTTGTATTTTTAGTAGAGATGTGGTTTCACCATGTTGGCCAGGGTGGCCTCAAACTTCTGACCTCAAGTAATCTGCCCACCTCAGCCTCCCAAAGTGCTGGGATTACAGGCATGAGTCACCGTGCCTGGCCTGGGCCGTGTCTTGAAGGCTACGCTCTTTTTCTTGGGGAGCAATAGGGCATGGCTAGCCTGGGCCTGTTTCAGGTGTTGGGAGACAGGAAGCCCAGGCAGGGAGACAGAGTGGCAGGAGTGGGGAGGTCAGGCAGAGCCACACGGGGTTCCTGGTGGGAGCTTGAGTCTGGGAGTCCGGAGGGTCTGGTCTTTGGAAGGAGGGGTAGACAAGAGCTAGGGAGGGTTAGGCAGGGCCCCGGATTAAGGGAGCACAGAGAAGGGAGAGGCAGAGCCCACCTTATAGATTAACAGGGCCAGGCCACAGAGGCCATTCTGACCCTGTGAAGCCCCCGGGGCAGGCCACTGCCACCAGAGCCCTGAGCTGGAATGCAGATGGCCTGACCCTAGTGGGTGTGTTTCAAGGTGGGTGCTGACCCCTGCTTCCATCAGAGCTGGGAGAGCAGGAAAGCCGCAGCCCATAGATAAGGACTCTCTGGAGAGACCTTGGGCAGGGACTGGGGAGGCCAATGCCTGGGGCAGCCAGCCCAGAGGCAGCAAAGACCAAATATGATGGGGGAAGAGGGAGTGCCCTGCTGTCACAGCAGTTTGGCAGAGGGTGGTGTGAGTAGCTGAGACGCTGGAAACAGAGGGTAGAACCAGCGAGTGAAGGGCTTTCACTACTGGATATTGCAGTGTCGACAGGGGGAAATGATTGTTTTTTGAGCCCCAGAATCATATGATCAAACCTATAGTCTGTCGTGCTCACTAGAACATGAGCTTCCCAAGGCAAGGAGTTCGTCTAGTATTCCCTGTGTACTCCCAGCACTGAGCCCAGCATCAGTCACTTAGTAGGTGCCACGTTGATATTTAATAGATGTGTTTCATAGATATGTACAGCCACAATATATACAATGTTTATGGATATATATAATATATATGTTATGTAGTAAACATTTTAAAACTTTGATAAGAATACACACTAATGGTCAAGGGAGTGGTTACTTTGGGGAAGAGAGGAAATAGGATTGAGATAGAATACAAAAGGGATTTCAGCTATGTCTGATTTTTTTTCTTATAAAGAAGAACTGGGACCAGGCGCAGTGGCTCACACCTGTAATCCCAGCATTTTGGGAGGCCAAGGCAGGTGGATCATGAGGTCAGGAGATCGAGACCATCTTGGCTAACACAGTGAAACCCCGTCTCTATTAAAAATACAAAAAAATTAGCCGGGAGTGGTGGCGGGCGCCTGTAGTCCCAGCTACTCGTGAGGCTGAGGCAGGAGAATGGCGTGAACCCGGGAGGCGGAGCTTGCAGTGAGCCGTGATCATGCCACTGCACTCCAGCCTGGGCAACAGAGCAAGGTGGCTCACGCCTGTAATCCCAGCACTTTGGGAAGCTGAGGCTGGTGGATCACTTGAGGTCAGGAGTTTGAGACTAGCCTTGGCCAACGTGGTGAAACCCCATACTACTAAAAATACAAAATATCTGGATGTGGTCGTGGGCCCTTGTAATCCCAGCTACGTGGGAGGCTGAGGCAGGAGAATCACTTGAACCCAGGAGACAGAGGTTGCAGTGAGCCGAGATTGTGCCACTGCACTCCAGCCTGGGTGACAGAGTAAGACTCTACCTCAAAAGAAAAAAAAAAAAAGAACTGGGCTGGGCATAGGGGATCATGCTTGTAATCCCAGCACTTTGGGAGACCAAGGTGGGAGGATCGCTTTGAGTCCAGGAGTTTGAGACCAGTCTGGGCAACATAATGACATCTAGCCTCTATAAAAAAAAAAGAGTTTTTTTAATTAGCCAGGCATGGTGGTGAATGCCTGTAGTCCCAGCTATTCAGGAGGCTGAAGTGGGAGGATTACTTGAGCCTGGGAGGTTGAGGCTGCAGTGAGCTATGATTACATCACTGCACTCCAGCTGGGGCAACAGAGTGAGACTCCATCTCAAATAAATAAATAAATAGAAAAACTGAAGAAAACATGACTGTAAACATTTGCTAAATGTGAATGGTCAGTACGTGGGCTCCTGTAATATTTGTCTTCATAATTTAAAAAACATTTCTTACTTTTAAAAAGAAAATAAATTTATACACCATTTTTTAAAATGTCCAGAATCTCTCTTTCTCCAGTAGATGGCTGTGTTGAGGCCTATGGCTTCTTAAGATTACAAACAAGCCTAGGCAATTCTCTCAATGTAGACCCTTCGTGGGCTTCCAAATTGTCAGCAGCTGGAGTAAAAGTGCCACTCGGAAATAATGAAGCCAAGCTTGGCTTGCTTCCTTATATTCTTGACCCCTATAGTTCAGAGCGATTATTTATTTATTTATTTATTTATTTATTTATTTATTTATTTATTTTTTATTTTGAGACAGAGTGACTCTGTCGCCCAGGCTGAAATGCAGTGGTGCAATCTCTGCTCACTGCAACCTCCACCTCCCAGGTTCAAGTGATCCTCCTGCCTCAGCCTCCCGAGTAGCCGGGATTACAGGCACCCACCACCATGCCTGGCTAATTTTTGTATTTTTAGTAGAGACGGGGTTTCACCATGTTGACCAGGCTGGTCTCAAACTCCTGACCTCAGGTGATCTGCCCACCTCAGCCTCCCAAAGTGCTGAGATTACCGGCATAAGCCACCATGCCAGGCCCAGAGTGATTATAATATCATCGTGCCTAGATTATGGTTCTTGGTGGAGGATCTCAAAACTTCTTTCCAGTGGTGACATCATACTAACTGTGTAGGTCCTGGCTCACCCCTCAAATGTAACATTGTAGCCTTGTGCATTTTGATTCTTAGTGGCCTCAGGGTAAAAAAATACATTGTACACTCAGAGAGTGTTTGAGTCCAAGCTCCACCTCCTACTTGTATGACCGGTTGATTCACTCAACCACCTTGAGTCCCAGCTTGCTCAGTAGGAGGGTGTAGATGACAGCCACTTCTCAGTGCCTGAGAGGATTAAATCGATAATATAGTGTGTGAAGTCTCCTGAGACAGAGCCTGGTACATGGTAGATTCCCAAACTGCATTAACTCTCTTCCGATTGAAGGCTTTGTGCAACCCAGCCTTTGTTCTCTTTCCCCTTACGCCCCAACCATGCCCATTTTTCAAGGCATATTCAACTGTATCTCTTCCATGAAATTGTTCCTCATAGCCCAATGGCTCATGTCACTGACTGCTTCATAATCATAATTCAAAATCAGCCAGGCTTGGTGGCACATGCCTGTAGTCCCAGCTACTCAGGAAGCTGAGGTGGGAAGATCACCTGAGCCCAAGGAGGTCGAGGCTGCAGAGAGCCGTGATTGCACCACTGCACTCCAGCCTGGGCGACAGGGCAAGACCTTTATGTAAAAAAAAAATTTTTTAAATCATAGTTAATTTTTCATCTGTTTATTTATTTATTTATTTTTGCCTCCTCATATAGTAAAGCCTTTGAAAGTAGGAATGCCAGTTCAAGTGTCACTGCAGCGTGGAGAAAAGCCCACTGGAGTGGGAGGTTGATTGACATCTTTGGTTAAATTCTGTTAGGTCAACTTGGGACTCCAGGTAGCTTTGGGGACTTTGATTTCACCAGTAAAATGGCAACAGTAACTCACCTCACATAGTTTCGAGAGATTGATCCAGATATTTGAAGGAGTTGAGTAAATATGGTTGAATAAATTTAAGCAGTTTAGAAAAACAAAGTTCCTTACAAATGTCGGGTATTAGTATTAAATCCCCACCCACGGTATCTAATAATGGGTTTTGCATTTACTTGCTGCCAAGAGAAACTGCATGCTTGAATATTCTACAGTCATCCAGATAAAGACCAAAAGAGGCATCAAGTAGCAATAATAAGGATTTATCTAATTTTAAACAAAATATCTTCTTCTTTCTCATCAGGATCGAGATGACCACAGCCACCCCTCTGGGGGATACCACCTTCTTCTCACTGAACATGACCACCAGGGGAGAAGACTTCCTGTATAAGAGTAAGGTCAAATTCGCTTAGAGGCTGGGGGAAGGATGGCAGGACCAGTGTCATGGTCATAGTGCAGAGGTTAAGAGTGTGGGCTCTGGAGGTGGACTGCCTGGGTCTCAGGCCCAGTTCTGCCACGTGCCAACTGCAGCATTAATGACAGACAAAGCAATGGACATATGCCTCGGTGGTGTTTCTTTGCAGGGCACTGCTGTGGAAGGGTAGGGGACAGAACCGCTATTTCTGTCTGAGTGGGAGTCTTCCAGGGAAGGGCAAATGGGGACTGGACTGTGTCTTTTTTTTTTTTTTTTTTTTTGAGATGGAGCACATGTCTTTACTGCTCTGTACCTCAGTTTCCTCATCTATACAATGGGGATATTAAAGAAGCTACCACATAAGGCAGTTGTGATGACTAAAGGGGATAATCCAGGTTGACAGTTTAGCACAGCCTCTGGTAACATACTAAGTACCTAATGATGATGATTATTTTTATTACTATTGGCTGGGTGTGGTGGCTCACACCTTTAATCCTAGCACTTTGGGAGGCTGAGGCATGTGGATCACTTGAGATCAGGAGTTTGAGACCAGCTTGGCCAAAATAGTGAAACCCCATCTCTACTAAAAATACAAAGATTAGCTGGGCATGGTGGTGTGCACCTGTTACTCAGGAGGCTGAGGCAGGAGAATCACTTGAACCTGGGAAGCAGAGGTTGCAGTGAGCTGAGATCGTGCCACTGCACTCCAGCCTGGGCAACAAAGTGAGCCTCCAAAACAAACAAAAAAATATTACTACTACTACGATTGCTATTGTTTTCGTTAAAAAGTCTTGGGACCTAGAAAGCACTGAAATTTGAATCTCTTATAAAATGGCTCTAAATGGGTCACCTTAAAATGTAGCTACTGCTGGGCATGGTGGCTCATGCCTGTAATCCCAGCAGTTTGGGAGGCCAAGGCAGGCAGATTGCTTGAGCTTGGGATTTCAAGACCAGCCTGGGCAATATGGGGAGACACCATGTCTACAACAAATACCAAAATTAGCCAGGCATGGTGGTGACGCTCCTGGAGTCCCAGCTACACGGGGGGTGCTGAGGCAGGAGGATCGCTTGAGCCTGGGAGGTCGAGGCTGTGGTGAGCTGAGATTGTGCCACTGCATTCCAGCCTGGGTGACAGAGCGAGAACTTGTCTCCAAACAAACAGACAAACAAAAATCCGAAGTAGCTATTTTTATACTATATTGCAAGGCAAAAAAACATCCCATCAACTGATGAAAGAGTAAATGAATGTAGGCGGGAAGAGTGAGTTCTGGGGAGGCATTTGCCGTGAACTAGTGGCCCCGGAAGGAAAAATTTCAGGATGACTCTTCAGAAAATCAATTGATGGTATAAGGAGACGCTTGGGTGTGTGTCAGCCATTTCAGCTGGCTACACATATACCCCTGGGCATGGGACAGACTTCCCTACACACAGGGATAAACAGCTTCAGGCTGTGGTTCTGGCAGGTGGCTGGATGAAGGGCAGGATGTGTCTCTTCCATGAAGAGTCAGAAGGGGTTGCTCCCAGGACGGGGTCCCATGGGCTATCCTGCTGCTGGCTGGGTGGGCAGACCTACAGAGGCCTGAGGAGGTGTGTCTCCAAACAGTCCTGAGGGAAATGCAGGGTAGAGAGAATCACTATCAGGAAGACGAGAATAATTCTGTTTTTCTTGAACTGAAAGTAGTGGTTCTTGGCCGGGCACAGTGGCCCACGCCTGTAATCCCAGCACTTTGGGAGGCCAAAGTGGGTGGATTACCTGAGGTTGGGAGTTTGAGACTGGCCAGCATGGTAAAATCCCATCTCTACTACTAAAAATACAAAAATTAACTGGGTGTGGTGGTGCATACCTGTAGTCCTAGCTACTTGGGAGGCTGAGGCATGAGAATCGCCTGAACCTGGGAAGTGGAGGTTGCAGTGAGCCGAGATCACACCACTGCACTCCAGCCTGGGTGTCAGAGAGAGACTGTCAAAAAAAGAAAGAGAAGGAAGGGGGGGGGGGAGGGGGAGGGGGAGGGGGAGGAGAAGGGGGGGAGGTTCTCCTGTAAAAACAAAAGAGAAGAAAGAAGAAAGAAAGAAAGAAAGAAAGAGAAAGAAAGAAAGAAAGAAAGAAAGAAAGAAAGAAAGAAAGAAAGAAAGAAAGAAAAGAAAAAGAAAGAAAGAAAGAGAAAGAAGGAAAGATTGGTTGGTTCTCAACTAGGTGTTTTTGCCCTGCTAGATAGGGTTACCAGATTTAGCAAATAAAAATATAGAATGCCCAGTTAAATTTGAATTTAAGATAAACAATGAATCCTTATTTAGTATGTGTCATACAATATTTGAGATGTACTTATACTAAAACGGTATCCATTGTTTGTTGAAAATTCTGATTTTATCTGGCAACCCTACCACCAGGGGCCATTTGGCATTGTCTGGAGATATCTTAGTAGTCACAGTTTGGTGGGGGTGGGGGGAACTTGGAGGCATTGCAACTGGCATCTAGTAGATAGAGGCAAGAGATAAGATTAAATATCTTGCAATGCACAGGACAGCCTCCCCGACAAAGAATTAGCCAGCTGAGGTTGAAAAACCCAGAACTAAAGTCTCCCCAAGAAGGAAAAAAACCTAAGTTGCCCCATGATGGATTTCCCGCCCTCTCTGCTTCTTCCCTTCCAGTGTTTCTTCCTATGAATATTTGCACACGGTTGTTTGCTTTTAAGTAAACTTTTTATAAGGCATTACTTACATTCAAAATGTGCATAAATCATAAGTGCCCAGCTGGGTGAATTGCCACAAAGTGAACATACCTGCGCAACCAGTCCCCAAATCAAAAAAGAGAGCCACCACCAGTATCCTAGAGGTCGTGGTTCCCCTTCTAATCACCATCCTCCACCCCCCCAAGGGGACCTGCTATTCTGACTTTTACCACCATCGATTAGTTCTGCTTGGTTTTGAACTTTATATAAATGGCCTATAGGTATACCATATGCACTCCTTCGTATCTGGCTTCTTTTGCTCTACATTATGCTTGTATGCACATATTTTAATGGTTGTAACATATACTATATAAATATATATTGGGTGGATGTATGTAATCTCTTCTATTTTCTTTTCTTTTCTTTCTTTTTTTTTTCTTTTTTGAGACACAGTCTCACTCTGCCGCCCAGGCTGGAGTACAGTGGTGCCATCTCGGCTCACTGCCTCACTGCAACCTCCACTTCCCGGGCTCAAGCGATTCTCGTGCCTCAGCCTCCTGAATAGCTGGGATTACAGGCTTGTACCACCAGGCCCAGCTAATTTTTGTATTTTTAGTAGAGACGGGGTTTCACCATGTTAGCCAGGCTGGTCTCAAACTCCTGACCTCAGGTGATCCGCCTGCCTCGGCCTCCTAGAGTGCTGGGATTACAGGCGTGAGCCACCAAACCCAGCAGTTCTTGATATTTTCAGTATCAATTCCGACAAGGATGTTGATCTTGAAGCTAAAATTGGAGGCCGGGTGTGGTGGCTCACGCCTACAATCCCAGCACTTTGGGAGGCTGAGGGGGGCAGATCACTTGAGGTCAGCAGTTCAAGACCAGCCTGGCCAACATGGTGAAACCCCGTCTCTATTAAAAATGCTAAAATTAGCCAGGTGTAATGGCAGGCACCTGTAATCCCAGCTACTCTGGAGACTGAGGCAGGAGAATCGATTGAACCCGGGAGGCAGAGGATGCAGTGAGCTGAGATCGTGCCACTGCACTCCAGCCTGGGCAACAAGAGTGAAACTCCCTCTCAAAAAAAAAAAAAAAAAACAAGAAAGAAATTAAAATTGGAGTGTGACATTGGAGCTGAGAACTAATATTGAAATTAGAGTCTAAGACATTAAACTACAAGGACATCATCACAGCCTTGTTTTTAATAGTGAAAAACTGAAAACATAAGTATTCTCAATAGAGAATTGGTGAACAGATTGTGGTACACCCAAACAATGGAGTACTATGCAGCCATGGAAAGTCATGAAGAAAAATATATAATTAAACAGAAAGATGATTATGATATTGTTATAAAACAGTATGTGAAACATGGCTCCTTTTTTTTGGTTTGTTTTTGAGAAGGAGTCTTGCTCTGTCGCCCAGGCTAGAGTGCAGTGGCACGATCTCGGCTCACTGAAACCTCTGCCTCCCGGGTTCAAGCAATTCTCCTGCCTCAGCCTCCTGAGTAGCTGGGATTACAGGCACATGCCATCACGCCCGGCTAATTTTTGTATTTTTAGTAGAGACAGGGTTTCCCCATGTTGGTCAGGCTGGTCTCGAACTCCTGACCTCGTGATCCGCCCCCCCCCCCCCCCCCCCCTTGGCCTCCCAAAGTGCTGGGATTACAGGTGTGAGCCACCACACCTGGCCATGGTTCCATTTTTATCAAGTACATATTTTTCCATATTTAGGAATATTTCCTTTAAGACAGATATTGAAACATATAAGTATTAAATTATTTAAAAACTATAACGGGTATTTTTTTTTAATTTTTTATACAGAGATAGAGTCTTGCCATCTTGCCCAGGTTGGTCTGGAATTCCTGGGCTCAAGTGATCCTCACCCCCCAGCCTCACAAAGTACTGGGATTACAGATGTGAGCCACTGCACCTAGCCAGATTTTTATTTATGTATTTATTTTTATTTTTTGAGATAGAGTCTTGCTCTGTCACCCAGGCTGGAGTGCAGTGGCACAATCTTGGCTCACTGCAGCCTCAACCTCCCAGGCTCAAGAGATCC
The DNA here is from genome assembly GCF_000001405.40 of Homo sapiens. Classification (NCBI taxonomy): domain Eukaryota; kingdom Metazoa; phylum Chordata; class Mammalia; order Primates; family Hominidae; genus Homo; species Homo sapiens. The sequence continues at coordinate 24,600,259 of NC_000001.11, forward strand.
TCCCTCCTCAGCCTCCCAAGTAGCTGGCACTACAGGTGCATGCCACCACACCTGGCTAATTTTTAATTTTTTATTTCTAGAAACAGGATCTTGCTATGTTGCCCAGGCTAGTCTCGAACTCCTGGGCTCAAGTGATCCTCCCACCCCATCCTCTCAAAGTACTGGAATTGCAGGCATGAGCCACTGCACCTGGCTGATAGATATTTACCATGCATCAACACGATCACATTGGTGAATGTAGATATGCAGACGATCAGCAGTTGTTGGGCCAGTGAGTTCTTCAACGACCCCCTCTTTTTTGCACATATTTATATTTTCAAAATTATTTTCTACAAAAATCACATGCTACTTTTGCATTATCAAAAGGAGGGGAGGGTATGTTGTTTGTTTGTTTCCCAGAAGTTTGAGGCATGCTGGAGCTGATAAGAACCAGGACTTTGCCTAAGGCAGAGTTTTGGCAGATGATGTGCTAAGGACAGGGTCCTTCAAGCGCAGCTCGGGGCAGGGGTGCACAGCCACTCCAGATGTGACTGTCCTGGGGTCAACTGGGAGTGTCCCAGGATGTTGCCTTCTCTCCTGCCTCCCTTGACCTAGTGAGGATGTCAGGTGCCACAGCAGGGCGCCCTCCTGGTCTGCGTTCAGTTTGCACATTCACGGTCTCTGCTTCTCTCCTTTCTGTAGGTTCTGGAGCCATTGTTGCTGCCGTTGTGGTGGTTGTCATCATCATCTTCACCGTGGTTCTGATCCTGCTGAAGATGTACAACAGGTACGGATGCCCTGGGCTTTGGAACTGCCTGGACGGTCCCTTCAGTGACATCAGAATAAATGGGAGGTGATATATGGGTGTCCGTCGTGTGCCTGGCAGTATCCCTCAGCCTTTAGTAAATGCTCTAACCCTTGGGGATCCTTTTTGCAGTCTGTTCTGTTGAAGGAATTTCAAAGTGACTATTTTTGTACTTGGAGAAATATTTTTTAAACGTAGTAATGATAATGACAATGATAATGGTCTTGAGCACTGTGGTAAACATTTGTTTGTAATTTACAGATAATAGAGGAATGTTCAGACCTCTTCTCTCAGAGATCTCTCTTCTAGGTTGTATGAGCTGGCCACATAAGTATTTGAGATGACAAATACTGGAAGCATGTACCCTGACTCTGCTTTCTGGAGACGTATAAGGGGAAATAAAAGAATATAATTTGATCATACAAAAAATAAATTTTATATGTTATCACCTTATGTGTAATTACCTTCAGTCACAACCTTGATGGAAGGTAATTCTTTTCAGGGAAGAAATCAAAATTAAAAAACTATAAATAAAACATATCATAGAAGACCTAGAAGCCATTTCTTTAAAAAGGTATCGTGGCCGGGTGTGGTAGTGTGGTCTGTAATCCCAGCTACTCAGAAGACTGAGGCGGGAGGATGGCTTGAGTCCAGGAGTTTGAGTCCAGCCTGGGCAACATAGCAAGACCCTGTCTATACAAATATATTTGCATATGGGCCAGGCACGGTGGCTCACGCCTGTAATCCCAGCACTTTGGGAGGCCAAGATGGGCAGATAACGAGGTCAGGAGATGGAGACCATCCTGGCTAACATGGTGAAACCCCGTCTCTACTAAAAATACGAAAAAATTAGCCGGGTGTGGCGGCGTGCGCCTGTAGTCCCAGCTACTCGGGAGGCTGAGGCAGGAGAATGGCGTGAACCTGGGAGGCGGAGCTTGCAGTGAGCCGAGATCGCGCCACTGCACTCCATGCTGGGTGACGGAGCGAAACTCCGTCTCAAAAAAAAAAAAAATCATATATATATGTATTAGAAGTGCACTGATTAATAAGGAAAGCTGTTTCCAATATATTGTCAAAGTTTACAAAACTATATATACATGGTAATCTCAATCATACACATAGGTTACCCATACACATATCCAAGGGAAAGCAACACAGCAAGGTCTTAACAACTGGTGTGTCTACATGATGGCATTGTTAGTTTTTGCTGGGAGGGGGATGTTCCTAATTTTTGAGGAATGGTAAACACGCATTGTTTTTATAAGAATATGAATATTATCCTGTAATCCCAGCACTTTGAGAGGCCGAGGCGGGCGGATCACGAGGTCAGGAGATCGAGACCACGGTGAAACCCCGTCTCTACTAAAAATACAAAAAATTAGCCGGGCGCAGTGGTGGGCGCCTGTAGTCCCAGCTACTCGGGAGGCTGAGGCAGGAGAATGGCGTGAACCCGGAAGGCGGAGCTTGCAGTGAGCGGAGATCGCGCCACAGCACTCCCGCCTGGGCGACAGAACGAGACTCCATCTCAAAAAAAAAAAAAAAAAAAAAAAGAATATGAATATTATTTATAAAGGGAGCTGCTAGGTGTGGTGGCTCTGCCTGTAACCCCAGCTAGTCAGGAGGCTGAGGCAGGAGGATCACTTGAGCCCCAGAGTTTGAGACCAGCTTGGGCAACATAGCAAGACCCTGTCTCTGGAAAAAAAAAAAAGTTTTTAAAATAAAGGTAGCTAGGCCGGGCGTGGTGGCTCACACCTGTAATCTCAGCACTTTGGGAGGCTGAGGCGGGCAGATCACGGGGTCAGGAGTTTGAACATTGTGAAACCCCATCTCTACTGAAAATACAAAAAATCAGCTGGGCATGGTGGCGGGTGCCTGTAATCCCAGCTACTTGGGAGGCTGAGGCAGGAGAATCACTTGAACCCGGGAGGCGGAGGTTGCAGTGAGCTGAGATCGCACCACTGCACTCCAGCCTGGATGACAATGTGAGACTCCATCTCAAAAAATAAACAAAATAAAATAAAATAAATAAATAATAAATAAAATAAAAGTAGCTAACATATATTGATCTCATACCACATGCCAGGCATGGTTCTAAGCTCCTTACATGTGTTAATGCATTTAATCCTCATCTAACAACCGCACGAGGTGGGTACTACTATTATCCTCAATTTTGTAGGTATAGAAACAGATACAGAAAGACTAAATCATATGCCCAAGGTTGTTCAGCCCTAATTAGCACAGTTGGGATTCAAACCTAGTTCATCTGGTTTCAAAGAAAATACTCCCACAATTACATGTAATAATAATAATAACATTAAAAAATTATTTAAAAAAAAATTTAGGATATTACAATTTGGGTCTATCCCAAACCAGGAGTGGCATCAAACCCCAATGTCTACTCTTTATTTCTCTCCATTGTTGCTGGAGCTCTGAACCTCTTTTTTAGGTCGTAATCTGAATGGAGAATCCACTCAACCCACCCTGTTTGCACTGATGCCTGAGCTGGGAAGTGAGAAACCTGGGTTCAGTAGTCTTTGGTTTGTCAAAATCAAGCAAGTTATTTAACCTCCTCCTGCCTGTATGTTGTCATGTTTAAAATGAAGAGTCTCAAAGCTTGATAATTGCATTATAGATACATTGCAGAATGTCTTTGTTCTTAGGAGTATTTAGGAGTGCAGTGGCATGATGCCTGCAACTCACAAATGGTTCACGGTTCTAAAAAACTGTGTGTGACAATAGAGAAAGAGAAAGTAATAGAGAGAAAAAAAGCAGATGTGGCAAATTGTTAGTAATTAGTCAATTGTTCTGTGAAGGGCTGTCTTAGACTATGCTGTGCTGCTATCACAGAATATCTGAGACTGGGTAAATTATACAGAAAAGAGATTTATTTCTTGCGGTTCTGGAGGCAGGGAAGTTTAAGATATTGAGGGGCCAGTATCTGGCAAGGGCCTTCTTGCTCTGTTATCCACGATAGAAGGGCAAAGAGAGAGCCAGAGAGAGCAAGAGATCAAATTCACAGCCTAAGAAGTCCTTTTATAATTGGCATTAATGGATTCATGAGGGTGGAGTCCTTATGACCTAAACTCCTCCCATTAGGCCCCAGCTTTCAATACTGTTGAATTAGGGATTAAGTTTCCAATGCAGGCTTTTTTGGGGGCCACATTCAAATTGTAACAAGAGTATTAGAGTATTAACTGTACTATTTGTGCAACTTCCCTGAAGATTTGACATTTTTAACAAATAATTATAAGGCTGGGTGCAGTGGCTCACGCCTATAATCCCGGCACCCCAGGAGGCTGAGGCAGGTGGATTGCTTGAATCCAGGAGTTCAAGACCAGCCTGGGCAACATAGTGAAACCCTGTCTCTACTAAAAATACAAAAAGTTAGCCAGGCATGGTGGTGTGCACCTGTAGTTCCACTTATTTGGGAGGCTGAGGTGGGAGAATCACCTGAGCCTGGGATGTTGAGGCTGTAGTGAGCTGAGATTGTGCCACTGCACTTCAGCCTGGGCAACCAGGGTAAGACTGTCTAAAAAAAAAAAAAAAAAAAAAAAAAAAAAAAAATATATATATATATATATATATATATATATATATATATATATATATATGTCAGCAAGATGAAATACCATGAAGACATGAGAATTCATAATTGTTGGCCAGGCATAGTGGCACACACCTGCAATCCCAGCACTTTGGGAGGCCAAGTGGGGAGGATCACTTGCCAGGAGTTCAAGACCAGCCTGGCCAACATGGTGAAACCCCATCTACACTAAAAATACAAAAATTTGGCTGGGCATGGTGGCTCATGCCTGTAATCACAGCACTTTGGGAGGCCGAAGTGGGTGGATCACCTGAGGTCAGGAGTTCGAGACCAGCCTGACCAACATGTTGAAACCCCATCTCTACTAAAAAATACAAAAATTAGCTGGGCATGGTGACAGGTGCCTGTGATCCCAGCTACTCCGGAGGCTGAGGCAGGAGAATCGCTTGAACCCAGGAGGCGGAGGTTGCAGTGAGGCAAGATCGCTCCACTGCACTCCAGCCTGGGTGACAGAGCCAGACTCTGTCTCAAAAAAAGAAAAAAAAAAAGAATTAATAATTATTGTTCATTATTGAATTTTACGGCATATTAAATGAAGCCAAGATAAATGTTTTCAGTACATTCTCTTTTCAATTATGTAAAAAGTTCTTAAATATTTCTAGCAATAAACTTAGCAAGCATAATGAGGCTGGAAAATGTAATACATGCTACAACTTTGAACATAAAAAATGTAATATCTTTATTTTTATCTTTTATATAGCCACCTCTGACATCTTACTCATTCCTTAATAGAAACAAATAAAATTAAATATCTGATCTAAGTGAAAAAATTGAAGGGCAGACTAGCTGATGCCTAAGGTCACTTCCAGTTGTAAAATTCTGTGGTGGCAAGTAAGCAATGTGATTTAATGTCTACATTAATCTACATTAATCTGTTGGCCAGAACTGTAGTCGCAGAGCCCATTCCCCGCGGCATACCAGGGGAAAGACTCAACCATGTGCACATTATCTCCCTACAGGAAAATGAGGACGAGGCGGGAACTAGAGCCCAAGGGCCCCAAGCCAACCGCCCCTTCTGCCGTGGGCCCAAACAGCAACGGCAGCCAACACCCAGCAACTGTGACCTTCAGTCCTGTTGACGTCCAGGTGGAGACGCGATGACCTCTACCCTGGCGCTATCTCCACCACTGTCCAAAGAGCCTCTCCAGAGTCAAGACCCAGAGGCACACTCTCTGGCAGCTTCACAATGAGCTTCTTCTGGTCAGGTCGACAGAGACATCTTTGACGCAATCTCTGATGCTTCCAGCAATCCTCAACCTTGTCTGCCCTGCCCTACCCCAACTGTGTCCACATCCCTGCCGCCACCCCACCAAAAAGCTGCAGAACATTCTTTTGTCATCTGATGAGGTAGAGCTATGTTGGGAATCCACCAATGTGGGCTTGGCTTTCCCCCACACTGTAGTTAGACAGATAGACAGATAGCCCAGGAGCCAGGTGTCAGGGAGCACTGCTGAGAGTATCACAATAGGATCTGTCACGGGGTTCATATCAGATGAAGCGCCGTATCCACTGCTTCACAGAGCAAAACATTCAATCCCATAACCAGGCACAGGGGAACTAACTTGGACTAACTAACCAGAAAACCTTGTTAACGTATAACTTGTTCCAGTACTACATCTCTGCCTGCTGGCTCATGACAATTGCTCAGCACATTTTCCCCTCTTGAAGAAAGGTTGCAAGAAGAACTAAATTATCCTCAAAAGATTTCTGCTTCATTAGTAAAGAGTCAGTGATGGAATAGGGTGACTCTGCAGAATAGTGGCCTCTAGGGTAGGAGCTTGTTGTGTTGTCCGTGGGCCTGGAATGATCCTGGTGGCTGATCAGGGTCCTTCTCCCACTCTGGGCTGTATCAACCCTGACGGTCTTGGTCTTTGGCTCCCCTTTATCTGGATTCTGAGCACGCTGACTGTCCTGTTAATGCCTTCCCTCCAAGGACCAGTATTTGGAGATTAATTAGATTACAACTCTATCTATGTTACCTTTGTCCTTCCTGGTCACCTTGCAGATTCAAGACATGTTCAAAGCAACACATTCACAACCCATTTCTATTCTATAGCAACCTCGTCTGTGACTCCTTAGCCTGGAGAACAATCTACCAAGAAGAGAAAGTATCTGGAATTAAGAAGTCCTACCATCCAAGCCCTACTTCCTGGTTGTGTGGCCTTGGAAAAGTGACTCAACCTCTTTATATTCAGTTTCCTAACCATGAAGTGGAAATGATAACACCTGCCTCATTGGGGCACTATAACAAGTGAAGGACTTAGGAAAACATCTGGAGTATAGCGCCTGGCACCCAGGAGATGCTTAATAAATGGGAACCAGGATTCTTTTTCTTTTCTTTTTTCTTTTCTTTTTTTTTTTTTTTTGAGACAGAGCCTCAATCTGTCACCTGGGCTGGAGTGCAGTGGCACGCTCACAGCTCGCTGCAGCCTTGAACTCCTGGGCTCAAGGGATGCTCCCTCCTCAGCCTCCAGAGTAGCTGGGACTACAGGTATGTGTCACCTCACCAGGCTAATTTTTTTATTTTTTATTTTTGTAGAGATGGGGTCTCGCTGTGTTGCCCAGGCTGGTCTTGAACCCCTGGCCTCAAGTGATCCTTCTGCTTTGGCCTCCCAAAGTGCTGGGATTACAGGCATGGACTATGGTGCCCAGCCTAGGAGCCAACATTATTATTATTATAGGCTTTTTTTTCAATTGCAAGATAGACATTTCTTCACATTTTAATGATTCTGAAATCAGAACATATCTTGCAATTGATGGGTTCATTAATATAATTGTAGTTCTTTACTTCCTCTCAAAAACTTGTGATCTTATAATTGATGGCATCTTGGAAACAAGGTAATAAATCTCTATTCTGTTAAAGAAAGTGACACACTTTGACATTTAACCTCAAATTTTAGGAGTCTCTCCCTCTTGGGGTCAGAAATCCCTTCTGAGGCCAGGTGTCGTGGCTCATGCCTGTAATCCCAGCACTTTGGGAGGCTGAGGCAGGCGGGTCACTTGAGGTCAGGAGTTTGAGACCAGCCTGGCCAACATGGCAAAACCCTGTCTCTACTAATAATACAAAATTTAGCTGGGCATGGTGGCATGCACCTGTAATCCCACTACTAGGGAGGCTGTGGCATGAGAATCACTTGAACCTGGAAGGCAGAGGTTGCAGTGAGCCAAGATCGTGCCACTGCACTCCAGCCTGGGCAACAGAGTGAAACTGCATCTCAAAAAAAGAAAAATCCATTATGAGGGGAAATCAAGAGTCAGGGAGGTAAGAGGTCTTACCCAGGGTCACACAGCTCATGATATCCCACTGTAAAAATACTCTGTGGAATAGCTCTGGAGAAATACTGGCACATTCTTCCTCTCTGGTCATTATTTCTTCCTACTGTGTTTAAATATCCACCAAGTGTCAAGGACTTTGTAAGATGCTTTCACATAAATTATCTCATAGGATTAAATTTTCCCAAAAACCTGGGGAGGAATTATTTTTTCCAAAACAGATGATAATTTCTGATTCAAAGAGAAAGAAAACAAAGTACTTTTCCAAAGTCACACAGCTAGTAAGTCACAAAGACAAGACTCAAAACCAGGTCTCTTGACTCCAAAGTCTGTCTTTTTTGTGAAGTCACACTCCTCTGCTGGCCCAGCTCAAAGCAGCACAGATTCTTTATGGGCTGAACAAGGGGAGTACGGGTTTGTCCATGTGTTTGAGTAGAGATCAGGGTTCTGGCTTCCAGGCTGAAGGTGAGGGAAAAGCCACTTCTAACTCCTTTGGGCATCCATGCTCACGGCCAAAAGAGCCCCTTCTCAACACATCCAAGTGCTAAGGATTCCTGCTTCATTCAAGCTACTACTTAGGCCCAAGGAGCAAGGGGTAGAATGGCATCTAACCAGAGCAAAGCCATTTCTTTGAGGGCTCAAGCCATAAACAAATATGCTCCCCTAAACATATTCGGCTTGAAAAAGTTGTTTTGGGGCAGCTGTGGTGGTGCACCCCTGTAATCCCAGCCCTTTGGGAGTCAGAGGCAGTCAGTCACTTGAGCCCAGGAGTTCAAGACTAGCCTGGGCAACACGGCGAAACCTCGTCTCTACAAAAAATACAAAAATTAACCAAGCGTGGTAGTGCACGCCTGTATTCCCAGCTACTTGGGAGGCTGAGGTAGGAGGATGGCTTGAGCCTGGGAGGCAGAGGTTGCAGTGAGCTGAGATCGCGCCACTGCACTCCAGCCGGGGTGACAGAGCCAGACCCTGTCTCAAAGCATATTTCAACCCTAAAACTAGACTCTTCTGCCCACAGTGCAGTCTTCTAAGGGTTACCCTCTGGTATATGTTCTTTTGCTAAATGAAGGCTTGGAGTTGGAGGGAAGAAGGGGAGATGGAGTGGTGAGGGCGAGTCAAATAAAAGGATTTGAGTGTCTCGTTTTTGACTAATGAAGATGATTCAATAAACATCCTGTAAGAAGGGTTCCTATGTGCAAGTTGAGGTGCTACTAAGTACATTAAGACACAATTGCTGCTCTCAAGGAGTTAGCAGCTGGTCTCATGCAGGGATCTCACCACGTGGTTATGTATTTTGTTTCTGATGAGGTGCCTTTCTTAGCAGATGCTGCCTTATTTGGCCACTGAAACAATCAAAGCTAATAAATGCTTAAAGAAAAATATCTGACAATAAAAAGGTTTAAATCAAATGTGTTGAGTTTATTTCAGTTAAGTTTAGAGCTAACAAATACCTTTTCTAAAATTTCCTTTCCCTGACAAAGTAAATAGAGTCCTAAGATGGCCAGGCGTGGTGGCTCATGCCTGTAATCCCAGCACTTTGGGAGGCTGAGGTGGACAGCTCACTTGAGGTTAGGAGTTTGACACCAGCCTGGCCAACATGGAGAAACCCTGTCTCTACCAAAAATACAAAAAGTAGCCAAGTGAGGTGGCGGGCACCCATAATCCCAGCTACTTGGGAGACTGAGGCAGGAGAATCGCTAGAACCCAGGAGGCGGAGCTTGCAGTGAGCCAAGATCGTCCCACTGCACTCCAGCCTGGGCAACAGAGCAAGAATCTGTCTTTTTAAAAAAAAGAAAAGAGTCCTAAGGGGAAGTCTTTTCAAACATTGTGTCATTTGCTTCATCACTTTTAAAGACTGAAGATGGGCTGGCTGTCAACAGACATTTCTGTGAGTTAGAAAACTTGTTAACTTGCTCAGATATGACAAAAGAAATCCCACTTCACAGCCTGTAGTTAGAACACAAGAGGCACTGAGATGCCAAGGATGGGGACTGCTGGAATTGTTGGAGACCTTAGAATGAACCCTAAAACACCAGTAATGATGTTTACCATAAATGAAGCTCCTACTGTGTGCCAGGCAGAGAATAGGCCCTTTATAACCATCAGCAACTTTAATCCTTATAACTCCTATCCGTAGGAGCCATCATTATCCTATTTTATGGATCAGGAAACAGGTTCAGCAAGGTAACTTGTCCTTGAGTGATGCAATGAACATTTGTCATTCTTTTGGTGACTGTTGTCATGTTTGGGAAATACTCTACATTAAGAAGCCAGACTACCTCCTGCTATGAAAGCTGAAGAGGCCAGATACTTCTTTTGCCAGAATCCCTTGCAGCGAGGGTGAGGGACATGACCTGGACTTCTGCTAATCAGACTGATCAGACACTCCTGCCATGGACTTTGGATCTAAAAGTTGGTAACATAAAAGGGCAGGAACTGTGCAGAATCTGTCCTGGTGGCATGTATATGGCACTCTCCATTTCAAGAGGCAGCTATATCAGGGATTCTAGTAGCAGTACCTTACTGAGTGTCCATAGGGTTGGCTATGTGAGTGATGCCCACAGCAACAGCAATGGTGCCTGCACCAGACGAGCTCTTTAGTGTGATTTAGACACACCTGCAGCATACCTCTGAGCCTGGCTTGGGTCTTCTGGAGATTCCAGCAACTACCTGAGCCCCTTATATCAGCAGAATCACTTCTTGCTGTGTGTAGCTAAGAACTGAACAGCTGTGGGGAATTTGCTCATGGTCACCCACCTGGGAAGTGGCTCGCGCTAGAACCCAGGACTCCAAAGCTCTTGTTTTTTCCCTACAGATGCTTCTAGATGAGGCTGAGTCATCCAAGGACTCTACCAAGTGCTGTGGAATCTTGGAGAAAGTAGAGTTGTCTCCAACTGTAGGTATCCAGAGACTTTGTGACTTGGTGAATGTTAATGAAGGGGTATTGGCTGAGTGCGGTGGCTCACACATGTAATCCCAGCACTTTGAGAGGCCGAGGTGGGCAGATCACTTGCTAACACAAAAATTAGCCAGGCATGGTGGCGTATGCGTGTAGTCCCAGCTACTTGGGAGTCTGAGGCAGGAGAATGGCTTGAACCCGGGAGGTAGAGGTTGCAGTGAGCCGAGATCGCACCACTGCACTCCAGCCTGGGCAACAGAGCAACTCTCCATCTCAAAAAAAAAAGTTGGTGGGGGGAGTATTTAAAATTAATCTGGGAGAATGGTTAGGATGCTTCTAAGTAAAGTGTTTTTTTAAATTTAAGTGCAATACACACACACACACAGACACACAAACACACAGCTTGAAAAAATCTGCAGCTCAAAATATTTTCACAAACTGACAACACCCATGTAACCAGCATAAAGATGAAGAAATAAAATATTATCAGCCCCCAGATACCCTCCTTTTCCTCCTACTCTGTTCACCTCTGACAAAGGTAAACACTCTCTTGACTTTTACCACCCTAGAACGACCTTGTCTACAGGTTGAATAATACAATGTCAACTCTTCTGTTTCTGGTTTCTTTCTTATAACATTGTATTCTTAATATTTATTCCTGTTGTCAATGTAGTTGAAGATAATTCATTCTCCTTGCAGTAGTATTTCATTTTGTGAATATAAGTAGGTTTTATGTATCCATTCTGCTGTCTGATATATCTAAAAGTTGTTTCTAGTTTGGGTCTGTAATCAATAGTGCTACTATGAACATTTTGGTGATTGTCCAGTGGTTCTACTAGGAATATTCTGGTGATTGTATATATGTTTCTGTTGGGAACATTTCCAGTAGAGTAATTGCTAGGTCATAAGATATGTGTATACTCAGCCTTAGTCAACAGAGACAAACAGTTCTCCAAAGAGTTGTACCAATATCCATTCCCATTAGCAACGTATGAGAATTCCAGTTGCTCCCCATCCTTCACTGACACTAGGATATCTCCAAAATCTTTAATTTCAGTCATCCTGATATGTGTGCCATGGTCTCTCATTGTGGCTTTAATTTGTATTCCCTGATGATTAATGGAATTGATCACTTTTTCTTATGTCATTGGCCAACTGAATTTCATCTTTTAAGAAGTTACTTTTCAGTCTATTTTTTGGTTTTACTTTTTTTTTAATACAAAGTCTTGTTATGTTGCTCAGGATGGCCTTGAACTCCTGACCTCAAGCAATCCTCCTGCCTCAGCCTCCCGAGTAGCTGGGATTACAGACATGAGCCACTGTGATCAGCTCAGTTCATATATTTGTATTTGGTTATCTTCCATTTTTATTATTATTTGTAGATATTTTTCTTTTTTGGGGGGGGTGTAGAGTCTCACTCTGTCACCCAGGCTGGAGTGCAGTGGCACAACCTCGGCTCATTGCAACCTCTGCCTCCCAAGTTCAAGCGATTCTCCTGCCTCAGCCTGCCAAGTAACTGGAACTACAGGCACGCACCACCACACCTGGCTAATTTTTTTTTTTTTTTTTGTATTTTTAGTAGAGACAGGGTTTCACCATGTTGGCCAGGATGGTCTTGATCTCTTGACCTTGCGATTTGCCCACCTCAGCCTCCCAAAGTGCTGGGATTACAGGTGTGATCCACCACACCCGGCCACATTCTGGATATATTAATAAGTCCTTTGTTGTCCTATAGCTTGCCTTTTTAAGTTCTTTTATTTTTTTTTTTTATTTTTTGAGACAGTTTCCATTTGTAGCCCAGGCTGGAGTGCAGTGCTGTGATCTCGGCTCACTGCGGCCACCGCTTCCCGGGTTCAAGTGATTCTCCTGCCTCAGCCTCCCAAGTAGCTGGGATTACAGGCATGCACCACCACACCCAGCTAATTTTTGTATTTTTAGTAGAGACGGGTTTTCGCCACGTTGGCCAGGATGGTCCCAAACGCCTGATCTCAAGTGATCCGTCTGCCTTGGCCTTCCAAAGTGCTTGGATTACAGGCATGAGCCACCTCTGGCTTGCCTTTAAAAGAAAAAAAATAGCTCTATTGAGATAGAATTTATTTATAAAGTTCACCTCTGTAAAGGGCCCAATTCAGTGGTTTTAATATATTCACAGACTTGTGCAGCCATCACCACTATCAAATTTATCATCCCCAAAAGAACCTCCAGTGCCCGTTAGCAGTCACTTCCCACTGCCCTCTCTCCCCAGCCCCTGGCAGCCACTACTCTACTTTTTGTCTCTATGGATTTGCCTATTGTGGACATTTCATGTAATGGAATCACACTATGTGGTCTTTTGTGACTGGCTTCTTCTGGTTAACATAACTTTTCAAGGTTCATCTATGTTGTTGCATGTATCACTATTTCATTCCTTTTTATGGCCGAATAATATTCCATTATATAGATATATCACATTTTGTTTATCCATTCATCAGGTGAACAACAGGGTTGTTTCCACTGTTGGGCTATTATAAATAATGGTGTTGTGAGGCCGGGCGCGGTGGTTTACACCTGTAATTCCAGTACTTTGGGAGGCTGAGGCAGGCGGATCACTTGAAGTCAGGAGTTTGAAACCAGCCTGGCCAACATGGTGAAACTCCTTCTCTACTAAAAAAAAAAAAAAAAAAAAACAAAAATTAGCTGGACATGGTGGCCCATGCCTGTAATTCCAGCTACTCGGGAGGCTGAGGCAGGAGAATTGCTTGAACCCGGGAAGCTGAGGTTGCAGTGAGCCGAGATTGTGCCACTGCACTCCAGCCTGGGTGACAAAGTGAGACTCCATCTCAAAAATAAACAAATAATAATAATAATAATGGTGCCGTGAACATTATGTACAAGTTTTTGTGCAGACATAGGCTCTAATTCTCTTGGGCATATACCTTAGGAGAGGAATTGCTGCAGGATATGATAACTCTATGTTTAACCTTTTGAGGAAATGCCAAACTGTTTTCTGAAGTGGCGCCACCATTTAATATCGTCACCAGTAATGTATGAGGGTTCTCATTCCTCCGCTTCCTCATTAACACTTGTTATTGTCCATCTTTTCTATTCTAGCCATCCTAATAAGTAAGAAATGGTATCTCATGGTGGTTTTGATTTGCATTTCCCTAGTGAATGATATTGAACATCTTTTTCATGTACAGATTGGTGATTTTTATATCATTTTTGAAGAAATGTCTATTGCAACTTCTTTGCTCATTTTTAAATTGGGTTATTTGATTTTTGTTGTTTTGACTTGTAAGAATTCTTTCTATATTCTGGATACAAGTCCCTTATAAGATATATAATTTGCAAACATTTTCTCCTGTTCTGTGGGTTGTCTTTTCTTCACTTTCTTGGTGATGTCCTTTGCAGCACAAATGTTTTAAATTATTATTATTATTATTATTATTATTTTTTTTTTTTTTTTTTGAGACAGAGTCTTGCTCTGTCTCCCAGGCTGGAGAACAATGGCACAATCTTGGCTCACTGCAACCTCCACCTCCCAGGTTCAAGCAATTCTCTTGCCTCAGCTTCCTGAGTAGCTGGGATTACAGGCGCGCACCACCGCTCCCATCTAATTTTTGTATTTTTAGTACAGACAAGGTTTCACCATGTTGGTCAGGCTGGTCTCAAACTCCGGACCTCAGGTGGTCTGCCCGCTTCAGCCTCCCAAAGTGTTGGGATCACAGGCGTGAGCCACCATGTCCGGCCCAAACATTTTTAATTTTGACAAAGCCCAATTCATCTATTTTTGTCTTTTGTCACTTGTGCTTTTGATTTCATATCTCAGAAATCATTGCCTGATCCAAAGTAATGAAGGTTTACTCCCATGTTTTCTTGTAAGTGTTTTCTAGTTTTAGCTCTTAAAATTTGGTCTATGATCCATTTTGAGTTAATTTTTTTCTTTTTATTCTGATCAAACTGAGGACCAAGTTATTGAGTTAATTTTTATATATGGTATGAGATAGGGGACCAGCTTTATCCTTTTGCATGTAGATATTCACTTCTCCCAGCACCGTATGTTGAAAAGACTATTTTTTCCCATTGAATTATCTTGGTACTCTAGTCAAAAAACAGTTGACCATAAATAGGAGGGTTTATACCTGGACTCTGAATTCTGTTCCATGATCTATATTTCTATTCTTCTACCATTATCACACTGTGTTGATTTATAATAAGTTTGGAAATCAGGAAGTGTGAGTCCTCAAACTTTTTCCTGTCCTCCCTCTTTGTTTTCCTTGTTCAAGATTATTTTGGGCCGTGCGTGGTGGTTCATGCCTGAAATCCTAGCACTTTGGGAGGCCAAGGTGGAGGGATCACTTGAGGTCAGGAGTTTGAGACCAGCCTGGCTAACACAGTGAAACCCCAACTCTACTAAAAATTAGCCGGGCATGGTGGTGCCTGCCTGTAATCCCAGCTACTTCAGAGGTTGAGGCAGGAGAATCGCTTGAACCCAGGAGGCGGAGGTTGCAGTGAGCTGAGATCACACCATTGCACTCCAGCCTGGGGGACAAGAGCAAAACTCCGTCTCAAAAAAAATAAAAAAGAAAAGAAAAAGATTATTTTGGCTATTCTAGGTTTCTTGTATCTCTGTATGAATTTTAGTATCAGCTTGTCAATTTTGCAAAAATGGCAGCTGGGATTTTGATAGAAATTAAGTTGAATTTGTAGATCAAATTGGGTAGTATTGCCGTTTTAATAACATTAAGTCTTTTGTTCCATGAACATGGATGTATTTTTATTTATTTTGGTCTTCTTTAATTTTTGCAAAGAAATTTTGGTTTTCAGTGTACAAATCTTTCACCTTTTTTGCTAAATATTTCTCTAAGTATTTTATGCTTTTTGATACTATCATAAATGTTTTAATTTCCTTTTTGAATTTTTCATTGCTAGTGCATAGAAATGCAACTAATTTTGCCTGTTGATTTTGTATACTGCAATATTGAGGAATTTTTAAAATTAGCCCTAACAGGTTTTTTGTTTTTTGTGGGATCTTTAGGGTTTTTACATATGAGATCATGTCATTTGCAAATAGAGGTCATTTTACTTC
The DNA here is from genome assembly GCF_000001405.40 of Homo sapiens. NCBI lineage: Eukaryota > Metazoa > Chordata > Mammalia > Primates > Hominidae > Homo > Homo sapiens. The sequence continues at coordinate 24,615,887 of NC_000001.11, forward strand.
TTCCTTTACAATCTGGATACCTTTTATTTCTTTTTCTTACCGAATTGCTCTGGCTAGAACTTCCAGTACTAGGTTGAATAGAGGTGATGAGAGCAGGCATTTTTGTCTTCTTCCTGATCTTAGAGGAAAGCAACCAGTCTTTCATCATTAAATATGATGATACCCATGAATTTTTCTGCAGATGGCCTTTTTTAGGTTGAGGAAATTAACTTCTGTTTCTACTTTGAGTGTTTTTATCAGGAAAGGGAGTTGAATTTTGCCAAATGCTGTTTCTATATTTATCAAGATAATCATATTGTTTTCATATTTTATTCTATTAATATGGGATATTACCTCTATTGATTTTCATATGTTTTTGTTGAGGATTTTTGCATCTATATTTATAAGACATATAGGTCTGTAGTTTTCTTATGATGTCTTTGTTTGGTTTTCATATCAGAGTAATACTGGCCTCATAGAATGAGTTGGGAAGCATTTTCTCCTTTTCTATTTTTTGGAAGCATTGGTATTAATTCTTTAAACATCTGGTAGAATTTACCAGTGAAGCCATCTGGGTCTGAGCTTTTCTTTGTAAGAAGTGTGTTGTTGTTGTTTTAACTACTATTACTAATGCAATCTTTTTACTTGTTATGGGTCTATTCAGATTTTCTATTTCTTCTTAAGTCAGTTTTGGTAACTTGTGTCTTTTCAGGAATTTGTTCATTTTATCTAGGTTAGCTAGTTTCTTGGCATACAATTTTTTATACTATTCCCTTATAATCCTTTTTATTTCTGAAAGATCGTAGTGATGCTGTCTCTTTCATTCCTGATTTTAGTAATTTGAATCTTTTCTCCTTTTTTCTTTGTTCAATTGAGCTAAAGCTTTGTCAATTTTCTTGATTGTTACAAGAATCCAATTTTTGGTTTTGTTGATTTTTTTTCTCTATTATTTTTCTATTCGGTGTCTGCCTTTTTATATCTCTTAATGGTTTCTTTTAGGGAAAATACATTTTTAATCTAAATGTTATCAATGTTTTCCTTTATAATTAGTGCTCTTTGTATTCTGCTTAAGAAATCATTGCCTACCTAAAGATTTTTCTTCTATGTTTTCTTTTAAAAGTCACATTGTTTTACTTTTTGTATCTGGATATGTGATGTGTCTGAAATTGATTTTGCCATGTGTGGGAGGTGGGGTCAATATTCCTTTCTTCCATATAGATATCTGATTAACTAAGAATCATTTGTCAAGAAGATTATTCTTTTCCTGTGTTACTATAGCATCACCTTATCATGAATTGAGTGACTGTATATGTGTAGTTTCTGTAGAAATTTTATTGATAGGAATTGTGGCAAAGAGAGGTCAGGTGGGATAAATAAAGGCAAGAGTAAAACTTTGAAGTCAAGGAAAAACATTCAGTTCATTTGTTCCTCCTTTCTTATTATTATTTTTTTTTTTTTAAGAAATGGGATCTTGCTATGATGCCTTCAAACTCCTGAGCTCAAGCAATCCTCCTGCCTGAGTAGCTGGGACTACAGGGGTGCCGCTGTGGCCAGCATCTTTCTTGCTTACTTTTATAAGCGCATACCAGTCATTGGAGTTAATACGATGAGCAAGATAAACATGGTCCCTGACTTACCTGTGGTCCTCACAACTTATCCCCTGTATTAAGTCTGTTCTCACACTGCTAATAAAGACATACCTGAGACTGGGTAATTTATAAAGGAAAGAGATTTAATTGACTCACAGTTCCACATGGCTGGGGAGGCCTCACAATCCTGGTGGAAGGAGAATGAGAAACAAAGTCATGTCTTACATGGCAGCAGGCAAGAGAGTGTGTGCAGGGGAACTCTCCTCTATAAAACCATCAGATCTCATGAGACTTATTCACTATCATGAGAACAGAATGGGAAAAACCAGTGCCCATAATTCAATTACCTCCCACTGGATCTCTCCCACAACACATGGGAATTATGGGAGCTACAGTTCAAGATGAGATTTGGGTAGGGACACAGCAAACCATATCATCCTCTACCAGAGAAGACAGACAATTAAACAAACAACCACAATATAGAACAATTTCTTTTGCAATAGGGGAAGTTCAAGGTGTTATATACACCTCTTGCTGAAGCACCTAGCTCAGTCTGGAGGTTCATAGATTGGGAGTGGGAATCAGGAAGGGCTCCCCAGAATAAATAACATATAAACTAAGAGTAAAAGATTGAGTAGGGGCCAGAGGCAGTGGCTCATGCCTGTAATCCCAGCATTGTGGGAGGCCAAGGCAGGAGGATTTGCCTGACACCAAGAGTCCACGACCAGCCTGGGCAACTTAGGAAGACCTTGTCTCTAGCAAAAAAAAAAAAAAAAAAAAAAAAAAAAAAAAAAAAAAAAAGCTGACACGGTGGTGCATGCCTGTAGTCTCAGCTACTTGGGAGGCTGGGGCAGGAGGGTCACTTGAGCCTGGGAGGTTGATGCTGTAGTGAACTACGATTACACCTCTGTACTCTAGCCTGGGCAACGGAATGAGGCCCTGTCTCAAAGAAACAAAACAAAACAGATAGAGTAGGGCCAGGCACGGTGGCTCACACCTGTAATCCCAGCACATTGGGAGGCTGAGGCAGGAGGAACACCTGAGGTCAGGAGTTCAAGACCAGCCTGACCAACACGGTGAAATCCCGTCTTTACTAAAAAATACAAAATTAGCCAAACATGGTGGAGAAGCCTGTAATCCCAGCTACTTGGGAGGCTGAAGCAGGAGAATTGCTTGAACCTGGGAGGCAGAGGTTACAGTGAGCCAAGATTGCGCCATTGCACTCCAGCCTGGGCAATAAGAGTGAAACTCCGTCTTAAAAAAAAAAACAGATGGAGTAGGAGTGAGTGAAGGGAAGTGGGAAAAGAAGAGAAATAAAGAAGAGAGCTCTGGGTCAGGTGTGGTCGCTCACGCCTGTAATCTCAGCACTTTGGGAGGCCGAGGTGGGTGGATCACCTGAGGTCAGGAGTTCAAGACCAGCCTGGCCAACATGGTGAAACCCCATCTCTACTAAAAATACAGAAAGTAGCCAGGCGTGGTGGCAGGCACCTGTAATCCCAGCTACTCAGGAGGCTGAGGCAGGAGAATCGCTTGAAACTGGGAGGTGGAGGTTGCAGTGAGCCAAGATCGTGCCACTGCACTCCAGCCTGGGCAACAGGAGCGAAACTCCATCTCAAAAAAAAAAAAAGCGCTCTGCAGGAGAGAAAAGCTTCGGTTTCGCAGAAGCCCAAAGGAGATAGCGGGAGATGGGCTGGGAAGAGAAAAGAGGCTGACAGATCTTCATTCCTTGGCTATTTTGAAGGCAGTGGAGAGACACTGAAAATGCTTGAGTGGAGAAGTGGCAAGATCAGATCTGTGCTTTAAGGAGATTAATTCTGCTACAATGTGCAGAATGGATTGGTGTGGGAGAGACTGGAGGCTGGGAGAACAATTTAGAGCCTATTGCAAGAAGTAACAGGCGCATCTGTGTATCTGTTAGTTTTAAAATGCCTTTTCCAAATAGCCCACTAAGTGTTAAGTTTTGTTCTTTTTCTTTTTTTAAGTAGCTATTTGTGGGTGTGGAGTAACCCAACAAAAATGTCCCCAGGAATCATCTCAGGCCCACTGGATGGGGGCACACAGCAGGGGCATTGTCTCAGTACTGTAGCCCTTTGTCCCAGGACACCCATTCCCTTCACAGAAAATTTCCTGGCAAAGAAGCAAACTCCTGTGGTTCAGCAGATACTACCATCCCGGCCGTTGCCAGACTGTCCACATTTGGGAGAAGCAGGTAGAAACAAGACTGACCTTCAGGTCGCTGGCGATATGAAACCCTCTTTGTCTGACTTCAGCTCAGCTATTATCAGGGAGGGTCCCTCGCTGGCTGAAATTCAATCTCTTGAATACATTTTACCTGGGCCCCCATGGTCTTACAGAATGCTGCAGTGGCTTAATTGATCTCAGAGAAATATAACAACCAACTTATTCATTCTTTCCAGCTTTCCAGTTCTTGCCCTGGAAGGCCCATGGGAGTAAAAGGGATTTTTAAAAATTCATATATGCATAATTACAACCTCAAATTGAAGGATCTGTGAATTGGACAGTTTGCTCCACTTAGAAAAAAAGGGGATAAGAGGGTGATGTTTATTTCATTTTGTTTGTTTCTCGGTCCCCAGATGAGATGGTTCTACCATTCTCTCCAATTCATGGCACACTGTCATCTTTGACCATGTAGAGCCCCTCCTGTTTTATAATTTTTTTCTACTTCATCCTGAATTTCCACTCCTACTTTTTTTTTTTTTTTTGAGATGGAGTTTCATTCTTGTCACCCAGGCTGGAGTGCAGTGGTGCAATCTTGGCTCACTATAACCTCTTCCTGCTGGGTTCAGGTGATTCTCCTGCCTCAGCCTCCCCAGTAGCTGGAATTACAGGTGCCCCCCCCACCACGCCCGATGAATCGTTTTGTATTTTCAGTAGAGATGGGGTCTCACCATGTTGGCCAGGCTGGTCTCGAACTCCTGACCTCAGGTGACCCACCCGCCTCGGCCTCCCAAAGTGCTGGGATTACAGGTGTGAGCCACCACGCCCAGCCTCACTTCTACTTTTCTTCCCCACTATAGACATCCTCCTCTAATTTCTTTATTATGTCTCAGATTAAAAACAAACAAGAACCCTCCGTTGACAACACAGGCCCCTTCAAAGCACTGCTCGACCTCTCCGCTTTCCTGGACAGCAAACCTGTTCGAAAGTGCTGTCTCTACTGCTACATCCATTTCTCTTCCATGTCTTTCTAGAGCCCTCTCCCATCAGGCTTTCATCCCTCGTTGCACTAAGTTGTCCTTGCCAAATCTACTCAGTCCTCCACCCTCATCTATCTACTTACTTAGCCAAATTGGCCATAGCCTATGACTTCCTCCTTCTGGAATTATCTTCTTGTTTGGCCTCTGCAACGCTGCCTTCTCTTGGTTCTCTTTCGAATGCAGTGGCCGTTCCTTTTCAATCTCTTCTGCAGGCTCCTCATCATTTTCTCTGCTTGTAAATAATGGAGAGCCTGAGTTTGCCGTCAGACTTCCAGACTACTTATGCTCACTCCCTTGGTACCCTCATCTGACCTCATGACTTAAATACCATCTATATGCTGCAGCTCCTAAATGTGTAGCATCAAATCTCTCTCCTGAATCCTAGGCATGAATGGCCAACACACAACTTGGTAGCTCCACTTGAATATCTTTTTTTCTTTTTCTTTCGTTTGTTTGTTTGTTGAGACAGGGTCTCACTCTGTCACTCAGGCTGTAGTTCAGTGACACAATCTCTGCTCACTGCAGCTTCGATCACCTGGGTTCAAGCGATCCTCCCACCTCAGCCTCCTGAGCAGCTGGGACTACAGGCTTGCGCCACCATAGCCAGCTAATATTTGAATCTTTTTTAGGATGGGGTTTCACCGTGTTTCCCAGGCTCGCTGAGATATCTAATAGGCATCTCAAACATCTCAAAACCAAACTCTTGTTTTTTTCAGCTAAATCTACTCCTCCCCTAGTCTTTCTTACTCAGTAACAAGCAGCTCCATTCTTCCAGATTCTCAGGCCAAAATCCTCAGCAACACCCTTGATTCCTCTCATTCTCTCACACCCACCCATTAGTAGTTGTCTGCTCTGTTTTTAAATTAAATATCTTCTTCCAGTTTGCAACTTGTCTTTGTACCCTCTGTGGTATCTACTGATGAACAAATGTGTTTAACTTAATGTCAGGTTTTCAATTTTTTCTGTTATGGTTGGCACTTTTAAAAAAATATCTTGGCTGAGTGTGATGGCTCACACCTGTAATCCCAGCACTTTGGGGAGGCTGAGGCAGGTGGATCAGTTGAGGTCATGAGTTCGAGACTAGCCTGGCCAATATGGCAAAACCCCATCGCTACTAAAAATGCAAAAATGAACTAGGCGTGATGGCATGTGCCTGTAATTCCAGCTTCTCTGGAGCCTGAGGCAGGAGAATTGCTTGAGCGTGGGAGGCAGAGGTTGCAGTGAGCCGAGATCATGCCACTGCACTCCAGCCTGGGTGACAGAGCAAGACTCCAACTCAAAAAAAAAAAAAAAAATATATATATATATATATATATATATACACCCTATCCTTAGGTCTTAAAGACATTTTGAAGCTCTTTTTTGTTTGTTTATTTTGCCCTTTCCATCTCTTCTACCACCCTATTCTAAGTCATGATCACCTCTGCCCTGGGTCAATGTAACAGCCTATTTACTGCTCTCTCAGCTTCTAGCATTGCCTCTACACAGTAACCATGCTGATCTAAAAATAAGCCAGATCATTTCATTTCTGTGCTAAAAAGCCTCCAATGGAGTTTCATTGCATTCCAAGCAAAAGCCTAAGCATCTCTAGGAAGTAAGAGAGGGTGGGGTGGGCAAAGCCCTGGGGGATCTCGCCCCTCACAACCCCTCTCGCTTCCTATGGCTCTCTCCCCTGCTCCACTGCAGCCACTTGCTGACCTCCCAGAGGAGCCTGGAACATGCCAAACACACTCCCACCTCAGGACCTTTCACCTCCTGTTCTCTTCGCCTGGAATTCTCTTCCTCCACAAATCCACAGTCTTGCTCCTCCTCTAAAAGCAGGCTTTGCTCAGCTCAAAGGTCAACCTTATCAGAGAGAACTTCCCCTGAATTTTACTTAAATGTGATCCGGATATTCTTTTTTTTATTTTCCTCACTGAACATATTTTTTTAAAAGATCTCACTATGGCCGGGCGTGATGGCTCACACCTGTAATCCCAGCACTTTGGGATGCCAAGGTGGGCGGACCATGACGTCGGGAGATTGAGACCATCCTGGCTAACACGGTGAAACCCCACCTCTACTAAAAATACAAAAATTAGCAGGGCATAGTGGCAGACCCCTGTAGTCCCAGTTACTTGGGACACCGAGGCAGAAGAATCACTTGACCCCGGGAGGTGGACGTTGCAGTAAGCCAAGATTGAGCCACTGCACTCCAGCCTAGGGGACAGAGCGAGACTCTGTCAAAAAAAAAAAAATTCAAATTTTAAAGTTTTTTTCCTTCAGCATTTTGAAAATGTCACTTCGGGCTAGGCACAGTGGCTCACACCTGTAATCCCAGCACTTTGGGAGGCCGAGGCAGGTGGATCACGAGGTCAGGAAATCGAGACTATCCTGGCCAGCACGGTGAAACCCCGTCTCTACTAAAAATACAAAAAATTAGCTGGGTGTGCTGGCGGGCGCCTGTGGTCCCAGCTGCTCAAGAGGCTGAGGCAGGAGAATGGCGTGAACCGAGGAGGCAGAAGTTGCAATGAGCCGAGATCGCGCCACTGCACTCCAGCCTGGGCGACAGAGCAAAACTCCATCTCAAAAAAAAAAAAAAGAAAGAAAGAAAGAAAGAAAATGTCACTTTGTTGGTGTTTTTTGCATCCCAGCGATTAAGAAGTTCTTTTGGGGCCAGGCCTGGTGGCTCATGCCTGTAATCCCAGCACTTTGGGAAGCTGAGGCGGACAGATGACTTCAGCCCAGGAGTTCAAGACCAGCCTGAGCAACATAGCGAGACTCTTGTCTCTACAAAAATTAGCCAGGCGTGGTGGTGCTCACCTGTAGTCCCAGCTACGTGGAAGGATTGCTTGAGCCCCAGAAGTCGAGCCTGCAGTGAACTGAGATCACATCACTACACTCCAGCCTGGGCAACAGAGTAAGACCATGTCAAAAAAAAAAAATCTTTTGATCTTTTGTTGACAATCTGCTTTTTCTCTCCACAAGTTTATCCTCTACCCACATTGTGTTATATCTGTAAATGTAACTTTTTTTTTCTTTTTTCAAGACAGGGTCTTGCTCTGTCACCCAAGCTGGAGTGCAGTGGCATGATCATAGCTCACCGCAGCCTGAAACTCCTGAACTCAAGGAATCCTCTCACCTCAGCCTCCCAAAGTTCTGGGACTACAAGCCCACATCACTGCACTCATCTAATATTATATATATATATTTTTTCCTTTTTTTTTCTTTTTGTAGAGACAGGGTCTCTCTAATGTTGCCCAAGCTGGTCTGAACTCCTGGGCTCAAGCGATTCTCCTGCCTCAGCCTCCCAAAGTGTTAGGATTATAAGTGTGAGCAACTACACACTGTAACAATTTTTTAAATGGCTTTGAACACCCTCTAACTCAAATCAAGAGTTGAAGCCTTACCAATACTGTTGAGCAATTTACTTCTGTGCCCTTTCCCTCTCTTCTTCCATCCTACTCTCCAGAGGGAACCACTTTCCTGAACATTCCTCACTTTAAAAATGATTTTATCATAGATTGATGCTTCCCTAAACAATACAATATTTAGTTTTCCTAGTTTTTTCCAGCTTTTTATAAATGAGCTCATAACATGTATAGTCTTTTGCAATTTTTTTCACTCAATGTTATATTTCTCGTTTTATCTATTTTGTTGCCTGTAGCTATACTTAATTCTCTTTCCTTCTGCATAATATTCCACCTTTTAAACATATTACCGTTTACTGATCCATTATCTTGGTGACAGACATTTATGTTATTTTCAGTTTTGTGCCAGCGGGAAAAATATTACTGTGAATATTCCATACATTTCTCTTGGTGCACACATGCAAGAGTTTGGAATGGAAATGCTGAGTCATAAAGTTTGTACATCTTCAATTTTATTCAATAATGCCAAATTGTTTTCCAAAATGTTTCTTCCAATTTACCTTTTTTTTTTTTTTTGAGACGGACTCTCGCTCTATCGCCAGCATAAAGTGCAGTGGCACCATCTCGGCTCACTGCAAGCTCCGCCTCCCGAGTTCACGCCATTCTCCTGCCTCAGCCTCCGCCTCCCGAGTAGCTGGGACTGCAGGCACCCGCCACTACGCCCGGCTAATTTTCTGTATTTTTAGTAGAGACAGGGTTTCACCAGGTTAGCCAGGATGGTCTAGATCTCCTGACCTCGTGATCCGCCCGCCTTGGCCTCCCAAAGTGCTGGGATTACAGGCGTGAGCCACCATGCCAGCTTTTTTTTGTTTTTGTTTTTGTTTTTTAAAGGAGTCTTGCTCTGTTGCCCAGGCTGGAGTGCAGTGGCACGATCTCGGCTCACTGCAACCTCCGCCTGCCGGATTCAAGCGATTCTCCTGCCTCAGCCTCCCGAGTAGCTGGGATTACAGGCATGCGCCGCTATGCCTGGCTAATTTTGTATTTTTAGTAGAGACGGAGTTTCACCATGTTGGTCAGGCTGGTCTCGAACTCCCGACCTCAGGTGATCCGCCCACCTCAGCCTCCTAAACTGCTGGGATTGCAGGCGTGAGACACCGCGCCTGGCCCCCAATTTACCTTTCTACCAGCAATATATAAGAGTTACAGTTTTCACACCTTCACATCTTCAACAACACTTTGTATTACCAGACTTCTTAATGTTGAATAATCTAACAGATATAAGTTGGTATTTTATGATCTTAATTTGCATTTCCCAGGTTATTACATAGATTGAGCATCTTGTCATGTGTTAATCAGTTGAGCATTTTTCTTTCTTTCTTTCTTTCTTTTTTGGACTAGTCAAATGCAGCAGCGAGAAGGGTGAAAGAATAGAACAAACAGTATGATCTGTAGCTAACTGTAAACAGTCAACTCACTACCTTTGGATCAGCTGGGGTCAAGCATTTTTGCATTTGTTGATAGGTTCTTCTGTGAAGTGCCAGTTCAAGTCTTTGCCCATTTTTCTGTTGGGCTGCCTGTCTTTTTCTCATCTGTTTGGAATTGCTTTAAAAGAATATATTCTTGGCTGGATGTGGTGGCTTACGCCTGTAATCCCAGCACTTTGGGAGGCCGAGGCAGGCAGATCACTTGAGGCCAAGAGTTTGAGACCAGCCTGACTAATAGAGCGATACCTGACCTCTACTAAAAAAATAAGAAATAAAAGAATATATCCTAGATATTAGCCTTTCCTCAGTTATGATATTATTGCAAATATCTTCTCCCAATTTGCAACTTGTCTTTTTATTCTTCTTGTGGTATTTTTTGTTTTTATTTTTTTTGAGACAGGGTCTCACTCTGTCACCCAGGCTGGAGTGCAGTGGCGTGCAATCACAGCTCACTACAGCCTCAGCCTTCAGGTATCAAGTGATCCTCCCACCTCAGCCTCCTGAGTAGTTGAAACAACAGGCATGCGCCACCATGTCCGGCTACTTTTTTAATATTTTTTGTAGAGATGGGGTTTCACCATGTTGCCCAGGCTGGTCTCAAACTCCTGGCTTCAAGTAATCTACCCGCCTTGGCCTCCCAAAGTGCTGGGGTTCTAGACATGAGCCACCATGCCCTGCCTAGAAATTGGCTTTTTAAATACTCATCCACTTTATTTACCAATCTCAATGTCTGTCCTTCCATCCTTCCTTCCTTCATTTCTTTCTTTCTTTTTTTTCTGAGACAGTCTCACTCTGTCGCCCAGGCTGGAGTGCAGTGGCACGATCTCAACTCACTGCAACCTCTGCCTCCCGGGTTCACGCCATTCTCCTGCCTCAGCCTCCTGAGTAGCTGGGACTACAGGCGCCCGCCACCACACCCGCCTAATTTTTTTTTTTGTATTTTTTGTAGAGACGGGGTTTCACTATGTTAGTCAGGATGGTCTTGATCTCCTGACCTTGTGATCTGCCCGCCTCAGCCTCCCAAAGTGCTGGGATTACAGGTGTGAGCCACCGCGCCCGGCTCTTTTTTTTTTTTTTTTGAGTCAGAGTCTCACTCTGTCGCCCAGGCTGGAGTGCAGTGGCGTGATCTCAGCTCACTGCAACTTCTGCCTTCTGGGTTCAAGCGATTCTCTTACCTCAGCCTCCCGAGTAGCTGGGATTACAGACACGCGCCACCACGCCCAGCTAATTTTTGTATTTTTGGTAGAGATGGGTTTCACCATGTTGGCCAGGCTGGTCTCGAACTCCTGGCCTCAAGCGATCCACCCGCCTCAGCCACCCAAAATGTTGGGATTACAGGCGTGAGCCACCGTGCCCAGCCTTTCCTGTATTTCTAAATTTCCAACTGCTATCATTTTCTTTCAGCCTATAGAATTTCCTTTAGAATTTCTGTGGTAAGAGTCTGCTGGTGACAAATTCATTCAACTTTTATTTATCAGACATATCTATATTTCACCTTTATTTTTGAAAAATATTTTCACTGGATATTGAATTTTAGGTTGATTTTTGTTTTTCCAGCACTTCAAAGATGTAGTTCCATTATTTTCTAGCCTCTAATCGGAAATCAACTGTAATTCTTATCATTGTTCTCTTTTATGTAATGCATCTATTTTCTCTGGCTGCTTTTACTTTTTTTTTTTTTTTTTTTTTTTTTTTGAGATGGAGTCTCCCTCTGTCACCCAGGCTGGAGTGCAATGGTGTGATTTCAGCTCACTGCAAGCTCCGCCTCCTGGGTTCACGCCATTCTCCTGCCTCAGCCTCCCGAGTAGCTGGTACTACAGGCGCCCGCCACCACGCCCGGCTAATTTTTTTTTTTTTTTGTATTTTTAGTAGAGACAGGGTTTCACCGTGTTAGCCAGGATGGTCTCGATCTCCTGACCTTGTGATCCGCCTGCCTTGGCCTCCCAAAGTGCTGGGATTACAAGCGTGAGCCACTGCGCCTGGCCTTTTTTTTGTTGTTGCTTTGTTTTGTTTTGTTTGAGACAGGGTCTCGATCTAGTGCCTAGGCTGGAATACAGTGCTGAGATCTTGGCTCACTGAAACCTTCACCTCCCAGTTCAAGTGATCCTCCCACCTCAGCCTCCTGAATAGCTGGGAGTACAAGACATGCGCCACCAAACCCAGCTAATTTTTGTGTTTTTTGTAGAGATGGGATCTCGCTATGTTGCTCGGGCTGGTCTCAAATTCCTGAGCTCAATCAACCCTCCCCGCTCAGCCTCCCAAAGCACTGGGATTACAGGCATGAGCCACCATGCGCAGCCAAAAAATACTTTGTTGGTTGGACGCAGTGGCTCACACCTGTAATCCCAGTACTTTGGGAGGCTGAGGTGGGAGAATCACTTAAGCCCAGGCGTGTGAGACCAGACCTGGCAACATAGTGAGACCTCATCTCTACAAAAAATATAAAGAATTAGCCAAGTGTGGTGGCATGTGCCCATGGGCCCAGTTACTCGGGAGGCTGAGGCAGGAGAACTGCTTGACCCCAGGAGGTCGAGGGTGCAGTGAGCCCTGATGGAGCCACTGCACTCCAGCCTGGGCAAAGCAAGACCCTATTTCAAATTTAAAAAAAAAAAAAAAAGTCTTGAATGTGATTAACATCAGGTTGAATACAACCAAGGAAATAATCAGTGAATTTAAAAACAGATCAATAAACATCATCCCAATGGAGAGAATAAAAGACTGAAAATCAGGAAAAAAATTAAAAAATGAAAAACCGGCTAATGTCCAAAAGGCAAAAAAAAAAAAATAATAAAATCTTTGGGGTTAATTTTCTATCAAACAAAATTTATTTCCATTCTTATTGGACAACAATTATTTGCATTGCTCTCAATTTCCTACAAGTTAAAATCTAGCCTTACAAAGTATCTCAATGTAAATAAATCAACGGTAAATGGTAACTGAAATAAAAATACATTCCTATAAAGAACTGAATAATCTGTGAGCGAGCTTGCTAGGCAATGGCCCTAAGCACTGAAAGGACATGCAATAATTTATTTTTCTCTATTCCCAAATTTTGAATAGTTTTTGTTAACAAGAGTTAGGAGAGAAATGTGACCTCTAAGAACTTTCTCTTTCTTCCTTCCCTTCTTTTCTCTCATAAACACTTCTATAGCATTCTTGTGTATACCTTTTCTTTTCTTTTTTTATTTTAGACTGAGTCTTGCACTGTTGCCCAGGCTGGAGTGCAGTGGCACATTCTCAGCTCACTGCAACCTCCGCCTCCCGGGTTTAAGCGATTCTCCTGCCCCAGCCTCCCAAGTGGCTGGGATTATAGGCATGCGCCACTACACCCAGCTAGTTTTTGTATTTTTAGTAGAGATGGGGTTTCACCACTTTAGCCAGGTTGGTCTCAAACTCCTGACCTCAAGTGATCTGACCGTCTCAGCCTCGCAAAGTGCTGGCATTACAGGCGTAAGCCACTGCGCCCAACCATGTGTGTACCTTTTCTTCCCTCTTTCTCTTTCTCTCCCTTTCTCAAACACTTCTACAGTATTTGTACCAAGCACTATGATAAACATTTTACAAGTATCAACTCATTTAATCTTGGTAAAAGGGAAATTGTCCTAAACCTGATCTGAGGCAAAATGTTTTTGTAGGATATAATTCCCAGTTTTTCTCTAGGAAAAAAAATACCATTCTTGAGAAAATGTTTACATTATTTTCTGATGAACTATGATTAAGACTTATTCTGGGTGCCAGGCATGGTGGCTCATGCCTGTAATCCCAGCACTTTGGGAGGCTGAGGTGGGTGGGTCATTTGAGGCCAGGAGTTTGAGACCAGCCTGGGCAACATGGTAAAACCCCACCTCCACTAAAAATACAAAAAAATTAGCCGGGCGTGGTGGTGCATGCATGCGTGCAGTCCCAGCTACTCAGCAGGCTGAGGCAGGAGAATCTCTTGAACCCGGGAGGCAGAGATTGTAGTGAGCTAAGATCACATCACTGCACCCCAGCCTGGGCGACAGAGTGAGACTCTGTCTCCAAAAAAAAAAAAACAAAAAACTTCTATCCGATTGACTTTTTTCTGAGAGGCTACCTGTGAGTATTCTGTTAAGAGCCTAGTAATCTTGAACCAATCCTTTTTTCTTTCTTTATCTCTTCTCAGTGATTATGTACTCATTTTCTTTTTCTTTAAGAGAGCAAATTTATTAATTGGCTTACTAAAGTCCTTTTCCCTTGTAACATGATTGTAACAAAACTCTGACACATGCCCATAACTAAATTGTCTAAAATCTAATTTTCTTTCTTTTTTTTTTTTTTGAGACGGAGTCTTGCTCTGTCGCCCAGGCTGGAGGGCAGTGGCTCGATCTCCGCTTACTGCAAGCTCCGCTTCCCGGGTTCACGCCATTCTCCTGCCTCAGCCTCCCAAGTAGCTGGGACTACAGGCGCCCGCCACTATGCCTGGCTAATTTTTTTAGTAGAGATGGGGTTTCACCGTGTTAGCCAGGATTGTCTCGATCTCCTGACTTCGTGATCCGCCTGCCTCGGCCTCCCAAAGTGCTGGGATTACAGGTGTGAGCCACCGTGCCCGGCCTAAAATCTAATTTTCTTAAGCAATTTTCATCATAACCCAAGAGATCTAAACATGACTCTACTCTCCTTTCCTACCTAGTTTTTGTGGGTTACAGCGGAAAACACTTCTCTTGTCCAGGGAGATGGCCTTATAGGCCAGGGGTTTATGACAAACCTCTGGTACATGGCTGGATTCACAAATGTCAGTCAGGAGAAAAAAAAAAAGCCTTCAGTAACCGACCACAGCAATCACAGAGGACCATCTACCAAGATGGCAGAATATTCTTAGAGTTTCAGGTGAACTGGAATCACGCTGGTGTGGGAGGGGTTTATAATCAAGGAGAAGTAAACTTGAGTTTTATGGCAAGCTTGATGTCTGAACCTCCTGACCATCACCACCAAAAATGTACTGCAGCTGGGCGTGGTGGCTCATGCCTGTAATCCCTACACTTTGGGAGGTGTAGATGGGTGGAAGGATTGCTCGAGGCCAGGAGTTTGAGATCAGCCTGATCAACATAGCAAGACCTTCTCATCTTTACCAAAAAAAAAAAAAAATTAGCCAGGCATGTTGGCACATTTGGCACATGCCTGTAGTCCCAGCTACTCGGGAGGCTGAGGCAGGAGAATAGCTTGAGCCCAGGAGTTTGAGGTTACAGTGAGCTATAGTTGTGCCATTGCACTCCAGCCTGGGTGACAGATCAAGAGCCTGTCTCTAAAAGTAGTAATGATAATAATAAGTGAAGAGTCATTTTTCTCTGTTTTAAGTATCTGAATAATCTGAATAAATCTTGGGTCCTTTATGGCCCAGATGTTAGTATCACACATTCAAATAAAGAGTCCAGTAGTCAAAAATAGTGAAAAAAAAATCCAAAAATCCAATCATATTTTTCAAAAACCAGCAAAGGGGACCCAGTTAATAATCCTATCTACTTCTGTTCAGTTCCCTGATACCTGTAGCTGCTCTGTTGCCTCTTCCTCTCCAAACAATCTCTTCTCTCTTTAACCCTCTTTTTTTTTTCTTTTTGAGACAGGGTCTCACTCTATCATCCAGACTGGAGTACAGTGGCACAGTGGCCACTGACTGCAACCTCTCCCTCCCAGGTTCAAGCAATTCTTGTGCCTCAGCCTCCCCAGTAGCTGGGATTACAGGCATGCGCCATCATTCTGGCTAATTTTTATGTTTTTAGTAGAGATGGGGTCTCGCTATACTGCCCAGGCTGGTCTTGAACTCCTGGCCTCATATGATCCGCCCGCCTCTACCTCCCAAAGTGCTGGGATTACAGGCGTAAACTACCATGACCAGCCAACACTCTTTTCCCTTTATTATATAGATTAGCCTCCAGCCTCTCAGGGCATTATAAAGATTTCTCTCCTTCACCCATTCACCCATCTCTTGAGCTTTCACTAAAACAGCTTTTCTTTAAAAAAAAAAAAATCCAGGCTGGAGTTCAGTGGCAAAATCATAGCTCACTGCTCACTGCAGCTTCTAACTCCTGGGCTTAAGTGGTCCTCCAGCCTCCAGAGCAGCTGGGAATATAGGCACATGCCACCACACTCAGCTAATCTTTTATTTTTTGTAGAGCCAGAGTTTCGCCCTGTTGTCCAGGCTGGTCTCAAACTCCTGGATTCAAGTGAGCCACCCACCTTGGCCTCCCAAAGTGCTGGGATTACAGATATGAGCCACTGAGCCCAGCCAAGGCCACAGTATCTTAATCTCTAGGTGAGTGTCTACGATGGTCCATTAGTTACCTTGTACATATAGAAGCTCCTCACTCTCTTTCCAGCTGCTGCCTGAGACTTAGCAGAATGGAAGAATAACAGGCATTCCTGTTGTGGAAGCCAGTGTTATGGAGCTATGAAAGCTTAGCCTTCTGGCCGGGCGCGGTGGCTCACGCCTGTAATCCCAGCACTTTGGGAGGCCGAGGCGGGTGGATCATGAGGTCAGGAGATCGAGACCATCCTGGCTAACAAGGTGAAACCCCGTCTCTACTAAAAATACAAAAAAAATTAGCCGGGCGCGGTGGCGGGCGCCTGTAGTCCCAGCTACTCGGGAGGCTGAGGCAGGAGAATGGCGTGAACCCGGGAAGCGGAGCTTGCAGTGAGCCGAGATTGCGCCACTGCAGTCCGCAGTCCCGCCTGGGCGACAGAGCGAGACTCCGTCTCAAAAAAAAAAAAAAAAAAAAAAAAAAAAGAAAGCTTAGCCTTCTTCTTTTCTGTAGTTGGGAGCTTCCTTTCTGTGAATAGTTTCCATAGGGGTGGTGTTGTTCACATCCTTGCTATATGCATATTGGCTATATGCATATTAGTGAATATGTTGATTCTAGATATGATTGCTGCACATCCTGGTTCTACCACCCCCCCTTATCTGGTTGTAGGTTTGACATATAAGCAAATAGCCGCAATTTGTCCACTTGATAAGGGGTGATGACCCTCCCTGCAATGTAAGCAACCCTCATGGGCTGGAACTTGGACTTCAATAATTCATGGACTCATAGACTTCATCTTCATACCTATCCAGCCTAAGGGTCTTTATCTATTGCCCATGGGTAACTGGACTACAATTCTCCAGGGTCAAAAGAGAAGTCTTGTTTATCATATATGCTGAATGGTCTCTAGCCAGCCCTACATTTACAAGACAATGTGTTAAGGACCCTGCCTAGCTAGGGAATTTGGGTGTGGGAGGTAAAGAGAAAAAAGAAAGGCCACTTAGAGCAACAAGAGCTATTGATTATTTTTAAATGAAGTCAAGGATGATTTTTAATCACTGACCACTATGACCCCTGCTGTCCAAGTGTTGCTGGGCCTGAAGGTGAAGAAAATTGGCACAGGCCTCACTGGCTTTCCCTTCCTCTCACCTTGTGGATTTGGGAACCAGCTGGGAGGCAGTCACTGGCCAGATGAAGAAAGGCTTGTTTGCTCATTCACCAGAAAGATAAGATCTGTCTATATTCCCTCCTCCAGCCATTTGCTTTAACACCTACATGAATGTCAAGCAACTGGTAATGTGGTCTTAACCCTAAGCAGATGGACCAAACCCTGAAAGTAAGTTCTGTTGTATGTTGCCTGTGTGATTTTACACAACTCACTTTTTCTCACGCCTTACTGTACTCATCTGTAAAACAGGAATAATACCGATGTATTAGCTTGCTAGGGCTGCCATAACAAAGTATCACACACTGGGTGGCTTAAGCAACAGAAGTGTATTTTATCACTGTTCTGGAGGCTGGAAGTCCAAGATCAAGTGTCAGCAGGGTTGTTTTCTTCTGAAGCATCTCTCCTTGGCTTATAGGTGGCCGTCTGCTCCTTATGTCTTAATTTGGTCTTCCCTCTGTGTGTGCGTCTGTATCTTAATTTCCTCTTCTTCTTTATTTATTTATTTATTTTTGAGATAGGTCTTGCTCTGTCACCCAGGCTGGAGTGCAGTGGCACGATCTTGGCTCACTGCAACCTCCGCCTCCTAGGTTCAACAATTCTCCTGCCGCAGCCTCCCAAGTAGCGGGGACGACAGGCACCTGCCACTACGCCCAGCTGATTTTTGTGTTTTTAGTAGAGATGGGGTTTCACCATGTTGGCCAGGCTGGTCTCGAACCCCTGACCTCAAGTGATCCGCTCACCTCGGCCTCCCAAAGTGCTGGGATTACAGGCATGAGTCACTGTGCCCAGCCAATTTCCCCTTCTTATAAGGACTCCAATTATATTGGATAAGGACCCACCTAATGGTCTCATTCTAACTTAATTACCTTTTTAAGGACGCTATCTCCAAATACAGTCACATTCCAAGGTACTGGAGGTTAGGACCTCAATATGAATTTGGAGATGGTGAAGGGACAGGGCAGGGGTTGAGAGGGGGAGACAATTCGGCCAGGGGTTGGGAGGGGGAGACAATTCAGCCTGTAACAATCTGCTAGATATTATTGTGAAGACTGAATTAGCTAAAGTGTTTAAAGCATTAACACAAAGCCTGACATAATATGACCCCCCCAAAATGGTAATTATTATTATGAAATCCCATATAAAAGAAAAGTACTGCCATCTAAATACAGAGAGAACATAGACAGGTACAGGGAATTCCAACCATGGTTCTTCATTTCCCATCTGATGGGTGCTGCTCTTATTCTTCCAGCTCTTGTTTTAAAAATATGCAAACATGGGCTGGGCGCGGTTGCTCACACCTGTAATCCCAGCACTTTGGGAGGCCGAGATGGGCAGATCACGAGGTCGAGAGATGAGACTATCCTGGCCAACATGGTGAAACCCCGTCTCTACTAAAAATAACAAAAATTAGCCAGCCGTGGTGGTGTGCCTGTAGTCCCAGCTACTTGGGAGGCTGAGGCAGGAGAATTGCTTGAACCTGGGAGGCAGAGGTTGCAGTGAGCCGAGATCGTGCCACTGCACTCCAGCCTGGCGACAGAGCAAGACTCCACCTAAAATATATATATATGCAAACATGGCCGGGCACAGTGGCTCACGTCTGTAATCTCGGCAGTTTGGGAGGCTGAGGCGGGCGGATCACTTAAGGTCAAAAGTTCGAGATCAGCCTAGCAAACATGGTAAAACTCCATCTCTACTAAAAATACAAAAATTAGCCAAGTGTGTTGGCACATGCCTGTAATCCCAACTACTTAGGAGGCTGAAGTCAGAGAATTGCTTGAACCCGGGAGCCGGAGGTTGCAGTGAGCCGAGATCATGCCACTGCACTCCAGCCTGGGCAACAGAGTGAGACTCCATCTAAAAAAAAAAAAGAAAAGAAAAAAAATGCAGCCAGGCACGGTGGCTTACGTCTGTAATCCCAGCACTTTGGGAGGCCAAGACGGGAATATCACTTGAGGTCAGGAGTTCAAGACCAGCCTGGCCAACATGGTGAAACCCCATCTCTAATAAAAATACAAAAATTAGCCTGGCATAATGCCGCATGCCTGTAATCCCAGCTTTGCTCGGGAGGCTGTGGCAGGAGAATTGCTTGAACCCGGGAGGCGGAGGTTGCAGTGAGCTGATATCGCACCACTGCACTCCAGCCTGTGTGACAGAGCGAGACTCTGTCTCCAAAAAAAAAAAAAAAAAGCAAACATAATACTTGAATATAACATCTGTGGAGGTCTTTCCATGGGATGACAAGCAAAGATGTTACGTTTTTCTCTGATGCCTGTTGCTGTTATTCTTCTGGTAATATTATGAACTCTCCAAGGACTAACTTACACTTCCTTTGTGCCCCTTACTATCTAAGAACACCATGCTAAGCATATAGGAAGGGCTCAGTAAAAAACAACCAATCAAACTACATGCTCTTGTGATAGTTGAGTTAGTCTTGGAACAAGTCCTGCCCGATTAGAGGCACATTATACTGAGAGAGTAGAACGCCATCTAGTGACTCTTGTTATCAGACTAGAAAACTGTGAGATTCAGGAAATCTCAGATTGCTACTTCCATGTCTCATCTATTTGATATCTGTATATGCAAACCCAACTAGAAATCTTATAGTTTGGCAGCTTTATATATTAATGATAAATTCAACTAAGCTTTTATTTCTCTTGCCAAGAGACTTCTGGCCTTCATATAGTTAACCTCAGTGAATCTGATTATTTATAGAATGGAGAAGCAACAAATAAAAGTGTCATGCAATTATTGACCATGGAATAAATATACAGAAGACCAAGAGAAATTCAGAAATCATAAAGCATCGATATTGCACTCCAGCCTGGGCAACAAGAATGAAACATCATCTCAAAAAAACAAAAGTTTACTCTTTTATCTCAAAAGTTTATTGTACGATGTAAATCTTCAGCTTTGGCAAAATACTATTTTAAACACTCAACCATTCTGTATTTTGGCCAAGATGCATTTTTGTTGCACGTCTACTTAGAACATATTATTTGCCAAATTCTGGTTTGGGTACTGAGAAAAAAGAGATGAGAGAGACAAAGTCCTTGTCTCCAAACAGTTCCTCTTACATAGGGAAGAGAGTAGAGATATGTGTGTGTGTGTGTGTGTGTGTGTGTGTGTGTGTGTGTGTGTGTGTGTGTATGATTAGAATATAGTGGAAAATATGCTATGAGACCATATGTGAAAAATTGAATCCTGTTTTGGAAGGTCTAGACCCAGGGTTTTTGGGAGGCTCAGCAACTCCCTAAAAGATAATCAGATGATAAATACTGAGCCCTACTAAGCAGAAATGCTTCCTGGAAGAGGTCATATCTAAACTAAATCCTAAAGGAAGAATCAGAGCTGGCCAGTTAAAGGGTTAAAGGGTAGAAAGGCAAAGTGGGGAGGGCAAAGGAAGGGCTGGGAAGGAACAGTGGTTTCAGACCAAGGGAACAGAATATGTGCAAAGATCTGAGGGGAGAAAGAGAGAAAGAATACATCCATTCTAGATCTGGAAGTATACAAGCTGCTACACTGAAATAGTTTCAACTTACACACTTACTGTGGTAGCCAGCCTCCAAGATGACCCCCGATGACCCTCCCCCTGCTACAGAAGGACATAATATTGATGTCCTTCTGTAGTCCCTTCCAACACTTAATGGGGGTAACCTGTGTAACCAATAGGATATTATGAAAACTATTGTGCATGACTTCTGAGGTTATGGTACAAAAGACATTGTGGCTTCTGTCTTGCTCTCTTTTGGATCATTTGCTGCCATGTCATGGAAACCAAAGATGCCCTATCATTGTGGGATGGAACTGAGGCCTCTAGCCAATAGCTATATAAGTGAGTCTTCTTGGAAATATATTTTCCAGCCCCAGTTGACTGTAACCTTGACTATATACTCTTGAGAAACCCTGAGCCAGTATCACCCAACTTAGCCTCCCCAGATTCCTGATGCATAGCAACAATGAGAGATAACAAATGTTTATTGTTCTAAGTTGCTAAATGTGGGGAGTAATTTGTTATGCGGCAATAGATAATATACTCACTAATGTGCTCAAAAATATCTCCTGGAGCAAATGCATCTGTTTCTATTCTTCAGTCATTTTCATCTGAGCTATTGGTTGGATTCCACAGCTTCCTTGGTAAATTTAAGCTTATACATTTTTTACACATTTTTGAAGTACTTTAGGAAGACTGTTAATCCTGTTGTATCCAGGAAACACAAAAGCAGAAGTGGAAGGAAGAGGCAAACGATGGAAACAAAAGTGAAGATGATAACAAAAATAAGAAAAGTATAAAACCTGCCCCAGCCTATGGAATAAATGTTCGGTAGGAGGGATTCTGAAGAACACAGGGAACAAGCAACAGGTGAAACTCCTAAACCATCAACATCAATCACCAAGCAATGAGGAAAAGCTGTTGATGAAATGGAAAAATCTGAGTCTGTGCCTTGACGATCGGCACCAAGGTTGGATGCCTATTAGCTTTCTGAGGCTCAGAGTTTGAGGATTCAAAGAGCAGACCCAGCAAAAGAGCCATGGTAGGTTCACTAGGAGTGGCTTCTCGGCATTAAGACCTATTTTGGTTGTTTGTTTTTTTGTTTTTGTTTTTTGAGACAGGGTCTCAATCTGTCGCCCAGACTGGAGTACAGTGTCGCGATCTTGGCTCACCGTAACCTCCCACTTCCAGGCTCTAGAGATTCTCCCGCCTCAGCCTCCCAAGTAGCTGGGATTACAGGCGTGTGCCACCACTGCCCGACTAATTTTTGTATTTTTTAGTACAGACGGGGTTTCACCATGTTGGCCAGGCTGGTCTTGAACTCCTGACCTCAAATGATCCACCCGCCCCAGCCTCCCAAAGTGCTGGGATTACAGGCGTGAGCCACCGTGCCCAGCCAACACCTATTTTGATCTGCCCAGCATCAAAGTGAGCAACAGGTGGTGTCTGCAAAAACTTTCACTGCCAAGTAGTTATCCACTGCATCTGCAGGGATCATCAGGTAGGCAGCTCATCGGCCTCAGCAGATTTTCCGGTATAGACTCTTACTGATAGAATCAGTGGTTGCAACATTTTAACCAACAGACACTCATTGATAGAAATACTTTTGGAAATTGAGTCTTAGACTCTTTTTTAAAAATAGAGGTGGGGCAGTGGGGTTGGGGGTATCTCACTATGTTGTCCAGGCTGGTCTCAAACCCTTGGCCTGGAGCAATCCTCCCGCCTTGGCCTCCCAAAGTCCTGGGATTACAGGCATGAACCATGATGCCCAGCCTTAGACTCTCATTCATATACTCATTTCGACAAATGTTTATTGAGCTCCAAGGATGGGCAAATCCACACCCACATAGAGCTTTTTTATTTAAAAAAAAAAAAGGAAGAAGATAGTAAACATATAAACAAAATAGATAATAATCCCAGGAAATGTTAAGTGTTATTTAAAAAAAAATAAGGGGCTGGGCACGGTGGCTCATGCCTGTAATCCCAGCACTTTTTGAGAGCCTGAGGCGGGTAGATCACGAGGTCAGGAGATCAAGACCAACCTGGCTAACACGGTGATACCCTGTCTCTACTAAAAATACAAAAAATTAGCCAGGCGTGGTGGTGCATGCCTGTAGTCCCAGCTATTCAAGAGGCTGAGGTAGGAGAATCACTTGAACCTGGGAGGCGGAGGTTGCAGTGAGCCGAGATCGGGCCACTGCACTCCAGCCTGGGAGATGGCAAGACTCTGTCTCAAAAAAAATAAATAAATAAATAAATAAAAAATAGGACTGGGCATAGTGGTGCGTGCTTGTAATCCCAGCATTTTGGGAGGATGAGGCAGGTAGATTGCTTGAGCTCAGGATTTTGAGACCAGCCTGGGCAACACGGTGAAGCTTCATCTCGAAAAGAAAAAAATACAAAAATTAACTAGGCGTGGTGGTGTGAGCCTGTAGTCCCAGCTATTCAGAAGGCTAAGGTGGCAGCATCACTTGAGCCCAGAAAGTGGAGGCTGCAGTGAGCCAAGATCACACCAATGAGCCAAGATCACACCAATGCACTCCAGCCTGGGTGACGCAGTGAGATCCTGTCTCCAAAAAAAAAAAAAAAAGAAAGAAAGAAAAGAAAAATAGGCCAGGCATGGTGGCTCACGACTATAACCCCAGCACTTTCGGAGGCTGAGGTGGAAGGCTCACTTGAGCCCAGGAGTTTATGACCAGCCTGGGCAATACAATAAAGCCCCCGTCTCTAAAAAATAATTTAAAAATTAGCTGGGTGTGGTGGCACACACCTGTAGTCCCAGCTACTCAGGGTGCTGAAGCAGGAAGATTGCTTGAGCTGGGGAAATTAAGGAGGCTGCAATGAGCTGTGATTGCATCACTGCACTCCAGCTTGGGTTACAGAGTGACCCTCTCTCCAAAAGAAAAGAAAGAAAAAGGTAAGACAGAGTGAGGGGATTGAGGGTGTCCTTTTTGGAAGGTTGTTCAGAAAAGGCTTGATGAAGAGGTGCCATTTGAATCATCTCTTAGTCATTTTAGGCTTACCAATATATAGACAAATAAATTGCCATTCGAAATCTAAATCTGTTCATAATCAGACAAGCATCTGTAGTTTATTGTGGCTGCAACTTAGAAGTAACGGATGAGGAGAGGGAGGCATAAGCTATTAAGAGAGGTGAAAAGGCAAGAGTTGGTTGTAGAGTGTGAGGAAGAGAGAAGAATCATGATAGAAAGAAAGGTGGGCTCATTCATTGAGAATGGGAAACCAGAAGGTTGAAGGCAAGTGGATGAAGATGAATTCAGTTTAGGGTATGTTGAGTGTGAGGTGCCTATGGGACATCCAAGTGAATAGGTGAGCAGGAAGTTGAAAATATAGGTCTGGAGCAGGCCTGTGCCTGAGATACACAGGTTTGAAATATGAAAGGTAATCAAAACCGAGAGGTCAGAGAGGGCACCTTTGTTGAGGGAAAAAGTAGTCAATGACAGAACTACCAGAAAAAACAACATTTATAGGATTGACAGCAAACAGACAGAGACAGTGAAGGAAGCCCAAAACAGAATGACTAATCAGAACCATAGAGAATAGTCAGGGAGATGTGGGGTGTTGTGATTTCATAGTTCCCATCTGGTCAAGTGGCTTGTTCTGTGGAGGCCTGTCACTTCCCTGTCTTTGGCCGTCTGACAAAGCCTTCATTCACTGAACAAATGTTTATTGAACCCATGCCATGTGTCACTTTTCTAGTGACACATGAATGAACAAAACAGTAAGCCCTGACTTTAGGGCACTTACATTCTAGTGTGGGGAACAGACAATAAACAAACATTAAAAACAGGTTAAACGGCCGGGCGCAGTGGCTCACACCTGTAATCCCAGCACTTTGGGAGGCCAAGGCAGGTATCCCTTGAGCTCATGAGTTCGAGACCAGCCTGGGCAACATGGCAAAACCCCATCTCTACAAAAAATACAAAAATTAGCTGGGAATGGTAGTGCGGGCCTGTAGTCCCAGCTACTCCAGAGGTTGAGGTGGGAGGATGGCTTAAAGCCAGGAGGCGGAGGCTGCAGTGAGCCAAGATCACGTGACTGCACTCCAGCCTGGGTGACAGAGCCAGGCCTTGCCTCAAAAAAAAAAAAAAAAAAAAAAAACAGGTTAAATGCATATTAGGTGATAAAAGCTATGAAAAAAAAAAAAAGAGTAACGGGCATCAGGATGTAGAGAGGATATCCGAGCAACTTCCAACAAGGCAGTCAGGTTAGGCTTCAGTGAGTGACCATCGAGTAAAAACTTTAAAGTAAAAACTTTGCCCAGGCCGGGCACGGTGGCTCACGCCTATAATCCCAGCACTTTAGGAGGCCAAGGCAGGTGGATCACGAGGTCAGGAGTCCCAGACCAGCCTGGCTAACATGGTGAAACCCCATCTCCACTAAAGATAAAAAAAGTAGCCGGACTTGGTGGCGGGCGTCTGTAATCCCAGCTCCCAATTTGGGAGGCTGAGGCAGGAGAATTCCTTGAAACTGAGAGGTGGAGGTTGCAGTGAGCCGAGATCCTGCCACTGCACTCCAACCTGGGCAGACAGAGCAAGACCCCATCTGCGGGGGGGCAGTGGGGACTTTAAGTTTGCCCAGTAGATATCCAGGAGTAGGTCAGCGTGGTGGCTCATGCCTGTAATCCCAGCAGTTTGGGAGGCCGAGGCGGGAGGATCAGTGAAGGTTGGGAGTTTGAGACCAGACTGGCCAACATGGCAAAACCCCATCTCTACTAAAAATACAATAATTAGCCGCGCGTGGTGGTGCGCACCTGTAGTCCCAGCTGCCAGGGAGGCTGAAGCAGGAGAATCGCTTGAACCCGGGAGGCAGAGGTTGTAGTGAGCCGAGATCGCGCCACTGCACTTCAGCCTGGGCGACAGAGCGAGACTCGGTCTCAAAAAAAAAAAAAAAAGATATCTGGAAGTAGAGCATTCTAGATTACATCAAAGACGAAATAGCGTGCATCAGGTAGGATTTTGGCTTTTGTTCTAACAAAAATGAGAGGCTGCTGGAAGGTTTTGAGAAAAGTGTCTGATTAAGGTTTTCTAACAGAACTACCCTGCCGGCTACACTTAGAGTAGATGCTGAGTGGCCAGGGTAGAAGCAGGAAGACCACTTAGGGGGTTAGCGCAGTTCAGGGAAGAGACGATGGTGCCCTGAACCACGATGACAGCAGGGAGGGTTTCTTGATGGTTTGAAAGCCGAGGTAAAGGAAAGGAGTCAAGAGTAACACACGCTTGCGTCCTACACCAAAGGAAAGCCACTGCGGTCAGCGGGAGCCAGGGAAGACCCTGGGAAGGGCAGGTGGTTTGTGGTTTTGGTGGATGGAGGGCGAAGGAATCAGGATTTCAACTTGGGGCACGTGGGACGGTCAAGAGAGAAGTCTGAGCTGGAGATGCAGGGATGTCTCCAGCACACAGCTAGTGTCTCCAGCCACGAGAGCAAACACACACATACTTTCAGGTGGGCTAAGTGCCATGGAAAAAAAGAGAAAAGGGAGGCGAGAGTGTGTGTGGGGGCGGGAACGATGCAAAAGATGGCCGGAGGAGGCCTTTCTGAGAAAGGGACGCCGGCTTTCCCTCCGAGAAAGGGAAGCGAGAAGGGCGAGAAGCGCTTGCGAAAAAGCTGGCAGAGTGGGGCCGGGCGCGGTGGCTCAGGCCTGAAGTCCCTGCACTTTGGGAGGCCAGGAGTTCGAGACCAGCAACAGAGCGAGACCCCCATCTCTGCTTTATTAGATAAAAATAACTTTTTTTTTTGAGACAGTCTCGCTCTGTCACCCAGGCTGGAGTGCAGTGGCGTGATCTCGGCTCACTGCAAGCTCCACCTCCCGGGTTAATGCCATTCTCCTGCCTCAGCCTCCCGAGTAGCTGGGACTACAGACGCCCGCCACCACGCCCAGCTAATTTTTTGTATTTTTAGTAGAGACGGGGTTTCACCGTGTTAGCCAGGATGGTCTCGATCTCCTGACCTCGTGATCCGCCCGCCTCGGCCTCCCAAAGTGCTGGGATTACAGGCGTGAGCCACCGCGCCCGGCCAATAATTTTCAAAATAAGAAAATCTAGCAGTGCGCATCCAACCCAAGGCCCTCGCAGCCAGAGCAGAGGCACCAGGGCGGCCAGGCGAGGCGCTGCGAGGAAGCTGGTGCTTCTCGGAGTCCGAGACCCGGGCTGGGGAGAGCCCGAGGCAGAGCCCGAGGACCACGGCTCTCTGGCGGGCGTCCTGCCCAGCGGCGTGATTACCGGGCCGCCGAAACCGAAACCCATCTACTGGACACTTCCAGCTTCCTCCAAAGGCTGAGCAAGCTGAGCTACAAGGCAGATTTCATGTCTGCTGCCAGGCTCGACCGCTTTACAGACAATCCTCTCTCGTCTGGTAAACGCGTAAAACCTACACAATCACAACTTTCACAACGAGAGGGAAGCCGCAGGCCTCTCGTCGGCGCACGGGCCGCCTCGCCCGCGTCACTCTGAGGTAACAGCCTTTCTCTTCAATCGCTTCATGGAACTCCAGGACGCCAAGCCTCTTCCACTACGGGTCGAAGGATGGGTCACGTCACATTGCGCGAACAAGGATGGTCACGCGCCACAAAAGGACTTGCAGGGCGGGGCGACTCGACGGCCTTCCCTTTTGCTCCCATTGGCTGCGGTCGTCAGGTTCGCCTCCTCCACTACCTACCGGGGAGTTTAGGGCCTGACAGAAGCCCGCCCCCGCTGGCGCTCGTGCGCACGCGTGGCGGGCTCTCGGCGCACTGAGCAGGCGCGGCCTCGTGTCGGCCGGAGGGGGCGGGCGCAACGACGCGCGCTGCGTCCCGGCGCTCGGCTTTCCCTCCGCCGGTCCCGCCCTCCGTCGCGGCGGCGCGGTGTACCCTGGGATAGGGAGCGATCTCCGAGCGAGGCGGCAAGATGGACGCGGGATTTTTCCGCGTAAGTAGAAGCGCCGGGCGCCGGGGTGAGGCCAGGGACTTCTCGGTAAGGCCTGGTAGGAGACCTTAGCTTGGCACAGGGTGGCCAGCGAGGGGAGCTTCGGAGATCTTAAGGATTCCTCCTAGAGCCGGCGCACCCCCCCCCCCCCCGTGCGCTGCGGCGGAGACCGGTGCGCCCCTGCGCAGTCTCCTCCTCCGGAATGGTCCCCCCTACGCGGCGGCGACGGTGGCCGGAAAATGGCGGCGGGAATGGGCCGGGATGGTACCTCGCTGCCCGCCTGCCTGGCGGGGCCTGCAGGCCGAGCGCCGTGCGTGCCGCCGGGTCCTGGGGCCTAGCGGAGCCGGAGGAGGAAGTCCCGAGTGGGAGGCCAAAGGAAAGCCCTAAGGTCACTGGTGGCGGCAGGGCAGGGAGAATATGGTTTGGGGGTACATCTTGGGAGAGCACCTTAGGGGAGGGAGAACAGGAAGAAGCATTCAGCGGCTTTTTTTGAAAAAGCGCCCTCCCCGCCCCCCAACGTCCTCCCTCCAGGTCCTAAGCCTTCGTGGAGGCGCCAGGTCAGGGTTCGCGGGAGCTCCCGCCCAATTTGATATCCCTTCAGGGAGGGGGACGTAGATAACTTGTTGGGACAATGTGAATTTAAGGTTCTGTGAGGGTAGAGGGTGCAACGAAAACTATGCGCGGGTATGGAGGCAGGTTGTGGAGTGATTCAATTCCTTCCCGCCCTCCACATCCCTCACCACCCGCCACCATCGTGTTTTACTCTTGGAGTCCGCTGGTGAAAGGTAACTCTTACCTAGGCTCTGCCAGCGTCGTCTGCCCATCGCCTGCAGGCAGGGAAGTTACTCCGTCGTAGTTGGTTCTCGGGGCCCACACTTTATCAGGCTCGTGCTGGAGCCTGTGTGTCCCATAGTCCCCTCCTGTAGGAAATTAGTACTAGATCAAGATCTAGAAGGGACACAGGACTAGAGTTGAGCACCATTGGTCTCTCAGGGCTTGCAAACTGTTAATGCAGAATGAAGTCGTATAGAAACTAGTTGATCTAAGCCAATATATCCGTTTTCTGAAATACACGTTAGCTCTTCTCTTTAGAGCATGTAATTTGCAGTTTGTGTGTTTTCAAAGGAAAAATTGGAAGGGAGGAGGGCCAGAACTTTAGTAAAAATATCTTTGGACACTCCGAATTGGACATTGAAATCCTTCTTTAATTGGCTTTAAATATGCCAACGAGTTTTTCGTCATGTTAGAATGTTATCCCCCAAGTATTTTACCTAAGAACAACCAGCTGTTCTTAGGCAAACAGTAAGATACTTATTTTGGAATGATAGTTTCAGATTAGCGTATCGAATTTGCAAACTGCTTATGAACTGTCCATTTTGTAATTTCCATCAAAGTGTTTTGTAGTAAATATTCAATATTTTCTGCAGTGCAAGTAGTATTTTGAAACAAGTGAAAGCCTTTTCTGACTTTTGTCAAAATATTTTCTGTGGAAAGGAGTCCAAATAAATAAAAGAGTAAGGTGATTGATGAGCAAATTTTAACATGAAGTTTGCTTGTGGTATTGGTAAAGGTCTGGGAGAGGGGCGAGTTTTTAGTACACAGCCTACAATTGCTTAAATACAAGAGTTAACTGGATTTAAGATCCAAGTTAAAATATTTTAGGGTCATTATCTAGTACCCTGCCAACCAGATGAACTATTTCAGGTAGTATAGAAGTTATATCTTCCATTCAATGAACTTCTTCCACATGCCAGATACTTTACATATGTTATTTCTGGTATGTACACAGCAACCCTGCAGAGTAGGTTTCTATACCTCTATTTTAGCAGGGAAGGAACTATCCTCAGAGAGGCTGGGTAACTTGGTTTACGATCTTACGGCTAAGTAGTGGCACAGTTTTTACCTTCTCAAACAAAATTTTTTTTGATCGCTTTCCAGGGGACTGTGGCCAACTCAGTGAACCAATCAGTACATTTCAGATGGCACAGCCAGTTATTTCCGTGTTTAATTGGGCCAGTAGGAATGACAAAATGAAAAGAATAATTAGTGATCACTCGATGATCTAAGGTAGTATTTGTAAGCTTTCATTTTTCCAGGTTCTTTGCTGAAATTGAGTTTATTTAGGTAACCCTGTCTTCTTCACTCATTCCAAGTTCCTAAAAGTTGTAGAAGACTAACAGCACAGTCCTGGGATGTTCTTTTTTCCTTTCACCCTGTTTGTATGCATTGCCACAGTAGTTTTGCAAGCATGCAACTGGCTTTCAAAAAAGAATGAAATTTCAAATACTTCAATGTGTTCTCATTTAAACAGAAAAGCCCTACGTATCTATTAGCATAGGAAAAGGTGTGAAAGGATACAAATCAAATCTAACATTGGATATGAGGAGGTGTTGGCTTTATGCTGTATACTGTTGTTTTAGGTTTGACTTATGATGAACATATACTTGATAATTTAAAAATCCAGTCAAGTTTTCCAAGTATCAGCTACATTGGGGAAGGAGTATGCATTTCTCATCTATGAAAACTAGTTTGGTATTGTGTTTACTTGGTTACCCTATTTTGGCTATAAAGGTCGTAGGTGATAAAAAGTAAGGATTTAACTTTGAACCCTTAGTTAAGATGTGGTTCTCTTCCTGCAGGGAACAAGTGCAGAACAGGATAATCGGTTCAGCAACAAACAGAAGAAACTACTGAAGCAGCTGAAATTTGCAGAATGCCTAGAAAAAAAGGTATTCTTCTGGATGAGACTGTTGTGCATCTTTATAGCACACTTACTTGACTCAAGTTCTGGGGTTGTTTTGGAGATGCATTGTAACTTGAATGCTAAGAAAAACATAATTGAACATTAACCACCTTTTAGCCACCACACGTGGCACAGCCATATAAGAATTAGCAGATTGTGGCTGGGCGAGGTGGCTCACGCCTGTAATCCCAGCACTTTGGGAGGCCGAGGCGGGCAAATCACAATGTCAGGAGATTGAGACCATCCTGGCTAACACGGTGAAACCCTGTCTCTACTAAAAATACAAAAAATTAGCCGGGCGTGGTGGCGGGTGCCTGTAATCCCAGCTAATTGGGAGGCTGAGGCAGGAGAATGGCACGAACCTGGGAGGCGGAGCTTGCAGTGAGCTGAGCACCACTGCACTCCAGCCTGGGCAAGAGTGCAAGACTCTGTCTCAAAAAAAAAAAAAAAAAATTAGCAGATTCTACTATGCCAAACAAAAAAACTAAGCTAAAAGGAACTTTGGTAGACAGAACTCTAACTTGAGCATTTTTTTTTAGGATTGTGAAGTTGTACTTAATTGTTTCTATGTTTCATCAGGTGGACATGAGCAAAGTAAATTTGGAGGTTATAAAGCCTTGGATAACAAAAAGAGTAACGGAAATCCTTGGGTTTGAAGATGATGTTGTGATTGAGTTTATATTCAACCAGCTGGAAGTGAAGGTACTAATATACAAATGGCTCTTGTTTCTGAATATGTGATATAATTTGTGAATCTTTGGAAACTGAATTTTTTCTATGGAGTGCAAATATAGAAGGGTTATTTTACAATGTTTGTTGTGAAAAGAATTCACTTTGTAAACAACTATTAAGGCTGGAAGTTTAGTGAAGGTGCATAGTTTTGAAAGCTACACAGGTGAAAAATCAAACTTATTGTTTGTAATTTTGCTGTTACATGTTAAGTTACTTTGACAGCAATTTTCTAATGATAATGTGATTTATGATTTAAAAGGCCTGAACCAAAATGGAAGTTATTCCTTGCGTCTGAAGTATAGCACCATCACCTTATTAGGTCACAGCAGAGTGAGTGTCCCAATGTCGCTCTGACCCAACTCCCTTGATGATGCAGTGTGTGTTTGGAGGTGAGTTGTGTAAAGTGGCCAAACATCAACAACAACAACAAAAAACACAAACAGGAAAGAGCAATTGGGTAAAGCTGTACACTGCTCTTTTAAAATACTATTATGAGATGGACATTTATGTGAAGCATGAGGGGCAATTCTGATTTGATTGGATATTGTTTTTAAAGGAACTAAGGTCTTTGTAGCTGCATGTCAGCTAGTCATCAGTTACATTTTAGAGACAGGATTTTTGTTTATACTTAAACTTCAGACAAATTGGCAGCATATAATTGTTCCTTTATACATGAGATAATATGATGATATAACTGATGTTTAAGAACATTCTTATTGTAAGACAGTTTCTGTTTTGCCACAGCAACCCAAAGGACAGTTAAGATATGTACCATATGACCTTTTTGCATATATACCAATGTGAATTTACTTTTACATTAATCATTTCCCCCAAAGAGTTCACCCTATGTTTTGACAGAACAGTTGGCATTTCAACTGATAAGGTATTTCTAGTTTTAAAATAATTTGGTGTTTGTATTTTGTTTTGAATATTTTTAAAGACTAATTTTAAGAATGCACTTTCTATAAAGTATATGCATCTTAGAAAACCAGGAACAGGGGAGAAAGTTTTTTAAATGATGATTGAAGATAGATTTTATTGGAGAAATGCTTTACTGATGTGTATTTTAGTGCATTTTAAAAACCTAAGTATCTGGTAGTATTCCCCTTGTAGTGAGCATGAGATTAAAGTTTAGAACTTTTTAAGACAATTCTTTTTTTGTGGTTGTGTACTCATTATTGCTTGTTCGTCTTTTGCAATTTAGATAAATGATATAACATTAAACTCAAGGTGGTTGAGTTGCAGTAGGGAGTCGGAAGCAAGCCAAGGGAACATCTTTCTCTACAGGGGACTTGGCGATTCCAAACCCCCAAGGTTCCAAGAAGAAACTGAAGACACCTGGAATCTGTACTTGCTTTGTGCTATTGAGCTGTGCTTGTTATACAGACCTTGTTGCTTGACCAACGGATTTAGCATTTAAAAACCCAATTATTTTTGAGAAATCTTGACCTCTTAGCACTTTGTGGACAGTTGAGAATTTGAGGCATTGTTATAATAGATTTTCCTTATATAAAACTCAGGCCTTTAGCTTAGCCCTCAGAAGTTACAGACTGCATGCATAACTTGTTAGTTTTCATAACTGGACAATAGATATTTTATGCAAAGCTATCTGTAGTGTTAGGGAGCAGTTTATGTACTTTTTCCGTTTCTCATTGGGGGAAAATTTCCAGGCAAGCAAATACTTTTCTTGTTAGTAAATACTAGAATTTGTGGATGTTTCATGATGGTTTTTAAAGTTAATAAATGTAAGGCCCACTAACAGCCACAGAGTCTAAAAATACTTACGAAATCCACAAAGGATTAACAGGCTGCTCTGATGCTTTTGGTAGAGTGAGAGAGAATTTGGTAATCTGTTAGAGATTATATTGCTGAGAAGCTACTAGGGAAGACTATTTGTAAAATAGTAAGGACTATATATATGTCTAAGCCCCTATGGTAGACTTAAAAAATACTAATTTAAATGAGTTTTAGGTTGGTTGATTTGTTGGTTGGTTGGTTTTGAAGTAACCTGTTTTTCTTCCTGTCGTGTCTTTTTGCAGAATCCAGACTCCAAAATGATGCAAATCAACCTGACTGGATTTTTGAATGGAAAAAATGCTCGAGAATTTATGGGAGAACTGTGGCCCCTGCTGCTAAGTGCACAAGAAAACATCGCGGGAATCCCTTCTGCTTTCCTAGAACTGAAGAAAGAAGAAATAAAACAAAGACAGGTAATAACCTTTTCTTTTCTGTAATGTCGATTTGAGAGTATTGGCCAGGCTGCCGAGACACCTTAGGTAGTATATGACTCAGCTAGGATCTTCATGTAGTTTTGCTTTGCTGTACTGTATTTAAACATTCAGTTTTGGTTCACTGCTCCTCCCTCCAACCAAACATTGAGTTTAGAATGTCATTTTCCCAGTCTAGTGATTTGCTAGATTTTTACAAATTCTTAATATGTGAGTGCATGTAGCTTAAAAGAAATTTGAATTTAACACTGAAAGGTAAGCATAAGGATTTTTGGTTTGTTGTTTTTTTGAGACACAGTTTCAGTCTGTCACCCAGGCTAGAGTGCAGTGGTGTGGTCTCTGCTCACTGCAGCTTTCACCTCCTGAGTTCAAGCGATTCTCATGCCTCAGTCTCCTGAGTAGCTGGGATTACAGGCGCACACCACCACATCCAACTCATTTTTGTATTTTTAGTACAGACGGGATTTTGCCATGTTGGCCAGACTTGTCTCGAACTCCTGACCTCAAGTGATCTGCCCGCCCTTGGCGGGATTATAGACGTGAGCCACCGTGCCCAGCCAGCATAAACTCTTAATATGGGCAATACAGATGAACTCCCAGAAAGAATAAGGTCAATGTGAAAGTGATTTTCTTTTTTATTTTATTTTTTATTTTTATTTTTATTTTTTTGAAGTAAGCTTGAAAACATCTCTTTAGTTCAGGTCTTAGAGATTAACTTTCAGTGAATATTTATTTGTAAATGAGTGGCGATAATACCAGTCTTAATGCGTATCTGTAGTGTAGGTGAAGAAAGAACAGGTCTGGTTCAAAAGAAGAGGCCGATGAAATGATAATAGCATTGGTGTTTAACACACGTAGAAAGTAGTCTTCAGTTTGTTCTCAAATGTTCAACTATGTGTATTTTGAAAACCTGGTCTTTGCAGATTGAACAAGAAAAACTGGCATCTATGAAAAAGCAAGATGAAGACAAAGATAAAAGAGATAAGGAAGAAAAAGAAAGCAGCAGAGAAAAAAGGGAGCGGTCTCGTAGCCCAAGAAGGTATCATACAATAGATGCATAACTGATGTTTTACAGGTACTTTAGGTCTTAAGAAACTTCCTTAGTTAAAAAGGAATCTAACAGCGCTATTCAAGGAATTTGTTCCATCATGCAGTTTTCATGGTGACCTGTGCCTTGCCTCTGGACTAAAGAAATCTGTCATATTTTGTTTGAGACAGATAATTTAGCCATGAGTGTCTCGCAGATGTTCATAAATTATCCAACTCTAAATTCCTAAATCAAAACTTTAAACTTTTTCTTCCATATTGCTTTAGTTCATAACAGTTAATTTGGGTTTTTAAAAATGTACTCTGACTCACTTTTTCTTTCCATTTCCTTTCTTCTAAAAAGAAATCTGTACTCGAAATCTGTACTCATTAGCCGTTCATGTAATACTTACCTAATTCCCTGTTCTGCTTTTCTTAGATGGTTGTACTGAACCCAAACTTCAGATCATTTATTTGTTTTCTTCTTCCAGTGAGACTATTGTTAGGTTCACATTTTTAAATCCACGGCTCAGCTTCTATATTTGTGGTGAAAGGTGAGAACTCCATTAGGCTTTTTATTTTTAGGGTTCTGCTTATTTCTTTCATAAATGTCTGCTGGAATTAGTAAAGAGAAGAGGTAATTTCTTTGTCCCTTTCATTTATATATTTGATACTAAAATCTCCTTATGGAAGTAATATTTATAGAGCTAAGCACAAATTGTCATGGTGGTAACTACTTGACTATTGATGAAGTATGTCTGCCATTTTCCTTCTGTGTGAATAAGAGAAAAACCCTTCGAGTTAGGCAGGCTACTGTTAAGAAAGAGGGCTTCTCCTCTCGCAAAAAAGCTATCTTCTGGATGTTTGATGTATATTTCTCTTTTCTGAAGAACATGTTGCTTTAATGGTATTAGTCATTTTTCTGGCATACTGAGGCTCTTCCTGATGAACTCCATTGTAATCTGTCCGCATCTAAATGTTTTATGTTTGGGAGTTTGATTTGTTGTCAAGGATTATCATTGTTTGCTTTAAAGCATCCTCTTTGCCTCTGAAAAGTTGGTCTTTTGATCTCTGGGAATGATTAAGAACCTAAGTCTAGAGTCCCAAGTTAGTGCTTTTCTCCCTTATAACTGATATACTCGAGAATGTTATCTTTCATTTGCTTGTCTTTCTCTTCCCTGTCAAGTAGATTAGGTTAGCATGTCTTATTTCCATAGGGAAACATCTCAGATATAAACAGTAGTGTAACTAAAGATTAATCCTCACTTCTCCCTTTGACTCCTCTCTTCCAATCCATGTTATTTAAAAACCTGAAAAAAATTACTTTCATCCTAGACGCAAATCCAGATCTCCTTCCCCTAGAAGACGATCTTCCCCTGTCAGGAGAGAGAGAAAGCGCAGTCATTCTCGATCTCCCCGTCACAGAACCAAGAGCCGGAGTCCTTCCCCTGCTCCAGAAAAGAAGGAAAAAACTCCAGAGCTCCCAGAACCTTCAGTGAAAGTAAAAGAACCTTCAGTACAAGAGGCTACTTCTACTAGGCAAGTATATAAAAATTCATTTATAAATAATCACAATTTTAGATTAATAGTGACTGCAAATATGACATCTGAGTTAAAATAAAACTACTTATTTTCCTTTTAGATTTTTTAAATTATAAAATTAGTTTGTTGAAAAGAAATTGTTTAGGAGAGTATATTAGAAGAAAATGCCCCAGAGGGTGACCATTACTATCTTTTGGTTGTATTGTTTCAGGTATTTTATATATTGTAACTTGCTTTTTTTCCTCAACGTATTGTGGACAACTTCGCACTTTTAAGAAATGTATGTGGTTGCCAGATGCGGGGGTGCATGCCTGTAATCTCGGCACTTGGGGAGGCTGAGGTGGGTGGATCGCTTGAGCTCACAAGTTAGAGAGCAGCCTGGGGCAACATGGTGAAACTCCATCTGTACTAAAAATATATATATATATATATATATATATATATATATGTACACACACACACACAAATTAGCCGGGCATGGTTGGCACATGCCTATAGTCCCAGCTACTCAGGAGGATCACTTGAGCCTGGGAGGTTGAAGCTGCAGTGAGCCAAAATCATGCCAGTACACTCCAGCCTGAGTGACAAGAGTGAGACCCTGTCTCAGAAGAAGAAAAGAAAATGTACATGGTTGGAATTATTAGTTGCTCTCTGGGTTTCAGTGATAGGTACATACATACTTATGTGTCTTTTGGAGATAGAGACAAGTCTGTGAATTTTGAAAAGTTTTAGAAATACTTTATTACATCATTGTGTAATGATTTAGAAGGCTGAGTACAAGAAGGCAAAAAAAAAAAAAAAAGCTTTTGTTTCCACAG
This sequence comes from Homo sapiens, assembly GCF_000001405.40. Classification (NCBI taxonomy): domain Eukaryota; kingdom Metazoa; phylum Chordata; class Mammalia; order Primates; family Hominidae; genus Homo; species Homo sapiens. The sequence continues at coordinate 24,652,434 of NC_000001.11, forward strand.
TGACATTCTGAAAGTTCCCAAACCTGAACCTATACCAGAGCCTAAAGAACCTTCTCCGGAAAAAAATTCCAAAAAAGAAAAGGAGAAGGAGAAGACCCGACCACGATCTCGGTCACGCTCCAAATCAAGATCCCGGACGCGGTCCCGCTCTCCTTCTCACACTCGACCTAGACGGCGCCATAGATCCCGATCAAGGTGAGTTGTGGCTTTAAGATCAACAAAGATCTTAGGTTTTATATACTACTCTACTGGGTACAATTAGATAAATAATTTCAAAGTGGTAGAAGATGTTTAGTACAAATATTTTTTGAATGTACACAGAGAATTTGAGGACACTTTTCTGTGTACCATAAAAATCTACATAAATGGAAAATTTTGATCTTTGAAATTTATTTTTTAGATGTGGCCATTGAGAAAACTAAGCCAAGAAATTCCTCACTCCTGGTTTATTCAGGACCTAATTCTCTTTGTTATGGCAGATCGTATTCACCTAGAAGGCGGCCAAGCCCAAGAAGGCGGCCATCTCCTCGAAGAAGAACTCCGCCAAGAAGAATGCCTCCTCCACCAAGGCATAGAAGGAGTAGATCTCCAGTAAGACGGTAAGATTTTTTAAATTTGGAAGTGTCAAGTGTTTGACACTTCTGGATAATCTTTCTTTTAGGATAATCTGTAAATTAGTGTCCCCTGGAAGAAAGAACTGATAGGTGATATTAGACAATGTCTTCTAAAGAGTCTGTTTCATTTGAAGTGTAATGCAGTTGTTCGTGTTATGAAAAGTGTCTAGTCTGGTGTTGGAAAGTAAACGAGAAATTCATCTTATTGATACTTTTCTGTTAACTTTTACCCTTCTAGACTTCACCAAGAAATCATACTAAGTAAGAGAATTGGCCACCTTCTCTTTGGCTTTTAACTGGCTTCTGAAAAGTAGCTGATTATAGGGCCAGTAAGCTCCTTTTACCAGTATTAAAGTAATTCATTTGCTGTTATACTTTGAGAAAAGTATTTTTATGAATTTTTTATAAAATTCTCAGAAAATTCTCATTATAGAAGTAATGAAGCTTATAAGTAATTCAGACAGAAATAGCATAACTTGGAAGTTTTCCATAATCCGTGGGGGAATATATCTATATTCCATAGATATAATTGCTATTACTAGTTTAGTGTCTGGTTATTTTTCAAAACCCCAACTGTACCAGTGTTCTTTTTTTTACATCATTCTAAAATGAGCATAAGATAAAATATTTGAATCTTGGATATATCACTTTAAACAAAAATTAGTGGCTAAGTCTACCCAAAGTAGAGTCCTAGTGCACTGGTAGCAGTTTTTGTGCCTTCTTGCAATACGTTTCACCTGGCTTGGGAAGAAATGCCGATGATTAAGCTTCCAGTTATTTTGGACAGAATTTTTTGTTTGAGTCTTTTAAAGTTCTTTTCAGGGAACCAAATCAATTTGGAAATAAAGAGGGGAAAAATCAAGTAAGCTCTGTAAAGTTACTTTGTTTCTGCAGTCAGGTTTTTCAGAGTCCCATATTTTGAAAATTTTCTTTGGGGAGGGGTTGTTAAGATATATTGAACTATTACTACTGTTGCAAAGAATTGATGTGTTGTGCTCATAGAGGAAATTAGTGAGGTAAATGGTCAGTCAATTTTCAGGCATCACACTTTTCTAATTCCCTTTTAGGAGAAAAGTAATGCTGGTGCTTCCTAGTACAAGATTAGTGGAAACAGCTATTTCTTATACTGGAGTTTTGCAAACAGCATGTTTAAATTGTGCTTACTCAGCCATTTAGCAGTCAATATTTTACAGATTGTTTAAGATTCCCTTTCAGCCAGTTTTTATCTCACACTTAAGGTAGGGTTTCTTTTTTTCAGGTTCTCAGGAATTCTTCCGCCAAAGGTGAATTCTGCAGGTACACATAATTGCAACAGAACTTAACACAAATTTTGCCGCAGAATTCGAGAGGCCCCTGCTTCTAAGTTTATGTAGCTAAATGAATTCTTAGTTTTGCACATCTTTTTTAAAAATGCAACCTAAAGGTTTCTCAACATTGTGTTATTAAATGGAAAATACCTTGCCCCCAAATTTTATATGCAAACTCCAAAACACCAATACCATTCCTAAGGCAGAAGGACTAGTTAGTTATTTTATTATAGCATTCAACCTGACAAGTTTTATAACTGGAGAGAGAACACAGACAGAAGTATTTATCAGATTAAGTTGTTTATATTAATCTCAGAACTAGCTGTTTCCTGGCCTAGGTTATGGTTTTTTCCCCCATTCTTTTGGACTCATTTATGTGCTTAGCTACATAAACTCAAAAGTCGGATTAAAATAGCTGTATTTTTGTGTAAACTGTTCATACCTGTAAGGCCGTTCTTTATAAGTGTGCAATTAGTGAATATGAATACTTTATTCCACAGAAGAAGACGTTCGTCAGCATCCTTGTCTGGGAGTAGCTCATCATCCTCTTCATCTCGTTCACGGTCACCACCAAAGAAGCCTCCCAAGAGGACATCCAGCCCCCCTCGGAAAACTCGTAGGTTATCTCCTTCAGCAAGTCCTCCAAGGCGAAGGCACAGGCCATCACCTCCTGCAACTCCACCACCCAAAACTCGGCATTCCCCTACACCCCAGCAGTCAAACCGTACAAGAAAAAGTCGTGTTTCTGTGTCTCCAGGGAGAACTTCAGGTAAAGGTAAAAATCAAACACATATGAAACATGGTCTCTCTTTCTTTGGCTACAAAGCGTAGTCAGTTATTGCCCCCTGCTCACTCTCAAAGTATGAAATAGCTAGATAATATTTGTATCTAATACTCTCTGTAGGTTTACTTATAAGCCTACCTCTTTCCTGCTTTAAAATCTTGGGGCTTTTTTATGTGTAAAAGGGTTTTGTTTTTAGCAATGCCCTGTGGCATTGCGCAGGTGGAGAAATCTTTTACCAGCCGTGGGCTGTTTGAGTTGGGGTAACATATCAAAGTTTGCGTTGGCATGATAAGGGATCATTTTATTACTATGAGACCAGTTAACTTTTTTTTCTCCTGAAGATTTTTGGTTTGATATCTTAAATAAGAGGACTTCATATTCTCTTTTAGTTCTTTCTTGGTCGCATTGCGCTCCCAAGCAAAGGACATGGTGTCCTCTTAAAAGCTGATTTGTTTTTTTAATTTAGGTTCTAGGCAGGGTTCTTCTGAGTGTTGTCCTTGCTTTATTCTGCAGATTGATTTCTGAGGAATTTATGATCTGTGAACCTGCCAGGCAAGTAGAATGCTGTGTTAGTCTGAGTGAAGGTTGTGGTCTATTGGGGTTTGTTCTGTGAGCATTAAATACGCATGGAAAAAACTGTAGTGTCCATTTGAACCAGGCTCTCTGGAGCTTAGGGCTGGAATGATATACAGCCTAAAAGGTGAGTAGTAAGGGATGGGGAGGATCTTAAAAGCTGCTAAAGCAATTGAGTTTTAAGGAGCAATCTGTAGGTTAACACACGCTGGGGTTATTATGATCATATTGAAAATTTCAGGTTAGAGCCAGGTGTGGTGGCATGAGCCTGTGGTCCCAGCTACTCAGAAGGCTAAGGCAGGAAGATCACTTGATCCCAGAAGTTCAAGGCTGGCCTCAGCCCCATAGCGAGATCCTGACTCTTAAAAAAAGAGAGAGAAAAAATTTCAGGTTAGAAACAAAGAAATGGGGATGGGCAAAATTTTCATTATACATTTTAATGAGCTTGATGAGACCAGCATTGCTAATTATTCACCCTGTTGCCTTATCTCCCCACTCCCCAAGGCTGCAATGTGGTGATACCTAGAAAGGCAAATTTTGCTTTCCTTTTTTGTATCTGTGACAATGAGGCATAGATAAGCTGACAGAGTGAAAGGGTGACCAGCAGATTATGATAGTCTGTAAAAAGTAATGTTTTCTGAATTGTGACATTTTTATTGTAGTGATAGGTTCATTAAATAAGACATGGCCACTTTTGTTGGCCCCTTAGAGAAGCAGCTAGTGAAAGTAGAGAAGCCTGTAACTGTTCCAGGTTCAGTCCTCAGTTTGAGAGAGGGGCTTCGGGATCACTGTTTTCATAACCTCATGTACCATACTGCTTTTCAGCATTGGGAAAATTTCAGTCCATTTTCAGTTACCATGTCCAAATCTGATGCCCATGGCCCTGGCCTATTTTGTCTTTTCCTGTAAAGTTTGTACTTCTGAATATTTATTCTTTGTCTGGAGCCACAAAGCTCTCCAGGGAAAAAAACAAGTGTTTTTACCTGTTACTTTGCAAAAACACATCAAGTGATGATTTTTTTCTATTTATATCATATAGCCTAAGAGTTGCAAAAGTACCTGAACAGAGGGACCAATCCTTGTTAAAATAGGTTGATTGTTAAGAATTATTAGGTACTTTTAAAAAGCATCTGCACAGATGCTAATTTCTTGTGTTTTGGCATATACTTTTTGCAAACAAGACAAGAGTGGATATGTACATAGGAAAGAAGTAAGCCATGGTGAAAATAAGTATTTCTGTGGGTTTTGGGACAGGGCTTCCGTGTTCAAACAACCTACCCAAAGAGAGGCACTACAGGCAGTGTAGTCAGTCTCCCCTGTGACCACTGGAGCTGAATATTGGTTTGACCTACTTGGAAATAACCTCTCCCCACCACCCCGCTAAATAGAGCCAGCATCTCACTCTGTCACTCGGGCTGGAGTGCAGTGGCCCAGTCATAGCTCACTGCAGCCTCCAACCCCTGGGATTACAAGTGTGAGCCACCACACCCGGCCCAGACAACCTTTTATATTAAACTGATCCCAGCCCTCTGTGATGAAATTTCAGAGCTAGAAAAGACCTTAACAGTTGTCATCAAGAAACAGATTTTCAGGTTAGTTGACTTGGTCAAGGTCAACCAACTAGGAATAAAACTTGAGTTGTCATTCCCAGTTAAATAGTGAATACTTTTCACAACTTTCCTACCCCAGAACTCTTCTTTGATTGCTAAAGGTGAGAAATGGAGGGCAGGGTTGAAATTCTTTAGCTTCTCTATCTGGTAGTATGATTTCAGAAATTACTTTGCAGTTTCTGCTGCTTAGAACAGTAACATCATTGAAATGTAATAGATATTACAGTTAATATTTTCCCTAGTGGCCACTAATCAGGGCTTTAGGGCTCTGCTCTTGATAGTGGGCAAATGGAGTGGGAGGGAGGCAGGAAAAGTGTTTTGGGGAACTTACAGGTTAATTATTTGGAATACAGTATACAGTCATCTGAAGGGATCTTAGGGGAAACATTTGTAATTACTGACATTTCATAAATTGGCATTATCTTAGTACATAAAATAGTGCTTGAAATCAGTGGCACAGTCAGCGAAGTATGTTAACATGATCAATACTGGTGGTGACGGTGTGGTAATTTTGATTTATTTAGATTAGCTTGGCCACATACATTGTGCTATCTGGACACTTAAATGGTTATTTTACTATTGTTGGTCACAGAGTAACTTATCTTTATAAGTGATCTTTTGGGCAGGTCTAAGATTAATAATTAATAGGACTGTTGGAGTAAATTTAAAATTGTGGTTTTAAAGTTGCCTTCTACGATTTCTGACTTCATGCTAGAATGATTTTGTCCCTTGAATACTTAAAACAACATTAACATAAAGTAAATGGTGTAAAGTCTCATCTAGAAAAATAGAAATCTGAAGTGCTGTTATAATATTAATAATGCTGTGATTCAATTGTATTAAACCAGAGTAGGAGTATATAAATGATAGTTGTTTGATGGTATAAATTTTTTTTTTTTTTTTTTTGGAGACGGAGTCTTGCTCTGTCGCCCAGGCTGGAGTGCAATGGTGCAGTCTTGGCTCACTGCAACCTCTGCCTCCCAGGTTCAAGCAATTCTCCTGCCTCAGCCTCACGAGTAGCTGGGATTACAGGCACATGCCACCACACCCAGCTAATACAAATGTATTAATAAAGACTACTTTAGCTGAGTAATTAGTGAGAAATTGAATCAGGATGCAACTCCAGATGTGTATTTCCACTGGGGGAGAATGGAAATAATGTTAAATTCACTTGTATTATATAATGAGTAGGCTTTTGCCAACTATCTTGTAAGCATAACCACATTTTTAATGTTTCTTAGGGGAAAATGTATCCAAACAATCAGCTTCCAAAGCAAGCTTGGGAACCCAGTTCTCTAAGGTGTGGTAACTTGGACATGCACTTTTTAACGACGTGCCCATAATATCTTTGCAGAAATTGAGGATTAAGTAACACTTAAAAATAGAGAATATGGACTTAGAAAAAGAGCCTCAAATAGTTAACAATTTTAAAATATTTTTATTTCTTTGAATTTGTTAAAATATAAGTATTAAGTATAGTTTGCTATTTGCACTGTCATGATTCCTGATATCTAATTGAGTGATAGCCATTCTTTACCCAATCCAGTGATTTGTCCAAATGGCTTATTACGTAGAAATTTTAAGAAAAGTCGCTGGGCGCGGTGGCTCACGCCTGTAATCCCAGCACTTTGGGAGGCAGAGGTGGGTGGATCACCCGAGGTTGGGAGTTCAAGACCCGCGTGACCAACATGGAGAAACCCTGTCTCTACTAAAAATACAAAATTAGCCGGGCGTGGTTGGCGCATGCCTGTAATCCCAGCTACTCAGGTGGCTGAGGCAGGAGAATCCCTTGAACCCGGGAGGCGGAGGTTGCAGTGAGCCGAGATCATGCCATTGCACTCCAGCCTAGGCAACAAGAGCGAAACTCTGTCTCAAAAAAAAAAAAAGAGAGAGAAAGGGAAAAGTCTGTTCATTGAAAAGGCATACTGGTAAATTCTTCATTTTGACTTCTTTAGCAAAGATGCGATTACTGTGTTAGATCACTGGTTCTCTAATTACTGCCCCTTGGAATAAACCATTACAGAATTCTGAATGTGAGTGTCTGTTAAATGAGATGTATCTGTATTCTGAGTCAAACATTCCATGGCAATTGCTTTAATCACACAAAACAGGTATCAGGATCCTGAGAGGATCAAATTGTCTGTAGGTTTATTTCTTATTGGGATGTTCTCAAGTGGTGTTTTAGGTTAATTTATGGTATATATATGTTTATATGTGAATATACTTATGATTTTAGTTGTAGCAATGGATAGATACTATAAGCAGAGTTAGTTGTTGAGATTAAAACCCATGGCCTAAAAATAGATTCTTGGATTCACATCTTAGCTCACTTAAATTGTCTTTGTGACTGAGGTGAAGTTGCTTCTTTTTAAGCCTCAGGTTTCCTCTCTTGTGAAATGGAACAGGGAGAAAGGGATGTGATACTACTGTGTTAATAGTGTGTCTAATACAGCAGGCTTACAAAAGGTAGTTACCATATTTCTATGTTATTGGTAAAAGACAATTGGATAATTCATAGGATACCCACTGCTCTCCTACTACTTGAGGTATAGAAATGCCTTTTTTTCTTTCTAGCTCTTTGGAAAGAATCCTCGTCTTTGTATTTAATCATTTTTACTATTTGTGGCGGTCTGCTTTTTTTCATGGGTAGTTTAAATCCCCTGTGCTATTGTGAAGATTATGCTCTACATAAAGAACCTTTAACCTGTTGGGCAGTCATTCTTCTTTTCTAGACCAAATATCTTTGTGAAAGTTTCATGAGATCTTATTTCTTAATCATTTATCATCTTTTACTTTTCTGAACCCACCTATTGTGGTTGCTTAAAAGCTTTCATGTTGATGAAGTCTCTGAAGTTGAGTGTGAGGGAGTGAGTGTGGGTGTGGAGGGTGTGTATTTTAGATTGTGGAGCTCGTGTAGCACACAGAGGTTTACTTTACTGAGCTTGTTCTACTCAGTAGCAGCTCCCAATTTCCTTTAACTGTTGGTTTTCTTGGGAGAATCTCAAGATTTGAAAATCATTGTAGAACTTTTTGAGGCTTTTCATTAAACATTTAAAAATTCTTGTCTCACTTCAGATAATGTTCAGATATGACAACAAGGTCTTACAGGAATTTTTTAAGTCTTCATAAATTCTTTTTGAGAGTAGTCACACCCATTTTTGTAATAGCAGGAAGGCATCTTGGCTGGGCACAGTGGCTTGTGCCTGTAATCCCAACACTTTGGGAGGCTCAGGCAGGAGGATTGCTTGAGGTCAGGAGTTCAAGACTAGCCTGACTAATATAGTGAGACCCCATCTTTATTTAAAAATAATAATAAATTTTTAAAAATTAAAAGAAAAGCATCTTGTATAGACCTTTTTTTGTACGTAAGCTTTTTTCCACTCTTATTCTTTTTTAGTGACAAAACATAAAGGTACTGAGAAAAGAGAATCCCCTTCACCAGCACCGAAGCCTAGAAAAGTAGAGTTATCTGAATCGGGTAAGTTTGTTGTTTTTTTTTGTGATTTTGGTTTGTTTGTTTTTGTTTTTCTTAAAGCTGATTTTGATTTTTTGCACATTTGGTCATCCCCTTCTGCTTGAAGATTAAGTATAGGGTAAGAGCTAAGACTCTGAAGGCAGACAGACTTGGGTGGAATCCCCCATTCCAGAATTTAACTGTTTCTGTTTTAATTAACTTATCTGAGCCTTTCTTCTTTCATCTCCGAAATAGGGACAGTAGAGGTTTTTGACAGTTAACTGTATCTGCTTGTAAAATGCTTGGCACCAGCCTGACCTGTAGTAAATGCCTAAATAAATTTTATTATATTTGGTGAAGATAGTCTAAATCAGCCTGTGAATTGGCATTTTAAACTCTTTTTAAAAAAAATATATAGTAGTTGTATTTTTGATCCAACCAAATGAAGGTTTGAGAGACTATTTTCCTATTCAAATTGCAAATTTTCTATATGCTTAACTAAAGAAACACTTTCTAAATGCATCCATCTTTCAGAAGAAGATAAAGGTGGCAAAATGGCTGCAGCAGATTCTGTGCAGCAGAGACGCCAATACAGACGACAAAACCAGCAGTCTTCATCTGGTATGGATGGTGATGAAAGTTTTTTTTCTACCTGTATTTCCTATTAAAAAATACTTGGTATATAAACATCTGTGTGTGCAGCATGAGTACTTACTTGCCTACATAGAAATCTGTCTGAGGAGGCAGGATTGTTTCTTTTTTTGGTTTTAAGTCCTTTTGCAAAATTTAATTTTCTGTTACATTGTTATAAAAGTAATAGGTCCCTAGGATACAATAGTGAAACAGAAAACAGAAGTATAAAATTGGAAACGTATCATTCTTTTTCCAACCTCCTAAAGCTTTTATTCAGAAATTTTCTGTGCATATAGAAAAAGGAAAAGAAAAAACCCCACAGAAGCTCAACTGTAGATATGTTGCCTCACTTTTTAACTTAACAGTATATTTAGAACATCTTTCCCTATTAAAAATCTAGACTGGGCGCAGTGGCTCACACCTGTAGTCCCAGCACTTTGGGAGGCCGAGGTGAGCAGGCCGAGATCAGGAGTTCAAGACCATCCTGGCCAATAGGGCGAAACCCCATCTCTACGAAAAATACAAAAATTAACCGGGCATAGTGGCGCACACCTGTAATCCCAGTTACTTGGGAGGCCCAGGCAGGAGAATCCCTTGAACCCAGGAGGCAGAGGTTGCAGTGAGTGAGCTGAGATCGCGCCACTGCACTCCAGCCTGGGAGCCTGGGCAACAGAGCAAGGCTTTGTTTCCACAAAAAAAATAATAATAATCTACCCTATTATTTTACTATTTGCATTTTTTATTGTAAGAATATACCAGGCTGGGTATGGTGGCTTAACCTGTAACCCCAACACTTTGGGAGGCTGAGGTAGATGGATCACTTGAGGTCAGGAGTTCGAGACCAGCCTGGCCAACATGGCAAAACCTTGTCTCAACTAAAAATACAAAGATTAGTTAGGCATGATGGTGCAGACCTGTAATCCCAGCTACTCAGGAGGCACAAGCGGTCTTTCTGCCTTGGCCTCCCAAATGCTGGGGTTAAAGGGGTGAGCCACCGTGCCCAGCTCAAACTTCTTAGAGTATGCCATCTTGATTGGATTACACTGTGGAAATTATTTCTATGTCTTATTTAAATAATATGCTTGGCTTTGAAATCATTGATCATATATTGATAATGATTCTGTTCAGAACTGATGGCCTGTATACATGCTTGCTTACCCTAGTGAACACTCCATCCACCTAGATTTCAGAAAACTTGGACAGATTCAAGCACAAACCTAATGTAATATTTTTTTAATTTTGTAATTATAGACTCTGGCTCCTCCTCCTCCTCAGAAGATGAACGACCCAAGAGATCCCATGTGAAGAATGGTGAGGTTGGCAGGCGGCGGAGACATTCCCCTTCCCGGAGTGCTTCTCCATCACCACGAAAGCGCCAAAAAGAGACTTCCCCTCGGTAACATCTTTGCTTCAGTGATGTTCACTGATGTTCTGTAATTGTGATGAAATTTGATAACTTGGGATTATTTGAGAATTTGGTTAACTCCTTCAAGTATTTGGATGTGGTTGGATTTTTGTTTGCTTTTTAGGGTTTCTGTTTTGTTTTGTTTTTGCTTTATTGGTGGTTATTAATAATTAATTTAGAATTGGTAAATTTTAAACCACCATGTCATATATGTGTGCATGATTAGAAAAATAAACCAAACTATTATAGCAGTAACTCCTGAACATCTTTGAATATTTAAAAATGTCTCCATTAATGGTACTTAATCCACCCAAGTAAATAATTTAGTGAATGGAATTCTTGACATTTGTTTTTCTCCACTGCTCTCAGGATGCAGATGGGAAAGCGATGGCAATCGCCAGTGACTAAAAGGTTGGTTAGACACTACTTTGTAAATTAGGGTTACATGTCAAAAATTGTAGTGACTTAATTTCCTATTTAGGTGACCTCATCTCATTCTTAAATATATGGTGGCTGTGGCTGTGAATGTGCAGATCCTAAGTTGTTTTGGTTTGAGTATTTTTTTTAACACATTAGATTAATGATAGGGAGAATTATACATGAGCTATTTGGTTTAGACCCTTATTTGAACTTAGATTTTTAATATCTGGTTGTGCTCTTTTGTGATAATTTGCATCAACTTACATCAAGCAGCACGCAGATTTTTAACAGTATCTGGATACTTTTCCAGAGATAGGATTATTGCTCCTTAGATTTGGGGGGAGGGACTTTGTATTTGTGGTGACATTAGGGAGGGCAAGGAAAAACTAGGGAGAAACTTTAGAAATATTAAAAGTGAGAGGATCACGAGGTCAGGAGATCAAGACCATCCTGGCCAACATGGTGAAACCCCATTTCTACTAAAAATACAAAAATTAGCTGGGAGTGTTGGCGCGTGCCTGTAATCCCAGCTACTCGGAAGGCTGAGGCAGGAGAATCGCTTGAACCCAGGAGGCGGAGGTTGCAATGAGCTGAGATCACGCCACTGTACTCCAGCCTGGCAACAGAGCTAAATTCCCTCTCAAAAATAATAATAATAATAATAATAATAATAATAATAATAAATAAAAGCGAATGGAAGGCTTTGGCCCTGTTCAGTCTTTCCAGTACTAGAAAGGTGGGTTGCATAGCTCTCTTTTTTTTTTTTTTTTTTTTTTTGTTGAGATGGAGTCTGGCTCTATCACCCAGGCTGGGGTGCATTGGTGCGACCTCGGCTCACTGCAACTTCTGCTTTGTAGGTTCAAACGATTCTCCTGCCTCAGCCTCCTGAGTAGCTGGGACTACAGGCACATGCCACCATGCCCAGCTAATTTTTGTATTTTTAGTAGAGAAGGGATTTCGCCATGTTGGCCAGGATGGTCTCAAACTCCTAAAGTCAGGTGATCCACCCGCCTCGGCCTCCCAAAGTGTTGGGATTACAGGCATGAGCCACTGGGCCCGACCTGCATATCTTTATTGAAACTTTTGATTATTAGTGTCACTGTGACCATAAAACTGTAAAATTTTAGAGCCAAATCCCTAATTCAGGCCTTACTCTCATAAGTGAGAAGATAGCGGCCCTGATGGGGTAGTTTCTTAGGGCCGCAAAGTGACAAAGTTGGATCTTAGACCTATACATTTGGCATTACACTAGTCTGTCTTAACCAGCTTTCTGCTTTTGGGGCCTTAGCTGCCACTGAATTTTGAAGTATTTATCCTTGCTGAAGCTATCCCACTGTCCTTTTTGTAGCTCAGTTTTTGAAGCTGTGTTGTTTTAGGTAATCTCATCAATAAGAGTGTTTTCTTGGAAAGGAACCAGTGAGCAGTGTTTGTGATGGAGCAAAGCACGGGGTATTTACACTGTGGAGGAAACTGCTCCATGATAATAAAAGATAAAAACCTAAAAAAGATTAGTTTGGCTGCTAAAGCATTCCTTTCCCAGCTATAATTATCTCTGGCTTTTGTGAAGTTGCTAGCACAGCAACTAAACAATTGCTTTACAGAGTTAGATTAGTGGTGCAATTTCTTCTCTTTCATCTCCCCTTCCCTCCCCACCCCCCCACCAAATTATGGCACTACTTTCTGTTCTGGAAAGAGATTCCTCACAGCAGTAAAATCAACACTAATGTTTATTGCTCTACTCCAGGATGTTTTTGTTTTGTTTCTCGTCATTTAAAAAGTATTTTAAGTTATATACCAGCAGCTTCAAGTTTAATGCCATTAGAAATTGCCATCAGGTTCCTAGGATTTAGAGATGGAGGAAGGATTATTTGGAATTATGCTTCAGTATCGTATTTTAGAAGGGGAGATAGAGGCCGGGTGCGGTGGCTCATGCCTGTAATCTCAGCACTTTGGGAGGCTGAGTTGGGTGGATCACCTGAGATCAGACGTTTGAGACCAGCCTGGCCAACACGACGGAACCCCATCTCTACTAAAAATACAAAAAAGTTAGCCGGGCGTGGTGGCGCATGCCTGTAGTCCCAGCTACTCGGGAGGCTCAGGCAGGAGAATCGTTTGAATCCGGGAGGTGGAGGTTGCAGTGAGCCGATATCGTGCCATTGCACTCCAGCCTGGGCAACAAGAGCAAAACTCCGTCTCAAAAAAAAAAAAAGAGGCTCACGCCTGTAATCCCAGCACTTTGGGAGGCCGAGGCGGGTGGTTCACGAGGTCAGGAGATAAAGACCATCCTGGCTAACACGGTGAAACCCCGTCTCTACTAAAAATACAAAAAATTAGCTGGGTGTGGTGGCGGGCACCTGTAGTCCCAGCTACTTGGGAGGCTGAGGCAGGAGAATGGTGTGAACCCAGGAGGCAGAGCTTGCAGTAAGCCCAGATCGTGCCAGTGCACTCCAGCCTGGGCAACAGAGCGAGACTCTGTCTCAAGAAAAGAAGGGGAGATAGAGCCTGGTTTTGAATATTTTATATGTATTTAGTGTGAGGTCTTAGTCCCCACAAAGCATAAGCAGATTTAAGTTGAAAAATTTAGTGGTGACTTTTAGGATTTTGTCTGTTCAGTTAACAGAGATTTCTTAGTTTCTAACGGGAACCAAGACAAAACATAATTCCAGATTCACAGGAAGCATGAGTCCTGTCCTGGGCAAAAAAAATTAAGAGCTTGGAGCAGAGACGTCCAGACTTGGGTCTTAAGCCACTTGTGACTATTGGCATTTTTGAATTTCTGTATTAGAGTCTCTAAAGCAGTTGATTCCTAATAAGGAATTAGAATCACCTGGAGAGCCTTTCCCAAAAACACCTGGCTGGACCTTAGCCCAGACCTGGTAGGCATAAATCTCACATAAGCTTCCTAGGTGGTTCTAATGTGCATCCCCAATAAAAAGCAGTGCTCTTATGTGCTGTTGCCGAACTTTTTCACTCTGTGTCATGTCAAGAATGTTTGGTATTGTGATCCAGAGTAAAAGAAAAATTTCACAAAACGGTACTTACCCTTGTCACAAGTAAAACACTCTGGTTTTATTAAGTTTTTTAATGCTGCCACCCAGGGTCTTGACTGATGATCTTGACCTGTAGTTTGAAAAACACTGTTCTGAAACTTAGTAACCATTGCTGCCCTTGGGGTTAATGATAATTGAAACCGTGTCTTCTGGGTCACTTAACTATAAATGCCACTGACTCAAAGTTAACTATATAGGCCAGGCGTGGTAACTCACACCTATAATCCCAGCACTTTGGGAGGCTGAGGCAGGCAGATCACCTGAGGTCAGGAGTTCAAGACCAGCTTGGCCAACATGGTGAAACTCCGTCTCTACAAAAATATTTTAAAAAATTAGCCAGGCATGATTATGGGTGCCTGTAATCCCAACTACTCAGGAGGCTGAGGGGGGAGAATTGCTTGAACCTGGGAGGCGGAGGTTGCAGTGAGCCAAGATCATGCCATTGCACTCCAGCCTGGGCGACAGAGTGAGACGCCATCACACACACACAAAAAAAAGAAAAAAAATTAACTATAATTCTTCTTGGTTTAGTGGTAGACGGAGGAGAAGTCCATCCCCACCACCCACCAGAAGGCGACGGTCTCCTTCTCCCGCCCCTCCTCCTCGACGGCGCAGGACTCCCACACCACCACCACGACGAAGGTACTTTGTCAAATATGCTAACTGGAGCATCTCCCCAACTCCCCCCGCCCCTGATAACATCAGATGAGTAATGGTGCTCACTTCCTAACAAGGTTGGAGAGAGGCACAGCTCATGTGTGCATGTGAAAACCCAATCATCATGCTTATGAACTACAAAAGGATCTCTGAATCTTTCTGATGATTATATCTTATTAGAGTAAGCAGACTAGCATTGTTCAGCCAGTCATAAAAGAACACGTATGATTCCATCTATATGAAAAGTCTAGAATACACAAATCTATAGAGATAGAAAACAGATTAGGGTGGGGTGGACATGGGGATGGTAATAGCTGCAGAACTATATGAATATACTAAAATCATTTAATTGTATACTTTAAATGGACCTTAAATGGGTAAATAGGTAGATTTTATAGCAGGTGAATCATGTATTGTCATAAAGATGTTAATACATTAAAAGATGGTATTGACTAGTAATTGTAAAGAGAAAATTTAGAGGATACTGGCAGATATCTCTTACCTAAATAATCAAAGATAACATCCTCAATAAAACATTGGCATCGTGTATTTCCTGGATACCTCTGTAGTATGCTTACCAATTATGCCAAACCTCAGTCTTATTATTAGGAAATAATCAGACAAACCCAAATTGAAAGTCATTTTACAGAATACCTGACCAGTATTCAAAAGTGTCAGTCATGAAAGACAATGACAGAAACAGTCACAGATTGGCAAGAACTAAAGAGATGTAGGGTCCTGGAGCAGAAAAGGAACATTGATTAAGTCCTGGAACAGAAAAGGGACATTCAGTAGTGGAAAACTGGGTTGTTTGCTATTTTAGTAATACTAAGTTATCACTGAGGTTCATTTTACAGTTTTGCTAATTTTCTTATGGTTATATAAAATATTAGCATGGTGAAGTGGCAAATCTCCTATTTTTGTAGCTCTTCTTTACAACTATTTTAAAGTGAAAATTAGGGGAAAATGTTTTAATGTCATTGCTCGGATATGTTGCCAAGCAATGTAATGACATGCTGCCACTCTTTTTTTTTTTTTTTTTTTTTTTTTTTGAGACAGTCTCACTCTGTCACCCAGGCTGGAGTGCAGTGGCCGATCTCAGCTCACTGTAACCTCCGCCTCCTGGGTTCAAGCGATTCTCCTGCCTCAGCCTCCCGAGTAGCTGGGATTACAGGCATCTGCCACCACACCCAGCCAGTTTTTGTATTTTTTGTAGAGATGAGGTTTCACCATGGTAGCCAGGCTGGTCTCAAACTCCTGACCTCAGGTGATCCGCCTCAGCCTCCCAGAGTGCTGGGATGACAGGTGTGACCCACTCTGCCCAGCCTGGCTGCCACTCTTGAATGCCTGTTAAGTGCCAGGCAAAGTGCTAGGTGCTTTATATGCTTTACTACTAGTCTTCAAAGCGACCTTGCTTGATAGTTGGTATTGTTTGCATTTTTCAGGTGAG
Source organism: Homo sapiens (assembly GCF_000001405.40). Lineage (NCBI taxonomy): Eukaryota > Metazoa > Chordata > Mammalia > Primates > Hominidae > Homo > Homo sapiens. Next base: position 24,668,391 of record NC_000001.11, read on the forward strand.
GAAATGGGAGTTGAGAATTACTAAGTAATTACCCAGATACAGTGATGAAATTGTGCCCTACCACATTGCCAAAATATATGGCCTATTGTAAAGCTAACTCTGGGCAGGAATTTACTTTGATCTAAAAGTCTGCAATATCCAAGAGGAAATTAGGCAGTTTGGCCTGAAAAGTGGCCTTTTGAGACAGAAAATGGAACAGTCTCTTTGAGGGGAGGTAGAAGTGTCTTTAAGGCTTGTGCAGTGAACTCTTAATTATTCATACAGTGTCCAAATGCTCATTCAGAGAGGATACCACATAGGAGACCTCTTTAAAGTGCAGACTTCCTAAGGTGACCATAATAGAGTTTTGCTAATACAGTTACTTGGTTATTATATAATAACTGATGTTCAGTTAATACAGTGCAAGATTCTGTTTTCAAAAAACGTTAATTTTGTATAGATGTTAAAAGATTGACAAATTCACATCTTCTGAAAATTGCAAATTTTTGTTAATCAAAATGTCTTTTTTTCTTTTTTGTACTTAGTCCTGCAGACAGTGTCCTGTGTTGCAGTCAGCTGAGATAAACAAGTTTTATTGATATTTAAGTGAGAATATAAAGATAGCATGTTCACTTATAAATATATTCCCTTTGCCTAGTGCTAACTACAGTATAGCCAAACCTACTGATTACTTTTCATCCTGTTTCTGTATTTTGTTGAGCCTTTCAGCTTAATTATGTATCTTTTTCCTAGGACTCCTTCTCCTCCCCCACGTCGGCGCTCACCTTCTCCTAGAAGATACTCTCCTCCAATACAGAGGAGATACTCTCCTTCTCCACCTCCAAAGAGAAGAACGGCTTCACCTCCTCCCCCTCCTAAACGAAGAGCATCACCATCTCCACCACCAAAGCGGCGGGTCTCCCATTCTCCACCTCCCAAACAAAGAAGCTCCCCAGTCACCAAGAGACGTTCACCTTCATTATCATCCAAGCATAGGAAAGGGTCTTCCCCAAGCCGCTCTACCCGGGAGGCCCGATCACCACAACCAAACAAACGGCATTCGCCCTCACCACGGCCTCGAGCTCCTCAGACCTCCTCAAGTCCTCCACCCGTTCGAAGAGGAGCGTCGTCATCACCCCAAAGAAGGCAGTCCCCGTCTCCAAGTACTAGGCCCATTAGGAGAGTCTCCAGGACTCCGGAACCTAAAAAGATAAAAAAGTAAAAATATTTTATGCTTTTCCATTAGGAATACTTACATAGCTGTTTATATTTGGAAGCTTCCCCCCACCCCCATATAAAAGGAATAAGTTATGAATATGAGCTTTTAAGTCAAACTTGAGGTACTATTTACAGATCTTATTCCATTTTTTGGGATAGTTTCTGTGGTATAAGTTAAATGCCACAGGCTTTTACTTGGTTCTTAGCAGTTATTAATTTGTTTTTGAGGGGTATGCTTCCAAAACTAAACTTGAGTAAGACATTGAACATTTCTTGTGTGTGATGTAAGGAACTGACATTACTAATCTTACATAAGAAGCATCATTAACAGAATAGATAGAGGATTATGGGGCTTTAGCCACCCTCTGGGAAACATAGGTAATGTAAATTGGATATATGTTAGTTGAATCAACCAGCAATCTAAGTGGTATATTTGAAATTCATAACCTGGTTGTACAGTGTAGTTGGTGGTTTTCTCATGTGAAGAGAGATGGCTGTTCTCAATGCTGAATGTTTTTTCCTTTTTGTCTAGGGCTGCTTCCCCAAGCCCACAGTCTGTAAGAAGGGTCTCATCCTCCCGATCTGTCTCCGGGTCTCCTGAGCCAGCAGCTAAAAAGCCCCCAGCACCTCCATCCCCCGTCCAGTCTCAGTCACCGTCTACAAACTGGTCACCAGCTGTACCGGTCAAAAAGGCCAAAAGCCCAACACCGAGCCCATCACCGCCAAGAGTATGTGTCTGCCTTATTTTGGACACCCTTTTATAAATATGTATATGGTCACTTTGAAGCAGAGAAAATGTCATTGGGGCATTAAAATATTGGTGTTTAAACTTTTTTTCCCATTTGTGAGTTATACATCTGATCTTGGGCAGGTTTCTGTATTGCATAAAATCAGTGGTTAGGTGTCCATCTGTTTTTTGTTTGTTTTTGAGACAGGGTCTCATGCTGTCACCCACGCTGAGTGCAGTGGGATGATCATAGCTCACAGCAGCCTTCCTGGACGCAGGTGATCCCTTCGCCTCAGCCTCCCAAGTAGCTGGGATTATAGGCACATGCTGCTACACCTGGCTGGTTTTTTGTTTTTAACTTTTTGTAGAGACAGGGTCTTGCTGTGTTGACCAGGCTGATCTTGAACTCCTAGCCTCCAGTGATCCTCCTGCTGTGGCCTCAGATGTCCATATTTAATTGGGTTGACTGAATAGTTGTGCAAGCTAACTTGTGAGGAATTTTAAGTAATTGCTTAGAAGTGTGAAATTGAAATATTATGGATTAAATTATAGGAGCCTGCTTTTTGCATAAATTTGGTATGTGTGTCATGAGGAAGAACCAGTCATCCCCACTCTAAAGATAGGAGAGCTCAGATGGTAGCTAGAGACATGGCATTCATACAGGCATGTGTTTAGACTAATGGCTGGTACCATTTATTAAAAGTCTGCTACATGTTAGGCAAGTATTATGGGTGATTTACAGATATTCTCATTTAATTTTCACAAGAGCTTTATCAGGTAGGGATTATTACACTTATTTTAGGTAAAAAGGTCTCAGAAAGAGTTCAACAATTTGTCTAAGGTCAAATAGTTCAGGAGCTGGAATTGAGCTCATCCTGGAGATAGCCCCTGACTTTTGAATACTTTTCTTGGTGATAATTGGCCTTGGGCCTTCCCCACTCACACCCTCCAAAGCCTTTCGGAAATCTTGAGATTTGTCCATTGGGGATTTGAGGAAATAAAATGTTCAGTTGGACAGAATATTAATCAGATTGATTATAAATGCTGGGTGTTGTTTTTTTTTCTTCCTAGAATTCAGATCAGGAAGGAGGTGGAAAGAAAAAGAAGAAAAAGAAGGACAAGAAACACAAAAAGGATAAGAAGCACAAGAAGCACAAAAAACACAAGAAGGAAAAGGCTGTGGCTGCAGCTGCTGCAGCTGCTGTGACCCCTGCAGCCATTGCAGCTGCCACAACCACATTAGCACAGGAAGAGCCAGTGGCAGCGCCAGAGCCGAAGAAGGTATTTATGAACTCTGTATATGGCTGTCTTGCAGTTTACGTACAGATAGCAAAGTCATTTTGTTTTGAGAAGTAGCAAAATTGTTTTTTCTACTAATTAGCCAGTTACTCTGAGATAAAAGTCACGTACCATACAGTTCACCCATTTAAAGTTTGTGGTTCCCTGGGTTTTAGTATATCAGTTGTGCAGCGATCCCCACACTTTTTTTTTTTATAAAGGTGACTTATTTATTTAAAATATTAACTATCCACAGTGGCCATTATATTTGCATACAGTTCAGTACTCAAAAGATTTGTGAGGTTGGTTTTTTTTTTTGTTTGTTTTTTAATTTTATTATTATTATACTTTAAGTTTTAGGGTACATGTGCACAATGTGCAGGTTTGTTACATATGTATACATGTGCCATGTTGGTGTGCTGCACCCATTAACTCGTCGTTTAGCATTAGGTATATCCCTCCCTGCTCCCCCTACCCCACAACAGTCCCCGGTGTGTGATGTTCCCCTCCCACACTTTGATTCTGCTCTTTACTCGGCATTTCCCACCAGGGTCTCAAGACTTAACCGTGTAAATTCTGTTTTTTTTAGGAGACTGAAAGTGAAGCTGAAGATAACCTTGATGATTTAGAAAAGCACCTGCGTGAAAAGGCCCTGAGATCAATGAGGAAGGCCCAAGTGTCCCCACAGTCTTAGGGGGAAATGTTTGTTATGATGTAAATTTTATTTGGTTTGTACGCAGTTCAATTTCAAAATTGCTAAAATGTGTTTGAGCTTTAGACTATAACATTTGTTGTAATAATTGCTAGGTTGAAGTTCAACATGTAAAAAAAGGGGGCATGGATTTACATTGCAAAAGGTGTCCACAGTGTATTAGTGACATTCTTTCATTGACAGCTGACATAATTCATTGAGTGAAATATTTTAAGCCAAAAAAAAATTCCCTTTTTAAAAAAGGGGGTTTAAATACTGTTGGCATTTTTATGGTTCCTTTAAATGCCCTAGCTATTCCCAGAGGGGTTTTTTTGTTTGTTTTTTTGGTTTTGATTTTCTTTTTGTTTTTCTTTCTTCTTCTTATTTTTTTCATTTGAGTCTTAGCTCCCATTTAAGTTATGCTTCTGACCTTGTATGGTCTGTAAGCTTGCCCAGAAATAAGACCACTGTTTTGAACTACCACAAAAGTATAAATGAATATTTTAATGCCACAATCTTTCCTGTTGCCTGTGGAGTCTCTGCTGAAATGAATCAGGATTCGAGCTCTAGGATGAGACAGAAAATGAAAGCATGTTGTTTGCCAGGACACTGTGGGTTTATATTGATGTGTAACAAGTTGATTTGGAACACTGGACTCTCATTCTGTTATTCTGGTTTTGTTTTTTTTGTTTTGTTTTTTTTCTTTTGTAAAGGCAATGAGCTAGTCCCAGAAAGGATCCTTCAGTTACATACAATTTGTTTAATGAAATGTCATGGCTCTGTTCATATTTTTGTCTTGTTCTTCCAATTGGTATATACAACTTTCAGAGCCTCTTGTATTTGGAAGGCTGGAAGGGCCCAGACTTTGGAATAGTGTCTTGGTTTCACTGTTTTTGTTTTGATTTTTTTTTTGTTTTGATTTTTTTTAAACTAAAGCTATATAAAGCTTGTGGATTAAACAGAATAAATTTCTAAATTTAAAAATTTTGCCACTCTTACTTAGTAGTGCTTATGTAAACCTTTTGGTGTGTTGGGAGTTGGGCAGGGGAAAGAAAAGGTGATGAAATTAAGGTTTTACCATCTTTATTTCAATAATTACTGTGGTGAGTGCTATAAAGGGAATCAGCATGTGATTGGAACATTTAGAATACTGGTGGGAGAAGTCCACCAGGCAAAGAGAACAGGATTGCAGTCAGACAAACAGTGTCTGTGTCTTCCCTGAGGCAGAAGGAGCCTGCTGGCATGTTAGGAAGTGAACAAAGGCTAAGGAATGACTGGAACACCCTCTGTCAGGGGCGGGGTGGGGGGGGGGGGGTTGTGTGTGTGTATGTGCGTGTGTGTGTGCGTGCGCACGTAATATTTGGCTATCTACAACCAAGTCTGTTTTGCATTTAAAACTAAGTGGAACGAAAATTTGGGGAAACTTGGAGTTGTTAACATAGTGTGAGGTAAAACAGCAACATTCGTATGAAAGAAGTTCACCAGAAACCTAAGCTGAGCAGGTCGACGCATGTATAGTTTGATTTTAAGTTCTGGCAGTTGAACCAAAACAAGGAAGAAAATGCCTACAATCTTAATTTCTTTCTTTTTCTTTTTTGGTTGAGGTCTTGCTCTGTCACCCAGGCTGGAGTGCAGTGGCACAATCTCAGCTCACTGCAAGCTCCGCCTCCTGGGTTCAAGTGATTCTCCTGCCCCAGCCTCCCAAGTAGCTGGGATTATAAGTGCCCGCCACTACGCCAAGCTATTTTTTAAATATTTTTAGTAGAGATGGGGTTTCACCATCTTGGCCAAGCTAGTCTTGAACTCCTGACCTTGTGATTTGCCTGCCTCGCCCTCCCAAAGTGCTGGAATTACAGGTGCGAGCCACCGCACCGCTCCTTCTGCCTTAGGGAAGACACAGACACTGTCTGATTGCAGTGCTCTTCCCTTTGCCTGGTGGACTTCTCCCACCAGTATTCTAAATGTTCCAATCACATGCTGAGACTTTCCCTTTACAGCACTCACCACAGTTAATTATTGAAATAAAGATGGTAAAAACATCTTTCAAAGGACATGGACAGTAAATATACCTTCAACAATGAGGAGCTGTTTTTACAGGTGTTTTACAGGTTTAAAGTGATTTGTAACAAGCAAAAAAGCTTGATGAAACTTCTATAGGGACTGCACTAAGGTAGTGTAGAGTGAGTGACTCTACGCTCTATCCATGATAATAGAATTTTATGTGTGTGCAGCAACTTAAGAATTTTCAAGGGCCTTCTACATGGCTCCTTTTGATTTTACAATTCTATGATAAAAGAAAAGCACATAATACTTATTTTCTAAGATGATTTTTGCTGACATTTCCTTTCCAATAGGAACAAACCAGTGAACATCGTCAGAGTAGAGTTGGCCCTTGAACAATGAGAGGGTTGAGGCACTGACCCCTTGCACAGGCAAAAATTCAAGTATAATTTTTTTACTTCCTAAAAATGTACCTGCCAGGCATGGTAGATCATGCCTGTAATTCCAACACTTTGGGAGGCCGAGGCAAGAGGATTGCTTGAGCCCAGGAATTTGAGACCAGCCTGGACAACAATAGCGAGACCTCATCTCCAAAAAACTTTTTTTAAAAAAGCCCTAGGCATGGTGGTGTGTGCCTATAGCCTCAGCTACCCATGAGGCTGAGGTGGGAGGTTCACTTGAGCCTTGGAAGTTGAGGCTGCTGTGAGCCATGATCACACCACTGCACTCCAGCCTGGGCATCTCTGAGGCTGAAAAAGAGGGCGGGGGTTGGTCTTGCTGTCCCAGCAATGGGAGAGGTGGAAAAATCTGCCTATAAGTGGATCCATGTAGTGTAAACCTGTGTTCAAGGGTCAACTGTACTTGGGTCTAGCCAATCATTCAGTCCATTTGTTTACTCCGTAGGCTTTTATTCCTCCACTTGACTGGTCTTAAGATTAGCCATAGCCGGGCGCTGTGGCTCACGCCTGTAATCCCAGCACTTTGGGAGGCCGAGGCGGGCGGACCACGAGGTCAGGAGATCGAGACCATCCCGGCTAAAACGGTGAAACCCCGTCTCTACTAAAAATACAAAAAATTAGCCAGGCGTAGCGGCGGGCGCCTGTAGTCCCAGCTACTTGGGAGGCTGAGGCAGGAGAATGGCGTGAACCCGGGAGGCGGAGCTTGCAGTGAGCCGAGATCCCGCCACTGCACTCCAGCCTGGGCGACAGAGCAAGACTCCGTCTCAAAAAAAAAAAAAAAAAAAAAAAAAAAGATTAGCCATAGCCTGCCTTTTGCCAAATTGAACAATCAGTTCTGAATCCTTATTTTATTAGACCTCTGCAGGATTGGGCTCAATCACTCACTCTGTTGACTCACACTCGTGTTCTTTTAAGCAACACTAGTCGTCCTCCTACCTCACTAACTTTTGTCTCTAAAGGGTCCTTTTAAACATGCAGTGATGTAGTATGCCTTTTTTTGTGCTTGGTTGCCTTCCCTATACTTAATCCCTAGTCTCGTGATTTTAAGTGTCATCTTTATGTTTGAGGTGTTTAATCTCCAGTTCAAACTTCTCCCTGAGCTAGGCTCCTGTTGAGCTACCTGCTTGATAATGCCATTTATTTTATTTATTTATATGAGACAGAGCCTCCCTCTGTTGCCTGGCTGGAGTGCAGTAGTGCGATCTCGGCTCATTGTTACCTCTGCCTCCCGGGTTCAAGCAATTCTGCCTCAACCTCCCGAGTAGCTAGGACTACAAGGGCCTACCACCATGCCACTATGCCCAGCTAATTTTTTTTTTTTTTTTTTTTTTGAGACGGAGTCTTGCTCTGTCGCCCAGACTGGAGTTCAAGTGGCGCGATCTCAGCTCACTGCAACCTCCCCCTCCCAGGTACAGGCAATTCTCCCATCTCGGCCTCCCTAGTAGCTGAGATTACTGGCACCCGCCACCATGCCTGGCTAATTTTTTTTTTTTTTTTGAGACGGAGTCTCGCTCTGTTGCCCAAGCTGGAGTGCAATGGCGCGATCTCGGCTCACTGCAAGCTCCGCCTCCTGGGTTCACGCCATTCTCCTGCCTCAGCCTCCCGAGTAGCTGGGACTACAGGTGCCCGCCACCACACCCGGCTAATTTTTTGTATTTTTAGTAGAGACAAGGTTTCGCCAAGTTGGCCAGGCTGCTCTTAAACTCCTGACCTCAGGTGATCCACCCGCCTCGGCCTCCCAAAGTGCTGGGATTACAGGCGTGAGCCACCGTGCCTGGCTGCTAATTTTTTATTTTTAGTAGAGACGGGGCTTCACCATATTGGCCAGGCTGTCTCGAACTCCTGACCTCAAGTGATCCGCCTGCCTCGGGCTCCCAAAGTGCTGGGATTATAGGCATGAGGCACCACATCCGGCCATAATACCATAAAAGGCATACCAAAATTAACATGTCCAAAATAGGATTTTTTATACGATCCTGATCTCAGTCCATTTCAGTGCCTGTCACTGTGATTTATTCAAAATTGAAGAGTCCTTACAATCAGTGGCCATACTGTCCACTCCCCAATACCCGTGCATGCTGTTCCCTACAGCCCAAGTCAGATCACAGGTCTGCTAAAAATCCTCAGAAAGCTGTTTTAGAATAAAACGCAGATTTCTTACTATGGCCTGCAAGTTCTAATAGGATTGGGCCAAATTGGCTTTGGCAACTTTATTGTCACTCAGCAGTCTACTCAAGCCATGCTGGCCACCCTGTCTTCCTTTTTTTCCAAAAAGCTGACTTCTCTTTCAGAGATTTTTGTACCGTGCCCACTGTGCCTTTATCTTGGAAGGCACTCCTGCTCTTATTGCTTGTTTCTTTACTTGGTTTGCCTCAGACACTTCCCTAATTCCCTCTCCTTTGTTTTCATGGATGTCAACTTTTGCTACCTAAAGTGATGCATTTTTGCTCGCTAGGAAGTTGTCTTATTCATGGCTGTGTCCCCAGTGGTACAAACCAGTGTACCACTGTACACCGTATTCCAGTGTATTCATTCGATGAATGAATAAATTTAATTATCATTACATCCGTACTGGCCAGATACTACCAGGGTTTGAGGTAAAATGAAGAGGCCAGACGCAGTGGCTCATGTCTGTAATCCCAGCACTTTAGGAAGGTCGAGGTGGGGGGATTGCTTGAGCCCAGGAGTTTGAGACTAGCCTGGGCAACATAGGTGACTCCTGTCTCTACAAAAAGCCTAAAAATTAGCAGGTCATGGTGGCATGTGACTGTAGTCCCAGCTACTCCAGAGGCTGAGGAGGGAGGATCATTTGAGCCTGGGAGGTCAGGGCTGCAGTGAGCAGTGACTGTGCCATTTCACTCCAAAAAAAAAAAAAAGAAAAGATGGTTGCTGTCCTTAAGGAGCATCCACCTACTGGGTATGCAGACATGCAAACAATTTGCAGACTGCACACTGAGTCTGGTGAACCAGGATTTCTACCATAGCTTCTACTGTGTGGTCTTGGGCAAGTTACTTGACCTTGAAGTGGTGCCATTTCTTCTTCAATGGAAATGACGGAATCTATCTCAAGAGTTTCTGAAGATTTAAATGTGTCAGTTAATACATATAATGCAATGATACCACAAAGACAGCTTCCCATTCTAACACGACACATAGCCATTCTTGTAATTATGGCAAAATTTAGCTTAGGTGACTAAAACGGATTTTAGATCAGCCCCATTTAAGGCAATTTATTTCTCTTTTTTTTTAAGATTTAACTCACATGCCGTAAAATTCACCATCTCAGTGGTATTCAGAGGTTATGCAACCATCACCAATATCTATTCCAAAACACTGTCATCACCCCAAAAAGAAACTTCACGCTCATTAACAGTCACTTCAATTACCCTGACAGTTCTTTTAGCCCCAGCCCCTGGCAAGTACTTTCCTATCTATAGATTTGCCTGTTCTGTACATTTCACTGAAATCATACAATATTGGGCCTTTTGTCTGGCTTCTTTCACTTAGCACAGTGTGTTCCAGGTTCATTCATGTTATAGCAGGCATCAGTGCTTCATTTCTTTTTTATTTTTTTATTTTTATTTTTTGAAACAGGATGTCTATCTGTCACCCAGGCCAGAGTGCAGTGAGGCAGTCATGGCTCACTGCAGCCTCGACCTCCCAGGCTGAAGCAACCCTCCCACCACAACCTCCTAAGTAGCTGAGATTATAGGCATGCACCACCATGCCCGGCTAATTTTTGCATTTTTTTAGTACAGATGGGGTTTCACCATGACTGGTGTCGAACTCCTGGACTCAAGTGACTCACCTGCCTCAGTTTCCCAAAGTGCTGGTGTCAGAGGTGTTCAAACCAGAGCAACTCCATTTTGAATAGGGGCTGGGTAAAATAAGGCTGAGACCTGCTGGGCTGCATTCCCAGGAGGTTAGGCATTCTTAGTCATAGGATGAGACAGGAGGTTGGCACAAGATAAAGGTCACAAAGACCTTGCTGATTGATAAAAGTCTGTGGTAAAGAAGTTGGCCAAATCCCACCATAACCAAGATGGTGACGAGTGACCTCTGGTCATCCTCATTGCTCATTATATACTAATTATAATGTATTAGCATGCTAAAAGACACTCCCACCAGCACGGTGACAGTTTACAACTTCTGGAAGTTACCCTTTATGGTCTAAAGTGGGGAGGGACCCTCAGTCCCAAGAAATCCATGCCCCTTTCCTGGAAAACTCATGAATAATCCATCCCTTGTTTACCATATAATCAAGGAACAACTATAAGTATACTCAGTCGAGCAGCCCATGCCGCTGTTCTGCCTATGAAGTAGACTTTTTTTTCCATTACTTTCCTAATAAACAGACTTTTGACTTTACTCTATGGACTCACCCTGAATTCTCTCTTGGGGTCTGGATCAGGACCCCTTTCTGGTAACACTAGGATTACAGGCGTGAGCCGCCGTGCCCAGCCACTTCATTTCTTTTTACTGTTCGATAGTATTCCCTTGTTTGAATATACCATGTTTTGTTTATCCATCAGTTGAATATTTGGGCTATTTCCACCTTCTGGCTACTAGGATAAAGCTGCTATGAACATTTGCATACAAGTTTCTGTGTGGGCATGTGCTTTGACGCTGTTGGATATATGTGCCTAGGATTTGGAATTGCTGGGTCATGTGGTAACTGTATGTTTAATGTTTTTAGGAACTGCACCTTTTTTTTTTTTTTTTTTTTTTTGAGACGGAGTTTTGCTCTTGTTGCCCAGGCTGGAGTGCAATGGTGTGATCTCGGCTCACTGCAACCTCTGCCTCCCAGGTTCAAGCGATTCTCCTACCTCAGCCTCCTGAGTGCTGAGATTATACAGGTGCCCGCCACCGCGCCTGGCGAATTTTTGTATTTTTAGTAGAGGTGGGGTTTCACCATGTTAGCCAGGCTGGTCTTGAACTCCTGACCTCAGGTGATCCACCTGCCTCGGGCTCCCAAAGTGCTGGGATTATAGGCGTGAGCCACCGCACCCAGCCACAGCTGCACCATTTTACATTCCTACATCAGTGTGTGAGGATTCCAGTTTCCCCATGTCCTTGTCAATACTTGTCATTATCTGTCATTTTGATTATAACCATCCTAGTGGGCGTGAAGTGCTATCTCACTGTGTTTGATTTGCATTTGCCACATGGCTGGTGATGGTGAGCATCTGTTCATGTGCTGGTATTCCTCAATGCCACTTTAAGCTGATTTGTATCTGCATGAGCATGTTTCTGAAGTTGTGGCTATAGGATTAGATCCAGGGCTGGACTCAGAGTCCGTAGAGTGGAGCTGATGATATTTGTAGTACTCTCATACTCATATGTGGAGGTTGAGAATAGGGAATTATGGCCAAACCAAAATGTGTTCCCATTTTATAAACAGGATCAGGAGACTCAGGGAGAGTGTGACAAGGTAACTGGTAGGTGCAGTTCTAATTAATATTGTCCCTCCTACCATCTGATAAAGAACCCAATATTTTCGGTGGGGCACGGTGGCTCACGCCTGTAATCCCAGCACTTTGGGAGGCCGAGGCGGGTGGATCACGAGGTCAGGAGATCAAGACCATCCTGGCCAACATGGTGAAACCCCGTCTCTACTAAAAATACAAAAATTAGATGGGCGTGGTGGTGCACGCCTGTAGTCCCAGCTACTTGGGAGGCTGGGACAGGAGAATCGCTTGAACCTGGGAGGCAGAGGTTGCAGTGAGCCGAGATTGTGTCACTGCACTCCAGCCTGGGTGACAGAGCAAGACTCTGTCTCAAAAAAAAAAAAAAAAAAAAAAAAAAAAAATTCCTCAATATACCTGTCCAACTTCTAATATTATAACAGTCACATAAGATAGTGAATGTAGGGTGCGGCATAGTGGCTCACACCTATAATCCCAACACTTTGGGAGGCCAAGGTAGGTGGATCACTTGAGCCCAGGAGTTTGAGACCAGCCTGGGCAACATGATGAAACCTGTCTCTACAAAAAATACAAAAATTATCCGGGCATAGTGGTGTGTGCCTATAGTCCCAGATACTTGGGAGGCTGAGGCAGGAACATCACTTGAGCCTGGGAGGTCGAGGCTTGCAATGAGCCATATTTACACCACTGCACTCCAGCCTGGGTGACAGAACGAGACCTTGTCTTAGAAAAGAAAAAAAAAAGTGGATATAGAAACACCACCCAAATGTGTGGTTGTTAGGAAAACACTGGGGTTTAGGGTGTAGCTTATTATCCCAAGAAATCCAAGTTTAGAAGTTGAAAATTGCATGGCATTAATTTTTTATTTTTTTAGAGACAGGGTCTCTGTCACCCAGGCTGGAGTGCAGCAGCATGATCATAGTTCACTGTACTTTGAACCTTGAACTCCTGGGTTCAAAGGATCATCCTGCCTCAGCCTCCCAAGTAGCTGGGACCACAGGTGCACGCCACCATGCCGAGCTAATGTTTTGTATTTTTAATAGAGAAGGGGTTTCGCCATGTTACCCAGGCTGGTCTCAAAACTCCTGAGCTCAAGCAATCTGTCCGCCTCACCCTCCAAAAGTGCTGGAATTACAGGCGTGAGCCACCACACCTGGCCTGCCTGGCTAATTGTGTTAAAATTTTTTTATAGAGAAGGGGTCTCTTTATGTCTTCCAGACTGATCTTGAACTCCTGGCCTCAAGCAATTCTGCCTTGGCCTCCTGAAGTGCTGGGACTACATATGTGAGTCACCCACCCTGCAGGCTTTTTTTTTTCTTTTTGGACAGGGTCTCACTCTTTTGCCCAGGCTGGAGTGCAGTGGCTCAATCTTGGCTCACCGCAAACTCCACCTCCCAGAATCGAGCGATCCTTCTACATACAGGCAGGCGTATTTTGAGGCCCCAACTCTGCTCAATCCTGCAAGATCAACTCTAAGATTCCCATATTTTTGATTTGAAAGACCCATCTTAGTTCATACCGAACGTTGCCCTTTGGCTCTTAGGGACTCAGTTATTGCTGTGCTCCTAGTTTGATGAATTGGTAGCGTGAAAGGAAAATAAGCCTCGGGACACAAAAATCACTACGCCGACGGGAAAGTCAAGCTGGGAACTGCATCAGGTAAAACTGCCTCCCATTTTATTTCTAAATGAGATAGCTGCAAAGATAAAAAAGCGACGTACCTCCCTCACAATGTGCCCACGAGGAAATTCCTTTACTTTACTATAAAACATCTTTACTATAAAACAGTTACTCAACATCTTTACTATAAAACAGTTATGATGAATTTCACCCTGGCAATGTAAATTGATGGCTCGTCTTCACAGGTGCGGGAGAGACAGTCATCCCACTGGCCACCTGAGACAAATGCATATTTGATTGCTTCCTCTGCCCTCTTTTATTTATTTTATTTTATTTTATTTTTTGAGACAGGGTCTCCCTCTGTCGCCCAGGCTGGAGTGCAGTGGTGCAATCTCAGCTCCCTGCAACCTCTGCTTCCGGAGTTCAAGCGATCCTCCCACCTCAGCCTCCCAGGCAGCTGGGACTACAGGCATATACCACCATGCCCAGCTAATTTTTTGTATTTTTAATAGAGATGGGGTTTCATCATGTTACCCAGGCTGGTCTCAAACTCCTGGCCTCAAGTGATCTGCCGGCCTCGGCCTCCCAAAGTGCTAGGATTACAGGCGTGAACCACTGCACCCAGCCCCTCTGCCCTATTTTTTTTATGTAAAAATGTATATTCACTGAGCCAAACTAAAACATAGGTGACTATTTCTCTACTTTCCTGTCACATATAAATTGTATATTCAGTGAAAGGCTAATCAAAGACTCAAAAGAATGCAACTGTTTTTGTCTCTTATCTACCTATCACCTGGAACCTCCTCTTGTACCCTGCTTCAAGTTGTCCTGCCTCTCCAGACTGAACGTACATCTTACACGTATTGACTGATGTCTCATGGCTCCCTAAAATGCATAAAAGCAAGCTGTACCCACGCCACCTTGGGCACGTGTCATTAGGGCCTCCTGAGGCTGCCATGGCCACATCCTTAACCTTGGCAAAAATAAACTTTCTAAATTGATTGAGACCTGTCTCAGACACTTTGGGTTCACAGTAGGATCTGAAGTACAGGTTTTTCCAAAGCTCTTGGCAAAAACGTTTCATGTTTGTCAATATGTAGCAGGTTGGCAGGCTTTCATAATTATAAGAATGTCAAGCTTGAATAACGAGATTCAAAAAATAAGACTACGTACAGAGCCCAGAGCTTGAGGTTGGCTACCCAAGAGGATAGATTCAGGTTGTCCTAAATATACACTCCAATTAGCAGCAGTTACAAATGGGTCTCTTGAAGGAATAAAGAAGAGGCAGTTCTGAAATTGTTTACCAAGAATTTATTACATCTATCACATAAGCTCAGTCGGGCACAGTGGCTCGTGCCCGTAATCCCAGCACTTTGGGAGACCGAGGCGGGCAGATCATCTAAGATCAGGAGTTTGAGACCAGACTGACCGACATGGCAAAACCCCATACCTACTAAAAATACAAAAATTAGCTGGGTGTGGTGGCACGTGCCTGTAATCCCAGCTACTCAGGAGGCTGAGGCAGGAGAATTGCTTGAACCTGGGAGGCTTGTAGTGAGCCAAGATCATGCCACTGCACTCTAGCCTGGGCGACAGAGCAAGACTGTCTTAAAAAAAAACCAAAATAAAAATAGGGGCCGGGCGCGGTGGCTCATGACTGCAACCCCAGCACTTTGGGAGGCCGAGGCGGGCAGATCATGAAGTCAGGAGTTCAAGACCAGCCTGCTCAACATGGTGAAACCCCATCTCTACTAAAAAATACAAAAATTAGTTGGGCGCAGTGGTGCACTCCTGTAATCCCAGCTACTCGGGAGGCTGAGGCAGGGGAATCGCTTGTACCGGGGGAGCGGAGGTTGCAGTGAGATCAGGCCACTGCACTCCAGCCTGAGCAACAGAGTGAGACTCCGTCTCAAAGAAAAAAAAATTAGTTCTTGATTGGCCGTACATTGTTCTTTGTATCACAGATTCCAAGAGCATGAAGATAGTGGGTGAGGCAGCTAGTCAGGAACAAAATGCCTTTGAACAGTTGCCCCGGAGCATGGGGTTGTGGGGAAGAGGGATGACTAAAGTCCCATGCTCCTATATCTGTGAGCTTGATAAATGTTGCATGACTCACATAGCTCAGACTGCCCCGAGCTTTTTTTTTTTTTTTTCTCTCGGGGTTTCTGCCAAGATGCTGACCCTTATATTTCATGTCTATCAGAGAGGAGGAGCTGATGGGTGCTGAGTCCCAAGAGAAGCACCCTGTTTGCAGAGGGCTATGGATACCTCTCACCAGATGGGGCAGGAGGAACGACGGGAACAACTTAATATCAGTAGAATTGTAAACTCCTTAGCTGGAAGCTACCTTAAGGAAGTGTTTCACAGACTGTAGGTTGAGACCCATGAGTGAATTGTAAAATTTAATGTATCACAACTAGCATTAAAAGAAAAAGAAAACAATAAACTTGAGTCTGAATCGCATATAGCGGGTTAAGTATTGTTTCATGGATCGTGTATATATATTCATGTATGTGTGTGTGTGTGTGTGTATGGGGTTGCAATATTAAATGTATTCTAGACTGGACATGGTTGCTCATGCCTCTAATCCCAGGACTTTGGGAGGCTGAGGCAGGTGGTTCACTTGAGGCCAGGAGTTTGAGACCAGCCTGGCCATCATGGTGAAAACCCATCTCTACCAAAAATATATATATATACAAAAATTAGCCAGGCGCGGTGGTACACACCGTAGTCCCAGCTACTTGGGAGGCTGTGGCATGAGAATTACTTGACACCCAGGAGGCGGAGCTTGCAGTGAGCCGAGATCGCGCCACTGCACTCCAGCCTGGGCAACAGAGCAAGACTCTGTCTCAAAAAAAATAAAAATAAAAATAAAATAAAAAATATTCTAGACCAGGCACAGTGGCTCACGCCTGTAATCCTAGCACTTTGGGAGGCTGAGGTGGGCAGATCATGAGGTCAGGAGTTCAAGACCAGCCTGACCAACATGGTGAAACCCTGTCTCTACTAAAAACACAAAAATTAGCCAGGTGTGGTGGCAAGCGCCTGTAATCTCAGCTACTCAGGAGGCAGAGGCAGGAGAATTGCTTGAACCCGGGAGGTGAAGTTTGCAGTGAGACGAGATTGTACCACTGTATGCCAGCCTGGGTAACACGGTGAGGCTCCGTCTCAAAAAAAAAAAAGTATTCTAATGCGATTTATAATTAACAAAATCAAAACTATCTACTTTATAGATATCTAGGCTGCCAGTTTTTAAACTGGCCTGCAGAGTCCTTAGGAGGAAGTTATAGTTCAAACTTTCTCTGTAAAATAGAGCCACTAGTAGGACCTAGCCAAAAAAAAAAAAAAAAGTGAAAACCACTGATCTGGGCCAGGCGCGGTGGCTCACACCTGTAATCCCAGCACTTTGGGAGGCCGAGGCGGGCGGATCACGAGGTCAGGAGATCGAGACCATCCTGACCAACATAGTGAAACCCCGTCTCTACTAAAAATACAAAAAATTAGCTGGGCGTGGTGGTGGGCGCCTGTAATCCCAGCTACTTGAGAGGCTGAGGCAGGAGAATTGCTTGAACCCAGGAGGTGGAGGTTGCAGTGAACCAAGATCGCACCATTGCACTCCAGCCTGGGTGACAGAGCGAGACTCCATCTCAAAAAAAAAAAAAAATAGTCTAAAGCCCCGAACTAACTAGCCCAAGGTCCCCACACTCCCACACACCATAGCAAACTCATGGCCCCGGCACTTTCCCACTCTATCACACTGCCTCAGCCAGGGTGCTCGTAAAATTGCCCAACTTCTGTTGTAGTGAAGGAAACAAAGACCAGGTGAGGTCAGCCAGGGCGTCTGAAGTAGGAGGAGAAGTGGTTCCAGTGGACCCTGGTAACATGGAGTGAAAAGCCGCACCTGGGAAAAGGGTGTGAAACAACGGTCCTTATGAAGTTCAGCATGTGTTTCTTCACCAAGACCCTCCTCAGTGCACAACCAGGCCCGGGGCTTCTGGCATTTTAAACGTGGGGGCTTGGCTTCTGTAGCCAACCAGAGGGAGGTGCCAAAGCCTAACTGGTCTCAGCCCGGTCGGACCCACCCAGGCAGTAGGGATTTGCCGAGCATCCGCCAGGTGCTCATGGCTGGTTCAAGGCTCATACCCTGGGATTTCCCACTTTCTTTCTTTTGCTTTTCTTGCTTCTTGCTGTTTCTGCCTGGAATGTCCTTTTTCTTTTGGTGGGGGGTGGCCAGGGCGGGGGCCGGTGGGGGCAGAGTCTTGCTCTGTCGCCCAGGCTGGAGTGCAATAGCGTGATCTCAGCTCACTGCACCCTCCGCCTCCTGGGCTCAAGTCATCCTCCCACCTCAGCCTCCTGAGTAGCTGGGACTATAGGCGGATGCCAGCAGGCCCAGCTAATTTTTGTATTTCTGGTAGAAGTGGGGTTTGGCCACGTTGCCCAAGCTGGTCTCAAACTCCTAAGCTCAAGCAGTCCTCCCACCTTGGCCTCCCAAAGTGCTGGGATCACAGGGTGGGCCACTGCACCTAGCCTGGTATGTCCTTTCTTGTCCAAATCTTTGTTGGACTTATAAATGCATTTAATATGATATTTTCTTTTCTTTTTTTTCTTTTTTTCTTTTTTTTTTGAGACAGAGTTTTGCTCTTGTCGCCCAGGCTGGAGTGCAATGGTGTGATCTCAGCTCAACGCAACCTCCGCCTCCCGGGTTCAAGTGATTCTCCTGCCTCAGCCTCCCGAGCAGCTGGGATTACAGCCATGTGCCAACCACGCCCGGCTAATTTTGTATTTTTAGTAAGACAGGGTTTCTCCATGTTGGTCAGGCTGGTCTCGAACTCCCAGCGTCAGGTGATCCACCCGCCTTGACCTCCCAAAGTGCTGGTATTACAGGTGTGAGCCACTGTGCCCGGCTATAGCATACATTTTAAAAGTGTTTTCTATGGCCAGGAAAATTGGAAAATAAATAAAAGTCACCCCTATGCCAACATCAAAACACAGCCACAGTCCTCCCCGTTGTAAATTTCTTACCCAGTCATTTAAAAATAATTTTAGATGCCTTTTTTTTTTCTTTCAGACAAAGTCTCGCTCTGTTGCCCAGGCTGGCGTGTGCAGTGGCATGATCTTGGCTCACTGCAACCTCCACCTCCCAGGTTCAACTGATTCTCCAGCCTCAGCCTCTCCAGTAGCTGGGATTACACGCATGTGCCACCATGCCCGGCTAATTTTTTTTGTATTTTTTTAGTAGAGACGGGGTTTTACCATGTTGACCAGGCTGGTCTCAAACTCCTGACCTCAGGTGATCCACCCGCCTCGGCCTCCCAAGGTGCCAGGATTACAGGCATGAGCCACTGTGCCCAGCCTAATTTTTGTGTTTTTAGTAGAGACAGGGTTTTGCCATGTTGGCCAGGTTGGTCTGGTATTCCTGGCCTCAAGTGATCTGCTCTCCTTGGCCTCCCAAAGTGCTGGAATTACAGGCGTGAGCCACCGCGCCTGGCCTTATAGGATATTTTCTAATTTTAAAAAGACATGCTCATTTTTAGAGAATTTGGAAAACATAAAAATCTAGAGAAAAAATTATTGGCAATCCCACCATCCTAATATAATCAAAGACACCTGTCCTAGGTCAAATGTCCTACCTGGCTACACCGAACCCACCCTGAGCTCCTCTCCTCTAATATATAAAATGAGTCAGGTTTTTTCTCTATAAGTACATTCATAGCTACAAATATCAGGATCATACCAGATACACATAATATTTAATATTCTTTTTTTCACTGGGCATAATATGAACTAGAATTATAGCATACTTTTTTTTTTTTTTTTTGAGACGGAGTCTTGCTCTGTCGCCCAGGCTGGAGTGCAGTGGTGCAATCTCGGCTCACTGCAACCTCCACCTCCCGGGTTCAAGTGATTCTCTAGCCTCAGCCTCCCGAGTAGCTGGGATTACAGGAGCGTGCCATGCCCAACTAATTTTTTTTGTATTTTTTAGTAGAGACAGGGTTTCACCATGTTGACCAGGTTGGTCTCGAACTCCTGACCTCAGGTGATCTACCCGCCTCGGCCTCCCAAAGTGCTAGGATTACAGGCGTGAGCCAGCATGCCCAGCCTAATTTTTGTATTTTTAGTAGAGACAGGGTTTTGCCATGTTGGCCAGGTTGGTCTGGAACTCCTGGCCTCAAGTGATCTGCCCGCCTCGGTCTCCCAAAGTGCTGGAATTACAGGCATGAGCCATCACACCCAGCCAGATGCTTCTATTTATTTAAACTTTAACCTCTGTAGGTCAAATGGTAGTGATGGTACCCACCTTCACAGGGTTTTTGTGAGCATTAAATTAGACAAATGAAACACAGGCCCTGTCCCAGCGGAGATCATGGCATGTGGGCAGGGGTCGAGGGTGGGAGCCAGGGGACACTCAGGCAGTGATAAAACAAGGTGACTGGTGACACAGAGAGGGGAGCTGTGCAGTGTAGCAGTGGTCAGCAGTCCTGCAGCCAGCTTCTCAGCCACAGACATACTTACTGTGAGACCTGGGCACATGACTTCACCTCCCTCAGCCTCCTCTGTTTCCTCTTCTGTTAAATGGGCATGGATTCAATAACATCATACAGGTAGAGGGCTTAGCTCATGCCTGGCATGTCACAAGGGCTCCATCAATGACAGTTTTCAGTGTTCCATCAAATCTTACATACGTGCAATTGTAGGATGCACCACCACCTATTAAACCACCACCGCATTCATTGTAAGACGTATCTGACTTTAGAGAGGTCAAAATACAGGGGAAAAAAGTCTTAAATTTCACTATATCCAGTGTCATTATTCAGAAGGGTCTGGGACACTGAGGTAGGGCTCCTGAGTTAGCTCAGGGACACACTCATCCGTCACTCTCAATTTCTTCGTCTCTGTCCCTCTCTCTGGCCTTCTCTTCGTTTTCTGAGCCTTCCACTAGGTGGCACCCGGGCCTGGGTGCCTGCTGTGGAGCTGATGCCCTGAGGTCAGTCCTGCCCCTCCGGCTTCTCCATGCTTTCTTCCCCTTTCCTTTTTCCTCCTCCCCACCTTTTATCCTGCAAGTGGGAGGCTTTGATTCAGTGCTCAGAGGTTCCCTGTAGGATTGCAGAACTTGAAGAACAGCTACAGGGCTCCTGCCGTCCACTGGCTCCAGCCCATCCCAAGCGGGAATTCCTTCCCAGCAAGTCCCCAGCTCTCACTTGCATACCTTCAGTGGCAGGAAACTCACTACTTCATGAGGATCCCGTTCCATCGTGGTCATGCACTTGGGCTCTGAAGACGCTCCCCCGAGGGTCCTAGGGAACCCACTTTCTAGTCCTTCAACAGCAGGCGACTTGGGCCTTTGTCTACTTTGTGTACTGGGGAGTCCCCAAGGCCTGGCACAGGCGAGGCATTGAGTGAATGAATGACAGTCAATGAACACACTCAGTTGTTCTGTGCATCTGTTTCATTACCTGTGAAACAGGGTTAATAATAGTATTTACCTCATAAGGCTGTGAGGATTAAATGAGACAGGACCTCTAAACAGGTTTAGTGCCATGCCTGGTACATAATAAATCCTCAGCAAATATTGTTTTCCTCTTATTTTTTCTCTTCTTTAATAGCTACAGATAGCTCTACTCTTTTTTTCTTTTTTTTTTTGACGTGGAGTTTCGCTCTTGTTGCCCAAGCTAGAGTGCAGTGGTGTGATATTGGCTCACCGCAACCTCCACCTCCCAGGTTCAAGTTATTCTCCTGCCTTAGCCTCCTGAATAGCTGGGATTACAGGCATGTGCCACCATGCCCAGCTAATTTTTGTATTTTTAGTACAGATGGGGTTTCTCCATGTTGCTCAGGCTGGTCTCCAACTCCCGACCTCAGATGATCCGCTGGCCTTGGCCTCCCAAAGTGCTGGGATTACAGGTGTGAGCCACCACACCTGGCTGCCATAGCTCTGCTCTTATTATCTGAAAGATCTGTTTTAGAGCAAAGTGATTCTGATTTTTTTTTTTTTTTTTTTAGACAGGGTCTCATACTGTTGCCCAGGCTTGGAGTACATGGCATGATCACAACTCACTGCAGCCTCGACCTCCTGGGCTCAGGCAATCCTCCCACCTTAGCCTCCCAAGTAGCTGGGACTACAGACGCATGCCACCATGCCTGGCTAATTAAAAAAATTTTTTTGTAGAGACTGGGTTTTTCATGTGGCCCAGGCTGGTCTTGAACTCCTGGGCTCAAGCGATCCACCTGCCTTGGCCTCCCAAAGTGCTGGGATTACAGGCATGAGCCACGGTGCCCGGCCTGATTCTAATTCTTAAAATTTTCACACAGGCTGGGTGCGGTGGCTCCCACCTGTAATTCCAGCACTGAGCCCTT
Source organism: Homo sapiens (assembly GCF_000001405.40). NCBI lineage: Eukaryota > Metazoa > Chordata > Mammalia > Primates > Hominidae > Homo > Homo sapiens. The sequence goes on from NC_000001.11 coordinate 24,690,144, forward strand.
ACTGCATCTCATTAATTCTTCCACCTGTGTTCCTGGGCATTCTTCTCCCATTTTATAGATGAAGGAACCAAGGCACACAAAGGTCACATAGGCTGGGCGCGGTGGCTCACGCCTGTAATCCTAGCACTTTAGAAGGCCAAGGCAGGCATATTGCTTGAGCCCAGGAGTTTGAGGCCAGCCTTGGTAACATGGAGAAACCCCATCTCTACAAAAAAATTAGCCAGGCGTGATGGCACGCACCTGTAGTCCCAGCTACTCTGGGAGCTGAGGCAGGAAGATCTCCTGAGCCTGGGAGGCAGAATCTGTCTCAAAAAAAAAGAAAGTCACATAGCTGGTGAGCAATAGAACCAGGATTTAGATCTTGTCTGTCTGACTCCAGAACCCACCCCTTCACCTCTAAGCCTTATTAGTAGAGACAGGGTTTCACCATGTTGACCAGACTGGTCTCGAACTCCTAACCTCATGATCCACCCGCCTCAGCCTCCCAAAGTGCTGGGATTACAGGTGTGAGCCACCACGTGCCTGGCCTTTTTTTTTTTTTTTTTTTGAGATGAAGTCTCACTCTGTCATCCAGGCTGGAGTGCAGTGACACAATCTTGGCTCACTGTGAGCCGGGTGTGGTGGCACGCACCTGTAGTCTCAGCTACTCAGGAGGCTGAGGCAGAAGAATCGCTTAAGCCCGGGAGGCGGAGGTTGCAGTGGGCCAAGATCGAGCCACTGCACTCCAGCCTGGGTGACAGAGCTAGACTTCCAGTCAAAAAAAAAAAAGATCCTCATAGGAGCACGAACCCTACTGTGAAGTGTGCATTTGAGAGATCTAGGTTTTGTGCTCCTTATGAGAATCTAATGACTGATGATCTGAGGTGGGAAGATTTCATCCTGAAACCATGCTCCTGCTGCCTGTGGAAAAATTGTCTTCCACAAAACTGGTCCCTGGTGTCAAAAAGGTTGGGGACTGCTGCTCTAGAGGATGTTCTGGGGCCTGTGGGGAATTTTCTGTTCTGAGCCTTCCACGTACTACCCCGATGTCATGGCTATTACATGGCTTCCCAGCATATGTTCCCTGTCTCTCCCACCATCAGAGCCATATTGGGCTCTACTGGAATTCTATGCTAGTGGGTGGGGTTGGTAGCACTCTTCCAGGGTGGGCTCTGATGACCCTGGAGGAGAAGCCATATGCATCCAATCTCTCTAGTCACAGAAATGAACACTACCTCAGTCAGAGCCAAGGATTTGCCAAGAGAAGTCAGTGGAGCTTTTTGAGGGAGAGAAGCTGCTTTTCATTTCTACAGGAGTACTGGAAGAGGTACTCTCTTTCCCTGGACAGTGTGTTAAGGGGATGTGAGAGCTAGAGATGCAGTAGCTCTTATTCCCAAAAATTTCTGTTGAGAATGAAGTCAACATACAGAGGAAGGCAGAGCCCAGAGACTTCAAGAAGAAAAAGAACCTAGGCCAGGCACAGTGGTTCACACCTGCAATCCCAGCACTTTGGGAGGACAAGGCGGGAGGATCGTTTCAGCTTGTGTTCAAGACAAGCCTGGGCAACATTGTGAGACCTCTTCTCTACTAAAAAAAAAAAATCTTTTTTTATTAGCCAGTTACTTGGTCCCAGTTACTTGGGAGTCTGAGATGGGTGGATCACTTTAGCCCAGGAGAATCGCTTGAATAGAGGCTGCAATGAGCCGTGATTGCACCACTGCACTCCAGCCTGGGCAACAGAAGGAGACCCTGTCTCCAAAATAAGAAAAAAAGAAAACAATGAAAGAAGAAATAGAACCTAGTCTGTGGTGTTATTAGTTACTTATTGCTGTGTAACAAATCACCCCCAATTTAGCAGTTTAAAACATTTATTGGGCCAGGCGCAGTGGTTCATGCCTGTAATCCCAGCACTTTGGGAGGCCGAGGCAGGTGGATCACGAGGTTAAGAGTTCAAGACCAGCCTGGCCAACATGGTGAAACCCCGTCTCTACTAAGAATACAAAAATTAGCCGAGCGTGGTGGCAGGCGCCTGTAATTCCAGCTACTCGGGAGGCTGAGGCAGGAGAATTGCTAGAACCCGGGAGGCAGAGGTTACAAGGAGCCAAGATCGGGCTACTGCACTCCAGCCTGGGTGACAGAGCAAGACTCTGTCTTGAAAACAAAAAAAAACAACAATAACAAAAAACATTTATTATCTCCCAGAGTCGCCAGAGTTGAGGATTGGAAATTGGAAGAGATCCCAATTAGTGGTTCTGGCTCAGGGTCTCTAATGTGTTTATAGTTAAGATGTTGGCTAGGGGTGCAGTCATCCACTTCCAAGATGGGGCTGGAGGATCCACTTTGAAGATGGTGCACTCATGTGGCAATTGGCAGGAGGTCTCAGTGCCTCACCAAGCGGGCTCTCCATAGCAGCTAGCTTTCCCCAGAGCGATGATGACGATGACGATGACGATGATGATGATGATGATTGTGTGTGTGATAGAGAGAAGGAAGCCACAGTGCCTTCTACAACCTGCACACTATCATCTTTGCTTTTTTTCTATTCATTAGAAGCAAGTCACTATGTCCAGCCCACAGCCAAGGGAAGCATAACTAGGATTCCTTTTAAAGGAAGTGCCAAAGAACGCATGGACTGATTTTAAACCACACCGTAGTGACGCCACTCGAGCTGCTGGAGGAAGCCCTCACCTGAGGACTCACCTCGAATCCAGTTAATTCCCCTTATGGTGAAGCCAGTTTGACCTAGGTTTTCTAAGTCATACCATTCAAAGAATGATTTTTATCTTCCTCATCTTATCCTCCAGATCTGCCTTGTCTGACTATGCTCCTTTTATGGGCAGTGGTGGGAGCTGGGCCCAGACTCTAGGGGAGGAAGGGTGGACCCTTCTCACCTTCTCAGTCTTTGGTCCTATTTTTTTTCTTTTTTTTTGAAAAGGGGTCTCACTTTGTCACCCAGGCTGGAGTGCAGTGGAGCTATCATGGCTCACTTGCAGCCTCAACCTCCCAGGCTCAGATGATTCTCTCACTTCAGCGTCTCAAGTAGTTGGGACTACAGTCTCACACCACCATATCTGGCTAATTTTTTTGTATTTTTAATATAGATGGGTTTTCGCCATGTTGCCCAGGCTGGTCTCGAATTCTTGGGCTCAAGCAATCCTCCTGCCTCAGTCTCCCCAAGTGCTGGCATTATAGGCGTAAGCCACCACATTTGGCCTTGGTCCTTTTTTTTTGTTTTTTTTTTTTGTTTGTTTTTGTTTTTGAGATGGAATCTCACTCTGTTGCCCAGGCTGGAGTGCAGTGGTGCGATCTCGGCTCACTGCAAGCTCCCCCTCCTGGGTTCACGCCATTCTCCTGCCTCAGCCTCCGAGTAGCTGGGACTACAGGTGCCCACCGCCACTCCTGGCTAATTTTTTGTATTTTTAGTAGAGACGGGGTTTAACCGTGTAAGCCAGGATGGTCTCAATCTCCTGACCTCGTGATCTGCCCACTCGGCCTCCCAAAGTGCTGTGATTACAGGTGTGAGCCACCAAGCCCGGCCTAATTTTTGTATTTTTAGTAGAGACGGGGTTCCACCATGTTGGCCAGGCTGGTCTCGAACTCCTGAACTCAGGTGGTCTGCCCACCTTGGCCTTCCAAAGTGCTGGATTACAGGTGTGAGCCACCATGCTCAGCCTTGGTCCTTTATACTACAAGCCTGGGCAACATAGTGGGTACACACTACTGTCCCATGGCCACCAGTGATGCTGGGTACAGGAAAACCACATTGTTCTATGGACTCCTGACCATGGTACTCATCCTTCCACTGGCCACTCCTGCTAAGACATGGCTTTTCCATCCTGTAATTGCCCTTAAACATTGGGCAACAATTTCCAGGTCTCTCTGGGTCAGTCCCTTCGGGGGAAGGAAGACAGAGGAATCATGTGGCCAGGTGGGAAGAGCTCTGGGCCAGCTTCCACTCAGCCTTGCTGTGTGACCTTGAGGAAGTCCCTGCTCCTCTCTGGGCCACAGTTTCCTCCTTTTTGAATGCAGAAGGTTGTATTAACATATCTGAGGATGCTTTGGGGTTTTCTTAGTTCACTTCTGTCCAGAGAAGATGATGAAATTTTAGGAGCAGCCTCACTTCCAACACACCGGGTCTTGCGTGGTCATTCATACCCCGGCAGAGAAAAAGCTGCATACTTCATGCCCTTTGCCCTTCACCATCTCATCTGATCCTCCCAGCAGCCAGCAAGGACACGGGGCAAGGCACTGGAGGCAACAGAGGCTCAGCAGCAAGACAGGGTACGTGCAGAGAGCTGCGGGACAGACGTGGCCTCACCAGCAGGACCCGTGATTAAACAGCAGCTGTGGTTCACTAAGTGCTTTCTGCTTATTATGTGCCAAGTACTTCACATGTGGCTGCTTTGTGTCATTCTCACATCAAACCTGATGGGTGGTTACTATAATTATCTCCTTTTACAGATAAGGAAACTGAAGCCCAGAGGGGTGGAGTAACTAGTCCAGCAAAAGTAAGCCATGTAACTGGGATTCAAATTCAGCTTGAACATCTCAGCACTCATCTGTTTTCGATCACATAACACTCCCTCTAGGCATTCACAGGAGCTCAAGGATAGGAGTAGGGAGGGGAAAGCTAGGAGTCCGAAGACTTGAGGGGCCAGGCATGGTGGCATGCACCTGTAATCCCAGCATTTTAGGAGGCTGAGGTGGGAGGATGGCTTGAGCCCAAGAGATCAAGGTTGCAGTGAGCCGTGATCGTGCCACTGCACTCCAGCCTGGGAAACAGAGAAAGACTATGTCTTGGAAATGGTAGAGGACCTTTAAAAAATAAAGAATAAAAAAGTACAAAACCAAAGACTTGCGCAGATGCGGTGGCTCACGCCTGTAATCCCAGCACATCAAGAGGTCGAGGCGAATGGATCACCTGAGGTCAGGAGTTTGAGACCAGCCTGGCCAACCTTGCGAAACCTCGTCTCTACTAAGAATACCAAAATTTGTCAGTTGCGGTGGCAGGCGCAGTGGCGGGCGCCTGTAATCCCAGCTACTTGGGAGGCTGAGGCAGGAGAATCGCTTGAACTCGGGAGGCAGAGGTTGCAGTGAGCCAAGATCACACCATTGCCATTGAACTCCAGCCTAAGCAACAAGAGCGAGATTCCGTCTCAAAACAAAGCAAAACAAAACAAAAACAAAGACTTAGGTTCACGAACAAACTCTGAACACTTACTAATTCTAAGGCCAGGGTAAATCTTTCATCTTGCTCAGCCTCAGTTTCCTTATCTGTAAAATGGGGATCATAATTTGTCATCCAAATTGTGAGGATTGGGTAAAAACATTTTTAATAAGGGCATGTATGTGAGCATCCCCCATGTATGGCAAAGAAGTTGTCTAAATTTAAGAGGTTGTTGTTTTTCTTAATCTCAGAGCAGGAGCCAGGGCAGGAAGTAGGCAGGCTGATTAGGGCGGCCAAGTGTCCCTGCCCAAGAGTGACTACTTCCGTCCCTGGTGTTCTTCATTAAGTCCCCAGGAAAGGAGGAGGGTGGGCCGGAAGAAAGGGCAAAGCTCTAGGTCCTTATCTAGAACTCTGCCTCCATGCAAGAGCCCTCCAAGGGAAGAGAAGTTCTGGATTATCACCACTGAGCTCCAAGCATGCCAGAGGGCTCAGCAGGGAGAAAGTCTGTCAGCACCTGACCCAGCAACAGCTGGGGAGAGGCCTGGATGGGTAGGTTGCATGCCTCCCCCTCAGCCTGTGTCATGGCCCTGCCCTGGCCTCATGGTCCAGGACTCAGTCCCCATAGCCTGTCCTACCAAGGGGAACACCAGACTCCAGCACTGCGATGCACAAATGCCAAACCCTCCCAAGGGGCAGCTTTGGCAAGTGACTGGAACTGGAGTCAGGAGGCGCCGGCTCTTGTTCTGGTTTTGTCCCTTCTCCTCGCTGGGTATCAGCATCCCTACTGTGGAATAAGGGACATTCCCTCGAGGGCATTTACATAGTGTGGATCTGGCGTACCACTTGCTACCCCTGCCACAAAGTGTTGTTCCTTGTGCCTTCTTCCTGGGCTGCTGGAGAAAAGGCTCATGCCACATGTGCTGCCCTCTCTGGGTGTGGTCAACAGCTCCCCAGCCCAGGACACTCAAGTGTGACACCCAGATGACACTCAAGTCATCTGTGTCATTTTCTGTTTCTGGTGCTTCCTGAATTCCAGTTCTTTCTTGTTCCCAAGTAGATGGAGAGCTCCCTGAGGACAAGCAACTGGGGTCTCCTTACCCCTCCCCAAGAACTAGGGCTTAGCACAGAGTAGACCCTCAGGGCTGGTTAGCAGCTGTGCTGTTGGGCCATCCTTGAGGCCCTTGATGAACATGGCCTCCATCACCAGTGCCTGTTGCAGCGTTCTGGCCACACAGGGAGGAACCCCAGTTTCTGCTCCTGGTTCTGCTCAACTCAGTCTGCAGGACTTTAGGCAAGGCTCTGTCAAAAGCATCTGTGGTTTTTCAAAATGTGCCAGGTGGAGGCCAGGCGTGAAGTGGATAATCCTCAGGGGCAGATGGGGACTGGTACTCCAGCCCTCACCCCACCATCCAGAGCTGCTCCATTCTTAGCTTTTAGCTTTTACACACTGGGATTCCACAATAGTGACTTCGCAGCTTCACAGAGGTAAAATTGACATACAATAAACTGACATATTGACATAAAATAAACTGACACATTGAGCATGTAAAATATACTTTTTTTTTTTTTTTTTAAAGACAGAGTCACACTCTGTTGCCCAGGCTAGAGTTCAGTGGCGCAATCTCTGCTCACTGCAGCCTCTGCCTCCTGGGTTCAAGTGATTCTCCAGCCTCAGCCTCCGGAGCAGCTGGGATTACAGGCATCCGCCACCATACCTGGCTAATTTATTTGTTTTTTTGTTTGTTTTTGTTTTAGAGACGGAGTTTCGCTCTGTCGCCCGGCTGGAGTGCAGTGGCACAATCTCAGCTCACTGCAACCTCCGCCTCCTGGTATCCGGAATTGGTTCTTTCCGGTGGGTTCTTGCTCTGCTGACTTCCAAGAATGAAGCCGCGGACCCTTGCAGTGAGTGTTACAATTCTTAAAGATGGTGTGTCCAGAGTTTGCTCCTTCAGATGTTCAGATGTGTCTGGAGTTTCTTCCTGCCAGTGGGTTCGTGGTCTTGCTGACTTCAGAAGTGAAGCCGCAGACCTTTGCAGTGAGTGTTACAGCTCTTAAAGGTGGTGTTTCCAGAGGCGTTTGTTCCTTCCAGTGGGTTCATGATCCCGCTGACTTCAGGAGCGAAGCTACAGACCCTCACAGTGAGTGTTACAGCTTTTAAAGGTAGACTGGATCCAAAGACTAAGCAGCAGCAAGATTTATTGCAAAGAGCAAAAAAACAAATCTTCTACAGCAAGGAGAGAAACCCAAACAGGTTACCGCTGGGAGCTCAGGTGGCCAGCTTTTATTCCATTACTTGGCCTCGCCCATGTCCTGATGATTGGTCCATTTTACAGAGCACTGATTGGTCCATTTTACAGAGTGCTGATTGGTCCATTTTTACAGAGTGCTGATTGGTGTGTTTTTACAGAGTGCTGATTGGTGCGTTTACAAACCGTTGGCCAGACACAGAGCTCTGATTGGTGTGTTTTTACAGAGTGCTGATTGGTGTGTTTACAAACCTTTAGCTAGACACAGAGCGCTGATTGGTGTGTTTACAATCCTGTAGCTAGACAGAAAAGTTCTCCAAGTCCCCACCTGATCCAGAAACCCAGCTGCCTTCACCTCTCACCGGGTTCAAGTGATTCTCTTGCTTCAGCCTCCTGAGTAGCTGGGACTATAGGCGCCTGCCACCATTCCTGGCTAATTTTTTGTATTTTTAGTGGAGATGGGGTTTCACCATGTTAGCCAGGATGGTCTCAATCTCCTGACCTCCTGATCCGCCCACCTCAGCCTCCCAAAATTTCTTTGTATTTTAGTAGAGACAGGGTTTCACCATGTTGGCCAGGCTGGTCTCAAACTCCTGACCTCAAGTATTCTGCCCTCCTCAGCCTCCCAAAGTGCTGGGATTACAGGCATGAGCCACGGTGCCTGGTTAATTTGATAAGTTTTGACACATAGACACACCAGTGAAACCATCAACACAATGAAGATGGTGAGCACATCCTTCACCCTCAAAAGTTTCTTCATGTCCTGGCACCACAGCTCATGCCTGTAATCCCAGCACTTTGAGAGGCTGAGACAGGAGGATCGTTTGAGAATAGGAGTTTGAGACCAGCCTGGGCAACATGGCAAAACCTCATCTCTACAAAAAAATACAAAAATTAGCTCGGCGTGGTGGTGCGAGTGCACACCTGTAGTTCCAGTTACCTGGGAGACTGAGGTGGGAGGATCACCTGAGCCCAAGAGGTCAAGGCTACAGCGAGCCATAATTGCGCCACTGCACTCCAGCCAGGGTGACAGAGCTGGAAAAAAAAAAAAAAGTTGGCCAGGCGCAGTGGCTCGCACCTGTAATCCCAGCACTTTGGGAGGCCAAGGCAGGTAGATTGCCTAAGGTAAGGAGTTTGAGACCAGCCTGACCAACATGGTGAAACCCTGTCTCTACTAAAAATACAAAAATTAGCTGGGCATGATGGAGGGCACCTGTAATCCCAGCTACTCGGGCGGCTGAGGCAGGAGAATCACTTGAACCTAGGAGGCGGAGGTTGCAGTGAGCTGAGATCGCGCCATTGCACTCCAGCCTGGGCATTAGAGCGAGAGTCCATCTCAAAAAAAAAAAAAAGTCTCCTTGTGCCCCTTTTTAATTCCTTTCTACCTTCCATTGCCCAGGAACCACGATGTGGCTCTGTCACTCTATATCAGTTTATATTTTCTAGAATATTATGGAAATGGAATCACAGCATGCACTCTTTTTTGCCCAGCTTCCTTCACTCAGCATTATTAATTTGAGATTCACCTCCCTTGGCCCATGTATCAATAGTTCATTCCTTTTTAATGCTGAATGGTATTCTGTTGCTAGGATATACCACAGATGGTTTCTCCATTGACCTGTGGGTGGGAGTTTGGGTTGTTTCCAGTTTTTGGCTATCGCAAATGCAGCTGCTATGAACATCTGTTCACATAAGATCTTTTGTTTTTTTTTGAGATGGAGTCTCACTTTGTCATCCAAGCTGGAGTGCAGTGGCACGATCTCGGCTCACTGCAACTTCTGCCTCCTGGGTTCAAGCAATTCTCCTGCCTCAGCCTCCCAAGTAGCTGGAATCACAGGCGTGTGCCACCGCACCCAGCTAATTTTTGTATTTTTAGTGGAGACAGGGTTTCACCATGTTGGGCAGACAGGTCTCGAACTCCTGACCTCAAGTAATCTGCCCGCCTTGGCCTCCCAAAGTGCTGGGATTAGAGGCATGAGCCACCATGCCCAGACCACACAAGATTTTTATCTGAGGAAGTTGCACTACTGAAAAAAAAAAAAAAAAAAAGCTGGAGAAGATGGTCCCTGAAGTCACAGGCTTTTAAGGGCCTGGAAACTGTGGTGGGCCAAGGTGGGGCACCGAGGAGTAAGGGAACTGCCATTTTGAGCCTCTACTGAATGCACCTGCCCACATTCATTGATGTAATCACACCCCAGCTGGGAAGCAGGTGCCATTGTTATTCCCAGGATACAGACAAAGCAGCTGAGGCACAGACGAGTGACTGTAACTGTCTCATGACACACACGGAGGCCACAGCAGAGCCATGATTCAGACCCAAGGTCTGGCTGCCTCCAGGCCCAGGCTCAGGACCACCGCACACTCGTCACGAGAACCAGCACTGGTTCCTTGGCTTGCTTTGACCCCTTGTGTGGCTGAGGTTCATGCTTGTGGTGGTTCCCATGGTGCTGGGCCACAGGACGCACCTGGTCAAGACTTGGAAGCAGGATGGGGAGCTGGGGACAGAGGAGCAGCAGGAAGTGAGTCCGTCATGCAACTGAAGGGCATCTGGTTCCTGGCCAGACAGGGAATGGAAAGAGGGACCCCCCCTTATTTTTATTTATTTATTTTTGAGATGGAGTCTTCGCTCTGTCGCTCAGCCTGGAGTGCAGTGGCGCGATCTCAGCTCACTGCACCCTCCACTCCCGGGTTCAAGCAATTCTCCTGCCTCAGCCTCCCGAGTAGCTGGGACTACAGGTGCCCGCCACCTCACCTGGATAATTTTTGTATTTTTAGTAGAGATGGGGTTTCACCGTATTGGCCAAGCTGGTCTTGAGCTCCTGACCTTGTGATCCACCCGCCTTGGCCTCCCAAAGTGCTGGGATTACAGGCGTGAGGCACCGCACCCAGCTGAGTCCCCTTATTATGCAGGGATCTCTGGGCCTTTCGCTCAGTCTCTCCTATCACGTCCACAGTACCACTGTGAGGTGGAAATCATCATCTCCATTTCGTAGATGAGAAAACGGGGGCTCAGGAGGTTTGGGCAGGATTCTCTCAGCTTCCAGTAACAGAAAAGCCAACTGAAAATGGCTTAAATGATGAAGACACTGATCTGACAAGGAAGCCAAAATTTTAGGTCTGGGAACTTCTGGATCGTTAACCCAGGGGCTCCACAGGGAAGGGATTTCGAGACTCATCCTCTTTCCCTCCTGGTGAGCTCCATCCTTTGCATATCAGCTCTTCCCTCCTTCTCAGCCCCAGAATGGCTGCTCTGCAGCGGTTTCAGGGGCCACGGGCCCACAGTGGCATTCAGAAACAAAGAGAACCCCATCCTCCCTTGTCACCCCTTTTAAGATGGAAGAGAACCCATCATTTCTTACTGGCCAGAATTGCCTAAACCAATCACTTGGTAAGGAAATGAGACCACCTCGGGTGGCCCAGACCCGCTGAGATCCACTTCCTGGGAAGAAGCTCTCCCGAAGGCCAGGGGTGCTGAGAGGAGGACAAACAGCATCCAGGTTTTGCCAGGCATAGCAGCTCACACTTGAGATCCCAGCTACTCAGGAGGCTGTGGCAGGAGGATCACTTGAGTCCAGGAAGTGGAGACTGCATTGATCTATGATTGTGCCACTGCACTCCAGCCTTGGTAACACAGCAAAACCCCATCTCTAAAAAAAAAAAAAAAAAAAAAAAAGGGGCGTGGTGGTTTACACCTGTAATCCCAGCACTTTGGGAGACCTAGGTGGGTGGATCACCTGAGGTGAGGAGTTCGAGACCAGCCTGACCAACATGGTGAAACCCGTCTCTACTAAAAATACAACAACAAAAAAATAGCTGGGAGTGGGGGCATGCGCTTATAATCCCAGCTACTTGGGAGGCTGAAGCAGGAGAATTGCTTGGACCCGGGAGGCGGAGGTTGCCGTGAGCCGAGATGGCGCCATTGTACTCCAGCCTGGGAAACAAGAGCAAAACTGCATCTCAAAAAAAAAAAAAAAAGATTCCAGATTTTGCTAATAAGGAAGAAGGGGTCTGCCTCAGAGCAGAAGAGACTTGCTCAAGATGTCCACGTGGTTAGAGGTGGATCTGTGGATCTGGGCCCTAAGACAGGCCTGGCCCTGTTATTCCCCTCTCTTTATTATCCCCATTTCTTTTTGTTTGTTTGTTTTGTTTTGTTTTTGAGATGGAGTCTCACTGTGTCACCCAGGCTGGAGTGCATTGGTGCAACCTCGGCTCACTGCAACCTCTGCCTGGCAGGTTCAAGCTATTCTCCTGCCTCAGCCTCCCAAGTAGCTGAGATTATAGGTGCCCGCCACCATACCTGGCTAATTTTTGTATTTTTAGTAGAGACGGGGTTTCACCATGTTGGCCAGGCTGGTCTCAAACTCTTGACCTCAGGTGATCAGCCTGCCTCGGCCTCCAAAAGTGCTGGGATGACAGGTGTGAACCACTGTGCCCAGTCTATTATCCCAATTTCATAGAGGAGAAAATTGAGGCTCATATTATAGAATCTAGGAGGCTTCTTACCAACCCCAGAAGTCTGTGTAAATAATGTTAGTAATTCTCACATTGAACACTTTATGTGCCCCCACATATCCCATCACCTATGAGGTCAGATGGTTATTTTATTTTATTTTTTTTTTGAGACAGAATCTCACTCTGTCATCTAGGCTGGAATGCAGTGGTGTGATCTCGGCTCACTGCAACCTTCACCTCCTGGGTTCAAGTGACTCTCCTGCCTCAGCCTCCTGAGTAGCTGGGATTACATGTGCCCGCCACCATGCTCGGCTTATTTTTCTATTTTTAGCAGGGACAGGGTTTCACCATGTTGCCCAGGCTGGTCTTGAACTCCTGGCCTCAAGTGACCTGCCCGCCTCAGCCTCGCAAAGTGCTGAGATTACAGGCATAAGCCACCATGCCCAGCCATCAGATGCTATTAAAATCTCCATTTTACAGAGGAAGACACAGAGGCACAGAGAATAAGAAGCTTGCCTGAGGCTACACAGCCAGAAAGTGGTGGTGCTGGTATTTGAACCCTGCCTGGTATTCCAGGATCCCATCATGCCAGGTCAAGCGGGAAGCCCAGACTGGTGAGTCAAAGGACAGGTGGGGCAGTCCCCAGCCAAACAGAGAGAGTTGAGTAGCAACAGGCGAAGGCCAGCTGTTTGAGAGGCCCACTAGCTGGGAATGGGGCTGGGGCCAGGCCAGCTGGCAGGCCCAGCTGAACCTGCAACATGAGCCCAGGAACCATCACTACCCACCCACCGTGCCTCTCGAGTTCCCAGTCTCCTGCTCAGCCCCCTCCAGGAGCCTGAAGTACAGATTCAGGTTTGATGGGCAACAAGTGCTCGCAGGACAGCTCAGCAAACCACATGCGCTGACAGCCCAGAGGCACCTCAAAGAGTTTTTGGTCCAATGCTCCAAAAATGCTCATTTTCCAGACAGGGAAACTGAGGCATGCATAAAATATTTTGTTTTTGTCTGTCTTATTCACTGCTTCATTCCATCTCCCAAAACAATGCTTGGCACATAGTAGGTACTCAGTAAATATTTGTAGAATGACTGACTCATGAATGAATGTGGTTTTTCCAAGGCACTTAGCATTGCACAGGGGCAAAGGCTCATACAATAGAAAGCTGGCTGTCGGGAACAAAGCCTCTTCTCCTCCAACCCCTCAAGTCAAATGGGAAGACTGGGGGGCTCAGAGTAAAGAGTCCACAATCAAGGATATACCCTCACAAGGAAAACAGGCTCTCGTAGGCACACAGCATTTAATCCATTTCCCCCAATACCTAGACACACACACACGCATGCCTCACTTTAGTTACAAGGGCAGCAGAACCCATTCACTCTGTTTAAGCATAAATGGGGAAGGGGGAATTTACTGGCAGGATCCCTGTGCAACCCAAGGGCAGGAAACTCAGCCAGTGCTCCCAAACGGGCCAGAAACAAACACAGAAAGTTTTTTTTTTAAATGACATTATGGGCCGGGTGCGGTGGCTCACACCTGTAATCCCAGCACTTTGGGAGGCCAAGGCAGGTGGATCACGAGGTCAGGAGTTCAAGACCAGCCTGGCCAAGATGGTGAAACCCGGTCTCTAATAAAAATACAAAAATTAGGCCGGGCGTGGTGGCTCACACCTGTAATCCCAGCACTTTGGGAGGCCGAGGCGGGCGGATCACAAGGTCAGGAGATCGAGACCATCCTGTGAATGGTGAAACCCTCTCTGTACTAAAAATACAAGAACTTAGCCGGGCATGGTGGCAGTCGCCTGTAGTCCCAGCTACTTGGGAGGCTGAGGCGGGAGAATGGCGTGAACCCAGGAGGTGGAGCTTGCACTGAGCCGAGATTGCGCCACTGCACTCCAGCCTGGGCGACAGAGTGAGACTCCGTCTCAAAAAAAAAAAACAACGAAAAAACAAAAATTAGCTTGGCGTGGTGGTGGGTGCCTGTAATCCCAGCTACTCGAGAGGCTGAGGCAGGGAATTGCTTGAACCCAGGAGGTGGAGGTTGCAGTGAGCCAAGATCACGCCACTGCACTCCAGCCTAGGTGACAGAGTGAGACTCTGTCTCAAAAAAAAAAAAAAAATGACATTACGGGTTGGACACAGTGGCTCACACCTATAATCCCAGCACTTTGGGAGGCCAAGGCAGGTGGATCACTTGAGGTCAGGAATTGGAGACCAGCCTGGCCAACATTATGAAATCCCGTCTCTACTAAAATACAAAAATTAGCTGGGCGTGGTGGCGGGCACCTGTAATCCCAGCTACTTGGGAGGCTGAAGCAGGAGAATCACTTGAACCCAGGAGGCGGAGGTTGCAGTGAGCTGAGATTGCGCCACTGCACTCCAGCCTGGGTGATAGAGCAAGACTCCATCTCAAAAAAAAAAAAAAGAAAGAAAAAGAAAAAGAAAAAAAAATGACATTACCCGCCATCGCCCCATCCCTCTGGTCTGCACATCCACTTTCTTCTTCTCTTCCCTGCTCAGAACTTTCTCCCAGCCCCTGGCTGTCCCAGGCCCAGCTTTATAGGTCCTCTTGGTTCAAACACCCAACAGAGACTGGGTGTCTGGATCTCAATCACACATTCTCAGCAGAGGGAACCTGACTGGCTGGCTGGTCTTGGGAGCCGTGGGGGTCTAGGGGCCACCGCCCACCACTCAGGGCTGTGGGGGCAGACTCAGAGAGGGGTGTGGTTGTGGAGGGTGGGAAGAAATGAGGCCTGCCCAGGCCCAGCAGCTTGTCTAATTCCTTTCAACCCGCCCCCTCCCGCCGCCTCCCCCCGTCTTCCCAGACAAGAGGTCTTGAATCTCTCCCAGGATGAGGCTGTTAGGCTACCCACACAAACACGACGTCATCCATTGTCCCTCATTATTCATTATTGTTAGAGGGCTCTTAAGTCATCCTTTCTCCTTCTGAACTAGCCGTTGCTCATCTGCTCATGTCTGTGGCTGCAGCAATTAATGCCAGTTTCAGTCAGTACAAACCAATCATTCCCTCGGTTTGCTTCTTTGGCTGCTATAAACAATTTTTTTTTTTTTTTTTTTTTTGAGACAGGGTCTCGCTTTGTCACCCAGGCTGGAGCGCAGTGGTTTGATCTCAGCTCACTGCAGCCTCGACTTCCCCAGGCTCAGGTAGGTGATCCTCCCACTTCAGTCTCCCAAGTGGCTGGGACTACAGGCAGATGCCACCATGCCCAGATAATTTTTAAATTTTTTTGTAGAGACGGGTCTCACTATGTTGCCCAGGCTAGTCTCAAACTCCCAGGCTCAAGTGAGTCTCCCGCCTCAGCCTCCTAAAGGGCTGGGATTACAGGAATGAGCCAGCGCTCCGGCCTAGAAACAATTTTTAAACCTTGTAAATCCAAACCCCATAAAAGAGAGGAACTGATTGGTTCTCCCACTCACCAATTTGTCAGGACTGCCCCTACTGGGCAGAGCTTTCGCACCAGCGGCCTCCGCCCTCCCCCATTCACACTAGCCTATAAAGTGGCTGCCTGAGATCCAGGGACCCGCCCATTCCTGGGCAGTGGTGGTTAGGGGCCCTTTGGGCTTTGGTTTTTGCAAACATTTTCTTTGCTTACCCTGATTCTTCTCTGGGCTGGTGCCAGTTTCGTGTGCTCCTACTCCCGCCCCTATTCTTTGTTCATTGTTTACTGAAGCCTGTTCTTCTCCTTCCTGTGGCTTCCCCACCTTTTTCCTGCTGCTTGCTCATTTTGGACACATCTCTAATTCTAAGTGATGACCACCTACGGTGCTTTCGGCAAGTCCCTTAGCTCCTTGGGCCTCCGTTTCCCCATGTGCATATTTGTGCTACTCAATTCCCACTTCACAGGGTTATGAAAGGAGTTAATGTATCTGCGAGCTCCTGCTACACAGCGAGCACTAAACAAACATCAGTGTCTGCCTTTCTGTTTGGCTTCAGTCCTTAAAGCTGTCAACAGACCAGAGAGGCGGAGCTGGACTAGGAGAGAAGAACCTGAGTTCAAGCCTCTGCTGTGCGTCTAACTTGCTGTGTGACCTTGAGAAGCCCCTTTCCCTCTCTCGGACTCGGTTTCCCCATCTGTCCAATGAGGATTGGACTAGAGGAGCATTTCCCAAACTGAAACTAACAGCACGCCACACAGAGAAAGAGTATCTTTGGAGCCAGGTGCGGTGGCTCACGCCTGTAATCCTAGCACTTTGGGAGGCTGAGGTGGGTGGATCACCTGAGCTCAGGAGTTCAAGACCATCCTGGGCAACATGGTGAAAACCCGTCTCTACTAAAAATACAAAAAGTTAGCTGGGCGTGGTGGTGGGCGCCCGTAATCCCGGCTACTCAGGAGGCTGAGGCAGGAGAATCGCTTAAACCTGGGAGGCAGAGGTTGCAGTGAGCCCACATTGTGCCACTGCACTCCAGCCTGGGCGACAGAGCGAGACTCACAGAAAAAAAGAATATCTTTGGCCAAACATTTTGGGAAAAGCCATTTAACAACTTTCAGAATATTACAGGCACTGAAACTGTGCTGTCCAATATGGTAGCCACTAAACACATGGGACT
This sequence comes from Homo sapiens, assembly GCF_000001405.40. Lineage (NCBI taxonomy): Eukaryota > Metazoa > Chordata > Mammalia > Primates > Hominidae > Homo > Homo sapiens. The sequence continues at coordinate 24,706,552 of NC_000001.11, forward strand.
ATTTAAATTAAACATAAATAAAATTTGAAACTCAGTTATTCGGTCTCACTAGCCACATTTCAAGTGCTCAATAGACACACGGGGTTAATGGCTACAGTACAGCAGAGAACAGGTAAGAGCATTGCCTTTAGCACAGAAAGCACCATTTGAAGGCGCTGTAATCAGAGGAGGCCTGCTTCACTTTAATCCAGCATTTCCCAAACACATTGTGCGTGTGTGTTTGTGTGTGTGTGTGTGACACAGGGTCTCATTCTGTCACCCAGGCTGGAGTGCAGCGGCACAAACACAGCTTGCTGTAGCCTTGACTCCTGGGCTCAAGCAATCCTCCTGCCTCAGCCTCCCAAGTAGCTGGGACTACAGGCATGTGCCACCACACCCGGGTAATATTTTTGTATTTTTTTTGTAGAGACAAGGTCTCACGGTGTTGCCAAGGCTGGTCTCAAACTCCTGGGCTCAAGCAATCCTTCTGCCTGCCTCAACCTCCCAGAGTGTTGGGATTACAAGCATGAGCCACCATTGCCTGGCCATGTTTTAACATTTTTCTTGGCTGAAAGGACATTATATTTGTGGAAAGAGAATGGCTTGCTGAGGCTGGAATGCACTGGGAAGGAGAGGAGACAGAGAAATTAGTTGTTCAGGATTAAGAAGCAAGTAGAGGCCAGGAGCTGTGGCTCACGCTTGTAACCTCAGCACTTCAGGAGGCCAAGATGGGTGGATCACAAGGTCAGGAGTTCGAGACCAGCCAGACCAACATGGTGAAACTCTGTCTCTACTAAAAATACAAAAATTAGCTGGGACTGGTAGCAGGTGCTTGCAATCCCAGCTACTCAGGAGACTGAGGCAGGAGAATCGCTTTAACCTGGGAGGCGGAGGTTGCCACGAGCTGAGATCATGCCACTGCACTACAGCCTGGGTGACAGAACGAGACTCCGTCTGAAAAAAAAAAAAGTAAGTAGAATTTGCGGGGGGAGATGAAAGAGGAGATGAGAGTGGGTTGAAAGTGGGAGAGGGTCTGGCAACCTGGTGGGCAGAGGGAGCCAGGAAAGGAAAGAGGACCAGCGGGCCAGGATGGCTGAAGGACTCCTGAGAAGAATGAACCTGATGTTCAGTTTTAAGTTGTCTGTACACAGCTGCATTGCAATGCAACTCCCCCATCCACCATCCACAAATCAGTAAAGGTCTACCACATCTTGACACATGGCCTTGGAGAAAATCAAGCAAAAAGGGCTATATGTTCTATCCCTGCGCTGCCAGTGTGTGTGTGTGTGTGGGGGGGGGGGGGGGGGGTGGAGGGGGAGGGGGGGTGGTGGTGGAAGGGCCCTCAAGGGAGTTGACAGCTGAAGGAGATCAAGAATTCAGTTGCAGGCCGGACGCGGTGACTCACACCTGTAATCTCAGTGCTTTGGGAGGCTAAGGCAGGTGAATCATGAGGTCAGGAGTTTGAGACCAGCCTGGCCAACATGGTGAAATCCCATCTCTACTAAAAATACAAAAAAATAGCTACTAGGCATGGTGACAGATGCCTGTAGTCCCAGCTACTTGGGAGGCTGAGGCAGGAGAACTGCTTGAACCCGGGAGGCAGAGGTTGCAGTGAGCCGAGACTGCACCGCTGCACTCCAGCCTGGGCAACAGTGAGACTTCATCCCCCCAAAAAAAAAAAAAAAAAATGGAATTCAGCTGCAGCAGGTTATACAGAAGGAAGAGAGGTAGAGGCTGGCTAGGAGAAATGGACCTCCTCCCCAAAAGTCCCCAGAGAGATTGGGAGGTGCGGTGGTTATAAAACACGGCCCCACAATTCTTTGACATTTCTCTCATCAAGATGTGGGGTTTTGTTTTTTCTTTTCTTTCTTTTTTTTTCTTTTTGAGACAGGGTCTTGCTCTGTCACCCAGGCTGGAGTGTACAATCATGGCTCACTGCCACCTCAACTTCTTGGACTCAAGCGGTCCTCCCACCTCAGCATCCCAAGTAGTTGAGACTATAGGCATGCACCACCATCCCTGGCTAATTTTTAAAAAATTTTTTGTGGCCAGGCGTGGTGGCTCATGCCTGTAATCCCAGGACTTTGGGAGGTCGAGGCGGGTGGATCACAAGGTCAGGAGTTCGAGACCAGCCTGGCCAATATGGTGAAACCCCGTCTCTACTAAAAAAAATACAAAAAAATTAGCCAGGCGTGGTGGCACATGCCTGTAATCCCAGCTACTCGGGAGGCTGAGGCAGGAGAATTGCTTGAATCCGGGAGGCGGAGGTTGCAGTGAGCTGAGATCACACCACTGCACTCCAGCTTGGGTGACAGAGCGAGACTCCGTCTCAAAAAACAAAAAAAAAAAGAAATTTAAAATTTTTTTGTAGAGACAAGGTCTCACCATGTCACCTAGGCTGCTCTTGAACTCCTGGGCTCAAGTGATCCTCCTGCCTCAGCCTCCTGAAGTGCTGGGATTACAGATGTGAGCCACTGTGCCCGGCCTACATGTGGGGTTTTGTATGCCATCCCCTTGAATATGGGCTCTATGACTATTTTGACTAATGGAGTATGATGGAAGTGACCCAAATCTTAAGAAACTGGTTGGTTTCACTTCCTATTTCTTGGGACACTTATTCTTGGAATCCAGTTGCTAAACTGTGCCCAGGCCACATTAACAGGCCATATGTAGGTGTTCTGGCCAATAGCCCCAACCGAGTTCCCAGTTGATAACCAGCGTTAATTGCCAGACATGTGAGTAAGAAAACCTCTAGATCACTCCAACCCCATTCACCAACTGACTGCAACCACGTGAAAAATCCTGTGGATTTGTGCACAACCTGTAGAACTATGAGAAGTAATGATATATATATACATACATTTTTTTTCCTTTTTTGAGACAGAGTCTTGCTCTGTCCCCCAGATTGGAGTGCAATGGTGTGATCTCGGCTCACTGCAACCTCCGCCTCCCAGGTTCAAGTGATTCTGCTGCCTCAGCCTCCCAAATAGCTGGGATTACAGGTGCCCACCACCATGCCCGGCTAATTTTCATATTTTAATAGAGGCGGGGTTTCACCAGGTTGGCCAGGCTGGTCTCAAACTCCTGACCTCAGGTGATCCACCCGCCTCGGCCTCCCAAAGTGCTGGGATTACAGGCGTGAGCCACCGCACCTGGCCAAAATGATGTTGCTTTAAGCCACTAAGTTTCAGCTGATTCATTTTGCTGCAATGGTTTTAACTGAAACAGCAGACAAGCCATGAAGCCCATTACAGTGGGGTGAGATATTAGAGCCGATTTTTCATAAAATCTTAAAGCATAAAAGGGCCTCAGTGAGCTGTAACACTTGTTAGATGACAGAGATCAACATCTGGATGAGCTTGATGTTAGATAAAGTCTCTGCTGTGACCTTGAGGAGTTGGACCAGGGACTGTCCAAGTCAGAGAGAGAAAGGTGTCAACTATGACTTGAATATTTCCAGCTTAGGCAGCTTGTCCTCTATGACAGCATGAGTTGAAATTGGAGGAGACAAAGAGGAAGAACAGATTTGGAGGAAAATGACAAGACCAATTAGAACACACTGTTGCATTTGATTTTTGGGGATTTTTTGTTGTTGTTTTTCTTTTCTTTTCTTTTTTGAGACAAGATCTCACTCTGTCACCCAGGTTGGAGTACAGTGGCACGATCATGACTCACTGCAGCCTCAACCTCCTGGGCTCAAGCCATGCTCCCACCTCAGCTTCCTGAGTAGCTGGGACCACAGGCGAGCGCCACCACACCCAGCCAATTTTTGTATTTTTTGTAGAAATGGGATCTTGCTGTGTTGCTTAGGCTGGTCTCAAACTCCTGGGCTCAAGCAATCCTCCCACCTTGGCCTCCCAAAGTGCTGGGATTATAGGCATGAGCCACTGTACCCGGTTACATTTGTAAAATGTTTTCTGTAAATGCCAAAGTCTGCTGATGGATAATAAAAAAGAAGAATTCTTGCTAGAAGTTTCGGCCCATGTTCTCTTTTTTTTTTTAAGATGGAGTTTCGCTCTTTTGCCTAGGCTGGAGTGCAGTGGTGCAATCTTGGCACATTGCAACCTCCACCTTCTGGTTTCAAGCTATTCTCCTGCCTCAGCCTCCTGAGTAGCTGGGATTACAGGCGCCTGCCACCACGCCCGGCTAATTTTTGTATTTTTTTTTTTTTGAGACGAATTTTTACTCTTGTTGCCTAGGCTGGAGTGCAATGGCGTGATCTCGGCTCACCACAACTTCCACCTCCCCAGTTTAAGTGATTCTCCTGCCTCAGCATCCCAAGTAGCTGGAATTACAGGCATTTGCCACCATGCTTGGCTAATTTTTGTATTTTTAGTAGAGATGGGGTTTCTCCATGTTGGTCAGGCTGGTCTCGAATTCCCGACCTCAGGTGATCCGCCCACCTCAGCCTCCCAAAGTGCTGGGATTACAGGTGTGAGCCACCACGCCCAGTCCCCCCATCTTTTTTTTTTTTTTTTTTTGAGACAGACTCTCACTCTGTCACCTAGGCTGGAGTGCAGTGGCATGATCTTGGCTCACTGCAACCTCCACCTCACGGGTTCAAGCGATTCTTCTGCCTCAGCCTCCTGAGTAGCTGGGACTACAGGCATGTGCCACCACACCTGGCTAATTTTTGTGTTTTTAGTAGAGATGGGGTTTCACTATATTGGCCAGGCTGGTCTCAAACTCCTGACCTCGTGATCCACCCACCTCTGCCTCCCAAAGTGTTGGGATTACAGGCGTGAGCCTCTGCGCCCGGCCTCGGCCCATGTTCTTACAGTAAAAGCTTTGAGGAGTCTGAAACCCAAATTCCATGTATTCATATCCTTGTTCATGCATTCATGTATTCATTCAATTTGCTCACTTAGCCAGCCATTCAGCAGGTAGAGTTATGCTTAAGAGAGGACCCTAGAACCAGACTACCTAGGTTCAAAATCCAGCTCTATCTCTTACTAGGTGCATGGCCTTGGGCAAGTGACGTCATCTCTTTTTCTTTATCTCCAAAGCGGGGATGATAATAACAGTACCAATATTATTGTAAAGATTAAAAGAATGAATACCTGGAAAATTCAGACCACTGGCTGTGGTGGCTCATACCTATAGTCCCAGCTACTTGGGAGGCTGAAGCAGGAAAATCGCTTAAGCCCAGGAGTTCAAGGCTGCAGTGAGCTATGATTGTGTCACGGCACTCTGGCCTGGGTGACAGAGAGAGACCCTGTCTCTATAAAACAAAATCAGGCCGGGCATAGTGGCTCACACCTGTAATCCCAGCACTTTGGGAGGCCAAGGCAGGCAGATCACCTGTTCAAGAGCAGCCTGGCCAACATGATGAAATCTCCTTTCTACTAAAAATACAAAAAGTAGCCGGGTATGGTGGCACATGCCTGTAATTCCAGCTACTCCGGAGGTTGAGGCAGGAGAATCGCTTGAACCCAGGAGGCAGAGGTTCCATGAGCCAAGATCATGCCACTGCACTCCAGCCTGGGAGACAGAGCGAGACTCCATCTCAAAAAGCAAAACAAAACAAAACAAAAATTCAGATCAATGCTTGGAACATAAAAACCTATAGATATTACTTATTAATACTCAATACTTTTTTTTTTTTTTTTTGAGATGGAGTCTTGTTGCTCTGTCATCCCGGCTGGAGTTGCAGTGGCACGATTTTGGCTCACTGCAACCTCCCCTCCGCCTCCCAGGTTCAAGCAATTCTCCTGCCTCAGCCTCCCAAGTAGCTGGGACTACAGGCAAGCGCCACCACACCCGGCTAATTTTTGTAATTTTTTTTTTTTTGAGACGGAGTCTCGCTCTGTCGCCCAGGCTGGAGTGCAGTGGCGTGATCTTGGCTCACTGCAACCTCCACCTCCTGGGTTCAAGCAATTCTCTTCCTCAGCCTCCCGAGTAGCTGGGACTACAGGCGCCCACCACCATGCCCAGCTAATTTTTGTATTTTTATTAGAGATGGGGTTTCACCATGTTGGTCCGGCTGCTCTCGAACTTCTGATCTCATGATCCACCCACCTAGGCCTCCCGAAGTGCTGGGATTACAGGCGTGAGCCACCGCACCTGGCTAATTTTTGTAATTTTTTTTTAGTAGAGACAGGTTTCACCATGTTGGCCAGGCTGGTCTCGAACTCCTGACCTCAAGTGATCTGCCTGCCTCAGCCTCCCAAAGTGCTGGGAATACAGGTGTGAGCCACTGTGCCTGGCCTCAATAAATAATGTTTTGAGCACCTACTATGCAGCTGGCTCCATGCTGCACTGAGGATACAGTAGTGCAGAAGACAGAGAGAAGACCTGCTCCATGACACTGACATTCTAGTCCTTATTCAGCACCAAGATCCTAAGTTTCCTTGGTTTTCTTTCGGATGTCTTGTCCCATTTGATTTTTAGAAAGACCCCATGAGGTTAGAGCAACCTTACCCCATTTGACAGAGGTGGAAACTGAGGCCCAGACAGGAGAACCGATGTCCTTTTTGCACAGTGCCTCAGCCGGCTGCCATGAATATGTGTGTCCGTTTGACAAAGGCATGGGGATAGGAGTGGTCAGGAGGCTCCATGTCTCCCATCAGCCAGCTGTTCTTCCTCTGCCTGGAGCCCTTCCAGTGACCCAGCTCTCAAATGTGGCCAACCTCTTGCCCCTGAGCGGGATCTCTGTAGCCCTCTCATGGCAGAGGTCCTGGAGGTGCGAAGTAGGGGTACCGTGCCCAGGCTGCCCCTCTCCCCACTTGGTCTCCTACGTGCAGTGGACATTTTTCCACTTGGTGTGACCACACAAAAACTCCACCCAACATCATCTTCATGGATGCCTAAAATTCCACCATCCATGATTCATTCTTTTAGGTTGAACAACTGCTCCCAGGAATGTCTGAAATTCCCTGGAATCAGTTGCTAACACCTTAGTGAGCTAAAAACTGGCCTTACAGATAATCATCTACCTTCTGTAGACAACTCTGGACCAGAAGAAGAAGTGACTTGCCCAAGGACACGTAACCTTGGGCAGTCAGTCAGTGGCAAGCCAGGGCCAGAGGCTGGCCTTGCTCACACATTTTCCTGGGACAGGAGGAACAGAGCCATATACGATGTTCCCTTGAATCACATCTACTTTGCAGCCTGCAGAGAGCCTCCCCACCCAGAGCCCACTTGATTCAGGCAATCCCTATGAGCTGGGCATGAGTCCCTCTCCCAGGCACAGTGGCTCACATAGACATGGGGATGCCACAGGGACCTAGCCCAAACGTCCATTGCTGGATCCCTGGAGTGAGGTTTCTGGTCTATCCAAGGCCTAGTTTAGCTCCTCCTTCCGTTCTACCGGCAGCCCCAGATTCTTCCACTGCCTTCCTTTTTTTTTTTTTTCAGTAAGCTCAAGTTGGTTTCTCTTGCTTCTAAAGAACTCTAATTGAAATTCCCACTTTACAGATAAGGAGACCAAGATGTGAAGAGGAAAGGTGAATGCTAAGGTGGAGCCAGGCCTGCAACCCAGGTCTCCTATCTCCTGGCCCAGGCTTTTGCCTCCTGCCACGTTGCCTACTGTGAGCAGTTGGGTCCCGAGGAAAGAGAAGAGCAGAGAGGAGTGTGAGTGCATAAGCCTGAAGATAGAGGGTACAGTGGTTCATTGAGAGATTTTGGAGTCAGCAGATCTGATCTTACACTTACCTGTTATGAAGATTTTGACAAGTAATTTCATCTTCTCAGAGCCTAACTTCCCAGCTATAACATAAGAAAAAGAGGACCTTCTTATAGTAGACACAGACCCAACAGGAGCAGAGTGGGTGAGTAGAGCACTGGGTGGATTTTAGCCTTCACATACTCATCTATGGCTGGGTACCTTTGTGCAGTGAACAATCTGGGCAACAGTACATGACAGCCCTGAGAATAATGATAATACCTGCCTTACATGGATGTTATAAAAACTAAATGAGATAAGGTATGTGAAGTTCTGGGCACAGTGCTTAACCACTTAATAAGTCTTCAATAAACAGTAGCTAAGTATTTTGACACCATCACCCCAGGCTCCGTCTGGAAGGCTCTGGAAGGCAGTCTGTGGTGAAATGGCAAGTCCCAAACTCCCCACTTTCTTACCACCAACTCCCAAACCTCATAATTTTCCTGGATGGCCTCAGTGTCCTGCCTCTCCCTCCAGAGTTCTGTGGGGTTGGCTGGACCACCAGGAACAGAGTTCTGGCATTTTCTATCACATCACAGCTTTCAGTTTGGTAAAAGCCCCCGATATATCAGGGCCCAACTGGCAAGTCCCTCCTGCTCCAAAGTTTTGAAGGTTCCAGGGTCAAGCCTTGGCCCCCAGCCTCCTCCCTCAGACCTGAGGCCGAGCATAGTATATTCAGGGGCCTAGCTGCAGCAGGTCCTGAAACCTGCTACAGCAGTCCAAGCCCCCTCAGTCCTCCTCTTTCATTTCTGAGCAGGCCCAAGCACCCAGCACCAAGAATGGCTGGACTTAGGGACTCTGGGAGAGCCACGTGTGCCAGGCTAGTGCCTGCCAGCTCTTAGGCTGATCTTACAATGGCTCCATTCACCAGGGAGAGGAGCTGGCCTGCCTGGAGCCCACGGGGTGATGTTCCAGGCCCCAGGGGGATGGGGTGGGAGGTTAGAAACTAAGAAAGCGGTTGTTAAGGCTGGGAGGGGTGAAGGTGCCCAGCCTCCACCACTACCAGCACCTTATGACAAGGTGACCACCTCACAACTGGGACCATGAGAGATCAGATTCTCTGGGGCCCAGTGGGGGTGAGTAAGTGCGGGGGCAGATGGAGGGAAAGAGTTAGTCATGGGCATTGCGGGGCAGGGAGGCTGGGCCCTTAGCCCACGCTCTTGCTGGCATCTGAAGGCCCGTAGCCAGGGGGTGACGTGGTCTTGGTCCTTGAAGCAGCCCTTCCAGTAACAACTGGGGCATCCCAGCCAGGCAGCCTTTGCCTCTCCCCCTCCTCTCCATGCCTGCTACCCCAGGTCTCCAGGATCTCTCAAAGAGATTTTCATCTACAAACATCTCTGTCTCCATCATCTCTCCCTTCTTCACTCACAAAGCCCAAGTTGAGTCCAAACTGCTCTGTCCTCAAATTAAAGCCCTCACTGACTCCTCACTACCTAAAAGACCATGACCTCAGTGTTCAGGCTGTCATCTTGCCCACTCAGCATCCATTCCTTTTCCATATGAGCTCCAAGTCTCTCTATTTCTGGGGAAGCACCTGGGCCCCCACTCTCAGTCCATATGTTTCGAGTGGAGCTCAGGCCTAGAATTAGACATGTGACCCCAACTTGATCAATCCGATTGTTCCACCTCCACTCCCACCACCTCTATACAGCAATTGGTTTAGACATAGTCACGTGACCTAAACCAGTCCAATGAAATTCAAGTTCAGAACCTGTGTATAAATGTTTGGAGAAATGGGCCGGGCGCTGTGGCTCACGCATATAATCCCAGCACTTTGGAAGGCCAAGGCGGATGGATCACCTGAGGTCAGGACTTTGAGACCAGCCTGGCCAACATGGTGAAACCTTGTCTCTACTTAAAATACAAAAAATTACCTGGGCGTGGTGGTACGCACCTGTAATCCCAGATACTCCGGAGGCTGAGGCAGGAGAATTGCTTGAACCCGGGAGGCAGAGGTTGCAGTGAACCGAGATCACGCCATTGCACTCCAGACTGAGGGACAAGAGCAAGACTTCATTTCAAAATAAATAAATAAATAAATATCTGGAGAAATGAATCTTTCTTTGCCCTGGGCTTGGAGCCTCCATTTGGAAAGGGCCTGCTTCAGAGTGAAGCCAATGCAAGGAGAAGCAGAGAGGAGCAGAGAAGAAGAGAGAGAGGCCAAGTCTTGAAAGCATTTATTTGAGCTATACCTGAAGCAAATACACTAATATACTCTATTGTTTTTTCTTTTTAACTTTCATTCTCAAAGGAGGTGAATGTTCAGTTTTTTGAGTCAACGGATTTTCTTTTTTCCTAAGCTTCTTGGAATTGCGTTTTCTGTCTCTCGCAACCCAGGAGTTCTGACCAACAGAAAGGCCCTCCTACTCTGACCTTGAACCACTTCTGCAGTCTCATCGGCCCTGCCTGGGGCATATGGAACTCTCCACTCCCCTGAATGCCCCATGTGCCTTGTGATTCTCTGCACTTGCTCCTGCTAGGCCCTCTGTCTGGGGTGGATTCACTTTTCCTGTTTTGAACTTGCTCAGCTTTTTTTTTTTTGAGACAGAGTCTTGCTCTGTCGCCCAGGTTGGAGTGCAGTGGCGCAATCTCAGCTCACTACAACCTCCGCTTCCCGGGTTCAAGTGATTTTCCTGCCTCAGCCTCCCAAGTAGCTGGGACTACAGGCATGCACCACCATGCCCGGCTAATTTTTGTATTTTTGGTAGAGATGGGGTTTCACCATGCTGGTGAGGGTGGTCTCAAACTTGAATCACTCAGGTGATCCACTCGCCTCGGCCTCCCAAAGCGCTAGGATTACAGGCGTGAGCCACCGTGCCAGGCCTTGCTCAGTTCTTAAAGGTCCAGTTCAAATGCCAGTTCCTCCATGGAGCCTTCCTCAACTGCTTCCCAGGGAGAATTTACTATTTGCACCTGTCTTCAGCACTATAGAGCCATTATTTCACTGTATCATAGTGATTCACTTGCCCATCCATCTCCCCCACTGGATTGTTGAGCTTCATGAACTGTGTGTGCTTTCTTTCTCCTTTCTCAATACCTAGTACCTGACCTGGCACAGAGTAGGCGCTCGGAATCCTGTGTCCAGTGACTTGAATATCCATCAGACTGGATGTTAGAGCTGTGGGGATGTGGCACTCACCCTGGAACTACTACTAGTTGCTATGCAGCCCATTCCCATCTCTGTGAACAACCTGAATTGTCCACCTTCCTTCAATCTAAAAATTCTACTCATCCATCAAGGAGCTCAATGCCCTGAGTATGTGAGGAGAGGGCTGCTTTGGAGTTGGACAGACTTGAGTTCAAGTCCTGGCTCTTCCATGTGGTACTCATGTGACGTAGGCCAAGTCATATAACTTTCTTGAGCTTCAGTTTCCATAAAATGGCAAACACATGGTGCTCATTATGTGCTGTGCCCATATCCTAATACTTCTAGTTCTTTTATCCTCCCTATGAGGTGTAGGTACCAGTCTCGTCCTCTTCCCAGTGATAAAGAGACTGAGGTCCAGAGAGGTTAAGTAAGCAAGGCCATGACTAGGACAGAGCCTTGGACAGACCTAGTGGCCGGGTAGGGGATGGAACCCAGGCAGCCTCTGCTCCAAGTCAATGCTCTTACCCCTCTACTGTCCTGCCTCTTGAAAAATGAGGATAGTACTAGAACCTTCTTCTTGGGGTACTTGTGAAATTTCACCTTCACATAATGTGTGTGGAGGGTACAGTAGAGCTGAAGCCCTTGCTGTTGGCACCGCGGTGTTCTCAGCCTAGTGGAGTCTAATCTTTCCAAAGAATCCTGGACTTTAGGGTCAAGCTGGAGGGAGGGGGGAGGTGGCTAGTCTAGCACAGCATCCACTTGGCTGTGGCTGCTTGGCAGAAGGACCCTGCTCATAATGCCCATTTGTCCAGACCGTAGTTCAATGACTTCTGCATTCTCTGCACGTACACCCTAGAAGGGATGGGATGGATGGGGGATGGCACTGGCTCTAGCCTGGCCAGGGAAAGCCAGCTGGGAATTAAGAGGTCTTGGGCAGCAGGACAACCCTGTGTCGAGAAACCTCAACTCTGCCACTGCCTAGAAGTGAGACCCTGGGTAAATCACACAACCTCCCTGGGGCTCAGTTCCTTCATCTGTGAAATGCGGACCTTAATGGTACCTCCTTCATCGGGTGGTGTGAGGAAGAAGATGTATTTTGCAAGTATGTTGTGGATATTCAGTAAAAGACAGTTAATGATCAGCCTCATGCTACTGTTTGGTTAGCCAGGCTGGCTGGGGTTCAATCTTGGCTCTACCATTTCCTAGTCATGTGATCTCAACTAAGTTACTTAACTTCTTGGCTCAGTTCCTCCCTGGTAAATTGGGAACAATCAAAAAACAATAATACAATAGCAGCTATGTGCCCCTCACAAAAAAGCGATCCCCAATTTTTAGTGATCCCAAGCAGCTCCCTGCCCCTCCCCAAGGCGTCAGTTTCCCTATTTGTTCAGGGAATTTTTTTTTTTCTTCTTGAGACGGAGTTTCACTCTGTTGCCCAGGCTGGAGTGCAGTGGCATGATCTCAGCTCACTGTAACCTCCGCTTCCCAGGTTCAAGCGATTCTCATGCCTCAGCCTCCCAAGTAGCTGAGATTACAGGTGTGCGCCACCACACCTGGCTACTTTTTGTATTTTTAGCAGAGATGGGGTTTCAGCATGTTGGCCAGGCTGGTCTTGAACTCCTCACCTCAAGTGATCTGCCTACCTCGACTTCCTAAAGTGCTGGGATTACAGGCGTGAGCCACCGTGCCTGGCCGGAACTTTTTTTAAAATAGAGACAGGGTTGGGCTCTGTCACCAGGATGGAATGCAGTGGTGCAATCATAGCTCCTGGGCTCAAGGAATCTTTCCGCCTCAATCTCCTGAGTGGCTAGGACTACAGGCATGTACCACCACACCCAGCTGATTTTAATTTTTCTTGGTAGAGATAGGGGTCTCACCATGTTGCCCAGGCTGGTCTTGAACTCTTGGCCTCAAGGATATTCCTGCCTCAAGGATACTTCCACCTCAGCCTTCCAAAGCATGAGGATGACAGGCATGAGCCACTGCACCCAGCCTTGTTCATGGAAATTTCAGCTTCACCGTAAGCGCCATGCCCTAACAGATTCCCAGGCTCCGCTTCATGTACTGAATTGGTCCCCCTGCGGGAGATGCCCGATGCCCTTTCTTGGGGCAGCTGCTGTGTCCACCTTGTTCACTGTGTCCCCAGCACCTGACCTGGGCCTGCACATGGTGGGCCCTTAGCAAATGTTTATTGAATTTATGTTTTTCATGTAACAAACATGAACTTAGTGCTTCTCATGTGCTAGGCACTCCTTTGCGTGCTTTACAGATATAAATGCATTTATTCTTTGGCAATCTTTTTTTTTTGAGACGGAGTTTCGCTCTTGTTGCCCAGGCTGGAGTGCAATGGCACAATCTCGGCTCACTGCAACCTCCTCCTCCTGGCTTCAAGCAATTCTTCTGCCTTAGCCTCCCGAGTAGCTGGGATTACAGGCATGTGCCTCCACGCCTGGCTAATTTTGTATTTTTAGTAGAGACGGGGTTTTTCCATGTTGGTCAGGCTGGTCTCAAACTCCCGACCTCAGGTGATCCGCCCGCCTTGACCTCCCAAAGTGCTGAGATTACAGGCGTGAGCCACCACCCCCGGCCTTACTCTTCAGCAATCTTGTAGAGAATGACTATTATTATCCCCATCGTTATTTTACAGATGAGGCAGTTGAGGCAGAGTTAAAGTAACATGCCTAGGATTCTAACCCAAGACCTCTGGCTTCAGGGTTCATCCTCTGGCCTTCTCTGACCCTGTCCCCTCTATTCAGGAGTTGGGGTACCCTGAGTACCCACACATCCACTGGTATCCATGGCTCATCTCTTGGGATGGGGTTCTCCCATCCTCTGGGCGAGAGCAGGGGCCGGCTGTGGGATGTGGGGAACCGAGTCATGGGCCTGGCCTCCAGGAGACAGTCAGCCAACACCTGCCAGTCCGCCAAGTCCCAAAACAGCCTGGGCGCAGCTCACATCCGGCTGTTGTTCCGGAGCCAGAGAGGAGAACAGGAAAGGCCAAGAGGCCTGGCTCCAAGCTGACTCATTGGGAGGTGGGACCAGGACAGGAAGGGCAAGGGGTCGCCAACTCCATCCTCCCTCCCTTGGACACTCACTGGAATAAGGCCGGGCCCTGGAGCCACAGGCCAGAATCCACCCACCATGGAGCTTCAGGGACCTCACAGACTCCCAGGGAGGAAACACATGTGAGTTTAAAAACCAAGCCAGGCCGGGCGCGGCGGCTCACGCCTGTAATCCCAGCACTTTGGGAGGCCCAAGGCAGGTGGATCATGAGGTCAGGAGATTGAGACCAGCCTGGCCAACCTGGTGAAACCCCACCTCTACTAAAAATACAAAAATTATCTGGGCGTGGTGGCGCGTGCCTGTAATCCCAGCTACTCGGGAGGCTGAGGTAGGAGAATCACTTGAACCAGGGAGTCAGAGGTTGCGGTGAGCGGAGATAGCACCACTGTGCTCCAGCCTGGGGGACAGAGCGACACTCCGTCTCAGAAAACAAACAAACACACAAAACCAGGCCATAGCATTTGGCTGGAGAGATGAAGGTTCTGCATGGCCAAATACTTTGATGACTTTCTTGGGTGCGAAAGGCACTGCCCTCTTCCTGGCCGTGGCCTGGAGGACAGGAGAGAGGGCTCTGGGTAAGGAAATGGGGCAGGAGGGCAGAAGGCTTGAGACCTGAAAGGCAGCGGGAAGGATGAATGTAGAGAAATCTCAGAGCCTGAAGAAAGAAGCCACCTGCCAAGAGTCCATGGGGAAGGCTGGCCCAAGAGAAGTCTCTGGAAAGGTTTGCTAGACTCTTTTTTTTTGAGACGGAGTTTTGCTCTTGTTGCCCAGGCTGGAGTGCAATGGCGCCATATCAGCTCACCACAACCTCCGCCTCCCACGTTCAAGCGATTCTCCTGCCTCAGCCTCCCGAGTAGCTGGGATTATAGGCACCGGCCACCATGCCTGGCTAATTTTGTATTTTTAGTAGAGACAGGGTTTCTCCATGTTGATCAGGCTGGTCTTGAACTCCTGACCTCAGGTGATCCACCCGCCTCGGCCTCCCAAAGTGCTGGGATTGAGAGGTGACAGTGTGCTGGCAGCCCTCCCAGCCCTCACTGGCTCTTGGCGCCTCCTCGGCCTTGACGCCCACTCTGGCCATGCTTGAGGAGCCCTTCAACCCGCCGCTGTACTGTGGGAGCCCCTTTCTGGGCTGGCCAAGCCCAGAGCCGGCTCCCTCAGCTTGCGGGGAGGTGTGGAGGGAGAGGCGCGGGTGGGAACCCGGGCTGCGTGCAGTGCTTGCGGCCAGCGCGAGTTCCGGGTGGGCGTGGGCTCGGCGGGCCCCGCACTGGGAGCCTCCGGCCGGCCCCACCGGCCCTGGGCAATGAGGGGCTTAGCACCTGGGCCAGCAGCTGCTGTGCTCGACTTCTCGCTGGGCCTTAGCTGCCTCCCCACGCCGCAGGGCTCGGGACCTGCAGCCCACCATGCCTGAGCCTCCCCCGACCCCCGTGGGCTCCTGTGCGGCCCGAGCCTCCCTGACGAGCTCCGCCCCCTGCTCCACAGCGCCCAGTCCCATCGACCACCGGAGGGCTGAGGAGTGTGGGCACACGGCACGGGACCGGCAGGCAGCTCCACCTGTGGCCCTGGTACAGGATCCACTGGGTGAAGCCCGCTGGGCTCCTGAGTCTGGTGGGGACTTGGAGAACATTTATGTCTAGCTAAGGGATTGTAAATACACCAATGGACACTCTGTATCTAGCTCAAGGTTTGTAAACACACCAATCAGAACCGTGTGTCTAGCTCAGGGTTTGTGAATGCACCAATGGACACTCTGTATCTAGCTACTCTGGTGGGGACTTGGAGAACCTTTGTGTTGACACTTTATATCTAGCTAATATAGCTGGGACATGGAGAACTTTTGTGTCTAGCTCAGGGATTGTAAACGCACCAATCAGCTCTCTGTAAAATGGACCAATCGGCTCTCTGTAAAATGGACCAATCAGCAGGATGTGGGTGGGGCCAGGTAAGAATAAATGCAGGCTGCCTGAGGTAGCAGTAGTAACCCGCTGGAGTTCCCTTCCACACTGTGGAGACTTTGTTTTTTCACTCTTTGCAATAAATCTTGCTACTGCTCACTCTTTGGGTCCACACTGCCTTTATGAGTTGTAACACTCACCATGAAGGTCTGTGACTTCACTGCTGAAGCCAGCGAGATCCCAAACCCACCGGGAGGAAAGAACAACTCCAGATGCACCACCTTAAGAGCCCTAAGAGCTGTAACACTCACCGTGAAGGTCTGCAGCTTCACTCCTGAGCCAGTGAGACCGTGCACCCACCAGAAGGAAGAAACTCCGAACACATCTGAACATCAAAAGGAACAAACTCCAGACACGCCGCCTTTGAGAACTGTAACACTCACCGCGAGGGTCCGTGGTTTTATTCTTGAAGTCAGTGAGACCAAGAACCCACCAATTCTGGACACAGGATTACAGGCGTGAGCCACCGCACCCGGCCCTTTTTTTTTTTTTTTGAGATGGAGTTTCGCTTTTGTTGCCCAGGCTGGAATGCAGTGGCATGATAGCTCACCACAATCTCCGCCTCCTAGGTTCAAGTAATTCTACATCATTCTCTCTAGTAGCTGGGATTACAGGCATGTGCCATCACGCCCTGCTAATTTTGTATTTTTAATACAGATGGGGTTTCTCCATGTGGGTCAGTCTGGTCTTGAACTCCGGACCTCAGGTGATCCACCCGCCTTGACCTCCCAAAATGCTGGGATTACAGGCATGAGTCACTGCACCCAGCTATACAGCTTATTTTGAGACAGTCTCACTCTGTCACCCAGGCTGCAGTGCAGTGAGTGTTAATCTATGCACATAAAGCTCTCAGAATAGTGCCTGACAGACGTTAAGCACTCAATTTTTTATTTTTATTTATTTTTTTTTTTTTTGAGGCAGGGTCTCACTCCCATCACCCAGGCTGGAGTGCAGTGGCATGATCTCGGCTCACTACAGCCTCAACCTCCCAGCACAAGCAATCTGCCTACCTCAGCCCCACAAGTAGCTGAGACTATGGATGTGCGCCACCATGCCCAGCTAATTTTTGTATTTTTTGTAGAGATGGGGTTTCACCATGTTGCCCAGGTTGGTCTCGACCTCTTCAGTTCAAGTGATTCACCTGCCTTGGCCTCCCAAAGTGCTGGGATTAGAGGCGTGAGCCACTGCACAGGGCCAAGTGCTCAATAAATTAAATGTGAGTTTGTGCAAGGTGATTACGTGTGAACACTCGACTCAATTGGCTTAAACATAAAATTTATTTTTAATTAATTTATGATGGAGTTTCACTCTTGTCGCCCAGGCTGGAGTGCACTGGCATGATCTCAGCTCACTGCAACCTCCGCCTCCTGGGTTCAAGCAATTCTCCTGCCTCAGCCTCCCGAGTAGCTGGGATTACAGGTGCGCACCACCATGCCCGGCTAATAATTGATTTCTTTTTTTAAATGGAGTCTTGTTCCAGCCCAGGCTGGAGTGCAGTGGTGCGATCTCGGCTGACTGCAACCTCTGCCTCCTGGGTTCAAGAGATTCTCCTGCTTCAGCCTCCTGAGTAGTTGGGATTACAGGCGCACACCACCACACCCAGCTAATTTTTGTATTTTTTAGTAGAGACGGGGTTTCATCATGTTGGTCAGGCTGGTCTCGAACTCCTGACCTCGTGATCTGCCGCCTCGGCCTCCCAAAGTTCTGGGATTACAGGCGTGAGCCAGTGTGCCCAGCCTATTTATTATTTTTATTATTATTTTTTGAGATGGAGTCTCACTCTGTTGCCCAGGCTGGAGTGCAGTGGTGGATCTTGGCTCACTGCAACCTCCACCTCCTGGGTGTAAGAGATTTTCATGTCTCAGCCTCCCAAATAGTTGGGACTACAGACGTGTGCCACCTCACCCAGCTAATTTTTGTATTTTTGGTAGAGACAGGGTTTTGCCATGTTGGCCAGGCTGATTTCCAACTCCTGACCTCAAGTGATCCGCCCGCCTCGGCCTCTGAAAATGCTGGGATTACAGGCATGAGCCACTGTGCCCCGCGGAAAGAAATCTATTATTTTACCAACAGGAAGTCCCAGGAGATTCTTGGCCTTGGAATGGATTGATTCGCTGGTTCAGTGATGGCACAGGGACCCAGGAACTTTGTCTCCGCTGCTGCCTCCCTTTAGGTTGGCTTCAGCTCAAGGGCAACTACCCTTTTGGTAACAAGACGGTTGCCAGCAACACCTAAGGGACGAGGTATCCTGGTCTTCCTTAGCAAGGAGAAGGCCGGCTCCCTTAGCAAGGAGAAGGCCGGCTCCCTAAGCCAGACATTTAAATCCTTCCCTTCAGTCTGATTGGGTGAGCTGGGTCATGTGGTCACCTCTGTACCAACCACAGCACCAAGACAATGCAAGGAGCTGATTGGCTTACATTCCTCGGGATTCACCCCTGGAGCTGAG
This sequence comes from Homo sapiens, assembly GCF_000001405.40. NCBI lineage: Eukaryota > Metazoa > Chordata > Mammalia > Primates > Hominidae > Homo > Homo sapiens. The sequence continues at coordinate 24,724,746 of NC_000001.11, forward strand.
ACGGGTGGCCACTGAGGGCTGGGGGAAAGGCAGAGGTGGGTTCCGTTGGGACAGCTTGGGTGGGGGCTATGGGAGCAGCTTTAAAGAACTAGTTACCCCTGTTGGCTGGGGGCCTGGGGGGAACCCCTGGGTTACACAAATAATTTCAATACAATGTGGCATCCAGTGTCCAGCAGTGCAGGATCCAGAGGAGGAAGTGGTTTATTTGGACTGAGGGTGGAGGTGTGTTTGTGGGAGATCCCTGGAGCCTTTGCCTCTGAATCCTGAAATATGAGAAGTATTTCTCCAGCCGGAAAAGCCTGAGAAGAGGGTCAGAGGTCCCAGCACAAGCAAAGATCTGTGGGCTTCATGGGGCAGAGTAGCTGGGAGTGGAGGAGTGTGGAGACGGCCCCTTTGAAAGCAGAACTCGCTCCTCCCACCTCCATCTCGGGGCTGATAGCATAATCAGAATAGCTAACATTACTGAGTGCTCACTTCCCCGGGGTTCAATCCTCAGGACAGGTCTATCAACGGAGGGGAGGTATTGCTATTCCCCATTTTACAGATGGGGAAAGTGAGATATAGAGAGGTTAAATAATTTGCCCAAGGTCACACAGCTGAAAGGGCAGAGCTGGGCTATGACTCCAGGCAGTCTGACCCCAAAGCCAATGCTTTCAACATGCCTCTACTGCCCTCCCCAAGCCCCATCCCTGCAGGAGGAGGGCAGCCGGAAGGAGAGAGAGAAGTCCTGTTAGTCCAGTGCCATGAATCACAGCAGCTGGTGGTGGCCTCAGCAGGGAGACCCGCATCTGACAGACAAAGGCGGGAAGCTGGGTTTTGTCTCCAGCAGGCAGGGCAGGGAGATGGCCATTGTATAAGCCTGACCCCCTCCTTAGGCCTGAGAGACAGGGAAACTGATATGTAAAAGATCAAGAGCCAGAAGATCTTGCTTCGTAGGACTTGAGTTGAATCTTGAAAAAGTGAGAAAAAGAAAAATAGGCTGGGGTGAGGTGGCTCATGCCTGTAACTCCAGCACTTTGGGAGGCCGAGGTGGATGGATCACTTGAGCTCAGAAGTTCAAGACCAGCCTGGGCAACATGGCAAAACCTTGTCGTTACAAATAATACAGAAATTAGCCAAGCCTGGTGGCGCACGCCTGTAGTCCCAGCTACTCGGGAGGCTGAGGCATGAGAATCGGTTGAGCCTGGGAGGCGGAGGTTACAGTGAGCTGAGATGGCGCCATTGCACTCTGGCCTGGGTGACAGAGTGAGACTCTGTCTCAAACAACGACGACAACAACAACAACAACAACAACAGCAGACTCCAGCACTTTGGGAGGCTGAGATGGGTGGATCGCCTGAGGTCAGGAGTTCAAGACTAGCGTGGCCAACACAGTGAAACCTCGTCCGTACTAAAAATACAAAAAATTGGCCAGATGCGGTGGCTCACGCCTGTAATCCCAGCACTTTGGGAGGCCAAGGTGGGTGGATCAAGAGGTCAAGAGATCGAGACCATCCTGGTAAACATGGTGAAACCCCGTCTCTACTAAAAATACAAAAATTAGCTGGGCGTGGTGGTGCGTGCCTGTAGTCCCAGCTACTCGGGAGGCTAAGACAGGAGAATTGCTTGAACCTGGGAGGCGGAGGTTGCCGTGAGCTGAGATCACGCCACTGCACTCCAGCCTGGTGACAGAGTCAGACTTCGTCTAAAAAAAAAATAGCTGGGCTATTACAGGTGGCGGGTGCCTGTAATCCCAGCTACTAGGGAGGCTGAGGCAGGAGAATCACTTGAACCCGGGAGGCAGAGGTTGCGGTGAGCCGAGATCGCACCATTGCACTCCAGCCTGGGCAACAAGAGTGAAACTCCGTATCAAAAGAACAAAAAAACAAAACAGACTGTCTCCTGAAATCCGCAGAGTCCCCTCTTGCTATCCTTGGAATCCATCTGTGGCTCCCACCCCTTCCATTCACTGTTCTGGCTCTTTTAAGAGATTCCCCTTTCGGAGAGACCCTGGCTCCACCTGGAAGGAGCCAAGGCTGACTTGCCCCGGTGTGCTGCCAGCCAAGTGGCTGTTTCCACAGAAATGAGCACCTCCAAGCTCAGGGAACAAAACTTCAAAGATGCCCTCTGCCCGTCCTGGTTTGCACTCCCTCCCTCCAAAGTGTCCACATGAATAAGCTCTCCTCTCCCATTCAACCTGCAGGACCCCAGGCCAGGTGAGGCAGGCAGCTGCTCTTCACTCGTTCCTCCCTGCACTTCCGCACCAAGAAGAGAGGCCACACTTTTTTTTTTTTTGAAACAGGTGTGTGCCACCAAGCCCAACTAATTAAAAAAACTTTTTATTTATTTATTTGAAGAGACAGGGTCTGACCATGTTGCCCAAGCTGGTCTTGAATCCCTGGACTCAAGCAATCCTCTCACCTCAGCCTCCCAAAGTGCTGGAATTATAGGCGTGAGCCACCGCACTCAGTGAGGTCACCTTCCTTCCTTCCTTCTTTCCTTCCTCTCTCTCTCTCTCTGTCTCTTTCTTTCTTTCGATGGAGTTTTGCTCTTGTCGCCGAGGCTGGAGTGCAGTGGCGCGATCTGGACCCACTGTAACCTCCGTCCCCCCAGATTCAAGTGATTGTCCTGCCTCAGCCTCCCAAGTAGCTGGGATTATAAGGCATGCACCACCACGCCCAACTAATTTTTATATTTTTAGTAGAGACGGGGTTTTGCCAAGTTGGCCTTGAACTCCTGACCTCAGGCGATCCACCTGTGTTAGCCCCTCAAAGTGCTGGGAATACAGGTGTGAGCCATGACACCCTATACGTGTAGCTTTTTAGAAAGCATAACAGCACTCTCCCCTCCACTTTCAAAAGTGGGCCCCAGCGGCTCAGACTCCCTTGCCAGTTTCACTTTGGAAAGATGCAGTATGTGAGCAGTGCTGTCTTATTTCCCAGCTGGCCGGCCCAGGAGGCCCAGCCCCAAGGACCAGACACTGTGGGTTGGCCTCGGGGACGATGATCTAAGACAGCTGGAGTGTCTTCCTGGCTGTTAGCAAAAGAGAAACCAACTAATTCACCACAAAGTCCTTAAAAAGAGAAGTAATAGGATGAGTTCTGGCACCTCACTTAAGTCCAACAGGAGTGGGGAAATTCCCCTAAATATCACTTGGGGATCCAGCTTTTCCCTCTCTTTGAACCTCTTTGATGTTTATTTAATGTAATTAATTAACTTATTTAAATTTTTGAGACAGGGTCTCACTCTGTTGCCCAGACTGGAATGCAGTGGCACAATCACGGTTCACTGCAGCCTCGACCTCCTGGACTATAGCAATCCTCCCACCTCAGCCTCCCGAGTAGCTGGCACTACAGGTATAAGCCACCATGCCCGGCTAATTTTTTGTACTTTTAGTAGAGCCAGAGTTTCACCATGTTGCCAGGCTGGTCTCCAACTCCTGGGCTCAGGTGATCCTCTTGCCTGGCCCCCATTTATTTTAATTTGAAGTAATTTCAAACTAACAGGAAACTTGCAAAAATAATGTAAAGAACTCTTAAATACCGTTTACCCAGATTCATCAATTGTTTTGCATTTTGCCACATTTATTTTCTCTTTCTACAGAGTAGATATGAATCCATATCTACATCTATATAGAGAGAAAATAAATGTGGATACATATCTATATGTATATATGGAGATAAACTGATAGACATAGATGTGGATATACACATACATATAATTTTTTTTTTTTTAAGATACAGAGTCTCGCTCTGTCGCCCAGGCTGGAGTGTGGAGTGCAGTGGCCTGATCTCGGCTCACTGCAACCTCTGCCTCCTGGGTTCAAGCAATTCTCCTGTCTCAGCATCCCGAGTAGCTGGGAATACAGGTACATGCTGCCACGCCCGGCTAATTTTTTGTGTTTTAGTAGAGACAGGGTTTCACCGTGTTGCCAGGGCTGGTCTTAAACTCCTGAACTCAGGTAATCCGCCCACCTCAGCCTCCTAACATGCTAGGATTACAGGCGTGAGCCACCGCACCCAACCCTTTTTATTTTTATTTATTTATTTATTTTGTTTTTTTGAGATGGAGTTTCGCTCTTGTTGCCCAGGCTGGAATGCAATGGCGTGATCTTGGCTCACCGCAATCTCCACCTCCCCGGTTCAAGCGATTCTCCTGCCTCAGCCTCCTGAGTAGCTGGGATTGCAGGCATGCGCCACCACACCCAGCTAATTTTGTATTTTTAGTAGAGATGGGGTTTCTCCATATTGGTCAGGCTGGTCTTGAACGCCCTACGTCAGGTGATCTGCCCGCCTCGGCCTCCCAGAGTGTTGGGATTACAGGCGTGAGCCACCGTGCCTGGCAAGTTATCTTTCTTACAGAATGTTCTTCAACTCAGGTGAATCTGACGTCTCCTCATGAACACATTCAGCTTTGCATTCTCAGCTGGAACATTACGAAAGTGATATAGTGTGCTTTGCAGGGCGTGACTTCGGGAAGCACCTGAGGTCTGTTTGCCTGGAAAGGGTGCTGTTAATTTTGATCACCTGGCTAAGGGGTGGTCTAGTTCTGCATAAGTTACAATTTTCCTTCATGCAAGCTATGAGCAATCTGTGTGGACACTTTTAGGTCCTGTAAATGTACTGTTCCTGCTGATTCTTGTAGTGCTTATTTCTTATCAGCAGGAATTGATGCTTTGGTCCCCCTCTTACATTCTTCATCCTTGCCATCCTCCCGTGCTGTGGGGACTGGGACGGAGCCTCCCTTAGCCTGATCTATCAGCACTGTGCTATGAGAAGCCATTGATGCTAACAAGAGATGGGTTCGTGGGGCTTGGACATACTCAGCCCTCTCAGGAGCCTTACTGAGTGAATCCAGGGACACTGGTCCCTATACTGTGGGGCGGATCCACCAGTTAAAGGATAAGGGCAGGCTCAGGGGAAGAAAAGACTCCTTCCCTTGGCCAGGCGCAGTGGCTCACACCTGTAATCCCAACGCTTTGGGAGGCTGAGGTGCGTGGATTACTTGAAGTCAGGAGTTCGAGACCAGCCTGGCCAACATGGTGAAACCCCGTCTCTACTAAAAATACAAAAATTAGCCTGGCGTGGTGGCAGGCACCTGTAATCCCAGTTACTCAGGAGGCTGAGGCAGGAGAATCACTTGAACCCAGGAGGTGGAGGTTGCAGTGAGCCAAGATCACACCACTGCACTCCAGCCTGGCGACAGAACGAGACTCCATCTCAAACAAACAAAAATACTCCTTCCCTTGGCCAGGCATGGTGGCTCACGACTGTAATCCCAGCACTCTGGGAGACCAAAGTGGGCGGATCACCTGAGGTCAGGAGTTTGAGGCCAGCCTGGCCAACACAGTGAAACCCTGTCTCTACTAAAAATACAAAAATTAGCAGGGCATGGTGGCGGGTGCCTGTAATCCCAGTTACTTGGGAGGCTGAGGCAGGAGAATCACTTGAACTGAGGAGGCTGAAGCAGGAGATTGGCTTGAACCTGGTGGCAGGGGGGTGGACGTTGCAGTGAGCTGAGATAGCGCCATTGCACTCCAGCCTGGGCGACAAGAGCCAAACTCCATGGTGGGGGGAGGTGGGGAAGCGGAGGAGGGGAGGGGGAGGGGGGAGGGGGGAGGGGGAGGGGGAGGGGAGGGGGAGGGGAGGGGGAGGGGACTCCTTCTCAAGCCTCACCTAAAAATGAAGAGGCAAACAAGGTGGGAAAAAAATAAGTGTCGAGCTCAACCCTTAGGACCCTGGCCATGTCTGCAGTCAGCTCAGGCAAGGCTGTTGTCCTTCTGTAATGGACTGTCCCTGGTGCGCTCTCAGACGCAGCAGGACACGATGCGGCAGGACCCAGTGTTCCACGCAAGGACCTGCAGTCCTGGTTCAAATCCAGACACTGCCATAGGAAGCTTAGCTCTACGTGAGGAGATTAGCGACTGTTCCATGCGGGAAACAAACCAACCAAGCCAAAGCCTGCAAGTCTCTCCCAAGCTGCCAGCAAGTGAGCCAGGTGGACCTCCAGGGCGTAGGATGCAGCTGGGAAAACAACCGACCCGCTGCTTTTCCGGGTCCCTGCGCTTGCTGCGTCTCCTCTGGCTGCAGAGACTCAGCCCGGCTCAGAGCTGGGGAACTCGGTTATTCTTTTGAAGCGTCAAGGGCACTTGTCAGCTTTGAAATAATACATTTGCTGGCTTGAATTTCAAATAGCTTAACGCCCCCTGTGCTACCTAGCTGTGATCTGAAGGACTGACTGTTCAGGCCTTCAAGTACCAAATAAATGAACCATGAGACTCCAGCAATGGAGAAGAAATGTCCTTATTCAAACCAAACTTTGCAAATGGAAAGAATTGTTAAGTTTTGCTCTGTTGTGGCAGGGAAGCAGCTGGGAAGTAGACCACCCCTTGCATGCTCTGGGGGCCAGAGCTGGCTGTACTTGCACCTTTAGGCAGTAGGAAATGCACCCCAGCTCTGTGGTGTGAGCCACTTCTCCGTGATGAAGGTCATCTTCATATTCTGAGGTCAAAGGGCAAATGGCAGAGTGGGCATCCGTGGGGAGACTGCTGGACACAGGGCACTGCCCACAGAGAGGTGATGGGTGATAGGAGTGGGGCAGGACAGCATAGCAAGGTGCAGCATCTGGAGTCAGAACAGACAGGTTCAAATCCCAGCTCTGCTGCTTACCTACTAAGCTGTTTGATTTGGGCAAGTGATTTAATCCTGCTAAGCCTCAATTTTCTTCTCTGCAAAATGGGAGTAATATTCAACCCAGGTTATAGGTATTAAGTGAGATTGTATATGAAATACACTCAGTCAGGCACATATTAAGTGCTCATTTAGTAACAGCGTTGGCTAGGCCAGGTGCAGTGGTCACGCCTGTAATCCCAGCACTTTGGGAGGCTGAGGCTGGCAGATCACCTGAGGTCAGGAGTTCAAGGCCAGCCTGGCCAACATGGTGAAACCCAGTCTCTACTAAAAATACAAAAATTAGGCCAGGTGCGGTGGCTCATGCCTGTAATCCCAGCATTCTGGGAGGCCGAGGCGAGTGGATCACCTGAGGTCAGGAGTTCGAGACCAGCCTGACCAATATGGTGAAACCCCGTCTCTACCAAAATTACAAAAATTAGCCGAGTGTGGCGGTATGCGCCTGTAGTCCCAGCTACTTGGGAGGCTGAGGCAGGAGAATTGCTTGAACCCGGGAAAAGGTGGAGGTTGCAGTGAGCTGAGATTGTGCCACTGCACTCCAGCCTGGGTGACAGAGTGAGACTCTGTCTCAAAAAAAAAAAAAAAAAAGCAAAAATTATCTGGGCATGGTGGTGGGCACCTGTATTCCCAGCTACTCTGGAGGCTGACGCAGGAGAATTACCTGAACCCAGGAGGTGAAGGTTGCAGTGAGCCAAGATCGCACCACTGCACTCTAGCCTGGGCAACAGAATGAGACTCTGTCTCAAAAATAAATAAATGAATAAGGTAATAGTGTAGGCTATACTGGTAATTATGAGTAATACTAAATAGGCTACACTTAGTGTAGGATAATAATATAATAATGGTGGTGGTAATGATGATGATGATTTCTGACCCTCTAGGCTGCTATGTTAGGCTTAGCTAGGAAACTGAAGCTGGGCTGGGGTTGGGGTTGGGACAGAGGCTAGTGGAGCAGTGGGCAGCAATGAACTGAGGCCACGAAGCACAGAATGTCATCATCCTGGTGACGAACTCCATCAGTGCCTATTCTGTCAGCAGCTCCATTCCAGCAACCTTCAACATAATTGTGTATGTGTGTGTCTAGGTAGGTGCAAACATAATTTTTGATGACTATGTATCATTCTATTATATAGATGAACTATGTTTTACTTTAAGCAAACTATAATTTTTAACAGCTGCAGAATATTTTAATGACTGGATGGACTTTTTTTTTTTTTTGAGACAGGGTCACTCACTGTGTTGCCCAATCTGGCATGCAGTGGCATGATCACAACACACTGCAGCCTCGACCTCCCACACTCAAGTGATCCTCCCATCTCAGTTTCCCAAGCAGCTGGGACTACAGGTGCACAGCACCACGTCTAGCTGATTTTTGTATTTTTTGTAAAGGAAGGGTTTCACCAAGTCACCCAGGCTGGCATATTTTGACAGGAAAGCAAAGTGTTGTATTAGATTTGGAACAGGCTGTGAAGCTAGAGATCTTTAATTATTTAGTCAACATTTTTGACCACCAACTTTAAGCCGGGCTCTGTGTTACATGCTGGCCATACGAAGGTGAATATAGAGATAAGCCTGGCTTCACAGAGCTTATGGTCTAGAAGGAGAGACAGGCATATAACTAGACCTGAGTTTAACCCAAGCTATGTGATCTTAAACAAGTCACTTATCGGTCAGGGTGGTGGCTCACACCTGTAATCCCAGCACTTTGGGAGGCCGAGGCCGGCGGATCACTTGAGGTCAGAAGTTCAAGACCAGCTTGGCCTACATAGTGAAAACCTGTCTCTACTAAAAATACAAAAAAATTATCCGGGCATGGTGGTGGGCGCCTGTAATCTCAGCTACTCAGGAGGCTGAGGCAGGAGAATCACTTGAACCCAGGAGGCAGAGGTTACGGTGAGCCGAGATGGCACCACTGCACTCCAGCCTGGGCAACAAAAGCGAGACTCTGTCTCAAAAAAAAAAAAAAGAAAAAAGAAAGTCACTTATCTTCCCCAAGCCATAGTTTCCTCATATGTAGAAGCTCAGCATAGAGTGTTACAAGCACAGTATAATGTAAACCCAGCAAACATTACTTCTCCTTTTTTTTTTTTACTCTTGAGACGGAGTTTCACTCTTATTGCTCAGGCTGGAGTGCAATGGTGTGATCTTGGCTCACCGCAACCTCCCCCTCTTGGGTTCAAGCGATTCTCTTGCCTCAGCCTCCTGAGTAGCTGGGATTACAGGTATGTGCCACCACGCCCGGCTAATTTTGTATTTTTAGTAGAGATGGGTTTCACCATGTTGGCCAGGCTGGTCTCGAACACCTGACCTCAGGTGATCTGCCCACCTTGGCCTCTCAAAGTGCTGGGATTACAGGCGTGAGCCACTGTGCCCAGCCTTCTTCTTTAAAAAAAAAAAAATTTTGAGACAGAGTCTTGCTATGTTGCCTAGGCTGGTCTTGAACTCCTAGACTCAAGTGGTCCTCCCACCTTGGCCTCCTCTGTAGCTGGGACTACAGGTGTGAGCCACCACACCCAGCCTGGTTCTACCTTCTAATGATTGGTAGTTTTAAATATTGCTTTTCTTTCTTTTTTTTTTTTTTTTTTTTGAGATAGAGTCTCGCTCTGTCACCCAGGCTGGAGTGCAGTGATGCGATCTCGGCTCACTGCAACCTCCGCCTCCTGGGATCAAGCAATTGTCCTGCTTCAGTCTCCCGCGTAGCTGGGACTACAGGTGCGTGCCACCACACGTGGCTAATTTTTGCATTTTTAATAGAGACGAGGTTTCACCATGTTGGCCAGGCTGGTCTTGAACTCCTGACCTCAGGTGATCCATCCACCTCGGCCTCCCAAAGTAGTGGGATTACAGGCATGAGCCACTGTGTCTGGCCTGCTTTTCTTATTCTTTTGTTTTTATAGATATTATAGCCATGGATATCCTCCTAAATGCTATCTTTTTCTTTGGGGGATTGGGTTATTTATTCATCACGGGGTGATCTGGGTTATCCAGTTAAATAAGTTTTTCGTTTGGTTGTTTTATTTTGTTTATTTGTTTGTTTTTTTTTTTGAGACAGAGTCTTGCTCTGTTGCCCAGGCTGGAGTGCAGTGGCATGATCTCGCCTCACTGCAACCTCCACCTCCCAGATTCAAGTGATTCTCCTGCCTCAGCCTCCCAAGTATCTGGGATTACAGGTGCACGCCACCACACCTGGCTAATTTTTGTATTTTTAGTAGAGATGGGGTTTCGTCATGTTGGCTTGGCTGGTCTCAAACTCCTGGCCTCAAGTGATCCACCTGCCTTGGCCTCCCAAAGTGCTGGGATTCCAGGTATAAGCCACTATGCCAGCCTGTTTTTTGAGAGAGGTTCTCTGTCACTCAGGCTGGAGTGCAGTGACACAGCCACGGCTCACTGCAGTCTTGACTTTCTAGGCTCGAGTGATCCTCCCACCACAGTCTCCCAATTATCTGGCACTACAGGTGTGCACCACCATACCCAGCTAATTTTTATTTTATTTTATTTTATTTATTTTTATTTTTTTTGAGGCAGGGTCTCACTCTGTCACCCAGGCAGGAGTGCAGTGGCATGATCACAGCTCACTGCAGCCTCAACCTCCTGAACTCAAGTGATTCTCCCACCTCAGCCTGCTGAGTAGCTAGGACTACAGGCATGCACCACCACACCTAATTTTTGTATTTTTTGTAGAGATGGGGTTTTGCCATGTTACCCGGACTGGTCTCAAACTCCTGGGCTCAAGTGATCCACCTGCCTTGGCCTCCCAAAGTGTTGGGATTGCAGGCGTGAGCCACTACATCCAGCCCTAATATTTTATTAGTATTTGTAGAGACGGATCGTTATGTTGCTGGGACTGGTCTCGATGTCCTGGACTCAAGCAATCCTCCTGCCTCAAACCCCCTAAATGCTGGGATTACAGGCTTAAGCCACCACATCTGGCCTCCAGCTGCATAAGTTTTTTTAACCCTCTGCTATTCTTCAGGGTTCACTAGGCAGAGTGGTGGACAAAAGCCACTGTATTGGTGGCAGGAGGTCTGAGCAAACAAGTCACCCAAACTCTCTGGACCTTGATCTCTCATCTGCATCTTTACCGTTCCCCCAACATACCAAGGAAATTCCTGCCTCAATGCCTTCGGCCTTGCTGTTCCCTTTGCCAGCAAAGAGAACTGTGCGTCCAGATATTATCCCCACGGCCTTCTGGTCTTTACTCAAATGTCATCTTATCAGAGAGACTGTTCCTCCTCCCTGTCCCCGTGTCCTTCCCCAGCCCCTCATTCTGCTTTACTCCTCTTTATAGCTCTTATAATCTCCTGATTAGACATACTTGCCCGGGTATTTGTTTATTGTCTGCCTTCCCAAATAGAATGTAATCTTCATGAGAGCCAAGATGCTGTCTGTCCTGGGCCTGGAAGCGTGCCCAGCACACACAGTAGGTTCTCGCTGAAAATGTGCAGCCTGAGTGGACGAAGAGATCAAATGAGACTCTGCTGACAATACTTAGCATATTTGTTAGTGTCTGCAGACAGCACAAAGCTGTCCTAATGAGAGGGAGAGTAATAGTAATTGGAAACTCTAGACAGTGTCTTATGTGGGTGGTAGAGCTCTGGAAGATCTTGGCCAGGGTGGATGTGGGTGGGGGTTGGGGTGGGGGAGGAAGTATTTCCTCTCTGCCAAGCTGCAGCAAGAGGCTAATGGCCTCCACAGGGATCCAATCCAATTAAGGGCCTGGCTTCAAGTCAACTCGGGTTCCCTTCCTGGCTGGAGCAGCTTCCAAGTGACAAAATGAAACCTGTAATGTCCCCAGGATGAGATAGTCTCCAGGCGAGCAGGGCAGAAAGGGGCTGATAGTCAGGTTTCTGCTCCCAGGGGAACAGATCTGCATTGGGCCCGAATAGTTTTAATACAGAGAGAGAGAGAAAGAGAGAGAGAGTGTGTGTGTGTGTGTGCACGCGCGCGTGTGCATGTGTGCGCACGTGTGGTGGGAAGAGCCAGGAACAGCAGCTGGATTCAGTCCCTCATGGGGAAGCAACGGAAAGGGTTCAAATGCCAAATGAGGAGTCCTGGGTTCTAATCTTAGTTCTGTTTCCACCCAACTATGGGACAGGGAAGAAAACCAAGTGAGCCAGGGAACACAAGCCCTGCCTGAGGCTCCAGTTCCCTACACACAGAACTGGAAACTGAACATGCATTCAGGCTTAATTGCACTCAGAAGTCTATTTCAACTGTATTTATTTATTTATTTATTTATGAGAGGGAGTTTCACTCTGTTGTCCAGGCTGGAGTGCACTGGTGTAATCTTGGCTCACTGCAACCTCCGCCTCCCTGGGTTCAAGCAATTCTCCTGCCTCAGCCTCCCGAGTAGCTGGGATTACATGTGCCCACAAGCACGCCCACCTAATTTTTGTATTTTTAGTAGAGATGGGGTTTCACCATATTGGCCAGGTTGGTCTCAAACTCTTGACCTCAAGTGATCCGCCTGCCTCGGCCCCCCCAAAGTGTTAGGATTACAGGCGTCAGCCACCATGCCTGGCCCTGTTTTCCCCTTTTTTTTTTTTTTTTTGGACAGAGTTTCGCTCTTGTTGCCCAGGCCGGAGTACAATGGTGCAATCTCAGCTTACTGCAACCTCCGCCTCCCGGGTTCAAGTGACCCTCCTGCTTCAGCCTCACTAGTAGCTGGGATTACAGGCGCCCGCCACCACACTTAGCTGACTTTTTGTATTTTTAGTAGAGATGGGGTCTCACTACGTTGGCCAGGCTGGTTTCGAACTCCTGACCTCAGGCGATCCACCTGCCTCAGCCTCCCAAAGTGCTGGAATTACAGGCCCGGCTCCTGTTTTCCCTTGTTTAAACCAATTTGTTGATAGATAACACATACCCCTAGGACAAAAGTTACAAAATGGGAACCAAAACAGTATATAAGTCAGCAGTGACTCAGTTCCCCAGTTCTCCTCCCTGGAAGTAAACACTTAAAAATTTTTTGTGTATTCTTCCAGAAATAAATGCATATAATAGTAAAATAATAACATTTATTGAACATCTACTCTATGCCAAGCACTGTTATGTGCTTTACATTTATTAACTCATTTACTTTCCATAACAACACCATGAAGTATAATTAGCATCACTTTACATGTGGAAATGAAGTGTAGAGAGCATAACTTGCTCAAACATCACACAGAAAGGAAGTGAAATATTTTACTCAAGTAAAGACGTATATGGCAGGGTTCCTTGCCTCCAAGAATCTCACAGTATACCAAGGAAGAGGACATTGATATGACTAGTGATACAGGTTGAGTATCCCTTATCTATCTTTTTTTCTTAAATTTTTTTTTTTAATTTAACAAAGACTGGGGTCTCGCTGTGTTCCCCAGGCTGGTCTCAAACTCCTGGGCTCGAGCAATCATCCTGCCTTGGCGTCCCAAAGTGCTAGGATTATAAGGGCGAGCCACCCTGCCTGGCCCTATTTTTATTTATTTATTTTTTTTGAGACAGGGTGTCACTCAATCACCCAGAACTGGAGTGCAGTGGTGTGATCACGGCTCACTGCAGCCTTGACCTCCTGGGCTCAAGTGATCCTCCCACCTCAGTCTCCTGAATAGCTGGAACCATAGGTGTGCACCACCATGCCTGGCTAATTTTGGGGGTTTTTTAGAGAGATGAGGTCCCACTATGTTGCCCAGTTGTTGCCCACTATGTTGGTCTCAAACTCAAGACCAAGCCAGGGCAAAATAGTAGGACCTCATCTCCACAAAAAAAGGCTCAAGTGATCCTTCTGCCACAGCCTTCCAAAGTGCTGGGATTATAGGTGTGAGTCACCATAACCAGGCAAGTATCCTTTATTTAAATGCTTGGGACCTCCATAAATATATATATATATATACCCACTGTGTCCCCACAAAAATTAAAACTTAAAAATTAAAAAAATAAATGCTTGGGACCAAAAGTGTTTCAGATATCAAATTTTGGATTATTTTGAATTTTGGAGTATTTGAGTATACATAATGAGATATCTTAGGGATGGGACCCAAGTCTAAACACGAAATTTATTAATGTTTCATATATACCTTATTCACATAGCCTGAAGGTAATTTTATACATTTCAAATAATTTTGTACATGAAACAAAGTTTGTATTCAGTACCTTTTTTTTTTTTTTGAGACGGAGTCTCACTCTGTTGCCCAGGCTGGAGTGCAGTGGCGCCATCTCGGCTCACTGCAAGCTTCGCCTCCCAGGTTCACGCCGTTCTCCTGCCTCAGCCTCCTGAGTAGCTGGGACTACAGGCACCCGCCACCACACCCGGCTACTTTTTTGTATTTTAGTAGAGACAGGGTTCCACCGTGTTAGCCAGGATGGTCTCGATCTCCTGACCTCGTGATCCGCCCGCCTTGGCCTCCCAAAGTGCTTGTATTCAGCACTTTTTTGTGGAATTTTCCACTTGTAGTGTCATGTTGGCACTCAAAAAGTTTCAGATTGTGAAGCATTTTGGATTTGGGGTTTTTGGAGTAGGGATGCTCAGCCTGTAATAGCTAGCACTTATTAAATGCTGATTATTAAATGTTTTAAATGGATTACCTCATATAATCCTCACAATGAGTTCCTGAAGTAGGTTCTGTTATACAGTAGTATCCTCTATATTCACAGTTTTGATTTCTGCAGTTTCAGTTACCCACAATCCAAAGATATTAAATGGAAAATTCTAGAAATAAACCATTTATTAGCTTTTTAAAAATTAATTAATTAATTAATTTTTATTTATTTATTTATTTTGAGACAGAGTCTTGCTCTGTCACCCACATTGGAGTGCAGTGGCACAATCTCAGCTCGCTGCAACCTCCACCTCCCAGGTTCAAGCAATTCCTGCCTCAGCCTCCTGAGTAGCTGGGATTATAGGCGTACATCACCACACTTGACTGATTTTTTGTATTTTTTTTTTTTTTTTTAGTAATGATGGGTTTCACCATGTTGGCCAGGCTGGTCTTAAATTCCTGACCTCAAGTGATTCGCGCATCTCGGCCTCCCAAAGTTCTGGGATTACAGGCGTGAGCCACCGCACCCGGCCCCATTTATTAGATTTAAGTGGCATGTCAGGGTCTTCATTCTGAAGGCTTCTGTGTATATATATTAAATAAATTTGTATGCCTTTTCTCCTATTAACCAATCTGCCTCATGTCAGTAACTTTTCAGTGAACTTTTAGGGGACCGGGAGCCTACGGCCTCCACAGTATGGTGCAGTGATCAGGGTGATCAAAGCTACTGTTCTGTTCTGGAAGCCGTAGTGAAGAGAACCCAGGAAACTCACCTGCCTGCAAAGGGGACACAATTGGAAACACCAGTTATTTTATCAAGGTTTTGACCAGAATGGGATATTTTAAAATATGAGCAAACTGCTTTGAGGAATTGAAATAGACTTTATAGAACTGATAAACGTCCCTTAGAAAGACTGGCCTTGTGCCTTGTTTATGCAGGTCCTTTAGAGGGTTCCTGACCTGTGGCCCTGCAAGCTAAAACTTACATCTTGTGATATAGAAAAGAAGACTAAGACGTGACCACACTTGAACAGGTCTTTTTATGAGGATAATGACTGTCTCCAAGGATCATTTAAATTCTAAAGAAAACTATTTACAAGTTAATCCCTGCTCCCCCATCCAGTCATTCTCCTTCCCAACCCCTTATTGCCCCTAAACAGAATTCTTCTCCCCCTTCACATAGCCTGTTTTACCAGGATGCAAGCTCCCATTCTTTCTGTAACCTCAAGATGATATATAAGTTTCCGTAATTCATGGGGGAGGTGGGTCTTCATTCTGAAGGCTCCTGTGTATGTATGTGAAATCAATTTGTATGACTTTTCTCCTATTAAAAAAATAAATAAAAAATAAGTTGCATGCCATTCTGGGGAGCATGAGGAAATCTTTTTTTTTTTTGAGACAGAGTTTCGCTGTTGTCACCCAGGCTGGAGTACACTGGCACGATCTCGGCTCACTGCAACCTCTGCCTCCTGGGTTCAAGCGATTCTCCTGCCTCAGCCTCCCGAGCAGCTGGAATTACAGGTGCCTGCCACCAAGCCCAGCTACTTTTTGTATTTTTAGTAGAAATGGGGTTTCACCATGTTGGCCAGTCTGGTCTCGAGCTCCTGGCCTCAAGTGATCCACCTGCCTCGGCCTCCCTAAGTGCTGGGATTACAGGCTTGAGCCACCGTGCCTGGCCCTCAGTTTCCTTATTTGTAAAATGGGGACAATGAAAATTATGCCTTGCAATGCTGGGGATGGTGGCTCATGCCTGTAATCCCAGCACTTTGGGAGGCCGAGGCGGGTGGATCACTTAATTAAGGTCAGGAGTTTGAGACCAGTCTGGCCAACATGGCAAAACCCCGTCTCTACTAAAAGTACAAAAATTAGCCAGGTGTGGTGGCACATGCCTGTAATCCCAGCTACTTGAGAGGCTGGGACATGAGAATCACTTGAACCTGGGAGGTGGAGGTTGCAGTGAGATGAGATTGTGCCACTACACTTCAACCTGGGCGACAGAGTGAGACTCCGTCTCAAAAAAAATAAAAATAAATATAAATAAATAAATAAATAAATCAAGCCTTGCAAGACCATGATGAATAAATATGATTGGATATGAAAGCACCCAGCTAGGTGTCTGGCATGCAGTGTGAGAGCTCAGTGACCGGTCAAGAATATGGACAGATGGGAATAATACCAACAGCTAGTGTCTACAGAGCACTTACAATCCAAGCTCTTAACATAGACTAATTTATCAATGATCCTATTAAATATTAATAGGTACTAATTTTAGATCCATGTTTACAGACGAGAAAATGGTACTAATTTAGATCCATTTTTACTGATGAGAAAATGAAGCACAGAGAGGTTAAGTAAGTATCCTGAGTTAGTAAATAACAGAAGCAGGATTGGAACCCAGGCAGTCTGGCCCCAGAGTCCATGTGCATAGCAGCTCATTCTGCTGCTGAAATTGCAGAACTTTGGGCTGAGACAGTCAGCGAGCAGCACCACAGAGTTAGAAGTGGGAGGAGGAAAGTGTCATCAAGGGAGGCTTACTGGAGGAAAACCTGACCCCCTGTGTAGGGGCAGTCATAAACACAAACCACCTGGCTTCCCAGACTGGAAGAGCGTGACAATCCAAATGTCATGTCAGGGGTACATGAAACCATAGGATAAACATGGTACAGTCACTCACTCCATAAGCTATTTTTTTTTTTTTTTGAGACAGAGTTTCGCTCTTGTTGTCCAGGCTGGAGTGCAATGGCGCAATCTCGGCTTACTGCAACCTCTGCCTCCCAGGTTCAAGCGATTCTCCTGCCTCAGCCTCCCAAGTAGCTGGGATTGCAGGCATGCACCACCATGCCTGGCTAATTTTTTGTATTTTTAGTGGAGACGGGGTTTCTCCATGTTGGTCAGGCTGGTCTCGAACTCCCGACCTCAGGTGATCCATCCGCCTTGGCCTCCCAAAATCCTGGGATTATAGGCGTGAGCCACTGCGCCCGGCCCACTCCATAAATTTTTATTGTGTACCATGAGCTGTCCTCTGAGCCAGGAATATAGCCATAAACAAAACCAAACAAAAAATCCCTGCCCTTATGGCATTTATGTTCTAGTGGGAGAAGACAGACAATAAGCAGATAAATAGGTAGATATGTATCAGAGGGTTGTAAGTGTTATGAAGAGAGATAAAGTGGAGGGTGGAGTGAAAGATAGCAACTTGCAACGTTGCATAGGGTGGTATTTGGGGAGAGCGCTCTGAGAAGATGACATTTGAGCAAAGAGCCAAAGGAAGTAAGGGAGTGGGAGTTGCAGAAATTCTGGGGGAAGAATGTTCCAGAGAGGGGGAAGAGCAAATGCAAAGGCCCTGAGGCCACAGTGTGCTTCGCATATCCAAGGACTAGAAAGGAGGCCAGTGAAGCTGGGGTGGAGAGCACAGGGGAGAATGGTAGGAGATGAGGTCAGAGGGGTGTGTGTGGGAGGAGACAACATGTCTCCACCCATCTTAAAGATTTCTGTGTGCTATAAAAACAAGCCTGAGTAAAGAATGTAAAGCAGGCATGCAATTCAAAATTCGAAGAGGAGACTTGACTGCTATGTGGTTAGGGGGCCTCCCCTGCATAAACATCCTCTTTCCCTTTCACCCACTCCCAGGACTGACTGCCCATCCATGGGAGCCATATGAGGGCGGAACTTGGGAAACTGTAGGTGTGACTGAGACTACGTCTAAGCACAGGCTCTGGGTCTGAGCCTCTTCCTGGGGGGCTTCCTGTTGGGTAGGAGGAGCCCAGGAGATCATCACCACCTCAGGGCTCTGTGGAGAATGCCCCTGGCTTCCTCCTAGCTAAGATCTCTGTTTAGTCAATGAAGCCTAAAGGGCCCTGGTCTGTTCCTCCTTCCATACCCTGGTGCTGTGAGGCCAGTTGGAGCCTGTGAAGGGCAAGTCACCACCGGGAATATTTGCTGCCTCTAACTCAAATTCTTTTTTTTTGAGATGGATTTCGCTCTGTCGCCCAGGCTGGAGTACAGTGGCGTGATCTCGGCTCACAGCCACCTTTGCCTCCCCGGTTCAAGCGATTCTCCTGCCTCAGCCTCCCGAGTAGCTAGGATTACAGGCATGTGCCACCACACCCGGCTAATTTTTGTATTTTTAGTAAAGATGGGGTTTCGCCATGCTGGCCAGGCTGGTCTCGAACTCCTGACCTCAGGTGATCCACTCGCCTCGGTCTCCCAACGTGTTGGGATTACAGGCATGAGCCACTGTGCCCGGCCTCAATTTGATCAATTCTCAGGTACATTGAGTTTCTGCTGAATTGTTTTTTGGCTTAGATCTGCTTTGAACTGATTCACCATTTGGTTCCTTTTTGGTAGGGCAGAGAGGGTGGATTCTGGAAGGAAACTTTGCTTCAGTTCATGATTCTATGAAAAATTAACACGGTTCAGTCCAGAGTCTAGTCAGTCACTTCAGGATTTTCATGGTTCAAGCCCCCATCTAAGGGGAGCCTCCTGGAATTTATTTATTTATTTTCAACGAACTAGCCGGGCATAGAGAGAGTAGAATATGATGCCACATTCTAGCCTGCAGGGGTGGTAGGGACAGAATAAGTCTCAATGCAGTTAACAGCCATACTGACGGAGCAGCACATATGGTAAGGCAAGAATCAGTAATTAGCCCCACCCACTTCTAGATAATGAAACTGAGGCTTAGGGGTTTTAAGGACACTGCCTTGTCAGATTTGAACTTAAACAGTCAGACTACAGAGCACGTGTTCCTGACCACTGGGATACACTGGCTCTTTCACAGAGCCTCTGTGAGAAAATTTGAGCAACTTACTTTGGGCTGGCAGAGGAAGAAATTGCAAGTTTCACTGTATTTTCATGCCTACGTACAATTTGTTCAAACATTCTGGTATGTGCTAGGCACCGAGGATATGGAGACAAACCTCCCATGTCTGGGCCTCCTGGAACTCACTATTTATCCCAACCTGGGAAGTTGGGAGGAGTAGCTGTGAGTCAAGTATTATGGAAAGTCAGAAAAGGGCACAAGTAATTGTTTCCAGAGGAGGTGAAACTTGCCCCAGGCACTCAACAGCAGCAAACTAGGACCAGGTGCCTACAATCTCAAGGCAAGCACAGCTCTTGCCCTCGGGGGCTTAAATCCCAGGGCAGTTTAACTGGTTTGCGGACCACCTACTTCAGAATTGTCCTGGTGCTTGCTAAGATGTGGATTTCTCTTTTTCCCAGAGGATCTGGGAAACACAAAAAGCGGGGCTGCGTGTAGCACCTAGGTGATTCTGATGCACACTCAAATTTGACAGGTGAGCCGGGGGGAAGAAATGGGTGTGGGCAGTGGGGAACAAGATGGACAACGACTTGGAAGTCCTTAGTGGCCTGCAGGCACTGAGATTGCAGTTCAAGATCTTGAGCTTTGGGAGTTGTTACTCTCCAAGGGCTAGCTCAGAGCCTGAAACACAGTAAGGTTTCATAAATATTTGTGAATATGCGCCCGGCGCGGTGGCTCACGCCTGTAATCCCAGCACTTTGGGAGGCCGAGGCGGGCGGATCACGAGGTCAGGAGATCGAGACCATCCTGACTAACACGGTGAAACCCCGTCTCTACTAAAAATACAAAAATTAGCCGGGCGCGGTGGCGGGTGCCTGTAGTCCCAGCTACTTGGGAGGCTGAGGCAGGAGAATGGCGTGAACCCGGGGCAGAGTTTGCAGTGAGCCGAGATCGCGCCACTGCACTCCAGCCTAGGCGATAGAGCCAGACTCCGTCTCAAAAAAAAAAAAAAAAAAAATATATATATATATATATATATTTGTGAATATGCTGGCTGCCAAGATCGAAACGATCAGGAGCGTCAAAGGGAAAAACGAAGTCAGAGGCAGAAGAAAAAGGTGTTCCCCAGGCGATGAAAACTTTCCAGTAAGTTGTCTTGGAAAAGGCAACTCCGCGTAATAGAGGGACTTGGGGAGGTAGCCGCTGCGGGAAAGGGCGATGAGTCCTGGGGTGCTGCAGCGGGGGAGTGGGTAGGAGGCGCCTCCTAGCTTCCCCAGGGCGGCCGAGGCATGAGGTCACCTGGCACAGCAACAGCAGCAGCTGCGGAGGACGCGCAGGCGCTGCGGCGGGAGGCAGTGTCAGGCTCGGGCCCCTGGGGAATTCCTCCCCTCCTTTCCCCCCCGCACCAGTCCCCTAGAGAGGCGTACCCGGGTCCCGCCCGCCAGAGCCTGAGCTTTGTACCGCCCACCAAGGCCACGCCCCCTACCAGCTGTGGGGCGCCGCAGAGGTCCTTTCTTCGGCTCCGGAGCGGTCCCTCCGCCTTCCCCGCTCGAGGCCACGCCCCCGTGCTCCTGCCGCCTTATTTTCCCCGGAGAGTCCCGAGGCGCCGCGCCTTGGCCCTGCCTACAGCCCGAGGCCCCGCCCCCGGCGCCCCTCCCAGCCGTTTGAAGCGGCTCGGGCTGCGGCTGGCTCAGAGTGGCGCGGGGGGCGTGGGGCGGTGCTGAGGAGCTGAAGCCGTGGCCAGCTCGACGCCGGACAGTCCAGCGAGCAGCACGGCGGGAACCGGCAGCCGGAGCAGTCCCGGAGCAGAAGCAGCAGCAGCAGCAGCAGCCCTCGCCGTTCGCGGAGCGCAGCCGAGCCGGCCATGGCGTTGTCGATGCCGCTGAATGGGCTGAAGGAGGAGGACAAAGAGCCCCTCATCGAGCTCTTCGTCAAGGTGAGCGCTCGCCTCGCGGTCCCGCCCGGCAGATCCCCCGGCTCCCTCCCGGCTGCGGGGAGCGGCGTCCCGGGGCTCTCCTGAGGCGCCCCCGCTCGGCGCCAGCACCCGTCCCGCTGCGGGCACCCGCGCCCCCGGCCCATTGTCTGGGGGCCGCCCGCGCCTTCCCGCCTCCGAGGGCCCGTCGAGGGGTCCGGGTTGGGGACCCGGGCGGCGGCCACCGTCTCCAGCGCGTAGGCATCGGCGGACGCCAGACCAGCGTCCCGCGCCCGGGTGGGTCGGGAAGAGCCCACGGGCGGGACTTGCCTGCCCCGGGGCCCCAGCGCCGGGCGCGCGCGGGTCCTGTCACCACCCCCCGCCCGGGCGCCGGGGCCCGGCCCCACCCGCTCCCCAGCGCTCCGGTCCGCCGCCCGGAGCCCGAACTGCGGCCCGCCGCCCGATGAGCTTTCAAACGAACTTCTTTGAACGCGTTTTTGAAAAAGCATTTGCTCCCCACTGGTCTGAAACGGAAACTTTAATTTTCGATGCAATCTTAAACAAATTTACCAAAGAGCAGGTGCTCTTGGACCTTCGGAAAAGACCGAGATTCCCAACTTGTGTTTTTCTGTCTTGGGCATTTACTGGCTTTCTCGTTTCTCAAGCGCGGAGTGTTCTGTATGATGCAACATTTTGGCTTCTCCCCCCGGCGTTGCTGCTTCGGGAAGGATTGTGTGTGCCCTTTTGTTTTGAAAGAAATTGAGGGAGAGAATTCTTAACTTGCTTGGGCTTTAAAGGGTTGGTTTTCCCTTGTGTCTTCAGCTTTCATGTGTGGAATTTATTTGCTTACACATACTACCCCTCTTCCTTTGCTTTTCTCTTTAATACTTTTTATTTTAGCAAAGGAGAGAGTCGAAGTTATAAACATCTGGATCCAGCTCCTTCCCTCAAAACTTAAAAAAAACACTTTGAGCTTCTTCCAGCCACTTAAAAAGCCAGGCTCATTCAGAGCTAGGCAACATACCGGAAAGTAAATGGTCATCTAGAACTATTGGGTTCTTTTTTTTCCCCGAGTTTTTACTTTAAAGAAAGGACATTTCAGGATGTGTTTAAGAGATAGAGAAGGGCTGGGCGCGGTGGCTCATGCCTGTAATCGCAGCACTTTCGGAGGCCGAGGTGGGAGGATTACTTGAGTCCAGCCTGAACAAGATGGCGAAACCCTGTCTCTACAAAAAAATTCAAAAATTAGCTGGGAGCGATGTTACGCGCCTGTACTACTCTGGAGGCTGCGGTGGGAGAACTGCTTGAGCCCGGGAGGTCGAGGCTGCAGTGAGCCACGTCGCACCACTGCATTCCAGCCTGGGCGACAGAGCAAGACCCTGTCTCAAACAAAAGAGATGGAGAGAAGAAATAATCTGCATTTACCTCTGCAGTCTTCAGTAATGACTGGAACAGTGTTTGCCTTAGGATTTTCTTTCAATTGTCAATTTTCGATTTTTTTTTTTTTTTTTTTTTTGGTCCAGGGAACTGAAACAGCAGACAGGTATAGAACCCCCAAAATATCAAAGCGTTTCGGTTACTTTGAGTGGCAGATATAGTACTTTGAGATGCGTAGAATGTAGGAAGGAACCTGAAATACAAGAAAGGAAGGAGGCCGGGCGCGGTGGCTCACGCCTGTAATCCCAGCACTTTGGGAGGCTGAGGTGGGCAGATCACGAGGTCAGGAGATCGAGACCATCCTGGCCAACATGGTGAAACCCCATCTCTACTAAAAATACAAAAATTAGCTGGGCGTGGTGGCGCGTGCCTGTAGTCCCAGCTACTCGGGAGGCTGAGGCAGGAGAATTGCTTGAACCCGGGAGGCAGAGGTTGTGGTGTGCGGAGATTGCGCCACTGTACTCCAGCCTGGGCAACAGAGTAAGACTCCATCTCAAAAAAAAAAAAAAAAAAGAAAGAAAGGAAGGGTGGTGGGTGGAAAACAGCATGGAGAAGGGAAACAAGTGGGCCAGAGATGAGTTAAAAAAAATTTTTACTGAGTGAGGAATAGGAAGGAATTTCCATAAACTCAAAAAAAGTGCATCCATGAATAATCTGTAAAACATGATACTTAACGGTGAAACTTTAGAACAGTATTAAACTTAGAATAAGCTACTATCGGGCCGGGTGAGGTGACTCACACCTGTAGCATTTTGGGATGCCGAGATGGGGAGATCACTTGAGGCCAGGAGTTCGAGACCAGCCTGGCCAACATGGTGAAACCCTGTCTCTACTAAAAATAGAAAAATTAGCCAGGCATGGTGGTGGGCCCAGCTATTCGGGAGGCTGAGGCATGAGAATCGCTTGAACCGGGGAGGCAAAGGTTGGAGTGAGCCAAGATCAAGTCACTGCACTCCAGCCTGGGCGACAGAGTGAGACTTCGTCTCAAAAAAAAAAAAAAAAAGATAAAGCTATTATCAGTTATGGCTCTATTCAGTATTCTATTATTCTATTGGAGGAGCTAATCAAAGAAGACAAGAAAAATTAAGTATCTGAATTAGGAAGAGATCAGTGATTAATGCCCTGCTTACTATTAATTTCATCTTTCAGTTAGAATAGCAGAGGGGCGTGTGCAGTTTTCCAAACTTGAGTCACTTGCATCCCCTTTCTGTTTTTCATATTTGTGTTGAGAACCACTGAAAATCATCCTTCCTACCACTAGTTGTAAGCCTTTCTCATTGGGCTTGGTGGCAGAGAATCAGGGTTCAAGTCACAGTTCTTTACTCCTTGGTTGGGTGACCCTAGGCAGTTTGTTTTCACTCTTTAAGCCTTGTTTGTCTCATTTGTGAAATAAGAAATGTTTTCTGCTACCCAGTGATTCAACATAGGCAAACTTTGCACTGATACAGATCAGGTTTTTTGTTTTTTTTTTTTTTTTTTTTTTTAATGAGATGGTGTCTCGCTCTGTCACCCTGGCTGCTGGAGTGCAGTGGCGCGATCTCGGCTCACTGCACCCTCTGCCTCCCAGGTTGAAGTGATTCTTCTGCCTTTGCCTTCCGAGGAGCGCATGCACCACTACGCCTGGCTGATTTTTGTATTTTAGAAGAGACTGGGTTTTACCATGTTGGCCAGGCTGGTCTCAAACTCCTGACCTTAAGTGATCTGCCTGCCTTGGCCTCCCAAAGTGCTGGGATTACAGGCTTGAGCCTCTGTGCTTGGCCCCTAGACCAGTTTGTTTGAAAGGGGAAAAAAGGACAGGTAAAATGTGGTAAAGGGCATTCTTGATCTCTTCTCAAAACCTACGTGTGGGAAATGCAAATGGGGGAAATACCCTTGTAAATATAGTTATTTTGAAAGCAGTGGACCAGGTGTGGTGGCACACTCCTGTAATCCCAGCCTTTTGGGAGGCGGAGGGGGGTGGATCACTTGATGTTGAGACCAGCCTGGGCAACATGGCGAAACCGCATTTCTACTAAAAATACAAAAATTAGCCACGCATAGTGGTGCATGGCTGTAATCCCAGCTACTCGGGAGACTGAGGCAGGAGAATTGCTTGAACCTGGGAGGCGGTGGTTGCAGTGAGCCGAGATAGTGCCACTGCACCCCAGCCTGGGTGACAGAGCAAGACTCCATCTCAAAAAATAAAAATTAAAAAAAAAAAAAAGAAAGTAGAGAGGGTGCAGAGGCTGTGGTTGTCCAGAGTGGTATGTTGAACAGTGTTAACCTGCCAAGAGGTATCTGAGTTTGTAAAAGAAAACTATTTACAGTTGAAGCACATAGCATGTATGGAAATTAGAAATTTGGTGGTGGCGCTAGGGGAAAGGCCAAGAGATGTAATGGGGCTTTGAGCCTACCTGTCTAGCTAGCACTGAGCTTCACATTTAAGAGAGAGAGATGAGCACCTTCTCAAATAGTATGACTGAACTCACAGCTGCATTTCCTTCCTTGTGAGTAGTTTTTGGAGTTGTCTGCCTGTGAGCCCATTAACTCCCTGTCATCTATATAACAGCAGGATGGTTTTTTTGGTTTGTTTTTGTTTTGTTTTACCCTCAACATCTGGAGGATAGATAGGATGCCCTCTCAAAAGTAAAAAAGGCAGCTGGGCTGTGGTGGCTCACGCCTGTAATCCTAGCACTGTAGGAGGCCAAGGAGGATGAATCTTTTGAGCGCAGGAGTTCTAGACCAGCCTGGGCAACATGGCGAGACCCTGTCTCTACAAAAACTATTAAAAAAATTGCCAGGCACAGTGGCTCACGCCTGTAATCCCAGTACTTTGGGAGGCTGAGGCAGGCGGATCTCTTGAGCCTAGGAGTTCGAGACCAGCCTGGGCAACGTAGCAAAACCCCATCTCTACAAAAAATATAAAAAATTAGCTGGGTGTGGTGATACATGCCTGTGGTCCCAGCTGAGGTGGGAGGATTCCTTTAGCCTGGGAGGCAGAGGTTGGCTGTGAGCCGTGATCGTGCCACTGCACTCCAGCTTGGGTGAGACCCTATCTCTAAATAAATAAGTAAGTAACTAAGCTGGGCCTGGTGGCCCACGCCTGCAGCCCTAGCCCTAGAGGCTGCGGGTGGGAGGATTGTTTGAGCCCAGGAGTTCGAGGCTGCAGTGAGCTTATGATCATGTACCTGCACTCCAATCTGGGTGACAGAACAAGACCCTGTCTCGGGAGGAAAACAACAAAGGCTTATAATGGCAATCATCCTCAACAGTGGAGATGCTCTCTACCCCACTCAGGAGCCTGGTAGGTGTATATATTTCCAGCTGGGAACCACCAACAGATACGGTATATTTGAGACCTTTTAGCAAGGGCATAAGGTCCCTTGTAATCTGGGTTTCTTTCTTTCTTTCTTTCTTTCTTTTTTTTTTTTTTTTTAAGACGGAGTTTCGCTCTTGTTACCCCTCAGCCTCCCGAGTGGCTGGGACTACAGGTGTGCACCACCACACCTGGCTAATTTTGTATTTTTAGTAGAGACAAGGTTTCTCCATGTTGGTCAGGCTTGTCTCGAACTCCTGACCTCAGGTGATCAGCCTGCCTTGGCCTCCAAAAGTGCTGGGATTACAGGCGTGAGCCACCGAGCCTGGCCTACTGCCTGAGTTTCTAATCCAATATGTCCAGTTACTAATTGTGTATCCCAGGATACATCACTTAAACCTGTCTGTGCCACATCTGCACAGTTGGGATATTAGTAGAACAGTCCTATGGGATAAATTAATATATGTAGTATGCAACAATCTTAGAACAATGTCTAGTACACAGTAAGCAAATAAATGCTAGTTGTGTATAATTTTGTATGAATATATATTTATAGGCAGATCTCCCCTACTAGATAGACAGTAAATTCCTTGAGGATAGGGTGTGCATATGGTTCAGAGTGCCTGCAACTTAAGAGGATGCCAAATGTTTGAAATGAGATTGTGCCCTTCTTTCAGAGAATTCTGTTGTTGAGCATTTTGTTGTCAATGTATGTCTCTACCATGCTTTGGAATTAGAAACCACTTACTGAGATCCCGATGGTTGGAGCATCAAAGCATGGTTCTTCATCCTGATTTCTCTAGCCTCCAGTCTCCAAACCCAGTGTAATTTTATGTACTCACCTCTTTTTTTTCTCCATTTAATACTTCCAGTCTTTTTTTTTTTTTTTTTTTTGAGATGGAGTCTTGCACTGTTACCCGGGCTGGAGTGCAGTGGCACGATCTTGGCTCACTGCAACCTCTGTCTCCCGAGTTCAAGCGATTCTCCTGCCGCAGACTCCCGAGTAGCTGGGGTTACAGGCACCCGCCACCATGGCCAGCTAATTTTTTGTATTTTTAGTAGAGATGAGGAGCTAATTTGTATTTGTAGTAGAGACGGGGTTTCACTATGTTGGCCAGGCTGGTCTTGAACTCCTGACCTAGTGATCCACCCGCTCGGCCTCCCAAAGTGCTGGGATTACAGGCGTGAGCCACCGTGCCAGTCTTTTATATATTTACTAGTGTTTCTTCTTGGCTATGTCCAGAATTTGGGGAACCAAGATTTTTGTTTGGGTAAAACTAAATATTAACTCTTGAACCACAAATGAGAGTAATAGAGATGGGGTTTCTCCATCCAGCTTGGCCAACATGGCGAAACCCCGTCTCTACTAAAAATACAAAAATTAGCCGGTCGTGGTGGCGGGCGCCTGTAATCCCGGCTACTCGGGAGTCTGAGGCAGGAGAATCACTTGAACCCGGGAAGCGGAGATTGCAGTGAGCCGAGATTGTGCCATTGCACTCCAGCCTGAGGGACAAGAGCAAGACTCTGTCTCAAAAACAATCAAATCAAAAAACAGAAAGTAATCCCTTTGCGGAGTTCAGTTTTATGGGCTGGAATTTAAACTTGTTGTTGTGCCACTGTGAACTGGGATGATCACTGTCAGCAAGTAGTCACCAAGCTGCTGGGATTGGGGTGGTGTTTGTAAAAAGTTAATCTGGTGCAGGGTGGCATAACACATAAGAGTCTGTTTCTTTTGAGATATTTGGCAGAGGTTCCTAATGTGCTTGGACTCTGGAGCCACACTGCTTGACTTGAATCTGGCTTCTAGTATGTCAGGCAAGTTTTTAAGCTCTCAGTGCTTCAGTTTCCTAACTTCTAATATCAGGATAATAATAATAGCAATTTTATATGGTTACTGAGGGGATTAAAACTGTTAATCTGTGCATATTAGTTAGGGTAGTTTAAGTTGCTGTAATAAGTTATCCCCCCACAAACAGTGGTTCAAATATGATGGAAGTTTATTTCTCACCCCTCAGTCCAGGAGAATGTCTTAGATGTTAGGGTGGCTTTCCTCCTCAGAGTCATTAAGGGACCCGGGCTCTTTCTAGCTTATTTGTCCACTAACTCCCAGAGCATTGTCCTCTTCTGAATTGTCAAAGTTGGTGGGTGACAAGTACTGTCTGTTGCCAGTGGGGGGTGGAAAATATGGAGGAAGCACATCTTAAGGGCCCCAGCTCAGAAGTTCTACCTGTTACTTCCGGTCACATTCTATTGGAGAGAACTTAATCACATAGCTTCATCTGCAAGAGAGGCTGGCAAGTGTGGTCTAACCGTATACCATCCTATGTAAAGCTTTAGGAAGAGTGCTTGACACATAGTAAACACCTGCTTTTGTCATCGATAATAGTTTATTATTATTATTTTTTTTTGAGACGGAGTCTCGCTCTGTCGCCAGACTGGAATGCAGTGGTGCAATCTTGGCTCACTGCAACCTCTGCTTCCCGGGTTCAAGCGATTCTTCTGCCTCAGCCTCTGGAGTAGCTGGGACTACAGGCGCGTGCCACCATGCTCAGCTAATTTTTGTATTTTTAGTAGAGATGGGGTTTCACCGTGTTGGTCAGGATGGTCTCGATCTCCTGACCCCATGATCTGCCCGCCTTGGCCTCCCGAAGTGCTGGGATTACAGGCGTGAGCCACCGCGCCCAGCCTAATAGTATATTATTTTTAAATGTGGGCTCTATTAGTAGGATCAGGGAGTTCTGTAAATCCTTGAAATTACAGTAAAAAATTCTAATGTGAGGCTTTTTTTCTGGAAATTCCTAAACCAAGGCTAAGAACCACTGTTCTAAAAGAAGTAAATAGTGGAATTCTTAGAGTCAAGAATACTTTATATAAGCAAGGTATAAAAGAAGGGCTTGGGCTAGATGATCACAAAGGTCTCTTCTAGTTATTATTAACTATGACTTAAAGAATGTACCGGCATGAACTAAGTGCTAATACTGAGTTAAGTACTATGGAAGATATAAGAAATTATTAAACAGTTAATTTCTTTAGGTTTACAAATTTTATTGGAAAGAAAACAATACAAGATGGTCCATGCTTAAAGAGTCAAGTGGGGCTCACATTAAGTAGGGCTAGGAGACATGGGGAAAGATGGAAGGAGGCTTAAACTTGACCTTGAAAAAGGAGGTGAATAGGTGGGTTCGGAATAGCCAAGAATGGGAATGTGAGTTTTGACATTATGTGGAAACTCCTTATGCAGGAAACAATTGGTAGATTGATACCTAAGAAGGAACCAGGAGTGATTCAGATCTATAGTGCCAGGGAGACAAGTTATTTAAAAGTTGAGGATGAGACTTTTAAAACCTAACTTGGGTTTTTGTTAATGTATACATTTTCCTAACTTTTTTCATTCTCCCCACACTTTCCTGTGTTTTTGGATTGCTGTCTGTTTAATAACTTTTCAGTGGCACTTGGGAAGGTGCAAATGGATTGTACAGATGGACTGTTTTGACAGTTTAAAGTGGGAATTCTTTATATTGTTTCAAGGACAGGCTTCAAACTTCCCCCCGTCTTTGTTTTTTCTAACAGAAAAAAATGAAATAAATTTTCTATAGGAAATGATGCTGAAAACTGTTCTGGTAATTAACAAAAGCTAACTCAATATTCAGACAATATTACCTTGAATCTAATTGATTTGCCATTCATTTGAGGTTTCCGGGGGGAAAATTCAGGAGACAGAAATGAATGTAAAGTATGAAGTTAATGAAAACCTATTATTTTAACTTTTTGCCTGAGCTGTTCCTGAAGACCTAATAATGCTACTTTTGGCAAAGGCCAAATTTGATGATTTTGGTTTAATGTAAAAACCTGTGAGAAAGGAGCCTAGAATGGGGAAGAGGCAGGAGGCTTTGAGCCTAGGAGACTGAGCACACGAAAAGCTTAACAGAGTATGAATAATGATAGGAAAGAGGCAATTGGGAGAAGAACCTGGCTGTCAGGAAATGTCACAGTTGGTTTGGGAAGATGCCTGCAGAGGTGCCTAGAAGCCAGTAAGTAAGGATGGTGAGCCATCCTTTTCCGCTTCCTGTTTCGTTAGAGCTGTGGAGCCTCCGTGTTCTGATGTCCCCTGAGTAGGGAATTGTGAGTCCATAAAAGGAAAATGTGTTAGGCAGGATGGGAAGTGTGATTAAGGCATGAGTTAAGATTTTGGTCAAGTAGAGGAGTAAGCTAGGATGGGTTTGCCTGTTTTAGACGCTTGCATAGAGAATGGAAAGGGACTTTCTGAAGGAAAATGACATTAGGTCATGGTTACCTATTGTCCAAGGATGATTTAAGACATGTAAATGTAATTTAGGGCATCAGCTAGTGAATTTTCTCATGGCTTTTAATTATATTGTCTATTTCGAGACTTGCCTCTTATCTCTCAGTGGTCAGTTCCAGATATTGGTATAAGAAATAAGAAATAACAATGATAGGCCCACTGCCATGGCTCACACCTGTAATCCCAGCACTTTGGGAGACCGAGGTGGGTGGATCGCCTGAGGTCAGGAGTTCAAGGCCAGCCTGGCCAACATGGTGAATCCCTGTCTCTACTAAAAATACAAAAATTAGCTGGGCGTGGTGGTGGGCGCCTGTAATCCCAGCTACTCGGGAGGCTGAGGCAGGAGAATTGCTTTAACCTGGGAGGCGGAGGTTGCAGTGAGCTGAGATTGTGTTACTACACTCCAGCCTGGACGACAGAGTAAGACTCCGTCTCAAAAAAAAAAAAAAAATTATAGGCTGGGCAAAATAGTGAGTCCTCATCTCTATAAAAACTAAATTTTTGTATTTTTAGTAGAGATGGGGTTTCACCATGTTGGTCAGGCTTGTCTTGAACTCCTGACCTCATGATCTGCCCGCCTCGGCCTCCCAAAGTACTGGGATTACAGGCGTGAGCTACCACTCCTGGCCCCATCTCTACTAAAAATACAAAAATTAGCTAGGCATGATGGTGCACGCCTGTAATCCCAGCTACTCAGGAGGCTGAGGCAGGAGAATCTCTTGAACCCGGGAGGCGGAGGTTGCAGTGAGCTAAGATCACACCACTGCACTCCAGCCTGGGCGACAGTGAGACTCTGTCTCAAAAAAAAAAAAAAAAAAATTAGTCTGGTGTGGTGGTGGTGGTGAGTGCCTCTAGACCTAGCTTTGGCAGGCTGAGGCCGGAGGATCACTTGAGCCTAGAAGTTCAAGGCTGCAATGAGCTATGATTGTGCCACTGCACTCTGGCCTGGGTGACCGACGGAGATCCTATCTCTTAAAAAAAAAAAAGAAAAGAATTATCCATATAATTAGCCTTATATGGTTTCTGTTTTTTCCTTTATTTAAAATAAAACCAAAAAACAAAATTAAAAAAAAAATAATAAAACCAGGATAATATGTTAGTCTAATTTATGAAAGTGACAACTTAGTGCAGATAAATAAGACTGTATTTGAAAACTGTATCAAATGTAGACTAGGAGTATCTTAAATTTTAACTTTTTTTTTGAGATGGAGTTTTGCTCTTGTTGCCCAGGCTGGAGTGCAGTGGTGCGATCTCGGCTCACTGCAACCTCCGCCTCCTGGTTTCAAGCGATTCTCCTGCCTCAACCTCCTGAGTAGCTGGGACTACAGGCACGCACCACCATGCCCAGCTAATTTTTTGATTTTTTTTTTTTTTTTTTTTTGAGACGGAGTCTTGCTCTGTCGCCCAGGCTGGAGTGCAGTGACGCGATCTCTGCTCACTGCAAGCTCCGCCTCCTGGGTTCACGCCATTCTCCTGCCTCAGCCTCCCGAGTAGCTGGGACTACAGGCGCCCGCCACCACGCCTGGCTGATTTTTTCTATTTCTAGTAGAGACGGGGTTTCACCGTGTTAGCTAGGATGGTCTTGATCTCCTGACCTCGTGATCCGCCCGCCTCGGCCTCCCAAAGTGCTGGGATTACAGGCGTGAGCCACCGCGCCCTGCTAACATTAGTGTTTTGAAAAAGTAACTATTAGAACCAGGGCCAGGAACGGACCTGAGTTCAACATGCATATATTTTGTACCTTTAAGCATCCTTTCATAGGTTTCTTTGCTTTTCTTGAAGTTGAAATACAAGCTGTTTCTTGAAGCTGAAATAAACTAGGAGTATGACAGGTTTTCTTTCTCTTTTTTTGGTAACAAAATTATTACTTCCAACTTACATGTGAATAACTCATTCTTATGAAAAGATTTAGTTCTCATTATAATATAGTTGTAAAAATGTCAATCACTTGTAATAACTTAAGTATTGAATTTTACCACTGTGCAGCATAGCTATTTATTTGTGTATGTGGGAGAAGAAAAAAGAGAATCTGAACAAATATTGAAGAATACAAAACCAAACAATCAGATGAAAGCTGAGGTAATTAAGAACTTTTTTTTTTTGAAATGGAGTCTCACTCTGTCGCCTAGGCTGGAGTGCAGTGGCGTGATCTTGGCTCACTGCAACCTCCGCCTCCCGGGTTCAAGCGATTCTTCTGCCTCAGCCTCCTGAGTAGCTGGGATTACAGACACCCACCACCATGCCTGGCTAGTTTTTTTTTTAATGTTTTTTTTTTTGAGACGGAGTTTCGCTCTTGTTGCCGAGGCTGGAGTGCAATGGCACGATCTCTGCTCACCGCAACCTCCGCCTCCTAGGTTCAAGCAATTCTCCTGCCTCAGCCTCCCAAGTAGCTGAGATTACAGGCATGCACCACCACACCCAGCTAATTTTGTATTTTTAGTAGAGATGGGGTTTCTCCATGTTGGTCAAGCTAGTCTGTACCTCTAGACCTCAGGTGATCCGCCTGCCTCGGCCTCCCAAAGTTCTGGGATTACAGATGTGAGCCACCACGCCTGGCCTAGTTTTTGTCTTTTTAGTAGAGACGGGGTTTCACCATGTTGGGTAGGCTGATCTTGAACTCTTGACCTTAGGTGGTCTGCCTGCCTTGACCTCGCAAAGTGTTGGGATTACAGGCATGAGCCACTGCACGTGGTCTTAAGAACTTTTAAGGATTTGTGAATTCTCTGCATGTTTTCTTCTGCTAACAACCAGTTACTTTATTTTGGAAGTAGAGAACAGGTGGTGGATTACGAGAGTGAATATTCATTAAAAACTAAAGATGGACCAGGCGTGGTGGCACATGCCTGTAACCCCAGCACTTTGGGAGGCTGGGGCAGGAGGATCATTTGAGCCCAGGAGTTCGAGACCAGCCTGAGCAACATAGTGAGACCCTGTCTCTACAAAAAAACTAAAGGTGAACCAAACTAGATTATTGTGCTACCTAGGAAAACAGAAAAAGTGGTAGCTGTGAAAACAGACTAATTAGGAAAAAAAAGAAGGTGATTACACTTAAGAAATTAAATTTAAGCCTTGACCATAACACACACCCAAGACTGAAATGAATTTTTTTCTTTTTCTTCCCTTCTTTTTTCTTTTCTTTCTTTTTTTTTGAGACACAGTCTTCCTCTGTGGCCCAGGCTGGAGTGCGCTGGTGCAATCACGGCTCACTGCAACCCCAACCTCCTGGGCTCAAGTGATCCTCTCACCTCAGCCTTCCAAGTAGCTGGGACCACAGGCGCATGCCACCATGCTTGGCTGCTTTTTATAGAGATGGGGTTTCTCAGTGTTGCCCAGGCTGGTCTCAAACTCCAGGGCTCAAGCAATTCTCCCACCTCAGCCTCTCAAAGTGCTGTGATTACAGGTGTGAGCCACCGTGCCCAGCCCTATTTAGCCTTTCTCTGTTTTAGTTTAAATATTGGTCCTAAGTTTGAAAAGGTAATGTCATTTCCTTCTGCTTTCTAGTATATTCATTGTGTGTATTATGCTCTTTTTAAAAAAGTGTCTTTTTTCCAGTTATAAAAGCTATATGTATTTACTCTAGACAACTTAGAAAACAATAGAAAAGCATAAATAAAATAAAAATTACTTATAACCCCTTGACTAGAGATAGTTGTTGCTATTGTATGTCCTAGTCTTTTTTTTTTTTTTCCTCGTTCTTTCTCCCTGGCTGGATGCAGTGGTTCAATCTCAGCTCACTGCAACCTCTGCCTCCTGGGTTTGAGCGATTCTCCTACCTCAGCCTCCCAAGTAGCTGGGATTATAGGCGCCTGCCACCACACCCAGATAATTTTTTTTTTTTTGAGGCAGAGTCTCACTCTGTCACCCAGGCTGGGGTGCACTGGTGCGATCTCGGCTCACTGCAACCTCCACCTCCTGGTTCAAGTGATTCTCTTGCCTCAGCCTCCCGACTGGCTGGGACTAGAGACACGTACCACCATGCCTGGCTTATTTTTGTATTTTTAGTAGAGACAGGGTTTCGCCGTTGTTCGCCAGGCTGATCTCGAACTCCTGACCTCTGGTGATCTGCCCGCCTTGGCCTTCCAAAAGTTCTGGGATTACAGGCATGAGCCATCATGCCCGGCCCTTAGTCTTTTTCTTAATAAGTTTGCATGAATTATTATTTATTTATTTTTATTTTTATTTTTTTATTTTTGCTTGCATGAATTATTGAGAATTTATATATAATATTTTAATGCTGTTCATGACAGAAGACTTGAATGAGTGAAGGATGAGCACTGATCTGATATGTAACATGTATTGAATTAAGTGAGT
The DNA here is from genome assembly GCF_000001405.40 of Homo sapiens. Lineage (NCBI taxonomy): Eukaryota > Metazoa > Chordata > Mammalia > Primates > Hominidae > Homo > Homo sapiens. Next base: position 24,758,948 of record NC_000001.11, read on the forward strand.
TGGTTTAAAGAAAATTTATTTAGGTTTTATAAAAGAAACTCAGATTTTGCCTATATCTTCTTTAGAACATTTGATCTTTGGTGGAAGAAAGCAGGTCATGAAAGTATGACATGAAATGTGCCATCACCTAGAATGGATATTGATTAAATGGTTTGAAGGTAGATCCTCCTCTTGTGCTCTTTAGGAGAAATCTATTCTAAAAATGAAAGTTATTTTTCAGTATTAATTTCTTCCTTCAATATCTATGTAATAGGTAAGATATGTCCATTTTATAGTTCAAGTATAATAAGAAACCAGTCTTTGCCTAGGAACAGTTGAGCACAGTATAGGGGATCATAATAGAAGCAAACATCAATTGAATACTTTCCATGCACTAAGTGCTGGAGAGGTAAAGGAGTAAGAATGAGCCCCTTGTGTTCAAGGAGCTCTATTATAACCAAGTAGACAGTCAGATGGTGAGTAAATGAGCCATGGTTGTTGGTGGTAGGTTCTTAGCACCATCTTTTTCCTATACAATACGTGACTTTTTTTTTTTTGTCTCATGCACTTTTTTATTCTAGCTGAAATAGAAGCTTAAGAAATGATTTAAGTGGGAAATTAAATGAGATAATTGATTTAGAGATGAGTTAAATGTTTGTGTTGTATTCTAACAGTTTAAGGGTTGCTAGTATTACTGACTCTATTACACTGCTTATTATCAGTTGTTTAAAGAAACTTTTGACCAGGCATGGTGACTCACGCCTGTACTCCCAGCATTTTGAGAGGCCAAGGTGGGTGGATCGCTTGAGTCCAGGAGTTCAAGACCAGCCTCTGCAACGTGGGGAAACCCCATCGTTTTGTGTTTTGCAAAAACACAAAAATCTGGGTGTGGTGGCACGTGCCTGTATTCCCAGTTGCTTGGGGGCTGAGGCAGGAGGATCACCTGAACCTTGGGAGGTTGAGGCCACAGTGAGTAGTAATCCATAATCGTGTCACTGCCCTCCAGCCTGGGCCACAGAGTGAGACCGTGTCTCAAAAAAAAACCAAACCAAAACAAACTTTTATCTTTTCCCTCAATAATTAGTTGCATGTTATATCTGCTAATTTTGATCTATCTAAAATAAAATGGATACTTCTTGCCTCAAATTTTAAATAGGGGCCAGATGTGGTGGTTCATGCCTGTAATCCCAGCACTTTGGGAGGCTGAGGCAGGTGGATCAGTTGAGGTCAGGAGTTTGAGACAGCCTGGCCAACATGGGGAAACCCCGTCTCTACTAAGACTACAAAAAATTAGCCAGGCGTGGTGGCGGGTGCCTGTAATTTCAGCTACTTGGGAGGCTGAGGCAGGAGAATTGCTTGAACCTGGGAGGCGGAGGTTGCAGTGAGCCTAGATTGCACCACTGCACTCCAGTGACAGAGGGGGACTCCATCTCAAAAAAAAAGAAAAAAGAAAAAGAAAAGAAAATCTTAAATAGATCCTGCTTTCCCTAGTTGTTTATTGAATTAGATACAAAGTCTTTGATCTGGCATTGATCTAACTTGTATTTCCACTCTTAACCCCCACCGCAGCTGCAGATATGCCTCATATTGTATCTAGATTGGTCTTAAACATGCTCTGCACTTCTCTGCCTTCATGGAAGACTTTTGCTGATATTTCCTTCACTTGATACACTTTTGGCTTTTCCACCCTCTCCCTGCCCCCAATTTCTGCTTGCCAGAATAATATCTGTTCTTCTTTCATTCATTTATTTAACAACTATTGAGACACTGTTGTAGGTGCTTGGATACACCTAGTGAACAAAGTTCTTGTCATTATGGCAGTCATATTCAGTTGAGGGAGGCAAACGATAAATGCTGGTGATTAAATGCTGTGAAGAAAATGAAGTAGGTTAAGGAAATTTTTTGAAGTAGGTTAAGGAGTATTGACAATGATAGGGGGTGCTATTTTCAGTTTAACGGGGCATTCCATTATCCCTGTGGAGAATGACAATTAGGAAGGCAAGGTCAGAAGCAGGGAGACTAATTAGAGGTGACTTTTCCAGTAATCCAGGCATGAGATGATGGTGGCTTGGAATAAGGTGGGAAGTTGCTGGATTCTGGATATATTCTAAGATGGAGACAACAGAATTTCCTGAGGGACTGGATGTGGAATGTGAGAGAAAGAGGAGTTAAAGATGATTCTGAGATTTTTGTTCTGAACAGCCAGAATGATGGAGTTGTCATTAACTGAGGTGGAAAAGGCTGTGGGAAGGGCTAGTTCTGATGGGGAGGAGATCAGGAGTTTAGTTTTTTGACGTGTTAAATTCAAATTTATTAATACCTCATAGAACCTATCATCTACTTGGAGAGGCATATGTTAAAGAAACATATAAATAAGGACAGTAGGTTATTATATCAAAGAAAAGAACAGGGCAACTTGAGAAAGAATGGCAGGAAACCCAATTTAGATGGAGGCTCAGTGAGAGCTTTTCTGAGAAAATGACATGTAGGATGAGTAGTAATTAGAATGAGGGGAAAAGCGTTCTAGGTTGAAGGAATCAGCATGTGTAAAGGCTGGAAATAATCAGTTAAGGGTGTGACTGGAAAACAGAGAACAAAAGTGAGCAGTAGAGTGAGGGATTGACAGGGGCCACATCATGGAGGGCCTTGTATGTCATGTGAATTTTGTCCTTAGTAGAAATGGCAGTTCTCAGATGGGTTTAAGTGAGGGAGCTTCAGGATTAGAGTTGCATCTTAATATGAGTAGCCTGGCTCTGTGGAAAATGAATTTAAGGGAGGCAAGAGTGGCAATAAGGACAACTATTTGGAGGCCATTGCCATCAAGAAAGGTGATGGTGGCTTGGATTAATAAGGTGATGGAGAGAAGAGAATGGATTTGAGGTAGATTTTGGAAGTGGTGTCAATAGGAGGATGTTAAGGAGGTATGTGAGAGAGAAAAGTGTGAGAAATGACTTGGGTTTGTAATTAGAGCCACTGGTCAAGAGTTGCCGTTCATGGAGAGGGAGGAGGAGCAGACAGAGTTCAAGTTTTGACTTGTTGAGTATAAGATGGCTGAGATGTCAAGTGGAGATGTTGGTAGAAAGTTGGACCTACAGATCTGTTCAGAAAGAAGTCTAGGCAGGGTAGAGATATTTGGGACTTGATGACATACATATATGTATATATGACATACACACACACATAGAATATTTGGTATTTAAAGTGTATGAGGCTGGATGTGGTAGCTCACACCTATAATCCCAGCACTATGGAAGGCTGAGGTGGAAGATTTGCTTGAGGCCAGGAGTTTTTGACCAGTCTGGGCAACATAGCAAGACCCCATCCCTGCAAAAATAAAAATAAAAAATCAGCTGGGCGTGATGTCACATGCCTATAGTCCTAGCTACTTCAGGAGGCTGAGGCAGGAAGGTTCACTTGAACCCAGGAGTTAGAGGCTACGGTGAGATATGATCATGCCACTGCACTGCCTGATGACGGAGTGAGACTCTCTCTAAAGAAAAAAACAAGTGTATGAGATCATTGTGTGGATGAGTAAAGAGTGAGGAAAATGCCTAGAAGCAAGTTCTGAGGAACTCTAAACACTTAGGGGTTGGGTAATGGAGGAGAAGCTAGACAAGGAGAACAAAGAGGAACTGTGGGGGAACAGTAGTGAGTGGTGAGAGGAAAACTACTAGAGTGAGGTAGGAAGAAGCTAGGAGAGGTTTGTAAGGAGGGAGTGACCAGTTGTATCAAGCTGAGTGTTTGTTGGATTTAACACCCTGGAAGTTACTGGCAACCTTCGTAGTAACAGCTTTGGTGGAGTAGTGGTGGTGGGAAGTCATAATACAGCGGGTAGAAGAATGAAATAGGAAGTAAGAGACTGGAGTCAGTGTGTAAAGCCAACTCTAACAAGAAACTTGGCTATGTAGAAGACACAGGTTGATAGCTGCAAAGGGGGATACATATGAAGGGAAGGCTTTAAAAAGTATGAGCTGTAAGAGCTGGGTTGAATGCTGATTTATTAGAGAAAGAAGTGGAAAATTAAAGAGAGACATGGTTTAATGGATGTCCTTCAAGGAATCTCCCAAATGGCCACCTATTCCACTAGGTCCCCCTCAGTGGTATGTATTGCTTCTTCGTATGAATTTTCATACAACCTTCCCTCCTACTTCTTTACTTGAGGCCAAGTAAACTCTGTGAGGAAGAAATTTTGTTCTTCATCTTTGTATAAGCCAGACTGTCCAACACTATGTTTTTTTGAAGAACCAGCTAAGACAGGTTCTTCCTTTTCCTGACCCCCACACTCTGCAAGTGCAAAAACCATTTTGTTGGTCTCTACTAAAGAAAGAATTGGCTGGGCATGCTGGCTCACTCCTGTAATCCCAGCACTTTGGGAGGCTGTGGTGGGCAGATCATCTGAAGTCGGGAGTTCGAGACCAGCCTGACTAATATGGAGAAACCCCGTCTCTACTAAAAATACAAAAATTAGCCGGGCGTTGTGGCGCATGCTTGTAGTCCCAGCTACTTGGGAGGCTGAGGCAGGAGAATCACCTGAACCTGGGAGGTGGAGGTTGCAGTGAATCGAAATCATGCCACTGCACTCCATGACAGAGTGAGACTCCGTCTCCAAAAAAAAAAAAAAAAAAAAAGAATTAAGTTCAAATCTATAGTCTGGCATTCAAGTCTATGACCTTCATAGTCTAGCTCTAATTAATTGGACAAATTTATCTCCTACTTCTCCTGGGTCTTACAGTCCAGCTAAATTGAACTCTTCTTTGTTTCCATATGAGCTATCTTGTTTCCCTGAAGCAACCTTTCCCATCTCTTCCATTCCCATTTGTTTAAACTCCATAATCCTGTAAATCTCCATTTAAATGTGTCTGCCTTTGTTAATCCTTCAAGATTCATATTTCATGCCTCTTATATGACTCTTCGGTTATCTATTTTGTTGATAGTTTTGCATGTATGTCTTATCTTTGCTATAATAAAGTAAGCTCCAGGAGAGTAGATTCCTTGTCTTATTCATCTTTGCGTCCACCACGATATTTAGTAGATTGTCTGCCTCATAATAGGCATTCAGTAAGTCTTATTGAATGAGTAAATGCACTTAAGTATAGTTGATAGACCTTAACCTACTGCTAGTAAATTATAGTTGGCTAAAAATATTCTTTATAAGTGCTGTGCTTTGGAAAAGGATCATCTGCTTAGCAGCACTGTTTGGTGGGTAGTTGTTGCCCAGGCTGGAGTGCAATGGCACAATCTCTGGCTCACCGCAACCTCCGCCTCCCGGGTTCAAGCGATTCTCCTGCCTCAGCCTCTCGAGTAGCTGGGATTACAGGCATGTGCCACCACACCCGGCTAATTTTGTATTTTTAGTAGAGACGGGGTTTCTCCATGTTGGTCAGGGTGGTCTCGAACTCCCAACCTCAGGTGATCCACCTGCCTTGGCCTCCCGAAGTGCTGGGATTACAGGTGTGAGCCACCACGTCCGGCCAAGGCTCACACTTATAATCCCAGCACTTTGGGAGGCGAGGCAGGTGGATTGCATGACCAGCCTGGACAACATGGTGAAACCCTGTCTCCACAAAAAATGCAAAAATTAGCTGTGTATTGAGGCACACGCCTATGGTCCCAGCTACTTGGGAGGCTGAGGTGGGAGGATTGCTTGAGCCCAGGAGGCGAAGTTTGCAGTGAGCCAAGATAGTGCTACTGTACTCCACCCTGGGCGACAGAGCAAGACCCTATCTCAAGGGAAAAAAAAAAAAATTCATACTCTGGTATCTTCTGGCATTTCACAGAAGGGCATCTGGATTCCTGCCAAAATTGATTCTTTTGTCTTTTATTAAAAATAATCTTTCAAGCAAATTTGAGATTCACCACTAAAGCCCTAAATTTGTTTTTATTTACTTTGTGTTTTAACTCTCTCTCACTGCAGGTTTGTTGTTGTTGTTGTTGTTGGTTTTTTGGTAAGTACAGAGACTACAAATTTAAAAAATCTTTCATTAAACATGTCTTTACTAAGTGCCTACTAGGAACTGCTCTAAGCTCTGGGAAGCAAGAAAATGTACCCTCAGGTGTCAGTAATGAATGAGCTATAAGGAAGGCGTACTATACACAATTATCTTAGATGGGATAATATTTTCCACTAGAGTTATTGTAACTCACTGCCTGGGAGGCCTTTTCACTTCTAGGAAGATCTGGTTTTCCTATATTTAGAATAGATACTGTTCCCATTGACTGTTTTCTGTTGGATTTCTTAAATGCATGAGATAGAAGAAGTATATATGGAAAAGCATTTCATATTTAATTGAAATAATATATACATTTATGGAGTGCTTTCTATGTGCCAGGCACTGTGTTGACTACATCTATGAAATATTAACTCATTTGATTGTTACTCAATAAAATGTTTGCTGAAGGAATATATAGAAGCTTTTATTTTTTTCCGTGCACAGGCTTAATTTCAGAGGAGGTTGGGAGGAAAAGAAGAACTAAAAGATCACATGATTGGGAAAAAGCAAATGCCTAACAAGAAGCCAGAGAAATAGGTCGAGAGGGTGATGCAAATGACTGGGCTCAGTTCATATTTTAGATTGAAATAAACAGATTTACTTGTTTTTCCTTGCAAAGTAAAAAAGTTTTAAGGGAGAGTCTGCAACTGTGTTTTGACCCTGAGCATGTGGCTTGATAGCCATTAAGATTAGGAGTGTTGAGAGCAGCTATTGTCCTGATGACTCAGCAGGAACCCCTGTGTTAGATTATACCGTTGCCTCCGTATTGCATGTAAAAAGTTCTTTATATCTTTTGAAATATTTGAGATCATAGATCCCAAAATCAGAGCCAGGGATGATTGTTTACTTGAAGTATCATTTGTATTTTTCTTTCCTTCTTTTTCTTCTTTCTTTCTTTCTTTTTTTTTTTTTTGAGACAGAGTCTCGCTCTGTGACCTAGGCTGGAGAGCAGTGACGCCATCTTGGCTTACTGCAACCTCCACCTTGTGGGTTCAAGCAATTCTCCTGCCTCAGCCTCCCAACTAGCTGGGATTACAGGCGCCCACCATCATGCCCGGCTAATTTTTAAAATTTGTTTAAATTTTAATTTTAGTTTTTTTTCTTTTGAGATGGAGTCTCGCTCTGTTGCCAGGATGGAGTGCAGTGGCGCGATCTCAGCTCACTGCAGCAGCCTCCACCTCCCGAGTTCCAGCTATTCTCCTGACTCAGCTTCCTGAGTAGTTGGGACTATAGACGTGCCACCACGCCCAGCTAATTTTTGTATTTTTAGTGGAGACAGGGTTACACCATGTTGGCCAGGATGGTCTCAATCTCTTGACCTCCTGTTCCACCCACCTTGGCCTCCCAAAGTGCTGGGATTACAGGTGTGAGGCACCACGCCCGGCCTATATTTTTAATAGAGACAGGGTTTCACCATGTTGGCGAGGCTGATTTTGAAATCCTGACCTCAAATGATCCACCTATCTTGGCCTCCCAAAGTGCTAGGAATATAGGCATGAGCCACTGCACCTTTTTTCTTTTTTTTAGATATCAGGTCTTGCTATGTTGCCCAGACGGTTTTTTTTTTTTTTTTTTTTTTTTTTTTTTTTTTTTTTTTTTTTTTTTGAGACGGGGTCTCACTCTGTCACCCAGGCTGGAGTGCAGTGGCACAATCTCAGCTCACTGCAACCTCCGTCTCCTGGGCTCAAGTGATTCTTGTGCCTCAGCTTCCCTAGTAGCTGGGACTACAGACATGTGCCACTGCAACTGGCTAATTTTTTTGTATTTTTAGTAGAGACATAGTTTCGCTATGTTGGCCAGGCTAGTCTTGAACTCCTGGCGTGAAGTGATCCGCCCACCTTGCCCTCCTGAAGTGCTGGGATTATAGGTGTGAGCCACCACGCCTAGCCAGTATTTCTGTCTAGGTGCTGAAATAGTTTCTTTTGGAATTGAAGACCATTTGAATTAATATTTCAAGTAGGCAATTGAGTCATCATAATGGAAGACTGGATCTTTAGTATTATGCTGTTAGAGTATGCAGTGTCCAGTCTTTTGGCTTCCCTGGGCCACACTGGAAGAAGAATTACCTTGGGCCACACAAAAAATACACTAACAATAGCTGATGAGCTAAAAAAAAAAAAAAAAAAAAAAAAGAAAAAGAAAAGAAAAACCAAAAAAACCTTATAATGTTTTAAGAAAGTTTATGGATTTGTGTTGGGCTTCATTCAAAGTGGTCCTGGGCCACATGTGGCCCACGGACCTCAGGTTGGACAAGCTTGATGTAGTGGCTAAGAGTGTGGACTCCCGAGCCATGTGGCCTGTGTTTGAATCCTAGTTCTACCCTTCACTAGTTGCCTTGGTGTCCCCACTGGGGTAATCTTGGGCTTTTGTAAAGATTATAAGAGTTAATATAAGAAAAGCCCTTAGAGTCTAACTCATAGTAAGCCTTGTTTGCTTACTATTTTGCCTTTAGGAATGCAGAATTAAGACCATGTTGGCTTGGCCTATGGTTAGTTTATTATATTCAATATACCATATGTGGTTTCAACCTTCAGGATTAGAAGCATCTGCCAGACTGCCACTACCACCAGGTGGGAACTTTTCATTCTTTATCAAAAGAGCAGGGTTAGTACAAAAAAAGTTCAAGGTTAAGCTTGAGTTTGCTCTTGAATTAACTTCAGTGAACCCTGATCCTGTTGACACTTACTAGGTAACTAAAGGACAGTCAGATTGGACTCTGCCATCTTAGTCCATCGGCCTCAGCAGCTCTTGCTGGACTTGTAGCTAAAGCTTGAGAGTCCATTAGTAGTGAGAATGTTTTTCTTTTTTTCCTCTCTCTCTTTTTTGTTAATGTGAAAGTGCAAAAGTAAAGAGGAATAATCTATGACATAGGATCTTATTGGTTCTGTACAAATACTCTTAATTAAAAATTTTTAATTAAAATTATATATATATATATTTTTTTTGGCATGGAGTTCCGCTCTGTCGCCCAGGCTGGAGTGCAGTGGCATGATCTCGGCTAACTACAACCTCTGCCTCCCAGGTTCAAGCAGTTCTGCCTCAGCCTCCCGGGTAGCTGGGATTACAGGCGCTTGCCACCACGCTTGGCTAATTTTTGTATTTTTAGTAGAGACGGGATTTCTCCATGTTGGTCAGGCTGATCTCGGACTCCTGACATGAGGTGATCCGCCCTCCTTGGCCTCCCAAAGTGTTGGGATTACAGGTATGAGCCACCACGCCCAGCCAAAATTTTCATTTTTTTAAGATATGGGGATCTTGCCATGTTGCCCAGGCTGGTCCCAAATTCCTGAACTCAAGTAATCCCCTTGTGGTGGCGTCCCAAAGTGCTGGGTAAAAGTACTTTTGAATTATGGATTTTGGCTTCCTGTGCTACCAAATTTCACTATTTCTTGATTTTTGTGGTATTCACCTTTACAACTGAACAGGTCATATATTAACTAGCCTTTATCTAATGCTTTCTTTAAAGGAAATGTAGACGTGCTTATATTTTTAACACATCTACATTTCTCTTAAAGAGAAGAGATTAAGCTCTTTTTATTTAATTTGTCTGGAAGAAGTTGAGATAGTGTAGATCTACAGGTTTTATATTTAGTAATTTTTAAGGAGTAAAAATGAAGTCTTCTAATTTTTCTAGACTCTATCTAAGATTATTGTTTTTAGACTTTTTCATCTTATACCACAATGAGATGATAAAGCTTAAAACATTAACATGTCGGCCGGGTGCGGTGGCTCACGCCTGTAATCCCTGTACTTTGGGAGGCTGAGGCGGTCAGTCAGGAGTTCGAGACCAGCCTGGCCAAGATGGTGAAACCCCATCTCTACTCATAATACAAAAATTAGGAGGCATGGTGGCATGTGCCTGTAGTCCCAGCTACTCGGGAGGCTAAGGCAGAAGAATCACTTGAACCCAGGAGGTGGAGGTTGCAGTGAGCCGAGATTGTGCCACTGCACTCCAGCCTGGGCGACAGAGTGAGACTCTGCCTCACCAAAAAAAAAAAAAAAAAGAAAAAGAAAGAAAACTTTAGCATGTCTGTAATTGGTAGATATAATCTCTATCATTTATTTAATGATAATTAAAAATAGCGGGGCATGGTGGCACATGCCTGTGGTCTCAGCTACTAGTGGGGCTGAAGCAGGAGATTGAGGCTGTAGTGAGCCACTCTGATTGCACCACTCCACTCCAGCCTGGGTGGCAGAGTGAGACTCTGTCTCAAAACAAAAGAAAACAAACAAAAAAACATAATGTAAGAATCATGAAGTGACTTTAAAATCTTTATTTTATAATAATGTTATAAGTTTTCTGAAGCTACTTAATTTATCACTATACAGAATAAACAGATATATAAAAAATGATCAGTAAGTTTTTGTTTCCCTACTAAAGCCAGAATAATGGTCATGAGGTAATAGATAGCATTGGGTGCTTACTATGGGCCAGGCACAGTGTGCCAGCCGTTTGCATGTGTTAGCTAATTTAATCCTCATATAAACTTTGAAATAGGTGCTATCAATACTGTTTAACACATGAGAATTAGAGAGATCATTGTTTGGGTATGGTTGCAGGGCCAGTAAGTAGCAGTACTGTGATTTGTACTAACGTCTTTGGGATTTCAGAACCTGAATCAATAACTTTGTTTATGTTATTTTTCTCTATTTATTTGAAACTTGAATGCTTTCCTAACAGAATTTCTTATGTTCTGTTTTCAGTCACCCTGAAAAAAAAATTCTGAGAATATTTAAGGATATTTCTAAAACATACTAACAACTAGTGAGCCTAGATGGTTCATTAGATGACTTTGGTTGCTTTCAGTTCTCTTGGTAAAATTTGAAAGGCAACTAAAATTTCCATTACCTCACCTCGTTGCATTTTGGGGGCCTGGTTAATTAGTATTTTATAAAGCACTTTAGAGGGTTTATTTATAAACTTGTTAAGGAACCTGACTTGAATGTCTTTTTTTTTTTTAAGGCAGAGTTTCACTGTTGCCCAGGATGGAGTGCAGTGGTGTCATCACAGGTCACTGCCACCTTGACCTCCTGGGCTCAAGTGATCCTCCTCCTTTAGCTCCCTGAGTAGCTGGGACTTGCAGTGCCACCATGCCCAGCTAATTTTTTTTAAATTAATTTTTTTGTGGAGATGAGGTCTCACTGTGTTGCCTAAGATGGTCTTGAACTCCTGGACTCAAGTTATCCTCCCACTTTGGCCTCCCATTACAGGCATGAGCCATTGTGCTTGGCCTCACATATTTTGATTTTAGGATTGTTTTCCAATTGAGAAATGTCTAAATGGTTCAAGTTTAACAAAAATCATATACTAATTTGTTAATTATTTTTCTGTGAGTTCTTTTCTTTCTGCCCTCTCCCTTTCTCCCTTCCTCCCCCTTCAGAGGTTGGTAGAAAAAAAAAAAAAAGGCAAGGAAGTTTCTTTTTGTGGAGAGAGGAAATGACTGTTGGTTCAAGACTTTATCCATATTAGGTATAAACTAAATATAGACGTGTAATCCAGGAGTGAAGTCACATCTATAAAGTTTCTTAAGCAAAGCTAATGAGATCAGCCAGTGCTTTTGGATCTGTTTTTTCCCCCCTTGCTTTTGGCTCACTTACCAAACTGATTAGTCTTATAGTCTGCCTGCCTTTGCTTCTTTAAAAAAAGAATAAAAAAATTATAAGGAATCTTTCTGTAAAACAAGCACACAAATTTTTAAAAAGTTGCTTTGTATATGAAGCATAGTCACTTATGCCTCCCTTTGAGGGGAGGTTATAAATAAATTAGCTTCTTTAATTTCTTGACCTTGTCATTTTCCTCACACCAATTCTTCTTCTTTTTTTTTTGTTTTTTGAGTTGGTTTTATCCTTGAGTCTTTGTCACATATTTTTACTGTGAGGCTGGACTCATCTTTGTAAGTTGTAAGAAACGTGTTTTACTTAGTATTTTCTTGGTTTATTCCATTTTTAACCATTAAAGCAGATCTCAGTATGGCTAAATGGTAATAGGATTTCTTCTGATTGGCTGGTTAGAGAGATTGTAATAGAACGGAATGATGGAATAAATCTGCTTCTGGTCACAGCACATGTCCTTCTCAAATAAGGACTTTGAAAAGTCCCCCAAAGCATTCTTACAATAATTATTTCCAACTCTTGTGTTCCTTCTTAGAGCCCTTTGCAAGCATTCCTAAACACTCAAGCCCTTACGAACGTGCTATGCTTCTGAAGAGAAGAACTATATACACACATCTGTGGCGCATCTTACTATAAATACTTTGGAATACAACTAATTGTGTAAAAAGTTTAGCTTAACATATTTCGGGGTTTTAGGGATCAGTTCATGAAACTAAATGTTCTCCAAGCCTAAGTTGGAATCTGTTCTGAATCCTTCTCTGACCATGTTGTTCCCTTAGCAGAACTACTCTTTCCTACTGTTTGGGGCAGTTTGTGCATTTTTATATTCTGCCACTCATCTGAATCACCTTTAATTACATTTTTGTTCCAGGCTAGAATGTAAATTCCAGGAGATCAAGGATAAGGGATTATTTTCTTTTTTCTTCTTTTTATATTTTAAATTTAAAAAATTATTATGTTCTTCTAAAGACTAAGGGACTATTTTCTTCATCTTTTATATCTACCCCCTACCACAAACCTTTATATATAGGAGATAATTCATTAATTCAGTAAGCATTTATTAGTGTTTTTTGGCAAATTGGTGTGCATAGTATAGGAATATAAGCATGTAAGAGAGAATATATTAAATATTTTCTGTTATTGTGTTCTATATTACCTCATAGTAAAATACCAGAGTTAAAAGTAGTATTCAGTTATTGAACTTGAGACATGTAATTGGGGTTTTGTAACTAGCTACTCACTATATAGCTATTGGTCTAAACCTAACAGATTGGTTTAGAGAACTAGAATATTATGTAACTGGAAGGCCAGGTTCAAGTCCTATGTGTATCCTAATTGATCTGCTACCTCATCTGTCAAGTGGGTGTATTTCTTGGAGGTGATGTTCAGTCCAGTTTGTATTATTTTATATGCCAAGGTAGCCTTAGGCTTGGCTTAAGCTTAGGCTTAGGCAGAAAGTTGAGCCCTGAGATTCCAACGTCAGATCCAGAGAATTAAATTCTCATAATTAGAAGCAATCTATTAGATAACAAAAATAGAGCCAATACAAATTCTTCATGATAATGGAGGCAGTTTGCCAAAGAAAGAAAAAATATTTCAGGAGTGAATTCTTTGACCCGAAAGAATATATTTTATTTCCCAGGTGAGCTCCTGAAAGAAAGTTTAAGGAAAGATTTTGTTTGTTGTATCTAAAATAAAGCAGACACAGAACCATTCTTCTTCTTCTTTTTTTTTTAAAGCCAGTCAAATTTATAGAATTTTCCTTCATCATATTTGAGTAACCTGTGCATTGAAATCCGAAGTAAAATATTTCAGTAAGAAACATCCTGCTATGTTATACTCTTCAGATATTTGAAGTTTTAGGCCAGCAAAGAAGATAGACAAGAATTCTGAATATTAACTTTCACAGCTGAAATACAGTGTTGAATATATAATTTTTGCGGAAACTAATTTTGTAATGTATATATATAGAGAGAGACGGAGTCTTGCTCTCTCGCCCAGGCTAGAGTGCAGTGGCACGATCTCAGCTCACTGCAGTCTCCGCCTCCCAGATTCAAGCGATTCTCCTGCCTCAGCCTCCTGAGTAGCTGGAATTACAGGTGCCCGCCACCGTGTCCAGCTAATTTTTGTATTATTAGTAGAGACGGGGTTTCACCATCTTGGCCAGGCTGGTCTTGAACCCCTGACCTCATGATCCACCCACCTTGGCCTCCCAAAGTGCTGGGATTACAGGTGTGAGCCACAGCGCCCGGCTGATTTTGTAATATATTTTAATGAACATTTAAAAATACATAATCCAAAATTAAAACAAATGAGGAAGATTCATTAATTTATTCATGTTTGTTGAGAGCTAATATTTTATACTATTAATAAAATATTGTATAGCATTTTCATGATTGCAGTTTTTCATTGTTTATGGTCATCTTCATTAATCCATTGTTCTTAGTCATTTAGAGGTCTGAAATTTGGCTTTAAGCAATATTGTGATATATATCCTTACAGCCAATTTTCTGTGCATGTCAAGCAATTGTGTTTTAAAAGTCCCCCACATATCTCATTTACCCTCTGAATTCTTTATTTTCCTTTTGTTTACTTAAACTGTAATCTCTCTTTTTTCACACTTCACCTGGAATGTAATCTCTTAAAAAGAAAAAACTTTCTGCAGAATTTAGGTTTTTTACAAAGGGAAAATTGGATTTTTGACTCTACTACTGAACTCTTGGTGGAGTGTCTAGTTAAAATTGGTCTGAGAACTTGATGAACAGAAATAGCTGCCTTAAGCATAGATGGGGAAGAATAATATTAATTTCTTGAACATTTCATTGTTTTCTTGTACTCTTGGGATTCTTTGTGAATCTAGTTTATACTACAGTATAATGTGTATACCCTTAAGGAAAGTGGGTTGCTGCATTTTGACTTGCAGAAGCATTTCACCTATGTCCCAACATAGTTGTCTTTAGTTGATAAACAAGGGAAGACCCTGGCAGTTAGTGAATTTATCTTTGGTTAGCAGATATTTTTTAAAAATGAGGGCTAGACAATGAAAAAGTTTGAGATGCACCTTTTTTTTTTTTTTTTTTTTTTTTTGACAGGGCCTCACTTTGTCATCCAGGCTAGAGTGCAGTGGTAAGATCATAGCTCACTACATCCTTGACCTCCTGGGCTCAAGTGATCCTCCTGCTTAAGCCTTCTGAGTAGCTAGGACTAAAGGTGTGTACTACCATATCTGGCTAATTTTCTTATTTTTCATAGAGATGGGGGTCTCACTGTGTTGTCCAGGCTGGTCTCAAAACTCCCAGCTTCAAGTGATCCTCCCACCTTGGCTTCCCAGAGTGTTGGGATTACAGGTGTGAGCCATTGCACCCAGCCAGAGATGCACTTTTTTTTGATGTAACCAAAGTGAGAATAATTATAAAGGAGCATGTTTCTTTTTTATTTTAATTTTAATTTTTTTTGTTGTATAAATGGAGTCTCCCTCTGTGGCCCTGGCTGGAGTGCAGTGGTGCGATCTTGGCTCACTGCAACCTCTGCCTCTTGGAGTCAAACAGTTCTCCTGCCTCAGCCTCCCGAGTAGCTGGGACTACAGGTGCACACTGCGACACCTGGCTAATTTCTTTTGTATTTTTAGTAGAGACGGGGTTTCACCGTGTTGCCCAGGCTGGTCTTAAACTCCTGAGCTCAGGCAGTCCGCCTGCCTTGGCCTCCCAAAGTGTTGGGATTACAGGCGTGAGCCACCACGCCCAGCTAAGTAACTTCTTTTTTAAATAAAATAATCATGGATTAATATAATAAAAACAAATTAGTGTTCTGTGTTTCTGAAATTAAGTCATTTAGTGCCAAACTTTCACATTCTAAATAGTTGTATCTGAAAATGTCTTGACTTCTCTTCCATTCTTTAAAGATGGTTTTGTTGGAAATAGAATTTTGAGTTGATTTTTATTGTTGTTATTGTTATTCTTTCAGCAATTTAAAAAATGTTCTTGACTGGGCGTGGTGGCTCATGCCTGTAATCTCAGCACTTTGGGAGGCTGAAGTGGAAGATCTCTTGAGCCCAGGAGTTCGAGACCATCTTGGGCAACCTAGTGAGACCCTGTCTCTACAAAAAATTGAAAAAATAGCTGGACATGGTGGCAGGTGCCTGGTCCCAGCTACTTGCGAGGCTGAGGTGGGAGGATGGCTTGATCCCTGGAGATCGAGGCTGCAGTGAGAGCTGCGCTTCAGCTTAGGCGACAGAGCGGGACCTTGTCTGAAAAAAAAAGGACCGAGGGCAGTGGCTCATGCCTATAATCACAGCACTTTGAGAGGCCAAGGTGGGTGGATCACCTGAGGTCAGGAATTCAAGACCAGCCTGGCCAACATGGTGAAAACCTGACTCTACTGAAAATACAAAAATTAGCTGGATGTGGTGGCGCATGCCTGTAATCCCAGCTACTGGGGCAGCTGAGGCGGGAGAATCGCTTGAACCCAGGACGCACAGGTTGCAGTGAGCCGAGATCACACCACTGTATTCCAGCCTGGGTGACAGAGTGAGACTCCATCTGAAAAAAAAAAAAAAGAAAGTGATTCCATGTTTTCTGGCCTCCATTACTCCAAATGATAATTCAACAGTCATTCAAATTATTATTTCCTTGTATGCAATGTGTTGTTTTTTTCTAGCTACCGTGAAGATTTTCTTTTTCTTCCTTTCTTTCTTTCTTTTTTTTTTTTTTTTTTTTGCTTTTCATTATTTCAATTATGATATACTTAGGTATGGCATTATTTGTATTGAATCTGCTTGATGTTCATGAAACTTGAATCTGTAAATTTGTCTTTTTTTGGGAAAATTTTGGCCGTTATTTCTTGAAATATTTTTTTCCTCATTGTCTCCTTCTGGAACTCTAAAATATAAATGTTTTAGTATTTTCCCGTAGGTCTTTGAGGCTCTTTTTTTTCTGTTCTTCAAATTGAATAATTTCTTGGTTCTGTCTTTATGTTCACAGACCTCTTTCTTTCTTCTCTCTCTCTTTTCTTTCTTTCTTTTCTCTTTCTTTCTCTTTCCCTCTCTTTTCTTTTCTTTTCCTTCTTTATTCTACTGTTAAGCCAATCTAGTAATATGAAAAAATAATTTAGATATTGTAGTTTTTAGTTCTAGAATTTACATTTTTGTGTGTGATTTCTTTCCCTACTGAGATTTCCTATCTTCCTTTATTTTGAGCATATTTTTCTTTCGTTATTTGAACATAGTTACCATAACTGCCTTAAAATCCTTGACTGCAAACTGTAGAATCTGGGTCATCTTAGGGTAGTCTCCTTGATTACTTTTTTTTTTTTTTCTTGAGAATGGGTCAGGTTTTTCCATTTCTTCTTATAGGGAGTAATTTTGGATTATATTCTGGATATTACAAATGATAAATGATAATTTATATATATAAATTTTGTTATGCCCGTCTTAAAAGCATTGATTTTCTTTTCTAAAGCAGGCAATTGATTAACTTACCTGAATTCAAGCTGCAAAACTGTCCCCCCATAGTAGGTGGCAGTGTACATTTCAGTTCAGTTCTCTTAGCTGGCCTACTTGGAGCCTGCTCTGTGCATGTGTGTTTCACGGATCAGCGAGAGATTTAGACAGATTTATGCAGATTTTAGGGCTCCCCTGTGCTGGTTCTCTCTCTCTCTCTTTTTAATGGTGTCTTACTTTATTTTCTTTGCAGTGGTGATGGTTGCTCTAGACTGTTTTTTGGCTTTTAAAGTCAGCAGAACTGTGAATTTTCCATTGGAGTTTTAGCTGCCCTACATGGTGCAAGGCTAAAAGATAAAACTTGGGGAAACTTGTCCAGTGCAGTTCCTTTCCTCCAAGTGCCAACTCCCCTCCAATATTTGCCTGCTTTTGTCACTCTCCAGTGCCTTCAGGTGTTTTTGTCTGGAAGTTATAGCTGTTATGATAGGCAGAGTTGATCCTATAGGAGGAACTGCCTGGTCTTACTAGAAGACTCAAACTTATTTTTTTAAAAACAGAAACCTTTAAATTTTAGAATAGTTTTAGATTTGTAGAAAAATTGCAAAAATAATACAGAGTTCTGAAATTTATTTTAAATGAAAGTATTTCTAAAATATATTAATGCTTCCTTGACTTTTGAAAATGCTGAGTTTGGCCAGGTGTCATGGCTCATGCCTGTAATCCCAGCACTTTGGGAGGCTGAGGCAGGTGGATCACCAGAGGTCAGGAAACCCTGTCTCTACCAAAAATACAAAAATTAGCTGGGCATGGTGGTAGGGGCCTGTAGTCCCAGCTACTCGGGAGGCTGAGGCAGGAGAATCCCTTGAACCCAGGAGGCGGAGGTTGCAGTGAGCAAAGATCATGCCATTGCACTCCAGCCTGGGCGACAAGAGCAAAACTCTGTCTCAAAAAAAAACCCGAAAATGCTGGGTTTAACTGCCAATTAATGTCAACATTCTGAATATAAATTCAGTAATGCAACAATGGCCTCGGGAGCCGTTGAGGCATGTAAGACTATTTTTGTCTTTCTGCTAAATGGCCTCAGCTATTGTGCTTTTCGAACCTAAATCTCCTTTGTGTGTGTGCATGTGTGGATGGGTGCATGCGTGCATGTGTGTGTGTATTTTGTATTTCTTCCTTTGCCAACTTAGCTCTATTGATGCAGCCCATTTCCGTTAATTTTCTATTGTAATTTGTTGTGGCTCAGTACACCAGATAAACTGTTAAAATTTGTTTGAAATAGGAATAAATGGTTTCAGGCCAGGCACGGTGGCTCACGCCTATAATGCTAGCACTTTGGGAGGCCAGGGCGGGCGGATCAAGAGGTCAGGAGTTCAAGACCAGCCTGACCAACATGGTGAAACCCTGTCTCTACTAAAAATACAAGAATTAGTCAGGCGTGGTGGCATGTGCCTGTAATCCCAGCTACTCGGGAGGCTGAGGCAGGAGAATCGCTTGAACCTGGGAGGTGGAGGTTGCAGTGAGCCGAGATCACGCCGCTGCACTCTAGCCTGGGTGATAGAGCAAAAAAAAAGAACAAATAGTTTCTGAGAGCTTGAATGTTGAGTTAATGAGTCAGGTACATCATCTTTAGTATCTGGTCTTGGTGACATTGGTGCCCAGAGGCCTTTTCTCTAGATGCCTGCTGTCAATACAATTGTCGCTACCTATACATGGCTATTCAGTGTTTGAAATATGTCTAGTTTGAGTTGAGATGTACTATAATTATGAAATATACACCAGATTTTAAAGATGTAGTACAAAGAAAAGAATGTAATAACTTTTTATGTTGATCATGTGTTGAATGATGTTAGATATATTGGGTTAAATAAAAAAATTTAATCACACTTGTTTCTTTTACTTTTAAGAAAATGTGGAATGCTTCACAAATTTGTGCGTCATTCTTGAACAGGGGCCATGCTAATCTGTTTTGAATTGTCCCAATTTTAGTATTCATGCTGTCAAAGTAAGTACTCTTTTTAAGTCTTCAATATGGCTGCTAGAAAATTTAATATAACATTTGTGGCCTACATTATATTGGTCGTAGCTCTGGCAATTTATCTTACTTGATAGTAGTGTCTATGAGTGAGATGGTGGTGGTTCTGTAAGAATCTTGAGATCAAGCAGGTGAGATTCTAGCATCTCCTTCTTTGCTCTGGTGTAAGAAACTATCATAGTGGTTGGTAGATAGTATGGACCTTGGAGTTTAAACCTCAGTTTTGACACTCCTCAGTTGTATGACCTATGACAAATTATTGAGCTTCTCTGAACCTCAGTTTCCTCATCTGAAACTCATATGAAACGAGGAAAACAACCCCTAATTTCATATGGTTATTGTGAAATACATAAAACTAGTTTTATATAGTGCATGTCAACTGCAAAATACACTACTCAATACATAGTAGCTTTTAACTTGTTTCTGGACCATTTTGGTAACATTTTGATTTATTGTAGTTGATACTTATAGGGAATATAATCAAGGTAGATCCAGACTAGGAAAAAAGGACTGTAGCTTTCGTCCTTTTTTTTCTTTCTTTCATTTGTTGTCATTCAGTTTTTTTCCACCACTAAAGAATATGTCTTTGATGAAGAATTTGTAAGAAAAAAGGATGGACCCTCTGTAAAAAGAAGAGATATTGCCTCCGGACAGTCAATATTTTAAATTATATGATTTATTAGTTATTCTGAAGAGATAATAGACTTGTTCCTCCTTTTAGGCTTTTGATAAGTAAATGTGAACAAGCAGAACTCGTTTTCATCATGGGTCTATTGTGCCTAGATGGAAAGTCTGGTCATTGTACATCTGACAGTTTGTTTTAAAAAGTGGTTCTGGCTGAGATATTTCAGATTTGATTTTCCTACAGATTAAAGCCTTTCTTTACATCTTCAGCATATACTTCAAGCAAGTAACAAAAGTACTCAAAAGAAACTCACGACATTAATTCCATTTGTTATTTCATCTAGTAGTTTTTGAATGACTACTTTGCATTTAGCATTTATTCAAAAGAAGTTCTATTATATTTAAGCAGTTTAACATTTTGGCACTGATTAGAGACAGTAATGAGATTATCATGTATAAACATTAAAAAAATAATTTTCTTAAATCTACAAAGAATAGAAAAGAAAAACATGCTTGTTATAAAAAGACAAATAGGACACAAGTATATAAAATTAATACCCCAGGCTGGGCATGGTAGCTTACGCCTGTACTCCCAGCACGTTGGGAGGCCAAAGTGGGCAGATCGCTTGAGCCCAGGGGTTCAAGACCAGCCTGGGCAACATAGTGAAACTCTGATTCTACAAAAAATACAAAAATTAGCCAGGCATGGTGGTACGTGCCTATAGTCCCAGCTACTTGGGAAGCTGAGGTGGGAGGATCGCTTGAACCCAGGAGGTCAAGGCTGCAGTGAGCCGTGATTGCGCCACTGTACTCCAGCCTGGGTGGCTGAGTGAGTGTTTGTCTCAAAAAATAAAATAAAAATAATCTCCTGTCCCTACCTCTCCCCAGATCTGTCCCGAGGTAAACAATGTTAATTTTGGTTTATAGCCCTCCATACTTGAGAAGTATTTCCAAGATGTAAATTCCAGGGTTACAGATCTGTGGTATCTCTTAAAGGGATTTATTTCCCTTTCCATCCTCTAGCAAAGTATAGGCTCACCCTTACTCCCATCTTGAGGTTTCCTTGACCCAGTTGCTCAAAGCAGATAGTAGGAATTACTTGATTTCTTTCTCCCGCTTTCCACATCCAAACCATCCACGCGTCTTTAGGATTATGCTACCCCAATTCAATTTAATCTACACTTTTCTTTCCATGTCCATTGCTTTTACCTAATCCAAAGCACATTTCACCACAACTACCACAAGAGGCCACCCAGCTTCAATTCTTCATCATTTGATGCCTCTGATCTGTTTTCCATATGGCAGAGTGTTATTTATTGTCTTAAATGGAAATCAGATTTTGCCCTTATCTTGCACCCATCAAAACCCTTCAGTGGTATCCTGTTACCCTGTTCTGGCATTCCTTACCCCCTTTCCCCTCCCACCAGTGGAAGCTCCATGAAGTCAGGAATATGTTCTCTGGCACATACTGTTTTATTGAGCACTTAACCACATGCTGGACAATATTTTAAGAGCTTTTCATCTATTAACTCATTTATATTCATGATAACCCTGTGAAGTAGGTATTCTTCCCAACCATTATGTGTACAAAGCAACTAAGGCCCAGAGAGGTTTAAGTAACTTACCCAATATCACACTCATGCTTAAGTAGAAGAATCAATATCTCAAACCAGGCACTTTGCCTTCAGTCCTTGCTGTTAAATGTTGTATTAAATGCTTTTTTTCGACATAGTAGGTACTTGGTAAACATTTGTTAAGTTAATGAATAAATTGTTCCCTCTTTGCATAAAATTCAAACACTTAATTTGGTCTAGAAAATCTTTCACGATCTGGCCCCTGCCAACACCACTTTCTCATGTACTCATGGCAATCTTGTCACACTGGCTCTTTGCATGGCTGTTTCCTTCTCATTCTTTATGTCTAAGAGGTCTTCCATGGTCATCTCATCTAAAGTAGGTGCTTCTTGTCCTCTCTCTGAGTACTTTGTTTTACTTTAGGCAAATCATGATTAATTGTTAAATACATGGTATAGGCTTGCTATTCCCTGGGAATTTGTAAGAGATGCAGAATCTTGGTTGTCACCCCAGATTTACTGAATCGGAATCTGTATTTTTACAAGATCGTCTAATAAGTTGTGATGACATCAGAGTTTGAGAAGCTGGGATAGAAACTGAAAGGACAGCTGGGCACGGTGTCTCATGCCTGTAATCCCAGTGCTTTGGGAGGCAGAGGCGGGTGGATCACCTGAGGTCAAGAGTTTGAGAACAACCTGACCAACATGGAGAAGCCCTGTCTCTACTAAAAATACAAAACTAGCTGGGCACGGTGGCGCATGCCTGTAATCCCAGCTACTCGGGAGGCTAAGGCAGGAAAATCGCTTGAACCTGGGAAGTGGAGGTTGTGGTGAGCTGAGATCGCACCATTGCACTCCAGCCTCGGCAACAAGAGTGAAACTCCATCTCAAAAAAAAAAAAAAAAAAGAAAGAAATTGAAAGGACAGGTAACTGAATTTTTTTTTTTTTTTTTTGAGACAGAGTCTCACTCTGTCACCCAGGCTGGAGTGCAGTGGCACAATCTCAGCTCACTGCAACCTCTGTCTCCCTGGTTCAAGCGATTATCCTGCCTCAGCCTCCCGAGTTGCTGGGACTACAGGCACACGCCACCATGCCCGGCAAATTTTTGTATTTTTTTTTTTTTTAGTAGAGATGGGGTTTCACCATATTGCCCAGGCTGATCTTGAACTCCTGACCTCGTGATCCATCCTCCTTGGCCTCCCACAATGCTGGGATTACAGGTGTGAGCCACCGCGTCTGGCAAGGTAACTGAATTCTTATAGTGAGACTTGAGCTTGACCTGAAGCACGGGTGTGGCAGTGATCATTTCAGGGAGGTTAATGTGATTGTAGTCACATAAGGGTCCAGATTTATGTGGCCTTATTGTACAGGATGAACGGGAGTGGGGGTGGAGCAGTGCTGTGGGTCCTCAAGGACATCAGTGGGGAAGTCATTCTAGGAAAAGAAGATGGAGAACTTTGTGAGACCTATTTTTTTTTTTTTTTTAAAGACGGAGTCTCGCACTGTTGCACAGGCTGGAGTGCAGTGGCGCGATCTCGGCTCACCACTTTAAGGGAATCTCCTGCCTCAACTTCCCAAGTAGCTGGGATTACAGGTGCCCGCCACCACGCCTAACTAATTTTTTGTATTTTTAGTAGAGATGGGGTTTCACTATGTTGACCAGGCTGGTCTCAAACTCCTGACCTCGTGTTCCGCCCGCCTTGGCCTCCCAAAGTGCTGGGATTACAGGCGTGAGCCACTGCGCCGGGCCTTGTAGGACCTAATTTTTAAAGACTATTGTACGCTTTATGGTTTTTATTTTTAATGAAACTATTATGTTAGGTAATTGATCATAATTTGGTCATTTACTGAAAGAAACAGCAACAGATAACCTTTGAAAACTACTGGAAGGTGAATCATCTCTCCCATTCAACATTTGAATGACTTCAATTCACAGTGACTTAGACTAAAGCAAGAGAACATCAAATGTACTGTTATAAGCTGAACTACTAACTCAGAGGAGGAACCACTGGCAAGCCCATAAAACTGAAACTCACAAAACCATGATTTATTGGGAGATGTTTATGTCACTTTTGAGAAAATATTAAACAGGTGCTTTTTTATTTGTAGTAAGGTCATGGAGTATATTTTGAGTTTCATTGTATTCTAAATTGAAATTTTGTACTTTTAGGGTATTCTGAAATTCTTAAGTGATTCAGATTAGACTTTGGATGCTATAGGTAATGCAAAGGCAGAAACCATTTCTTCTCTTATTCATCACCAGATCTCTGGTGTTTCGTATAGGTCCTCACATGGCTGGTGAATGAATAAAAAAAAAAAAGTTTTAATTTTAAAAGATTGATATCTATCTGCTCTTGAAGATAATATATAAATGATGGACAATAAAAGTGAGCTGTAATGTATTTAGAAACTATTAGGACTGAAGTGGAAACTAGATTAATAATTTAAAAAACACTTTATTTGGAAATAATTTCATACTTACAGACAAGTTACAAGCATAAGAGGTAGGACACAGTGGCTCTGTAATCCCACCGCTTTCGGAGGCTGAGGCAGGAGGATTGCTTGAGGCCAGGAGTTCAAGACTAACCTGGACAACAGAGCAAAACTGTCTCTACAAAAAAGTAAAAAAATTAGCCAGGCATAGTGATGTTTGCCTGTATTCCTAGCTACTGCAGAGGCTGTGGTGGGAGGATCACTACAGCCTGGAGAGTTCAAGGCTGCAGTGAGCTATGATGGCACCACTACATTCCAGCCTGGGCAGCAGAGCAAGACCCTGTCTCAAAAAAAACCCAACAAAACAAAAACAAAAAAACAGTTCAAAGAATACTGTTTACCTAGGTTTACCTATTGTTAACATTTTACTCTATTTGCTTTATTATTTGCTCTTTCTCTCATAAGTTGCATACATTGTGGCATTTTATCCCCAAATACTTCAGTGTGGATTCCCTAAGAGTAGGGATATATCTTGTGTATGTAATGTTGTTACGTTACAGTTATAATTTCAATAAATTAATCTCTCTCCCCACCTGCCTTTTCCAGAAAACTAAGACCCAGAGAGGTTAAGTGACTTGCCCTGTGGTTAGATAGGTTCCAAATGGAAAATCCAGCCTACTCTGCTAGTCAGGTATTAGCCCTGGTCCCTAACATCACAACAGAATCTTTTTTTTTTCCCCTGACACGCCAAATTATTTAGTAGTATAATACAGTAATAAAAATTTGTGGCCGGTCGTGGTGGCTCACGCCTGTAATCCTAGCACTTGGGGAGACTGAGGCAGATGGATCGCCTGAGGTCAGGATTTCGAGACCAGCCTGGGCAACATAGCAAAACCTCGTCTCTACTAAAAATACAAGAAATTAGCCGGGTGTGGTGGTGCATGCCTGTAGTCCCAGCTACTTGGGAGGCTGAGGCAGGAGACTCACTTGAACCCAGTGGGTGGAGGTTGCAGTGAGTTGAGATTGTGCCACTGCACTCTAGCCTGGGCGACAGAGCAAGAGTCTGTCTCAAAAAAATAAAAAAGAAAAATTTGTAATTGTCTTCTGAACCAGATATAACCATCTAATAGCACTTGATCTGTAAAGGACTTTGGATCACCAAAATTGTCCTTGACATTCTATTTGGCTTAGTTTAAGTATGAGTTTGTCCAAATTTAAGACATGATAGCGTGAAGGGAATAGACTGTTATTTACCAAATTTGACCCTAACAAACAGTGACCAGTTACTGGCCTACAGATAGCTGAGTCCAAAAGGCATCATGAGGAATTCAAAGTTTAACCATGGGGCAAACTTCTTCATTCCAGTTTTGATTTTTTTTTTTTTTTTTTGAGATGGAGTCTTGCTCTGTCACCCAGATTTTGTTTATCTTCAGAGTTTTTCCACATTCATTCTTTAACTTGTGTTTCACTCTATTTTCATATGTTTTTGATGGGAGGGTTTTTGTTTGCTTGGTTTTTTAAAATGAAAGATTCATGTCCATATTACAAATATCAAAAAGTGTGAAAGGTACACAACAAACAACTCCCCTAACCCCGTCCCTTGAGTGTTGTGCTGTTCTAAGTCCTTTATATGTATGAACTCATTCAGTTCTCCCAACTATCCAATGAGGTTATTATTCCCATTTTATAGAAAAGGAAAACAGGCCCAGTTTTTCAGTCACTTAGGTAGGAAGTAGTGGAGTTGTCTGAGAGTCTGGCTCTAAATTAGTGGTCTTAACCACCATTCTCTGCTGAGCAAGAGGATATCAGGATTAACTAGATTAATACATGTGAAGAGCTTGTTTTGGACGAGCAGAGAGATTTGTCTTCAATAAGGTAAATGTGAGTGAAGTCTTAATAGTCTGTCCTGGAGTTTCTTCTAGCCCTGGTAATTGGGCATCCTGATGTAATTTCAAGCTAATCATTTCCTCTCTAAATGGCAAAAGCTTTTATCTGAAGAGCAGATTTCATGAATTGGTGATGCTGAGTAAGGAAATGGTAGCAACCGAAGTCTTTGCAGTATCCTCTGCTTAGCTGTTTTATTTATACAGACAGAGCTGGACACATAGTAATTCTGTAATCCCAGCACTTTGGGAGGCCGAGGCAGGCGGATCACGAGGTCAGGAGATCAAGACCATCCTGGCTAACCTGGTGAAACCCCATCTCTATTAAAAATACAAAAAGTAGCCGGGCATGGTGGCGTGCATCTGTAGTCCCAGCTACTCAGGAGGCTGAGGCTGGAGAATGGCGTGAACCCGGGAGGCGGAGCTTGCAGTGAGCCAAGATCGCGCCACTGCACTCCAGCCTGGGCGACAGCGCGAGACTCTGTCTCAAAAAAAAAAAAAAAGAAAAAAGAAAAAGAATATCTTTGCTTTTTTCTATTTAGTGAACATTTAAACTTTATGTAGACCTTTTTTTTTTTTTTTTAAAGCATCGGGTCGTAATCTATGTCAGTTGGAATAATTTAATGTGGAAGATATTTAGATTTTTTTCCCTTCTCTCCTTGTTTTCCAAAAGAATAAAGCAATCTAGGGATTCTAACCACTAAGTGCTGGAACTGAAGAATCTGTTGTTAGGCCTTGAGTTCTTTGCATGGAACGTCTTTAAGTCAAGTAACATTTTAAAAACTCTTACCATGTGCCAGGAACTGTGTGTATCCTAACTTATTTGATCCCCACAATAACATGGTACATAGTAAGTCAAGTTTCACAGATGTTAAGTAACTTACTGAAGATTACACAGCTAATGAACTAGGGAAGTCAGGATTCAAACCTAGGTATGTGTGATTCTAAACTGTGGTTTCTCACATGCTCTGCAGACCCTGTAGAAGAACAGCTTATAAAACAGCTAGACTCCAAACTTGGTTCCAGCATGTGTTTAGCAAAAATTCTGAAGAAATAGGCTGGGCGCGGCGGCTCACGCCTGTAGTCCCAGCACTTTGGGAGGCCAAGGTGGGCGGATCATGAGGTCAGGAGTTTGAGACCAGCCTGGCCAATATGGTGAAACCCCGTCTCTACTAAAAATACAAAAATTAGCCAGACATGGTGGCAGGTGCCTATAATCCCAGCTACTTGGGAGGCTGAGGCAGGAGAATTGCTTGAACCCAGGAGTCAGAGGTTGCACTGAGCTGCTGAGATCGTGCCATTTCACTCCAGCCTGGGTGACAGAGCGAGACTACAACTCAAAAAAAAAAAAAAAAAAAAAAGAAAAGAAAAAAAGAAAAACTGAAGAAATAGGTAATAGAAGCCAGATGACTTTGCCCATTTGTCACATTGTTTTTGGACTTTTAAGTTAGTCTAAATCAAAGCAACCATTTTGTGTATTTTGACAGCTAATTTAGATGAATTCATACTAAAGGTAAATGAGGTATTAAAGTTTTAAAGTTCATTCTTTAACAACACATTACTCTATACGCTCCCCAGAAAATATGTCGAGGAAAATAATTTAATGGTCAGGAGCCTGTCCTTACTTTCAGATCCTAACTTCTCTCTTCCCCTAGTCATCACCACCCCTTACCCTCAGTTCCATAAACATAAATAAAGAGAAGAATGAAGTTAAAGCTTTTCTTCTTAGGTGTTTAAAAATCTGACTATTCTAAAGACTGATTAAACTAGGTTTTCTAAGTGAGCAGTTCCTTAATCTTGACTTAGTAAAACATTAAAATATTTGGCATCTGCCATTGACCCCTATTCTGCAATATTGGAGTTAATCCAGCAGTTTCTGATTAAATACCAGTATTATGCAATTCAAGAATTACCACAGGGGTGTGAAGGGAAGAGGGTGAGGCTAGTGAGGAACACCCAGACAGCAAAGTAAAGAAAATACTCCTTTTATAAGAATAAAACCCAAATGAATGCTAAGACTCTATCTAGAGATTCATTGTTATTTCTGTCAGTGGGATTATTTAAGTTTTCTCTTTAATCATTCGAGTTTAAAAAAATTATTTTTATTTTTTTTTATTTTTCAGACGGAGTCTTGCTCTGTCGCCCAGGCTGGAGTGCAGTGGTGCTATCTCTGCTCACTGCAAGCTCTGCCTCCCAGGTTCACGCCATTCTCCTGCCTCAGCCTCCCGAGTAGCTGGGACTACAGGCACCCACCACCACACCCGGCTAATTTTTTTGTATTTTTAGTAGAGACGAGGTTTCACCATGTTAGCCAGGATGGTCTCGATCTCCTGACCTCGTGATCCGCCCGCCTTGGCCTCCCAAAGTGCTGGGATTACAGGTGTGAGCCACCGTGCCAGGCCAATTTTTATTTTTATTTTCTGGAGATGGGGTCTCACTCTGTCACCCAGGCTAGAGTGCAGTGGTGTGATCATGGTTCACTGCAGCCTTGACCTGCCAGGCTCAAGTGATCCTCCTGCTTCAGCATCCTGAGTAGCCTGGGACCACAGGCATGAGCCACCACACCTGGCTAATTTTTTAAAATTTTTTGTGGTGATGGGATCTCACTATGTGTTTCTCAGACTGGTTTTCTAATTTTTAAGAAAACAGTAGACATGTATGTTTTTGTAACATGAAATCATAACTTTATGTAATCCAGGCCGGGTATAGTGGCTCACACCTGTAATCCCAGCACTTTGGGAGGCTGAGGCGGGTGGATCACAAGGTCAGGAGTTTGAGACCAACCTGGCCAACATGGTGAAACCCTGTCTCTACTAAAGATACCAAAACAAAACAAACCTATGTAATCCAAATTAAAATCTTCTTCAGCATGTATATATTTATATTTATAATCTATATGTATATATTTAAAAAACAAGTTATTGGATGTAATTCATATACAGTATAATTCACCCATTTAAAATATACAGTTCAGTGGTTTTTAGTATATTCACAGAGTTGTGCAACCATTACCAGGGTCTAATTTTTTTCTTTTTTTTTGATACGGAGTCTCACTTTGTCACCCAGGCTGGAGTGCAGTGGCGCGATCTCTGCTCACTGCAAGCTCCGCCTCCCGTGTTCACGCATTCTCCTGCCTCAGCCTCCCAAGTAGCTGGGACTACAGGCGTCTGCCACCACGCCAGGCTAATTTTTTTTTTTTTTTTGTATATTTAGTACAGATGGGGTTTCACCGTGTTAGCCAGGATGGTCTTGATCTCCTGACCTCGTGATCCACCTTCTTCGGCCTCCCAAAGTGCGGGGATTACAGGCGTGAGTCACCGTGCCCGGCCATTTTTTTTTTTTTTTTTTTTTTTTGGGAGAGACAGAGTCTTGCTCTGTTGCCCAGGCTGGAGTGCAGTGGCATGATCTTGGCTCACTGCAACCTCCGCCTCCCAAGTTCAAGTGATTCTCCTCCCTCAGCTTCCCAAGTAGCTGGGATTACAGGCACGTACCAGCACGCCCAGCTAATTTTTGTATTTTTAGTAGAGACGGTTTCACCATGTTGGTCAGGCTGGTCTCAAACTCCTGACCTCGTGATCTGCCTGCCTCGGCCTCCCAAAGTGCTGGGATTACAGGCATGAGCCACTGCGCCTGGCCAATTTTTGTATTTTTTAGTAGAAATGGGGTTTCGCTATATGTTGGCCAGGCTGATCTCGAACTCCTGACCTCAAGTGATCCACCTGCTTTGGCCTCCCAAAGTGCTGGGATTATAGATGTTAGCCACCACGCCTGGCCACCAGGTTCTAATTTTAAAACATTTTCATCACCTCAAAAAGAAACCATGTACCCATTAGCAGTCACTCCTCTTCCCCATCCTCAGTTCTTGGCAACAGATAGTCTACTATCTGTATGAATTTGCCTATTTTGGACATTTCATATAAATGGTATCATATTCAGTTGTCCCCTGGAATCCACGGGGGATTGGTTCCAGGACTCCTCTGTGGATGTAGAAGTCCGTTATAGTTGTCCCTGTATCTGCGGGTTCTGCATCTGTGGATACGGAAGGCCAGCTGTGATATGTGGTGTTTTGTTCCTTTCACTTATTCAAGTTACAGCATGTATCCATACTTCATTGCTTTTAATTGTCAAATAATATTCCACTGTATGGATATGTCACATATTATGCATTTTTAATTTTGCTTTTAAATCTAATACTTCTGAGAGACTTCTCCTTCTGGGAATATAGAATTTCCTGCTTTTTTGCCTCCTATATTCCTGACTTGGAGCTAAAGAAGCCAGCAACCTGGACACACTAGCAGGCACTGAGAAGAAAAACTCCAACCAAATCCTGCTGCCTCTTGCCTGAGAACCAGGGAAGGGGCAGCCTAAACAAGACCACAAACTTTTAGATAATTACTGCTCTACTATAAACACCACAGAAAAAGCTGTGGCTCCATCCTCACCATGCCAGCAAAGGCTGAATTGGGTGGCCTAGACTTCCATCCTCTGTTGGTGGTCTATAAATTTAACCAATCTTTTACTGATGGGCTTCGGTGGTCTCTAGTGTTTTGCTGTTACAAACAATAAGGCCTCAGTATTCCTCTCTCTTGTATCTTTGGACATCTGTATGACTGTTTCTATAGAATAAATTTCTAGATATAAAATTATTGGGACAATAGATGGCATCCAGTGAAGCCTTCAGGAATGGCAGTTAGATGGATGATCTCAAAATATAGAAACAGGCTGGGCGAGGAGGCTCACGCCTGTAATCCCAGCACTTTGGGAGACCGAGGTGGGCGAATCACTTGAGGTCAGGAGTTCAAGACCAGCCTGACCAACATGGTGAAACCCTGTCTCTACTAAAAATACAAAAATTAGCTGGGTATGGTGATGTGTGCCTATAATCCCAGCTATTCGGGAGGTTGAGACAGGAGAATCTCTTGAACTCAGGAGGCAGAGGTTGCAGTGAGCCGTGATCGCGCCATTGCATTCCAGCCTGAGTGACAGAGCAAGACTCTGTCTCAAAACAAATAAACAAACAAAAAAACCTGGAAATATATAAGAAGTATTACATTTTCAGTGTAGTTTTTCTCTGTTGTTTAGACTAGGTAATTTTTATGCCTTCATTTTACTGATTCTTCTGTCCCCTTCGTTTGGCTTTTGAACCCATCTACTGAGTTTTTAAATTTCAGTTACTGTATTTTTCAGTTCTAAAATTTCCATCTGGGACTTCTTTATATCTTTTTTTTTTAACTTTAATTATCGTGTTTATCTTCTGACATACATCTTCTATTTTTTTTGCTGAGGCTTTCTGTTTTTTCATTTGCTTCAAGCAGATCATTCCATTTGATATGATTCTTGGTATGACACGTTCAGTTGAAACATGGACATTTTCATACTATGTTAAGAGACTCTGGATCTTGTTTAATCCTTCTCTTTAAACTTCTGACACTCAAGTAAGACTCCTTTGACATTTCTGTGGAGGGAAAAGGAGAAGGGAGATGGCACTGCTTTGTTATAACCAGGTAGAGACAGAAGTCCAAGTGCCGCACTGGGTTATCTCATTTTTATTTTTTTATTTTTATTTTTATTTGTTTTGAGACAGTCTGCTCTGTCGCCCAGGCTGGAGCGCAGTGGCGCGATCTCAGCTCACTACAACCTCTGCCTGCCAGGTTCAAGCAATTCTCCTGCCCCAGCCTCCCGAGTGGCTGGGATTATAGGCGTGCGCCACCACACTCGGCTGATTTTTGTATTTTTGGTAGAGACGGGGTTTCACCATGTTGGCCAGGCTGGTCTTAAACGCCTGACCTCAGGTGATCTGCCTGCCTTGGCCTCCCAAAGTGCTGGGATTACAGGTGTGAGCCACCATGCCTAGCCCCACTTTTTAGATTTAATACTTCTTGCTTCCAGAATGTGATTTTAAGGAAAAGAAAAATAAATAAATAAATTTAATACTTCTGAGAGACTTCTGCTTCTGGAAAAACCGAATTAGATGGTAGTGAGTTTCTTAGTTTTTTGCCTTATACATCTCAGACTTGGAACTAAACAAGCCAGCAACCATGGTGAAGAGGCTCCTTATTACTGCTGGGGTGGGGGAATGGGAGTTGCAGCTCCCTGTGTGACCTCCCTGGTACACTAGTGGAGGTGGCCTCATTACCACTGGTTAATGTTCAAAGTCCTGACTCTGTTAGGCCTCCTCTGACCCCATCCCAGGGGCAGGGGCTTGGCAGGGTTTGGAGGCCCTGGTTTCCTCCCTGGCCATCTCTGACAGTATTCTGGCAGAGACATTACAGCCTCCAGAGGATTGGTTACATTAAGTTGGAAATAAAATATATAAACTAAAAAAAAGTTATATATATGTGATCATATTTTTCAAGGAATAAAGTAGTATGGGCCGGGCGTGGTGGCTCACACCTGTAATCCCAGCACTTTGGGAGGCCAAGGTGGGAGGATAACTTGAGGCCAGGAGTTTGAAACCAGCCTGGGCAACATAGTTAGAACCCCATCTCTATTAAAAGAAAAATAGTAGTATGTAGATAGAAAATAAAAATGTAGAAGAATAAGTAGCAAATTAATGGTTCAAGGGTAAGGGAACGCTGACTTTCTCTAGTGTTTCAGTTTTTATTTATTTTAAAAATAATGAATATAACTGTTAGAAGCAGTGAAGAGTATTTTTTAAAGGCATACTTTTCTCAGATGCTATTGTTAGATAACTATATGTTAATTTTTATGGTTACTAATACAAAACTGGGTATAGAATAAACGTATCCTGGCTCCCAGTGTAGGATGCTTTCCATTGTATCACAATGCCCTCAGTCAGCTGTAGCAATAGACTGTATTCAGTGTAGTTCATACTAAACAGGGTAATTTTGATTCTATAATTTTGTTGAAATTGAATTTTATATTTAACTTGGATTAAAGGAGAAGGTTTTTGACTTGTGAATTCTAGAAATTTGAATTTTTTGCCAGGCCCAGTGGCTCACACCTGTAATGCCAGGACTTTGGGAGGCTGAGGTGGGTGGATCACTTGAGTTCAGGAGTTTGAGATCAGCCTGGCCAACATGGTGAAACCCTGTCTCTAATAAAAATACAAAAATTGGGCCGGGCGGCGTGGCTCATGCCTGTAATCTGGGCATTTTGGGAGGCCGAGGCGGGTGGATCACCTGAGGTCAGGAGTTCGAGACCAGCCTGACCGACATGGTGAAACACTGTCTCTAATAAAAATACAAAAATCAGCTGGGCATGGTTGTGGGCACCTGTAATCCGAGTTACTCGGGAGGTTGAGGCAGGAGAATCACTTGAACCTCGGAGGTGGAGGTTGCAGTGAGCCGAGATCACACCATTGCACTCCAGCCTGGGTGACAAGAGTGAAACTCCATCTCAAAAAAATAAATAAATAAATAAATAAGCCAGCCATGGTGGTGGGCGCCTGTACTCCCAGCTGCTCGGGAGGCTGAGGCAGGAGAATGGCCTGAACCTGGGAGGTAGAGGTTGCAATGAGCCGAGATGACACCACTGTACTCCAGCCTGGGCAACAGAGCGAGACTCCACCTAATTAAAAAAAAAAAAAAAAAAAGAAATTTGAATTTTTCCACAGTTTTACTGTATATACATAAATTATACATATATATGTGCATGTGTGTATATATATGTATTTATATGTATGTGTATATGTGTATGTGTGTGTATATATATAATATATATATTTTAAATAGTGACAGAGTCTTGCTCTGTTACCCAGGCTGGAATGTAGTGCTATAATCATGGCTCGCTGCAGTCTTGAACTCCTGGGCTCCAGTGATCCTCCTACCTCAGTCTCCTGAATAACTGGGACTATAGGAGAGTGCCACCACACTGGCTAATTTTCTAATTTTTTTAGTAGAGATGGGGTATTGCTCGGTTGCCCAGGCTGATCTCAAACTCCTGGTGTCAAGTGATGCTCCTGCTTTGGACTTCCAAAGTGTTGGGATTACGGGCATGAACTATTGTGCGTGGCCTTTTCT
This sequence comes from Homo sapiens, assembly GCF_000001405.40. Taxonomy (NCBI): domain Eukaryota; kingdom Metazoa; phylum Chordata; class Mammalia; order Primates; family Hominidae; genus Homo; species Homo sapiens. Next base: position 24,792,498 of record NC_000001.11, read on the forward strand.
ATACTTTAAAAATTTTCAAAAATAAAAATAAATATTTCATCTGACTAGTAGCTCCCAATTTTCTGATGCTATTAAGACTTTGGAAAAAGTTGTTCATGGTGACGATGACTTTTCTTATTTGACTTGTCATTAGTGGTTAGTAAAAAAGGGACTTTTTTCAGGTCCGTCTTGAAGAATATGCATCCTTTTATTTATGTGTGCATGAAGGAAAGTGCTTATTAGGCGTATGAGATGTGTAACGAGCTTCTGATATACCTGAAACAAAAGTAAATTGAGAAAATTTGCTAGAAAATTTTAGAGAAAGGAGGCAGTCACCTGTGAAAGGAAAGAGGCATTTCTGTCCTGACCAGGTCTTCATGAACTGTTCCGTATTCTGAGATTCTTTTGCCCATGCTCAAGGACTGGCTCTGCAGACCACTGTAGGAGATTATGTATGGTGACTGATCTGTAGCCAGTCCCCATTCATCTTTAGCCTGCTTTTAGTTTAACGTGTTTCTAAGTTCCTACATGTAATATCTTTATTATGTCTCGTTTACCAACTTAATGATTTTAACACTGCTTTGACAGGCAGCTTGGGAAATTTTAGTTAATTTTATAGATTAAGTGGAGGAGGATAAAGGCCTTGAGTCAGACTAGTTCTTTGTGTACCAAATTACTGTTGTTTTTTTTTTTTTTTCAGTAAATCTCAAATTTGGATTATCAGGCTAATTGGAAAGGTAGTGTATTAACATTTTCTTGTCTGTAGTAAATCCACTTGTGTGTTATCAGTGTTCCATGCTATTAATGGTCAGTATCTTCAAAAAGGCAACTTTGGGCACCAGTTTGTTATATAGTAGGATGAGTTAGTGCTGTAAATTGACTTGGGTTCTGAGAATCAAATATCATCCTAACCTTCCCACACCAGTGTTTCTTAATGTATCCAGCAGGCAGGTGCCTTACTTCAGAATCTCCTTGAGTGCCTATAACAAAATAAGGATTCCTGGGCCCCAACCCGGGAGTTCTGCTGAATCAGAATCTCTAGATATGAGGCCCTGGGGTCTTCATTTTAAATGTTTTCCTTAGGTTATTTGTAATCACAGTAAAATTTAAGAACTAGGCCTTTTTTAGGAAGTACATTTTTGTACAAGTTATATGTAGTATTAGGAATTAATATGATTCATTCTGCCCTCAAATTCTGTGTATATTTTGTTACTGATAAAGAATGATCGGATTTTTTTTTTTTCTTAAACCAAGCTCTGTTGTAACTGTTCCATGCTGTCTGATTAGGGTTCTAGAATCTTCACTATAAGCCCACTTTTTTTGTTTTTGTTTTTTAAACTCCCTTTACCTCTCCATTAGTTTAGGAATTAATGACTTTTTACTGATGTGGCATTTTACTGAAATGCTTCTGAATTTTTTGAGAGTTACTTTAGGATAATGAACAGTACTTTTACCAGCATCTTTGAATGACTTATTGGAGAGTTATTTCTGGCACTTTCCATGGACGTCATAGTCAACAGGCTGTGTTGATCTCTAGCAATGTCAGAACGTTCTCTTCCAGCATTCCAGCTCTCTTTCCTTCCCATCTCTCCTTTTCCTTCAGTCCATCTTTCCTTTTTAAACTTGGGGCTGATTCCATGTCTTTGCTATCATGAATAGTGCTGCAGTGAACATACATATGCATGTGTCTTTATGGTAGAATGATTTATATTCCTTTGGGTATATACCCAGTAATGGGATTGCTGAGTCGAATGGTAGTTCTGTTTTTAGCTCTTTGAGGAATTGCCACACTGCTTTCCACAATAGTTTAACTAATTTACACTCCCACCAGCAGCGTATAGTGTTCCCTTTTCTCTACAACTTTGCCAGCATCTGTTTTTTTTTTTTTTTTACTTTTTGAAAATAGCCATTCTGGTGTGAAATGGTATCTCACTGTGCTTTTGATTTGTTTTTCTCTAATGATCAGTGATATTGAACTTTTTTTCATATGCTTGTTGGGCCACATGTATGTCTTCTTTTGAAAAGTGTCTTCATGTCGGTTGCCCACATTTTAATGGGGTTGTTTTATATTTGTAATTTTGTTTAAGTTCCTTATGGATGCTGGATATTAGACCTTTGTCAGATGCATATTTTGCAAATATTTTCTCCCATTCAACCTGCATTCTGTAGGTTGTCTGTTTACTCTGTTGATAGTTTCTTCTGCTGTGCGGAAACTCTTAAGTTTAATTAGATCCTGTTTGTCAACTTTCGTTGCAATTGTTTTTGGCATCTTCGTCATGAAATCTTTGCCAGTTCCTATGTCCAGAATGGCACTGACTAGGTTGTCTTCCAGGGTTTTTATAGTTTTGGGTTTTACATTTAAGTCTTTAATCCATCTTGAGTTGATTTTTGTGTATGGTATAAGGAAGGAATCCAATTTTAATCTTCTGCATATGGTTAGCCAGTTATCCCAGCACCATTGATTGAATATGGAGTCTTTGACGTTGCTTGTTTTTGTCAGCTTTGTCGAAAATCAGATGGTTATAGGTGTGTGGCCTTATTTCTGGGCTGTACTTGAGGGTGGAGGATGGAAGGAGGGAGAGGATCAGAAATAACTATTGGGCTCTAGGCTTTGTACCTGGGTGATGAAATAATCTGTACAACAAACTCCTGTGACATGAGTTTACCTGTATAACAAACCTGCACATAATACCCCTGAACCTAAAATAAAAGTTAAAAACAATAGCAACAACCACCTTGGGGCATACATGATGGGACTATAAAAGATTTGTACCACTCTGATTTTAGGAAAATCTACCTCATCATTGCCATTCATTAAGTAGGATTAGAAATAGGTTATTATAAATATATCTTTTGCTATTTTCTTGCTCTCTGAAGGAATGTGTACAACAGGATATGGGCCGGGTATGGTGGTGCATGCCTGTAGTTTCAGCTACTGGGGAGGCTGAGGCGGGAGTATTTCTTAAGTCCACGAATTTGAAACTGCAGTATGCTGTGATTGTGCCTGTGAGTAACCACTGCACACCAGCCTGGGAAACATAGTAAGATCCTATCTCTAATTGAAAAAAAAAATAAAAAAAAAACAGGATATAGGATATTTATTTTTATTTTTGAAATGGAGTCTCACTTTGTCGCCCAGGCTGGAGTGCAGTGGCACGATCTCGGCTCACCGCAACCTCCACCTCCCGGGTTCAAGCAATTCTCCTGTCTCAGCCCCCCGGGTAGCTGGGATATAGGCATGCGCCACAACGCCTGGCTAATTTTTGTATTTTTCGTAGAGACGGAGTTTCACTATGTTGGTCAGGCTGGTCTCAAACTCCCGACCTTGTGATCTGCCCGCCTTGGCCTCCCAAAGTGCTGGGATTACAGGAGTCAGCCACTGCGCCCAGCCAGGATATGGGATGTTTATAATGAATTTTTTTTGGAGGCGGGTACACCTACAAGTTTCCCTTTTTACTTTGCCTTACGAAGAATACTGTCTGATAGAATGAAAAATGATTTTTACATTTCAGAAAACCCATAACAGACTTTGCCTTTGCCCTGAGGCAAGGGTTTATGTACCCCCTAGGAATTACTGTTCTGTCCAACATAGTAGCCATTAGTCATATGTGGCTATTTAAATTATGAAAACATATTGTTTATGTTTTAAATTATAAATTGTAGTCATGTGCTGCATATGCCAGGGGTCTCAAAAGATTGTAATTTGCTTTTATTTTTTATTTTTATTTTTTGAGATGGAGTCTTGCTCCTTCGCTAGGCTGGAGTGCAGTGGCACGATGTCGGCTCAGTAAAATCTCTGCCTCCCGGGTTCAAGCGATTCTCCTGCCTCAGCCTCGCAAGTAGCTGGGACTGCAGGCGCGTACCACCACGTCCAGCTAATTTTTTGTATTTTAGTAGAGGTGGGGTTTCACCATGTTGGCCAGGCTGGTCTCAAACTCCTGACCTCGTGATCTGCCCTCCTCGGCCTCCCAAAGTGCTGGGATTACAGGCGTGAGCCACTGCACCCAGCTTATAATTCGTATTTTTATTCTACTTTTTCTATGTTTAGATATGTCTTGATGTACAGATACTTACCATTATATTCCACTTGCCTACAGTATTCAGTACAGTAACATGCTGTACAGGTTTGTAGCCTAGGAGCAATAGGCTATACCATGTAGACTAGGTGTGTAGTAGGCTATCTCATCTAGGTTTGTGTCAGCATACCCTGTGATGCTTGTAAAATGCTAGAATCGCCTAACAGCACATTTTTTTCAGAATGTGTCCCTGTCAGTAAGTGATTCATGACTGTAATTTAAAATAAATGAAACAAAAAAATTCAGTTCACTTGAACTAGCCCCATTACATACTCCCTAGCCACATATTGCTAGTGGCTACCATATTGGACATTGGCAATATGGATCATCGCCATCATGCATTAAATTCTCTTGGGCAGTGCTATACTAGACTGGTCATTTTTATTTTTTATTTTATTTATTTATTTATTTTTTTTTTTTGAGACAGAGTCTCGCTCTGTCGCCCAGGCTGGAGTGCATGGCACGATCTCAGCACACTGCAACCTCTGTGTCCCGGGTTCAAGTGATTCTCCTGCCTCAGCCTTTTGAGTAGCTGGGACTACAGGCACCCACCACCACACCTGGCTAATTTTTTTATTTTTAGTAGAGATGGGGTTTCACCATATTGGCCAGGCTGGTCTCAAACTCCTGACCGTGTGATCCACCTGCCTCAGCCTCCCAAAGTGCTGGGATTACAGGTGTGTGCCACCACGCCTGGCCCTAGACTGATCATTTTTAAGAAAAGAAAGAGGCTAGCGCTAGCTGGGTGCAGTGGCTCATGCCTGTAATCCCAGCACTTTAGGAGGCTGAGGCAGGTGGATCACTTGAGCCCAGGAGTTCAAGACCAACCTGGATAACATGGTGAAACCCTGTCTCTACTAAAACTATTAAAAATTAGCCGGGATGGTGGTACGTGCCTGTAGCTCCAGCTGCTTGGGAGGCTAAGATGGGAGGTGAAGGTTGCAGTGAGCTGAGATCGCACCACTGCACTCCAGCCTGGGTGACAGAAGGAGACCCTGTCTCAAAAAAAGAAAAAAAAAAAAAAAGGCTAATGAAAGAACAAAATAATAAAGACCCAAATTTCTACTCTTCCTTCCACAATGTAACTTTTCCTGGCTTCTTGTACTCTTGATTAAAATTCAGAAAAAGTTATGTCATGTTGAGTATCATCACTTTGACCTTGTTTTTAATGTTTAATTCTGTTTTCCAGGCTGGCAGTGATGGTGAAAGCATAGGAAACTGCCCCTTTTCCCAGAGGCTCTTCATGATTCTTTGGCTCAAAGGAGTTGTATTTAGTGTGACGACTGTTGACCTGAAAAGGTAAGACATGGTCGCAGTTTGCAATCAACTTAAGCTGAACTATCTTTTCAGTTTGATCCTATTTTCACCTTGATGGCACATATTCTCTAAAGGAAATATATTGTATTAAAGTTCTGCTGGTTTATGGACAAACAACTTGTATATAACTATTTTGGACAAGTCACGCTGTCAGTATACTGCGTGGCTACTCAGTCTTTTTTAGGAACTTTTGTATGTTTACCTTAAATTTCATGAGTAGCACTAGGAGCTAAGTGTTAGTGTGGATGCAGTGAAATCCTTGACTTCTTTTTTCCAGTGTAAACATGGAGTCATGAAGAGCTTTCTAAGCAGACATCATCTTGGCCCCAAATGTGTTAAGCATGTGATCTTTATAATCTGGATCTTCAAAGACAAGGATTTTTAGGAGGTTGAATACCGTTGTTGTCAATTTCATTTAATTTATTTTTCAGAGAATAACAGTAATTTTCTATAGCATTTTAGCTATAATGCAAGTATTTTAATCATATTTGTTTAAATGTATTGTAAAATAAGAGCAATTATCTGTGGCCCGGTGTCTGTTCTTGCTAAGTGAAGAGTTGTTTGTAGGTTTCTCTCCTGGATGACTTTATGGCTTATTTTCCATAGTGGAGAGGGCTGAGAAGAGCCGTGATGAGTAGAAAGCTCTGTTTTATTCAGGAATGTCTATTCACCTTTAGCAAACAGGTCTGAGGTGAAGAACATTCATACATCCCCTTCCCCAAAAGATTTAAATCAAGGGTTAAGAATAGTTGTATTGCTCTTCCTCTCCCTCTCCCCACGGTGTCCCTCTCTTTCCACGGTCTCCCTCTCTTTCCACGGTCTCCCTCTCATGCGGAGCCGAAGCTGGACTGTACTGCCGCCATCTCGGCTCACTGCAACCTCCCTGCCTGATTCTCCTGCCTCAGCCTGCCGAGTGCCTGCGATTGCAGGCACGCGCCGCCACGCCTGACTGGTTTTGGTGGAGACGGGGTTTCGCTGTGTTGGCCGGGCAGGTCTCCAGCCCCTAACCGCGAGTGATCCGCCAGCCTCGGCCTCCCGAGGTGCCGGGATTGCAGACGGAGTCTGGTTCACTCAGTGCTCAATGGTGCCCAGGCTGGAGTGCAGTGGCGTGATCTCGGCTCGCTGCAACCTCCACCTCCCAGCCGTCTGCCTTGGCCTCCCAAAGTGCCGAGATTGCAGCCTCTGCCCGGCCGCCACCCCATCTGGGAAGTGAGGAGTGTCTCTGCCTGGCCGCGCATCGTCTGGGATGTGAGGAGCCCCTCTGCCTGGCTGCCTAGTCTGGAAAGTGAGGAGCGTCTCCGCCTGGCCGCCATCCCATCTAGGAAGTGAGGAGCGGCGCCTCTTCCCGGCTGCCATCACATCTAGGAAGTGAGGAGCGTCTCTGCCCGGCCGCCCATCGTCTGAGATGTGGGGAGCGCCTCTGCCCCGCCTCCCCATCTGGGATGTGAGGAGCGCCTCTGCCCGGCCGCAACCCCGTCTGGGAGGTGAGGAGCGTCTCTGTCCGGCCGCCCCGTCTGAGAAGTGAGGAGACCCTCTGCCTGGCAACCACCCCGTCTGAGAAGTGAGGAAGCCCCTCCGCCCGGCAGCTGCCCCGTCTGAGAAGTGAGGAGCCTCTCCACCCGGCAGCCACCCCATCTGGGAAGTGAGGAGCGTCTCCGCCCGGCAGCCCCCCCATCTGGGAAGTGAGGAGCGTCTCCGCCCGGCCAGCCGCCCCGTCGGGGAGGGAGGTGGGGGGGTCAGCCCCCCGCCCGGCCAGCCGCCCCGTCGGGGAGGGAGGTGGGGGGGGTCAGCCCCCCCGCCCGGCCAGCCGCCCCGTCCGGGAGGGAGGTGGGGGGGTCAGCCCCCCGCCCGGCCAGCCGCCCCGTCCGGGAGGGAGGTGGGGGGGTCAGCCCCCTGCCCGGCCAGCTGCCCCGTCTGGGAGGTGAGGGGCGCCTCTGCCCGGCCGCCCCTACTGGGAAGTGAGGAGCCCCTCTGCCCGGCCAGCCGCCCCGTCCGGGAGGGAGGTGGGGGGGGTCAGCCCCCCGCCCGGCCAGCCACCCCGTCCGGGGGGGGGGGTCAGCCCCCCCACCTGGCCAGCCGCCCCGTCTGGGAGGTGAGGGGCGCCTCTGCCCGGCCGCCCCTACTGGGAAGTGAGGAGCCCCTCTGCCCGGCCAGCCGCCCCGTCCGGGAGGGAGGTGGGGGGGTCAGCCCCCTGCCCGGCCAGCTGCCCCGTCTGGGAGGTGAGGGGCGCCTCTGCCCGGCCGCCCCTACTGGGAAGTGAGGAGCCCCTCTGCCCGGCCAGCCGCCCCGTCCGGGAGGGAGGTGGGGGGGGTCAGCCCCCCGCCCGGCCAGCCACCCCGTCCGGGGGGGGGGGTCAGCCCCCCCACCTGGCCAGCCGCCCCGTCTGGGAGGTGAGGGGCGCCTCTGCCCGGCCGCCCCTACTGGGAAGTGAGGAGCCCCTCTGCCCGGCCAGCCGCCCCGTCCGGGAGGGAGGTGGGGGGGTCAGCCCCCCACCCGGCCAGCCGCCCCGTCCGGGAGGGAGGTGGGGGGGTCAGCCCCCAGCCTGGCCAGCTGCCCCGTCTGGGAGGGAGGTGGAGGGGTCAGCCCCCTGCCCGGCCAGCCGCCCCGTCCGGGAGGTGAGGGGCGCCTCTGCCCGGCCGCCCCTACTGGGAAGTGAGGAGCCCCTCTGCCTGGCCACCACCCCGTCTGGGAGGTGTGCCCAACAGTTCATTGAGAATGGGCCAGGATGACAATGGCGGCTTTGTGGAATAGAAAGGCGGGAAAGGTGGGGAGAAGATTGAGAAATCGGATGGTTGCCGTGTCTGTGTAGAAAGAAGTAGACATGGGAGACTTTTCATTTTGTTCTGCACTAAGAAAAATTCTTCTGCCTTGGGATCTTGTTGGTCTGTGACCTTACCCCCAACCCTGTGCTCTCTGAAACGTGTGCTGTGTCCACTCAGGGTTAAATGGATTAAGGGTGGTGCAAGATGTGCTTTGCTAAACAGATGCTTGAAGGCAGCATGCTCGTTAAGAGTCATCACCACTCCCTAATCTCAAGTAATCAGGGACAAACACTGCGGAAGGCCGCAGGGTCCTCTGCCTAGGAAAACCAGAGACCTTTGTTCACTTGTTTATCTGCTGACCTTCCCTCCACTATTGTCCCATGACCCTGCCAAATCCCCCTCTGTGAGAAACACCCAAGAATTATCAATAAAAAAATAAATTAAAAAAAAAAAAAAGAATAGTTGTATTAATGGGAAAAACTAGGGTTTGGCAGTGGATTCCTCTTGATGCAAGTGTCACAACATGATTTGCTATTATACTGATTTTTAAAACTATTAGTCTGTTCTCACATTGCTATAAAGAACTACCTGAGACTGGGTAATTCATAAAGAAAAGAGGTTTAATTGACTGGCAGTTCTGCAGGTTGTACAGGAAACTTGTCTGGGGAGGCCTCAGGAGACTTACAAGTATGATAGAAGTCAAAGGGGAAGCAGACATGTCTTTCATGGCCGGAGAAGGAAGAAGAGAGAAGGGGGAGGTGTTACATATTTTTAAACAACCAGATCTTGTGAGAACTCACTCTCTGTCACAGGAACAGCAAGGGAAGTCTGCCCTTGTGATCCAGTCACCTCCCACAAGGCCCCTCTTCCACCATTGAAAATTACAATTTGATATGAGATTTGGGCAAGGACAGAAATTTAAACCATATTATATATCAAGTCATGAACAGTGTCCAGGAAAAGATATTGACAGCCTATCACTTGATAAAGTGGCAGAATTAATCTATGTTATCCCTCTGAGCATCACATGCTGATAGTTACCTGAGAGCTATAATTCCATTCCAAGTTCTAGGTTAGTGTACTCAGATTTCTGTCATTCCCTTAAAATACATTTTTACTTACTGCTAGTGCATATATTTGAAATTTTACAGACTTTAAAATTTATTGAACATAAGCCATAAAGTCATCAAGGAACCCCTTTAGTTATGTATATAAATGTAGAAATAAGCCTTTGGGAATAGTGAGTTAAAACTACAAGCTCTTGGGAAGACATTACCTTATTCATGTTGGGCAGAGATGTAAGAATGAAATAAGTCATGTAGTTACCCTTCTATTACTGTTTTTTTTTTATACATGTGTACACAAAGCAAGTTTCCCAATATAACTCCTAAAAATAGAGTGTGCCACCAGGCACACACCCTTACTGTGTCCTAAAATACATGAATTTCTCCTATTCCATTTTTGGCTTGGAGCAAGTGAGTTGACTGCCATTCTTTGAAAAAGCTGTCATTGAATAGTTTAATACAGTGCTTTAATTGTGATACATACCAGTAATAGTGCCATAAACATGGGAATCTGGGTCAGAAAAGGAAGTAAACCCATTATAGCTATTTCAGAGTTGTCTGTTTCTTTTCATTTGCAGATTTTTTAAAGGCATTATTCCTATAGGTTGATTGATATTTGCAGATTTGTATATATATGTTAAAGTGTGTATGTGGAAATATGTGTAAGTGTATATGTTAAGTGTTTATATATATAAAAAGTGGCGCATGGGAGGTAGGCATTCAGGGCCTTATAATTAGAAAATATCAAAGAAGATATATGTTTATTACCTAGGGCTTTATGTAAAATCAATGGTAGAGAGCACTTAAAATTGAAGCTTATATTTTTTGGTCTTTAACAATCATAGGTCTCCAGTAAATATAAAAAATGCTTCTTAGGGCAACTAAAACTAAGCAAGTAGTACGTGATAATGAGTCTGTACCATCCCTACCCCCTAGTCATCAACTTCCCCTTCAGAGAGATAATTTATTTTAGGTTTGGTCTTTATTCTTCCAAATCTTTTCCTTTTTTCTTTTTCTTTTTTTTTTTTTTTTGAGACACGGTCTGCCTCTGTCACCGAGGCTGGAGTGCAGTGGCACGATCACAGCTTACTCTGTAGCCTTGAGCTCCTGGGCTCAAGTAATCCTCCAGCCTCAGCCTCCCAAGTAGCTAGGACTACAGGCATTTACTGCCATACCTGGCTAATTTTTTATTTTTAAGAGACAGGGTCTCCCTGTGTTGCCCAGGCTGGTCTTGAACTCCTGGGCTCAAGCAGTCCTCTGGCCTTGGTCTCCCAAAGTGCTGGGATTACAGACTTTAGCCACTGTGCCTGGCCTCGTCCAAATCTTTTCTATGAGTTTACACACTTGCAGTCTTGAACAAAATTTTAAAGAGAAAGTACCTCAAGAAAGTGAGCATTGGTTCAAAAAACAAAAACAAACAACCCACCAGTATATATGAAAGTTATCACAGAGGAATAAAACATCCCTGTAGTACTTTTCATAATATATTCTTAATCTTAAAACATTAAATGTGACTCTTTTTAGAAATCTTGGGGGAGAAAATATGCCTACAGTGCTTATTTTCCTGCTTTTCCTGGTAATTGCCTAATATCTTGGTGAGAAGTACTGACTCCAGAACAAACCAGTGGAGAACAATAGAACTCCTCTGAGAGTTACTTAGCAGCTCACTCTATGATTTGAAAAAAATGATTGTTACATGACATTTCATCCATAAGAACAAGCCCATTTCTAGTTCTGGCACTGTATGACATGTTCTCTTTGAATCTCAGTTGGCATTAATGACTATGCTGGTAGTATTCATGTGTCCCTTGTGAGGCTGTGAACAATCTCCCATTACTTGCCTGCCAGAGCAGCCTTCGTGCTTTGGTGGGAGTCATTTCCAAATCTAATTTTCTGTTCATATTGCAATTTAAAGAACGTTTAGATAGAAAAAAAAGGGCCCAGGCTTCACAAAGAATTTCAATTTACATCAACGATTTGAACAAAAGCTTCAGATAATATAAGTGAAAATACTAAAATTGGGGCAGAGTTAAAGATGTTCTGGCATGTCATCAGTTGGGAAACAACCATGGCATAGTATAGAAAATTTCAGGAGTGAGACCTAGCTGTGTATGGAGAGAGCTCTATCACTGATTTCACTGGGACCTGGGGCGAGCTGCCTCATCTTCCTTGGAGTTAGTTACCTTATATTTAAAATCAGGAGAAAAGGGAAAAAAACTTCACTTTTGTAATAGTTTAAAATGTTACAATGGAACTATGAAACTGATAGTTCTGCATATCTTAAAAGGCAGTTAGAAACTCAGAAAAAAATCTGATTCCCAAATAGACTCTTCAGATAGTTTTATCTTCATGATCATGTCTCTGTGGTTCCACCTTTCTGAAAACAGTCTTCAGTAACTTAAGAAATCATTTCAACTTCCATGATCTTCAGTAGCAGCAGCATGAATGACACATGCCAAGAGACTAAATGGAATGAGATAAGCCTGTCTTTCAGAGACATCATCTATTTCCTGCTGCTGTCCAGACAGGAAAGTCAGACTCCATTTTTCCCCTTTGTAAAGTTGACTTGAGCTACATGAAGCACTTGTTAGAACAGTCCAATTCAAGATAATTGTGCTTTATGACTGCATTCAGAATCACATGTGTACCCACTGTGTGTGTGGGGGGTGTGTGTATGTGTGTGCATGTGTGTGGGTGGGTGGGTGGAGGGGGTGTGTGTGGGTAGGTGGGTGGTGGGGGTGTGTGTGTATGTGTGGGTGGGTGGGTGGTGGGGTGTGTGTAGGTGGGTTGGAGTGTGTGGGTTGAGGGTGTGTGTGTATGTGGGTGGGTGGGGGGATGTGTGTATGTGGGTGGGTGGGGGGATGTGTGTACGTGGGTGGGTGGGGATGTGTGTGTGTGTGTGATTGAGAGGGGAGGGAGATATAGACACACAGAGAGGGAGTATTTTGTTGCTATGTCTTTATGTTCTTTTTTAAGACGATTTCAAAGATGATACATCCTGTTGAGGCTGCTAAGAGCTGAATTAATAGAATTATTAGTGAATGTTTTTCTAAACCTGTTATCAGTATACACTTTACTCCTAAACTGTTATCAAGATGGTAAAAATTATAGACTCTATATTTGGGCCAGGCAAAGTGGCTCACTCTTGTAATCCCAGCGCTTTGAGAGGCCGGGGCAGGTGATCACTTGAGGTCAGGAGTTCAAGACCACCCTGGCCAACATGGTGAAATCCTGTCTCTACTAAAAATACAAAAATTAGTCGGGCATGGTGGTGAGTGCCTTAGTCCCAGCTACTCAGGAGGCTGAGGCAGGAGAATTGCTTGAATCCGGGAGGTGGAGGCAAATCACGCCACTGCACTCTAGCCTGGGCAACAGAGTGAGACTCCATGTCAAAAAAAAAAAAAAAAAAACACAAAAACAAAGACAAACGAATTATGGAATCCATATTTGAAATCTTTTCATGGGTACTATTTTTTTTGAAGTATTCCTCCACAGATTGACAATAAAATTGACATTAAAAGTAGACAGATTAACAATATTTAATCCAAATCAGTAAAATTCTTTAACTGGTTGAACTGGGACAAAGACAAATTCTTAGTGACAAGGGGTCTTGGTGTGTGTGTTTTGTTGAGTCCATGATTAATTTGTTCAATTAGTGACTTGACTATCAGTCAAACCAGAATATAGCAAATCTAGTAAAGAATAATTAATAGTAGTAAAGCGTTCTGAAACAAATAATTCTGGTTCTCTGGTGTTAACTTTTGTGAGGTTTTTTGTTGTTGTTGTTATATGTTTATATAGTGTCCAGTAGTGTCTTTGATATGTGTGAATTAATTTTATGCCCTGAAAATCAGCACCTTCAAAAAGGAACTCGATTTTTTTTTGTTATTGTTCTCTTTCTGGAGAAAAAAGGAGCTCCATTTAAAAGATAAGGCCTACATACCTAGTACTTTTTTCTTCGTTGGGCAAGTCAACTTGTTACAGATGGGTCATCTTCAAGAGCCAGCTCCGGTGTTCTCTAGCTATGCTGCACTCATTTCATACCAAGCAGCTGGAACTGAGTCACCAGCCCAGCTTCCTCCAATTGTTGCAATTGTACTGAACTACATTTTAATAGAAATTAAGCCACTCAAGTCTCTTAAAATATTAGCTCCTATAGGATTCCTCCTTTTCATTCGTTTCTTTTCCTTTTGGTTTTTGTTTTTATTTCCTTTTCTTCATCTAGAAAAAAAATGGGAAACAACAGAATAATTTATTTCATCTGAAAGACTACCATGATACATGAGGGTAAAAATAATACACCCCAAAACACTGGAGAATATTTGCACCCTGTTGCAAGGCATGAGTTCTGTGCACTTTGCTCTTGATGTCACGTAAGGGAAATATTTGAATGAGTTTTAATCAAGTGTTGAGTATTTACTGAAGGCCTTTTTGGAAGTAAACCAAAGATGTCTTGAAATTTTTTGCCATTGCCTATTGGCTCAGTTTCATTTATCTCAAACTGCAATTCTTACAGTGTTACATTTCTGTGAAACATCTGTAAAATGAGCCTTTGTGGGTCAAACAGAACACCTGAGGCCTGAGAGGGCAGGTGAGAACTGCAAGTTGAAGAATCTTAGATTCTGTTTTGTTGATACATAGCTTGTGAGTGAATCAGATTACTGTTTAGAACTTGTCCATTTATTTGAAGTCTACTAATACGTTTGAAGGCACTAAAGTTTCTTCTCAGATTCTTCATTTGGAATCAGGACCTGCCATGGTTGTCTGTCATCTCAACAGTTAATCCTTGGAAACAGTTTTATCGCTTTATTTATTTAAAAAAATATATATATAGCCTTTCAACCAAAACAAGATAGACTATTCACTAATCACAAATATTAATGGAAAATTGGTAATCATATGTCCTTTAAACTTTCCTTGGTTGTATATATGACTCTAAATTAATCAGATTTTGTTTATTACCAATCAGTTAATGCTAGGTAACCATTTATGAACCATCAGCTCTATTAAAGTTAAAACTGCCAATCTGATTTCCTGCATAATGCTTTGTTAATATGATACTAAAAGTGGTAATGGCTTTCATTTGCATACTTTTAGTTCACTTTCACGTGCCTTATTTGATTTAATCTTTACAGACAAAGCAGATCTTATAAAGAGGAAATCCAGACCCAAAGAGGTTGTAATTTACTTAGTCATGTAGCTGGTAAATGGTAGAGCTTTTCCATTTGGGACTTCAAGCCAGTCCCTTTTCTTCAGCCTTGGTTCTTTTTTCTCTGATACGCTAGTTTTCTCCCTCTCCCAATAAATATTTTTATTTGGGAGCCGGGTGCAGTGGCGTGCTCTCTAGTCCCAGCTACTTGCAGCTGAGGATCATTTGAGACCAGGAGTTTGAGGACAGCCTGGGCAACATAGCAAGAGAGAGAGACCCCCATCTCTAAAAAAAAAGAAAATTGAATAAAAATTTAAAAAATTAAGAATCTTTCTGTTTAGAGAGCTTAAAAACTTTCATAATTAATTATAGAAGTAATAGGTGTTATTTATTTTGTCCCACATGCCCTACCCGACCTACCCCTTTGGGTTTGTTTTTTTTTTTTAAAGCATTGAGACTGTTACAAATAAATTTTTGGTGCTGCAAAAGAAATAACACTTGAATATAAAATTTTCTTTTTAATTCTCAGCAAGGCAAGTTACTTCTATAGAAGGGTGCGCTCTTACACATGGAGCAATGGTGAGCACACACTTGGATAAGGTAGGGGAAGGGGTTTTTATCCCTGACTCACGTGGCCCCTGCTGCTGTGTCTTTCCCCTATTGGCTAGGGTTAGACCGCACAGACTAAAGTAATTCTGATTGGCTAATTTAAAGAGAGTCACCGGGTGAGTGGTTTGGCCAGAAAAATGGTTATGACAGAGCAGGTAATTGGAATGAGTCAGGGTGGAGCAGGTAATCGAAAATGGTCACTTTATGAGGAAGTTAAATTTAAAAGCAGAAGGTGAGGAATTGAACATACTGACATATTGATTATTTGAAAAGAAATTTAGAACTCATATCTAACAAGACCTTCTTCCCCTTTATCTAATCTACCGTGTTCTTAAAAAAAACTGTTTGTGAAAAACAGACTTATATTATTAACTTACAGTTAGGCATTTAATTGACTGTTCATTATAAAAATGTTAATGGATATGTTTTATGAATTTGGAGTGAGAAAATTGTTTTCCAGGTAATCACAATTTATATATGACAAGATTAAAAAACATTCCTTTTTTTTTTTTTTGAGATGGAATTTTGCTCTTGTTGCCCAGGCTGGAATGCAATGGCACAATCTCAGCTCACTGCAACCTTCACCTCCCGGATTCAAGCAATTCTCCTTCCTCAGCCTCCTAACTGGGATTACAGGCGTGCGCCACTATGCCTGGCTAATTTTGTATTTTTAGTAGAGATGGTGTTTCGCCATGTTGGCCAGGCTGGGCTGGAACTCCTGACCTCAGCTGATCCGCCCGCCTTGGCCTGCCAAGGTGCTGAGATTATAGACATGAGCCACTGTGCCCGGTCTACAGTCATCTCTTGGTATCCATGGGGGATTGGTTCAAGGACCCCTGGTGGATACCAAAATCCACAGATGCTCAAGTTTCTTATATAAAATGGAATAGTATTTGCATATTAACCTACAAATAGCCTCCCATATACTTTAAATCATCTCTAGGTTATAATACCTAATACAGTGTAAATGCTATGTAAGTTGTCATTACACTGTGTTTAGGGAATAATGACAAGAAAAAGTCTGTACATGTTCAGTACAACTGCAACCGCCCCCGCCCCCGCCCTGCCGCCCTTTTTTTTGAGACAGGGTCTCATTCTGTCGCCCAGGCTGGAGTACAGTGTGTGATCATGGCTCGCCTCAGCCTTCCAAGTAGTATGTGCAACACGCCTGGCTAATTTTTGTATTTTTTGTAGAGATGGGAGATCTATCTATCTATCTATAAAATTTTTTTTTTTTTTTTGAGATGGAGTCTCACTCTGTCACCCAGGCTGGAGTGCAGTGGCGCGATCTCGGCTCACTGCAACCTCCGCCTCTCGGGTTCAAGCGATTCTCCTGCCTTAGCCTCCCAAGTAGCTAGGACTACAGGCACCCACCACCACGCCTGACTAATTTTTTTTATTTTTAGTAGAGACAGGGTTTCACAATGTCGGCCAGGCTGGTCTCAAACTCCCGACCTCAAGTGATCTGCATGCCTCGGCCTCCCAAAGTGTTGGGATTACAGACGTGAGCCACTGCACATGGCCTTTTAAAAAATATTTTTGATCCTCAGTTGGTTGAATCCACAGATGCTGAACCCATGAATAAGGAGGGCTGACTTATTTCATTTTGTGAAAAACTTGAGCTTGTCAGACTAAAGAATGTTCAGTGAAAGCATCAGAGTTGAAAATCAAATCAGGTTTTGACTTTTAAAAGTCCTCTTTTGGAGGTTAGGTTCTTACAGAAGTTGATAGGAAATATGTCTTATTTTTCTTTGTTTAGGAAGCAAGATAGGCTCTAGAACTTGGACTTTGAGTTAAAAATTTTAAATTAATGAGATAATTAAATAAATCTTTGTTTCTTTGGTTGGAATGTAGTCATAGAAACCTGAGGCTTTCTAACCTAAATTGAAAGATGGAGCCAGAGAGAGAATATGAATAAGACCAAGGGAAATTGATAGATTATAAACTGGTTATAGATTTTTGATTCCCCTCTATCTTGAAAATTCTGATGACGAAGTATTTCACTTTCATGATATATTTAAAAATACTATTTTTGGAGACAGAGTCTCACTCTGTCGCCCAGGCTGAAGTGCAGTGGTGCAATCTCAGCTCACTGTAACCTCCGCCTTCCAGCAATTCTGCCTCAGCCTCCCGAGTAGCTGGGACTATAGGCATGCACTACTACACCCAGCTAATTTTTATATTTTTAGTAGAGATGGGGTTTCATCATGTTGCCCAGGTTGGTCTCAAACTCCTGACCTCAGGTGATCCACCCGCTTCGGCCTCACAAAGTGCTGGGATTACAAGCATGAGCCACCATGCCCAGCCAATATTCTTTATTTTATTCAAATTCTGTGCATTTATGGTCAGGAAGGAAGGAAGAAGGAAGGCAGGCAGGCTAACTTAATAACAAGATAAACAGCTCTGGGCTATAATAGGAGGCAGAAACATTCTTTGAAACTATATGTTGTTGTATTACTTTTCTTGAAGTACACATTTTTATGTTTGCTTTTATAATTATGAAAGTTTTCAAACATGCATAAGAATAGAATAAACTTCTCCGTAAACCCAATTCAGTTATCAAGATCTTGCCACATTTGCTTTGCCCCTTTTTTCTGATTTTCTTTGCTGAAATGTTTTAAAGTAAATGCTAGACATCATGTCGTTTCATCCCTACTTAATTCAGTGTATGTCTTCAAACAATGTGGACATTTTCTTCCCTAACCACAATGCTCTGATCTCCTGAAGTTCCTAGTATACAATTTGGGATTTCCCTGGTTATCTCTAAAATATCTTTTTATTTTTGGTTGGTTTGTTCAAATCAGTATCCAAGTAATTTCTACTTTTTATGTTTGATTGTTATATCTCTTAAGTTTTTCTTAATCTATAACAGTCCCCCACCTGTGTCTGGTAAAAATACCATTCAGCTGAAAGGTAGATTGTCCCAAATCCAGAATTTAGCAGTTGCTTCCTTGTGGTAGCATTTAACTTTGTCCTCTCATTTTCCCCCTCCCTGCATTTCCTGTAAATAATCTCAGGACCCCTTTGTACTCTTAAATTATTGAAGGCCTCAAACAGCTTTCAGTTATGTGGGTTATATCTACCTATTTTACTATATTAGAAATTAAAGTTGAGAAATTAGCCTAGGCAATATGGTGAGATCCTCATCTCTACAAAAAATTTTTTAAAAATTAGCTGGGCTTGATGGAGTGTGCCTCTGGTCCCAGCTGCTTGGGAGGCTGAGGTAGGAGAATTGCTTGAGCCTAGGAAATCAAGGCTGCAGGGAACCATGATTGTGACACTGCACTCCTGCTTTGGTGACTGGTCTCAAAAAAAAAAAATCCTGAGAAATTTTAAAAATGTTTATTTATGGCCGGGTACGGTGGCTCACACCTGTAATCCCAGCACTTTGGGAGGCCGAGGTGGGCGGATCATGAGGTCAGGAGACCATCCTGACTAACATGGTGAAACCCTGTCTCTACTAAAAAATACATCAAAAATTAGCTGGGCTTGGTGTGCGCCTGTAGTCCCAGCTACTTGGGAGGCTGAGGCAGGAGAATGGCGTGAACTTGGGAGATGGAGCTTGTAGTGAGCCGAGATCGCACCACTGCACTTCAGCCTGGGCGACAGAGTGAGACTCTGTCTCAGGAAAAAAAAAAAAAATCATTTACTAATTCATTAAATATAGAACAATAATGAACCCACTACTTATTACCATAAAACATTTTTAATGTAAAACAACTATATTTCCCAAAACAAAAAATAGTGAGAAGAGTGGCATTCTTTTACATTTTTGCACATCTTAGAAGAGGTTTCTCGTGTCTGCTTCTGCATTCATTACCTTGTGATATCTTGTACCAAGTAGCCAAGTAAATTTGGAAAATTTTACTATATGTGCACGAGAGGAGAATGAGAGTGAAAAAGGCAAATGATGCCTTAGTATTATAAGAATAGTTCTGACCTAATGGATCACCTGGTGAAAGGGTCTCCTGGCTTACAATTTGAGAAACAGCTGCCCCAGAGGCTGCTTTGTTTTGGTTTGTTGTTGTTGTTGTTTTGAGACAGGGTCTCACTCTGTTGCCCAGGCTGAAGTGCAGTGATATGATCACTGTTCACTGCAGCCTCGACCGCCTGGGCTCAACCAATCCTCCCATCTCAGCCTCCCAAGTAGCTGGGACTACAGGCACATGCCACCACACCCAGCTAATTAAAAAAAATTTTTTTATAGAGATGGGATCTCACTATGTTGCCCAGGCTGGTCTCGCTTGAACTCCTGGACTCAAGCAATCCTCCTGCCTTGGCCTCTCAAAGTGCTAATGTTACAGGTATGAGCCACTGCACCCAGCCTGCCCCAGAGGCTTGATTAGATTCAGGGTCAACTTCTTTGGTAAGAATACTTCATGGTGCCATAGGAAACACACCATATCTGGTCATCTCATTTTTTGATCCTAAAATTCATTGGTGGGTTTGGGTGAGCCATTTTGCTTTTTTAACAAGATAGTACAAACACTTCTTGCTGTTAGTAGTTGTCAGCATAACAGTTTCACCATCTTTATCAGTGTTTTGTGGTGTTTTCAATTTTTCCTAATCAACAGGAGGAAGACATCTTATTGTTTACTTTTAAATTCCCTTTATAGTTGTGCTATTTTACATTTTTCTGTGTGTTCACTTGTTTTATCTGTCTCTCATCAATTTCTTTTGACCCATACCTATTTGATTTTTTTGATGACCTTTGGAATGAATTTGGACAAAATCCTTAGGTAATGTAGATTTTAAGCTTTTCTCACTCAGTACTTTGTCCATTCTTTGTTGCTTTTTACCCTTCATTATGCCATCTTTTATGTATTGAAGTAATTTTGATATTAGATAGTCTAATCTGGTGATCCTTTTCCTTGTCAAGCCTGGACTTCTAGAATAATGGGAAAGAAATAGCACCAGAATTTGGAATCTTTTGAAGTTGAAGATGACTGCAGGATTCAGCTGCTTTTCTCTTTTATTTTGCCAAAAAGAAAAAAAAAGGCCTAGGGAAGTCATGACTTACCCATCTTTACACAATTAGTTGGGGCCAGAGTTGAAACCAGACACTAACTCTCCAAAATCTTTTTTCCCTCCTCATTCTATCACTATCTCTAATGAGTGACTTAGTTAATTTGGAATGAGAATGATGGATTTTGTATTTTGGTTAAAAAAAAAATCAAAGCATTTTCTTACCATAAATTATGTATTTTGTGGAGGCTTGCTTCTTATTAGAATACTATTACAGCTATTATATCTAGTGGAAAAGTACTATTTCTTTCTTTTTTTTGAGACAGAGTATTGCTCTGTCACCAGGCTGGAGTGCAGTGGTGCGATCTTGGCTCACTGTAACCTCCGCCTCCCGGGTTCAAGTGGTTCTCCTTCCTCAGCCTCCCAAGTAGCTGGAACTACAGGTGCATGCCACCATGCCCAGCTAATTTTTATATTTTTAGCAGAGACGGAGTTTCACCATGTTGGCCAGGAGGGTCTCAATCTCTTGACCTCATGATCTGCCCACCTTGGCCTCCCAAAATGCTGGGATTAGAGGCGTGAGCCACCACACCTGGTTGAAAAATACCTTTCTTTCTTTCTTTCTTTCTTTTTTTTTTTTTTTAAGATGGAGTCTTGCTCTGTCGCCCAGGCTGGAGTGCTGTGGTGAGATCTCTGCTGACTGCAGCCTCTGCTTCCGGGATTCAAGCGATTCTCCTGCCTCAGCCTCCTGAGTAGCTGGGATTACAGGCACATGCCACCACGCCCAATTAACTTTTGTATTTTTAGTAGAGATGGGGTTTCACCATGTTGGTCAGGCTGGTCTCAAACTTCTGACCTCGTGATCCTCCTGCCTTGGCCTCCCAAAGTGCTGGGATTACAGCCGTGAGCCACCGTGCCCGGCTGAAAAATACCATTTCTTATTCAGTTTTATATACTTTAAATTTTAGAACCACTTTGATCTCTTTTCTTTTTCTTTTTCTCTTTTTCTTTTTCTTTTCTGACAGGGTTTTACTCTGTCACCTAGGCTGGAGTGCAGTGGTACATTCTCAGCTCACTGCAACCTCCGCCTCCCGGGTTCAAGTGATCCTCCTTCCTCAGCCTCCCAAGTAGCTGGAACTACAGGTGCGCACCACCATGCCCAGCTAATTTTTATATTTTTAGCAGAGATGGGGTTTCACCATGCTGGCCAAGCTGGTCTCAAACTCCTGACCTCAGGTGATCCACCCGCCTCGGCCTCCCAAAGGGCTGGGATTACAGACATGAGCCACCATGCCCGGACAATTTATTTATTTTCTTTTTGAGACAGGGTCTCTCTGTCGCCCAGGCTGGAGTGCAGTGGTGCGATCATGGCTCACTCCAGCCTCAACTTCCCAGGCTCAAGTGATCCTTCCACCTCAGCCTCCCTGGTAGCTGGTACTATAGACACGCACCACCATGCCTGGCTAATTTTTTATGTTTTGTGGAGACAGGATCTTACCATGTTGCCCAGGCTGGGTCTCAAACTCCTGGGCTAAGCAGTGTCCCACCTCAGCCTCCTGTAGTGCTACGACTACAGACGCAAGCCACCGTGCCTGGCCAACTTTGAGAATTTAAAGTATTATTGTTGTTTAAGAGTAAAAAATGATCTGATTTTGACCAATATTTTGCCCAACAGGAAGCCAGCAGACCTGCAGAACTTGGCTCCCGGGACCCACCCACCATTTATAACTTTCAACAGTGAAGTCAAAACGGATGTAAATAAGATTGAGGAATTTCTTGAAGAAGTCTTATGCCCTCCCAAGTGAGTATCAAGGAAAATACGTATGAAAATATTGTCACTTCTTTGAAGCTTGTGTTATTTGTCAGTAGAGATCTTTCTCGCAGCATTAATTTGGAATGACTAGGACTCTCTTCTATGTTTCTTATAATTAATGCTACACAGATATAAGAATTGGCTTCCAGCTAGGCCAATCAGCCATACTAAGAAAGGTGGGGATTTGTCTAAGCTGTAGAATATGTGGTAGAAACAGATTTGGGATGTGTCTGATAGGTCAGGAAAGACTGGTTATTTGTGGACTGTAGGTCTCAAACTGAGAGAGAAGTTTAAAGAGGAGAAGGGGTGGGGAAAGACACATTCCAACTGAACCCAGTAAGAATGTCTTAGCAGGAGTGTGGCACAGGACTGCAATGAGATTTGATTTCAGTTCATTTTAAAGGTAACTTTCTAAAGCTATAATCCAAGGACATTGACTTTTCCGACTGTGTCCCTAGGATTCAGAGTTTTTATTTACTTACTTCTTTGAGGTGTTCCAGATCTCTAGGTCCTGGATGTACTGTAATGATAGTTACCTAAATTGCAGATATGCAGCTTTGCATCATACTGTAATATTGGCATAGATTCAAAGCATTATTTGTTTCTTTTAGGCTTTTCCAGTTTCATTATCCTGAAAATTGACATGTTTTGTTTCTACTGACCAAAACCTTTCTTACTGGTTAACTTGACTGTTGCCCTCCATGTCCAGATATATTTTCCAGGAATGGGATTATTGAGATGGAGGGTTCTAAAATAATTATAGGCATACCCTGAAGGGTATGGTTCCAGACCATTGCGAGTTAGGTTCCAGACCACAGTGATAAAATGAATATTGGAATAAAATGAGTCACGTGAAATTTTTCGTTTCCCAGTGCATGTAAAAGTTATATTTACAGTAGTATACTGTAGTGTTTTAAGTGTGCAATAATAGCATTATGTCTGAAAATATTGCATGTACCTTAATTTAAAAATACTTCATTGCTAGGCTGGGTGTGGTGGCTCATGCCTGTAATCCCAGCACTTTGGGAGGCTGAGGCGGATGGATCACCTGAGGTTGGGAGTTCGAGACCAGTCTGACCAACATGAAGAAACCCCGTCTCTACTAAAAAATACAAAAAAAATTAGCTGGGCGTGGTGGCAGGCACCTGTAATCCCAGCTACTCGGGAGGCTGAGGCAGGAGAATTGCTTGAACCAGGGAGGCAGAGGTTGTAGTGAGCCAAGATCGTGCCACTGCACTCCAGCCTGGGTGACAAAAGCAAAACTCCGTCTCAAAAAAAAATCATTGCTAAAAAATGCTAATGGTTATCTGAGCCTTCAGCGAGTCAATCTTTTTGCCGATGGAGGGTCTTGCCTTGATGTAGCTGGCTACTGACCGATCAGAATGGTGATTGCTGGTTGGGGTGGCTGTGGCAATTTCTTGAAGTAAGATAACAATGAATTTTTCTACATTGATGGACTCTTCCTTTCATGAAAGATTTCTCTGTAACATGCAATAGTGTTTGATAGCATTTAAAAATTTTAAAGTAAATATTCTTTGCCTGAGGCTAATCTCAAGAGGTCCTGAGAACATGCACCCCTGTTTGATAGTGTTTTTACCCACAGTAGAACCTTTTTCAAAATTAGAATCCATCTTCTGAAACCCTCCTGCTGTTTTAACAACTAAGTCGATGTAATATTCTAAATTCCTTGTTGTCATTTCAACAATGTTCTTAGCATCTTCACTAGGTATACATTCTATCTCAAGAAACCATTTTCTTTGCTCATCATAAGAAGCAACTCCTCATCCATTCAAATTTTATTATGAAGGTAGAACAATTTGATTACATTTTCAGGCTCCAGTTCTAATTCTAGTTCTCTTGCTATTTTCAACACATATGTAGTTCCTCCCTCCACTGATGTCTTGAACCTGTGAATGTCGTCCATGAGGGTTAGAATCCACTTCCTCCAAACTCCTGTTAATGTTGCTATTTTGACCTCCTCCCATGAATCATGAATGTTCGTGTTTTTTTTTTTTTTTTTTTTTTGGACGGAGTTTTCGTTCTTATCGCCCAGGCTGGAGTGCAGTGATGCGATCTCGGCTCACTGCAACCTCCACCTCCCAGGTTCAAGCAATTCTCCTGCTTCAGCCTCCTGAGTAGCTGGGATTACAGGTGCCTGCCGCCATGACCAGCTAATTTTTTTGTATTTTTTAGTAGAGTTGGGGTTTTGCCATTTTGGCCAGGCTGGTCTTGAACTCCTGACCTCAGATGATCCGCCCGTCTCGGCCTCCCAAAGTGCTGGGATTACAGGTGTGGTATGAGCCACCAGACCTGGCTGAATGTTCTTAATTGCATCTAGAAAGGTAAATCTTTTCCAGGTCACTTTGCTTTGCTCAGATCCATCAGAGGAATCACTTTCTATGGCCTTATGAAATGTGTTTATTAAATAATAAGACTTGAAAGTCAAAATTTATGGACTGCAGAATGGATGTTGTGTTAGCAGGCATGAAAACAACCATGATCTCCCTGTATATCTCTATCAGAGTTCTGGGGGGACTAGTGCATTGTCAATGAGCAGTAATATTTAGAAAGGAATCTTTTTTTCCTGGGCAGTGGGTCTCAACAGTGGGCTTAAAATATTTAGTAAACCATACTGTGAACAGATGGATGTGCCATTATCCAGGCTTTATTGTTCCATTTATAGAGCATCTGTAGAGTAGCTTCAGTATAATTCTTAAGGGTTCTTCAAATTTTGGAATGGAAGATGAGCATGGGTTTCAACCTAATGTCAACAGCTGGATTAGACTCTTAACAGAGTCAGCCTGTCCTTTGAAGATTTGAAACCAGACGTTGACTTTTTCTCTGTAGCTATGAAAATCATAGATGACATCTTTCAATAGAAGGTTTTGTCTGCATTAAAAATCTGTTTAGTGTAGCCACCTTCATCAATGATCTATCTAGAAGATCAATTCTAGATAGATCATTGTTGAAGGTAGATCAGATTTTCTAGATAGATCATCAGATGAAGGTGATGAAGGAAGATCTAGATAGATCAGCTAGATCTTCTAGATAGATCAGCTAGATCTTCTAGATAGATCAGCTAGATCTTCTAGATAACTGGCTGCATGCAGCTTCTGCATAAGCATTTGCTGCTTCATGTTTTACTTTTATGTTACAAAGATGGCCTCTTTCCTTAAACCTCACGAACCAACCTCTGCTACCTTCAAACTTTCTTCTGTAGATTTGTCACCTCTCTCTGCCTTGATAGAACTGAAGTGAGTTAGGGCCTTGATCTGGATTAGGTTTTGGCTTAAGGGAATGCTGTGGCTGGTTTGATTATCTGGACCACTCAAACTTTCTCCCTATTGGCAATAAAGCTGTTTTTCTCTATCATTTGTGTGTTCACTGGAATAGCACTATTAAATTTCCTTCAAGAACTTTTCTTCTGTATATGCTGTTTGGCTGTTTGGTGGAAGAAGTCTAGCTTTCAGCCTATCTCAGCTTTTGGCCTGTCTCAGCTTTCGACATGCTTTCCTCACTAAGCAGAATCATTTCTAGCTTTTGATTTAAAGTGAGAGATATGTGACTCTTCCCTTCACCTGAACACTGAGAGGTCATTGTAGGGTCATCAACTGTGGGCTAATTTCAACATTATTTTGTCTCAGGGAGCAGGAAGGCCTGAGGAGAGGGAAAGACAGGGGAACAGCAATCACTGGAGCAGTCAGAACACATATGATATTAATCAGTTAAGTGTGCTGTCTTATATGGGTGTGGTTTGTGGTGCCCCCAAAACAATTACAAGAGTAACATCAGAGATCACTAATCACAGATCATCATAACAGATACAATAATAATGAAAAGTTTTGAAATATTGCGAAAAATACCACAGTGTGACAGAGACATGAAGTGAGCACATGCTGCTGGGAAAAATGGCGCCATCTTGCTTGACTCAGGGTGCCATAAACCTTCAATTTGTAAAAAACGTAATATCTGCAAAGCACAATGAAGCAAAGCTCAATAAAGCAAAGCACAATAAGACAAGTTATACCTGAAGTTACTCAATTTGGTTTTTTTTTGTTTGTTTTGTTTTTTTTGAGACAGAGGCTCACTCTGTCACCCAGGCTGGAGTGCAGTGGCACAATCTTGGCTCACTACAACCTCTGCCTCCTGGGTTCAAGTGATTCTTGTGCTTCAGCCTCCCAAGTAGCTGGGATTACAGGCACCTGCCACCATGCCTGGCTAATTTTTGTATTTTTAGTGGAGATGGGGTTCCACCATGTTGGCCAGGCTTGTCTCGAAATCCTGACCTCAAGGTATCCGCCCACCTCGGCCTCTCAAAGTGCTGGGATTACAGGTGTGAGCCACTGTACCTGGCCCAGTTACTCAGTATTCATCCATTCATTTATTTATTGATTTATTCATTCTGCAAAGCATTAATGGACTACAAAGCACTGTGAATATATTAGTAAATAAAACACAGTTCTTGCCCTCAACAAGTACAGTCATGTATGGGTGGAGAGGTGTTTATGGTGGTGGGACGGGGAAGTGAATGGAATCAGGAAAGGCTTTAGAGAAGAGAGAACACTTGAACTGTCTTAATTTAAAAAAAAAAAAAGAAAAAAGATGTTCAGCAGTTGAACAAAGGAGTGACAGGTATTCCAGAGCAGAAGAGTCATTTTAAATCAATAGTATAAACATATATGTTATACACATACTATACAGAAATAGTATGTAATGTATATTATTATTAATATTATATGTATATTTGGGGGAGACTTGGAGTGGCTGGAATGTGATGTGCATGGTTGGGATGGTAGGCAGGAAGGCTGATGAGCAACAACACCTCTGTCTATAACTAGCTTCTCATCTGTTGTGAGCAGAATTGCCCTCTGGTTAACAATCTTGTGCTAAGCCTAATATTTTATTTTCTTAATTCTTTTTTTCTACTAAAATTCTACAAGCCTATCCTCTACTATCCTTCCTGCCCTTCTAAGAGCCTGGAGCTTCTTTTTTTCTCTACCTTCCCAGGAGTCCTAACCTTCCTTTCATCCCCAGTAAAGTATCTCCAGACCAACATTAAGAAAACCATGTCTTGATTTTTCCTTCAGGCCATGCATATAATTAGAATGCCAATAAATCAAAGCTAGGATATTTGTGAATATAAATTGAAGCTTTATACGTCTCAGTAGGGTACTATTGTGAACATGAATTCAACTTAGTGGAAATAACTTTTTTTTTTTTTTTGAGACGGAGTTTCACTTTTGTTGCCCAGGCTGGAGTGCAATGGCATGATCTTGGCTCACTGCAACCTCTGCCTGTCAGGTTCAGGAGATTCTCCTGCCTTAGCCTCCCAAGTAGCTAGAATTACAGGCGTCCACCACTATGCCCAGCTAATTTTTTCTGTTTTTAGTAGAGATGGGATTTCACCATGTTGGCCAGGCTGGTCTCGAACTCTGGACCTCAGGTGATCCACCCGCCTCGGCCTCCCAGAGTGCTGGGATTACAGGCATGAGCCACCGCGCCTGACCATAACTTTTTTTCTTTTTTTTTTGACAGAGTCTCTCTGTCGCCCAGGCTGGAGTGCAGTGGCACAATCTCGACTCACTGCAACCTCCGCCTCCTGGGTTCAAGCGATTCTCCTGCCTCAGTCTCTTGAATAGCTGGGATTACAGGTGCCCGCCACCATGCCCTGCTAATTTTTTTTGTATTTTTAGTAGAGACAGGGTTTTACCATATTGGCCAAGCTGCTCTTGAACTCCTGACCTTGTGACCTGCCCACCTCAGCCTCCCAAAGTGCTGGGATTACAGGCATGAGCTACCGCGCCCAGCCATACTTCAAAAAAAAAAAAAAAGTATGTATATATATATGTATATATATATATATATAGACAGTATCTTGTACTGTCGCCCAGGCTGGAGTGCAGTGTTGCTGTCCTGGCTCACTGCAACCTTGAACTCCTAGCCTCCTGCCTAGGATGATCCTCCTGCCTCAGCCTTCCAAATAAGTGGGACCACAGGCATGCACCCTATGTCCCACTTCTAGGTCCCTTTTTGGTCTTTTTTTTTTTTTTTTTTTTTTTTTGAGACATGGTCTTGCTCTGTTGCCCAGGCTGGAGTGCAGTGGTGTGATTATGGCTCACCACAGCCTCGACCTCCTGGGCTCAAGCAATTCCCCTGAGGCACTGGGAGTACAGGTGTGTGCCACCATGCCCAGCTAAGTTTAAAAAAATTTTTGTAGAGATGGGGTCTTGCTATGTTGCCCAGGTTGGTCTCAAACTCATGGACACAATCAGTCCTCCTGCCTCAGCCTCCCAAATTGCTGGGATTACACATGTAAGCTGTCATGACTGGTCCCTTTTTAGTCTTAAAAGTGTCAGCTCAGAGGTAGGTTCCATATTTGCCAACTTGCTCTCAGACACTAACTGAAAATGATCTTCCTCTCATGTCACTGTAGATCATTGTATCAACATTAAATTATAAATGGAGAAGTAGTTTGAATTATTATTCATTCTCTATGAAGGAAACTATTTTGTTTTAAAGTATTGTCTGAAGTGCTTATTATATAAATTCTTCCAAGTATATATAAGTTTTTAAAATTAGTGTGCTGAAAACATACATATGACTTTAGTTAAATGGACATTTCCTCATATTCTCTTACATCCTTCAGCAACAACAACAATGAAGACTTTTGGGCTGGGCGCGGTGGCTCATGCCTGTAATCCCAGCACTTTGGGAGACTGAGGCGGGTGGATGACTTGAGCTCAGGAGTTCAAGACCAGCCTGGGCAACATGGTGAAACCCTGTCTCTACAAAAAAATACAAAAATTAGCTGGATATGGTGGCAAGTGCCTGTAGTCCCAGCTACTGGGGAGCCTGAGGTGGGAGGATTGCTTGGGCCTGGGAGGCAGAGGTTGCAGTGAGCTGAGATCATGCCACTGCATTCCAGCCTGCACGATACAGCAAGACCCTGTCTCAAAAAAGAAGAAGGAAAAAAAAAAAGAATTTTCATTATTCTTGCTCATTTCTCTCTGAGGGAAAGTGACATTAAGAGAAATAGTAAAGTTAATATGGAATATTCTGGATTCTTAGCATCTAATGCTCTGTAAGACATCATAGCTTTAAATTGGACCTTGAAAACAAACATTTTCATATTGCTTTTTTATATAAAAATTCTAGCCCCATTATATTTGAGCATATTCATAGAAACATTGTAACCAGAGATGGTCTTTTTCATTCAGTTTAAATACATAGGAATCTTTGTGTTATAAATGTTCATAGTGTGCCAAATCCCCTGTAGGGGTAAAAATTTTTACTTCTTCTTTGTTTTTTCTTTGTTTTGTTCTGTTTTTGTTTAGAGACAGGGTCTCACTCCTTGCTCTGTCACCCAGGCTGGAATGCGGTGGTGCAATCTTACCTCACTGCAGCCTCAACCTCCCAGGCTCATAATCCTCCTGCCTCAGCCTCTTGAGTAGCTGGGAGTACAGGTGCACACCACCACGCCTGGCTAATTTTTGTATTTTTTTTGTTGAGAGTAAGATCACTTTCAATTGGAGTCTGAGAACAGGGTCTCGCCGTGTTACCCAAGCTGTGGCCTTGAACTCCTGGGCTCAAGCCATCTGCCCACCTCAGCCTCCCAAAGTGCTGGGATTACAGGCGTGAGCCACCGTGCCTGGCCAGGGATTGTTTTTGATGCTGCTTATCCCTCTGCTGTTATTAATAACACTCAAGTACTAATTATGCACCATGCATTGTGCTTTGTGGGTTATTTTGTGGATTATCTCTGTTAATCCTCACAAAGACTTTGTGAAGAAACTGAAGATGTAATCCAAATAATTTGTCCAAGGTTTCACAGTTAATGGTGGCAGAGCAGGGATACTTTTGAAGCCACATCAATATGACTTCAAAAATCTGTGTTTCATCTGTTCTCTGCTTTCTGCTTCTTATTTTATTGGGTTTGGCTTTTGTAAAAGAGGGAAAATGTTAAGTCTTTAATTGGGATTGTGCTTTAATGAGTACAAAATTGAAAGCTAGCTCAAGTTTAGAGGAAAGGTAGGAGAGAAATCAAAGATAGTTTACTTGACTGTGAACAAGTGGGACCAAAGGTGGTTATTAAACTTAATTCAGTGAATTCTTTTTTTTTTTTTTTTTTTTTTTTTGAGGCAGAGCCTTGCTGTGTCGCCCAGGCTGGAGTGCAGTGGCAGCATCTTGGCTCATTGCAACCTCCACTTGCCAGGTTGAAGCAATTCTCCTGCCTCAGCCTCCTGAGTAGCTGGGATTACAGATGTGCACCACCACGCCTGGCTAATTTTTGTATTTTTAGTAGAGACGGGGTTTCACCATGTTGGCCAGGCTGGGACTTCAAGTGATCCGACCTCCTTGGCCTCCCAAAGTGCTGGGATTACAGGTGTGAGCCACAGTGCCTGCCCTTACTTAATTCAGTGAATGCTTTGAAAAAGCAGGTGAATCTTAACTCTTCTGATGAATTTTTATTTATTTGTATGCATTGAAACAGCATGTTTGAAGTGGGAATGTCGCCTTCTTAGTGGGCTCTATGGACCCAGAATGTGAAATGCTAATTAATTAGCATAATTTTCATCATGCAGAATTGTTTCTAGGGGATGAGTGGGAGGAGGAAGAGTTTCTGGGATCACAAGCTGCATTTATTTTCCTTCCCTCTATTGTGCTATATTGTTCTAGGGCACCCAGGGACCATTCTGTCTCACTGCCTTTTCCTTCCAGAACAAGGAGGTCTCAGGTCTTTATTGCTAGTCTTCTTCAGGCTCTGCTTGTAAGACTGTTTCTAAATAGGATAAGGAGAAAAAGGAGAAGAATTGTGCAAGCTTGTAGACTGGAATCTAGCATTTCTAATAACATGTTTTTGTCATTTGATGTACTGAGAACTGAGTGGTTTTTTGTGAACACTTCCTGATTTAATCATGACAAATATAAATACAGGCAATTGTCTATTCTAGAGTTGCTTAACATTGAGAGGCTAATGAAAAGCTCAAATCAGATAACTTTTACTGGTATGTGTGGCTATAGGTTTTAAAGTGAACTTTTTCTTCTTCTCTGGGGAAAGTATTTTTGTGTATGTTTTATAGTTCTTGCTTGAATGAAGAAACCACTTTGCTAAAAAACTTTGAGACTTGGATTTTTAACTGAAACAGCCTAGATATACTTAGCTAACTTACTGATAAAAGGATAAAATAGAAGGAAGCGAGATAAATTTGGAGGGGCATGCTATAAAATGTTATTAAACCTTTTTTAAAAATGAGACATACAGGCCGGGTGTGGTAGCTCACGCCTGTAATCCCAGCACTTTGGGAGGCCAAGGCGGGTGGATCATGAGGTCAGCAGTTTGAGACCAGCCTGACCAACATGGTGAAACCCTGTTTCTAATAAAAACACAAAAAATTAGCTGGGCGTGGTGACGGGCGCCTGTAATCCCAGCGACTTGGGAGGCTGAGGCAGGAGAATCGCTTGAAACCGGAAGGCGGAGGTTGCAGTGAGCGGAGATTGCGCCACTGTACTCTAGCCTGGACAATAAGAGCAAAACTCTGTCTCAAAAAAAAAAAAAAAAAAGACATACAAAAAAGGAATTTACAAGGCTAATCAGCCTTCATTTTTATATTTACACCAGAAAGGAGAAAATGCCTGAGATCTTTCCTAAAAGCATGGAAACATTCTTAGCTAGTCTAAAATGTTAAGAGTCTGTGATGTAAGCAGAATTAAGGACTTATCTGAAAGTCTAAATACCCTGGGTGCTCATGTCTATTCTGTCATTGACACTTAGCCTTTTATTATTTGCCTCCCTTTTGCTAAGTGTTAAAATGAGTTCTCACAATAATTGAAAACCATTGCTTGATCAAGCTATTTGCTAAAGCCAATAATAATGCATAAATTACAATGTAATGTTTGGGGAAGATGCAAAAAAGTTGATTTTGAACCTACTGGTTTAGAATTTGATTTATCTTTTAGAGATAATCTAATCTGTAATAGAAACAAACAAACAAACAAAAACACTAGACCTGGGGACAGGAGATTTCAGTTTTAGTTTGTCAATACTTTTTTTTTTTGAGACGCAGTCTCGCTCTGTCACCCGGGCTGAGTGCAGTGGCATGATCTCTGCTCACTGCAACCTCTGCTTCCTGGTCTCAAGCAATTCTCCTGCCTCAGACTCCTGAGAAGCTGGGATTACAGGCACCCGCTACCATGCCTGGCTGATTTTTGTATTTTTAGTGGAGACAGAGTTTTGCCATGTTGGCCAGGCTAGTCTCGAACTCCTGACCTCAATTGATCCGCCCACCTTGGCATCCCAAAGTGCTGGGATTACAGGCATGAGCCACTGTGCTTGGTCTCGTTTGTCAATACTTTTAATTAGCTGAGTGATTTGGGGGCCAAGTGTGTAAGCTTTCTGGAACATAATTTCCTTTTAGGTAAAATGAGAGATCTGAGGTGAACATTCTCTTATAGCTATACTATTCTGTGCATTAAATTAATAGTACAGGCTGGGTGCAGTGGCTCAGGCCTGTAATCCCAGCACTTTGGGAGGCTGAGGCAGGAGGATCACTTGAGCCCAGGAGTTCAACACTAGCCTGGGCAACATGGGGAAACCTCGTCTCTACAAAAAAATACAAAAAGCTAGCCAAGTGTGGTGGCACATGCCTGTAGTCCCAGCTACTCAGGAGGCTGAGGTGGGAGGATCGCTTGAGCCCAGGAGGTTGAGGCTGCAGTGAGCAAGATCCTGCCACTACACTCCACCCTGGGTGACAGAGGGAGACCCTGTCACACACACACACACACACACACACACACACACACACACACACAAAAGTACAAAATTAGTAATACATCTCAGAGGGACAACAGGGCATATTACAAGAATTACACTGTATGTATGAATGATGAATATATAAATGATCTGTAATTCAAGCCTGCCTTCCCGAAAATTATTTTAAGAACTATGAGGCTTACTTCATTAGTACAATTAGGTACAGCTAAATAGTGGTTGCGGAAAAGGAGAATTTGGGAAACTTGGCTATAGGAAGACATAGATGTATTGAAAAGGCATTATGTTCACTGCGCTATTTTTTGTTTGAAATGAGTCAATGATGGTCCTGTATCACAAGCAGTACAAACATTTAAACTGGAGGCTTGTTTGTATAGTCAAGGAAAATCCAGGGATGGTGGATCTGTGATTAACTGTTTCAGCCCAGGCAGAAACAAAGAAAATGGAGAGGGTAAAGGGCCCTATAGTTGGCGATGTGTGGTTAATGTATGGCTAGATAGATATAGATATCTAAATTCAGGTGAAACTCACTGTAATTTTTACAGAAAAACTCTTTATGTAAATAATTGTGTTTATAAGATAAATCTTTAAGCTTAAAAAATGAGAGCTATCTAGAGACTAGGTACACTTATTAAAAAAGATGTCTTGAGCATATAGGTGTTCCATAGATATTTTATATCTTCCTTACCAATATAGTACTCTGCCCAATATTTAGAAGATATATCTCTTCCTGAATTCAAAATAGTAAACAGAAGATACATGAATATAAAAGCTGAAACACAACTTGCAACTGAACTGAATTTTGAAAACTACTTCCCCTTCGTTTTTAAAGAAAGCTGGCAAGACAATGTCTTCAAATAAATGAGTTGAAATAATTAGTACACTGTAAGGTTTTTTCTAAAGTCTTATTGCTCCCAAGTCCATTTTCTAGTGACGTTTTGCAGGACCTTCAAGCTGATTAATCTTCCCTAAAATGGGGCTAAGAATCTGAATTCTTCTAGCCCTGACTCCTGGGGCTGACATGAGTCCTCCTAAAGGGAAGATGAATAATTGAGCTTTTTCATATATTTTCCAGTTTGAAGAAGAAATATACACAGAGTATGTGTGTTTTAAATCTAAACAGTGAAATATACATTTTTGTGTGTGTTTTAGAAAGCTGGTGTATTACATCTGTTCTAAAAGTAGAAAAATTTGACAACACAATAGAACACTTGTCAGTGTGCTTTCTGACATCTCATTTTGTTGTTGTTCGGTGCTACCCTCATAAATATTCTAGGGAATGTGTAATATAAGGGAGGTTTTGGGAAATCCCAGGTGTAGGTTTCAAGCGATTGATCCGCCTCCTTTTGTTTTTGTCCTTAACCTGCTATGGGTGATCATGATGCTTGACCAGCCTAGGCGCTTTTCCTGCCGTTGGGGTTCTCTGGCTGGTTTAGTGCAGGACATACTAAGGATCTGGTTGGCACTGCTGTTTGAGAAGGCGCGTGAGCTGTGCTGTCTGGTGACTACTGA
The DNA here is from genome assembly GCF_000001405.40 of Homo sapiens. Taxonomy (NCBI): domain Eukaryota; kingdom Metazoa; phylum Chordata; class Mammalia; order Primates; family Hominidae; genus Homo; species Homo sapiens. The sequence goes on from NC_000001.11 coordinate 24,826,512, forward strand.
GCACTTGAAATGTGACTAGTGCAACTGAGGAAGTGAATTTTTAATTTTGTTTGTGATTAATTTAAATTCATATTCAAATAGGTACATGGCACTAGTGGCTACTGTACTGGACAATGAAGATAGAGAACATTTCCATCATCACAGAAAGTTCTCTTGGACAGCACTGCTCTAGCAATCTCATTCCAAGACTCCCATTGGCCTGGCAGAAATCTCTGAACAAGTCAACTGTTTCCCCAGCATTCTAATTTATCAGATGGAGGTGGAGTGCACATGCCCTGTGGTTGCCAAGAATATTAATATGTGAACAAAAACATAGTGCAGAGCTTTGTCTCGTAAGGAAAAAACAGTTTTTAAAAATACCATAGAAAACAAATGATGGTATTTCTTATAGTAATAACTATTAAAAGACGTCTAGTAACTGCTAGCATGGTGGTTTGAGAGAACTTATGCTAATTCATCTTTGAAGGATCTATAATCCATATCACTTTTTCTATTTAGGTACTTAAAGCTTTCACCAAAACACCCAGAATCAAATACTGCTGGAATGGACATCTTTGCCAAATTCTCTGCATATATCAAGAATTCAAGGCCAGAGGCTAATGAAGGTAAAAAACAAAAACTTGAATTAACATTGCAACAAAAAACCCCAAACAACAACAGGCTGTTATTATGACAGTGATTATAAATGAGTACTTTAGAGTCCAGCCATTCCCATAAGTAATAAAAACTGTCTTTCAGAGTTGGTCAGAAATTGGACAATAAACTGGAATAAGTCCCTATGTTGCTATTTTTCCATGTTTCTAGCTAGTAGCACAGTATATAGTAAGTGTGTGATAAAATGCTTCTTGAATGAAGTTTATTTCATCTTATTTTGAGAAGTTACTGTGAAGGGAGCTAGGCAAAGAATTAATGGTGCATCAGAAACAGTGGATTGTGTGGTTGTGGTGGTTTAGCATAGATTGGTTGAGCTTAATTTAAACTGTAACTAAATGTTTATTGTTGAGTGCCTGCAGCCTAGAGTCAGTCTGAGGTTTTTTTTTTTTTTTTTTTGCTTTGTTTTGTTTTTGTTGTTGTTGTTTTTGCTAATTACCCTTGAGCAATGTTTGGAGTTGCTTTAAGAGGGTAATTAGACATACTATCCTTCCAAATTTCTCTGCATCTTCAAGCTGGAATTTCATTTTCAAGTCATGTTTTCGCGGTAAGAGTTGTTTAGGTAGTACAGATGCAATTTTCTTTTATTTATTAAAGGACACTATTTTTATTATTTTATTCACCAAATGAATGTATAGTGTAGGGAGGTCTCTTTGGAAGAGGTTCCATTCAGTGAACCTTGTCTTAACTACAGCATTTAGTAATTTCCTTTTCTCTTCGGGATGTTAAGCAGAGTTCTCTCTGGGGAAAACTGTGTAGCACACATTAGTGTTTATTTGAAAGTAACCCAATAACCAAAAATGCTAGCTTCTAAAAATATTTATCATAGTTCCAGATAGTTTCCTAGCTTGAGTGGGATTCTTTTGAGAAGAAGTTTATGTCAGCAAATGAACAAGAATACCAAAGGGGAAAATATCAGTGCTGGTTAAACAAGAATGAATATCTTTTTAAAAAGTGAAATACTTGCTAATTTCCTTATGTTATTTCAGTACTATTATTATAAAATGCTGCAATTTTAAAATTTAGTATTGGATTCCAATGTCTTTTGCTCTTGATTTTTGGAATAATACTTAACTACATGAAATGTTTTTCTACAGTGAAGGGAAAAAAGGGAAAAATGTTAGTGCTCAGGTCTGGCTTGTATCTGTTAATAATGTATTCCAGTAGCTGCCATGGTTTGGAAGCAATTTTCTTTAGTAATTGGCTTTTTTTTTTCCTGACTAATGTTTCTGTCTAAGCAATTTATACATTAAGCAAGTGGTTATGTTGGAGCCCCTCCTTTCCACAGACAGTGTCTTTTCTGTTCTGCGCTTCATGCGAGCTAACTGTTCTTTTCATAAAACTACCCTTTTATACTTAGATGCCCCTGCTGCATACTTCTTTGAACAATCTTAGTTACAGTTATGTTTTTATTTTTCCATGTGGTTTTTTGGGAGTTGGAGGGTGGTTAAATTTCTTCTGACACTTAGTGGGGAGGAGAAAGGAATAAAATGTGTTTGCTTCCCCTTTGAGGGATGAGGATGGGGCGGGGTGGGGGTGGGGCGGGAATAAAAAGGTTAGAAAGTGACTCATTTAAGTATAACTTTGTATTCTATTTTTTCCCTATCAATTTGTTATTATCTTAAGTAGCCACCTACTCTTCCTGTCCTCAGAATGCTGTAACCAATAAGAACAAACAACATAATATAATACATGGTACATAATCTAGAAGGCTTTATATTAAATTACCTGCTGGTAAATAAAAGTTCCAGTTGCCAAGCAACTTCTCTCCACAGGGACCTGTTGAGGCCATGACACTTTAGAAAACAATATTTCAAATCACTTTGGAGCTTAATGGGCCCTCCTTATGTATGTTTGCCGCAGGCCTCAGATCCATTTAGTGCAATCAAATGCCTTTAGTAGTCCTAGGAAATTAGTGATTCTCCTTTTTATTTCCCCCAACCCCCACCCAGATGCTGACAATTTACACAGAGATGAATTTGTCGTTTTACATGGTAAATCAGAGTAGACAAGTCTGATTAGTTTTACCACCTATTAAATATTTTCAAAATCCAATATGTTTGGACAATTTTAAGACCTTTTAGGACTTAATTCTAAGTAAGGGATTCAATGCCTGAATGCTACAGTTTTGGGCTAATGAAACTGAAATAGAAGGGCTAGTGGTTAGGTTGGGGTACAAAGTAAACAAGTAAAATGTGAAGAATAAAGGGAGAGACACTGATGATAGATAGATAACACATATATAATTCTTTTGATAACACGTTCAAGTTGATTGGGAGTAAAAGTTTATGTAACCATTTAGGCAGTCAAAGAGAAGCTCATGGGTAATTTCTTTTGTGGGGATGTATTAAGTATGACCTGTCCCCAGATCTCCTACTTTTTTTAAGTTCTGTGATGGCATTAATTTATGTAATTTGCTAAGGTCCCAACTGTGACTAGTCATTGATATTTATAATACTCAGTCATTGATATTTATAATACTCATAAAAGAGATGTGAACTTAGCATTGTTGAATGTACTCTGAGGCATATTTCATGATGTCCAAATTCCTATATTTAGATGGAGGCAAGGAATCTAGAGGTTCTGATTAGTTCCTTTTTATTCAGGATCCTCTCCTTTCTCCTCTCCCCACTACTCCTGCCTTTCTCTCTGGAAAAGTGTTGGAAGTCAGAGGATGGTTGTGCATTATTGTAGCAGTAAGCCTGCATTGTATATTGAATTATCTTTAAATACCCATTACCTCTTTCTATTTTCCACTGATGTGTAACTTAGCCTTAAAACTTGTTTGTATAAGGTTACCCTTTATTAAGACTGCGGTAGGTAGCTTGAAAATATGGTTTTATCCATGTCAGTGCTTACAATTTTTAGTCTTTGTTTTAGTCATTGTAAATTATCTTGTTTTTCAATAACCGAAGTGCTCTTATTACATTTAATGTTTTCTGCCTTGAATTTTACTCATTCAAATCATACAAATAACAGAGAATACATGATTGTTGAAAAAGTTAAAATAGTATAGAAATAAATTTAATAAAACTTAATTGCCCCTCTTTAATCACATTACATGACCTCTTCAACAATTTAGTGTTCTTTTTTCTATGTAATTTTGCAAACATTTCTGTAAGTACGTATTATGTGCATACATTATGCAGTTATACTTTTCACTTATATGGTAGAAATGCTTCTATATCAAAATATAGATCTACCTCAATTTTTAGAAATTCTGCTTTGTATTTTATAATATGGATTTTCATTTAACCATTTCCATGTTGATAGACATCTAGATTGTCTCAAGTTTTTTTTTTTTCTTCACTATAATAAACAATGCTGCTGGTGAATGTCCTTGAGCTAGATTCCAAATAGTTCAAAAAGTTTGTGCATTTTAAATTTTGCTCTATTTTGCTAAATTGTTCTCCAAAAGTCTATACCAGTTTATATTCCCACAAACATGAAAGTATTCATTACCCTACACTTAGGACCCTGGTGTGTGTTAATCTTTGTAATTTTGCTGTGTTCTCTTAGACAAGAAAGGGTGTTTTGACTTTCATAATTACTTTTAAACTGATTTTGTTGCTCTGTTGCACTTAAAAATTTTTTGAGAGCTTTATGAAATAGCTTCTTAGGGATACCAGCATTACTACATCGGGGTATTGGAGAATAATAGTGCTACTTATTAGCTATAAGACAGGGAGCTACTTTGTGATGGCTTGCTACTGCCTTCTAGTGGTTAATTTTGACATTTTCTTTATATTTACATACTCCTTTGTGATGATTGGTCTTGAAAACTGTATTGTGTTTATTGAATGATGCTGTTTAGTACTTTTTGATATTTCTGTTTGTGTTTGTTTTATTGGCCATACCTTATGTTGATACATATAATTGTATCAAACTAATTCATCATTCTTTGTTTTCATTAATATACCCTTGTTATGACATTCTTAACTATGAAAAATTACTAACACCGTAGTCAGGTATAGCAATTCGACTTCATCAGAAGTGCTTTGCTAAGTACAAAATTATAGAGAAAACAGTCATTGTAATGTTATGCTAGACTCTTAATTTTCTTTTGAAAAAAATTTATTTAAATGAGACAAGGTCTCACCACATTGCCCAGGCTGGTCTTGACCTCCTGGACTCAAGCAATCCACCCAGCTTGGCCTCCCAAAGTGCTGAGATTACAGGCGTGAACCACTGTGTCTTGCACTGACGAATACTATGTTATAAACCTTGTAAATTTAGGATATTTGATTTTTATATATATAATTCAGGAAAAACATTAATTTAGAGCAGGTCTAAGGTTAAACATTTGCTCAAAAACTTGTCAAAACACTCAAATAGCATTTGAGACAATAATTCAATGTTTGAATTCAGGCAACATTATCTTCCCCACAGACTGATTCCATTCATTGTAATCTGATCAAAGAACAAGTCCTTGTACTCTAATATGTTCTTGTTCTGCATTCACTACTTTTATTTTTTTGGTTTTTTGTTTGTTTTGTTTAAGAGTCTTGCTCTGTCACCCAGGCTGGAGTGCAGTGGCACGATCTCGGCTCACTGCAACCTCCACCTCCCGGGTTCAAGTGATTCTCCTACCTCAGCCTCCTGCGTAGCTGGGACTACAGGCGTGCACCACCATGCCTGGCTAAGTTTTGTATTTTTAGTAGATACGAGGTCTCATCATGTTGGCCAGGCTGGTCTTGAACTGCTGACCTCAGGTGATCTACCTGCCTTGGCTTGCCAAAGTACTGAGATGACAGGTGTGAAGCACCATGCCCGGCCATGCATTCACTGCCTTTAATAAGAAGCATATTAACTCTTGTTTTACAACCTTGAGATTCTGCTCTCTCCTTTTCTCTTTTTTCCTCTTAAATATACCCATAGAAAGTGTTTCATCGTTTCCTGGAATTCTTACTGACCTAGCTGTTTCTCACATTGTATTCTCCTGTTAATTTATAAACTTTACATTTCAGCTAACTATATGCATTATTGCTGGCCTGAATATAATTAATAAAAATTTATGTTTATTATTTTATGTTTTTGATTTTTTATTTTTTTTATTTTTTATTTTTTTTTTCTTTTGAGCAGTAACGTTTTATTTTTTATTTTTTTATTTTTTATTTTTTTTATTTTTTATTTTTATTGATCATTCTTGGGTGTTTCTCGCAGAGGGGGATTTGGCAGGGTCATAGGACAATAGTGGAGGGAAGGTCAGCAGATAAACAAGTGAACAAAGGTCTCTGGTTTTCCTAGGCAGAGGACCCTGCTGCCTTCCGCAGTGTTTGTGTCCCTGGGTACTTAAGATTAGGGAGTGGTGATGACTCTTAACGAGCATGCTGCCTTCAAGCATCTGTTTAACAAAGCACATCTTGCACCGCCCTTAATCCATTTAACCCTGAGTGGACACAGCACATGTCTCAGAGAGCACAGGGTTGGGGATAAGGTCACAGATCAACAGGATCCCAAGGCAGAAGAATTTTTCTTAGTACAGAACAAAATGAAAAGTCTCCCATGTCTACTTCTATCCACACAGACCCAGCAACCATCCGATTTCTCAATTTTTTCCCCACCCTTCCCGCCTTTCTATTCCACAAAACCGCCATTGTCATCATGGCCCATCCCCAATGAGCCGCTGGGCACACCTCCCAGACGGGGTCGTGGCCGGGCAGAGGGGCTCCTCACTTCCCAGTAGGGGCGGCCCGGCAGAAGTGCCCCTCACCTCCCAGATGGGGCGGCTGGCCGGGCGGGGGGCTGACCCCCCCACCGCCCTCCCGGACGGGGCGGCTGGCCAGGCAGAGGGGCTCCTCACTTCCCAGTAGGGGCGGCCGGGCAGAGGCGCCCCTCACCTCCTGGATAGGGCGGCTGGCCGGGCGGGGGGCTGTTCCCCCCACCTCCCTCCCGGACGGGGCGGCTGGCCGGGCAGAGGGGTCCTCACTTCCCAGTAGGGGCGGCCGGGCAGAGGCGCCCCTCACCTCCCGGACGGGGCGGCTGGCCAGGCAGGGGGCTGATCCCCCCACCTCCCTCCCGGACGGGGCGGCTGGCCGGGCGGGGGGCTGACCCCCCCCACCTCCCTCCCGGACGGGGCGGCTGGCTGGGCAGAGGGGTCCTCACTTCCCAGTAGGGGCGGCCGGGCAGAGGCGCCCCTCACCTCCCGGACGGGGCGGCTGGCCAGGCAGGGGGCTGATCCCCCCACCTCCCTCCCGGACGGGGCGGCTGGCCGGGCAGGGGGCTGACCCCCCCACCTCCCTCCCGGACGGGGCGGCTGGCCGGGCAGGGGGCTGACCCCCCCTCCCCCCTCCCGGACGGGGCGGCTGGCCGGGCGGGGGGCTGACCCCCCCACCTCCCTCCCGGATGGGGCGGCTGGCCAGGCGGGGGGCTGACCCCCCCACCTCCCTCCTGGGCGGGGCGGCTGGCCGGGCAGAGGGGCTCCTCACTTCCCAGTAGGGGCGGCCGGGCAGAGGCGCCCCTCACCTCCCGGACGGGGCGGCTGGCCAGGCGGGGGGCTGACCCCCCACCTCCCTCCCGGACTGGGCGGCTGGCCGGGCGGGGGGTTGACCCCCCCACCTCCCTCCTGGACGGGGCGACTGGCCGGGCAGAGGGGCTCCTCACTTCCCAGTAGGGGCGGCCGGGCAGAGGAGCCCCTCACCTCCCGGCCGGGGCGGCTGGCCGACCCCCCCCCCCCCCCCCCGCCTCCCTCCCGGACGGGGCGGCTGGCCGGGCAGAGGGGCTCCTCACTTCCCAGTAGGGGCGGCCGGGCAGAGGAGCCCCTCACCTCCCGGACGGGGCGGCTGGCCGGGCAGGGGGCTGACCCCCCCCACCTCCCTCCCGGACGGGGTGGCTGCCGGGCGGAGACGCTCCTCACTTCCCAGACGGGGTGGTTGCCAGACGGAGGGGCTCCTCACTTCTCAGACGGGGCGGTTGCCAGGCAGAGGGTTTCCTCACTTCTCAGACGGAGCGGCCGGGCAGAGACACTCCTCACCTCCCAGACAGGGTTGCGGCCCAGCAGAGGCGCTCCTCACATCCCAGACAGGGCGGTGGGGCAGAGGTGCTCCCCACATCTCAGACGATGGGCGGCCGGGCAGAGACGCTCCTCACTTCCTAGATGGGATGGCGGCGGGGAAGAGGCGCTTCTCGCTTCCTAGATGGGATGGCGGCCGGGCAGAGACGCTCCTCACTTTCCACACTGGGCAGCCAGGCAGAGGGGCTCCTCACATCCCAGACGATGGGTGGCCAAGCAGAGACGCTCCTCACTTCCCAGACGGGGTGGCGGCCGGGCAGAGGCTGCAATCTCGGCTCTTTGGGAGGCCAAGGCAGGCGGCTGGGAGGTGGTTGTAGCGAGCCGAGATCACGCCACTGCACTCCAGCCTGGGCACCATTGAGCACTGAGTGAACGAGACTCCATCTGCAATCCCGGCACCTCGGGAGGCCGAGGCTGGCGGATCACTCGCGGTTAGGAGCTGGAGACCAGCCCGGCCAACACAGCGAAACCCCATCTCCACCAAAAAAAAACGAAAACCAGTCAGGCGTGGCGGCGCGCGCCTGCAATCGCAGGCACTCGGCAGGCTGAGGCAGGAGAATCAGGCAGGGAGGTTGCAGTGAGCCGAGATGGCAGCAGTACCGTCCAGCTTTGGCTCGGCATGAGAGGGAGAGGGAGACGGGAGAGGGAGAGGGAGACGGGAGAGGGAGAGGGAGACGGGAGAGGGAGAGGGAGACGGGAGAGGGAGACGGGAGAGGGAGAGGGAGACGGGAGAGGGAGACGGGAGAGGGAGAGGGAGAGGGAGACGGGAGAGGGAGAGGGAGACGGGAGAGGGAGACGGGAGAGGGAGAGGGAGACGGGAGAGGGCGAGCAGTAACGTTTTATATTGATTTTTTATTTTTAAGTGGCTTGTTTCTCTTGTCACTTCTGTAGTTGAGCTCTGCTAATGTCTCAACTTTATTTTACTGGGTTCCAGTGCCCTCTGCTGGTTATGTTTCATCTAAGAAATAAGCTAACTTGATCATTGGCTATGGCTAGCATGATCCTTTAATAATAAAATGGGTAGATCTTTGACCTTGCCACTTATCACTTAGGTAGGTAACACATTCTAATTTGTTTGATATTTTCCTAAGTAAAAAATATTACCGGGTCAGGTGCGGTGGCTCACGCCTGTAATCCCAGCACTTGGGGAGGCCAAGGCAGGTGGATCGCTTGAAGCCAGGAGTTCGAGACCAGCCTGACCAACATGGCATAACCCCATCTCTACTAAAAATACAAAAATCAGCCAGGCGTGGTTGCTCACGCCTATAATCCCAGCTACTCGGGAGGCTGAGGCAGGAGAGTCACTTGAAACTGGGAGGCGGAGGTTGCAGCGAGCTGAGATTGCACCACTGCACTCCAGCCTGGGCGACAGAGTGTGAGAATCTGTCTATAAATAAATAAATAAATAAATTTTAAAAATGTAGAATTAAATACATAACAATAATAGCATATAGGACAGAAAGGAGGTTAATGGGGTTCTAAGGTCTTTGCATTATCCTGGAAGTGGCAACAGTTATAATTAAACTTTAATGAGTCAAGGAAACAAAGACTAGAAAAGGATGTATATTAAGCTAATAGAGGTGGAAATAGAGGAATAATTTTTAAAAATGTAATCCATAGGAAGGTAGGAGAGAAGAAAAGAACACAGAACAGGTGGACAAATAAGAAGTATATAGCAGATTTGAACCAGAGTTTTTAGTAATGACATTGAATATACATTATTTAAATATTCCAAATGAAAAAACAAAGTTTACCAACTGGATTAAAAACAATGTTGCTTATGTACAAGACTGTATCTATCTGTCTATCTATGAAACACACAAATACATACATGAAATGTGGATCCAGGAGAGCTAAAAATGAAATAGTATAAATACTAACCTAAAGAAAGTTGACAAAGCCACACTGACATTGGATGAAGTAGACTTTAAGGAAAGAAGCATTATGAGATAATGAAGCGTGTTCCAGACTGATTTAAAAAGGTTAATCAGGAAGATAAAATAATTCTAAACTTATCTTACCAAATAACTAACCTGAAAATATAAGCCAAACTGACAGAACTAAAAGAGACAGATCAATCCACAGTCATAGTGGGGGATCTTAACTTACCCCCTTAGTAACTGTTAGAATCAACCGCAAAAGGAAAAAAATGAGAAGATAAAATTGAACAATACAGTGAACAAATTTAATCTCATATATGTATATACATATCTCACTGTACTTCAGAATATACTTTTGTTTTTCAAATGCACATGGAACAAAATTGATGGTAAAGCTGGGCCATAAAACAAAGCTAAAAATTTTTCCAAAAAAATTGAAAACGAGGAATGTTTCTCAATCAAAGAAAATATGATAGATATCAATAACAAAAGTACAGCTAGAACGGGGCACAGTGGCTCATGCCTGTAATCCCAGCACTTAGGGAGGCTGAGGTGGGCAGATCACTTGAGCTCAGTAGTTCAAGACCAACTTTGGCAACATAGCTAAACCCTCTGTCTACAAAAAATACAAAAATTTGACAGGTGCAGTGGCATGTGCCTATAGTCCCAGCTACTCAGGAGGCTGAGGTGGGAGGATCGCATGAGCCCAGGAGTTCGAGGTTGCAGTGAGCCGAGATCGTGCCATTGCACCCCAGCCTGGGTGATAGGAGTGAAACCTTGTCTCAAAAATGAAAAAAACAAAAGCTACAGCTAGAAAGTTTCTACATGTTTGAAAATTAATTAGTATATTTCTAAATAATCCACAGATTGAAAAAGAATAAAGTGATGAAAATACAGAATGTCTACATTTGTGAGATATGGCTAAAACTGTGCTTAGAGGGAATTTTTTAGTTCCAAAAGCCTATATTAGAAAAGAAGAGAGCTAAATATTGGTGAAGTAAAAGTTTAGAAATACTAAAGAGCAGAATATAAGGAAGTAGAAAACAAACATGACATTGAACAAGGAAGCTAAAAGCTGGTTCTTTGCAAAGTCTAACAAATAAAAAAAATGGATAAATCCTTGAAAAGAAAAATCAAGAAAAGTGAGAGAAGACAGCAAAAACCAATATTGGAAATAAAAAGGAGGATTGCTACAGATCTTACATTAAAATGATTTTTGGAGGATATTATGAAAAAATTTATGCTTATAATTTTGAAACTATTGGAGAAATTTACAGAAAGTACAGTGTAACAAAATTGACACAAGGAGGAATTAAAAATGTGAATATTCTTATATCATTTAAATTTCTTATAATTAAAAAGAAAACTCCAGATCCAGATGGCTTCACTGTTGAACTCTTCCAAGCATTTGAGGAAGAAGTAAGGTTATACTTTCATATACCTTTCCAGGGAACAGAAAAGAGGGAATGCTTTCTACCTTGCTTTTTGAGGGCAGGGAGCCTTGATACCAGAACCATACAAGAACATCAAAAGAAAGGACAATTTCAAGCCAATCTTTCTTTAATATAGATGCAAAAGTCTGAAATAAAATATACCAAATCCAGCAACATAACAAAAGGTAGTACAACCAAGTTGGGTTTCTCAGGAATGGAAGATTGTTTAAAAATTCAGAAATCTGGCCGGTTGCAGTGACTCACACCTGCAATCCCAGCACTTTGGGAGGACCAGGCAGGCGGATCACTTGAGGTCAGGAGTTCGAGATTAGCCTGGCTAACATGGTGAAACCCGGTCTTCTCCGCAGACTATTCCTCCTACCTATCCTTTAAATGATGTTCCTTAGGGCTTTCTCTAGGCCCTCTGCTTCTCCTTTACTCCATGGTTTCGGTGTTCATTTATGTTCTCATAACTTCTAAACACGTTGCTCCAGCTCAGTGCGTGACACTTGAAACCATATTTGTCTGTCTATTGGACATCTCTACTCACATGTCTTACAGGCACCTCAAACTCAGCATGAACTCATCTCCGTAGCCCCTAAATCGGTTTCTCCTTGGGAAGGTAAATGGCTCAGTAAATGACACCAGCATTCACCCTGGGAGTCTTTAGTTTGTTGACCAGCTTCTCTATACTACCCTCTGTCCCCAAGATCTAAACTCTCTGAGGATAGGAATGTATTAGGTTTTATTCAACAGTGAATTTAACAATCCTTAGAATAAGACTTGGCATGTAGGAGGGGCTCAATTATATTTTGTTGAATACATCTTCCCCCCTTTCTCCATATTCACTTTGGTTTCTGAACTCTGTTAGTTTTTATTTCCTAAAATCCGTTCATTCCTTTTTATGCCTATAGCCCCTTACCTAACTAAGACTACCATCTATTACCTGGACTACCATGAAGGGACCAAGGGCTGAGTGGGTGGCTGCAATTTGGAAGAAGAGGTTTGGGGTTAGGACATATGTACATTGCTGGTAAAATATCTAAGATGCAGGCCTTTACCTTTTTCCTTAAAGGACACAACTGAATTCAGACTTAAAACTACATGGTTTGCCACCTCATGATATTTAACTTTCTTTTATGGCCAGTTACCACAATCATCTGTGTAAGTTCATCTATTCTGAGAGTGAGGGGGAAGGTGGCTTTGGAAGGAAAGGATAAGAAAGGATAATAGAAGATCTGTCTGTTGTTATTCCATATTTTTAATGACATTCCTACCCCCTTTCTGCTGAGGGCCACTAACCTTGACTTTCCAGATATACAGTGGTGCTCTGTCCCACTTTAATGAATGCCATCAAAATATGGAATAACAACAGACAGATCTTCTATTATCCTTTCTTCTGAATCATGACAATCAGAATCATGACAATCTGAATCATGACAATCAGAGCATCTTAATCTATTTGGTTAAAGAGGCTCCCAGTTCAGTATTGTAAATTGAACTCCTTAATCTGACCTTTGTGTTTTTTGTATAAGATAGTGCTATTCTTGGCTTCCTGTGAATTATAAGACAGTTTTGAAAATCTCAGGTTTTCTGTTTGGATTGTTTGAATTGGTATTTCTTAACACATTTCTTACTGATAAATCAAAATATTCCTGGGGGAGCAGGAATTAAAAATGAGGGCAAAAATCTGCCTCTAAGATTTTTTTAATCCCTAGATTTGAATTAATATGCTTGCCTTTTCTCATCCATTTTTCCAGTTTAAATGTCAAATGTGTTGGACCATTTGTGTTCATGTGTGGGACATTTAGTTGTTAGCAAGTTTTTTTTGAGACAGAGTCTCGCTCTTTCGCCCAGGCTGGAGTGCAGTGGTGCTATCTCGGCTCACTGCAAGCTCGGCCTCCCGGGTTCACGCCATTCTCCTGCCTCAGCCTCCCGAGTAGCTGGGACTACAGGCGCCCGCCACCACGCCCGGCTAATTTTTTGTATTTTTAGTAGAGACGAGGTTTCACCGTGTTAGCCAGGATGGTCTCGATCTCCTGACCTCGTGATCTGCCTGCCTCGGCCTCCCAAAGTGCTGGGATTACAGGCGTGAGCCACCGCGCCCGGCCATTTGTTAGCAAGTTTTTACAAATACCACTGCCTGACATTATTATGCTTATTTATACTTTTACCTGAACAAACTTGTTTCATCCCCTGCCCCACCTAATTGAGCTCTAGGAGAGCAGGAGCCTTGTCTGTTTTGTTCTACAGTACCTTGTTTCAGAGTAAACATTTTTAAACAGTTATTGACTCAAAGAGTCTGCTTCTCCTTGGGGACTTGAGTGGTTTTCCTTCTTACAGTATTCTCATCTCTTTTTTTCCCCCCCAAGCACTGGAGAGGGGTCTCCTGAAAACCCTGCAGAAACTGGATGAATATCTGAATTCTCCTCTCCCTGATGAAATTGATGAAAATAGTATGGAGGACATAAAGTTTTCTACACGTAAATTTCTGGATGGCAATGAAATGACATTAGCTGATTGCAACCTGCTGCCCAAACTGCATATTGTCAAGGTAGGTCTGTAGGGGTTGATGTCGCATTGCCATTACCTTGTATTGTATTTACTAAAGTGGCATTTCCTTTGTGCTCAAAACATTTCTGATTTTATATGACTAGTTGTTTAACTCAATGCTGTTTAGGCAATAGTTGAAGCACCCTAGAGTTAGTTAAATGGAAAATTATGTCTTAAAATTGAGGAATATAAGAAAGATGAATATTTTTTTTTCTGTGACTGCATACAAATTCAAAGATATAATGCGTGACTTTGAATTGGAGTTTGCCACACTGACTTATGTTATCAAATTCTGTTCTGTGATCACACCTTGCTTTCTCTATTGAAGGCAAAAAGTATTGAGCATTTATTATATGAGACACTGGGCTGGGCACATTGTTAAATAGAATAATAATAAGCGCTAGTTGTAAATAAAGACCTAAGATAACAAAAACAGATCTAAAATAGCATATGTGTGTTGTGAAGTATTTTCCAGTGATTATACTTGGCTGTCTTTCTGGATGTCCAAGGCAGTTATTTGCAGTCACTGTCACACTTCTAAATCCCTGGTGTAGCTTGCAGTCTTGGTCATTATTTAAAACTCTGGTTAGAATGATGGTGATGGACTTTTTTTCATATAGAAGCAGTTCTCAAAGATTTAGAGCATTAATTATTTGCTCCAAAATCAGAGATATGTCTAGTTTACAAGACGTGGAAATAAGTCTGTTAACTTTTGATCTCTTTGTATTTCAGGTGGTGGCCAAAAAATATCGCAACTTTGATATTCCAAAAGAAATGACTGGCATCTGGAGATACCTAACTAATGCATACAGTAGGGACGAGTTCACCAATACCTGTCCCAGTGATAAGGAGGTTGAAATAGCATATAGTGATGTAGCCAAAAGACTCACCAAGTAAAATCGCGTTTGTAAAAGAGATGTCTTCATGTCTTCCCCTAAGAATACGCTTTTCCTAACAGGCTACTCCTTCCTGTAGAGCAGAAATTGTATTTTGCACGAACATGCAGTTATTGAAGATTAGGATCAAGGATAGACAAGGTATAGTAGTTATCTTAAAATATACACTCCTAAGCAGTATTATTTTAAAATCCTTTACCCTGGCTACCTCCCCTACCCGGGTTCCCCTCTCTTTAATTTGGAGACACTCCACCACAAACTTTTCACTTTAGAGGTAGCTTGCCATCTCTCAGGAGCCCTCACCATTGTGTCCATTCACTGTGTATAGATGGCAGAACTTTTGAGGTGCAATGTTTAATTGTTAAAAATAGTAGCCACGACTTTATCAGGCAGCCCCAAACTGGTGCATAATGCATGGTACAAGAAATATTTATGTATTTTTTGGAATTTTGTAATATTTAGTAAGAGTATATGAAAGGATTGCTACTGTATCAGAAATATTGTTTCAATTTAGTCTATCCTGGATATGTACTAACGAATATTACCACCAGAGAAGAGAGCTTTCTACAAAAGTCACTACAGATTTTGCTATATTGCTTTGTAGATAGATTTTTACTTTTGCCTAAAAGCATTTATCCTTCATACCAATTGTAACATCTGACACCATGTAGAAGCTAAAAGTTTAGAGGGAGTGAGGGTTTTCTCAAGACCTTCCTCAAGCATTTTATCTTTAGAAGAGAAACTGATGGGCACCTGATACTCTGTCTAAATACGTTTGTTATATGTGTTTTGCCCTGTGCCATTCATTTGGAACTTTATTGCATTCTTTATTTTAAAAAGCTTGTTTTTACGTAATCATAGAGCTTGCTATTTGTACATCTGTTGAGCAACACTACATAACTGATTTTTAGTTGACTTAGCTATAGCAGTACAATGATTAGTAATGTAAAAATTAACACAGAAATTAACCTAAGGAATGAAGGGTGGGTTTGTCAAAATATCAAGTAAATTTTTGTTTCTAAAGTACATTTAATGTAGATGACCTAAAGAATGCGTTATCCATCCTATATAAAAGAAAGATAAAACACAGGTCACCAATTTTCTCATTTCACCCCATTTACCTTGTATAGAGGATTGTTCATTCCTTTGGGACTAAGTTATAGTTATGGTGAGTGTGTATTTACTGTAGTTTTGCCTGATCTCACTCATTGCACTTCCTGGAGTTAAATTTTCCAACAGCCATGTTGAGGAATAGCACTCTGCATGTTTTTGTTTTGTTTTTCGGGGTTTTTTTTAATTGAAGCCCTAAACCAGGAATTATTTGTGTTCTAACAGGAGGATGAACTTGCTGAAAATAAAACTTTGCTATGTATTTACTCTTTTTTAAAAGACAAAAGCAAAACCAGACTTTCTACGTACTACTCCAAAGACTGTGATTGTGACTATAATACATTTTTGGTAATTTTTTTATACCTAATTTGTATAGGAAGTGCTATTTCTCATAGGCTGTTTCTTGAAATTTTAAGTTTATTGCTTTAAAATGGCAGTGTTTCTCCCACTTTGATATGCTAACATTTAGTAAGCACTGGCTTTATGAAAGCGGCTTTTTATAAGTATACTGCATTTTTTGAGCCTATCATTAATTAGCTTAGTATGAAAGATAAGAAAATCTCCATGTTGTATCCATTTGGCTCAGGAAGATTCTTTGCCTTACCTTTCTTAGAACTCTTTATTGCTTATCAAAAGTTTGAGTACCCGCTTGGTTTTTTTTTGGTAATTAAATATTGTATGATTTATCTGGTTCAAGGAAGATGCACTATTCAGTTATCTATTGAGAAATTATTTTGCAGTGGTTTTAGTGGGTGAAAATGTCCCATCTGCACCAGTACACAGGCAGGCATTATCATTCTTCACCTACTTTTTAAATAGTGGCAACTTGGGATTCATTCTGGTGATTCTGAACCTTGCCTCATAGCTTAAAGTATAAAAAAGATTCAAGAGCAGTGAGGTTTGTTCTTTCCAGTGAATGGTGGACTGAGTGGTGCGAGGTGGAGGGCTAACAAGAGGAAAGAACTACATTCTTCAGAATACAGTGATGAAAATTCATTTTGAAACTCAAATATTTTCATTTTGGATATTCTCCTGTTTTTATTAAACCAGTGATTACACCTGGCCATCCCTCTAAATGTTCTAGGAAGGCATGTCTATTGTGATTTTGATGAAGACAGAATTATTTTTCTCTGTAGAAACACAGATACCACTTTATCAGGGAAGTTAGTCAAATGAAATGGAAATTGGTAAATGGACAAAAGCTAGCTAGTAAAAAGGACGACCCAGCAACATGCTTTAACCCCATTGTATGTTTGTGGAAAGAGCATAGTTTAACATCTTGAGAAATTTGGGACATAAAGTTTTCATGGTAGACAGTTCATGCAGTATATGAATTGCCATAATGGAAATAATCTGATTTTATTTTTACAACTAACATCCATTCCCCTTCATTTAAACACCTTTTGTGTTTTACTTCAGTGAGGAGATTGGAGTCTGAATGGATCTGTTTTCCAAGAGATTCTGAGAAATTTTTGTATTCAGCAGTTGGAAAGCTCTCTATTCTAGTTGATAAAACTTCCCTTTTTTGATGTAGATGCAGATATTCTATACAGTTCTGTTGTCTTTTACTAGGACTGTAAACTTTTGTGATAAAATTCAAATAAGATTTTATTTCTTGGTAATTTTGGCTTTCACAATTTATCTTTAAATCCTTGAGCAATCTGTATACAATTAAGAGATTTCTGACATTTATTCTTACACTAAATGGATCAACTCTAGGATTTAGGCATGTTAACTTCTGTTGTGTTTTGAATCTCTCCAGAGTTGCATGTAGATAGCATTTATTTCTGTGCCCTTAAACCCATTTAGAAAATAACTACAAAGTAAAAATGTAGAGGAAATAGAAATGTATTTTTTCATGAACATTTTGATACAAATTTCATCATTTAATGATTCACCAATTTCTTGCATTAATTTGAATTTAAGCATTTAATTCAAAGAGAGGGGAGCATCCATTATTGATACATGTGGGCTTTTAAAAACTCCATCCTTTATAAATAGTCAAGGTTTGGGCCACACAAAGTATATTTTTATCATGGAAAAATTTCAACTCCTCAAGCCGTAATGTTGAACAGAATTGGAGTATTTTCTTTATAATTTCTTGAACAGGCAAATGAAAGCTTATTATAGAATGCATGTATTTTCTTTTATCTTTGGAACATCAGCACCAGTATATTGCTGGCAGCTATTGTATTAAAAAATAAAGTATATTTTCACTATCATAAAGGATTCTTTTTTCCCCCCTCATGAAAATAAACAACAACTTGGGGTAAAAGTGTTTGAGACTACTATTTTTTTTTCTATGAGTGATTCAGCACATTTAATAGGTTAAAGGAGAAAAACCATAGGATCATTTCAATAGGTACAGAAAATAACTTGATTAAAATATTCATGCTACTCATTCTTAGCAAAATAGGTAACTTTTTTTTTAACCTGATAAAGACTTTTATTGAGAACCTATAGCAAATGAAACAGAAGCGATCTCGTTAAAGTCAAGAATAAGACAAGGTTGCCCTCTATCACAGCTACTATCCAGCTACTTTAACAGCTACTTTATTTAGAGATATCCTAGCCAATGCAGTAACATCAGTGAAAGGAATAAAGAATGGAAAAGAAGCAACAAAATGACTGCCCTTTGCAGGTAATGATGTTGATGGTGTGTATGTGTATAAAATCCAAAATAACTTACAAATACTAAAAATAATTCAGCTGGATTTCTAGTTGCAAGATCGAGGAACAAAATTTAATATAACTACTATATACAAATAGTAAGCACATTGAAAGCCAATAGAGAAATTGGTAACATTGGTTTTTTTCTGGAGGAGAATTGGGTGCCTGAGGTAAAGGGGTGGGAAATTATCAATGTATACTTTTAAGTTTTTAGAAATTGGTAAATATATTACCTATTCTAATAAACAAAAAGTGCTTTAAAAAACGAATAAAGATCCTAAGTGATTGAGGATCAAATCAAACAATGTGCAATTCCTAGCCAAGCATGGTGGCTCATACCTGTAATCCCAGCACTTAGGGAGGCCAAGGTGGGAGGATTACATGAGGCCAGGAGTTCAAAACCAGTCTGGGCAATACAGCAAGACCCTGTCTCTACAGGAAAAAAAAAAACAAAAAACAAACAAAAAAAAAAGCCAAGTGTGGTAGCATGAGTCTGTAGTCCTAGCTACTCGGGAGGCTGGGGAAGGAGGATCTCTTGAGCCCAGGAGTTTGAGGCTATAGTGAACTATGGTTGTGCCACTGTACTCCAGCCTGGGTGACAGAGCAAGACCCTGTATCTTTTTTTTTTTTAAGTGCAATTCTTTATGGAGAAAAGTACAAGACATTATTGAAAGGCCTGATAGAAATTTGTTCAATGGATAGGCATACCATATTTATGGATGGAGAGCTCAAAAGCATGAAAATTTAAATTCTGACTACTTATAAATATATTTGCCAACAAGATCCTAACAGGTGTTTTTGGAAACTAGATAAATGGATTCAAAAATTCATGTGGAAGAGTTATGCCCCCAAATAGCCAACATATATTTGAAGATGGGGAAAGAGAACTTGTTTGACAAGATACCAAGACTTAATAAAAACTTACAGTAATCGATGGGTAGGATATAGGTCACAGCAACACAATACTACTGCTGCAACAACCATAAAAAACTATTAAAACACCAAAATAGGCCAGGTGCGGTGGCTCAAATCCCAGCACTTTGGGAGGCCAAGGCAGGTGGAATCACCTGAGGTCAGGAGTTTGAGAGCAGCCTGGTAAACATGATGAAACCCTGACTCTACTAAAAATACAAAAAATATATAACAATAGTGATAGAAGGAAGGTAAGTGGAGTTAAGTACTTGCAAGATTCTTAGGTTATTTGGGAAGTGATGAAAGTACCAATTTAAGAAAATGATAATAAATCATGGATAAATATCACAATTTCTAGGGTAACTACTAAAAGAACTACAAGAATAAATAACTTAAAAATCTAAGACTTAAGGAGGAAATGGAAGTTGAAAAAAATTCAATTCAAAAGAAAGGACAAGGGGATCAAATGAACAAAACATAGGACAAATTGGAAAAATAGCAAAAGGTTAACTGTAAATCCAACACTGTTAGTAAATTTATGAAATGTAAATGGGCTGAACAATGTTAAGTGTCAAACTGGATAAAAAATCAAAACCCAATATATGCTATTTACAAGAGACAAATATATGGGCCCAGAAGGGTGAAATTAAAGAATGGAATAGTTAATTCATTGACACAGTAAATAAAAAGAAAGAAGATGTGCCTATCATACAAAGTAGGTTTTGAGGCAAGAAGTGTTACTGGAGATGAAAAAGGATGTTTTACAATATAGGACATTGATAATCATGAACATTCACTATGAAAATGTTAACAGTCCTGCATTTCTGTGTATCTAATAACACCTTTAAATAAAAATTGACTCAAAGAGAAATGTCTGCAATTATGAGGTCAAATTCATCCTCATAATTGGAGATTCTTAACATAGCTCTCAGTAACTGATAGAACAAGGAGGAAAACACGTGCGTGTGCACATACGTACACACATAGGAATAGCAGAAGAGAGAATAACACAACCACTTGACCTAATGGATGCATATGGCATGCTATATCCAACAACTGCAGAATGTACATTCTTTTCAGGTATATGTGGAACTTTTAGTGAAACAGACCCTATGCCGAGCCATAAAACAAGCCTCAACAAATTTCAAAGGAATGAAATACAAAATACGTTTTCTGACCACAGTGGAATTAAACTAGAAGTCAATAGTTGAAAGATACCAAGAAAATCCCCAGAATAAGGAACTACTTACAGTAGCCTACAACCCATGATGAATTTTTTTTTTTTTTTGACAGAGTCTCACTCTACTGCCCAAGCTGGAGTGCAGTGGCATGATCTTGGCTCACTGCAGCCTCTGCCTCCCAGGTCCAAGTGATTTTCCTGCCTCAGCCTCCTTAGTTGCTGGGATTACAGGCGCCCTCCACCATGCCCGGCTAATTTTTGTATTTTTACAAATACAAAAATTGTAACCTGTTGGCCAGGTTGGTCTCGAACTCCTGACCTCAAGTGATCCACCTGCCTTGGCCTCCCACAGTGCTGGGATTACAGGCGTGAGCCACCACATCCTGCCTGAAAATCTAAAGTTTTAAATTTAACACACATATTTATTATACACCAGGAACTGTTCTAAACACTTTACGTATATTAACTTAGTCTCTTTAACAATCCTATGAGATAGAGACTATTATTCCCATTTTATGGGTGAGGAAACTGAGGCATGTGGAGGTTAAGAAACTTGCTCAAGAGCCTGGGAAACATAGCAGGACCCTGTCTCTACAAAAAAAAAAAAATTAAGGTTGTGAGAGCCTCTGGTCCTAGCTACATGGGTGGCTGGGGCAGGAGGATCGCTTGAGCCCAGGAGTTCGAGGTTGCAGTGAACTATGATTGTGCCATTGCACTCCAGCCTGGGCAACAGAGCAAGATCCTGTCTCTAAATAAGAAAAGAAACTTGCTCAAAATCCCACAGCTAGTAAATGACAGTCAAAGCTAGGCAATATAGCAATATGCAGATAGTGCTCAGCAATCTTTAAAAGTGTGTCTGTTTTCCTCCTTAAAAGAGTGGACTTGGCTCCCTGGCCCCTGACAACTAAGGTAGT
The DNA here is from genome assembly GCF_000001405.40 of Homo sapiens. Lineage (NCBI taxonomy): Eukaryota > Metazoa > Chordata > Mammalia > Primates > Hominidae > Homo > Homo sapiens. Next base: position 24,847,723 of record NC_000001.11, read on the forward strand.
TGGTTGCCAGGTAAGCAGAGGTCCAGCTGGAACATATAGATTCTTTAAAAAAATAAATAAATAAAAATAGAGACAGGATTCTAGCTCTGTTGCCCAGGCTGGTGTCAAGCCCCTGGCCTCAAGCAATCCTCCTGTCGTAGCCTCCGAAACTGTTGGGATTTCAGGCGTGAGCCACCGCGCCCGGCCAAGAGCACGTTTGGTTGGTTTGTCCTGAGGGGCAGGTCTCTCGCACCAAGCAGGAGGTAGAGGTCTCGGGCCCAGAGGGGCCCTGCATCCCCCACCTCCTGCTGCGAGAGGCATCAGCCGGCCTTGTCCCTAAAGCCCCTGCTCGCTTTCCTGTCACCACTCGGGTGCGGTTCCGAAGTGGCCAGCAGGGGCCGCGGTTCCCCTCCTTTCGGCGCCACTTCTGCAAGCAGGGCTGGGACAGCTGCAGGACCTCGTCAGTTTGGGGAGCTGCCAGACCCGATCAGCAGCGTTGTCGGCTTCCTTCCTCTTTATCAGATCTGTCAGGGCTGCTGCGCGCTGCGAAGGCGCCTCCGGCCTCCTTCCCTCCTTCCTGTGTCGAACGGACGCTCCCCGGCGCCGCTGCGAACCGACACCTCCGCGCCTCCCCCGGCGGGGCAGGGCAGGGACCCGCTCACACCCTAGGTGGGGTGGGGTGGGAAGTGCCAGCGGTCTGGGTGTGACGGAGCCAGCCAATGTCCACGCGAGGTCAGGTCGCACGTGGGCCTCGACGCTGGCACTTCTGCATGTCCCTGGTTCTCGGCCGGCCACCGGCAGCTAGAGGAAGCGCTTCGCCCGCGAACCACAGGGCTGGGCGGCGGTTGGGTCGCGGCAGGGCGAGGGCTCCGCTGCGGTTGGCCCCGAGCGGCGTCCTTCCCCCGGGGGCCCCCGATCACTGCCTGGGGACTCGAGAGCGTCCCCGCCGCCGCGCCAGGCGCCAGTTCCCTGCTTCTGAGAGCGCGCACGGGAGCCCGAGCGAGCCCTCCTGGACGCCCGGCACAGGCCGGAGCGCCGACCGCGGGAGGGGCCACCTGGGCACTAGGAAAAGGGGCCACGGTTCCAGGCGGGGCGGTCCCCGCTCTGCTGACTCGGACGGGCCTCACTTCCCCGCCAGAAGAAGCGGCACCCATCCACGGGGAGGGACGGCCTCGGGACATCCTTTGGGGAAGCCAGTGACACATTTCTGATCCAATTTCTTATAAGAAATAGATAAACCTCAGTTTCTTCCTGTGCTTCCTTTCTCTAATTTCCTCAGTCAGATAATAATTGTCATTAAACTCGATGTACCAGTTATTGTGCTAAAGTTTTTAAAATGTTTCAAGTCTCTTCATATTCTCAAGTCTATTAGAGGAGGGACTATTCTTGTCCCCATTGTTTTATATAAAGAAACTTAAACCTAGAGAGGTTAAATAATTTGCCCAAGATCACACCAGGAACTGATAGAGGTCATCTGGCTCCAGAGCTTAACATCGCACTGGGTTGGTTGCTGTCACCTCCCCTGTGCAGGGTTTAAGGAGACTCGAGGAGGCTGATTTTTTTTCCTCTTCTCCTCTTCTCTCTTCTCTTCTCCCCTCTTCCCCCCTCTTTTCCCCTCCCCCCTCCCTCCCTCCTTCCCTCCTTTCTCTCTCTCTTTCTCTTTTATTTTTTATTTTCTTTTCATAGGCTTTCACTCCCATTGCCCAGACTGGACTGCAGTGGTGCAATCTTGGCTCACTGTGACCTTCAGGGAAGCTGATTTCTTAGCCCAGCTGTGGAACTGTCCAGAGCTCCCCAGCTACCCAAGTGTATTCCTCCTCTCCGCCTCCTCCTCTTCTCCTCCTCCTCCTCCTCCTCCTCCTCCTCCTTCTCTCTCTCTCTCTTTAATTTTTTAAGAAACAGTGTCAAGCAATCCTCCTGCCTCAGCCTCCTGAGTAGCTGGCACTACAGGCACGTGCCACCCCAAGTGGCCTTTTCCAGCAGGAAGTTTAGGAGCCTAATGAGCGCAATGCAAGCAGAACCAAATGGTTCCAATACCACGCACCAAGTGCATTGGCACCACATTTCTGGGTAAAAGGGTCCTGCTTGGCAGGGGGGACTTTGAGGGGTCAGGGAGGGCAAAAGGGGCCTCTCCCCTTCCTTGGCTCAGAGATGTTCACGCAACTCCCTGCCGTCTGCAGAGGTCACTGTAAGCCAGCAGACTCATTCTCACGTGGCTGAATGGAGGTTTTCCAATCAAGGAAGGGGCAAGAGAAGAAAAGCCCAGGGCCCTCTCCATTCCCTTCCTTCGTAGACATGCTTTTAAAAAATGATTTAAAGGCTGGACACGGAGGCTCATGACTGTAGTCTCAGCTGCTTGGGAGGCTGAAGTGGGAGGATCGCTTGAGCTCAAGAGGTCAAGGCTGGAGTGAACTAGGTTCACTGTGCTTCAGCCTGGACCACAGAGTGAGACTCTGTCTCCAAAAAAAAAAAGAAAGAAAGAAAAAAGATTTAATCTCATCTCTTAAATAATTTACTGCGGAATTGCTGCTAATCTTTACAGATCCTCCAAGAATTCTATGGTTTATGCCAGCATCATGAGTTTGCCCCTTACTATTTATTGATTTTTGGTCAGAAAATGTAAATAAATTTAAAAAATGTACATAAAGTGAAGCCCAAATCACTGGTGCACAGTATTGATTTGATTATCAATAGAGATTTTTTGTTGTTCAATCTGCAGTGTTCTAAAGTTACCTTTCAACTTGAAATTCTAAGCCAGCTTGCATTATCAGATTTTTTAGAAACCTTGATGACATCAAGCTGGAAATATTCCAGGACCCTCGTCTCATTGAAGAAAGAGCTAAGGATGAGTGACTCACCCAAGGCTCTGTTGGTTGCAGAATGGGGGCTCCTTGGACCAGACAGTGTGTTTAGCAAAAACATATGATGGCAACCAGGCTGGGACAGAGTTGCTACTAGAATGACATCTTTATCCCCTCGTCGGCTTTCAGGGAGTTCTCTGACTTCCTAAGGAATGGGCTTAACAAATAATCCTTGGCAACCAGAATGTTGATCTCATGTTTAAAAATATATTTATCTAATGTTAAAACACACGCACTTAACTATATGGCATGCTCTATTCATTAAAAAATAATACTGTTGAATGCCTCCCGGGTGCAAGGCCCTGGCTGGATGTGAATTAATGAAGACACGTGATTTCTGCCTTTAAGAGGCTTCCAGGATCACAAGGGAGAAAAGACATGAACACAAATAACTGGGCCATAAAAGCAGAAGGTGAGAAACGATTCTCAAGAGACTAAAAGTACTATTTATTCATCCATTCACAAAAACGTATTGAACCTACTTTATGAAGATTCATAAAGGGAACTTTTCACTAGGAAAATCAAAAGGGTATCAGGGAGGAATTTTTTTTTTTTTTTTGTACAGGTTTTGAATTGTTTAAGTGATTATCAAAGCAATTCTGCTCATCGTACAAGTTTTGGAAAGTACAGAAAACGGTAAAGAAACACATACGCAAATTTCCCCCAAATTTACCACCCAGAGACGACTATTTATAGTGTGTTTTCCAGCCCATTTGGCGAGGATTTTTTTTTCCTTTATGAATTTTAGAGCTTAATTTCTATTACAAATCTGTTATACCATAAGCATTTTCCCATATCATCTGGAACTCTTGATTTTTTTTTTTTTTTTTTTTTTTGAGACAGGGTCTTGCTCTATTGCCCAGGCTGGAGTGCAGTAGTGAAATCTTGGCTCACTGCAGCCTCAACCTCCTGGGCTCCGTCAGTCCTCCCCCCTTCACCCTCCCGAGTAGCTGGGACTGCAAGCATGCACCACCATGCCCAGATAATTTTTGTATTTTTTTGTAGAAACAAGGTTTCTCTATGTTGCCCAGGCTGGCCTCAAACCCCTGAGCTCAAACGATATGCCCACCTTGGCCTCCCAAAATACTGGGATTACAGGTGTAAGCCACCGTACCTGGCCTCTCTTGATTATTTTAAGGCTATTTTAAGGCTATTTGCCTGATGTTTTCAACCACAAGGACCCATCATAATCACCTCACTCATTCCTGACTGTAGGACGTCGAGGTTGTTTCCAGCTTTTAATCGCCACACATTTATGTTGCAGTGGACATCTCTGTATATACCGCTTTGACTGTACTTCAACTTCTAAGTTTCAGAGGAAAAAATTGGAAATATGAACATTTTTAAGGAGAATGATAAATATCACCAAAGTATTAGCCAGAGTTTCTAAGGAAATGTTAACAAAAAAAAAGTGGATGAAAGGTAGGAACATGTTCAGGCTTTTGATAAATCTCACCAAGTGGCTTGCAGAAATACTTCATTAGTTTACACACCCCCAGTGCCTGTACAAATGCCATCTTCTTACACTTCGGCTAACAGAGAGCAGTATCTTTGCTGACTTAATGTTATTTCATTGTTATTTTGCATTTTTTTGGCCCTTAGAGAGATTAAACATTCTCCCCCACGCTACCCCCTGCCAGTATTTATTGGCCATTTGTATTTGTGTTTTATTGTTTATGTCCTTTACCCTTTTATTCATGGACACTTTTGTCTTTTTTAATCCATTTATGTAAGCGCTGTATAAATTAAGGATTCTAACCATCTGTTTGTGGCATTTCTGCAAGCTTTTTCCCGGTTGTTTGTGTTTTAATTTTGCTTGTATTTTTTCATCATACTGGAAGTTTTTATTTTTATGTGACACGGATCTGTCAAACATTTCCCTTGTGGTTTCTTCCACAGCTTTGAAGCTTAGAAAACCCTTCACCCTGTAAAGACCAGTTGGTGAAGGGAGTTCCCAGATGAAGGGTACAGTGGGGGCTTGGCCTGGAAGCTGAAGGAGACACTGTCTTGGGTGCATGGTGAGTTGAACCTGCACTTTCAGGCCCAGTCAGAGACACCTTTTAAGACTGTGCTGGCCGGGCGCGTTGGCTCACACCTGTAATCTCAGCACTTTGGGAGGCTGAAGCAGGCAGATCATGAGGTCAGGAGTTTGAGACCAGCCTGGCCAAAATAATGAAACCTCATCTCTACTAAATATGCAAAAATTAGCCAAGCATGGTAGCGCACACCTCTAGTCCCAGCTACTTGGGAGGCTGAGGAAGGAGAATTGTTTGAAAGAGGGAGGCGGAGGTTGCAGTGAGCCGAGATCATGCTGCTGCACTCCAGCCTGGGCAACAGAGTGAGACTCCATCTCAAAAAAAAAGAAAAAAAAAAAAGACTGTGCTGTGCGGTCACAAGCTGGGGGAGCCATTGAAGATTTTCAAGCAAGATGATGACATATTGGAGGGGCTGTGAAACACAGATTCTACATCTTCACAATGATACATGAATATTGGAATGTTTTATTTCTCATGAGAACTACAAGAGACTTCTTCCGGATAGCTATTATGGGAAATCCATAGTTCGTTGCTCAGTGAAACTGAAGAATTCTCCCATATTTCTTGAGTCTGCAGCTGTTTGGGGATTTCATTTTATTTTTTTAATAGAGACTGGGTCTTGCTATGTTGACTAGGTTGATCCTGAACTCCTGGGCTCAAGTGATTCTCCTCCCAAAGTGCTGGAATTACTGGCATGAGCCACCACGCCTGGCCTGTTTGGGGATTTGAGCGTGGTGTTTCTGCTTTGATTCTATTAGCACCAGGAAGGATCCTCCAGGCCCACACATTTCCTTCTTACTTTGCAGCAAATTGATACTTGCTGCTTATTTGCGCAGCATGTCGCCGACACCTTCTCTCCCTGCTTGGCGTGGCTTCCCTCCAAGCCTGGCTGACCCGCGAGCGTGGCGAGCAGACCTCCACTTTTCTGCCTTAAGGAAAATGGTAGTTTCAATAACTGATTCTGCTAGAGAAACCACACTTGAACGATTTGTAAAATCTCTGGGAAGGAGTTATTCTGGGTGGCCAATTTTTTGGTGAATAAAAAGCATATTCCTTCGAGGACTGTTTTACTTTTTAGTTAGACACTATGTGGAAATGTAGGATACCTCTAGGCCCTTTTTTCATTCTCTTTGACAAGAATACATTCTTCAGTGAAATACTTAAAAGCTACCCAGAATCCTTGCCTCCCAACACAAACATTCCATTTGTTTCCGTCCTGCCTTTCATGTGCGTGTACATTTCACGGGGCCACAAATCATTGTACGGACTCTCCTGTGGTTCTGCCGGTTTCACTGACCAAGGCCTGATTATGTGTGTCTAGATTTTATACAGTGAGCATAAAATGATAATTTAAGAACATTTTTATTGAAATACACAATATGTAAATATTTAAAACTTTTTTATTGGGATACACAATAGTCTATACACAGCACACACAGAATAGTGCACAAATCCTAAATGTACAGCTCTGTTAGAATTTTTTTTTTTTTTTGAGACCGAGTCTCACTCTGTCACCTAGGCTGGAGTGCATTGGCACGATCTTACCTCACCTCAACCTCCACCTCCTGGGTTCAAGCAATTCTCCTGCCTCAGCCTCCCGAGTAGCTGGGATTACAGGCGCCCACCACTACGCCCAGCTAATTTTTGTATTTTTAGTAGAGACGGGGTTTCACCATGTTGGCCAGGCTGGTCTCAAACTCCTGGCTTCAGGTGATCCTCCCAACTCGGCCGTCCAAAATCCTGGGGGCCTCTGCGCCCAGCCTTAGTTTGAATTTTTGAAAACTAAGCACACACATGTAACCAGTCCCCAGATCAAGAAAGAGGACATTACCAGCACCTGGAGGTCCTCTCCTTACCTGTTCCAGTCACCAACCTCCCCCTTCCAAAGGTAACAACTACCCTGATTTCTAACAGCATAAATTAATTTGGACTGTTTTTGACCTTTGATTAATAAAATCATAAAGTATGTTGCTATGGTTTGAATGTGTCCCCCAAATTTCCTGCATTAGAAACAATCCCCAAATTCATATGTTGATGGCATTTGGAGGGGAGGAAGGGGTTTTGGGAGGTAATTAGGATTAGATAAGGTCATCAGAGTGGGCCCCCCCATGGTTGGGACTGGTGGCCCATAAGAAGTGGAAGAGAGACCTGAACTGCCATGCTCTTGCCCTCTCACCATGTGATGCCCTCTGCCATGTTATAACGTAGCAAGAAGGTCCTCATCAGATGCAGCTCCTCAGCCTTGGACTTCTCTAACTATAAGATATAAAATTTTTTTCTTTTTCTTTCTTTCCTTTTTTTTTTTTTTTCTTTGAGACAGAGTCTGGTTCTGTCACCCAGGCTGGAGTGTGTGCAGTGCTGCAATCTCAGCTCACTGCAACTCTGCCTCCTGGGCTCAAACCATCCTCCCAACTCAGCCTTCTGAGTAGCTGGGACTACAGGCATGCACCATCACACCTGGCTAATTTTTAAATTTTTGGTAGAGATGGGGTTTCACCATGTTGCCCAGGTTGGTCTCAAATTCCTGAGCTCAAGCAATCCACCCATCTTGGCCTCCCAAATTTCTGGGATTACAGGTGTGAGCCACCATGCCCAGCACATTTCTTTTTATAATTACCCAATCTGTGGTATTCTGTTACAGCAACAGAAAATGAACCAAGACGTATGTTCTCTTTGGTATCTGCTGCTTTTATTCAACATTAGGTTTATAAAATTCATCAACATTGATGTGCATAGCAATAGTTCATTCACTCTCATTGCCTTATGGGACCCCGCTGTATGAGCCATCTATCTATTGTATCTATGGCTGTGGAACAAACTACCCCAAAACCTAGTGACTTAAAACAATAACATTTATCTTGCATAGTTTCTATGCATTAGGAATTTCAAGAGCAGCCTAGCTGGGCAGTTCTGGCTCAGGGCCTCTCATGTGGTTGCAGCTGAGATGTCCTTCAGGGCTGCAGACATCTGACTGGGGCTTGACCGTTGCTCGAGGGTCTCCATCTCCAACTTCATCACTCACATGGCGGTTGGCAGGAGGCCTTCCTTCCTCTCTGCAGGGGACTCTCCACAGTGTGGCTTGAGTTTTTTCATGATTTGACATGACACTGGCTTTCCCCAGAGTGAATGATCAAGAGACCAAGGCAGAAGCTGCAACATCTTCCGTGAGCTCTCATTGGAAGTCACTCATGGTTGCTTCCATCATATCCTGTTGGTCGCCATGTCAGCCCTATTCAGTGTGAGAGGGGACTTCACAAGGATGTGATTACCAGGAGGCAAGGATTTTGGGGGGCCTTTAGAGGCTGGTGACCACCATCTATTGTAAAAGATCACGTTTTATAGCATCTCCCCTCACAGTGTTGCATTGTAAATTTTTTGCAAATTTAATGAGTTGATTTTGTAGTAGATGAGTAAATTTTGTAGTTAATACTGATACGAACATACTTGTGCACACAGCTTCTTGTTTCTGAAGTAGTTCTTAGAAATCTGTCCCTGGGAATGGAACTCGTGAGTCAAAAGATCTCAACCCATTTGTGGCTATTTCTTCGGATTGTACCAATTTTCAGTGCTACTAGCAAGCCAATGGTAGACCAAGTCCACTTCAGCTCCATCTACATTAGACCTTAATGCCGCCAGACAGAGCAGGGTGCCAGAACATGAAAATGACGCTCTGTCATCAAAATAATGGCAAATAATAAGCACCAGGCACTGTTCTGGGCTTCAATACCATGCTGCCTGGAGGAGACCTTCCATAGTGAAGACTGGAGGCTCTTTTCTGGGAGGCCCTGGATAACAGGTCCTCTGCTGGATGGTTTTAAACCAAACTGTTTTTTTGTTTGATTGTTTGTTTGCTTTCTGAGATGGAGTCTTGCTCTGTCACCCAGGCTAGAGTGCAGTGGTGTGATCTTAGCTCACTGCAACCTCTGCCTCCCATGTTCAAGCGATTCTCCTGCCTCAGTCTCCTGAGTAGCTGGGATTACAGGCACCTGCCACCACGCCTGGCTAATTTTTATATTTTCAGTAGAGATGGGGTTTCACCATGTTGGCCAGGCTGGTCTCAAACTCCTGACCTCAAGTGATCCTCCCGCCTCGGCCTCCCAGAGGGCTGGGATTATAGGCATGAGCCACCGTGCCCGGCCCAAACTGGTTTTGAAATTGCGTTTTCTACCACCTCTTGGAAAGGCAGCATGGGGAGGTGGAGAGGACAGCGGCCTTGTAAGAAGACAGTCTGGTTCAAATTTTAGCTCTACCATGTGCTGGCTGGGTGAACTTGGGCAAGCTGCTTTCCTTCTTGTGCCTCAGTATCCCCATTGGTAAACAGAGATCACAGCACCAACCTCCCAGGGTAGCTGGGAGGATTGAAGAGGCCGCGATGCCGCCTTCCCGGCACCACAGTTCCTGCAGTGCAGGCGCCCAGCAAATGCTGGTTTTCCACCTCTCTGCCTCTCCCATTTCCCCTTCTTGGTTCGCACATTTGACACTTACTGGCTGAAATACTTCCTGTGATATGTCCTTGGTTTCTCCTGAAGAAAAAAAAGTCCAATCTGTTTTTTTTTTTTCTAATTATAATAGCGATGCACGTTCACCGCTGAAAAATTTGGAAAGTACAAAGAAGGAAATAAAAATCACCCGCAATTTCACACCCCAGATCTGTGACTGTGAACATTTGGGTGTGTCTCCTCCTGGGTGTCGGACCACTTCTTATTCTCAGAATTCTATGGGGTGGCTCCGGGGCAGTGTGACACCTCTGTCCAGGCCCCAGCGAGGGGTAGAGTGAGTGCTGGACAGGGGTCCCCAAACGGGCCACTTTTGCTGCATGTGTGGAGACAGATAGGACTTCAAGACTCAGTCCTCGCCACCTGCAGAAGGTAAGACCAGGAGCCTTGAGGGGGACAGTTCTGCCCTGCATTTGCCCCCTTTCCCCGGCAAGTCCCTGGCCTTAGGGAGTGGCCATCCCAAACTCATCCGGACTTTGGCCATTTCTTGTTTCTGGGCTTCAGTGTCCTTATCTGTTAAGTGAGCAGCTGGGCCCCTTGACTTCCAGGTCTAACACTGTGTGTCATGAGAGGCGTCCGTGGAAGAGAAGGTGCTTTGCTGCTGGTGGGACCTCATGCATGTGTAGGTGTTTATTTCTCTGGGGTCCTCTCCTTCTGCTAAGAAGAGAAGAGGACAAACCTCACGCCAGCCTTCAATTGCCTTCGCCCCTGAACTGTGTCTTGTCAGCCTCCTCAGCTGCTCTTTGAGTACTTGAGTGAGGCAAGGACCTGCTGGGGGAGCTGTTGTGAGGATCCAATGAAACAAGGCCTCTGAGGCAACAGAATAGAGTTGTAATGGCACTATCAGTAGAGAGGGACTGTCCAGGTTTAAATCCCTGGCTGTGTGACCTTGAGCAAGTTACTCAACTACTCTGTGCCTCAGTTTTTTCTTTTTTTTTTTTTCCTTTCCTTTCCTTTTATTTTTTCTTTCTTTCTTTCTTTTTTTTTTTTTTTTTTTTTTGAGACAAGGTCTTGCTCTATTGCCCAGGCTGGAGTACAGTGGCCCCATCATGGCTCACAGCAGCCTTGACCTCCTGGGCTCAATCGATCCTCCCACCTCAGCCTCCCAAGTAGCTGGGACTACAGGTGAGTGCTACCACAACTGGCTAATTTTCAAATATTTTGTAGATACGGGATCTCAATATGTTGTCCAAGTTGGTCTCCAACTCCTGGTCTCAAATGATCCTCCCAAAGCAATGGGATTACAGGAGTGAGCCAGCATGCCCGGCCATCCCTTATCTTTAACCTGGGAAAGATGATCATAACATCAAATAAATTGTGTGCAGATTCAATGAGTTAATATGTGTGAAGCCCTTAGAACAGTGCTTGGCACATAGTAGGTGCTATGTGAGTACTAGATATCATTACAGTGCCTGAAATGTAATAAGTGCTCTGAGATGTGTGCTATTAGAATTGTAAAGAGATTCCAAAAATGGAGGCATGTTTGACATGAAAAGTGAAAGTTTCTCCTGCCCCACTTAATCTCACTCTCCAGAAGAAACCACTGTGAACAGTTCCTTCCCTAGGCCACCTTCCAGATCATTCTTTAGAAATACATCATGATTATGCATATAGTGTTTTCTTTTTACTTTTCTTTAGGTTTTTGTTTGTTTGTTTGTTTGTTTTTTGAGACAGGATCTTGCTCTGTCACCCAGGTTGGAGCACAGTGGTGCGATCATGGCTCACTGCAACCTCCACCTCCTAGGCTCAGGTGATCCTCCCACCTTGGCCTCCCAAAGTGCTGGGATTACAGGCACGAGCCACCACACCTGGCCCATGTTTTCTTTTTAAACCATCACATCATACAGAGTGTTTGCAAGTTGCTATTTTCTTCACAGTATCACGGACATACCTGCATGTCGGGATGTACTAACACATAGCTGTGAAATTTTGCCACCAATTTCCTATTGATGGACAGACAGTTGGACTTGTCTACTTTTTCTCCTTTTTTTAATTATACAAAATAAGCAAGGAACATCTTTCTGTAGAGCTTCACACTCCAAAAGGAGTATCCCTGAGGTTGAGGAGATGAGGGGGACATGAGCAGGACAACGTCACCTGCTCCAGGAGGCACAATCAGAGGCAGTGAATGGCCCACCCTTCTGAGTGGCTCTAATGTGTCACCCTGCGAGGACCCCTGCCCCCACACCCAAAGGAGACAGGGGTGTGCCCAGGGGCATTCCTCTTGGAGGTAAAGACAGAAGTGCAGGGTCGGGAGGGAACAAGAGAACTGAGGTGACCCTGGAGGCTATTTCTCACCTGAAATTATGTAGACATTTTCATTATGAAAATTTTCAAACATACAGAAAAGGTGCAGGAGTCATCTAACAAATCTCCATACAAGTATCCACGCAGCCACCAACCAGATGTAATAGCTGCTGACACTTGCTGTATTTGTTTTATCTGTCTATTCCAAAACATTTCAAAGTAAGCTGTAAACATTTTGACATTTCACTAATTCAACATTGTGTCACCCAGGCTGGGGTGAAGTGGCACAATCTCGGCTCACTGCAGCCTTGACTTCCTAGGATTAGGTGATTCTCCCACTTCAGCCTCCCAACTTGATGGGACCTCAGGTGCACGCCATAATGCCGGCTGCCCAGCTAATTTTAATTAATACACACACACACACACACACATATTTATTTATTTATTTATTTATTTATTTATTTATTTATAGAGATGAGGTTTCACCATGTTGCCCAGGCTGGCCTTGAACTCCGGGGCTCAAGCAATCCTCCTGCCTCAGCCTCCCAAAGTGCTGAGATTACAGACGTGAACCAATGTGCCTGGCCCATAATATTTTTTTAGTTTTGCTCTAACACCCAGGCTGGAGCGCAGTGGCATGATCTTGGCTTACTGCAACCTCTACCTTACGGGTTCAAGTGATTTTTGAGCCTCAGCCTCCCTAGATGGGACCAAAGATACATGCCACCATGCCCAGCTAATTTTTTGTATTTTTAGTAGAGACGGGGTTTTGTCATGTTGACCAGGCTGGTCTCAAGCTCCTGGCCTCAAGCAATCCTCCTGCCTCGACCTCCCAAAGTGCTGGGATTACAGGCATGAGTCACTGTAACCGGCCCCATAATCTAATATCTAAAAAAACTACCAATCATTTCCTAATGTCATCTAATAATAAATAGATTTTCAAGCTTCTCAAGTTGTCCTCCTTCTCTCCCTCACATGCACACTCTCTCTATATAATTATATTGTAAAAATAAAAAATATATTTATATATGTGCATTTCTTTTTTTTTTTTTTTAGACGGAGATTCATTCTTGTCGCCCAGGCTGGAGTGCAGTGGCGCGATCTCGGCTCACTGCAACCTCTGCCTCCTGGGTTCAAGCGATTCTCCTGCCTCAGCCTCCCAAGTAGCTGGAATTACAGGCGCCCACCACCACACCCAGCAAATTTTTGTATTTTTAGTAGATACGGGGTTTTGTCATGTTGGCCAGGCTGGTCGTGAACTCCTGAGCTCAAGTGATCTACCCGCCTCGGCCTCCCAAAGTGCTGGGATTACAGGCGTAAGAGACTGCACCCAGCTTATATATGCATTTCTATATATGCAAATTAAAAACCAGCTTCTAGTAGAATGCCATTCTCTTCTCTTCCACCCACCTGAAACTTCTTCCTCTCCCACCTAGGCCTGGGCCTGTAAACCCCATCAGGGACAGTGGCGATGTTGGGCAGAGACATAAAGAATCTGCAGCCTTCGAGGACCAGGTGGAGGCATGGGGCGGGGTTGGGCAGTTTCCTGTCGGGGAGGTACTGAGAGCCAGATGCTGGCCACCACCTTCTCAGGGTGGCTGAGCTGGGGCTCGAGACAGAACTTGGCAAACACTGACCGTGGTTCTGGGACTGGCGGAGGCTGGGGCAAGCCCAGCCCGGGCTTCACAGCAGCCGTCACTGCTTGCGAGGTGCTCCTGGGCAGATGAGAAAACGTGCTCCTTGCAGAACTCCTCTTATGCCAACATACATGGCTCAGCGGTGGAGTCACGTTGGATTTTGGCCCCAATTCCGGTGCTAGCACTTTGTGCAGTGCACAAGCTATACACCCATATGTGGCAACCCTGACCGGCAGGGGTGACTTGGCTAGCAAGGCGGAGCAGACAGACTCCAGCCTGAAAGCAGGCAAGGTGGTCGTTCACAGCGGACTCTCTCTGTCCCCACAGCAACAGCATGATAAGAGCTGCCATTTATTAGGCATTTAGTCTGTGTGAAGCCCTGGGTTGAGTTAGCTCATGTTTTCTTCGTGACCGAGTAGGTGCCAGTGTTATCTTTACTTTAGGGACGAGCGCACAGGCTCTGAGAGGTTCAGTCATTTGCTTAAGGCTGTACACATCATAAGGCTTCATCCTGGGTCTGTTGGCTCTTGGGGCTGTGTCAGAAGAAGGGTGTCTCACATGGCTATTGTTAGGGGGCGTCCCGGAGTCCTGTTCGGGCCCAGGGCATTGAGGATTCTGTTTGTTAGGTCTGCGGTGGGATCTCAGCAGCCAGATATGCCCCATACCCTGTTCAGAACCACTGGGCGTCCAGAGCACGTGGAAATTCAGGCACACGGAAACCCAGCCCTCTCTGGGACACTGTAGGTGACACTGCTGACCTTTAGGTCCCCAAGAGCAGAAATCATGACACCTGGAAGTGCAAAAGGAGATCAGGAAGGTGCCAGAACTTCTGTGGTATCGCTCCCCCTCCCATACGCAGAGTATGGTCGGCGGGGAAGGACGTGAGGTTGGCATGACCCACATGGGCACCCGGCCATCCTGGCTACCCCGGCCAGACAAGCGACCTTGCATAGGCTAGAGAATATGACTTGTCCTGGACTCCTCCAGAAAATGGTGGGGGGATGCTGCTGGCTCCTCCTACCCTGGCCGCGGCCATCAGTTTGGTCCTGGGAAGGCTGGTGGCAGCTTCAAAGCTGGTGGCCAACATCTGGGGCTCTTGAAGCCTGCAGCTCACATTCCTTAAAGGAGAAGGTGGGAGTGGACCGGGGGCAGATTCTGGGGCTACCAGGCCCGTCACTCTCCCCACAGGCCCCTCCTTCAGACAACAGAGAGTTTACCGCATCCCTGTCCTAGACGGTGGCCGCAGGCTCTCAGACGGGCACTCCCTTCTGGCAGAAGCTGCTGTTAGCTTTGCCACACTCCCCACAGAGGCACCGCAGTTTGGAGAGGTGCTTAGGAGGGGCGAGCTACGGCCTTGAATCGTTTCAAGGCTGCACTCGCCAGTCTTCTTTGCTGTATTATTCTCCAGAACAAGCTCCTCCCTGTGGCCTGCATGAAAACTCGGTGGCTGTTTCTCCACTGTCAGAAAAGGTGACGTTTTTGTACACCTGGACCTAGAAGAAATCAGGCTGGGCTTAAAGAAGATCAGGCAGCAGACCAAAAGACACTTAAACTGTGACTCCTTTTGGTTTGTTTGTTTTGCAGGGAGAGGCAATTAGTGGAAATTCTTGGCCGCTTCTGAGCTGCTGATGGCAGTGTCTTGAGGGAGAGGCGCTGGGAGGAGAGGCAGCCGCGGGGAGGGGCCGTGTGGGTAGGGACAGTCAGTAGCATTCGAATGAGCCTTAAATCTATGGGAGATGGGACCCCCCAGTGTCTCAGAGACTGCGAGAAATTGAGCCCTGGAGTAGTCAGTGGTGTGCTGAGGGCTGACAGCTGTGGGCAAAGCTTCCCTGCATGACTGAGTGGACACCAGACATCTTTCTGGGCCAACTCTGTCTCCTCCTGGCTCCCAAACCCGCATTTCCCTTTCCCAGGCTCAGTGGTAGGTGTGCTTACCCCATCCTCGTGGGGCCCAGGGGGTCCACATCCAGTTTTCCTTCCTGACTGCCAGTATCGGTGACCTGTAGTGACTTCAGGCCCCATGCCAGGGGCACAGGCTGCCCACCAGCTCCTGCCTCACCCTACAGTGGACCCACTTCCAGTCCCTCGAGGTGGGCCTGGGTGTCTGATGAGCTGGCTGACCTGGACACTGTTCCCTGGGCTCTCCCTCCCTGGCCACCCTCCTCCTGCATCTTCTGTCCATCTTTTCTTCTCTCCACCCTTCCCACAGGCCCTCCCAAGGTCCCTACCTAGGATGAGCACAGTGATGCTGAAAAGAAAACCTTCCATTCCTGGAGGCGCTGAACCAGGCCCTGCACTAGGAGCTTGGCGCGCGGCCGGACCCAGGCGCCCAGTGTCACCCCGTGTGCCAGAAACTGCCTCCTGCTGCCACCCAAGGGGCAGGGGCTGGCAATTGTGGAAAACACAGGAGTCACAGTCCACCTTTCGGAGGTTGGCCAAGATGTCTCCAGAGGAAAAGACATTAAAGAGGTTGGCCAAGATTCCTCCAGAGGAAAAGACATTAAAGAGGTTGGCCAAGATTCCTCCAGAGGAGAAGACATTAAAGAGGTGTGTGTGTGTGTAAATGAGTGCGTGTGCGTGTGCATGTGAGTGTGTATGTGTGAGACCACACTTGTACCAGGCCTAACTTCTAGGCCCCATGTGAGGGGATGGTGGGGTACAAGACAGTGAGGCCCAGGTGCTCCCTGAGGGTGACCATGATGCTGGGGAGCCCACAGGAGTGGAGCTCAGCTCCTGCCAGTGGCAGTGTCTCCCTGCTGCCCCTGGCCTCGGCCATGAAGGTTCTCCACACAGGGCTCTTCTTGGGACAGCTGGGATTGTTGTTGTCATTGTTGTTATTTTATTTATTTTTTTCAAGGCAGAGTCCCGCTCTGTCACCCAGGCTGGAGTGCAGTGGCGCAATCTCAGCTCACTGCAACCTCTGCCTCTTCAATTCAAGCGATTCTCTTGCCTCAGCTTCCTGAGTAGCTGGGATTAGAGGCACACACCACCCCGCCCAGCTAATTGTTTTGTATTTTTAGTAGAGATGGGGTTTTGCCATGTTGGTCAAGCTGGTCTCGAAATCCTGACCTCAGGTTATCCTCCTGCCTTGGCCTCCCAAAGTGCTGAGATTACAGGCGTGAGCCACCGCACCCGGCCCAGCTGGCGTTTTTAACCTCGTAGGTTATGTGTTCTCTTCCCCACCTCTGTTCTCCTCAGAACAGCTCCGTGTGTGTGCATATGTTTGAGCGTGCGTGTGCATGCATGTGTGTATACATGTGTGCATGTGTGTGTATGCGTGTCTGCATGTGTGTGCGTGTGTGCATGTGCGTGCATGTGTGTGTATGTGTGAGCAAGCACACATGAGTTTTCATCCATGTTGATCCGATTTCCCTGTTTCCCCTGACTCCCACCCCTAGACTTTCTGGAGTCGTCCTCGTTAGCAGCCCTCATGATTCATTGTGGGAGGGGGATTTAAAGCTGCTCATAAAACACCACTTCACTTTCTGTTTTCTTTTCTCCCCTTTCTTTCTCGGCCCCTTGGCTCTATAGCCTGGCTTTTTCCCCTGTGCTTGGCCAGATATGTAAAATAAACACATCCACTGTGCAGGAGGAAATGACCTTTGGGTTTTGGGGGCTCTCTTAATGAGGCCTCAGCACTGCTGACAGTTCCACGCTTCCCTTTTTTACCCTTTGACGTTCTGAGACTTTGCCCAGGAGCTGGCGTCTCAGATTTCAGGTGTCCTGGGCCGCCCAGTAAAGCCGTTCAGCAAGGCCAGGGCACAGCCCACACCCAGTTTCTCACCTGGCTTTACCCTGAGTGTACCTCTGTCTAGGGATCCCACTGGTTTTGTTTTTTTTATTTCTTTTTAGTAACAAAAGAAATCATGTTTGCTTGTCTCTAAAACTATAAGCAGCATAGAAATGAAGATCCCAGCCAGGGCGCAGTGGCTCATGCCTGTAATCCCAGCACTTTGGAGGCTGAGACAGGCAGATCACCTGAGGTCAAGAGTTGGAGACCAGCCTGGCCATCATGGCAAAACCCTGTCTCTACTAAAAATACAAAAATTAGGAGGGCATGGTGGCTCATGCCTGTAATCCCAGCTACTTGGGAAGCAGAGTAGGAGAATCACTTGAACCTGGGAGGTGGAGGTTGCAATGAGCCGAGATCGTGCCACTGCACTCCAGCCTGGGCGACAGAGCAATCTCCATCTCAAGAAAAAAAAAAAAGAAAAGAAAAGAAATGAAGATTCTTTCTCCCCTTTCCTCCCAGTGCTCTCCCCACAGGAACGAGACCTGCGTGGTGTGGGGAGCAGCTGAAGACTTCTCATCTGCCTTTGTGAATGCCAATTGTACACAGCCACTACTGGAATCTTACTCATCGCAGCAGGAGGCCTGGCTTCCGGCACAGGTGGAATGAATGAAGGAAGGAACGGATGAATGAAAACAATGAAGCTGTACAGAGCAGTCTGTCTCCGAGTGGGCAGTGGATCCTGGAAAACACATCTTCAGCCATCCAGAGTGGGAAGATCTGGATTTGGGATGTAGCCGCTTCCTCCCTGTGTGACCTTTGGCAGATGTCATTTACTTTTTGGAACTTCAGTTTTTCCATCCGCAAAAAGGGGATGCTGCCTGCCCAGTTCATGTCACAGACCTGTGAAGGTCAAAACAGAAGGCAGGAGGGAGCATATTCCATAAAAGGTACAGCAGCCGGGCAGAGTGGCCCATGCCTGGAATCCCAGCCAAGGCAGGAGGATTGCTGGAGACCAGAAGTTTGAGACAAGTATGGGCAAAATAGCAATACCTCATCTCTAAAAAAAATTATTTAAAAAATCAGCTGGGGCTGGGTGCGGTGGCTCACCTGTAATCCCAGTACTTTGGGAGGCCAAGGCAGGCGGATCACTTGAGGCCAGGAGTTCAAGCCCAGCCTAGCCAACATGATGAAACCCCATCTCTCCTAAAAATAGAAAAATTAGCCAGGTGTAGTGGTGCACACCTGTAGTACCACTGCACTCCAGCCTGGGTGACAAAGCGAGACTCTGTCTCAACAAACAAACAAACAAACAAACAAAAAACCAGCGGAGCATGGTGGCACACACTGTAGTCCCAGATACTTGGGTGGCTGAGTGGGGAGGATGGCTTGAGCCCAGGAGGTCCAGGCTGCAGTGAACCACGATCGCACCACTGCACTCCGGCCTGGGCCACAGAGTGAGACTCTGTCTCTACAAAAGAAAATAAGAAAGGAAGGAAGGAAGGAAAGAAAAAAAAAATAAATAAAAATGAAAGATAAAGCATAGGGACGTCTCTGAGACAAAGAGCTGAGTGGAAGAATCAAGTTAGGACTCAGCAGCGCAGGATGGCGAGGCTTATAATTTTAATCCCCTCCTCGATTTCTTTCGATGAGGCAAAAAACAGTCTTGGAAATTACTCACCAAACCAGCAGTGGGTGCCAGGAGCTCATTCACTTTGTGTGTCATTATAATTTTTTGTAACTAGAATGGATGGAGCAACCACTTTGGTAGTGAAAATATTTTAATATCCGCATGTGCATAAAGTGACACGAATAACAGTTCCCGTTTACTGGGCTCTGATGCTGTAGCAGGCTGTGGGGATGGCTACTGTGCTCATTTTACAGACAAGGAAACTGAAACCCAGGCAGGCGAAGTGGCTTGCCCAGGCTCACACAGCCAGAACGGGATGAAGCAGGTTCTGACCTCCAAGCAAGACTGACTCCAGTGGGGAATTATGGGTTCCCAAATGACACTGATCACAGCAACAACGGGCAGGACAGGACAGGTGACTCAGAGCAGACTCCTCATGCAAGGGGAGATGTTGCCCAGTGCCGAGGGCACCGGGGCAGGGTTCATGCCTTCCCCTGGGAGAGCAAGAGGTTCAGAGTCAGAAAGACTGGGGCTTGTGGTCCCAGCTCTGCCACTTTCTGGTTGTGTAACTTCTGCCAAATCCCTTCACCCCTCCGAGCCTCAATGTGCTCATATGCAAAAGGGGCGAGTAACCACCTACCTTGCAGGCTTGTGTGGACTGAGTGTGTTACGGCCATGAAAACACCATGTGCTCTATAAGGTGCGCTTTATTCATTCCTGAAGTGAGCATTTATCATGCACCCACGTTCATGCCAAGCCCTTCTCTGGGATCTGGGGAGACAGCAGCAAACACAGCAGATGAGGTCCTGGTCCCTGGAGTTACTTTCAAGTGGTTGGAGCCAGATAATCAACCGAGAAAGCCTGACACAGTTCAGACGGCGTTGAGTGCCGTGGAGAACCCACGCCGGACAGCGTGACGGAGCGGCCTCGGGGCTGGGCTACTGAGCAAGGGAGGGGCCTCTCTGACTTTGTGATGTCTGCACAGAGGCTGAGCGGTGTGGTGCAGGTCAGTGATGGAAAGCTGTTTATGGGAAGTGTCAAGGGATAGCCCCAAGGAAGGGAGGAGCTACAGCGGGTGAGGAACAGAAGGCTAGGGCAGGGAGAATGGGCAAGGGGCCCACCGGGCAGTGCCTGTGCACTAGAGGTGGTCTCTAGAGGTGGGAATGTCTTTGTGGACACGTGTCCTTTGCTTAGGACAGCGGAGAGAGGCTTCCAGGTCTGGGTGGGTGAGAAAGAGGGAGGAGCTGTCAGGCAGAACCATGGAGGTAGGTGGTAGGAGGTAGGAGGTAGGTGGGAGGGTGAGGCACCTGCTCTGAGCCCCTTCTCCCTGGGCAGGAATGGGGCATGTGGGCAGAGCAGAGGGAAGCAGCGGTGCAGGAATGGCCCTGACCTGCACAGATGTGGGAGGAGGTCCGCACGCCCAGAGAGGGGCTGAGATCATACCACCAGGGACCTGGTGTTGGTTCCACAAGAGGCTCAGGGACACACTTCCAGAATTTTGAGAGCACCCCTAGCAGAGGCAGGGACTTGGACTGGTTGACCTGGCTTTCCCACACCCTCAAAACCTCAAAATGTCCAATGTCCATCCACTGATCATGATGGGTCTTTCTAGAATGTCATTTTCTCCCCAGTGCAGTTGGTGAGAGGCATTCTCACCTCCTCCCTGGAGAGTGGGGTTCCTCCTTACCATTGCCTGGTGGTTGAGCTCTAGTCCTTCTGTCTGGCTGGCCGTGTAGCCTTGGGCAAGCCGCTCCATCTCTCTGTGCCTCTGTTGCCTGGGCTGTAAACAGAAGTGAGCTAAAGGCAGGCAGACCGAGGTCTGTGACCACGTAATAACTCATACTCAGTTCCAGAAATATTCACCCACAGAAGTGTCTGGGACAAGCCTGGAAGGCTGATCACACCAGCCCTCCGGGTGCTGCTCGTGGCTGAGAGAACAGAAGGGAGCCCTGTCCACCATGGGAAGCTGCTGTTTCCATCACCAGCCTGGGCTGTGGTGCAGAAAGAAGGAAGGGGAGTCTGGGTGGGGCGAGGGAGGCAGCAAAGGGCCTGGACCTTCGTGGGAGCACGGACACACAGGACAGCCATTGTCGAGCTTGGACTGACCCTACTTGGTGACGTTAAGTTCTCAAGCTCCAAGAAACAGCATCTGAGTTCTTGAGCTCAATCTTCCCACCAAAGAAAATCATACACAAGTCCCGGCGCAGGGGCTTCACAGCTCAAAGCATGGTCTGTGTCCACATTTCCTGTGGTGGGTCAGGCCCCACTGCAGTCCTGAGCCAGCTCTGCATTCCCACCAGAGCCCCAGGAGATCAGATGCGGGGTGAACTCTGAGAAGCGCTGCTCTAGGGCACAGGTAGGCTCATTGCAGCCTTGTCCCCAGCGGGAAAACGCGGTGGACCTGCAGCAGTCAGAGGCAAGGCACACTGCAAGCTCCAGGAACAGGCAGGACCCGAGAAACGTAGGTGGGTGGAAGCAGGAAGAAGGAGAACCCAGCGCAAAACTGATGATGCATATTAAAAACATGCACATGGCGGCTGGGCGTGGTGGCTCACGCCTGTAATCCCAGGACTTTGGGAGGCCGAGATGGGTGGATCATGAGGTCAGGATTTCGAGACCAGCCTGGCCAAGATGGTGAAACCCCATCTCTACTAAAAATTCAAAAAAATTAGCCGGGCGCGGTGGTGGGCATAGGGAGACTGAGGCAGGAGAATCACTTGAGCCCAGGAGGTGGAGGTTGCAGTGAGCTGAGATTGCACCATTGTACTCCAGCCTGGGAGACAGAGCAAGACTCAGTCTCAAACAAAACAAAACAAAACAAAACAAAAAAACATGCACATGGCAAAATGACATAAAGGAGAGTGTTGGGATGGTGGGAGCCGTATTGTGTCAATGTGAACTCTCCTGAACGTGGTTATTGTTCCTGGTTATGTAAGAGCAGCTCCTTGTTCTCAGGAGGCCCACGGGGAATGGTCCTGACATGTGTAGGTACTTCTATATGGCTCAGCAAACAAAATTTATGCAGATACTCAGAGAGAACCCCTGGAGCAAAATGTTGACAATCTGTGAGCCTAGGTAAAGGGGATATGGGAGGTTTGTTGTTGTTGTTTTTTGTTTTTTGAGACGGAGTCTCGATCTGTCACTGAGGCTGGAGTGCAGTGGTACAATCTCTGCTCGCTGCAACCTCTGCCTCTCAGGTTCAAGTAATTCTCGTGCCTCAACCTCCTGAGCATCTGGGACTACAGGTGCACGCCACTACACCTGGCTAATTTTTGTATTTTTAGTAGAGACGGGGTTTTGCTGTGTTGGCTAGGTTGGTCTTAAACTCCTGACCTCAAGTGATCCTCCTGCTTCGGCCTCCCAAAGTGCTGGGATTACAGGTGTGAGCCACTGTGCCTGGCTAATTTTTATATTTTTAGTAGAGATGGGGTTTTGCCATGTTGGCCAGAACTCCTGGCCTCAAGTGATCTGCCTGCCTCGGCCTCCCAAAATGCTGGGATTACAGGCATGAGCCACTGCACCCAGCCGGATATGGGAGTTTATTGCACTGTCCACAGAGTGAAGGTGTGGCTCCTGGACTTCCTCCCTCGTCCAGAGGAGAGTCAGGCTGAACCAGCCGGGTCCCAGGAGACCAAAGGAGACCCCCCCCCCCCCGCCGCCACTAACAAACCACAGAGATTTTTACTGAAAATAAGTTTTCTTCCTCTCTTCTTGTAATTACAAAGATAAACCAAGTTTATTGTAAAAATGTGAAATGACTAAGAAGTGTATAAAGCAAAAAGCAAAGCGTTTTTTCACCTTTGCCCCTCCCCAATTCTTAACCTCTGTGGACAGCTTGGCAGCCCCTTCTAGGCATTTTTCTTTCCAGGTGAAAGTTCTGTCAATCTTTTTTCCTCCCAGAGGGAGTCCTGCACAATTTATTGTTCATATATTGGGGACAGGTTTCCATGGCAAAACTCAATCTGATTCTTTTTTACTTTTTTTTTTTTTTTTGAGACAGAGTCTCGCTCTGTTACCCAGGTTGGAATGCAGTGCCATGATCTCGGCTCACTGCAACCTCCGCCTCCCAGGTTCAAGCAATTCTCCGGCCTCAGCCTCCTGAGTGGTTGGGATTACAGGCACCTGCCACCATGCCTGGCTATTTTTGTATTTTTAGTAGAGATGAGGTTTCACCGTGTTGGTCAGGCTGGTCTAGAACTCCTGATCTCAAGCAATCCACTCACCTCGGTCTCCCAAAGTGTTGGGATTAAAGGCGTGAGCCACCGCCCCTGGCCCTTTCTTACTTTTTAAATCAAGAACTGAAAACGACTTTATTTACTCTTCTTGGGACATGGCCACGCCCATGGAAGTCCCCAAAGTAGGCTGGACAGGCCACAGCAGCACCCGGAGCAGTGGTGGCAGCTCCTGTTGAGCTGCCCTCCAGAAGCCAGTTCTGATGCGCGGCCTCGCCGGGGGCCTGAGAACCCCTGTTTCCTGTGAGGCTGGGCCAGGGACAGGATAACAAGGGAGGCAGAAAAGAGTGCTGGCGGGGAGCCAGGAGGCCTGGGTTCCAGCCCCGGCCCTGCCGCTTGCCTGCTAGGAGCCCTTGAGAAAGTCAGTTCCCCTGCCTGAACCTCAGTCTCCTCACCTTCAGATGGAGATGCCGGCCCAGAGGGTACCAGAGGCCTTTCCTGGCTTGCAAACAGGATGCCAGTCCACAAAGCCACAGGGTGAGGGTGCTTCCCAGTTCTCTGTGCTTCGGAACAGCGTGCTGCTCCGGGGGACCTTGGAAAGGTGACTGGGCTCTTCTGGCGGTTTGGGGTGGGGGTTGTAGTTTGTGCTCCCGGATGTTTGCCCACGTG
Organism: Homo sapiens; assembly: GCF_000001405.40. Lineage (NCBI taxonomy): Eukaryota > Metazoa > Chordata > Mammalia > Primates > Hominidae > Homo > Homo sapiens. The sequence continues at coordinate 24,871,180 of NC_000001.11, forward strand.
GGTGGAGCCTGCCTGTCTGTTGCCCCTTAGAGGGAAGTTGGCAGTAGGATGGGTTGGGGGGCCGTGGATGTTGGGAGGCCCTAAAGCTGAGCCCAGACTCTCAGGCTTGGGAAGGACCTTCCCGATCAGCCTTCTGTCCATGGCTTGAATTCCTGTCTTGTGGCATCAGGAAAGACTTATGTCTTTTAGGGTCCAACCAAGAAAGCAGAAAAACACTCAGGTGTTGCAGACAGAGGGCCTTCATACAGGGAGTTAGTCACACAGGTTATGGGAGAGCCGAGAAGCCGAAGAGGGTGTGATGAGTTAACCCAGAGATTAACAACTGCGAGAAACCACCACCGCCCCAGGATGGAGAAGCCAGGGAGGTGGTGGGGTTAGCAGATCCTGGGATCGGGGTCACCCAGTACCAGCCAGGGGCTTGTGGCAGAGAGCTGGAGCACAGAGGAGACATGGCTGCTGCCGCTGAGCTCACGAAGGAAGACAGGGAAGGGGAGGGATACCCAGCTTCTCTCATCACATGTGCCCCATCTTCAGTCTCCCCCAGTGCCTCGCTTTGGCAGAACTCGCTGAAAAACGCAGCCTGCAGGTATCAGCCCCCACCCTGCCCTGAACACAGAGAGGAACATATTTGAGGTCAGAGGCCCAGGACTGGCCCAGTGACTGTGTTTAAATGCTTCGGGCACTGGGGAGCTCACTCTCTAACTCTTAACTGTAGAGGTGGTGGCAACAGCCTGTTTTGCTGGCGGCTGAGCATGAGCATTTGGTTCAGAATAAGGAAGAAACATTGGTTTCCTGTGACTCCCTACAGAAAGATGAGGGGTTTGTCTTGGGAGCAGAAGCCCCCGTGTGTGTTGCTTTGTGCTGTCATGTCTGCCAGGAAGGCCCTTCCCGCCCTCCCATCGCTTGAGACCCAATTCTCCCAGAAAACCTTCCGGCACCTCCATGTCGAGGGATAGTACCGTCATGTCCGTCCACAGCACCTGCGCTTCCTTCTCTATTTAGCAGAATGTAGCGAACATTATGTTCAACGTGGACTTCTCTGTTTGTTCTGCCTCATTCATAGGGGGCATGGAGCTTGGAGAACCTGACGTTGCCTACCCAGAGCTGGCTCTAGGTTAAAGAGATGCTCACTAAGGCACCTATAGTGTGCCAGGTCTGCCAAATGTTTGGCATGCATTATCTAGTTTAATGCTCCCAACAACTCCGGAGGTTGGTATGATTAGCCCATGCCTGCTCAGCTGGAGAATCTGAGGCTCAAAAGGAGGGTGTCCAAGGCCACTTGGCTAGTAAGGGCAGAGCTAGGATTCGAACACAGCCTCTTAAAGGCCGCGTTCCTTAGCCACGGGGCCACGTGGTCTTGCCACAGTGCAGCTGGGCCCAGGGTGGGATTGTGTGAAGTCCCTCACTGGGAATGTTTCCAGCTCAGCTCCTGGTGCCTCCTCCCCTGTCCTCTGTCCAAGACCACATGTCAGCCCCTTGAAGGCGAGGCAGCCATTCCCACAGCCACTTCTCTATTCTGACATGACCAAGAAGCCTGGCTGGGACAGCAGGTCTGACCACAGATTGACAGATGTTTCCACATGTGGAAGTGAGGTTTGAGCCTCGATGTGCTGTTTCTGTGGTTCCCTTTTCACGCTTTCCTTGGGAGATGTGTCCAGACATGGTCTCATTGCCCTAATAGGTTTCCATGTCTGTTGTGCACAGTCTTTAGACTGTTTAACAATCCTGTTCACTGGTAGAGCACTGCCCAGCTTGCACACAGCACTTTCTTATGCATTGGCTCAGTGGCTCTTCCCAACAATCCTGGGACTTGGGTTCATTTACTGGATGGAGGCTCAGAGAGGCTAAGTAACAACAGTGACAACCATTAGTTGCCTTTTGCAGATCTGTCAGCATGCCTTGCTCAAAGAGAGACAGAAACTGCCCAGTGCACAGTGTCTCACTTGATCTTCACAATAGCCCTGCAAGGTAGATATTATTACAACCTCTCATTGGAAGTAGGGAAACTGAGGCTCAGAGAGAATAATTGACTTACCCAAGGTCACACAGCGTCAAATCCACACCTAGAACCCATCTCTTGGTCTTGACTCCTGGTTCAGTGTTCCAAGCAACTGTTGAGAACATCCATCAAACTTAAAAATATATATGACTATATTTCAACAAATCTATGACATCATTGAATATAGATACACCACTCTTTTATATACCCCAGGAAATAGAAATGCTGTCAGCTACAGTAAGACACAGTATTTCTCATCACATAGAATTTTTTTATTTTAGACTAATTAAAAGAGCTCTTTCATATCTGTATGCATCATATATATATAAGCATTATATATGCATATATATAATGCATCATATATGCATCATATATAAGCATATATATGCATATATATAATGCATCATATATATGCATCATATATATGCTTATATATGATGCATATATAAGCATATATATGCATATATAAGCATATATGCATATATATATGTATCTCTCTCAGTTGTCTGTACATAGAAGGAAAATTTATCTGAAAATAAACTTATATGACATGAAATGGATTTATGTGAAAATAAACTTCTTCATATTCAAAATCTAACTGAGTAACTGGGCGTGGTGGCTCATGCCTGTGTCCAGCACTTTGGGAGGTCAAGGCAGGTGGATCACTTGAGGCCAGGAGTTTGAGACCAGCTTGGGCAACATGGCGAAACTCTGTCTCTACAAAAAATACAAAAGTTAGCCAGGTGTGGTGGCAGAGGCTGTAGCCCCAGCTACTTGGGAGGCTGGGGCAGGAGAGTTGCTTGAACCCGGGAGGCGGAGGTTGCAGTGAGCCAAGATTGTGCCACTGCACTCCAGTCTGGGTGACAGAGTGAGACTCTGTCTTAAGAAAAAAAAAAAAAAAGACAAACTCTGAGTGAGCAGTAGAAGCCCAGCTCTTTCCCATAAGATTGTTCTCCGCACCAGCAAATGCTGGCGATGAAGATTTCTCCCTCTCTCTTCAAAAATATGTTAGAGAGGAAAAGCGTGTTTACATATAACAAAGTACATAAATTATAAGTACACTTGATGAATTTTTATCCACGTTAATATTCATCTAGACTCACCAGTGCGTTGGAGCTGGCTCACATTAGCATTGTTAAACACTCAGGAATTTTGCAAACTGGTTTTTAAATTGTTGGTCACTTAAAATCAGCTGCGGGCCAGGCGCAGTGGCTCACACCTGTAATTCCAACACTTTGGGAGGCCAAGGCAGGAGGACTGCTTGAGCCCAGGAGCTTGAGACCAGCCTGGGCAACATAGGGAGACCCTGTCTCTACAAAAATATATATATTTTTAAATTAGCCAGATGTGGTGGTGTGTGCCTGTTAAGTTCCAGTTACTTGGGAGGATTGCTTGAGCCCAGGAGATTGAGGCTGCAGTAGGCTATGATGGAGCTGCTGCACTCCAGCCTGTGTGACAGAGCGAGACGCCGTCTCAAAAAACAAAAACAAAAACCAAACCCTAGCTGCAATGGGAGTATTTTACATCATGGAAATTGGCAAATGCTACATAATCCAGGGCTGTTTTTTTCCCTTCAGAGGTCTGGTTTACTGGCCCACCACTGAGTGTAGCTACTACCCAGATGGGGAGAGCTTCCCAGCATCCTAGAAGCCTCCTTTGTGGCTGTCCCAGCCCCTTTCCACCAAGGGAACAACTACTGGATGCGGCATTTCCTAGAGGTGGCTGAGGGCCACTGGCGCTGGGCTCCTGCGAGGGGTTTGCCATTGTGCGGGGCTGGCCCACTTTCGACGCCCATGGGAGGAATGCTGCTAAACACGTCCGATTTACCACCTCCTCCATCCCGTACCCACAGCCATTTGGTTCCTAGAGGTTAAAAGAACACTCCTCTATTGTCTCCAGGGTTTCCTTCCAAGCCGCAGAATCCCATTGTCGATGTGACGGTGTAAGCGGGCTGTGACCACTCCCTGGAGAGGGCCTCCTGCCAACAATTACTGTAAGACACACCCCTATTTCAGAGACACTAAAATGTGAAAAATCAAGCCTCTTAGAGTCACCAAAATACAGTATATTGCCTTTTGAAGATCTTTACTGAAGCAGTTTCCTCTGAGAAGCAGCTTGTCTCCATCATTAAGCCCCGGAAAGCAGATGAGACTGCAGTTCCTCCGGGCTAGCTGTCTCAGTGGTCACTTCGCCCCCAGACAGGTAGCTTCTGCCCACTTCTCTCATGGGGCAGCCAAGTGTTACTACCTCTGGCCCCGGCCTGGAATAAGAGGACCAGCAGGCCGTGGGAAACCTCAGCTCTAATACCAGGCTGCTTCTGGACAGTCCTTTCTGGGTGTGGATAAAGACCAGGCTTGTGCCCTCTGGGGACCGTTCAAAGCAGTCTTCAGGGTCGGACCTCAGACTCATCCCTGTGATGATTGTTTCAGGTCCTAGCGAGTTACTTTCCCAACCTGTGAGCTTCTGCAACTGTGTTTTTTTGTTTTTTGTTATTGTTGTTTGTTTGTTTTAATATTTTTTTCTTTTCTTTTTTTTTTGAGACAGAGTCTTGCTCTGTTGCCCAGGCTGGAGTGCAGTGGTGCGATCTCGGCTCACTGCAACCTCCACCTCCTGGGTTCAAGCGATTCTTCTGCCTCAGCCTCGCGAGTAGCTGGGATTACAGACGTGTGCCACCACACCAGCTAATCTTTGTATTTTTAGTAGAGACAGGGTTTCGCCATGTTGCCCAGACTAGTCTCAAACTCCTGACCTCAAGTGATCCACCCACCTCGACCTCCCAAAGTGTTGGGACTACAGGGGTGAGCCACTGTGCCTGGCCATGCAACTGTGTTTTAATCACCTTTGTGTTCCCAAGGCCCTGACATGGAACAAGCACCCAGTAAGTATTTGAATGAATGAGCAAATGAAAGGCCAGGAAGGGAGAGCCTTTATTTTGAAGCCTGCCCGCCGGGCTGCCCTTGGGAAAGCCACTTTCTGCAAAAGTCACAGGAGCAAATGAGACAAAGATGCAAAATTGCTCTGCCTGAGCTGTGAGGGCTTAACTGTGAATGTCTTTAGGTGACCTTCTTGGAGACCTCAAGACCACCCCTCTGTGACTTGGTTCAGGCTGCCCTGCTGTGATGCCTGCTGGGGCCAAGGCCTGGATCCCTGGGTGGGGTGGGGTGGGGTGGGGCGGGGCGGGGAGGGGCGGGGCGGGGCGGGGCAGGAGTGGCAGCAGGAAGGATCCGGCTGAGACTTGCCCTGGGGGGCCAGGGAAGGAGGGTGGCAGGAGGCAGAATCCACAAATGAAGTAGATCTGGAGCCAGGCAGATCAGCCCTTAGATATAATCTCAGAAGGGGTTGGGAGAATGGAAGGATTTTGTTGAGGATGGAGTGAGAGGGTTGGAGGGTTGGGTATGTTCCTGAGCATATTTCCCTGTCTATGGGGCCATTCAGAGAGAAGCCCACGTGCTCCAGGCCAGTGGTGGAGCCTTCAACGTGGAGCTGGAAGACCTGGGCTCGAGTCCCACCTCTGCCATGTCCCATCCTCCCTCATGACTCCCAGTAGTTACCGCCTTCTCTGGGCCTCAGTTTCCCCAACTGGAAATTAAAGAAAATTACCCTGTTCCTGCATCAGATGGTTGGTTGTGGATATCACTGAAATCTCCTCACGTGGTATTGAGCCGCTGCTCTTGGCCAGACACAGAGCAATTTACATGAAATGATTTTCGAAGTCTGGTCCGGGGACCAGCAGTGTCAGCATCACTTGGGAACTTTGTCAGAAATGCAAATTATCGGGCTCCACCCCAACTACTCTAGACCCAAAAACAATTTTTATTTTTATTTTTATTTACTTTTTAGGATGGAGTCTTGCTCTGTCACCCAGGCTGGACTGCAGTGGTGCAATCTCAGCTCACTGAAACCTCTGCCTCCTGGGTTCAAGCGATTCTCCTGCCTCAGCCTCCTGAATAGCTGGGATTACAGGCATGCACCACGACGCCCAGCTAAATTTTTTTATTTTTAGAAGAGGCAGGGTTTCACCATGTTGGCCAGGTGGTCTCGCACTCCTAACCTCAGGTGATCCACCTGTCTCGGCCTCCAAAAGTGCTGGGATTACAGGCGTGAGCCACAGCGCCCTGCCCCAAGGACAATTTTTAAATGATATAATTCATATCCCATAAAATTAACCCTTTAAAGTGTGCAGTGTGGTGGCTTTTAGTATTATCCACCAGGTCATACAACCTATTATCACTAATTCCAGAATATTTTCATTGCTCTCAAAAGAAACCTTGTACCATTTAGCAGTGACTCCCCACTCCCCTGTCCCTCAGCCCCTGCAATCACAAACCTACTTTTCATCTCTATGGATTTGCCTATTCTGGACACTTCATATAAATGGAATCATAGAATATGTGGTCTTTTCTTTCACTTAGCATAATGTCTTCAAGGTTCATCCATATTGTAATATGTATTAGTACATGTTGTACTGATGGAACATGTATGTTGTAGCATGTTTCACCCTTTTAAAAAATCTTCTTTTTAAATTAAAAACATTTTTAAAATACATTCAAAGATTTTTTTAGAGTCGTTTTAGTTTCACAGCAAAATTGGGAGGCAGGTATGGAGATTTCCCTATGTTCCCTGCCCCCACAACATACGCAGCCTCCCATCATTAACATCCCCCACCAGAATGGAACAATTTTAACAACCGATGAACTGACATTGACACATCATTATCACTGCAAATCCATAGTTTACTTTGGGGTTCACTGTTAATGTAGTACATTCTATGGGTTTGGACAAGCGTATAATGACACGTATCTGTCATGATGGTATCATACAAAGTATTTTCACTGCCATAAAAATCCTCTGTGTGCCACCTATTTCTTCCTCCCATCCCCCTAATCCCCGGCAACCACTGATCTTTCTACCATCTCCACAGTTTTGCCTTTTCCAGAATGTCATTCTCTTAGTCCATTTTCTGCTGCTATAACAAAATACCACAGACTGGGTAATTTATAAAGAAAAGAGACTTACTAGGCTCGTGGTTGGGGAAATCCAAGGTTGAGGGGTTGCATCTGGTGAGGGCCTTCTTGCTGTGTCATAACACGGCAGAGGGCAAGCGAGCTCACGGAACAGAGAGAGGAACTCAGACTGAACTCATCTGTTTATCAGGAGCCCACTCCTGCGATAACTAACCCCCTCCCCTAATAATGGTATTAATCCATTCAAGAGAGCAGAGCTCTCATGGCCTAATCACCTCTTTTTTGTTTGTTTGTTTTTGTTTTCAGACAGGGTCTCACTCTGTTGCTTAGGCTGGAGTGCAGTGGCACAACCATAGCTCATTGCAGCCTTGACCTCGCAGGCTCAAGTGATCCTCCTACCTCAGGCTCCCAAGTAGTTGAAACTATAGGCATGTACCACCATGCTTGGCTAATTTTGAAATTTTTTTAGAGATGAGGGCTTGCTATGTTTCCTAGGCTAGTCTTGAACTCCTGGACTCAAGTGATCCTTCTGCCTCAGCCTCCCAAAGTGCTGGGATTACAGGTGTGAGGCATTGCGCCTGGCCCTAATCACATCCTAAAGGTCTTGTCTCTCCACGCTGTTACAATGGCAACGAAATTTCAACATAAGTTTTGGAAAAGACATTCAAGCCATAGCATTCCACCTCTGGCCCACCAAAACTCTTGTCTTCCTTGCATACAAAATAACATTCATCCCATTCCAATAGCCCCAAAGTTTTAACTCATTCCAGCACCGACTCAAAAGACTGAAGTCCAGAGTCTCATCTAAATCAGATATGGATGAGACTCAAAGCATGACTCATGCTGTGGCAAATTCCTTCCAGTTGTGAGTCTGCAAAATCAAAACAAGTTATCTACTTCCAAAATACAATAGTGGGACAGGCATAGGATAGATGTTCCCATTCCGAAAGGGAGCAACAGGAAAGGAGAAAGGAGTAACAGGCCCCAAAGAAGTGCAAAACCCAAAAGGGAAAACAAGATTAAGTCTTAAAGCTGGAGAACAATCTCCTTTGACTCCACGACCAGCCACCTGGGCACACTGGGCAGCCCTGCCTCTACGGCTTTGCTAGGCTCAGCCCACACAATTTTCACAGGTTGGGATCTCATGCCTGCAGCTTTCCCAGGCTGCCATCACTCACTGGCAGCTCAACAGTTCTGTGGTCTGGAGAGTGGCCCCACTTCCACGGCTGCAGTAGGCATTGCCCTAGTGAGGACTCTGTGCAGTGCCTCTGATCCCACACTTCCACTCGGCATTTACCTAATAGGGCTTTCTGTCATGGCTTTGCCCCTGTGGCAGGTTTCTGCCTGGGCCCCCTTTTAAATCTAGTTGAAGGTAGCCATGCCCCCACAGCTCTTGCATTCTGTGAGCTTGCAGACCTAACACCATGTGGATGCTGCTAAAGTTTAAAGCTTGTACCTCCTGGAGCAGCAGGTTGAGCTGCACCTGGGACCACTTAAGCCACAGCCAGGGAAGTCAAGAGGTGCTGCACTGGAATGATGGGGGCAGAGTCCTGAGATGGCTCTGGGCAGTGAGCCTGTGGAGGATGTCCCAGGCATGTTCCCTGAAACCATTCTGCTCTCCTAGAGCTCTGGGCCCGTAATAAGAGAAACAGCCCGGAAGAGCTCTGAAATGTCTTTGGAGTCTTTCCTCCAAAGGAATAACACCTGGCTTTCTTCTATCTAGCCTGATCTTTTAAGTAAATGGTTGCTTGGCCACACCCTTAGTATTCTTTTCCGAATGTTATTGCTTTTCACTCTTTAGGAGGCCAGGCTGTGAGTTTTCCTTTGCTTCTCTTTTAATTATAAATTCTGTCTTTAAGTCATTCCTTTCCTTTTGCATCTCACTGTATGTGGTTAAAAGGAGCCATGCAGCAACCTGAATGCTCTGCTGCTTAGCTGTTTCTTCCATCAGATATCCCCGTTCATTGCTCTTCAGTCCTGCACTCTATAAAGCCCTTAGACATAAACACAGTTCAGCCAAAGTCTTTGCTACTTTGTAACAAAGATGGCCTTTCCTCTTAGTTTCCAATACCTTGTTCCTCATTTCTGTCTGAGACCTCATTAGAATGGCCTTTACTGTTCATATTTCTACGGACATTCTGGTCATGACCACTTAAATAATCTTCAAGAAGATTTAGGCTGTCCTTAGTTCTAGGGCCTTCTTTTGAGCCCTCAGCAAAATTGCTCTTAATGCTCCATTCACAGGAATCTAGGCTTTTTCTAGCCTGCTCCTACAAACTCTTCCAGCTTCTATCCATTACCCAGTTCCAAAGCAGCTTCTACATGTTCAAGTATTTGTCATGGCAACAGCTCCTCTTCTGTGCACCAATTTTCTGTTGCTATAACACAATACCACAGGCTGGGTAATTTTACGTATATATAGAATATATATATAGAATATATAGAAAAAATATATATGTATGTATTTTATATAATAATACTGAGCATTGACTCATGGTTCTACAGGCTGGGAAGTCCAAGGTTGAGGAACTGCATCTGGTGAGGACCTTCTTGCTGTGCCATAACATGGCAGAAGGGCCAAGAGAAAGAGAACAGAAATCAGGCTGAACTCATTCTTTTTATCAGGAGCCTACTTCCTAGATAACTAACCAACTGTCACAATAACAGCATTAATCCATTCATGAGGGCAGAGCTCTCATAACCTAATCACCTTTTAAAGGTCTTGCCTCTCAACAGTTACTATGGCAACTAAACTTCAACATCAGTTTTTTGAGGGGACTTTCAAACAATAGCAGTCATATATTGGAATCACACAGTATGTAGCCTTTTCTGATTGGCTTCTTTCACTTAGTAATATGGATTTAAGTTTCCTCCATTCTTTTCATGGCTTGATAGCTCATTTCTTTTTAGTGCTGAATAATAGTTCATTGTCTGGATGTACCACAGTTAATCCATTTACCTGCTGAAGGACATCCTGGTTTCTTCTTTTGGCAGCATGAAAAAAGCTGCTATAAACATCTGTGTGCAGATTTTTGTGTGAACATAAGTTTTCAACTCTTTTCTGTAAATACCATGGAGTGTGATTGCTCAATCATATGGTAAAAGTATGTTTAGCTTTATAGAATGACAATTTACCTTTCAAAGTGACTGTACTATGTGCTAAGTGGGTGTACTATTTTACATTTACGTTTACAACAATGAAGGAAAGTTCCTGTTGCTCCATATCCTCCTCAGTGTTTGGTGCTGTTTGTATTCTGTATTTTGGCCATTCTAATAGATATGTAGTATCCCGTTATTTTAGTTTTCATTCCCTTGATAACATGTGATGTAGAGTATCTTTTCTTATGCTTATTTGACATCTGTATATCTTTTTTGGTGAGGTGTCTATTAAGGTACATGGCCCATTTTTTAATTGGGTTGTTTTTTTTCTTATTGAGAGCTTTAAGAGTTCTTTGTATATTTTGGACAACTGTCTCTTATCAAACATGTCTTTTGCAAATATTTTCTCCCAGTTTGTTGCATGTCTGGTTATTCCCTTGACATTGGCTTTCACAAAACAGAAGTTTAAAAAATTTTTTTAATGAATTCCAGCTCATTCATTGTTTATTTCAGCAATAATGCTTTCGGTGTTATACCTGACAAGTCATCACCATACCTAAGGTCATCTAGACTTTTTCCTATGTTGTCTTCTCAAGAGTTTTACAGTTTTGCATTTTTAATTTAGATTTATGAGGTACTTTGAGTTAACTTTTGTGGAATGTATAATGTCTGTGTCTAAATTCAGTTTTTTTGGTATATGGATGTCCAGTTATTCATATTTTTTAAAAGATGGATTTTTGCATGATATTTTGAAAAGACTGTCTTTGCTCTATTGCATTGTCTTTGCTTCTTTGTCAAAGATTAGTTGACTACATTTATGTGGGCCTATGTTGGGCTCTCTATTCTGTTTATTAATCTACTTGTTTATTCTTTTGCCAATACCACACTGTCTTGATTAGTATAGCTTTAAGTCTTGAAGATTACTATAGCTTTAAGTCTTGAAGACTACTATAGCTAGTAAGTCTTGAAGTCAGGTAGTGTCTGTCCTCCAACTTTGTTCTTCCTCAGTATTGTGTTGATTATTTTGATCTTTCCCTCTTCATATAAACTTTAGAATCATTTTTCAATATCCACAAAATAACATGCTGGGATTTTGATTGGGATTGCACTGAATCTATAGATCAGGTTGGGGAAAACTTATATCATGACAATTTTGAATCTTCCTATCTGTGAATATGGAATATCTCTTTATTTATTTAGTTCTTCTTTGATTTTGTTCATCAGAGTTTTGTAGCTTTCCTCATATAAATCTTATATATATTTACTTAGATTTATACCTAAGTACTTTCTTTTATTGGGTGCTAACGTAAATGGTATTGTGTTTTAAATTTCAAATTTCACTTGCCCATTGCTGGTATATAGGAAAGTGACAGACTTGTACAACAACCTTATATCCTACAATCTTACTATAATCACCTATTAGTTCCAGAGATTTTTGTGTTGATTTATTTGGATTTTTCTACATAGATAATCATGTCATCTACAAAGGCAGTTTTATTTCTTCCTTCCCAATCAGTATAACTTTTATTTCATTTTCTTGCCTTATTGAGTTAGCTTGGACTTCCAGTATGATGTTGAAAAGGAGTGGTGAGAGGAAACATCCTTGACTTGTTCCTGATTTTAGTGGGAAAGCTTCTAGTTTCTCACCATAAGTATGGTGTTTGCTGTAAGTTTTTTGTAGATTTTTTCATCAAATAGAGGAAGTTCTCCTCAATTCCTAGTTTACTGAGAGTTGTTATATGAATGGGTGTTGAATTTTGCGAAATTATTTTTCTTCATCTATTGATATAATCATGGGGTTTTTCTTTTTTAGCTTGTTCATGTGATGGTTATATTAATTTATTTTCAAATCTTGAACCAGCCTTATATACCCAGGATAAATCTCACTTGATAATGAGGTATAATTCTTTTTATACATGGTTGGATTTGATTTGCTAGTAATTTGTTGAAGATTTTTGCATCTGTGTTTATGAGATATATTGGTCTGTAGTTTTGTTTTTTGGTAATGTTTTTTTATCTGGTTTTGTTAGTGCTGGACTCATAGGGTGAGTTAGAAAGTATTTGCTCTGCTTCTATCCTCTGAAAGTGATTGTAGAGAATTGGTATAATTTCTTCCTTAAATGTTTGGTTGAACTTACCAGTGAACTCTTCTCTGCCTGGTGCCTTCTGTTTTGGAAGGTTATTAACTATTGATTCAATAGATATAGGCCTATTCAGATTGTCTATTTCTTCTTTTATGAGTTTTGGCAAATTGTGTCTTTCACAGAGTTGGTCCATTTCACCCAGATTATCAAATTTCTGGGCATAGAGTTCATAGTATTCCTTTCTTATCCTTTCAATGTCCATAGGATCTGTAGTGATGTCCCTTCTTTAATTTCTGATATTAGTAATTTGTGTTCCCTCTCTTTTTTTCTTAGTCTGGCTATAGACTTATTGATTTAATTGATCTTTTCAAAGAATCAGCTTTTGATTTCATTGATTATTTAATTTTCTTTTTTCAATTTCATTGATTTCTGCCCTAATTTTTACTATTCTTTTTTTTCTTCTACTTACTTTGGCCTTCTTTTCCTAGTCTGTTAAGGTGGAAACTTAGATTATTGATTTTAGATTTTTCTTCTTTCCTAATATATGCATTTGATGCTATAATCTTCCCTCAAACCACTGCTTTGGCTTATCTTACACATTTTAATAAGTTGTGTTTTAATTTTCATCAGGTAAAAATATTAAAATTCTTTTTGAGATTTCTTCTTTGACCCATGTATTATTTAGAAGTGTTTTGTTTAATCTCCACATGTTTTGGAATTTTCTAGTTATCTTTCTGTTATTGATTTCTTTTAATTCCATTGTTGTCTGCGAGCAGAAGTTGTATGATTTCTACTCCTTTTAATTTGTTAAGGTGGGTTTTATGGCCCAAAATGTGGTCAAATTCTTTCTGTTTTATGGCCCAATAATATTCCATTGTATAGATATACAACATTTTGTTTATCTACTCATGAGTTGGTGGACATTGGGGTTGTTTTCATTTTTTGTTAATTCCATTGTACACTGAACATACAATTCAGTGGTATTTTGTATGCTCACAATGTTGTGCAGCCATCACCTCTATCTAACTCCAAAACATTTCATCAACTCAAAGGAGATCTTGAATCCATTAAGCAGCCACTCCTCATGTCCCTGCTCTCAACCCCTGGCAACCACTAATCTGCTTTCTGTCTCCATGAATATAGCTATTTTGGATACTTCATTTAAATGGAATCATACAATATGTGATCTTTTGTATCTGACTTCTTTTACTTTTCATAATGTTTTCAATGTTCATCCATGTTGATAGCATTCCTTTTTAGGGCTGAATACTGTTGTGTTGCATGGATATACTATGTTGTGTTTATCCATTCATCTACTGATGGACGTTTGAGTTGTTTCCACTTTTGCTGTGTGAATAGTGCTGCTATGTATTTGTACTCATTGTACACATTGTGTACAAACATTTGTTCGAATACCTGTTTTCAATTCTTTTGGAGAATTATTTTCAATTCTAGGAGCAGAACTGCTGGGTTATATGGTATCATTGTGAGGAACTGCCAAGCTGTTTCCCAAAGTGGCTGAACCATTTTACATCCCCACCAGCAACATATGAGAGTTCTAATTTCTCCACATTCTCACCAGTGCTTGTTTTCCTTTCCTTTCCTTTCCTTTCCTTTCCTTTCCTTTCCTTTCCTTTCCTTTCCTCTCTCTCTCTTTCTGTCTTTTAAATTATAGCCATTCTAGTGGATATGAAAGAGTATCTCATTGTGGTTTTGATTTGGATTTTTCAAATGACTAATGATGTTGAGCATCTTTTCATGTGCTTCTTGGCCATTGTATATCTTCTTTGAAAAAATGTCTGTTCAAGCATTTTGACCATTTTTAAATTGGGTTATTTTGTCTTTCTGTTGCTGAATTGCAAGAGTTTTTTTTATATGTCCTGGATTCTAGATGCTTATCAGATAAATGATTTACAAACATTTTCTCCCATTATTCATTATTTGCTGTCATTCCATTTTCCTTTTTTTTTTTTTTCTTTCTTAGACAGGGTCTTACTCTGTCACCCAGGCTGGAGTGCAGTGGTGCAATCTTGGCTCACTGCCACCTCCACCTCCCCAGCTCAAGCAGTCCTCCCACCTCAGCCTCCCCAGTAGCTGGGACTACAGGTGCACACCACCATGCTCTGCTAATTTTTATATTTCTTGTAGAGATGAAGTTTCACTATGCTGCCCAGGCTGGTCTCGAACTCCTGAGCTCAAGTGATCCTCCTGCCTCAGCCTCTAAAAGTGTTGGAATTACAGGCATGAGCCACTGTGCCCAGCCTCATTTTATTTTCTTGATAGTGTCTTTTTTTTTTTTTTGAGACAAGGTCTCACTCTGTCACCCAGGCTGGAGTACAGTGACATGATTATAGCTCACTGTAACCTTGAACTCTTGGGCTCAAGCAATCCTCCTGACTCAGCCTCTCAAGCAGCTAGTACAACAGGTGTGTGCCACCACGTCTGGCTAACTTTTACATTTTTTTGTAGAGGTGGAGTCTTGCTGTGTTGCCCAGGCTGGATCTTGATAGTGTTTTGTTTTGTTTTTTTTAGATGGAGTTTCACTTTTGTTGCCCAGGCTGAAGTGCAATGTGCAATTGCGCGATCTCGGCTCACAGCAACCTCCATCTCCCAGGTTCAAGTGATTCTTCTGCCTCAGCCTCCCAAGTAGCTGTGATTACATTTATGCACCACCACGCCTAGCTAATTTTGCATTTTTAGTAGAGATGGGGTTTCACCATGTTGGCCAGGCTAGTCAGGTGATCCGCCTGCCTCAGCCTCCCAAAGTGCTAGGATTATAGGCGTGAGCCACTGTGCCTGGGTGCCTGGCCTTGATAGTGTTTTTTGATTAACTATCTACTTTTATTTTGATGAAATCCAAGTTACCCATCTATGTATATACTGAGCTGACCCTGAGACATGGCAAAATGTGTGAAGATGGTACTTGAGTGAGTGAAGTTTGGGCAATGTTGTTTCTAGTGAATTCTTTCTCCTTGGTGGTTTCCTCTGGCCTGTGGATATACTTTATTCAGCAAAAGATGCCAGGGCTGAGGGGATATGGCCTCTGGTCTGCCACCCAGAGGGTAAACTTGGCAAGACCCCAGCCAGGCTCCCCCTCCTCTGCTGTTCCTAAACATGCATTCATGGACAAGGGGTCTCTGGAGCAAAGGAGAGTGACTCCTTCCCTCTCCCGCAACCTTGCCCACTTACCTTGTAGCCAGCCACTCCCTCCTCTTTCTGTAACTGGGCATTGGTCCAGCTGCCAGGCCCAGGACCTCTCCCATTTAGCCAGATGTAGTTCCAAAAACAACTGCAGCAGTATTTGGATACATTTTCCAGCCTGAACTAGTGGTGTTCCTGTCCATAGCTGGGATCCAGGTTTGTTGCCTCTGGGTGGGGCTACAGCTCCTTACCTCCTGGAAGGTTGTGGAAGTGTGGTTTCCTTTTTCTCCTTTCTCTTGTGGAACATAAGCATCTTTCCAAGTCCTTCTGGCCAGATGATGATGGTGTGAGCCTGTCCGTCTCCCATCAGTGCTGAGGGGCCTCAGATGCTGCCTCTTACCTATAACCCAGATGCTCCCAGGTGTGTTTATTTCCTAGAGCTGCTGTGACACAGAGCCACAAACTGGGAGGCTCAGAACAACAGGCATTGTTCCTTGCACAGTTCTGGAGGCTGGAAGTCCAAAATCAAGGTGTTGGCAGGGCTGGTTCCTACGGGAGGCTCTGAGGAAGAATCTGTTCCAGGCGCTCTCCTGGCTCCTGGTGGTTGCTGGCAATCCTTGGAGCCCCTTGACTTGTAGATGCATCACTCCAGTCTCTGCCTTCATCTTCACATGGCGTTCTCCCTTTCCCTCTGTCTCTGTGTCTTCTTCTCCTCATCTTATTGTCATATTGGATTAAGGGCCTACCCTGCATCAGTATGGCCTCGTCTTAGCTAATTTCATCTGCAGTTACCCTATTTCCAAAGGTCACATTCTCAGGTTCTAAGAAGTACATGAATTTTGAGCAGGATAATGTATGGCCCAGTGCACCAGGCAATGCCAAGGGCATCACTAGGTAGGAGGCTGGAGATGACTCCATTTCTGTGAGCTCCTCCTTGGCTCCTCTGTGTCTTTGCTTCTAACAGCCTGTGCCTGCCACTCTCTCTCGAGGGCTCCCCTTGAGCTATTAGAGGGGCTTTGTGTGCACAAAATTCAGACACACACACACACACACGCACATGCACATGCACACACACATGCACACATGCACACACACACACATATACACACACACACAGAGCCAGAGTGCCTGGATATTCGTGACCCCTGGAGCTGTCTTACCATGGTGATGACTGACAGGTGGGCAGGGCACGGTGGCTCACACCTGTAATTCCAGCACTTTGGGAGGCCAAGGCAGGTGGACCACCTGAGGTTAGGAGTTCAAGACCAGCCTAACCAACATGGTGAAACCTTGTCTCTACTAAAAATAGAAAAAAATTAGTTGGGCATGGTGGCGCATGACTGTAACCCAGCTACTTGGGAGGCTGAGGCAGGAGAATCACTTCAACCTGGGAGGCGGAGGTTGCAATGAACCGAGATCACGCCATTGCACTCAAGCTTGGGCAACAAGAGTGAAACTCCATCTCAAAAAAAAAAAAAAAAAAAAAAAAAAGGAATGACTGACAGGTGCACATGCAGAAGCATAGAAGCCCAGATCCCTGGCCTGCAGTTGGGCACAAACTCTGAGGTGTAACTTATACTCCGGAGCCCCCCACAGGTCAGTTTCAACTGGCCTCACCCTCCATGTCTAGCTCCCCCTACTCTGACACTGGCTTGTCCTGGGAGTACTTCCTTAAGAAATCACTTTCATGTGAATTCTCTTCTCAAAGTCTGCTTCTGGGCAGCCCAAGCTGAAACAGATCCCCATACCTGGAGCCTGCTGCAGCCAGGACTGATATGCAGGAACCCAGCCCAGGGAGCCACAAAGGGATCCACCTCCCCGGATCCAGGGGTTCATGATTCATGGGCGATGGTGCTCTGTAAATGGGAAGGCCCTCTGTGAACACTGGGGTGTTTGCCACGCATTGTGCTCAATTGTCCCCTCTATGGGCGGGCCTTCCCCAACCACACCATCCAAGATATTCTAATCTTGTCCTTTCAGGCTGCTGATCAACTAGCTCAGGAGTCACTGTGGACATGTCACACTTCTTCCTCCATGAGATGGAGATGACCAAATCTATTCATAGTTCTGTGTGCCAACCTATGAACCAGACCTGAGCCCCTTACCCCTCTGACAGTCGGCTTCAGGAAATCGCCATGAGGCTACAGGTGTGTGTTGAGGGGTGGGTAGAGACACAACATAAGTGGGTGGCGTGGGGTCTGGCACACTTCTTCATGTAACCCACTTGTACCTGCTGGACCTGCCAGTCTCAATCCCAAATATCACTGTAGCATTTCTCTTTTTTTTATATTATGACAAATACTTATTTATTTATTTATTTATTTATTTATTTATTTATTTTTTAATTTTATTTTAAGTTCCAGGGTACATGTGCAGAATGTGCAGGTTTGTTACGTAGGTAAATGTGTGCCATGGTGGCTTGCTGCACCTATCAACCCATCATCTAAGCATTAAGCCCAGCATGCATTAGCTATTTATCCTGATGCTCTCCCTCCCCACGCACCTCCTGAAAGGCCCCAGTGTGTGTTGTTCCCCCACCGTGTCCTTGTGTTCTCATTGTTCAGCTCCCACTTATGAGTGAAAACACGTGGTGTTTGGTTTTCTGTTCCTGCATTAGTTTGCTGAGAATAATGGCTCCCAGTTCCATCCATGTCCCTGCAAAGGACATAATATCGTTCCTTTTTATGGTTGTATAGTATTCCATGGTGTATGTGTACCACATTTTCTTTATCCAGTCTATCATTGATGGGTATTTGGATTGATTTCATGTCTTTGCTATTGTGAATAGTGCATTGTAGCATTTCCATTGTACAGTGGGTTACTGCTGTGCCTGCCTCACATTAGGATTTGGTGGATCTGGTCATAGCCAGCTCACAGAGGGAAACTCAGCCAGCATAGTTGCTTGATGTCTCATGGTCAGGCTCTGAGTCTCTGTAGGGTTCAGTAGCATGCCAGCAATTGTTTTTCAAAAGGAGAGTAGTTCTCCACTGCAGAAAATTTTAGAGGTCTGTACTGGGACTCTTCTACTGGGGTTTGTTAAAGGCTCCACCCAAGTTCTTTATCTAGCACCATAAATCTTCTCAGTCTCATGGCTAGCAGAGCAGCTCACACTGCAGCTTGGACCTATGCAGCGTTCTCTTTTGCTTTGTCTCAGAACTGAAAGCTTTCTGAATTGCCTAATAAATAGGTCAGAGTAGCATTCCCAAGTGTGGTATATGCTGCTTTGAAATTCAAGGAGAACAAAGAAGGTGGGCATAAAACAACAGAAGGACAGTTTCTCGCAGCTGGGGAGATCAGAAGTCTGAAACCAAGATGTTGGCAGGGCTGACACGGGCAATACACGAGGCCCGTGTATTGCCTCTTCCTGCTTCTCTTGGCTCCAGACATTCCTTGGCTTGTGGCTGCATCACTCCAATCTGCGTCTGTGGTCACATGGCCTCCTCCTCTTCCCTATGTGCCTCTGTTCTGTATGTCTCTTATAAGGACATTTGCCATTACATTTAGGACCTGCCTGCATCATCCAAGATTACCTCCCCATCTTGAGATCCTTAACTGAATTACATCTGCAAAGATCTGTTTTCCAAATAAGGTAATATCCCCATAGGTTCTGGAAATTAGGACATGGACATATCTTCGTGGTGGGGTGGGGGGGTGCTTTTTCATCCTACTGTATGGTAGAGGTGCAAATGCAGCAACTTGTCTTTTTTTCTGAGAGGGGATGGCTTGGCATGCCTCAGATCACAGGTTCCTTAAGATCTTCATCAATACGGGGGACCCTGAATTTTCAGAGGCTTTATCTTCCACTCTCTGGTGTGCATACATTTTTGTTTTGTTTTGTTTTGAGATGGAGTCTCACTCTGTCACCCAGGCTGGAGTGCAGTGGCACGATCTTGGCTCACTGAAACCTCCAACTCCTGGGTTCAAACCATTCTCCTGCCTCAGCCTCCCAAGTAGCTGGGATGACAGGTGCCCGCCACCATGCATGGCTAATTTTTGTATTTTTAGTAGAGACAGGGTTTCACCATGTTGACCAGGCTGGCCTCGAACGCCTCACCTCAGGTGATCCACCCACCTCAGCCTCCCAAAGTGCTGGGATTACAAGCGTAAGCCACTGTGCCCAGCCATATATTTTATTAAAGCATCTTGGGTTCTTGCCATTTTTCCTCCTTAGGTTTAGAGCAGCAGGAGCATGGGAGCAACTGTCCAGTGAAGGGGGTCTGTTGAGAGGCTCACCCACAGCATCCACTGCAGTGTCCTTGATCATCTTGACACCCCACGCTACCACCCAGGTCCGTCATGTTAACATTGTGTGAGCATTGGCTGCAAACTGCTCACATCTGCCCCCTTCTCTGGAGAATTGCTCTCTGCCAAACAGTAGACATCTCACCGTGGAGGTTATGCTCCTTTGGGGGTGTGGCAAGTCTTGCCAACTGACTTACCTGAGGACACAAAAAGTCTGCTATCTGGAGGGGACAAGTCAGTGCTGTAATTAATGCTCCAAAGGCCCTCATGAGACCAGAATGAGGCTGGCCTCCAGCCCAGGGATGTCATAGATTAACTTTCTTTCTCTGCTGTGTCCTGCTTCCCTCTTTCCACTTCCCCTGAAAGTCCTCCCCACAAAAATCCCCACCTCTTGATCTGCTTCTAGGGAAACCTGACCTAAGAGATTCCTTGGGTGTATTAGTCTATTCTCACGCTGCTAATAAAGGCATACTCGAGACTGGGTAATTTATAAAGGAAAGAGGTTTAATTGACTCACAGTTCCCATGGCAGGGGAGGCCTCACAATCATGGTAGAAGAGCAAGGAATGTCTTACATGGTGGCAGGCAAGAGAGGATGAGAGCTAAGTTAAAGGGGAAACTCCTTATAAAATCTCGTGAGATTTATTCAATATCACAAGAACAGTATGAGGGAAACCACCTCCATGATTCAATTAGCTCCCACTGGGTCCCTCCCACAACGTATGGGAATTATGGGAGCTACAATTCAAGATGAGATTTGGGTGAGGATACAGCCAAAACATATCATTCCCTCCCTAGCCCCTCCCAAATCTTATGTCATCACATTTCAAAATCAATCATGCCATTCCAACAGTCCCTCAAAGTCTTAACTCATTTCAGCATGAACTCAAAAGTTCACAGTCCAAAGTCTCATCTGAAACAAGGTAAATCCCTTCTGCCTATGCACCTGTAAAATCAAAAGCAAGTTAGTTACTTCCTGGATAAAATGGGGGTACAGGGATTGGGTAAATACAGCTGTTCCAAATGGGAGAAATTGGCCAAAACAAAGGGACTACAGGCCCCATGCAAGTCCAAAATCCAGTGGGGCAGTCAAATATTAAAGTTCCAAAATGATCTCCTTTGACTCCATGTCTCACATCCAGGTCACACTGATGCAAGAGGTGGGTTCCCATGGTCTTGGGCAGCTCTGCCCCTGTGGCTTCATGGGGTAGAGCCTCCCTCCTGGCTAATTTCACAGGCTGGCGTTGAGTATCTATGGCTTTTCCAGATGCACAGTGCAACCTGTTGGTGGGTCTACCATTCTGAGGTCTGGAGGATGATGGCCCTTTCTCACAGCTCCACTAGGCAGCACCCCAGTGGGGACTCTATGTGGGGGCTTCAACCCCACATTTCTTTTCTGCACTGCCCTAGCAGAGGTTCTCCATGAGGGCCTCACCCCTGCAGCAAACTTCTGCCTAGACATCCAGTTACATCCTCTGAAATCTAAGCAGAGGTTCCCAAACCTCAATTCTTGACTTCTGTGCACCCACAGGCACAATACCACATGGAAGCTGCCAAGGCTTGGGGCTTCCACCTCTGAAGCCACAGCCTGAGCTGTACCTTGGCCCCTTTTAGATATGACTAGAGCAACTGGGATGCAGGGCACCAAGTCCCTAGGCTGCACAGAGCAGTGGGGCTCTGGACCCCAGCCCATGAAGCCATTTTGTCCTTCTAAGCCTCTGGGCCTGTGATGGGAGGGGCTGCCACAAAGTCTCTGTTATGCCCTGGAGACATTTTCCCCATTGTCTTGGCGATTAACATTTGGCTCCTCATTACTTATGCAAATTTCTGCAGCAGGCTTGAATTTCTCCTCAGAATATGGATTTTTCTTATCTATTGCATCATCAGGCTGCAACTTTTCCAAACTTTTATGCTCTGCTTCCCCATTAAACATAAGTTCCAATTCCAAACCATATCTTTGTGAATGAATAAAACTGAATGCTTTTAACAGTACCCAAGTCACCTCTTGAACACTTTGCTGCCTAGAAATTTCTCCCACCAGATGCCCTAAATCATCTCTCTCAAGTTCAAAATGCCACCAGTCTCTTTGGTAAAACATAGCAACAGTCACCTTTGCTCTTCCTTTGTCTTCTGCCATGACTGTGAGGCCTCCCCAGCCATGTGGAACAGAGAGTCAATTAAATGATACCATGATGGAGGATGGAGTGAGGGAGTCCTGAGGCTGGACCATGAAGGTGCTCTGCTGTCCCTGCCATGTAAACTGCTCTAGTGCCTCTCTGCTGTTGGATATCAGGAAGAAAGGATTTACCAAATTGGTAGCTGCATACCAAATTCCAGAGACAGTGTTGATCTGCTGTAGTCAAGATGCCACAACTGGTACAGTGGGTGAAACTGGACTATGCCTGGCTATGTTTATGTAGTCCACAGTCAGCTCCTCTGAGAGACCTTCCCTGACCATCTTATCTAATGATGCCTTCCAACTCCCAGTCTTCCTCCATCATATTCTCCTGTTTTATTTTTTTGTGTACTGATTACTGTCTGTAGCCATGTGATCTATTTATTCGTTTATGGCCTTTCTCCCCAATTAGGGTGTAGGCTCCAGGGGAATAAGGACATTGTGTGACTTGTTTGCAGCTGCATCCCAAGCACCCGCCACTGTAGTAGATGCCTAACCAATGTGTGTTGAATGAATAAAAGAGCAGGCCAATGTTCTTTTGCTCAAAGTAGAGGGGAAGAAATAGGGTTTTCTGTGGAGATTCCAAGGCAGAGGCCATTTCTGGGGGTCACTGGAGTGGGAGAAGGCAGGTCAAGGTGGGTTGTCTTCCAGGCAGTGCAAACCCCCTGGCCTCTGCCAGCTGCTCACTGGCCAGTCTGCTTGTTGGGTCTGGCACAGGCCTCAAGGAAACATAACATTTTTAATAAAACCTCAGAGTCAATAAAGGCGAATGGTCCTGGGTGCCTCTCCTGCCGGCCCCAGCTGTTGACTTTAGAAGTCAAGAGAGTGGGGCGTTGCCCAATTCTCATGTAGTACAGGGAGATATAAGCTGGAAGGGCCTAGCCCATTTTATATGAAAACAAAACAAAACAAAACAAAACTCACCAGGCCCTGGAAAGAGTCCACCACCAGCCAGAATCAAAGGTCCATTCAGAGCGACAGAGCTCCTCACATTCGCCGCTAATGAAAACCAAATTTCTCATCCCTCTGAGCATTTCCAGGGGCTACAAATGGAAGGGGCTGCAGAGTCTTTGGCCACCGCTCCCACCACCGAAGGGGCCCCACTGTGTTAAAATAGTTTTATGATAATATAGGCCTTGTATTTTCCTAATTTCAGGCGTCAGTGATTTAGGACGGAGTTGTTTTCATGGAAAAAGAAATAGAACCTGTTTGTGGCGGGGCAAGACTGATGCCTGGGCAGATATTCCCACTGTGGGCATATTTGGGTAGGGGGGTGAGCCTGCCATGAAGAGGCTCAGACCTAGCTCCGGGGAGGCCTCGTTCATGAAGTTCCCCGCCTTGGGCGGGGAAGAATGGGCTGGGGGTTTCCAGACAGATTCAGAGACAGTCACAGTGACTTCTGTTTTTTGATTTCATGCTTTGTGAAATCTTAGAATCACAACTCAGAAAGGTAGAGGCATCCCTCTCAGACGCAGAGAAAGGGCCTCTGTTTTTTTAAAAAGACATTTTCTCATTTCTTTTTCTTTTTTTCCTCCCCCTTGATCAATCTTTATAAGCAAGTATGTGTAGAAATGTCATATTTTTTTTTTCTTAAAGTCAACTTGATTCTTACTTTGAGCCTCCAATACTTTTAGTTGGTAGGAAACTTAATATTTTCAGCGACTGCTCTGCCTTCGTCAGGATCAGGTGGAATTCTGTCCTTGTTTCTCAGTTTTGTTTTGTTTTGTTTTCAGATGGAATCTCACTCTGTTGTCCAGGCTGGAGTGCAGTGGCACAAACTCAGCTCACTGCAACCTCTGCCTCCTGGATTCAAGTGATTCTCCTGCCTCAGCCTCTTGAGTAGCTGGGATTACAGGCATGTGCCACCATGCCTGGCTAATTTTTGTATTTTTAGTAGAGATGGGGTTTCACTATGTTGGCCAGGCTGGTCTCGAACTCCTGACCTCAGGTGATCCTCCTGCCTCAGCCTCCCAAAGTGCTGGGATTACAGGCAGGAGCTACCGCACCCAACCTGTTTCTCAGTTTTTTTTCATCTGTAAGATGGGGAGAATGATAATACATACCTCAATGGGCTGGGTTAAAAAATGGTGAAATATTTAGAATAGTGCCTGGCACAGAGTAAGTATTAACTATTATTATTATTATTTTTATTATTCCAGAGATAAAGAGAAGGCATCAAACCTAGTATGAGGGTATCAGGGAAGGCTACCTGGAAGAGGTGGTGTTTCAGCTAATGACAGATGAGGTAGTCCTTGCATGATTTTGAACTCCTCTGCTTGGACATTTATGTCTAGAATTTGATATGCTATACCCTGAACAAGTGTGCTAATTTTAGAAAACTGTAAAGAAGAAAACAGAAAACAGCCATAATCCCATCTTTGCATTGATTTCATTCTGGATTAATTTTATCTCTATTTTTAACTATATTAATTGATAACCTGTATACGCAGTGTGTGTCTGGCTAGAAAAATGTTTATTTCTAAAAAGTATTTATATATTTATAGGAAATAAAGATCTGAATGGGGGAGAAAAGCCTAAAAATATTAACAGTGGTTATCTTTGGAGGGGGGGATTATGGCTCATTTTTCTCGTGTGTTTGTTGGTAATCCGGACTGTCTACTTTCCCTCTCATGATTATATATTAGTTTGTGTCATTTAAAAATGTCATTTAGTCTGGGCATGGTGGCTCATCCTGTAATCCCGACACTTTGGGAGGCCAAGGTGGAAGGTTTGCTTGAGGCCAAGAGTTTGAGGCCAGCCTGGGAAACGTAACGAGGCCCTGCCTCTAAAAAAAAAATTAGCCAGGTGTGGTGGTGCACACCTGTAGTTCTAGCTCCTTGAGAGGCCAAGGCAGGAGGGAGGATCACTTGAGCCCAGGAGTTGGAGGCTGCAATGCACTCCAGTCTGGGTGACAGAGTGAGACCCTGTCTAAAAATAAAAACTAAAAATATTACTTAAAATGTAATATATAGAACTCAGGAACCGCAGATGGAGAGTCTCATAATCTTTATATTTTCAGACCATGAAGGAGAGTGGGGTAGCTTGGCCGGACTCTGAGCGTCCTGGACCCACAAGTCTGAGAGGAGAGGCTGCATGTGGCCTCTGGTATGGTCACATGGTTCTATAAGGAAACTGAGGCAGGACATAAGGCTTCACTTGTGAAGTGGTGGAGAGGGAGGGGGCAATTGCCAACTGGGTGATAATAAAGACTATTGTTAAGACCTTGCCCCCAGTGGCACATGAAATGCCACTAACCCTGAGAGATTGAGAGACATTCAAACCTGAGGTTTGGGGCATGGTGCCCTTCCTGTGACTTTGGTGCTAATGATGTCTAAGATACCTCTTAGCTCCTCCCTCTGTCATTCTGCACAGGCTTCTCCTTTGCCTGGACTATTTTAGTAGCCTGTGAACAGGTCTCTGGACCCTCATCCCCAGTCCGCACCATGATGGTGCTCCCATCCAACACATACATCTCCGCTTGGCTCCCCCGTGCCACTGACCCCTGACATGGATCCTCTCCCACCTCCCATCACCATTGCGCCACTTGCCCCACCATCCTCCCAGCTCAGCGACACCTGGTTCTCCAGGCCTTTGCACATGGGATTCCCTCCTGCCACATCTCTGCTTGATCCATTCCTACTCATCTTTCCATCTGATCTCGGGGGAGAGACATTTTCTCTGAGGAGCTTGGCTTGTTTGCCCTGATCCACACTGGGCTGGCACAACCTGCTTTCCTGTCTGTCTGCCCTGTGAGATCCCTGAGGCCATGGCTGTGACTTGTTCACCTTGTTCTTGGTGTCTGGCACCTGAGGGTGGGGTGGGGCTCTGTGTCTGGTGAATGAGTGAATGAATTCTGGCCAAGGCCTCAAAGACACCCAGCCCAATGAGCTGAGTGGGGTGGTGTGGCCCAAATGGTGTGTTTGGACACCAGAGAGCCCACATTGCTGCCAGCCGTCAGGGTGGGCACAAAGGAGGGTAGTCCAGGCCGGCTCCAGGGCTGCCGCACTCCCCTTCCCATGATAGGTCCCCTGGGCCAGGCCCAGGGCAGGCCCTTTCTGTGGGTGAATATAAATATATAAAACACACAGCGCACTCTTAGCTGCAAAACTAAAAATAGGAAGCGCGGGATCCGGCTCCCCAGGCTTCCCCAGCCACTGGACCACACAGGTGTGGCTGCGGATGTCGGGGCGATGTGGCCCCTCACCCCTCCCAGCTCTGGAGCCCTCATGGGGAGGAATGAGGGGCATTTTGGATTTCTGCCAGGAACAGTTCATTCTTTCACTCTGGCCTCCCTCCTGCCCCCGTCCCATTTGACAGCTCATTTCATTTACGACCCCAAAATGAACCGACCCACTGAGGTGTATTCTCTACTCACGTGGCCAGGCTGGGTTGTTTGGTGCAGCTGAGAGCTGCCCTCTGGGCCATGCTGGGGGGCTGCATTTATGCGGGGGTGCAGTCTGGAGCAGAGGAGAGGCCGGGGCTGAGGAGGGAGGCAGGGCTGGGTCTGCATCCAGCCCTGCCCTCCCCTACCCACGGCACTGGCCCCACCCCGCGCCATCTCCTCAAGCCCTCACCAGGCCCTAACGTGGGAATGTGTCATCTCTGGCCTGTAGCCTCACTGCCAGGACATCCATTGCTCAGTGTAAAAGCCAAAGCCATCCCCATGGCCACAGCCCAACAGTGGCAGGGCTGCTCCTAGGGGCCGGCAAGGCGGGTCCATCTGGGCCACTTCACCCCACAGGAGGCCACTTCTGGGAGCCCCCAGGCCACAGCCGGCTCTCTGGGTCCATCATTGGGCCCATCTGGGCCAACCTCAAGCTGTGGGGGCTGAAGAAACTGGAGGGACTCAAAGTCCAGCCCAGATCAACAGGACTCCTAGAGCCTCCAAAGCGGAATTCTGGAGTCCAGGGGCTCCCAGGCTGTGGAACTAAATGGCTTCCTCAATCTGAACTGGCTTCTACATGACCTAAGCTCTTGCTGGTGGCTCAGGGGACATGGGTGGGGCTGGGCCCAGGGTCCAGGAGGCCAGGGTTGTAAAACTATGAAAGTCAACCCTGCCTTCAAGCCAGGTACACCCTGTCCCAAAGCAGACGATTATGGGGTGTGGGGTCCTACTCCACACCTGGCACACGGCCGGTGCTCATTCAGCGTATGACCAAAAAGGGAGACTCAGAGAGGGACAGGGACCTCCCACTGCCACACGGCTCGGGAAGGGAAAACCTTCCCCACATCAAGACCTTTAGCTGGCCCTTTCGGGAATGAGTCACCTGAGGTTGGGAAGTTCTTCTTAATACCTTACCTGAATTCTTGCTGTAACCAAGGCAGCCTCTCCTCACCCTTGTCCAAAGGGGATGATGTCCACTCTCTCCACCTGCTGCCCAGGGATGCCGCCCCCTATTGCCACCTGCAGGCTGCTGTGGCTACTGCAGCACTTCCTCCCGCAGCCCTGGGACCTCAGGCAAGCTGAGACTTCTCGGGACCTTGAGTTTCCCCTTGGCAAGCTGGGTGTGCTGGTTCGTGCCTGCTAGGGTGCAGGTGATGGAGATTTGAGTCAGGAACTCTGGAGGGCACAGCTCCTCTCCGATCTGCTGTGGCACCAAAGTGTGCCTGGTGAGGAGTGCTACCATCCCCTACAAAGTGACCCCAAATAAATAGAAACAGTTTTGGCCATGTAGATGCCGTTTCAGGACCAACCCTGGCAGAGGCTGCCCAGAGCAGACCAACAGAGAAGTTCTGTAGCCACGGCTGAGGTCCTGTCCAGAGATGGACCTGCTGTCTTTTGGGTAAAAGGGGATGCCGGGCTAGGGAAATGGAAGCTTCTTGTTGGGAGCTGAGTTTCAGGCAGACCAACCAAACTGAGCAGGGCAAAGCTTTGGGAGTGGTTTTTGAAGTCGGTGGGCATCACTCAAAAATAAGGTCTGTTTTGTAAAAATTTCCCTTCACAAATCCCAACTGGCCAGGCTCTGGGCTGTGTGTTGGTACAAATCCCAAGTGGACCAGGCCTCCTTGCTGGCAAGGTGGGAGGGGGGCTGTCAAGCCAGGTCCCCACACCATCACACCCATGCTACCATTGTTGGGCTGTGGTCCCAGTTCAGCCATGGACAACCCCAGGGAGACATGGACCTTGATGACACTCCTTCTTTGCACCGCAGTTGTCTCATCTGCAAAATGGGGGCACTGAAGTTGCCGCTTACTCCCAATCCCCACTGCTGCTAGCTTGCCACAGATCTTGAAACACGAGCCTCAGAGGGGGGTTCTCACCAAGGCACTTGGACTCTCCCTCTGCCTCTGCCCCCTCCCGAAATGTGAATCTGAGGAACAGGCATAGGAATTCCTCCCAACACGGCTGGGAAGACTCACAGCCCGCTCATGATTGGTGGAAGGGTTGTGGCACTTTGAAGACCTATTTGATGCTCTCCTGGGGTCCCAGCCATACAGGAGCAGGCCTCACCGGCTGTCCTGTGGCCAGGGTGGTCTCTGCGGCCATTCCTGAAGAAGTTGGAAGCAAGGAGATGAAGGTGCTGGGTGTCTCTGTTCCTGTTCCTCCTGGGCAACAGCAGGAGGTCTCCATCCTCTCCCCCACCCCACCCCACCTCCATGCATAGCCCTAGAAACCGGGCACTGGACTCCTTCCACACATCTCAGAGTTATATTATTGTAACAAATCAGTCAAAATTCCATTTTACAGTTAAATAGTACAGAAGACAGTTTACTGTACAAGCAAGTTGTGCGTTAAAAACAAACACCAAGCAAACGATAGTGCAAAGCAGTTTCCACCCAGCTCCATCCTCTCGCCAGCTCTGGGATGGTTTTACATCAGATGAGTGCAGCAGGTGTCACACCTCAGCATGACAATATGTCACAAAAGATTGGTACCCACTACTGACAGGCTCACAGTAACACTATATCAAAACGTCTTCCTTTCCTCGTGCTTCCTACATCAGTGTGTTTGCCTAGTACAACTTTAACGCAGCCTTGTAAATAAGGACCTACTTTTACCAGCCCAGGCTGTCTGTACCCACTTTGGGCCTTACAGACTCAGTACGGCTGCCGTCACTTTTTGTCAGGGGATGGGGGATGGGGTAGGAAGAGCAATTTATTTACTATCCCTGCCTCTCCAGGATCAGGAAGGGTTAGTAATCTGGGATGAGACTACAAAGTGCTGGGCACTGGGAACCCAAAGGTGCCTCCCACGCTGACCTGGGACCAGCTATAACCAGAGAACAGGAGGGAAGAAACTACAAGGACAATGGATTCATAGCTGCTTCCTAAGAAGGCATGGAGAGGCCCCTTGGGTGCAGGGAGTCAGCAACTATTTTGAGGAGATGGAGACTGTTTTTCCAGTGAGGACAGGCCAAGAGAAACCGCAGCAGGAGGGAATGGAATAGGATCACCAGAAGGACTGCCTAACCTGCCAGTGTGTCTCTGGTGTATGGTTCTGGCCGTTGTGACAGGTTGGGTGGGGACAGTGCTCTCACAGAGACAACCAATGAAGAGCATTTTGTAGGGCAGATTTCTGCATCCACAGAGGCCGAGGCAGAAAGTTAAAATACCGCATGCTGCTAGCCTTTATGAGTTCCCTTACGCCTTTTCTAAGCCTTTCTAGGGCCAGAGAACTCTGATGTGAGAATCCATGCAGCCTGGCCCTTGGGCAAGCGCCCACTTTCCCATTTTGCAAAATTCAGGGGCAAGACTTCACCTCGGAACGCAGTGCAGCTGAGCTGCGGCTGGAGAGCCCTTTACAGTGCTTCTGTCCTGCCACGCACAGCCAGTACTCCCCACCTCTCACATCCTGCCCACCTCCGCCCAGCCTCCTGGACAGATGTCCTAGAGCCACAGAGGAGAGATGCCCAGCGTCTCATCAGCGTTTCCCTCGTCCTCCCAGGGGAGCCTGTGGTGCAGGCTGGTGGGATGCTGCCTGATGGGGAGTGTAGCCCCTTGAGAAAGTATTGAGACCCTAATAACCCCACACCCTCAGGAGGCAGCTGGGGGTCCGCGGGGGGGAGAGGGGGCGGGGATGTTGCTTATAATCACAGAGCTATCATAATCACGGAACTATACCTGTAAGAGACCTTGTGTTTGAAAACGTTAGATTAAGCTTCTTTTTCTAAAATCAGTTTTAAAAACTGTTTTGTTTTTTTTTTGTTTTTTTGTTTTTTTTTTTTTTTTGCTCAGGACTATTTGCTTTCAGAGCACAAAACAGGTTACAGACAGGTGTGTGCCAGGAGTCGCAAGATTTGGCTGGATCCTCCCAGGAGGCTTGGGGGATGGGGCACAGCTTGGCTGGACCCAGGGGGGACAGGGACATTGATGTCTGACCCAAAATGATCCCTCACCTCAATGCCTTCTGCTAGGACCTATCTATCTGGCCCTCCTGTTCTCTCCACAAATGGAATTATGAGACCACCTAGGGGAAAGGGGACCTCCTATCCCCCCTCCCCCGCCCTGCCAAGAGAACAGAGAGTGGATGCGTTGAGCTGGTAAAGTGCATGGAGGAGCCGGTCTGTAGGTGCTTTCCTGGGTTTAAGAACCTGATGCCATAGACTCATCTTCTCTGGGGCCTGGGACCCGTGCGGCTGGGGGAAAGCCAACAGTTAGGAACGGAGGGGAAGCTGGGCTGGGGGGACTGGCTTGGATGTGTTCTCAAACCATCTCTGCCAGCAGCGTGCTGGGTCCTGCCCCATCTGTACAATGAGGGGAACCCCGCTCGAGGGTGGTGGGGGTGGGGGACACTTTCCAGTTCTGACTCAAATCTGTGTAAATGCAGAGGGGGCTGGACCCAGGGGATGCAGGGGCTCCAACGAAGGTGCAGGGGTCGGGAGGTTTCCCAGGGCCTGAGGCTTATCCTGTGGGCCAATGCTGCCTCTCTCTGGAAGAGAGATGGCCTCTGTCCCAGGAGACATGGGTCCCATGCAGCACTGGGCATAGCTGGAGACAGTGAGGTCCTTCCGGGGGGGTGGCAGGAGGCTGATTCCCCACAGAAGTATGGGATGAGACGGCCAGGATCTGGGCCGGGGGCAGTATCCCGGGCCGGGGTGGGGGTGGTAACCTATGCCTCTGTACAAGGATGTGGCTGCACAGATGCAGCCAGAGGCTCCCACCAGCTGGGACCACCCTGGGACCGAGACCACCCTGGAGCGCAGGTCCCATTCCCGCCCGGAGCCTCGGAGCCGGCCCATCACTGGTCTTGAAGGTTGTTAGGGTCCCCGCCTCCAGCGGGAGGAGTCCACCAGGGCGGTCAGTAGGGCCGCCACACGGCCTCATCCATGCGGCCTGGCGTGCTCAGGGCCGTGGGTGAGTTGCTGTGGCTGCCGTCGGCCTCCACGCCATCACTCTGGCCGCCCAGGCTGGGGTTCATGAGGTTGCCGGCGGCGACAGAGGCAGCGCTGCTGGTGCAAGAGGCCAGCATGCGGGTAGGTGAGCGGTCGCCCCCACTGCTGCTGCCGGCCACCATGGAGAACTGGTAGGAGCCAGAGGATGTCCCGTAGTAGAGGTGGTAGGGGGACGGGTTGGCCTGGAAGGGCCCGCTCTGGTTCTGCGGGGCCCCCGGGTAGGGTGGCGGGAGGTAGGTATGGTGGAAGCGGCTGGTGGCCGGCATGCCCGCCACGCTGAGGCTGCTGATGCTCGTGCCCGAGGGCGTGGCGCTGTAGGGGAAGGCAGCTGACATGGCCCCGGGATAATGCATCCTGGGGTCTGGGAAGCGGCTCTCCGTGAGGGTTGGCAGCGTGGGGAAGGAGCGGTCAAACTGGCGGGGGTCGGAGAATGGGTTCAGTTCCGAGGTGCCTGGAGGACAGCAGGGAAGAGGTCAGTTCCAGCTCGAGACAACCCCAGGAGGGCTTCCTGAAGAATGACCTTGGGCTCTGGTTCCCAAGGCCCATCTGGGGGACCCCTAGTTCTAGACCTGGCTCTCCTCTTCCTGCCCTAGGCTGCCCGGGGCCTCCCCCGCCAGGACTCCGAACACAGACCTGCCGGGAAGCTGGTTGGAGCGTGCCCCGGGCCAAGAGGGGCCATGGGAGCCCCCCCACAGCAGCAACAGAACAGAGGAGGGGGTCTATTCTTCTTTTTAAATCCTCCTTCCCAGCCTCGCAGAGGAGAGGCCTAGGATGCGGTGGTGGGGCTGAGGGCAGAGTCAGCTCAGGCCTCCCAGCAGCCCTGCCCAGGCAGGTTCCTCTCCCCACCGGCCCATGTTAACAGCTGGGAAGGCCGTGGATGTGTAAAGGGCTCCAATGACCGTGTGAGACTGGGAGTTGGAACCCGCTTTTGAAGACAAGAAAATGGAGGCAGAGAGAGAGCAAGACTGAGTCTCTGTGGCAGAGAAAGGACTGGTTCTCATCACAAGGCCTCTGCTGGGGACACACGTGCCTCTCCTGCCCAGGTGCAGCACGCGGAGGTTCTGTGCGCTCACACCTGGGTTGTGGGCACTGAGTTCACAGGAGCTCTGGCCTCCACCTCACCCTGGGCCTGTGTCTCTGGAGCCGACTCGTGGCCACACAGTGACTGGATGCCACCCTAACCTGCCTTGGCAGCAAAGTGAGACAGCAGTCAGACAAACTTGGGGACCCAGACCCCAACCTGGTCACAGTGTCCAGCCCAGACTCTGCCCCTGCTCCCCCAGGAATGTGGCTTCTCAATGGGCTCCAAGGCAAGGGTGTTCCATCCTCTGTCCCCAACTTTTGTCATCACAGACCCCCAAAACCTCAGCATTCAAAGGGGCTCAGGGATTGAGTCTAACACCCTTGATGGGGAAACTGAGGCCCAGACAGGGTGAGGCACTTCCCTCAGGGTCACACAGCACATTGGACCTGGCACACAATCCTAGGGCCTCTGGTCCTGAGCCCCAACACGTACTTGAGAGGGAGCTGTCCCGTCTTTGAGGCAGCACAGGATCAAGGCTTACTGTGTGGCTTCTGGAGCCGGACAGTTATCCTGGTTTGGACACTTACTAGCTTTGTGTCCTTGGGCAAGTCACTTAACCTCTCTGCGCATCAGTTTCCCCATATAAAACATGAGACGATAACAGTTCATCAGGATTCAGTTAATTCACATCGAGTACTTAGAATGGCACTGGGCACAGAGCAGGGGTCCATGAGGCTTTGCAAGGCCACTGTGGCTGTGGTGTCTCTTACTCTGGGTACCCAGGAGAACTGGCTCATTCAGGGCCCTGCCAAGTTGAGGCCCTGGTGCAGGGCCTCCCTTCTACTCTGGCAGCCGGGGGAGGTGGATGAGCCCCCAGCAGTGGTCCAGAGGTGCAGTCTGTCCAGCCCAGCAACCCCTCTGTGTCACCCACCAAAGGATAAGGGCCGGTGCTAGCCGGAGTGGGCTCTGCCTGCCACGCCGAGGCTTGGCTGAGGACGGAGAGCTATGAGCCTGAGGTGTGTGTGACTTCGGCTGGGACTTGGAACTTCTCGGGGCTTTGGGGTCTTCCCAAGTCAGCTGGGGTATGTTTCCCTCAGCAGCGTACTCTGGCCCTGGGCGTGGATCCGAACGGAGTGATGCTCCTGGCTTAAGGTAAGAAGATGTGGGGACAGCAGTCTGGGTGGCGGGGGCCTTCTGGGACATCTGGGATGTTCCCTAGTAGGTCACTTGGCTGTCCCGGCCCCTTGAGGCCGAGAGCCTCCGAGGCACCTGGCTGCCAGTTTTCATCTGGGGAGCCCCTCGGGGGGAGAGGTCCTGTTGCAGGTGCTGGGCACGTCAGCACAGCTGAGATGGGTGGGGTGGAAGTGGGTGCTGGCCGCCTGATGGGAACCCCATTCTCAAGACGAAGGAAACAAATGGGGACCGCAGGATACAACGGCAGGACTGTGCCCCTCAGAGCTCACGCGGGCTGCAGGGCGCTGGGCTGGGCCTCCCTGGACCTGCCACCATCCCCTCCAGCCTCTTTCCTCAGGGCCACCACCCCTCCTCCGGGGTGGTGGGGGAAGTACCTGCCCTCAGCACTCCCTCAGACCCCCCAGCAGCTTCCTTGGAGCTCCTGTACCCCCACCCTGCGGCCTCGCAGCCCCAGGAAACCCGAGCTGCCCGGGGCACTGTCGAGTGGCCAATCCCAACAGTGGAAAGAAATGTTTATTTTCTTCTCCAGATTGTCCGGGCTGCTGCATGGTGGCTGAATGAGCCCTTTCAGCTGTGAGAAGCCCCCATTGTGGGCGGCTGCGGCTGGGGGCTGGGGCTGGGGTATGGGAGGTGCTGGGGTCTCTGCACTGCTTGCCAGTGACCAATATTGGAGGGTCAAAGCACTTAACAGGCACCGAGGGAAGTGGTGGTGGGGTGTCCCAAGGGGGATCCCCAGGAGGGAGTCCGAGGGCAGAGGGAGGAGGGCCTGTGAGAGTGACTTCCCAAGCCTAGGTCTGCCAGCAACCCCTCTTTGTCAGGGACCTCCTTCTCCCCACTTCACAGATGAGAAAACTGAGGCTGAGTTTAAGTGACTTGTCTAAGATCATACAGCCAATGCCTGGCAGAGCCTGAATTCCTAGCCTGGTCCAGCTGACTGCAGAGTTCATGCTCGCCCTGTCCTGGTCATCCGAGGCCCTTTCTCTCACCCAAAGGGGATGGGCCTGAGGATGGAGATGCCTGGCTGCCTGTGGCCCAGTGCTGTGGGGGGCTAGCGAGGGACTGGGCCAGGCCTCAGGAGGGAGCAGGCAGAGAAGCAGAAGTCAGCCACTGCCCCACACAGGCTGGGCTCCTTTCCTCCCAGCCCAGGATGGAAGCAGCAGCTGTGCCTGCCGTGGGGCCAGGCATTGATTCCCAAGCTGTGCCCACCCAGCAGTGGATGGGCAGATGTGGGCTCTCCTTCCATGGGGGCTGGTGGACAGGAAGCCACTGTTCACCCCACCTCCTGGATTCTGGCTCCCCCGCTGAGCCCCGATCCCCTGGCCTGGCTCTGTCCATGGCAGAGAAAGGCTGGCTCTCAGGCTACTGCACCTCGACAGATGCTGGCCCATGGGTAGCAGAAGCAGAGGCAGCTACGCGGCAGGGGTGGGCGTGAGCACAGCGTGCAGGGCTCCTTCCGCTACCTCTTGAGAGCAGACCTCCAACTCCTGGGCTCGAGAGCTGAGAGTCTCAAATGCACTAGCTCCTGGGCTCAGAGAGGCTGGGCCTGGGGCTTCTCCCAACCTTGGCGTCTCAGCAGGACCAAGGCCAAAAGTCCTGAGCCCAGGCCAGAAGGGGAGGGGTCCTCTCTTCACACTGAAGGCCTGCATCCAGCCCCTGGCTGCAGCACTATGCCTGGAACAATGTCAGTAGAGAGACCCAGTCGGCCCCCACCTCAGCGTGGCACCGGAAAAGGGGGTGGGGCAGGCAGACCGGTTGGCAGCCCTGTTCCAGGCCCCTTTATCTGTCCCCTCAGAAGTACAGAAAGTTCTTGGGAGCAGGTACTGTGGAGACTGTGGACCTGGTCACAGATGGGCTGTGTGACCCGAGGGTGGCTCTGAACCTCTTAGGCCTCTCAATTCATTCATCTGCCAAGGGGTTCTAACCAGGCTCTGGGGAATTGAGAAAGAATGGGCACAGTCCGTGACGGCAGCCAGCTGCCTGCCTCTGTCCACCCGGCCACCAAGCACCCTTGGCACCCCACTTAGCCCAAGGGCCGGCTGTGCACACAGCCTCCCATGTCCCCAGCTCACTGACTGAGAGAACAGAGGAGAGATGCAGCCGGCAGCCGTTTAGTGAGCGGCTACTATGCGCCAGGCACCTCGATACTCCAGAAGACCTGCCTGAGGCCTGGCTGCAACTGTGCTTGCTGTATCCGTCTAGGCAGTGGAGATGGAGACCCCAGCTCGGTCTTCCCTTCCACCTCAGCTCCTCCTGTTTGGGAGGATGCTCTGGGCAGGGTGGGAGACCTTTCCCAGGAATGCTATGTGCCTCTCTAGGGTTGGAATGTCACTTAACAGTGTGCAAAGTTTGTGTGAGTACAGTAATGTCATTTGAATGTCATCCCAGCCCTGGGTGGAGGCATCCGCCCCAATCCACTTTCAGATGAAAAATCGCAGGCTGTGGGGCAGGGGTGGGGAAACTGTACATGGCAGGGGCGAGTCTGTCACGGCTCCTTGGACAAGTCATGCCCCAATTTTAATAGGGGCACTATGGGGTTAACCCCATTTCCCCAGGCACAGTGAACTCCTGGTATGCAGATCCCTGGGGCCAGGCACCAGGCATGTGTCAGTAATGTCAGTGTTTGCTGAGTGAACGAATGATGGCTAGCACACAGAAAGCCCACAGGAACCGTCTGCAGGTGCCAATGAGCACCAGCAGCTCCTCTACAAAACAAGGGGGTGCAGTGACTGATCTTCGGACAGGCTTTTGGTCTGGGGCAGATTGGACCACATCGAGGCCCTCCACCCCCACCTCACCCCGCTGCAGCCCCTCCCTCCGTGCCGTACCTTGGATTGGGGTCTGGGGCTGGCTGCTGAAGTGGCTTGTGGTGCTGAGTGAGCCTCGGGGGCTGGGTGTGCTCGGTGTCACCCGCATGCGCAGCCGTTCCAGGTCCCCAAAGCGGTCAGGGAACGGCTTGGTCTGGTCCTCCAGCTTCTGCCGGTGCCCTGCAGAGCACAGGAAGCCCATCAGCCGTTGCTTCCCCAGAGTCTCAGTGGAGACAGAAATGCCTCACTCTGCTGGGAAGTTCTTCCTGAGGTCTGACCTTAGGCCTCTGCTGGGAGAACCCTGAGGTCACCGCCAGCCTCTTCACAGAGGTTTTCAAAAGACTTTCTGAACAGAGAATGGTCGTTATGTGCCACCCCACATATCTAAACCTCTACAACACACGGTGATCCAAACCTCTACAACACGCGGTGATCTAAACCTCTACAACACGCGGTGATCTAAACCTCTACAACACGCGGTGATCTAAACCTCTACAACACACTGTGATGTAAACCTCTACAACACGCGGTGATCTAAACCTCTACAACACACGGTGATCCAAACCTCTACAACACACGGTGATCTAAACCTCTACAACACACGGTGATCTAAACCTCTACAACACACTGTGATGTAAACCTCTACAACACGCGGTGATCTAAACCTCTACAACACACTGTGATGTAAACCTCTACAACACGCGGTGATCTAAACCTCAACCACACGCGGTGATCTAAACCTCTACAACACGCGGTGATCTAAACCTCTACAACACGCGGTGATCCGAACCTCAACCACACGCGGTGATCCGAACCTCTACGACACACGGTGATCCGAACCTCTACGACACGCGGTGATCCGAACCTCTACGACACGCGGTGATCCAAACCTCTATGACACGCGGTGATCCGAACCTCTACGACACGCGGTGATCCGAAGCTCTACGACACGCGGTGATCCGAACCTCTACGACACGCGGTGATCTGAACCTCTATGACACGCGGTGATCTGAACCTCTACGACACGCGGTGATCCAAACCTCTACGACATGTGGTGATCCAAACCTCTACGACACACGGTGATCCAAACCTCTACAACACACTGTTTGGCAGAAGAGGAAACTGAGGGCCAGGTGCAGTGGCTTACGCCTATAATCTCAGCACTTTGGGAGACTGAGATGGGAGGATCAGTTGAACCCAGGAGTTTGAGATCAGCCTGGGCAACTATCGAGACCCCTGTCTGTACAAAAATTAAAAAAAAAAAAGAAAAAAGAAAAACTTAGCCAGGTGGGGTGGCACAAGCCTGTAGTCCCAGCTACTGGGATGACTGAGGCAGGAGGATCACTTGAGCCCAGGAGGTGGAGGCTGCAGTGAGCTGATTGTACCACTGCATCCCAGTCTGGGCAACGGAACAAGGACCCTAGATCTAAAAAAAGGAAACTGAGGCAACAGACATGAGAAAGTGGCTCATGCCCCCAAGGGAGGCAGGGAGATAACCCAGGAGCACTGCCACCCTCTGCCTCCCAGCATCCCAGCCTGCCTTGCACACTGTCTCCCATGTCTACAAGAACAATGGGAGGTGGCCCCAGGAGGGGACTGCAGGCTTTTCCAGCCCTAAGTCACTCTGGGATCCCCAGAACATGCCTTCTTCTCTCTGGGCCTCAGGCAGAAAAATAACTCCACCAGGATGCTGGGCAGAGGTGTAGGGGGCTTGCATGAGGGACTAGACAGCCATCTCTGCCTGGAAGCTGGGGTCAGGGGACGAGATGTCACACCTGGAGAAAACTGCCAGCATTTTCCACTCCCTATCTGCCAGAGCCCACACAGGAAGAATCCCAGCCTCACATCCGAGGACTCAGAGGTGCTGGGAGGGTCAAGGTGGCCAGGCTCCCACCCTCCTGCGGCCTGCTGAGGCCGAGGGACACTTCTGGAGTGATATCAAGCTTGCAGGGACCTCCCCCGCCACACACACTTTTTTAATTACTAATTTTACATTTCACAAGCAACACGTGAATATTTACAAAAATAAAAGCATTACAGATAAGGCTCTGTCCACCGCTCTAAGCTCCTCTCCAGAGTCCCCACCGTGACCAGTTTCTTTCCAGACATTTTTCATCTTCCATGAATGGAAAACGCAAAGTAGGCTTCTCATGGAACTCTCTTGAACAGCCTCAGTCCGGGTGTGTCATTCTGTAACTTGCTTTCTTAGTAGCACACCTTGGAGCTCAAACTCAGTTTCCCTATCTGCAAAATGGGGACAGTAATCCAGCCCCACAGAAATGACGGAGTTCCCATAAAACCCTGGGGATCCTCCCTGCTACGGAAGGGATTCAACAAGCATGGCGAGAATGACGCTGCTCTCCCTCTTTCCTGCTGGCCACTGGAGGCACAGTTCACTCCGCAGTCCTCTCCACCCACATTTCAGTCCTTCTCAAGCTTCCCCTTTAGTTCCCTTACATGCAACACTCCCGGGAACGTCCCTGTTCGCACCCCCTAGTGGCTGCAGCTTCTCCAGGGCTGACCCGAGGAAAGGACGGCTCCCTTGGAGGACTGTGCACTCCAGGGTTCGGCTGATCAACCCTAACACGGTCACGGCCATTCTACCTCACGTGACTTGGTGGGAGGCTGCCAGTCAGGCAGGGTGGCCAGGCCCTCTTTTACAAGTAAGAGAACTGCAACTGCGGAGAGGCGAGGAAGCTTGTTGGAGGCCACACGCCGAACAAGGGGTGGGATTTCCTGGACCTGGGACCCTTTAGAAAAGATGGAGGCTAGGCATGGTGGCTACGCCTGTAATCCCAGCGCTTTGGGAAGCCGAGGCGGGCGGATCACCTGAGTGAGGTCAGGAGTTTGAAACCAGCCTGACCAATATGGTGAAACCCCGTCTCTACTAAAAGTACAAAAATTAGCCGGGCGTGGTGGCGGGCGCCTATGATCCCAACTACTTGGGAGGCTGAGGCAGGAGAATCGCTTGAACCCGGGAGGCGGAGGTTGCAGTGAGCCAAGATCACACCACTGCACTCCAGCCTAGGTGACAGAGCAAGATTCCATCTCAAAAAAAAAAAAAAAAAAAAATGTGGGAGGGGGTAAGGGGGAGGAGAAGGTTTGCCTAAGGCCTTGGGTCTAGAATGACATGTGCGTTTTCTAGTTTGGCAGAGGGAGAAGAGGCAAGATGTAGGTGGGAGGTAAAACAGAACTCACTGCGCTTCTTGGGGCCTGAACAAGTGATTGCTGGGGACTCGAAAAGTGGGAAAAGCCTGTCGACCACTGTAGGGCATGAGGGGACAGAGCCCGAGGCCTCGCATGGGCCTGATTTCTGATTTTCAGAATGGGAACGCAATGGATTCTGGTACTTGTAGGCCCCCAAGCTCCCTACGCATCCCTGTTGGAAGCTCAAACAGGTATCTGGGAGCCTCAGAAAGAAAGCAGGGGGCCTGGGAGCCACAGGGGCTCAGCCAGTCACCAAGAACCAGGGAGCCCCACCTTCTCCTCCAATGAGGCCCCAGACCAGGAATCCATGGGACACTTGGTGGCAGGAATAAGACCATTTGGTCTCTGGCCAGGCCCCCACTGCTGCCTCCCAGGGCCCTTGGCAACAAAGGGGAAAACATGGGCTGGGGGCGAGTTTAGCTGGAGCTGGGGCTGCAAACTCAGATGCCCATGGGGATGGGGCAAGTCACGTGAACGAGGCAAGTGGGATGGGTGGGGCCTGGAGCGGATGGGGAGGAGATGCCTTGTGGAAAGCACCTGACTGCTACCCTGAGGAGGGCAGGCCCAGTACGGCCAGAGCTTCCAATTCCAGACCGAGTCCTCAGCCCTAACAGGCCTTGGAGGAAATGTTGTCCTTGCTCCTGAGGCCACTGGAAATGGCAGGGAGATGTGGATGAGCTGGGGGACAAGTGAGCAGAAGAATCTTAACAGGCATGAAGCCTGCCGGGTGGACGTGGGGACCACAGACTGATCCGACAACAGCCTGAGTGCAAAGGATCTGGGTGTTTTAGTCAGCCACAAGCTTGAAGGGAGCCAATAGGGCTGGTGCAAAACCTCAGGCCTTGTTACTTTCGTCACAGGAGAATAAAGTCCCCTGTTTCTGAGTCACACCATGTACAAAGAGTGTTTACAGTTACTCCTGCGGCCTGGCGGAAGAGGGCGGGGTTGACAGCCAGCCTGGGTTCGAGGACGGGTCCTGTCACTTGCAGTCTGGTGGCCTCACTCAAGTCACACTCCTTTCCCCCACCCCGAGCTGCGGTGTCCCCATCACACTGTCTTTGTGGGTTGAGGTGCTGGCCTAAGGTGTGGACACTTTCCAGTCACGTGGGTCACCACCATCATGACCATCGCTTTTATCTCTGCTCATGCCCAAAGGAAGCAGAACTATCATCCCCATGCTGGAGACCGGGGTGTGGAGGCCAGGATGCTGAAGTCGTGTGAGGAACACAGAGCCTGAGCAGCAAGGCAGGATTCACACCCGGATCCCCCGACTCCAAGCCCAGGGCTCTTTTCCTGACACTTTCCCTTTTGTTCCCATTGTTTAGACGGGGCCACCGAGGCTTCACCATGAGACCGACGCTGAGCGCCTGTTCCGGGACCCAGGCTGTGGGTCAGGTAATCTGACCCCGGAACCCACGCTCCCACCACATGCTCCCTTGCCCTCCGTAGGGCAGACTTCCCGGAGGAGGGGAGTCCAACAGCACTTCGGAAATAGCTTCCTTGTTACTGTGGAACGCTGGAGCCACTGCCAGGGAGGGGAGAGGGGAGCCAAGGCGGCCCCACGTGGCCAGGGCGCCAGAGAGTCTCAGAGCCACAGGGCCAGGGCTCTCACACTGGGAATAGGACAGAAGTTCCAGTGCCTGAGGAAAGAAGATGGTCTTCAGAAAAAGCCTCTTTCATTCGGTTACCCAGAGCAAGAGCTGCGTGGGGAGCTCTGGCTCTAACCCACTCCGTCACCTTGGGCCCAGTCCTGCTACGCCTCAGTTTCCCCTCTGCACAGTCTGCTCACTGAGGCCCCTTCCTTTTGAAAGTCCCTGATTTAAGGTAGCAAAGATCAGCCGCTGGTCAGAGGGGCCCCAGAAAGAAAAGAAGGCAGGGCTGCTGGCCCCAGGGCCCACCCACTACCACTTCTTCCTGCTGCTGCTGTTCCCAGTATTTCTTGAATATTCTCTGCCCCCCACTCTTCAGAGCCTCAGCTCAGGACAGCCTCTGCCAGCAATGCTTTCTGTCCTGTGAAGCCCAGTCCAGGAGCCCCTCCTCCAGGAAGCCCCCCTTCTCCCACAGTAGATCCCCATCACACCTCTGCAGGCTAGGGCTGTCCTTTAAAGCAGTCGCCAGCAGGAGTGGAAATCATCAAAACGGCAGCAGATGCTTGCTGGGTGCTTCCTCCACGGCAGCGTCTAAGCAGCTGACAAGCACCATCTTGTTTCGCCTGGCAGCATCCCCTTGAGTAATGTCTGCCACCATCCTATCATATGGGTGAAAAAACTGAGGCTCTGGACAGCCAGTGAGCTCAAGGTCAAGCAGAAGACACACAGCCACCTGCTCTCCCTAGAGCCTGTGAAAACACATCTATTGTGGCGGAAGAGGGCGGGGTTCACAGCCAGCCTGGGTTCGATACATCAATAGATGTATCGGGACTCCACAATAGATGTTAGGGCCCCGTCCAGCCCCAGGCCCAGAGCTGCTATCTGCAGGCCCAGGAGGATAGGACTTGGGAGAGGAAGATGAGAAGGTCTCAGTGGACTCCACCAGGGGCCCTTCCCT
This sequence comes from Homo sapiens, assembly GCF_000001405.40. Lineage (NCBI taxonomy): Eukaryota > Metazoa > Chordata > Mammalia > Primates > Hominidae > Homo > Homo sapiens. The sequence continues at coordinate 24,912,992 of NC_000001.11, forward strand.
GCTCTGAAGCTCAGGGTTGAGAGTGCAATTTCCAATCATACCCTGCTCTAGACCACCAAGTCACTCTCTGCCTCTGGGCCACAGTTTCCACATCTGTAAAGTGGTTATCATACTGTCTAACCCCTGAGGGTGCCGATGAGCTGGAGGACAGGCCACATGCTTTTAAAAGCAGAGGACTGAGATGGCTGGGGAAAGCCCCGCGTTGGCCCTCAGGGCCTGTCCTGGCTGCTGTCAGCCTCCAGCTGCTGGGCTCAGATCAGACAGCTCCTCCAGCATGGCCTGGATTAGTGTCTATGACCCTCACTTATGGGAGGGCAGATCCCAGCCTGCCCCTCCCAAGGGCCCAGTGGCCCCAAGCTCATACCAGGCAGCTCTCACCCACCAGTGGTCACTGTCTTGGGCAAGCCACTCTTGCCTTCTGGGCCTCAGCTGTCTTATCTGCAAAATGGGGATCACACCTCTAACCCCCGAGGGTCAGGAAAGGTTTCAAGAATTACACAGCCCACCAGGCCTTGGCCTTTGAGGAAGGTGTTCTGGGTTCCCATTCTGACTTGGCCATCTGCTCCTAGGCAAACAGCTCCTCTCTGATGCGTCTGTGCAGTGGGGGTGACCCACCTCACAGGCATATGATAAAGGCCAAAGTGGGAGCAGGAATGCTGGGCCCCAGCCAGTCTGGGGACTCACCAGGGTCACGCAGTGTGGGAGCTAGAGGACCAGGGCTGGATTCTGGGTTGGCAGCTCCTTTACCACTGTCCCCAGGGAATCCTTCCCCACCACCAGCCTGGCCAGCCTGGGGTCCTACCCCCGCCAGGTACCTGATGCTTCTGGGGGAACCAAGAGACCATCAGGGTTACCCCCTTGCCTCCATGCAGGCCCAACACAAGCCCCTGTCATAGGAGTGGCAACCATTTTAGCAGGCATCCATGATGTGCCGGGCACTGTGCAAGGGGGGCCATGCATGTCGTCTCCAAGGGTCATATCCCTCTGACAGGCTGTGACTATCACCCCCGTTTTACAGATGGAAAAGTGGAGGCACACGGTCAAGGTCACACGGTGTGTGGCACCCCTGAGATTCAAACCTGGAAAGGTCACACATGGAGCTCAGCTGCTAAGGTCATCGCTTCCCAAGACCTCCATGAGAGAAGAGCTGGGTCACCTGGCCGTAAGGTCCAGCTGGCAAGAGGCCAGCTCAGTGTTCAGCCTCTTGGGAAAAGCAGAGTCGGGCAGGGCCACAGGAACAGCATCGTCTGCTGGGGACAGTGTGGGCTCCAATGACCAGGCCCGTCACCCATCTGAAGCCACTCGGCAGCCTTCTTGGCCGCCTGGTGCGGCTGTGACCCAGACACAGCAGCCACTGTCTACCCAGCAGCAGGGTGGGGCGCCGGGCCCGAGGCCGGCTCTGCGGCCTGTCAGGAGATTTACACCCGACTCTTAACAGCCTCGCGGAATCGCAGGCGGGTGCCGGGCCTGGGGTGGTCTGCTGTGAATCGGCCCCCTGTGAGCAGATGAAAGCCGGGTCGGTGGCTGGGCAGGGAAACGGGCTGGCCGGGGGCCAGCGGGCAGGGAGGCGAGCGGTTCCCTCCCAGGGCTGCAAGTGGGGCTTCCAGAGGCCTGGGGTTGATTAGGAGAACCCAGGAGGTCTGTGGTTAACCCCTTCCCTCCTGCTGGGCAGACTCCGCTAGCCCTGCCCCTAGCGCAGGAGACACTCCTGGGGGTTGTGGGGATCTTGGGAGCCAGGGACCTGGAGCAGCTGCCTCTCCTCAGCCCAGGAAGAAACTACAGAAACTCTAAGGCCTTCAAAGGCCCAACTGCGGGCTCAGGGTCACTTCTCCTGCCCACGCCAAACCCTCGGCAGCCACACTCTGCTGGCTGCTCACTTCAGGCCCCTGCTCAAAGGTCACCTCTTCAGGAGGCCTCCCCGCCCCATCCCTTGTTCCATCCCTTGCACGCTCCACTCCTTCTCCCAGCTTTGTTTTTCTTCATAGGACTTCCTACTACCCGAAATGACATTAATGAATCATTTGCTTATTCATCAACGATTTATGGAGCAGCTGTGAAGGGCTCCTGCCCACATTCTCAGGGTCTAGCTATACCAGGGCCTGGCAAACCAGAGCAAAGAACTCTGCCCTTGTAGAGCATAAACAACAGGGGGCCGGGTGCGGTGGCTCACGCCTGTAGTCCCAGCACTTTGGGAGGCTGAGGTGGGCGGATCACTTGAGGTCGGGAGTTCAAGACTAGCCTGGCCAACATGGTGAAACCCTGTCTCTATTAAAAATACAAAAATTAGCTGGGTGTGGTGGCGTGTGCCTGTAATCCCAGCTCCTAGGGAGGCTGAGGCAAGAGAATCTCCTGAACCTGGGAGGCGGAGGTTGCTGTGAGCCGAGATCTTGCCACTGCACTCCAGCCTGGGCAACAGAGCAAGACTCCATCTCAAAAAACAAAACAAAACAAAATGGGAGAAATGAATAACAAATGAAACAAACTATCGGACTAGATAGCACCTTAGAAGGTGGTAGTGGTAAGTGCTCGGGGTAACCTTAAAGCCAGGAAGGAAAAGGGGGAGAGGTGAGGAAGGCTGTGTGTGTGCCACTTGAAACAGGCGGGCTGCTGAGAAGTGCAGAGGCTTTAGGGTGTGAAGGAGTGTGCCATGCATCTGGGGGTGTCCGGGGAGGAGTGTTCCAGATAGAAAAAAGAGCAGTGCAAAGGCCCCCGAGGCAGGAGTGTCCCTGGCAAGTTCAAAGACCAGCCAGGATACCAGGGTGGCCAGAGCAGGATGTGGGAGGGAGGGCAGGGGGTAACGGGCACAGGCTAGGGGGGCGTGAGGGCCTTTCCCCCACCGTGGTCCATGCCAGACTTGCCAGGTGTCACCGCCCCTCCTGCTGGGATCCTGGACCTGGCTCAGCAACCTGCTTCTTAACCAGCCCCCAGTGACTCTGAGGGACACCAGCACTGAGAACCTCAGAAACCGAGGCCACACAGGCAGGAAGCCACCAAGCCAGCCTTCAAACCCAGCTGGCCACCTGGCTGCAGGCCGGGCACGCTCTGCAGGGCACCAGAGGGGAACGACCCGGCCACAGAACCCACAGCCGGCCTCAGGGATCTACAGATTCCCAGTCCTTGGCTCCCAGGACCAGCCCCTACTCCCACTTCACCCCACAGCGGGCTCAGATTTCAGAGGGTCGGAGGTGGCAAAACAGGAAAAAAGCCGGGAAAGGAAGTCCAGGAGCACAAAAGGCCTGTAACAACCTGTGAAGGTTGTGGGGGCACTTCCTGGGGCCAGGCCCCGGTAAACTCAGTCAACCTTCACAGCGACTCCCCTAGGCAGACACCAATACCATCCATTTGACAGCTGAGCACACTGAGGTGAAAAGGCCCTTCCAAGTGGCCCTCACTTCCCGCAGCCCCCGGGTCGGAGCCCCCAGGGTGTGCTGACAGTCACCTTGGGCAAAAGGTTTTGCGCCCTGGCCTCTATCCTCTCCTGGGGTTGCCCAAGAGATCAGTTACTGGGGACTTTGCACAGGGCCTGACGCAAGGGAGGGGGTTGCTCAGTGACCAGGAGCCGCTGAGCTGGTCCCTTCACTCTTACAGATGGGGACGCTGAGGACCCGAAAGGCCAAGGATTTGTCCAGGGCCAAAGACAAAGGAGTGGGGCTGCAACCCAGGGTATGGGGGGGGACCTGATCTCAGGGCCAGGATATGCCAGGGACAGGAACAGGCAGGTCCTAAGGATGGGGGACCTAGTAGACTGCCCCCCGACTCCATCTCTGCTCTGTTCTGTAAATAAAACCACTGATCCAGCCGCTGCCGGGGCCCAGAGAGGGAGGTCACCTGTCTCAGGTGGTGCAGCAAGCCTGGCTTCTGACGCCGTGGGTCTCCAGGCCCAGCCTCTGTCCCTCCCTCTTGTTGCCTCGTCCTGAGCCACGCATTTACCTTCCAGCTCACCCCAGAAGGGGCCATCTCAGGTCTGGGAGACCCAGGCAGGGAAGAGCAGGCAGGGGATTCTGCTGGAATCTCCCACAGGCAGGGCTGAGTCTCCATGCTCATCCAGGGGTCCCAGCAGGGCAGAGTGGGCGGCTCTGGGGTGGGCTGGGCTGAGCATGGAGGGCTCTCAGAGGGGCCAACCTTGCCCGGTCCCTTGGATCTTCCCACCAAGCGTCAAGACCCCGTCCCGTGCCTCCCTCTTTCTGGAGTGGCTCCCCTCTTTCTGGAGTGGCTTCTGAGTGCCGCATCCCCACCCAGAGCCCAACTGAGGCTCCTGTCCATGCTGACCCTGCCCCTGGAGACATAGGGCAGGGCTGCCACCTCCTTCAATGGAGACTTGATACCTGCACCTCTATTACCAAGGCAGCCACCCAGCTGCTGCCCATGAGAGAGCTCACCGTTGACTAATGGTGGTGGTGGGAGTGCAGGAAGGGGGCTGGGTACTGAGGACGACAAAACGCTGCGGACCCAGTGACTCATGGGACCCCTCTGTGCTACGGCCACGTGCTGTCCACATGTCGCCCCTGATCTCCAGGTCCGCAGGGTGGGTGGCATCATCACACTTCATGGAGGAGGGAGCTGAGGCCCAGAGAGGTCAGTGACTTGCCCTAGGTCACACTGCAGATAACAGCCCTGGCTAAAGTGACGGATCCCTTGCTAACCCCCACCGCTAAGTGCTTTCTATAGATTAAGCCACTGTTTCCTCGCAATAGCATCATGAGGTAGCTGCTTGTGCGAATATCATTTTTCAGTTCAGGAAACTGAGGCACGGAGATGACTAGCCCAAGGACCCACAGCCAGGAAGGCTGGCTTGGAAACTGCTCTCTACACCATGGTGGTCTATGGCTCATGAGGGCTTCCCAGCCATCACCACCTTGAGACTCCTGGAGTCACTGATCCAGTTCTCAGATGACAAAACTGAGGCCACAAAGAAGACATGACTTGCCTAGGGTCATGAAGCCCAAGGCCAAGGGCATGGGCTGGTCTATGTCTGATCTCAGCAGGAGGGAACCAGCAGGAGTGTGGCCAGGGCAAGTGCTGGCTGGGAGCTGACGGTGCAGGCCTGAGGATGCGTGCCGGGGCTCAGGGCTGGCAGAGGTGACCCTGAGAGCCCTGGAGGGAAACTCTTCCAGGGCTGCTGGACTCAGCTCCAAGCCTTTCCCAAGTGGCCAGATGCTGGGATGGGCCCAGGAATTGGATGATGGGGTGTCAGGCCCAGCTGACTCCCAAGAAGGGAGGGGCCAGCCCAGGGCTAGGCCTCCTGCCCCAGGCCTCCTGCCCCAGGCCTGCTCAGCCTAGAATCTTGCCTCTGGGAAGACTGAAGCCTGGGGCGCCTTCCTGCTCCTTGCACAGCATTAGGTCCTATTCAGGTACCCAACTCCCTCAGGCCTGGATTCTCTCCTCACTGGAACTTGGGTGACCCCTCTGGCTCTGCTGTCATCAAGATCCCATTCAATAGTGACTGCTAAAAGGTCTTCTAAACTACAAAGGGTCACATTTCTGAGAAAGAGAGGGGTGGGCCAACCTTCAGTGCACCAAGCTGAAAATGCCTTGGGGAGGTGGGATGGAGCTCAGGAAGCTGGCTGGCTCTATTTCATTCATTCATTCATTCATTCAGTCAGTCAGTCAGTCAGTCATTCATTCATTCTGTGGACACAGAGCCTCAGCCTACCCTCCCACTTCCCCAGCCTTAATCTGACCTTCAGCAAGCAGAGAGAATTAAACACAAACTCGCTTTGATGGACCAGAACTCCCTGCTCATAGGGTCTGGGTGCCCGGACTCTGGGTGACCTGAGCAAGTCACATGCTAAGATTCAAAGACTCAGTTTCCAAGGAAGAGGCCTGGCCTCACAGCCAGACCAGCCCCTGACTTTTGATCACTCCTGCCCTCCATGCATCCCTCAGCCACCCGCAGAGAAGCTGGGGGCAGAGTAAAGCAAGCCTGGCTCAACCTCCACCCAGAAACACACAAGCACCCGACAAATGCCATATCTGAAAGCTTTCTCCATCCTTTTCCTTTCCTTGACTCCCTCAGTAGTCTCCATGGACAGTCATCTCCACTCCCAGCCTCCTCGCTGGCCTCCCACGGTCTCAGGCTAAGCCCAGAGGGTTTAGGGGTTTGCCAGCAGGCACGCAGTGTGTGGGGGCACAGAGCCAAGGACTGCAACCCCCCGAGGAGGGCTCCATCTGTCTGACCTAGCTGCTGTCCTTCCCGCACTGGACCCTCCTCCCCCGCGCAGGGGCTCAGGGGGCTCGGTGGCACTTACGTCTGGGCTCCCGGGGTCCGTCCACGGTCACCTTGATGGCTCGGTGGTAGGTCGCCACTTGGGTGGGGTTGGTGAACACAGTGATGGTCAGGGTGAAACTCTTCCCTGGGGAGAGTGGGGAATAGAGGCAGGTGGTTGGCACCTGGAGCTTCCACAATACCCTGCTCTCCCACCTGTATCTACCCCTGGAAGCCCCTAACTGTCAAGAAGGGGCACTCTGTCCTCTTTGAACATGGGCAGAAGATAGGGCTCTGGGTGAAGTTCAAGCTCTTGGGCTTGGCATTCAAGGCCCCTGGGGGTCTGACGCCAACTTTGTCAACCCCCCGCCCCATGCCGTGACCACCCTGGCTCATGTTCCCCTCTTCTTGGCCTTTCTGCTGTCTCTTCTATTCAGAGACCCACACGATTTTGTGGTGGGGAGCAGGATGGGTATATTCTATTTTCTGAAAGTAATTGGTGATCTTTGTAGAAAAATTCAAGAACATACAAAATATAAATAAAGAAGAAAAGACACCCCCCCCCCACGGTTCCACTAGCTGGAGATAGACACCGTTACCATTTGGTGTTTTCCCTTTCAGCTCTTTTTGTATGGGTTTGTATATTTACACAGTCGCAGTGGTACTAAAATACAGATTTTCATACTGTTTTTTTTTTCATTTAACCTCACATCAGAAGCACTTTCCCACGTCATTAAAACTCCATAAACTTCGTTTTTAATGGCTGCAAAATATTTCAACTCAAGGAAGCCTCCTCATCTTTTATTTATCTACCTCCTTACTCTCGGGTATTTACATCGTTGCTAATTTCTTATTGATGTGTGCAGCTGGAGCTGAAAAAGGACTGATTTGGGAGCTGCAGACATTTCTTCTGTAGACACAACTGTTATTTCCAGAATGTTCTATTTTTAGATAGACATTTGGCTCCAAAGTCTCCATTCAAAATTCCTGAGAGGGGAAAAAACTTTTAAAATACTACTTTTTTTTTTTTTTACCATTTAAAATAAAATGAAAGTGACCTTCTGTTTATAAAAATCTTTGTCTGCATCTCTGCTTATTTCCTTAGAAGAGATTCCAAGAAGCGGTGAGTGATTTCACGGCAGCAGAGGGTTGGGACATATTACGGGCGCGGATCCCTCTTGGAGTGAGATGACTCTCCGGAGAGATTTAGTCGTCACCCTCGCGTGTGAGGCTGCGTCACACCCCAGGGATGTGTCTATCAAGATGGAAGATCTTTTACACGCTCTTGATTTTGTTTGCCTTTTTTTCTATTACTAGTGAGAATGAAACTTTTTATATGATTATTATCCATCATAATCCAACACAAATTACTGCTTCATGTTCTTTTACTTTCCTGTGAAGGTTTTAGTGCCTTTTAAAAATTGCTATATATTAAGCTTGTTAATACTTTCCATGCTGTATTTGTGGCCATCAGTTTCCCCGGGCACAGGCCTGCACATTTTGCCTTCACACGCTGGGTGGTTTTTCATTTTCACTTCTATTTCTCGTTCTTCTATCGTTTTATGTTCAGACGGGTTTCTCCGTGTAGAAAGCAGTTTATGAAGATTTACTTTCGACAGTCTTCTCTCTACTTTCTACAGTGAATTCTCTGATGTGTCTGGGAGTTTGGGGGTCTGGGTAAGAGTCCTCCTCTCACCCTATTCTCTATTACGATCCACAGCCTCATGCTTTATGAGATTGGTGGCCGGGAGCGGGGGAGATTTGCGGATCCCCCAAGCCAGACTTTATCCCCCTATCCCTGCCTCTGGATCCCACGTACAGGCCTGGGAACTCCCTGTGGGTAGGGGCCAATGGTCTCGCACTCTCACCTGTACCCCAGGGCTGGCACAGGATGGTCAAGGAGAGAGGCTGCCCAAGCGCATCCCTCTGGTGTCCCCCTGACACGCCTCCAAAGTGAGCAGGTAGGTTTCAACAGCCCCACGTTGCAGGTGGGAGATGAAGCTCAGGGTGGAGACCAGTATCTCACAGTTCTCTTTGCATGGCCGGGTACTTGTTAGTCAACTGATCAAGTGAAAATTCTAGCCCCAGAGGCAGGAGAATCCGGAACAAAATTAAACCAGCCAGGCTGCCAGGAGCCATGCCACAGGACCCAAGGCCCTCTGAGACACCAGGGGGAATTTAAAGCTCAAGACCCACTGAGTGTCACTCCAGCTGGGAAATGAGGGGCTTCTCTGGAAGCCTTTTCCTAAGCCAGTCGGCTGAGGCAGGGATAGAAATTCTGACTGCACTTGCCCCCGGAGCCCCAGGTCAGAACAGACCTGGTCTCCCACTCTCAGGTCACAGGGGCCACTTTGTATGATTTCTGGAAGCAGAAGTGCAGATGGTCTAGGGAAGTGCCAGGCAGATGCCTCGGGCTCCCTGCCCGACCCCTCCTACTGCCTTTCCTCACTCTGAGGTCATTTCTCTGCTGGACCTCTTTCTCCTCCAACCAGCCCAGCACTCTCCTGGGGTCCCTGAGCCTCTGACCCTGCCAGCATTGTCCAGCACCTTCTTGGTTATGACGGGGAGTTTAGGCAGACAGCCCAGAGCCCTAGGGGCCAGACTGGAGACACGGAGGACTAATGGGTCCCAGTGCCCTGCCACAGGGCCCCGGGCCCACAGCAGCATTTGAAAGCTTACTAAAACCCTCCTTCAGGTCGCCCACCTTCTCAGTCAGGCCTTCCCTGGTCACTTTATCTGAAGTAGGCATTTTTAATTTTAATTAATTTTTTTGAGACAAGGTCTTGCTCTGTCACCCAGGTTGGAGTGCAGTGGCATGATCATAGCTCACTGCAGCCTGGACCTCCCGGGCTCAAGTGATCCTCCTGTCTCAGCCTCCTGAGTAGCTGGGACAACAGGTGAGCGCCACCATGCCCGGCTATTTCTTTTTTTCCCTTCCTTCTTTTCCTTCCCTCCCTTCCTTCCTTCCTTTCCTTTCTTTTCTTTCTTTCCTTTCTTTCTTTTTTTTTTTTTTCAAGCTTTTACTATGTGCCCAGGCTGGTCTTGAACTCCTGGGCTCAAGTGATCCTCCTGCCTTGGCCTCCCAAAGTGTTGGGATTACAGTCGTAAACCACTACACCTGGAAGGCATTTTTAACTTGGCTCCGTAGAGTTGAATGAGCCTGAGAACTAGGGTAGGAAAAAATTACAATTGTATTGTCCCTAACCTCTAACTGAAATTTAGCATCACTCTCAAGTACGAGCGTAGGCAACAAACCACAGAGGTATTATCAGCCGTACCTGTGACCTTGTCACCAACAGACGTCACAGATACTTACATATCACATTACAGTTGCTGCAGATTGCTCTAAATATCTTTTATGCTCATCACAACTTCAAAACCATGGTTGTCATTAGGCCCAATGCTAGATCTTATTTAATACATTGAATAAAGCAGCACATTTACCACAATTTTTAAAGTATTTTGCTATGTTTTAATAGAAATGGTTTCTATTGTAATACTTTGTATTTGATTTTATACCTTAAAAATATCATTGTTCTGAGAAAGGTGTGCGGGCTTCACCAGCTATCAGAGGGGCCCACAGGGCAAAAAAAAAAAAAAAAAAAAAAAAAGCGCTAAGCAGCTCAACCTGAAGTATCACAGGCCCTACCACTCCCTTTCTCTATTCCCTGCACCTGCTGGAATTTTCTCACAATGCATATGCTTTTAATAATCCATCTACTCATTTTGTCTCCTTCTACTAGATTATAACCTCCCCAGGGGCCCAAGTTTTTGTCTTGTTCATGCAGTGTCTCCAGCCCCTAGGACGGCATCCGGCACAGAGTAGGTGCTCAACAACATTTGTTAAATAAATTAAGGGCAGAGATAATGGCTCCCATTTTGCACACAGGTACTAACGTCCCGCTCCTGAGAAGTGAGAAGCCCCCACCCATACCAGGTAGCAAACCACATGCCACCCCTGAGGTCACCAGCACTCCTCGGCCGCTTCCACCAGCTTCCACGCCTGTCACCACCCCTCCCAGGTACAAAGGAGAGGAGTGTGGGGCCTAAGAGGAGGAGTGAGAGGGAGGGGCAGGAGTCCTGGACCTCGGGAGACAGGGAGCCTGGGGAGCAGGGGTGGGAGAAAGCTGTCTCCCTGAGTGCCCCTCAGCTACCCCGGCCCTGCCCAGCTCTCTCTCTGCCTGGCAGTGGCAAACCCATCCATCCCTCTCTCTCAGCCTCTAGATATAACTCTGTGCAGGAGTCCCAGGCAAACCTGCAATCCATCAGGAGCCCAGGAAGTGTAAACCCAGGCTCTCTGAGGGCTGGCCCTGGTTGCAGGGGAGAAGTCTTGGTCTGGGAAATGGGTTTCCTTTAGGGCTCCAGAAACTCCTCCAGGACCCATCATCAACCAGCCGGGGTGGCAGCAGGGCCTCAGGCAAGTCCTTGAGCATTCTCTGCCTGGGTTCCTATGTGTATAAGGTCCCCGCCCCACCCACAGGAGCTGCATGGGTGGGGGGAGGGGACGTGTCTCAGTCTCAGGGGACCTCGGGGTTTTCTCAGCTTCAGCCAAGAAGCCATTCATCTCTCCCCCAACCAGCGGTTCCCCTCAGCCTGCACCGGCACACTGCACCCCGAATCTCTGTCGACACACAGTTGCTTTTTAACCAGTTGATCACAGCTCGAGAGCTCATGTGCTTTTCATTTTCACTTAGGCCAGTGGCCGCCTGCTAGAGGGGCATTTTTGGGATTTGTGGTGGCGTGTGGTCAACATAGTGTTGGGGTGGCACTGCCAGCGTTAGGGGTGGGGTGCGTGTATGTGGTGGGGGATGCCAGCACCCAACGCTGCCCAGGGTGGTGAAGATTCAATTCTTCCTGGGAGGGAAAAACTTGCTTATAAAAGTTCTCTGGCTGGTCGCAGTGGCTCATGCCTGTAATCCCAACACTTTGAGAGGCTGAGGCAGGAGGATCGCTTGAGTCCAGGAGTTCAAGACCAGCCTGAGCAACACAGTGAACAACACCCCCATCTCTACAACAAATAATTTTAAAAAATCAGCTGAGCATGGTGGCGCATGCCTATAGTCCCAGCTATTGAGGTGGGAGGACTGCTTGAGACCAGGAGGTTGAGACTGCAGTGATCGCACCACTGCACCCTGGCCTGGGCGACAGAGCGAGACCTTGTCCCAAAAAAAAGTAAAAGAAAAAAAAATTATCTGAGTCATGAACCTAACTCAGTTTTACATAAAACAAGGGTTTTTTTTGTACTTTTAATATCTACTGAATTTTCCAGAAGGAAAGACAGTTCTTTTTTTTTTTTTAATTTTGTTCAGCGCTTTGCCAACAGGTGTTGACAACTTCAGAAAGTCATGGTATTGGCAGCAAGGCCAGGTTCAGATTGAGCCCTGCCACCCTGCCTGTTCCCTCTGCTGTGGGCTTCTGCATGGAGGGCATTCGTCCACCTCATGGAGTCCTGTGGCCCCAACGTTTACATATTCAAATCAGTGTTTTATTATAAATTACTTTCCCTTTTTTTCTCCATCATAGCTATGGAATAACATAGTTTGCAACTGCATGTAAATAGGTAGGTTTCATTATTTATACATTTCAACGTAGAATAGTAAGGCTTGATATAAAATATGTATTGTAAGAAAGGCTCCTCGTGTCTGGCAGGGCAGGGACCTCAGCCCTAATCACTGCAGGAGACAGCAATGACCTGGTTTTCCTCCCTTCCTTTTCTTGGTTCACACCTTCAGCCCTGTTGTTAAGAGCTCTGTGGTGTTACTGGGTGCGTGTCTTTCATGGAAAGCCATCTTCCTGGAATTCAGACAGAATGTAGAACTAAAAATTGAGGCAACAAGCAGAGGTTTCCATCAGACTTCTTAGTTCTGGCAGAAGTCAAGAGACCCAGGCAAGGGTTCTGGGTCCCAACCCCCAGTCTTAACTCCCAAAGTGTCCCATCTCCTAAAGTGGCCCAGATTGTCACTGTCAACCACTGACTGTTCTCTCAGGTGGGAATTTCCCAGTCAGCAGGATGGGCACTGCAGATGTGTGTCTGCATGCCAGCGGACCCGGCACCCTCCTTCCTCCCTGCCAACCGCCTCCACCTCTCCCACTCAGCAGTTCACACCTTCTGGGTTTCCCCCACCCCCGCCCAAACCACACAGTAATCAGAGAATCAGTGGCTGTCACCGCTCAAAGGGACCTCAAAGTCCTCCTCCAGTCCCAGGCATTTGAAGTAACAAAATCTCTAACATGTATCCAGCTCTCAATATGCGCCAGCTGATACACTTGTGTCAATTTCCCTAACCTTCCCAAAATCTCATGAGGTAGGTACCATTATCATCCCCATCTCACAGATGAGGAAACTGAGGCACAGAGTGGTTAAGTCATTTGCCCAATGTCATCCAGCAAGTCATTAGCAGAGCTGGGACTCAAACGCAGGGTGGCTGATACTAGAATGCAGGCTCTCAAAGACCTCGAGCCTCTGAAGGCTGAACGCCTTAGCCACAGTTCCTCAGACATCGGAACTCCTCCTCAGATCACTTCCTGCCTCCCAGGACCACTGAGACTGGTTATGGACCTCTGAGAGGAGATGGATGAGAGAATGGTTTATAAACTCAGCCTCTTGCATCTCCCAGAGCCACAGTCCCAGCCTCGGCCATTCCTGCTACAAGGACAAGCTCCCAACCAACGCCTTGGAAACCCATTTCCCTCCCTGCAGGCCTGGGGAGGGGGGCTCAAGGTCTGTGGGCATGAAAACCCCTAAAAAAATCATTCTCAGTGTGCAGAATGGCCAGACAAGGTCTCGGTAACTCAGAAAATCGTCGTCTCTTCTCTTTCTCTCGCTTCCCAGGAGAGAGAGTGGGAAGGGAGAATCAAGTTCCTGATGCCTTGCTGGGCTCCCAGATCGACAGCACCTTCTGCCCGCCTCGCAACAGGCAGCAGCTATAGTGCTCCTGACACATACCTGGGCTAGCAGACCTGGCCACTGCCCCGCAGTCAGCAGAGCTCATCAGCCTTGTCTGCCACCGACCAAGGACCAGTGACTGTCCTCTCAGGGTTGGGATTAAGTCGCAAAGGGTTTGAGAGATTGGGGATGACAAAAGGGACTTGGAGACTAATTAGGAGCAGCAATGAAAGCTTAATTCATAAAAGCAAACATTTTCCATCCATCAACCTGCAACCAGTTAAGGGCACCGTTTGAAAGAAATCTGTGTGTGGGGAAGGGAGCCAACAGGAACAGGAAATGTTTGAAAGAATGTAAACTATTTCAGTTTCATAAAAAGTAACAAGTAAACAGTTATTACATGCAAATAATGTCCTGGTTTTAATTAATGCTGAAAAGTCAAAATATGGCTGACATTTGTATGTATACATCGAACGGCTGGAAAGGAAAAAATGGTGCCCAGATGCCTGTTTCAGAGCGGGGCTGGCAGCTCAGAGGGAACTAGAACCTTGAGAAGGTCCTGTTTATTGGTGATGAAAAGCACGGTTCTGCTTCAGCCACTTCAGCCTGCTGTGGAGTTGGGGAGCAGAGGGAACCCAGCTTACTTCTTAACAAAGCTAGAGGCGGGCCTGGTGCTTGGGAAGGGCGACTCCCACTTCAGCCACTTCTCGTAGGCAGGCTGGTCTTAAAGGGCCAGTGGACCCTCAGGCCTCCGTTCCACAGGGGCAGGGTTTCCAGGACTTTCCCATCCAGGAGTTAAGTGATGATGGGTTTCAGGTCCCAGAAGCCTCCCATTCAACAGCCCCCCACCCCCGTCCCGCCTTCCTTCTGCTGCTCAAGGTCGGTCAGACAGGCAGGGTGGCACACCCGCCTTGACTCTGGGGCAGGAGATGGCAGCCTTCGAGCTGTGCTTTCCAACATTCAGCTGCGTTAGCTTCCGTTCTAGACCACCTAGGGCTCAAAGGCGCTGGGAAACTGGGTCTGGGAGACCACAGCTGGAGAGACAGCCTCAGAGTGTGGGGGATATTCTGCCCCCTATGGAGAGAGTGGCTGGGGTGCTTGGGCCCCACAGATCAGGGACTTGTCCTGCAACCGCCTTGCTGAAAGACCTATAAGCTCCCTTTTTGAGCTTGTTAATCCACCATCTCCTGCCAGCATTTTTTGTGAGACCAGGTGTGCTTAACCGGGAAAGAGGGGGTGGCATGAACGGTTTCAGGAGTTGGTAAACCCTAGAAACTGGGAGAAAATTGTCTTTTTCTGGCAAGAGACCATAACTTTCCTCACCTCCTCAAAGCGATCTGTAATATCCTACAGGATTACAAATTGCTGTTTTTAGACAGAGCTGCATCTGGAGACCTGTTTTTCGGGATTCTAAGGCCCCTCTTTCAACCTCCTTCCCTGCTGCCCCTGCCATTGCCAATGCTGAAATGGCGAGGCCTCCCTTCCACTTACCTCGCCCACTGCGGCCCACGAAGCGAAGGTCGTTGAACCTGGCCACCTGGTTCTTCATGACGGCCGAGGCATTGCGCAGCTCAGCGGAGTAGTTCTCGTCATTGCCTGCCATCACAGTCACCACCGTACCATCCGGCACGTCCCCCAATGCCACCACCTGAAGACACGGGGCGGGGGGATGCAGGGGGACAGCTTAGAAAGGAAGAGGGTGACCAGGGAAAGGAGGGGAGGGGCTGGGCTGGGCAGCTCCCCCAGGTCCCAGGCACACTGAGTATTTCTCCAATGCAGGGTGGAGAAGAGGCTTAAAAACAATAAAGACCTTCCCCCAAATATCACGAAAACAAGAAGATGGAATCTCGAGCTTCCACACCAAAATCCTAGATCAACTGCTTACATAAACTGTGTCCCAAGAAATCATCCTTTCAATGAAATCTAAGCCAGAGCTGTGAATCAGCTCAGTCACTATGATGTGGGGTGCAGTTCCCCTGTTGTCTTCGGCTGCAGCGAAAGAGGAATCAACATGCTCCTAGCAACGAAGTCTCCAAATGAGAAAGAGTAACAACAATAATAACAACAGGGCTGCTACCCCCACTCAATTTATGCAAGAGCTGTTTAGGGCATGAAATTTGGCCCTGAAATGTGGACCAGGCCCAGTTTATTGGCCTCTGCAGAGCCTAAATTCGTTATGCAGAGAAAATGCAGAATGCAAAACTCACTGGTGTTTTGAAAAAGGCCACCAGAAAACCCCTTTAAAGTGAGAGTGGGGCTTTTGATAATGGAAGGATGCACCTGCCGGGAATTGCAGGATGGGGGTGGCGATGTCCCCCTAAACACCATCTCCCCCAAATCCCCCACCCCCAGGAGCACGGAGAGGCGGATGCCTTTTGAAAAAGAATCAGACTTTAAACAGAGTCACAACTATTTAAACGTGGCCGCCGCGTGCAGGGACTGGGGATCCATATGGTAAAAATTTCAAGGAGAAAATGTTTGGGATCTGATTAAGAAGACCAGATTTCCTGTCAACATCCTGTCTTCTTTTAATTTCAAAGACTCCTTTTAAGCTCCAAGTGACAGTAAAACCTCCGATCTGACGATTAAAGTCACACGGGCCTCCCGCCCCTCCCGGCGAGATTTCCCCCACTGGTATTTTAAGATGTCACCCGGGAGACCTCAAAGAGCCACTCTTCCTTTTTTTCCCATTTAGAGTCGTCTTAATGGGAGCAGGGACGGCCTCAGCTTCCAGCCACCTCGGGCAGCACCACCCCCAGCCGCCGGCCCTTCCTGCCCTGCCCTTTTCTCACGGCAGCTGTGAGAGGTTTAGGGGAAAACCGAGGCGTTTTCGTTTCATCTCGCTGCCCCCTTAAAAAAATGAAAATGAAACAGTCGCCTACTCCCTGGCATAAAGAAAAAGGTCCTCTAAATGGCTGGGGGCTGCCAGGGTTAGGGGTCCCCCAATCTCAACTCGCCATTCGGGACGCATAATATCCCCGAGCAAACGTCTGGAGAGCAGTGCCCCGATCCCGGCCTAGCGCCGTCCGGTAAAATTTCGGAAGCCCGAGGGTGTGAGCAGGAAGCTTTTGCGAAGCGGCGCGGGAGGAGGGGTGCTGGAGGCGGAGGGTAGGCCCTTTCACCGTTCGCACCCCACCCGCGGTGTCCTTGCCCCTGTCCCGGGATCCTCTTCTCCGTTACCCGCAGGGCTGTATCTGAGCGATCCGGGTTAGGGGGGCGCAAAACCCCATCCGCCCATTTCCGCACCAACGTCTCTACGCAAGGCGCCCCAAAACCCAGGTGGAGCGGGGCAACCCCGTTAAAAGTCATTCCTGCAGGGCGCATCCAAAACGGAACGCCGAGGTCCCGGAGCCGAGCGCGCAGCCAGACTGAACCGGGTGCCCGGGTGTCGCCGCGGCGTCTCGGGCACCTCCCATCCCCACTGCTCCCGAGGCTCTGGCTCCCGCAGCTCAGACGCCCGGAGCCCCAGGGCCGGCGCCCTCCCGCCCCGGGTCCCGCACTCACCTTGAAGGCGACGGGCAGCGTCTTGTTGCAGCGCCAGTGCGAGGGCAGCACGGAGCAGAGGAAGTTGGGGCTGTCGGTGCGCACGAGCTCGCCTGCGTGGTCCGCCAGCACGTCCACCATCGAGCGCACCTCGGGCCGGGCGCGCCCTCCGGGCCCCACGGCCGCCTGCGCGCTCAGCGCGCCGCTGTTCTCGCCCATCTTGCCGCCGCCGCCGCCGCAGGGGAAGGCCGGGGAGGGAGGTGTGAAGCGGCGGCTGGTGCTTGGGTCTACGGGAATACGCATAACAGCGGCCGTCAGGGCGCCGGGCAGGCGGAGACGGCGCGGCTTCCCCCGGGGGCGGCCGGCGCGGGCGCCTCCTCGGCCGCCGCTGCCGCGAGAAGCGGGAAAGCAGAAGCGGCGGGGCCCGGGCCTCAGGGCGCAGGGGGCGGCGCCCGGCCACTACTCGCCAGGGCCCGCCCGCTGCGAGGCCTCGCTGGCCCGACGGCCGCCCGCAGCCTGCCCGGCTAGTCCCGCATCCTCGGCGCGCGGCCCCGCGTGCGGCCGCCCCTCGTGGCTGTCCCGGCTGCCTGGGCCGCGGCGGGGCCCGCGCGGGGCTGTGCCGCTGCCGCCGCCTCCCGCCCCGAAGCTCGCCCGCGGCCGCCCCGACTCCGCGGCCGCAGCCCCAGAACAAATCCTCCAGAATCAAGTGGCGGGGCCGCGGCCGCCCGCGCGGGGTTAGTACCCCCGGGGCCCGCGGGGCGGGGCTGGCGGAGCGACGCGTCGCACAGCCAATCGGCGGAGCCCCCATCGCGGGCACCTCGGTGGCGTTCGCGGGGAGGAACGGGGCCTGCCGGAGGCCGCCCAACGGGGAGGGGCGGAAGGCGCCACCCCGCGGAGGAGGCCCCAGTGCCACAGCCCAGGGCCCCCGAGAGCTCTGGGAGCCCGGGGCAAATGCTAGAAATTTGCTTAGAACGTCCGGGTCCCACGGAAGGCGCCCTTGCCGCCCTCTCTCGGGTCGTAGCTCCCTGACGCTGGGGCGCAACCCCTTCGCTCCTCCTCCCCGCTGGCCGCGGCCGGGCTTCCCCAGCTCTTGCTGCTTCGGGCCTGTGACTTCTGCAACCCCGGGCTGGGGGCCGCGGGGTCTCAGGGCCGGTGACGCCGCACTGGGAGCCGCCCCAAAGAGGTTACTCACCTCCCTCGTCCCGCACATTATTCTGACCCAAGAGCCTCCACCCCACACGGGATTTTGCGCGTCGTCCACGCCCGGCCGGCGGCCTTTGCTGCTCCCAGCCCTGCGCGGCTTTGGTCCCAGCCTCGGTGGCCCCTGTGCCAAACCGGGGACAGGCGGAAGGGAGTCTCCTAGGGACCCTAAGTAGCCTGGGGCCAACAACCCCTTTCCTCTCTGCTCTCCCCTCAAAACAAGTTTCAGGATCTTGCAGGCCTCGCGGCGTCGTTCTTCGTTGTGGCGGCCTGTGGCTCTTTGAAAAACACGACGAGGCCTGCAAAATGCGTTTTTCTTTTTTTCCTTTACGCATGTAACCACGGTCCTGCATCGTGAAACGGTACGCGCGTCGGTGGCAAAAGAAAAACAGCAGTGGCTGCAAAGCTAAGGGCCCTCGCTTTCAGAGGAGAGAATTTTCTTTCTCCATGCGGGTGGAAAGTGGCCTCTGCGGGTCCAACCCCACTTCTTCTTGGGCCCGTGCGCTCCGGCTGCGCCGCAGGGACCGCGGACAGCTTCGCCAAGGCACTGCCTGCCCGCCCGGCTCCGGGTCCCCGCTCCCACTCCCAGCCGCGTGGCCCAACCTCTCCTGGGCTTCACTGCAAATCACCCCTTCCTCTCCCGCCTCCTAAGTCTGTCGAGCAGACCTAGGGGCCGGCTACAGTTGGGAGGGCAACGGGAAAGATCAAGCCACAATCATTCCGAATTATCGCCCCAGACACCTCCCTAGACTCTGGGGAACGAACGCGTGCTGAGCCTCCCCGCCGCTTTGGAGACGGGGCTAGATTTTCGTTGCCTCCGGCTCTCGACAGGTGCAAAACAATGAATTCCAAGCCTCGGAAGCAAAGAAGCTTAGGATCCGACGGTGGCCGCAAGATCTCATCATGGATCTGACCCCTGCTCAGCGCGCGCCATTTCGTCGTTGCCAAACGAAATCAAGCCCCGCGTGCGCTCCAGGGGCGAAGGACTCTGGACTCACCCCGACCACCGGGAGAGCTGGCCCCTACCCACCTCGGGACCTCACAGCACGCCCTCAGGCCGTGTCGAAAGGAAGGACGGCAAAGGTCCCTTACTGAACCTTTTAAGAGAGCCTGCGCCTGGCAGTTGTCGATTGCGGACCCAGGCCCGCGCGCCCTCGGACGCGCTGGCACGAGCAGCAGAACTAGAGGAAAGCGAGTGATCCAGCCTGGGCGCTCCCACCTCCGGGAACGTCTCCGAGAAGGCGCAGCGCGTCGTGGCCAGGTAGGGCCCTGGCCGGGGGCGGGCAACACGTGCTGCCCTCGAGCAGGTTGCGGGACCATGACCCGCTGTTTCAGGTGGTGGTAAATTCCATTTGTCGAATGGTTTCGGTTTGCACCGTGCCCTTTGCTTGTTCCTCCGCCTGATTTCTCCCTCTCCGCTTACGATGGGTTCACAGACAAGTTTCCAGAGAATGAGGGACTCTTGTGGGCCCTGGCACCTGGCGCAGGGCCCGGCACGGCTCCGGCTCTCCGTAGGGCGCTGGCTCCCCGTGGGCACCAGATCCAAGGGACCAGGGCGGCGGGGGGAGGGGGGGCGGGTGCAGGCCCTTGGGTCCCCAGACCAAGGTCGCGGGGCCGCCTGGCAGGCACAGTGGCGGGAGCCGCCGCTAGTTGGCGCCCGCGCCCTGCCAGCCGCGGAGGTGCGGGCCCGGCCGGGCTACAGATGCGCGCCAGCTGCGGCCCCGGGTGCAGGCGCGGCGACCGCCCCCGAGGAGCTGCCCTTTCCTTGCCATCCATGCGGCCAGGTCTCAGACAAACCGATGGCTTTGTGTCAAACCAAGGCCGCCTTCCTCACCTCTGATAAGATGGACGCCTTCTGTCTTCGCGTTTTCAGGCACCCGGGGAAGACCCACAGAACAGGCTAGCTTGTTCCCAATTTCCACCTGCTTCCTCCCCATCCCGGACCGACAAAAATTGTCGTCTGTTTGATGGGAGGGAGAACTCCGACTCCCCCACCTGGGGCATGCAGACACCCTCGCCCTTCCCCAGTTGGCATGGACCGTCGTCTTTTCTCCCTCTTCCATCAGATCGATGGACAAACAGGCCAGTTTCTCCCCAGTGGCCCCCACCTAAGAGCACCCTAAGTTGTCCACAGCAGGGCTAGGAAGCAGAAGGTCAGGACACTCCCCTACCCTACCTTGACTTAGAGCTGGGTAAACCCAGAACCCATCCCCGGGCAAATAGAGCCAGCTCCTTTGCCCCAGGAAGGGGATTCGTCTCCCTCTGGCATTTAGGAGTGCTCTCTAAGTGCGTTCTTGGCAGTGAGGGTGCCGCCTTCCCAGGGCAGGTGTGATTCATGTGGACTCTGTGGCGCCTGGGCAGGGATCCCCAGGTATACCAGACAAGGGGCAGGTGTGCCCTGGGAAACCGCCTAAGAGGTCCATGGGCTATGGAAGGAGCTGGGGTCCACAGTCCCTCTGCCTGAGCGTGTCTTTTTCCCTCACCCACAGCGCTCTAGGGAAAGTTGCCTAAACCTCTCTGAGCCTCATTTCTTTCATTTGTAAAGTGGGGCACTCATAGTGGCCCTTCATAGAATTGTGTGTAAAGTGCTTAGCACAGGCCTGGCACATGGAGGGTGCTCCAGCCTCCGGGAGCCATCACTGTCATGAAAAAATAAGACCTCTCAATCCTTGCTGGGGGCCTTTGACCCACCCCTCCTCTCTCTGGGCCTCACACTTCCATCTGTGAAATGTCCAGTTCTCATATTCAAAGCTTACTAGGACTCCAAGCCAGTCCATGCTGTCCTGATCCCTCAATTCGCCCACAGGCTGCCTGGGGGAGGTAAGGACTGGCTGTGACCTACCTCCACGTGGAGTCAGCTCATAGCGGGGTTTCCAGCAACCATCACAGGGCGGCCAGAGCTGGGTCTCGATGATTGCCTGTCTGACCATTCCTCTCAGAACCTCACTTTCGCCCCCAGCCGGCCGCCCTCCTGTGGGCAGACCCTTTCCTGAGTAGCAACTGGGCCTCAGCGGACACTGCCAGGGACCCCGTTTCCTTCCCAGGAGGCCTCTGTTCCCCATATCCCGAATCACACAGGAGCCTAGTCCAGCGAAGAGAGCAGAGGACTCTCTTCTAGAACTGAAAATTTCTCCCAGCCTGGCCCTAAATCCCCTGTCCAGAGGGACCCGTGGTGAAACCTATCTCCTGCCCAGTGCCCTAGAACTCAAAGGGGACATTCATGCCCCTCACTGAGCCTCAATTTCCTCTTCTGTCAATGGAGGTCATTCTAACCACTCCATTTCACGGGAGGGGGATTAAGGATTCCCTCTAGGAGGGGAGGGGCATCATTGTGATTGATGATCGATTGTTTGAAGAAACAGAAAGAAAATGCTGCTGAGTAAACTAGGACTCATCTGCATCCTGATTTCAGATAATGATCTCTGAATATATAAGCGAGAAATGTTAATGAAAAATGGCAATATATCTGGGTTGAGGGGTTGTCTCCTGTAGGCCGGGGGTCCAGCTCCAGAGAGTCCAGCTCTGGGGTCATCTATCCTGGGCAGCCTCTCTGGAAGGATTCAGAATGTGTGGGAGCACAAATGTGCTTCTCAAATTACAGAGATCTTTCTTCCTTTTTGGAAAGTTCCAGACTTGGAGGGGAGGGAGAAGGAGCAAGGGAGAGCAGGGTGGTGAGGGTGTTAGGACCCAGATGCTGCCTGTGCGGTCTGAGACTTTTGCCTGGTGTCCACGCTCCCCTGAGCCTTGGTCCCCGAGGGTAAAATGGGAAGAACAGTAACAGCTGGGGGTGCTGAGGCTTTACCTTGTGCCAGGCGCCGCACATGGGCATTGCTCATGGTATTCAATCCCCACGGCGTCATATGTGGTAGGTGTTATGCCCATGTAAGCAAAGAGGAACGTTGTCCGAGGTCAGCCAGGCTAGAGAGGGCCAGACCCGGGTTAAAAGTCTGCTCTGGTTCAAAATGTGGGGCATGAACGCATCACCTGGCCAAGCATGTCAGCACTCTCCTCCTAGTGGCTGAGTAATGGGAAGAGCTAGCATCTAGATACAGAGGAAAGAGCTATTGTGATGGGGAGAGGGAGCTGGGTTTGGTAAATCCTGCTAAGCAGCCCTGGGCTTGGAAATCAGTAAACTCTTCAAATCTGCAGGGAGTCAGGAAGGACTTGCCAGGGTCATTCGGGAGGGTCCTGTGATAGTCAAGGTGCACCCACCACCTGCTCTCCTTTGGCCTCAGAACCAGTCTGCGAGGAGGCAGGACTGGCAGTAGTCCCCAGTTTACAGATGGGAACACTGAGGCCCAGAAAGGGGAAAGGGCGTGATCAGGATCTGGAATGAGCTCCAGCAAGGCCAGGAGCAAGCACCTCGAGGCAAAACGCAGTTGGACAGGACCTTTGCCTTGCAGGAGACTGCAGCCCAGTCCTGGGCCTCATACACTAGCACCCTGATGCCACATTCAGTGCCTCTCGCCCAGGGGAAGTGCTAATCAGACGTGTTTCCCTCTGGGCCTCAGTGTTTGCATCTGAATGCGGGGGTGCACTTTCAAGGCCCCTCTACATGCCATGCGGGTTCCATAGGACCCCAGGGTTTGGTTGTGACCCGAGGCCCCTCCTCCCCACCCACCTCCTCTCCACCTCCCGCGGGGCGCCAGCTCCCTTGCGTCCACATGACCTCGGATCCTTCCACGCCCATCCCCACCCTGTTCTGCAGGTGGGTGGTCAGAGGGTGCTCTGCTTTGAGGATGGGAGAGAGAAAGGGAGGCAAGGACGGAGAAAAGAGACTTCTTTTGCGGGAGCGCAGAGCAGAAAAACCGTCTCCATCGGTTACCAGGGAAGGGGTTTCTGGTTTCAGATCCCATCACTTGGTGGGGCCTTCCTACCACCCTCCCTGCTACTCGCTCTTGTCATCTGTAAATCAGGGAAATACTTCTGGAAGACAGTTATCTGGTCTGTGACTTTGATCATTGGTCTATGACTAATAATTGCCCTAATTTTTTGAACACCTGCCGCATGCTGGGAGTTTTCCGCCAATTGTCGCTCACCCTCAGGTGCCTCTGAAGGGCAGAGATTTTATTCTTTCCATTTCACAGATGGGGAAACCCAAGCTCCGAAAGTAAAGAGCTTTTCCTCTGTGGGCCTCAGAATCTGAGAAGTTCAAACAGGTTCTCAGGAGCCCTTCCAGCACCCCACTCCTCGATCAGGGAGGGGCTGTCTGCACTCTGACCGCTGCTCTCAGCGCAGAGCTCTCCATCCAAAGCAGCAGGTGCGTGCAGAGCTACCTGCCAGCAGAGCCATCAAACACGGACTCTTCTACTGGGAGCCATGGAGTGGTGAGAGAGACCTGGGCAGCTTGGAGCCAAGGGGGCTTCTGGGAAACATGTGCCCTTCCCCCAGGGTGGGGTTCAGCTCTGGCGGGCAGGGAGAGAAAGGGCTCTTCTGAGTGGCTGTTGCTTTACACACATTTTTGCTTCACAGTATTCTTAGGGAGTAGCGACAGTTATCACTCCCATTTTACAGGAAAGAAAACTGAGGCTTAGAGAGCTCAAGTAACTTGTCCAAGTTGGCACCACTGGGAAACCACAGGGGTAGGATTCCAACGAGGCAGCCTGGCCCCAGAGCCCATGTTGCTGCCCACTACACTCTACTCTTGTGGACTAAAACCAGATGCTCAGAGTTACAGTCATGGAATAGAATTAGAATCCTGGCAGAAGAACTGTGGGCAGGATTCGGAATTTTACAATGTCAGACTCGAAAGGGCTCTGAGATATCAAATCCAAATCCCCATTTCTCAAATGACAGAACTGAGGCCTAGGAAGGAAGAGTCTCACTCAAGGTCACAGCCAGTGCCAGGGACAGAGTCTGCACCCCCTGCCTCTCCAGCTACCTCCCGCTGACTCCGCACCTTCCTCTCTCGCAGGCCCTCCTCTCCCCACTGCCCACCCAGCAGCTTCTGGGCCCAGCCAGGCCCATTAGGGATTTTCCACCTCCCCAAAAAGGTCCTGATGACTGTCAGTCCTTGTGAAGCCTTAATTAATCTCAGAGGCCGATGGCTCGGAGGAGACTGGGGGCTTTGGCCTTACGCAGATGAAGATTGCGGCTCTATTTCATGTGGTGGTGAAAGAACGCCTCAGACATTCCTGCCAGCAATAAAAGCCACATGGCTTTCCAGCATCGCCCTTGGAAAAGAAAAAAAAGTGCAGCCCTTTGCGGAAATAAATCAACTATGTGCTGTACGCATGGCATGAGATACAAATGGGCATACGGAGGTGGGCAACAGTCGGTCTTTTATGCCGCCTCTGATGTCCACTGACAGTGGCAGGGCCAGCGGTCATGGTCCCAGCTGCAATCCTGGGGAGAGGGAGTGACCCCCAGTGTGGTGGGGGAAGCCTCAGCTTCTCCACCTGAACTGGATTTGAGCCACCCTAGATATCCCAGAGGCAGGGCCGGCTTTCTGGCCTGTGACCCATGCAGTCGCACAGGGCCCTGGTCTCAGAAGGGTCCTGAGCTTGTTTTAATGCCCTGCCACCACTGCCTTGAACTTCTGAATACTTGCTCAACAAAGGTCCTGCGTTTTCATTTTGTACTGGGCCCCCCAAATTATATAGCCAGTCCTGACCACAAATCCACCCCTCATCACCAATTGTCACGTCTCTCCTGGCCCCTGCCATGTACCCAATCCCGGGGAGTAGGGTTTCTTGAGTGCCTACTAGCCAGTTTGCTTATATCACCTGAGATGAACTTCAGAATGACTTTGTGAATTGGGCAGATGTGGAAAATTGAGGCTCAGAGAGGCTTCCATATGGCAAGGAAGCCTAGACTTGAACTCAGGTCTCCCTGACTCCAAAGTGAGTGCTCTTAGCAGCTCTACATTCTGCATTATTTCATCTTCACCATGCCCAGGGGGATGGGGATACACACAGTTAGGCTGCTCTATTCCCAGATAACAGAAGGCATAACTGAGGCCAGAGAAGTGAAGGTTCTCAAGTCAGTGTCAAACCGAGGGCCTGGGCAACAGTGGACCTGGGCCTGGATCCATAGGGCTGGGGATGGAGTCTCAGTTTTATAGTTGTTTGTGCCACTTGTAAATTTATTAGCTCTTTCCATGCAGGTCACTGCCTTGAGTCTGGTCTGGAATGTGGCTGGAGCCCTACCCTGTCCCCCTCCCCCACAGCTCTCCATTCTAAACATCTGGAAGTCCTTCCTTGTGTCTTCTTCCACTCTTTCACGCTGCAGTTTTCCTCTGCCACCCTCACTGGTTGGGAAGCAGTTGGATCTGGCACCTTGATAAACTCAAAAGAGTCCAAATTCTTGATGAAAGTTGGGGCTGAACAGAGCCCATAGATTGCCATGTCCTATAACCAGGCCTGGGCCTAAGGCTCATAGAGCCAACTGCTAGATCCAGGGCAGCCATTTCCTTGTTCCTTGCTGGGTAACCTTGAGCAAGTCCCTTCCCTCTCTGGCCCTCAGACTCCCCTTCAGGGAGATAAATGCATTGGACCACACCTGAGCCCCAGGAGGCCTCTCTGTCTTCAACATTCTAGAATTCCATATTAATCTACAACAGGTCTGTTCATTTCCGCATCTAATAGCTGGGGAAACCGAGGCCCAGGAAGGATCAGAGATTTGCCCACCGTCACAGAAGGTGCTTATTGACAAGTGGACTTGACTCTGAGGCTCCTGTCAGCTGGCCCGGTTGCCTCTGCACAAACTTTCGGAGGATCTGGCCTCAGCATCAGCTCAGCTTGCCCTTGTCCCGCCGCCTTTAGCCCAGGTGGTCTGTCAGGCACCCTCAGTGTCCAGGCCTGGAAATCACAGCTAAGAGTCCTTGGCAGGCAATAAAGTTCCTCTTCTATGGCTTGAATGTCTCCCAAAAGTCATACATTAAAACTTCACCCCCATTGTGATGGTATTAAGAGGCAGTGGGGGGCCTTTCGGGAAGTGATTAAGTGGTGAAGGCTCTGCCCTCATGAATGGATTAGGCCCTCTTTGCCCTTCTGACTTCAGGACACAATGTTCTGTGTCCTCCGGAGGACACAGCCAGAAGACACTGCCTTGGAAACAGGGAGTCCAGGACCTCACCAGATGCGGAACCTGCCAGAGCCTTGATCTTGGACTTCCCAGTCTCCAGAACCATGTGTAGTAAGTTTCTATTTCTCTATTTATAAATTATCCCGTCTCAGGTATTTTGTTACAGCGACACAGAGTGAACTAAGACACTCTCTTTAGACAAAAGTGGGCCAGGGGATGGCAGCAACCCTTTTCTCCCCAATCGCATTTGGGCTGTGTCAGTGTTTCCGTAATAAAGGCCCCTTTTCCAGGGGTTATAATTTGGCTGGAAAATGAGGAGGAAAGACCAGACTCCAGGACTGGAGGGGCACATGAAGTAGGAGGCTAGGATGGGAAAAGTCTCCACTGGACCCTGGGCACGCAGAGTGCACACACACACGCACACACATCTATACCCTACATGTGTGCACTCACACACAGCACCCACGCTCATGGGCACAGTCTCTCACACATTCACTGGCAGCTCACACCCACATGGACAAGCCCTCATGGAGGACAGCATTGTTACAGTGCAGCCACAGGTGCAAACAGTTAAGTGCAGGTGTGTGCAAAGATGCTCCTAGGAGATGCCTCTGTCTGCATCATCATGCATGGACCTATTGGTATAGATGCGCAGATAGATGCACAGATAGGCCCCATTATATGAGTGGTGTGGACACACACATGGGCAGAAACCCACATCACAGCTGTGTAAACAGCAGACCATTGTGTGGACAAATCTTTACACACAGAGGCAGGCATGGAATCAGGGCTCAGAGCTTTGGATTTGTTCTACAGAGCAGCTCTGGGAGGAGTCGAACCCTGGCTCTGGAAGTTTCTGCTTCTCCTCAATTCAGAGGCATGGACTTTCTGGGTGGTTTGCCCCCCTGGGGCTTCCAAACCATTCCCCAGCATCTGAGTTTAACCCGCTCCCTCATTGTTCGATGGGGACAAGGAGAGCCTGTCTTCCTGGTCCAGAGAAAGGCAGTGGGAGGGGAGAAGTGGGAGGGTTGCAGCTAGGGTGCCCCACGGCAGCATGGGTGGAAGGGCAGGGCACTAGCCTAGGGGCCCAGAGACCTGAGTTTGGGTTTAGGTTGAGATGCCCTAGGCCAACACATGGCCTCTCTGGGCTTCATCCTGAGCCCCCTCTGTTAGGGCCATGTGACACCCCCAGGGGCCTCAGCATGGGGAAGAGCACTGAAACCATGTCACATGATGAACTATTAAAGCAACTGGAGACTTTGCCCTGGAGGAGAGCAGGCTTGGGGGGTAAGAGCTCCTCTGGCAGATCTATGAAGAGCTCCCAGGTGGCAGGGACCATATGGATGCTGGGGGCTCCATACCAGGAATAGAAATATTGAGAGCTGGCTTGGAATAGGGACACGTCCCCTCAGAGGTAGAGATCAAGTTGAGACCAGGATATTGTGCAGGGAGTTCGAGTGTTAGATGGGGCAGGGGCCGGACCAGATACTAGTGTCTCAAACGCTCAGCTCATAGCAAACACGTATTGAACAAATGAGAGAGCGACTGCAGAGCTCCATTTCTGAGCCAATCATCCGTGATTCAGAGCATACCAGCTCTGGGTTCCCACCTTGCCATCTGCATGACCTTGGCCCTCTCCAAACCTCAGTTTCCTCATCTATGAAATGGGGAGAACAAATTATTTCCAAGAGCTCCAGCAAGTCACATCCCCTATTGTTGGTCTTTCAGGTCATCCCAGAATTTCTGCTCTTATAAATAGAAAATGACATTGAAGGTGAAAAGCAGACAGACAAGCAAGAGAATAGTTAATACAAAAATCATAGCTAGGCGTGGTAACTTGTGTCTGTAATCTCAGCTACTTGGAAGGGTGAGGTGGGGGGATCTACTTGAGGCCTAGAGTTCAAGACTAGCCTGGGCAACAAAGTGAGACTCTGTATCTACCAAAAAAAAAAAAAAAAATCAGGAGAGTGGTCCCCACCACTTGCCACCTGTGATGAGTAGGGAGAGGGATGCAGTCAGGGAAGGGACACTGGTGGGAGCCCTAAGGTCCCATTAGTGCTTTGTTTTTTAAAGCCAGGTGGTAGGTAGATAGATGTCTGCTTTATTCTTCTTCTTTAAACAATACTTATATTTTATACATTCTTCTGTACATGTATTTTACATGTTTAAAAATATTTTAAAGGAAAGCAAAAGATAAAATATAGAAAAAGTTCCCCTGCCCCAAACCTCTGAAAAAATGGACAATATGCTCAAATGTGCATAATATCGTACAATTATTCATGATGCAGCAAAGCTGCACTGTTTCATCCGGATGGTCCTGTGTACCATCACACTCTCAGTTGAATCTCTGCAGGCCCTTGCAGCTGTCCTCATCATGGCAACCCCCACCTAGGTAAGCACTTCTAGGTAACAGCCCCTGCTGAGCACGCTCCCCAAGCACTCCTCATGGCCGACCAGTAGCCCTTCAGGTATGTGTCAGTGGGCCCACTTTACAGGCAAGGAAGTCCCTTGCACCTACATAGGAAGGGGCAGAGCTGGGATTTGAACCAGCTCTGTCAATGCCAAAGTTGTGCAGCAACCTCACCCGAGGAGCCAGGCCCCTTGATTATAGTAACTAGCGTTATGTACACTCACACATGCTGTTGAATCCCCGGAGCCACTTTTGTATTAGGTACATTTATCATCATCCCCATTGTAACAGTAGGACAACGGAGGCATAGCAAGGTCAGGAACGTGTTCAAGTTCACACCCTAGGTGAGTATCAGAGCTGAGCCTTGAACCTCAGCAGCCTGATCCCAGATTGTGTTTCCTGGCCTGGCTGTGTGGGGAGCTCAGACTTCATGGAAACAAAAGACAGAACGGTGGCTCCAGGGTCCACAGCGGATCCCAAGGGACCAGAGGCCAGCAGGGGGGTTGGCTGGGGTTGGAGGATGCTGCCTAGGAGATCTGCTCCCAGAGTGATGCTAGCCCTGTGTGATGACCTGAGTCCCCGCCTCCTTACAGGGTCATGGCTGCTGGGGAGGTGCTGAGGCTGTGGGTACAGCCAAACGGAGCTAGAGCAGGCTTTGGACTCCCTGCCTGGCAAGTCCAGGTGACAGGCTCAGACACTGGGCACTCTGTCATTTGCTGTTGGCATAAGTTTCCACTGGCAGGAATGTGACATTTATCACCTGAGTGGGCTTCCAGAAGCCCACTGAATGTCCTCAGACCTGGGGTGGGGGGCCCTCTCACTGCCTCACCTCTGAGCCTTAATCAAATCCAGGGTGGCTGGATGATCTGAAGGCCCTTTTAGCTCACGGAGGCCTGGGCTTGCCCCTGCCCCCATCCGTGTCCTCAGGGGAAAAGGTTCCCAGTCCTGCCCTTAGCAGCTCTGAGCTTAGATGAGGGGGGGAGATGAGATGGAAAGGAAAAGGAGAAGTAAGAAACAGACAGAGGAAAAGGAGTTGGCACTAGATTGAAGCAGTCAACACACACTTATTAGGCACCTAGGGCTATTTTAGGTGCTGGGGATACAAGCAATGGACCAGAAAGCCATGGAGCTCCTTGGGGGCTTTGATTCCAGCAGGGCAGACAGAAGACAGACAAGGAGGCAAATAAATAAGCACGCCAATATTTGATAGTGTCTTGGGACACTCAAGAAAACAGATGGGGGTAAAGTCAGAGAGAGTGACTGGGTGGATGGGGAGAGAGGGGCTCTTGGCAATACTTTAGACAGGGTGGTCAGGGAAGGTCTGTCGGAGCAGGTGACATGCGAGCTGAGACCAGAGGGTTGAGAGGGACCCAGGAAGGGAGAAGGGGGCTGGTAGGAGGGCCCACTGCACAGTGGAACTGGCTTTACCCACCTGCCTTCTCCCCACTCCTCTGCACTGCTAGTATCCCCAGTTCCTAAAACTCTTACTGCCCTTTCTCTCTGTTGCTTCTCCCACAACAGCCCTGAGAGCCAGATGGGGTGAGCCTAAGTAGCCTGACCTGCAGTGCAGGAAACTGAGGCTAGAGTGGGGAGGGTCAGCATCAGCGGTGCCCTAATGCCAGGACCTGACCCGGGCTCCCGCCTCCCAGCCTGGTGCTCCTCGGAGCCTGCCCATTGCCTGGCATGTTATTCAACCACCCCAGTCCAGGCAGGCTGCAGCCACTGTGGAGCCAGCCCGTGGGCACCGCTCCTGAGAGGTCACAGGCTGGAAATGTGGGCAGCTGGGTAGGGTCTAGGAGGGGGCAGCGGCTCAGGACTGGGCGGGGGTCCGGAGCGGAAGGCGCCCAGCCCTGATTGGAACAAGGTGGCAGCACCGGGAGCCGAGCCGGGTGTCATTGATCTTGCCCGGTGTTCCAGCCACCAGGCGGGACCAGCGCCGGGCAGACTGCCGGTTTTCCCAGGTGTGGGGACACCCTGAGGGAATGACTTTTCATGTGGTTGTGGGGCAGGCATGCCACCCAGCACGTGGGGGAGGCCAGGGCTTTGGGAGCATGCTGGCAGCAGGGTGGAGGGGGGTGTCTGGAGACTCAGAATCCCACAGCCAGCAAATGTGAGGCTCCTGGAGACAGGGTCATGGACTTGAGGCTCTGAGACCCTGAGGATGTTAGAATCTTCATCGCAGTAGCTCCCACTGATGGTGTGCTCACGGTGCCAGGCACGGTTCTGAGAACTCACACAGCTTAACTCTTCATCCTTGCTCCATCCTAAGAGGGGGTTCTGTGATCATCCCCACTTACAGTTGGGGAAACTGAGGCTCGGCAAGGTTAAGTAGCCTGCCAAACACACAGCTACCAGGTTTTTGTCTTAGGAAATAAGAGCCCTGGAACAGTTGGCCAGTGCGGAGAGGACCCCCGAAGATCTCTGAGGCTAGTCCCCTTGTGTCGGAAAAACAGGTCTGGAGAGGGGATGTGACGTGCTGGGGCCCAGGGGAGTCCAAAGTCAGGACTCATTCTTCCCCCAGGTCATCGTGGGACCTCCGCTGGTCCCTGAATGTCAGGCCCCCTGAGGGCAGGGTCCTCAGCCAGGACCTAGGCTCCCAGATGTTACCAACCTTAACTGACAGTTTTCTGCTAGCACACAGGAAGTTCTTTTGAACATCTAACCTGAATCCCTCGTTTGCAGGGAAAGCCTCTTCCTTCTCATCTTGCAGTACTCTAAGAAGAGTTTGGCCTTTGATGTTAGGGAAGATCACCAGTTCCCTGGTGTTGTGGGAGGTGAGACTGTGCCCCTCTCTGCCATAAAATATCTCTTTACTGTCCATCGCTGGGCCTAAACATTAGCGACTTAGCCCTTGGGGCCTTACAGAGTTTCTTATTAAAATGTGAGTACTCCTGGAATGGGTGTCAGCTTAGCAGGACAGGGTGGTACTTCAGGGGCAGGGCTTGGGGGCCGTTGAGGGGCAGGAGAGAGCTGATTCTCCCCTTCTAGCCAGGCTTGATGGGGTCTACATGACCTGCCACCCTCCACCTCTCTGACCTCATCTGCTTCCACTCTGCCCCTCCCTCACCCTGCTCCAGCCACCCTGCCTTCAAATATGCCCATCATACTCCCACCACAGGGCCTTTGTCTGTGCTGCCCTTTACCTGGAAAACCCTTCCCATTCTGTCTGCCTGGCTCAGCTACCCACTTCATTCAGGTCCCTGCTGCCTCCTCCAAGAGGCCTTCTCTGGTCTCCTGTGGTAGGCAGAATAATGGCCACAGAGATGTCCACATCCTAATCCCCAAACCTGTGGCTATGTTACCTTATATGGCAAAAGGGACTTCGCAGATGTGATGAAGGATAAAGACTTTCAGATGGGAGATTATCCTGGATTCCCCAGGTGGGCCCCATATGATCACAAGGATCCTCACACATGGAATAGGGAGGCAGAAAAGGACAGTCGGAGGGAGATGGGGTGTGGAAACTGATTAGGGAACCTGAGAGATGGCAGCGTGGGAAAAACATGGCTCAAAGCTGTGGGCTTTGAAGGTGGAGGAAGGGGCTATGAGCCATGGAAAGCAGACAGCCTTTAGGAGCTGGACAAGACAAGGAAACAAATTCTCCACCAGAGCCTCCAGCAAGGAACACAGCCCTGCCCTGACCTTGATCTTGGCCAAGGGAGACTCATAGAGAATTTCTGATCCCTGGAACTGTAAGATTATAAATGCATGTTTTTTTTAAGGCACTAAAAGTGGGTTAATTTATGATGGCAGGCATAGGAAACGAATATGTCTCCCTTCCTTGATTGACAGTTCCTCAGCACATTTATTAGTGCCTGATACACAATAGCTTGACTTATGAATTGTCTCTTTTCTCTCACAGAAGGTCAGCTGCAGGAGGGCAGGGATTTTTTGCTTGCTTGGTGTTACATTCGCAGATAGAGTTGTCACATTTAACAAATGGAAATATAAAACACCCAGTTAAATTGAATTTCAGATAAATAATGAACTCCTTTTTAGTATAAAGTTGCCCCAAATATTGCAATTATTTATCGTTTATCTGAAATTAAAATAATTTAGGAGTCTTGTATTTTATCTGGCGAATTCATCCCCAACACATAAAACCATTCCTGGGTATGTATTAGGATCTCAATAAATGTCTGTTGAATGAGTGAAATAGATAAGCAAATGAATTCACATTAACTTCTAGCTTAAAAACCCTCTTTGGCTCCCAGAATGCCTACAGGGTAAAGTGTAAATCATAGCAAATGATAAAAGCAGACAGTTTCATAGCCGCTTCAATATGCCAGACCCGGGCTGAGTGCTTTACACTTATTAACTCACTCGGTTCTTGCAATAACCCAATGAGGTGGTTAGCCCATTTTCCAGATGAGGAAACTGAGGCCCAGGAGGCTTAGTAACTTGTTCAAAGTCACATAACCATTGAGCAGCAGAGCCAGGCAATTCCAGGCCTTTGAAAACTTGGCTCATGGAATGTTCTAATGTTATCTCCCTACCCATTCCCCTGAACACTGTGGATCCTCTCTCTCTAACAGCCCCCGGTTCCTTTTCAGGGTATGTGCTTCCGCATTCTCTGACTGCTGAACTCCTCCTCATACATCAAAGCCCTGTCCTACTTTTCTCTCTTTGTGAGACCATCTCTAAAACTCCCAGGAGGACTTGGCCCCCTCTCTTTCCCCTCCCCACCATGGCCCCTTGTCTGAATGCGTTGTAAGGACTTGCTATTGTGTCCTTTACGTTCCCTGACTGTGACCTCCCTGAGAACGGAGATGGGCCCCTTTCAGCTCTTTGGCATGGGGCTTCAAACTGAGTCTGGCTTTAGGGGGGTTCCCAGAAGCATTTGAGAATGAATGAATGAATGAATGAATGAGTGAGTGAATGAATGGCTGAGTGAATGAACGAATGCTGTTTGTTTCCACTCTGGGCCTCAGTTTCAGAGTCTATAAAAGGGGAAGAACAATCCTGAACCGCCCCCCATTCCTTAAAACAAAACACATTTTTTTCTGATTATAAAAATAATACACATTCATTAAAGAAAAATTGGAAAATAATAAAATTATGAAGAAGAAAATTAAAACCATCCATAATCCTGCCACCCAGAACAATGGTTCCCACTGGGTGTTCAGCCTTCTGCTCTTCTTACTGTATGTATAGATTTATTATCTTCTTCTCTTCCCCGCCCTCCCTCCCTTCTCTCCTTCCTTTTTTTTTTGAGTGTTGGGAACATACAGTATGGGGTCCTTTAAACCTGCTTTTGAAATCCCCCAACATGTGTGTATGTGTGTTCTCCTGTTTTCTTAAAGCCTCCCTGATGGCAGGGGACAAGTGGCTGCTAGACAAGCCTGGTAGGGGCCAGGGTGTGGAAAGCCCATTCCCCCCCTACTCATGGACCACCATAGTTCCCTTGTGATGGGCTGTTTAGGGGGTTTCCAGATTTCTGTCAGGGAACACCCTGCGTGGATGTCTTAGCTGCATCCCTGGTTCCTTCCTTAGGACAGATTCTGGGACTGGGGTTGCTGAGACCAGTATAGACACTGAGAGGCTCCGGACACCGCCCCACATCCTCCCCACAGCTGCTCTCCAGCCCCACTCCCACTGGCAGCCTGGACTTCTCAGCTTGGCAGAAAGCCGGGGGCAGTATTCCACCTCCTCCAGAGAAAAGCCTTGTCTACACCCAAGGCCTCACTGATTCCATCCAACGCTGAAAATACCCATTTACTCAGCTATTTCTCCACGTTATGGTCTAAGGCCCAGATGCTTAGTTCCAACCAAAATAGCCACAGAGGTCACTGTGGTCTGAGGGTCCTCTGGACCTCAGGCCTGTGTAGACATCATACTTGGTAATAATTAACCCACGGAGCTCACCACGTGCCAGACCCTCTGCGTCTCTGTGTGTCCTCACGGTAACCCTGAAGCTAGGGATGGCTGTCTCCCATCTTACAGGTGAGAACACTGAGGGTGCTCCAGAGAGCTGTGGGCCCTAGGCCTTGTCACCTGGGGGTGCAAAGGCGCTGCCCCAGTAGTCCGGCTGCCTGCTACCTGGCTGCCTGCTACCCAATGGGGCAAAGTCCCAGCACTACCCCGAAACAAGGACAAGCTTTGGCCTAGAAGCTGGGCAGCCAGGTCCTGTGCCTGTTTTTTCTCCATATGTGCCCTGGGCAGCTCACCCTCTCCGTCTGTGAAATGGGAGAGCAGGGAGTCAGAGACAGCCTCCTAGGCCTGTGGCGGCTCTGAGCACAGTGGGTGCAGATACTCAGTGCTGAGTCAAAGAGAGAGAGAACCCTGCCAGATGGGCCAGCTCACCACAAGCAGCCAAGCCCGGTCTTTGAGGGGTTGGAGTGGGCAGGCCTTTGACCAAGGCTGAGCTAGGAGGGACCTGACGGCCCCAGATGGAGGCTGGCCCACCCTGCCCCAGCAGATGGGAGGCTATTTTTTAACCCCACAGGAAGAAGAGGACAGAAATGATTGCAGGGGGTTAACCTAGGCCCCTGGGGACGCTCCCTGTTTGCATCCTCCTTTCCCCACAACCCAGAGAGCTATGTGGGCTTCACCTGGAGTTCCCTGAATCCTTCTGGAGCTCCCCGCAGATCACAGCCGGAGCTGGCAGGGCCTGAGTGGCCCCTGTCTGCCAGGCGAGGGACCCAGAGCCCAGAGAAGTTTGACCAGGACTGGCTTCCTCTGCCCTCTCTGCTGTGTGCTTCCACCAGGTGAGGCTGCCTCCTCCGCTTCTACCTTTCTTCCTGGGGTGACCTGGGGAGGCCCCACCTTCTCCCGGGCCAGTTTCCCCATCTGTCAGACAATGGGACCCTCCAGACATCACTGAGGCTTCTCCCAGCTGGGAAACCTCCTTCTGAGCTGGGGCCCTGACTCTGTCACATCAGTCCTGGATTCCTGGAGGCCTCAGCCCTCCAGAAG
Organism: Homo sapiens; assembly: GCF_000001405.40. Lineage (NCBI taxonomy): Eukaryota > Metazoa > Chordata > Mammalia > Primates > Hominidae > Homo > Homo sapiens. The sequence continues at coordinate 24,948,116 of NC_000001.11, forward strand.
CATCCACCCAGTGGACAGGAGCTCGTGGCAGGTGTCTGGGGACCCCCAGGAAGAGGAAGGATTTCCTGGCCAGAGATAAGAAGAGCAGCGTGGGTAGGGGTTAAGCATCCTCCCCCTGCAGCCTCCCTCAGACCACGCCACCAGGTGGCCCTTGGTCCCCCCAAAAGGAGTTCCTGAAAAGTCTGTGTCTGTTGCAGCAGGTGCGGCCTGTGAAGTGTGTGTATGCTTGTGTGAGGGTGGTGTGTGTTCACATGCACATGGTGGGGGTGGGCACACAAGGCGGGAGGCCTAACATGGTGGCAGGGACAGACTTTGGTTGCTGAGCTGGGACAGCCTGTGACAGAGGCCCCAGCACACCCGCAGGTCTTACCAGAAACCCTCAGATGGTGCTGGTCTGACCTGAAGGTGGGCACATGCAGGGAAGGGGTACATGCAGGACAGGGGTGCATGTGGGGGAGGGCCATGTACAGGGCAGGGGTGCATGTGGAGGAGGGGTACATGCAGGATGGGTGCATGTCGGGGAGGGTCATGTGCAGGACGGGGTGCATGTGGGGGGTGCGTGCAAGACAGAGGTGCATGGGAGAGAAGGGTTTGTACATGGCAGGGGTGCATTGGGGGTGCATGCAGGGCAGGTGTGCATGTGGGGGAGGGGCATATCCAGGACAAGGGTACATGTGGGGAGGCCACAGGGCTCAAATGCTGTCAGGGCCTCTGGGAAGCTGGGACCCCAGTGAATGCTTGAGGGGAGCCAACTCTGCCTGACCTCCTCTTATGATTGTCTATTTAAACAATACTGTAAATTAATCACATTAATCGAACCCACCTCCCTGCCTCCTGCTGCTTGCCCCTGTGATACAAATAATATGAGCACAATGAAAAATCTTGGAAAATACAGAAAACACATAAAAAATGTTAAAGCCTGAAGTCTTATAACCACAGTGAACACTGCGAGTGTCTTTGAGGGGATGGGGGTCTGCAGGTCTTCTTGATACAATCACATTCATTCCCACATACTGGAGCATTTCCCACGGGCGGCTGTGGAGCTGAGCACTTCAGGTTTGTCTTAGTGAATTCTCTAACAGCCTGAGAGGGAGGTACTGTTATTCTCCCCATTGTATGGCTGAAGAAACAGCAAAAAGGAGGTTAAATATCCCCCTCAGGGTGTAAGAAGCAGAGCCAAGATTTGAATCCAAGTCTGGCTAAATGGAAAGTGCAAATCGTCCAGCGTCCAGGGCTGCACTCCAGCCATGCCCCGCCCCCCGTGAGCAGACCACTCATTTATTCATTCCTCCAGGAGCATTTACTGAGCACCTCCTGTGACTCAGACCCTGCCCAGCACCCACACCAAGGACTTGGCGGATGTGAACGAGACAGAGAGAGGCCCCAACCTGACTCCCCAAGCGGCCACAAACTGAGTCCCAACCTTGACCACAGCTTGATTTCTAGTCCAAGTTGTCACTGACCCCCACTGGCCTTCATCACTGACTGAACTGTGACCTGGCCTCCTGCACTCTGCAGTGGCCTCTGTGAGCTTTTCATTCCCCGTGATGTGTGTGAAAGCCAAGGCCAGCAGCCCACCTCACCCAGCCTATCATCCACGCGGCCTGGGCCAGGGAGGCCGTCAGGAGCCCACCCACCACCTCTGGCCTGCCACTCTGGGCCAGGCCTCTCTGGAGCGGGGGTTTGGCCTTGGCCCTTGGCACCCTGCTTGGCAGAAGGGTGGGCCTTGGCTCAGAGCATGGGGCCACCCCAGGAGGGGTCAGCATAGCTGAGCTCAGGGTACCTGTGGGCGGGGCTTCCATGTCCCAGGGTCCTCACACTGCAGCCTCCTCTTTTTGCCTGGGCCCTGGAACCCCAGGAGACCCCAGGAGCCGTTGCTCCCTCCTCTCACTTGCAGAAACTCAACAGGGCAGCTCATCTGAGCTCCCCCGATGCCTGCACTGTATTTCTGGGGGTCCTGCATGTCTCTCCAATCCTCAGGCAGGGCCAGTTACCTACTTTATAGGACCCAGTGCAAAAAGAAAATACAGGACCCCTTTTCAAAATGCAGGAACAAAAGTTTTTCCTTTCTTCTGTGGACTCTCAACCCACGGTGGTGTTTTTTATTTGCTGTTCAATGTCACACGTACTTGGACCTGGGGAGACTTGTGCAGAAAGTGCAGACCCTCACAGATGCTCAGGGGCCACCCCAAAACTTGGTGTGCAGATTCCAACCCCTTTCTCCTCCCCATGCCTGCCTCAGTGGAGGGCGGCAGTGCAGGTAGTGGGCTGCTGAGAACCCATCCCTGGAGGCAGCAGGAGGCAGACTGGACCCGGGCCCCAAGTCCCCAGGCATGCTGCACTAGCCCATCAGGCTTCATTTACAACACACTAATTCAGAGCGAAAATGATCCAGCATTTCAATATGGCAACTGCTGAGCGTTAAATTCAAGCACAGGAGGTGGGGGGGCCAGGTAGCCCTGGAACATAGCAGTCTCACAGGTGGCTGGGCGTGGGGTGGATCTCTGTTCTTGGAGTAGAGGGATGTGGAGTACCTCCCTCTGCTTGGAGTATCTGGGGTACCTGGACAAGCACAGGGGGCCATGAACAGGGCCATGCCTGTGTGCCTGCCCCTCGCTCAGAAGAGGGCACCTGACGGGAATACCAGGGCATATCTGCACCATGCCCGGGCAGTAGGCCTGGGCATGACCCTGGATCAGGCAGACCTGTAGTAGGTGGAAGGGCCCCAGGAGAGCTGAGGAGCCTAGGGGAGAGGAACCCAGAGGTCCCTGCCAAAGTGCTTGATGTGCTGCCGTAAGAAGGGCAGCATAGGCCGGGCGTGGTGGCTCACGCCTGTAATCCTAGCACCTTGGGAGGCTGAGGTGGGTGGATCACGAGGTCAGGAGATTGAGACCCTCCTGGATAACATGGGGAAACCCTGTCTCTACTAAAAATACAAAAATTAGCCGGTTGTGGTGGTGCGTGCCTGTAATCCCAGCTACTCGGAAGGCTGAGGTAGAAGAATTGCTTGAACCAGGGAGTTGGAGGTTGCAGTGAGCCAAGATCATGCCACTGCACTCCAGTCTGGCAACAGAGAGAGACTCCATCTCAAAAAAAAAAAAAAAAAAATAAGGCAGCATGGGTGCCTGCTGAGAGAGAGAGAAAGAAGCTCTTTCCCTGCATGTGTTGCCATGGGATTCTGGCCCAGCTCCCTGGGGTGCTCTCTGAGCTCAGCTTTGGCCCTGTCCCTCTCTCTCTGTGCCTCAATTTCTCTAACTATGCACTGAGCAAGGAGAAGACCACCACACCTCAAGTACCTTCTGCATGGGCCATACACTGAGTTTTATGAATCTCCCCTCTCTTGTTCCACAAATGATTACTGGCCCATTTCTCAGACGAGGAAACTGAAGCCCAGAGGAGGCAATGACTCACCCAGTAAGAAGGTGGTGGAGCTGGTTCTGCCTGGCTTCCCTTCACCCCTTGAGTCGCTCCAGCCTCTCTAGGTTTGGGTGGAGGACGTGGGAACCAAGCTCGTGGGGGCACCACCAGCTCTTGCCAGAAATGGGGCCAAGAGAAGACCAAGGATGCTCCTTGACCTGAGGAAACGTCCATTAATTCATAGCTACTGTGCTTTGGCGAGCCACGCAGGCTCTGGATGCAGGCTGCCTGGGTGGGTGACCTGAGCAGATGCCTTAATCTCTCTGGGGTTCAGTTTTCTCATCTGTAAAATAGGCCTCATAAGAGCTTTTGTCTTATAGGGTTGTGAGGATTAAATGAGCTAAGGTATATCACTTGAGCCTGGGAGGCAGAGACTTTAGTGAGCAAGATTATGCCACTGCACTCCAGCCTGGAAGACAGAGCCAGAACCTGTCTCAAATACATATATAAACAAAATGAGCAAAGGTATGGAAAACACTTAGACAGTGGCTGACATAGAGTTAAGAGCTATGTAAATGTTTACTGCTAATGGAACTATTTAAAAGTTGAGTCATAATTTATATTTTCTAGACTGTCAATTACGAATTGATTCATTTCAATGTTGTGCTTTTCCCTTTTGTATTTAGGATCCAGCAAATTTTCCTTTGAAATCTCAATACAATTTCCTAGGTCCTTGAGAAGATAATTTCCCCGCCCCCACAGTGCTTATAGCCCATGGTGGATCCAATAGCTCTCTCTAGAGCAGCTTTTCCAAAAGTGGACTTTGCACACACCAGCCCCTTCCAGATGCATCATCTCACCCCAAGAGATAACTCAATAAACAGTTGAGCATACACTATTTTAGATCTCCATGGCCCAACAAGGTAGCCATTAGCATATCAAAGACTCTGACAAGTCCTGCAGCAAAACACCATTGAACATTGTTTGAAACAACCAATCCCAATCTTGTTTGACCACAGAGTTCCATTATTTCTGCTCAACAGCTGATAACATCTGAACACACGTTGGGAGATGCCACCCTCATTTCCTGCTTTCTAGGAAATGGCAAGGGGAGTCAGAGCTGTGAGGAACACCCTCTCGCAGGGATGAGTGGCTCCACCTCTACAGAAATCATCTCCAGTCATGTGCACCATCGCTAGGCCATTCCTCCTGTTCTCACCTTCCTTGTCTGATTCAGCCCCCACAGCGGCCTGGAGAGGTCACTAGCATCAATGTCTCCATCATACAGATGAGGAAATTGAGGTTCACAAAGGTTAAGTGGGCACATAGCCAGTAAGTGGCAGATCCGGTAGACAAACCCACAGCTTCTGATTCTAAACCCCACATTCGTTCTTCTGTATGTTGACTGGAAAAGTAAAAATAGATCCTATTCTAACAGGATCAATCTTCCCCCATCATAGGCTTTTAAAAAACTCAGGTATTTTTTTTTTCCGGTAGCATTGAATGCTTTAAAAACTTAAAATTTTTACTATCTTTCTTTTGATTACTAAAGCAGTACGTGCTTGTTATGTATAAAACTTTTCAAACATTTTGAGTTGAAAAATGAAAAAAAGGCAGGGCGCGGTGGCTCAAGCCTGCAATCCCATCACTTTGGGAGGCTGAGGCGGGCGGATCACGAGGTCAGGAGATCGAGACCATCCTGGCTAACACAGTGAAACCCCGTCTCTACTAAAAATACAAAAATTAGCCAGGCGTAGTGGCGGGCACCTGTAGTCCCAGCTACTCGAGAGGCTGAGGCAGGAGAATGGCGTGAACCCAGGAGGCGGAGCTTGCAGTGAGTGCGATTGCGCCACTGCACGCCAGCCTGGGCGACAGAGCCAGACTCCGTCTGAAAAAAAAAAAAAAAAGAAAAGAAAAGAAAAGAAAAATGAAAAAAAAAAAAAAACAGATCTGCATAGCCCTACAAAGTAGCCATTAGCTTTTAAATGAAAATACTTAAATGCTATCTAAATGAAAATAGTTAAAATGAAATAAGATAAAAAATTCAGTTCCTCAGTTACAGTAGCCACGTTTCAAGCGCTCGGGATTCACGTGCCCCTGGTGGCTACTGTGTTGGGCAGCACAGACATGGGACATTACTATCATCACAGAGAATCCTACGGGACGGTGCCGTTCTAGATTCTTCTTAGACATATCCTAACACCTATACAGGTTGATTATCCCTAATTCAAAAATCTAAAATCTGAAATGCTCCAAAATCCAAAACTTTTTTAGGGCCAACATGGTACTCAAAGGAAATGCTCATTGGAGAATTTTGGATTTTGGACTGAAGTATAATCCAACTATTCCGAAATCTGACAAAATCAGAAGTCCTAAATTTGAATGCTTCTGGTCCCAGCCATCTTGGGTAAGGGATGTTCAACCTGTAATGACTGTTAATGTGTGGTTTTTTTTTTTGGAGACCAGGTCTTGCTCTGTCGCCCAAGCTAGAGTGCAGTGGCACGATCATAGTTCACTGCAGCCTTCACCTCTTGAGCTCAAGTTATCCTCCTGCCTCAGCCTCCCAAAGTGTTGGGATTACAGGCGGGAGCCGCCATGCCCCAGCCTATTGATATTCTTGTTGAGGTTCTCAGACATATCTGCATGGCCTCACACATGGAGGAAAGAGACCCACAGAGGCAAAAACAAGACATGGGGTAAAAATAGACTGGAAGGAAACACACCGAATGATAGTGGTTTTTTCTGGGTGTTGAGATTACCGAGCTTATTTTTAAATTTCTTAGATCCTTCAGGTGTTCTACAACGTAAAATGCAGACAGGGTGGGGACGTTGGTTGGAGTCATGTTTTCCCTAATGTTCTTACTGGTTCTAAAATCTTCAAGCTATGCTCTCACCCAAGGCTTCACTTATTATTATTTTAACACTGTGGATTCATAAAGAATGGAAGCCCACACAAGTCCAGGGAAGGAAGGAAAGGCAGACAGAGGCTTATTTTCAGGCCTGGGCAGTTGCACAGGGTCCCTTGCTTAGAAGGGCCTCATGCTTGGTTTCGTGTTCTGTGGTCGCTGTCCTGAAATTCTTACTGATTTTTGAACAAGGGATCCTGTATTTTCATTTTGCACTGTGCCCTGAAAATCATGCCGCCGTCACTAGCCCTGGGATTCTCCCCAGGACAGGTTTCCCTTCAGCTGCTCTAAGCCTTCGCCCTTGTCCTTGTCCAACCACGGACGTGGCCATCCACGGAGCCCTCTACGTGCCTCAGAGCAAGTGTGCTTCGGCTGCTCAGGTGTGTGTCTAGAGACTGATAAAAACAGGGCTCGTGAGTGGGTGCGGGAGGCCCCTGTGGTCTCTGTTCACACACGTACCTACCCTCAAGGCCATGTCTACACTGGCCTATTTCAGAGAACCGCCCTGTGCATCATGGGATGCTTTGCCCCACATCACGGCCCAGCTTGGTTCAGTCCTGGAGCCCTGTGTCCTGAAGCCATGACCAACCCCAGGCCTGGCCCACCTTCTTCCTCAGTCTCCTCTCCCTCAAGCCCTCCACAGGACCCATAAACCTTCCATCTCCATGTAATCCTTTTGTGTGATCCTTCTTCCATACCTTTGCCCATGCTGTTCACTCTGCTTGTACCAGCAAGGTTCCTTCCTCCCCAGATCTGCCCTTTCTAGACCCATCTCAGATTCCACCCTTTCTAGAAAGACTTCAGGAAGTATTTGAGAAGGGCCTGAAGATGCTGTGGTTGCATAGAGGAGGATATGAATCACCTCGCTTAGAGGTATCGGGGAGGGCTCCATGGAGGTGGTGCCCTCAGGCCAAGGAAGAGAAGATATCTTCCGGGCAGAAGGGAGAGTTTGACGGGCTGGTTTGATGTCAGACAGACCACAGGATGACTCAAGGTCCTCTTTCCTCTTCTTAAACATTAGTTGCAGCAAGTCCCACCATCTGCCTGAGTCTGTTTTCATCTCCACAATGGAGGTGGTGATGCCCAGCACACGGAGCTGTGATGAGGATTTAATGGGGAATCCAGAGCATTTATGGAAGTGCCAGGAGGCCAAGATTCTGCATAGGTAGGAAGGACCTAAGCCAGAGGGGTGTGGGTGGCCAGAGGAGAGAGCCTACCTTAGTAGGGCTTGGTAGGCTAAGGTCTGGGCTGAATCTCGAGGCTCTGGAGCTTAGAACAGCATCTGCAACTCCCTGGCTGTCGGGGTTCAGGCAAGGACTGCCTCCTCTCTGAGTGTCAGTTTCCCCATCTATAAATGGAAAGCTGGGACACTGAAAAACACTGGGGGGGAGGGTGGTTCCTGAGGCAGTCTCTCTCCACACATCACAGGAATGTGGCGCCCCAGGGAGAAGGCATCTTTGTCCATTGTGTTCACTTCTGCATCTCCAGTGCCCAGAACAGTGCTTGCATGCAGTAGATGCTCAATAAATGTTCATTGAATGAATCAGCAGCAACCAATTCGCCCACCTCACATCCTAAGTCCGCTGGGGACGTAGGCCCACCTCTCCAGGGAAACTGTCTGCAGATTGGGACCACACCTCAGGTCACAAGCATTTCCTGAGCACCTACTGTATGCATGGCTCTGCGCAGCCCGGGGCAGACCCTTGCTCCACAGCCCGACAGGGCAGAGCCAAGGAGGCAGGTGACAGACACAGTGATTTGGGAAGAAGAACAGAGAGCAGGGTGGCCAGCAGGGCCTTGCCTGGGTGGGAGCAGGCCGTTCCCAGGCTGGAGCTCAGGCTGATGGGAGCCCCAGCTTGCCTGTTCCTGGGAGGGTGGGACTGCCTCTTCCTCTTTCTTTCTCTGAAAACAAAAATTGTTTTCCCTTAAATTTACAAGTATTAAAAGTTTGGAAAATACACAATAATCAAAAGAATATAAAATAAAGGTTACCTGCCATCATGGCGGACCACACAGTATTAACTACTATGGACTTTTCAGTGTTTCCCTCTAGTCTTTTTTCTGAGGTGGCTTTGCTCTCAGAGGTGGCTTTCTCTCCCCCTGGGAAGGGATATAGCTGCTCTGTAGGAGATGTGGGGGCACCAGGCTCTCTCCATGGGCTCTTTATCACTTCTGACTTGGAGGTCCTTTCTCCACCCCCCCTGGACCTAGCACCTCTTCCCGAGACACAGGGGTGCGAAGAGCTGGGGGAGGTACGTCAGCAGGCCTCCCCTCCTGCCCCTGCTTACCCCACGGAGGTGGGGTGGGACAGAACTCAGGCTTGAGGAAGGAGCACTGGAGGCCAAGCCACAGGTGCTGGTCCTCAGCCCTGGTGCCCAGGCAAGTTGGGTTTGGGAATAGGGGCATGACCAAAATGGACCCCTCCTTTCCTCCCCACCCCTTTCCACTCCATCCGCCTTTCCCTTTGCGTTCTCCAAGCGTTCCGTCCCCCAGATGCCCTCTGTTTCCTCTGCTCCAGCCTTTTAACTCCTCTCAACAAAGGCCAAGGAATCAGGCAGACTGTGGACACTCAGGTGTGCATGATGGGAAGGGACCTGCATTTACAAAAGCTCCCCCCCACAGGGACTGCATGTGCTGGTGGAATCTCAGTCACCATGTCCCACGTTGAAGGATGTTTGGAGGGGGCTGACTTTGGTCACCCTTCAAATCATAAGTTATATGCGTCTGCCCTTTCCGCCCACACGTAAGTCTGAACCTTTTGCCAAAAACACTTTTCCCAGACTCGAAAGAAAACCCCAAAGAGGAACCTAAACCTTCACGCTGCCTGCACCGATTGGACCGGAGTGCTCAGGCTCGCGCCAACAAGTGTTTCAAAGAAGAAGCCAGACAGTGAAGGGGGAAGTGAGGGAGAAGCTGGAAAACTCTCAGGCTGACCAATCGTCAGCCCATTCATTCGTTCATCCATCCATCCATCCATCCATCCATCCATCCATCCATCCATCCATTCTTTCTTTCTTTCCTCTATCCATTCAGTGAGAAGGGCTGAATATCACCTGTGAGCCTGCCCCTGCTCCCAAGAACACCCTTTGGACACCTGTGGGGTGAGTAGTGAGGGGCAGCAATGGCAGAGCACCCCCACCGCCTGGAGGGGAGAAAGGGAAGGGCTGGGAAGGCTCCCCAAGGGGGCGGCCATGAAGCTGGGCCTTGAGAAGACAGGCCAGGGTTTCTCACCTTCCACATCCTGCTTAGAGTCAGACAGAAGGCTTTTGCAGAGGAGGAGGAACATTAAATAGTAGTAATTTCTGGCATTCCATGAGGGCTTGTCTGTGCCGGGCCCTGTGCTGTGCACGTGATACACACTACCTCATTAAACCTACCCAACATGCCTTGAGGGGGTGCTATTCATTTTCTCCATTTTACAGGTAAGAAAATGAAACACAGAGAGGTGAGGCACCTCTCCCAACGCCACACAGCGAGGAAGTGGCAGAGCCTGGCTGCAGCTGAGGCTTATAGCCGCATTTTACATTGCTTTCTCTCCGAAGAGTGCCTTCCTTTATCCCTGGGAGCCATTGACAAGGGGTCTGACAGTCCCTCTAGTCTTGTGCCTGCTCAGCCCTCTCTAGCCCTGAAAAAACCAGGGCTTGGCGCTGGAGAAAGAGCAGGAGGGTGAGATGTGGAAACATCTGTTGAGTGGCAGGGGATCACGCTGGCGCAGAGGGGCCCGAGCCGATCAGGAGGCCGGCCTGTGCCAGGCCAGTGCTCCCTGTGTACCAGGTGCCACATGCGGGGCTCAGGGTAGGGCCACAGTTGCTCCTCCCAACCACCCTTTGAGGTCAGTGTTACTAGCCCATTTTACAGAGGAGGAAACTGAGACCTTAAGAGGTGAATTAACATGTCAGGTCACCCAGCTACCATGCAGTTTAAGCCTAGATTGTTCTGACTCCTAAACTGTGTGCAAGGCGGATGATTGGACCCCAGGGAGGCAAGGAAAGTCAGTTTTCCTGCTGCTGAATTCAATGTTTTACAAGACCACACACCTCTTTAGACCTCAGTTTCGTCATGTATGAAATGAGGAGGGGAACTCTCTGCCTCCGGGCTCTGATATGCTCCTGGACTGATTCACTGTTCCTTGTTCTTGTGACTTCTCAAAGCAAGACCAGAGTCCCACTCCCAGCCCTAGGCCCGAGATTCCCATCCCCACTGTGTCCAGGGGCTTCAGGAGGTGCTATTTTAGGGCAGATGGCAAAGGCCTGGGCTGTAGATCCACTGAGGGCTAAAGGCAATCTTTCTTCCCTCCACCCCTCCCTTCCTTCCTTCCTTCTCTTTACTTCCACTAAGCAAGGTAGGGAACTACTCGCTGAGTCTCAGGGCAGGCCCACGGACTGAAGCTCAGGAGGACAGGGCTCCCCAGTGGCTGCAGGTGTCCCAGCACTGACTCCTAGCAGAGGGGGTGTTTGGGTTCAGTCTGGAAGATTGGGTGAGATTCCCCAACTACGGGGGGTGGGGGCACACTCTGGGTGGCAGATTTGAGGAAGAGTCTGCAGATAAGGCATCCCCAGGAGATGGCAATAAGAGCTGGTGTTGGGGCTGCCCCACTGAACCCAGAGCCCAGGCCTGTTTCCCCACCCATGGAGGAGTCCGGACTGGCTCAGTGGCAAGGCCGGGGTCAGAGGCTGCCACTCTCCTCCTGCCTCTCACAGCCCGCTGGAAGGTCAGGTTTTCAGGCTCTGCTTATCCGTCTCCCGGCCTCCTCCCTCCAGGTAACCGAGGGAGCCTCCGCTTTGATGCGGCCACCTCCAGGCCCAGGCGTCAATGAGCCCTCTATATGACCAGTGGGGCTGCTGGGGGCCTCCAGCCCGCCAGAGTGGGTGCGGTGAGGCCTGGACACACAGTCCCGCTGTGTGGGGTCGGCTCATGCCTGCCTAGACCCTGTGGGCAGTGGGGGGCTCCTAGGAATGCTTTTCCAGCCTGGGGGGCACTTTGGACAGGCAGGGTGGTCTGGGGAGACGGGTGTGTGCAGGGCAGCCTCAGAAGCCGCCATCAAAGGGACCTAGCAGACGTGGCGCCAGGCAAGCGCCATAGTGGGCACGGAAGGGCTGGCGGTCAGTCTGTTCCTCTCCCAGGGATGGCGGGGAGGGGGAGGCCCCATGGACACATGTGCTCAGGGTGACCAGCCATCAGGGGTTGCCTGGGATGAAGGGGTTTCCTGGGACGTGGAGCTTTCAGTGCTAAAACAGAGAGTCCCCTGTTATTGGAACTTCCTGGACCTTCGGAAAGGATACAGTGACTGACCTCTCTGGTCTGGGCAGCCTCCTCCCTGTCCGGTGACCTCTGAGTCAGACCATCTCGGCCAGACCTGCCCAGGGCCATTTTGTCCACCCCCTGCCTCCACACAGGCCTGCCTCATACCCAAGAGTCCACTTTCCATTTCTCCCAGGCATCTTCAGGGGAGGAGCTGCCGGCCAACTCCAACCACTGCTAGGGGGACCTCGGCCAGACCCACACCACGCTCCCAGCCCTCCCTGTGGCTCCCGAGCCAGCTCATACTTTCCTGCTTCCACACCTTTGCCCAGGACGTTCCTTCTGCCTGGAACATCCTTTCCCTGTCTTTGTTACCTCTTTACCCTTAGGGACCCAGTTTCCAAGTCACTCCTCCAGAGGACTTGTTCTCTCTTTCCCAAGGCTGGGCTAGTACCCCTCTTTGAACTCACAGCCCTGGTTCTTCTCCCAAAAAACCTTTGTCACGCCCCAGGGCAATTTTCTGTTGACCCATCTTTTTCTACACCAGATGGTGAGCTCTTAGGATGGAGATCCTGACCCAGTTTCCCCCGGGCTCCCAGTACAAGGCCATGCTCATGGTGTTCATCAAATGGAAAATGCTTATTGAGCAACTACTCTGTGCCAGGCATCATGCTCCTTTAATTCTCTCCATAGCTCTGCAAGGTTGGTGTAACCCCTACAGATGAGGAAACCAGAGACAGAGAAGTGAAGTAACTCATGCAGGTGACGGCAGAGGGCAGAGTCAGGACTTGAACCTGGAGAGCCTGGCTCTAAAGCCCAAGCTGGAATCTCGATACTCTACACCTCGATAAGTTTTTGGGAAATGACTGACTAAACAGATGAACGCGTTTGCCCCCCCGCCGCCCCAGAGCCCCCTTAAAGCCTACATGTGGCAGTTTGGGCCCATTTCCTTGGCTTCCCTCCCTGGAGGGGCACCCACTGCCAGTGTCCCTGGTGAGTGTTTGCCTGTGGGGGTACAAGTGAGGGTTCAGCAAAGGTGACCTGGTGTGAGGGGGGGGTGCCCCAGGGGGTGCAGAGGAGGGCCTCATGAGGCAGATTCAGAATGAAGGTTCTGGCCCCCAGTGGAACCGTGCATGGGCAAGGGGTCCTCAGGGCCATTGGCCCATAATTGTCAGACGGGGAAACTGAGGCCCAGAGAGAGGAAGGGACTTGTCCTTAGTTACACAGAGTGTCTGGATCACAGCTCTTAGGTCTCAGCTTCCCCATTTGTCACACAGGGAGAATAAATCCCCCTTGTCCTGCCTGGGGGTAGACCCCAGGGGGCCCCTGTGCCCTCTCACACCTTCCATTCCAGCTTCTAGAATTCCACCATCCATGCACCAGCCCTGAGGGTAGGCGTTGCCCTCTTCTCACCTCCTGCTCACGCCTCTACTGCAGGATGGGAACCAAATGCCTCTCCACCCTTTTCCCACACCCCTTCTCTCCACAGTGAACTGAGGGGAGTTTCTGATCCCTTAGCTCAAAGTCAGAGAAACTGAGAGGGGAGGGCTGGGTGGGAGCCGTGGGAATGTCATGCACAAGCAGTCGGACTCTCCAGGGGTCTGGATCTCTCCCTTGCTGCCTTGAAGGCCCCTGCACAGGCTGTGGCACTGGCTGAGTACAGGTGCCTGAAGGCAGAGGCATGGATGGGATGCTTCATTCTCAGCCTGTTTTTGCCAGTGAAGACAAAAGGGAAGTCATCTTCCGTTGGTCTATGGGGACCCTGAGGTAGTAGGAGCTCGGTGATAATTCTAGGGACCACCCTGGGTTGTCAGGTGGGGGAGACAGAGAAGCCCACATAGGAGGCACCAAATGCAACTCACTCGTGCCCTTTTACTCATGAGAGAACACGGATCCAGAGATGTCAAGTGACTCAGACACAGTCTCACAGCACACAGGCGGCAGAGGCAGGTAGGGGACTGGGCTTCCCTGGCAGCAGTCCCCAAGCCTGCCTGAGAGGCACATCAGAATCGCTTTAGGGGATTTGCAAAACCACACCTGCCCAGGCCCAAACCCTAGAGATTCTGATTCCGCAGTCTGAGGTAGGAATGGAGAATCCTCCACAGCCTGAGGTAGGAACTGGGAATCCAGTGTTTAAAACTCTCTAGGGGCGGTGATTTCAGAAAACCTGCTGGCTCCATCACACTTTGCTCAGGGACTGAGATGGGATGGCATTTGGAAGACACAGGTAGGAGGAAGAGGAGGCAGTGGGGGGCACAGGGAGACCCTTCCCCTTCTGGTAAAAGCCTGTGGACGAGAGAACAGCCCGAGTAAGATTCTGAGAACCCGAGACCCGGATGGACCTGGAGTTTTTGTCTTGCGTATAATTTAGGGGGTCTGTGACACTGGGCTGGAGATAACCGTGTCTTTCCTTTCCCTGGCCTCTAGCTGAAATTTAGCATCATATTCCATGGCGATTTTCCACCAGTGGAAATCACAGGTGTTCTCTGGTATCACAGCGGGGTCAGGGATGACCTGAAATATTGTTCATGCTCATCACAACTGCATGGCCCACCGCGGGGTCTTGTCACTCAGTGAGTTCTTGAAGAGGCACAGACAAATGGAGTTCAACAAATGGAAAACGTGAGTCAATATGTCACCAGCTTGCTTTCTGAGTTTGACAATGGTATTTCCATCGATTTCTTTTCCTTTGTAATCCTTTGGATTTTGTCTTACGCGTTTAAAAACGCAACTCCGAGGAGGAACCTGAAGGTTCCCTGAGACTGCCAAGGGTCGGTGGGTTAGGGACCCTGTAGGGGGCAGCGTGGGGTTGGCACCCTGCAAATGGGACCCTGGGGCTGCGTCTCTTTGAGGAAGGAATTGGCAGCTGGAGCCCTGTAAGCCTCCAGGGATGGGATTTGGGAGACAGGCCCCCATGGCGAGCACGTCGTGAGCAGAAATGAACAGGAGAGAGAAGGCTGAAGAGGGGAGACAGGTCTCCACAAAAGTGGAGGGAAGGCCCTCGGGCCACAGACCCCAGATCCAAACATCTCCACAGACCCTAGCCTATGAGGCGCCTTCTGTGCCACTGCTGGCCAGGATCAGCCCGCTCTGCCCAGCGGCCTCCTGTCTCTGGGCGCATACATGACATGTTGGGCCAAAGCCACCTCTCCCTTTGTGCCCTTTGTGCTACTGCCAGCCACCTCCCAGGCTCCGAGGATCAGGACCCAGCCCAGGCCGACCGGGGCTCTAGCCCTGTCTCCCAAGGTTCCTTTGTTTTAAACCCTACATTTCTCCATCTTGCGCACGGAAGGAGAAATACAGATTACAAAGACCCGGCAAATGGATTTTATAAACTCTTATTTTCTTGCCACAGAACTGCCTTTAATTAGCTCCGAGGACTACAAAGGGAACAACGTTATAATAGCAGCAACTCCAAGGAAGCAGCCACAGCTCTCAGCTCTCAGACCTGGGGCTGCCGCTCATCATCAGCTACAGCTAGGTTTGATGGGAGTGCCCCCATTTCAGGGGACAGCAGGCCCCCTTCACTCCCCGACTCAGTCCCCATCTGCAGCAGCACAGCCTTCCTTGGCCTCACCAGGGAAGAAGAACAGGCCCCGCTCTCAGACAAGCCTTCCCAGAAGCCTGAGGACTCAAACACCCAAATGTGTCTGGGTCCCTGCCCCGAGCCGGCCACCCAGGCAGCAGCCCTGAATCACTCGGTCAGCCAGCGGCAGGGCAGGCCAATGGGCTGGAGGGTAGGCAGGCAGGCAGACCCACCTCTGCATCTCTGCTGACTGCCTCGGCTGAGGAAAGGCAGCACCAGCCCCCAACCCTGAAGTTCTAGATCTCATGCAGCCTCTCTGTTCTGGAACCATCCAGAGGCACTGCCCTTATACATGGTCCACCCCCAGGCTCAGACAATGAGAATTCCACAAGCAGAGGGGACTCTATTTGGGGCACAGAGAGGTTAAGTAACTCCCCTCCTAAGGTCTCTCAGCAAGGAAGCCACTGAGCCGTGGGACTTGAGCTCAGGGACTCTTGATCCCCAGTCTCAGGTGTCACAGCCCCATCTGGGCTCCTGCTAGGGAGGAGGAAGGCAGCAGGGGGTGTCTGAGGCCAGGGTGCATCAGCCCTAAATGCCAGACAGAGGCAGGAGAAGTCTCCCCATGAGTCCCAGCCCCATTAGAGGCTCCAGGTCGGGGATCCCAGACCCCCTATCCTTGCTGGGAGACACAACCCAGAACTCTGCATCCCTGCAGCCACCAAAAAAGGCAAAAGCTGCCCAGAAACACTTTCTCCTCTTCCGTGGCCAAATCCACGAACTTTCTCGAGGTCTGTCCCCCTGCCCCGTGCAGGTCCAGCTTCAGTGCAGCCCAGCTCTGTGCAGTTTTCCACAAAAGCCTGTGGCTTCCTTCTCCTCCCTCTGCTTCTGATACCCCAGGAGTTACACACAAAATGTTGGCGGTGGTCTCCAGGAAGACCCCTGCATCCCACAGCTCTCCCCAGAAGTTGCCAGCAGTGACCTCCTGAGCCCAGGTGGGGAGTCCCAGGCAGGACAGGGGCTGGGGCTGCAGGCCCTGGGGCCCTGTTAGTGAAGCAGCAAGCCGAGGGTCCCTGAGAGTTTCCCTTGGCCCCTCTGAGGGCTGCCCTTTGAGGTCTTGAGGTCTTGGAGTATCCATCGCCCCCACGGCTTACTGTCCCCACCAGCGGAGGATGAAAGTGCCACAGCGATGTTCCACGCCAAGAGACCACAGAGACCACCAACCCCTCTTCCCACCTCAGGCTTTCAGAGGCCAGCGGATTTAGGCGGACAGGCTGTGCGCTTGAGGGCAGCCAGGGCGGTCAGTGGAGGGACGTGGTCCGGGGCCTGGCCACAGCTCCCCACCCAGGGCCCTGGGCTATTGTTACTCACCGCGGATGAAGGTCGGCGAGTAGGTCGGGAAGGAGTCGAAGATGCTGTTCGATGCCATGCCCCGCTCTGAAGAAGGCGAGAATTTTCAGCCCTTCAGGGGGTTGGGTTGGGATTCACTTGGTTGGCTGTTGTTTTATTTTTTTTTCCTCTAGCTACTTTTGAAAATAAAAGGGGGGGGTGTTGCTTTTTGTTGTTTTTTGTTTTGTTTTTGTCTCTTTTTTCCCCCCTGCTGCTACGAAAAAGAAAAAAGGAAAGAACGCGAGAGTGTGTGTGAGTGAGAGAGAGAAAAAAATCCCCAAGGAAAGTAAGTTTCTGTTTGTACCCAAGAATTTGGATTCCCGGTCCCACAGGAATGTCTAGCCACAAATTCTCAACAGAAGCGTATGCAGAGTGTATCATTAGATGGCGGGAAGGGGCTTTCGGCAGCCAGGGTGGAGGAGCTCCGAAGCTGACAGAGCAGAGTGGGCCGCCTCCAGTGCCACGGGGAATGAATGAATGAGGCTTACCCTTGACAGAGCCCAGGCTCTGGTGGGTACGAGGGCGGCCGGGGGTGGGGAGCACCAGGAGCCAACCAGCTCCCGCGCAGGGCCCTGGAGGCGGCAAGGGCCTGGCCTTGTGGTTCTGTGGTTGAGGGACCAGGCCTTCCCAGTGTCAACCCAACCTCAGCTCACAGGATGCGAGAAGCCTGCTCGCGGCCTTGGCTCATTGGCTGGGCCGCGGTCACCTGGGCCGTGATGTCACGGCCTTTTAGAAGATCTTGTGGCTGCCTCTCTTTTTGGAAAAGAAAAAAAAAAAAAAGAAAGAGAGAGAGAGAGAGAAATAGAAAAGTGATGGCTTTTATTTGTGAGGCTGGCCTCAGCACGCGGCCCAAGAAACAGAACTGAAAGCGGTTGCAGTGGGCGTGGCCAGGAGGGTGGTTTGGCTCCTGGGTGGGAGACTCCTTCTTAATTAAGGCCAGCATTGGCCTGGGCGGGCTAGGAGCCCCGCGGGCCCCTCACCGAGTGCCCAGAGCCCGGATCCACCAGCGGCCGGAGAGCTCCCTGCCATGCCACCTCGCCCCTGGGCTGCGGCTGACTCCCTGCCATTGTCCACCACCATTGTTGCCAGGGAGAGGTGTCCACATGTGTGGCTGGGTGGCACCTCTGGGGCTTTTATGGGAGTTGGGACTAAGTACAACGGGAAACACATGAAGTGGCATTGCCAGCACTCACGCCTGGCCTCGGCCTGCCCACCGAGAAGGGCCTTCCTGTGGAAACCTGGTGGCCTGCCCGCACTGGGGGGCCCTCTGCAGGGCTGGGGGCTGAGTCCCCAGCATGTCATTCAGGGCCCTTTACTCCTCTTGTTGCCACCTGCGCATCCCCTTGGGGGTCTCTGCCCCAGCATGATGCTCGGGAGCTTCCCTGCCTCCGGGCCTTCGCTCATGCTGTTCCCCTCACCAGAAGCGCCCTTTGTGTCTTCATGTCCTTGAGGAGTCAAGGCCCAGAGAGGCTCAAAAGTAGAAAAGTCATGAAGACGATTGAACCCTATACTTGCATGTTCCCCAAAGTCATGTCAGGATGGGAGAGAGGGTGGAGAGTGGGGGAAAGGTGGCGGCTTTTACCATTTCCCTTGCAAGCTCTACTCTCCCATTTCACAGGCCAGGCTGCGAGGCCCAGGGTGGTGACGCCAGCTTGTCTAAGGTCATGTGGTATTCTGGAATGGGATTGGAACTTCAGCCTCTGACTCACCAGCCCCGACCTTGGGCATGACACCAGAGTGCCCTTCCATGCCCTTTAAATGAAGACTTCAGAAAGTCCCTCTGCAGCCTGGCCACCAACCCCTGGCCTCTCCCAGGGACCCCAGGCTTGGGGCTAGAACCTAGCACCAGCCTCTGACTCACAGTAGCCTCTGTAGGCCAACAAGGATGGGGTGGGGACATCCCTGGAAGAGGATGGGCTGGTCCAAGGTCCCAAAGAGACTTGTTTCTGCCCAAGGCACATGTGCAGAAGATGGCCTTGGAAACGCTCACTCAGCCTCATCTCAAGCCTCATGAAGATTCAGTCTTCTGTCCCTGAATGGTGGGTCAATTGGTGCTGAGGGTGGGGGTGGTGGGGACAAGAGTTCTAATTTGGCCAGAGAGGAAGCAGGTTTATGGTGACAGCCACAGAGCTCTAGAGTCAGATTTGGCTTCCAGCCCCAGCTCTGCTGAATCTGAGCAGCCAGACCCTGGGGAAAGTCACTTCCTTTCTCTGGGCCTCAGTTTTCTTCCCTGTAAAATGGGGATAACACCTTCTTCAAAGGGACAGGCACGGGGTGAGGGCATCATAAACATTGGTTTCCTTGGCTGAGCCTCCATGACGCAATTTGGGCTCCGTTATGAGTCAGCTCAAGTAAGGAGCTATGACAGTCATGCAGGGGGAGAGGCTGCCCCGCCCCCACCCTGTGTTGTAAACTCATCAGCTGGCCAGCCTGCATGGGACCCTCAGGGGTCAATGGCACAGGGGGGACCTGCCAAGGGGCCTTGACCTCCTGGTTGAATTTGATGCCTTTTGGAGTCAGCCATCTGTGAAATAGATTGGAGAATGACACAGCTGGGAAGACCCCCCCTTATACAGAAGCCGAAACTGCGGCCCCCAGAGGAGCAGAGACTCATCCAAGTTCACCCAATGAGTCAGTGGAACCCAAGCCCCTGCTTCCCAGCCCAGGAGCTGTTTCCATTCCACCAACACCGCCTCCAGTTTTGAACATACCACCCTACGTGCTTTGCTGTTTTTTCCACACCTAAGAGTGGGCCCCCCCCAAGCCCCTATAACTTGATCACCCTGAGGGGCTTCCCCCTCCCTGGGAACCTGAGTCCAGGCCCAGGAAGGGGAGGGAATTCAAGAGGCTGTGCACGGCCCAGTGATCCATCTGTGCACCGAGTAGTTCAATGCATTCTCGGGGCAATGTGGTGAATTGGAGCCAAGCTTGGTCCTTGCCGCTAAGGGGCTTATCATCTCTACATGCCCCCTCATAAGCATGTGCTAAGCTTTAAACAGCCCTGGGGAAGCTGCCAAGGGAAGCAGAAAGGACAAGGAGGCTGAAACCAGCCATACCTGAAGCCTGCTTTGTTTCTTATGAACTGTGAGATTCTGGGCAAGAGGCTTTACTCTTCTGAGCCTCGGTTTCCTCGCCTGTGAAATGGAGCCAACTGTAGTGCCCACCTCCCAAAGTCATAAAGAGGACTCAATGAGAAAATAATTGTGAGTGTGCTTGGCACATAGTAGGTGCTCAATTTCCAGGGACTCCCTTCCCTTGAAATTCTGATTGTGCATTCCCCTGTCGTGCAGTGGGCAGTCAGGCTTCCTCTTGTTCTCCACTGAAAAAAACTTAAATCAGGTTAATAAAAAAATATGGTTGAAGTAGGGAATCATAAGAAATATTATATAAAAATAAAAGGGAATCATAAAAATAGTATCTTAAACCCTTCTTTTAGCTTTAAACTTATAAATATGCATTAAATGGCCTTCCTCTTGTTCTTCTAGCTTAACAATTTCCAGTTTGGGTTTCTTTTTTCTTTTCTTTCTTTTTTTTTTTTTTTTTTAGAAACGGGGTCTTGCTCTGTTGCCCAGTCTAGAGTGCAGTGGTGCAATCATAGCTCACTGTAACCTTGAGCTCCTGGGCTCAAGCAATCCTCTCGCTTCAGCCTCCCAAGTAGCTAGGATTACAGGTGTGCACTACCACGCCCAGCTAATTTAAATTTTTTTTTCTGTAGAGTCAGGGTCTCACTATATTGCCCAGGCTGGTCTCGAAATCCTGGCTTCAGATGATCCTCTTGCCTCGGCCTCTCAAAGTGCTGGGATTACAAGTATGAGCCCCCATGCCTGGCGTAGTTTTGATTTCTTTAACGTGGAATATGAACGTAAAGATGCTAAGGAAAGAATGAGCATGTGGCATCATCTAGATTTTACTATTTCTTTCCATCCTTTACAATGTCCCACCCATACCAAATTCAATTTATTTTTTAGCAATTTGCCTTCATTGAATCTTCCCAATTTTCATAGAAGCAGAGGCTCCTGTTCGGCATCACACGATTGACCTCATGGCATTATCATCAGTCGGAGTCCAACCAGGAAAACAGGAGCCATATTGAGTCCTGGAAGTTAATTCAGGGAGTGTTAGCAACACAGGTGAGGGACAACCTGAGGAGCCAAACAGAGACAGTGAGGAGTCCCAGTGTGAGCATCAGTTCAGCCACTGACACCCTTTGGGTAAGAGGGACACGGAGAGAGGTGGGGTTACCAGGGCCCCCAGCAGAAGCAGGAACTTAGTGGGCCAGTCCGGCATTTGCTAGAGTCACAGAGGAGACTTAGCCACATGGAGACATCACCTGAGACAAAGAATAGAGGGGAGAAACACCCTGGCTTCTCCCTTGCTTTTGTTTTTCATCTTCTCTTGGTGCCTCCCATTGGTTGAATGTAGCGGGGACCAGCTGGCCAAGGAGCTCGGGGAATGCAGCCCGTGCCATCAAACCCTTGTGTGACAGAGCCAAACAGGGGAATGAGCAGAGCTGATCTGTGGGCAAACTGGCCCAGGACTGGCATAATCTCCAATGACGTTCTATAGCCATGCAAACCCAGCTGGCACCAACTGGTTGGGACACATTCCAACTCACGTCTGGTAAGCTGACGGTTCAGTGGCTGGTGGGAGGAGATGTGGCATTCCAGAGAAGGGCCTGCCAGCTGAGGGCATCCATTGGTATTTTATACGAGAAGTACAGGTGAATCCTGGGAGATACCCGGGGGTCAATTAAGAAGGTGTCTCCTGTGAATGGTGATGAAATTCATTTCCCTAACCTGTGTGCAGGGCTGAGGTTATGTCACCACGATGAGCACTGGATGCAGACCCTGCCTCTGAACGTTATGATTTCGATGACAGCACACCTCAAACCACCAGATCCTCCCAACAACCTACAGGACAGGGTGGCCCTCCTCACTTTTCAGAGGAGGAAAAAACTAATACAGGGATTAACCCCAAGATTTAGCCTCCAGGAGTCGCACTGCCAGCTTGGACCGGGCAGGTAGCAGATTCGAGGTGGACACTGGCCTTGGAGTTCAAATTCTGGCCTTTCATCAGCAGATCCTGGTGTGAGCCCAGGGAAGCTGCTGGAGCGATATCTGCCGTGGGCTGGGGGTGGGTGTGGGGGTGGGGCACTTCCCTTTCGAGGGCTAGCACAGAGACACTAAGATGCCGCCACTCAGCCAGATCAGCCCCTCTCCGGGGGTGGAGAATGGGGCCTGCAGAGCTGTGCAACCCACCCAGGACCAGAACACCCAGGCCAAGCCAAGGGATCATCAGCTGAGGACCTACCACCTGGGGCGCACATGCTGAGAGCTTTAGGCATGATCCCTCCAGGGGTGGGCTCTGAGGACGGCACCACGCGCCTAAGCAGTCTGATAGTCTCTGGGGGAGAGCCAGAGAGGTGGAGAGACCTGCCCAAGGTCCCCCAGCTTGCTGGTGGAGGAAGCAGGATTCAAACCCAGCCCGCCCTCCGCTTCTCTCTTTCCTGTTGTTTTGAAAAACTGCTCTCGGTGCCCACTTCAGAACGAGAACCACCAGTCCTCACCTCCTGCCTCGGGCCCTGCTCTTGGCCGAGCCTGGAGCTGCCACCCCATACAGCTGCTTCAGTGTCTCTTGTACCACAGGGGTGGTGGCACCGAGGACAAACTAAGGACTGTCTCCACCCGCAGCGTCTGCCTCGCCAGGGACCCCAAGAGCTCAACCTGCTGCCTCTCCTCCTGTCTGAAGTTCCCTTAGTGCATGTTCGGGTTTGAATACGTTTCAGTGAGAAGTCCCGCGTTTAAGAGGCAGATGGAATCGGGAGGAGGAGCAGCGTCGGCCTGGGGAGATTAGCTGACTGAGGGGGGAGAGCGCAGGCTGGGATGCATCCTGTTTCCCCAGGAATGGGCTCGCTGCCCCCTTCTGCCCAGTGTCATCTTTGCTTAAATAATGATCAGCAATGCTCCTCTCACCCCACAGCCACCTACGCACAAATGCCTCCTATGGGAGTTTCCAGAGCAAGCTGTTCGGGAGGCAGACAGGGTGGAGACGGCTCTCCCCAGCGTCCAGCCCAGGAACTGAGGCTCACCGGGGAAGGCCTCACATACGGTCACACGGTGAGTCAGAAGGATTCACCGGCAGGTCTGCTGCAGCCACATCCCGTCGTGTCCCCAGGATACCCCTCCACTCCCCGTGTCTCCCTAAAGTCCCTTCCAAGGGGGTGAAGGTGCTGAGGCCATAGAGTTGGATGGATGAGCCAGATTCAGATCCCAGCTCTGGCACCACCTAAGGGCGTGCTAGTGTCCGGGGCTATCAGAACCTCACTGTTCTCACCTGCAAAGTGGGAAAAATAAGCACCTGTCATCTCCTCAGGGGTGAAGGTGAAGAGGGACCTCCTGGGAAGAGCATGTGGTGGGCACTCGGCCAGGGTGAAGTCGTGTCTGTGTGTGTGAGTGTGTGTAGGGGTGTGTGTGAGCTTGTGTGTGTGCATGTGTGTGGGTGTGTATGTGTGTGTGAGTTCGTGTCTGCACGCACGTAGGTGTGAGCATGCATGAATGTGAGTGTGTGTGAGTGTGCATGTGTATGAGTGTGTGAACTCATGTATGTGTGCATGTGTGTGGGTGTGTATGTGTGAGTGTGAGCTCGTGTCTGTGTGCGCGTGTGTGTGAGACTGCATGTGTATGCATGCGTGTAGGGGAGTACAGGGCAGAGGTGCATGGTGGAAGGGGGCGCGTGTCTGACTCACCACTTTGCCAGGGCCTTAGCGCCCCCCAGCAGATTCCTGCCCTCCCACTCACTTCCTCCAAGGCCTGCTGTGAGGGGCACTGAGCTCCCGCGGTTTCTGGAGGCCGACCCAGCCAAGGGCTGCCTGAACCTGGGTACCAGACTGCAGGATGGGGTGCTGGAGAAGTCACTCGGCGTGACCTCCCTGAGATGCTGTTCAGCTCAGGGGCCTCTCTTGTGTTCCTTTGAGACCTGGAGTCTTGCCCATAAGATGCTTCCCTCCCTCAGAGTTCCAGGCCCCTCAGAGGAAGAAGAAAAATCCCAAACGACAGCCCTTTTGGCTCATAAAATGATCTTTCTCTGGGTCTTTGGGTGGAATAATCTATTTTTAGCATCAAAGGGTTCTGCCACGGGCTTAGACCTAGTAAGGGAAGGGCTTTGTGTGACCACAGCGTGGCTCAGAGGCGGGCACTCCTCAGCTAGGATGGGGCAGGAGGGCGCAAGGAAGGGAGCCCCACCCTCAGGGCAGGCAGAGCAGGGAGAGAGCCACCGAGAGCCCCACTCTCTGGATGCCTGGCCCAGGGCTCCTTCCCATTCCATTCAGTGAGCATCTGTTTGGGGCCAGGCCTTGTGCCCTCACCATTTCCTCTTAGTGCATTCTCGCTACAAACCTAGTAATACTAACAATAATCACAAGCTAGCACTTCTTTAGCACCTACCACAAGCTGGGGACTCGTCTAAGAACCTTGCATAAATCAACTTAATTCATTTAACACATAAGAAGACTGAGGTTCAGAGAGGTCAAATCACTTGCCCAAGTCCAGCTCAGAAGGGACAGAGCTGAGATTTGAACCCAGACAGTCTCTATTATTATTATTATTAGTCCCATTGACAGCAGAGGAAGCAGAGGCTTGGAGAAGCTGAAGGATTTGCTCAAAATAACCTAAAACAAACGTCGAATCAGGATCCGTGACAGGGCTGTCTGAGCCAGAGCCCTCTGAGCTCTCTCCAATCTCCCAGAGCCCTCTGAGCTCACTCGGATCTCCCAGAGCCCTCTGAGCTCTCTCCAGTCTCCAGGCTTCCATGGTGTGGTGCCTATGACCTCCATTGATTCTCCTAACAAATGATGCATATGTATGTGTGGAGGGGAAGTCCTCCTATCTTGCTCTTCCTCATATTACTGAGAAGGAAACAGGCTGAGAGAGGAAAAGGGACTTGCCTGGGCTTGCATAGGTAGGAAGTGGTAGATTCGGTGTCTGAATTCTGCTGGAATTCCCAAAGCCTTTGCTAGAAGCTGACATATCAACCCCCAGCTCCCACGCCGCTCCCAGTCCCTGCTGCTTTCCTTGAGGGACTGGGTCCCAGGGAATGTCAGGATTGGGTTGTAATTTTAAAAAATAATTTGATCTTCAGGGTTTTTCCCCCCTTCTCCCTCACTCTTTTTCTTTCTCTTTCAACAATAATGACCTTGTTTTCAGGGGTGTGCCGGCCAGCAAATTCGCTGACCCAGGCAAAAGGAGGGGGGATGTCATTATGTGGTTGGGAAATGGTGGGGCATTTTGTATGCCACCGACTTAGCATCCCAGGAATTTCAGCAGCCCTCAAGGAAATGACAGAATGAGTTCCCATCCAGGATTGTGGCTTCCCATCTCTCTCTGTGTGCATTTTCCTGACATTAAACTAGGATGCTTTGAGCATCTGCACATAACAGCGTGTGGGAAGAGGGTCTGCCTGGCGTGAGGAGAGAGCCCTGGCCAGTGAGGTTACAGGCCGAGGCTGACAGTTGGAGGACTCAGGCTCAGAGAGGGGCAGGAACTTGTCCTGGGCCACACAGCCAAGGCCAAGATCTGCATCACCCGACTCTTGGTCCAGTGCTCTTTCTACAATGTCACGTTCTGGGAGTAACCTGCTGTGTGCACACAGAAAAGTTCTTTTCTCTCTCTGCATCATTTTCCTCATCTGGGAAAGGAGGATTGAGATCGGTGTCTTAGTTTGGGTTCCCCCACAGGCAGACCCTGAGTCTAAACAGTTTATCTGGGGGGTGATCCCAGGAAGCAGGGGTGAGGGAGAGGGGCAAGTGATGAGTGACATAGGGAAGGGAAGGCAGCCCATACAGGGTGCAGGGTGGGGTGGCTTACCGTCCTGGATATCTGGAGCTCAACCCCACCAGGGACGTTCAGAGGGACTGTGTGGAGTGCAGTACAGAGCTGCTCCCCTGGGGCGTGGGAGCTGGGGTATGTATCCACTGGCTCCCAGGTCTCATTGGTCGAGGGTTGCTCTGGCAATAATGACTCTCGGCAATTCTTGCATCACCACTGAGTAAAGCTCACTCAAAGCCAGAAAACATCTTCAGGCCAACCTGTCCTTATGGGGAGGTGTCAGTTTAGGGCATATGATTTATCTTTTATTTTTTGAAATAAAAATAAATAAATAAAAATTTAAAATAAATTATTATTTTTTTTAATTTTTAAAATTAAAAAAAGGAAAACTCTGGTTGCCCAGGCTGGAGTACAGTGGTGCAATCTCACCTCACTGCAGCTTTGACCCCCTGGGCTCAGGTGATTCTCCCACCTTATCTTCCAGAATAGCTAGGACTACAGGCATGAGCCACCACACTTGGCTACTTTTTTTTTTTTTTTTGTATTTTTAGTAGAGACAGGGTTTCAACATGTTGTCCATGAACTCCTGGATTCAACTAATCTACCCGCCTCAGCCTCCCAAAGTGCTGGGATTACAGGTATGAGCCACTGTGCCCGGCCAGGGCATATGATTTCTAGGGTGTCTCCCAGCTCTGATAGGTGAGGACTCATCATTTCACGTGCATCTTCATTAACTCCTAACTCAACCCTTCTAAGCTGTCCTGCCATCAAGAAAGTGATGTGTTGGCACAGTAGATAGGGGACAAAATCACTCCCTCACCCCCGTGCCAGGGCCTGAAATTCCCCTACCCAAGCTTCAGCATGTGAGGCCTTGGTTTTTAAATAGTGTCCCCTGGAACCCTGGGAGACAATGCCTCAGGGTGCCCCAAGGACTAGGCTGGATGGGGGAAAGGCATCTCTGTCCACTTCACCACTTTGACCAGAGAAACCTGCTTTGTCTATCTTTTCATTTTTATTTTAGCTTTCATTTTCTACCTCAAAGTTATACATGCTCATGGTTTAAAGAGTCAAATATTTCTAGAAGGCTGTCCTTCCTAGCCCCAGAGAAAAATCACTTTCAGTTCTTTGAACTGTTTCTTCTAGTATTTCCTTGATTTCTCTAAATAGCATGTTTCCCAAGCTCATTGTGATTTTTCCATTTTTGGCATTATCTAATGACTTTCCACCATGGAGGAGGACTGAGCTGCTTTTCACCTGGCTCCCTCCTTACCAAGCGCCTTTCCATCCTCACTGAATAGTTACAATTTTGTTTAGATTAACTGTTAGTATTTCCATTTTTATAGCTGGGTAAATGCTTCCCACAGATGAGCCATGTAGTATGCTCTGATTTCATTTCCTTCCTTGCACAGCTTTGTTTTCCCTAGAGTTGTTATTTGTTTAGCTTTTCATTTGCATAATTTTCTGTGTACTTGTCACTAATACATCCCTACACTCTCTGCTAGCTGTCCAAATCTCCTATTAAGAAGGTCATGGCTGAGTACAGTGGCTCATGCCTATAATCCTAGCACTTTGGGAGGCTGAGGTGGGAGGA
Organism: Homo sapiens; assembly: GCF_000001405.40. Taxonomy (NCBI): domain Eukaryota; kingdom Metazoa; phylum Chordata; class Mammalia; order Primates; family Hominidae; genus Homo; species Homo sapiens. Next base: position 24,974,945 of record NC_000001.11, read on the forward strand.
TCACTTGAGTCCAGGAGTTCAAGACCAGCCTGGGCAACATGTTGAAACCCTGTCTCTCAAAAAATAAATGAATAAAAATTAGCTGGGGGTGGTGGCACACACCTGTAGTTCCAACTACCCAGGAGGCTGAGGTGGGAAAATTGCTTGAGCCCAGGAGATTGAGGTTGCAGTGAGTGTAATAGCACCACTGCCCTCCAGCCTGGGTGATAGAAGCAGATGGAAGGAAGGAAGGAAGGAAGGAAGGAAGGAAGGAAGGAAGGAAGGAAGAGGGAAAGGGAAAGGGAAAGGGAAAGGGAAGAAATTCAAAAACTTCAGGTATTCTCTCAGTTTCATCTTTTTTGAGCCCTCTCTCCTGGAATCCCCTAACTTGATCCAGTCTGTACCGATTGCTCTTAAGGAATGCTGCTATCTGTCAACTTGGGAACTCCCTTCATTGTCATCCTGGGGTTCTCTTTGCCTTCTCTTACACTGAGCCCTCTGTTTTCTGGATCCTTTCTCTTTCTTGGTTTACTCCCTTTTTTGATGGAGCATATCTTCCATTAGCTTCCTGAGAAAGCACACATGAGAGGTAGATTTATTTGGGAGCTTGTTGCATTTGATGTCTTTGGTCATACGTCATAGATAGTTTGGCTGGGTATAGAAATTACGATTGAAATGATTTTTCTTCAGATTTTAAAGGTATTTCTCTATTGCTTTCTTGCTTCTTGTGCTGCTGTTGATAAGTCTAGAGATACTAATTCTTAATATCTGAAAATAGCCTACTTTTTCTTTCTTGAAGTTTTGAAGATATTCTCTTTGTCTCAAGTGTTCTGAAATCCCATAGTGAGATGCCTTCATGTAATCCTGTCTTCTCTATTGTTCTGGACATTCAGTTAATCTTTTTGATCTGGACATTTATAGTGATCAATCCTGGGTCATTTTCATAATTATTTCTTTGATCATTTTCTCTCTTGCCTTTTCATTGTTCTTTTTTTAGATTCTAAAGAATTATAAAATTCTCATTCTTTCTTATTTTCTATCTCTTTGTATTTTTATAGTCTTTAGATGGGGAGGGGGATGGTATCTTAATTTTTTTTCTTTGAATGCCTCTATCGAGTTTTTGATTTCTATTATAATAATTTGAATTTGTATTTTGTTTTCTAATTATTACATTTCATACTACTTTTTCTTACTGCATAGATGGAGTCCCTTCTCTTACTTTCTGAGGATTGTGTTGATATAATTTTTAAAAATATTTCATCTCCCTGCATAGTCTGTTTTTTCCAAGTTACTTTAAAAAAATTCTCTGTTTTGTCTTGTCTTTCTGGGTAGAGGTTTTCTTCGTATGGCTGACGATTCTTTGCTGTTTGACCTTATTTAATAACAAGGTACTAAACTCTGATCAGAAGCTCTGTGTAATTGTGTGGGACGGCCAGACTCTGGACTTTATAGAGGGGGTCTGGCTGGGTCATTTTCTTGGTCAGTATCTTTATATCTTTCATCTTATTCTGCTTGGATTCCCCAGGGTAGACCCTTCTGATCTGTTTGGAAGGTACTGGACTGGCTATCAATGTTCTGGAGTGAAAAGATCGTAAACGTATGTATGCCACATTCACTGGATCCTTCATTTCAGCAGAGTAGCCTTTGTCTTTTACATGGCTTGTCCCCTCCTATCCAGAGTCCCTCTGTTTTTCTCTTTTTAGAAAATAAACCTCGAATATTCCACTGGGGTGGGGAGAAGACCTGGGGGTCTAACTGCTTTCTAAGCAGACTTTTCCTGTTGTCAGCCCCATCTTTACCTCCATTTCCGGATATATCTCTTGTGCTGCCAATCCCTGAGTCTTCAGAGGTTTTGCAGGGTAAGAGGCTGAGTGGCTTTCTGGCTTTCCCCACTGCTGTCTGTAGGGATTCAGGTCTCTCAGATCTGCCAAGTCCGTGGCTTCTCATGCCGTTGCTTTCCAGGTTCCTACGCTTTGTTGTTGTTATCTTTTCCCCTGTTCTCTTTGACTTTGTGGGTTTATGCCTAAAACAACACAAAACACCACCAACAACAACAGTACTTTATAGAGAGGAAGCAGAGGTGAATGCATGCGTCCAAACCACACCTTTCTGTTTTCTACATCGCGGGGGAGATTTTGTTTGAGGTAAGAATTCCCAATGCATCTTATGTTTGGGAAGACTTAATTTTCAAAAGATGCTCATTCTTTCCAATTAATTTACAAATTATATTAGCAAGTCCAATGAAAGCCCCAACAAGATCTTTTATAGGAGTTGACAAATTGTTTTTAAAGTTCATATAGGAGGCCAGGTGTGGTGGCTCACACCTGTAATACCAGCACTTTGGGAGTCTGAGGAGGACAGATCACTTAAAGCCAAGAGTTCAAGACCAGCCTAGCCAACATGGTGAAACCCCGTCTCTACTAAAAATACAAAAATTATCTGGCCGTGGTGGCAAACACCTGTAATTACAGCTACTTGGGAGGCCGAGGCGAGAATAACTTGAACCCAAGCCTGCAATGAGCTGAGCTCATGCCACTGTCCTCCAGCCTGGGTGACACAGTGAGACTCTATCTCAAAAAATAAAATAAAATAAAATAAAGTTCATATAGGAGAATAAATGGCCAAGGAAAGCCAAGACAGTTCTATAAAAGAGGAGCAAGGAGGCCGGGCACAGTGGCTCATGCCTGTAATCCCAGCACTTTGGGAGGCTGAGGTGGGAAGATTGCTTGAGCTTAGGAGTTTGAGACCAGCCTGGGCAACATGGCAAAACCCCATCTCTACAAAAGATACAAAAATGAGCCAGGCATGGTGGTGTGCACCTGTAGTCCCAGCTACTTGGGAGGCTGAGGTGGGAGGATCACCTGAGCCCAAGAGGTCGAGATTGCCGCTAGCCAAAATTGTGCCACTGCACTCCAGCACAAGCAACAGAGTGAAACCCTGTCTCAAAAAATAAAATAATAATAATAATAATAATAATAATAATAATAATAAATATAGCAACTCCACATGCTGAACTGAAGAAGCAGCCTCGAGCTCTCTCTACCTTCCGCGCCCTTCCTGGCTGTCAAAGCCCAGGATAAAGCCATTCTCTGAAGTTCCCCTATCTCTCCAGAAACTGGACCCCCCCGAGAGAAACACAATTGCCTTCCACCCCTTCTCTGAAATTTTATTAACCAGAGAAGATTAAAACTGCAACCATAGAGAAAACCACTGAAAATTAAACGCCACATATAGAGCCCAAACTGAACTTCAAATTTTGTCCCAAACCATTGCTTGCTTTCCTCTTCCATTCAGTTTCCAGAGATTCATTCACAGGATAATGTCTGCCTCCTGGGTCCATTCATTTCATTCCCCCTAAAAACCGTTTACTTCTATGCCCCCTATTCCCTCTTCTCTCATGAAGAAGGGCATATAAGCATCTGGACCTCACTGGGCTATTGGGTAATGGTTCTCCTGTGATTGTCTCACGCTACGCATGTTAAATCTGTATGCCTTTTTCCCCTGGTAATGTGCCTTTTGTCGGTTCATTTTCGGTGACCCTTCAGGGGGCGAAGGGGAAGGCTTACTGAATGCCACTCACTCCATCACCAAGCTACATCCTCCCTCACTGTCCACTCCCCATGTACCACCTCTTGTCTGGTGGTGTGAGCAACTCATTCCCCACCTCTCATCCAGATAGGTGAACAATCGGTTAGCACCTTGCTGAAGCTTTCACAACTTCCACTTTCTGCAAGAAAACCCTAGTTTTTCCTCCACCCACCCCTCCCAGCCCCAGCCCTCCAGACCGTGTGTGGGGCCTCCAGAGCTCCAGACTTCACATCTGCTGACTCGAACTTTGTAGAGACTGGGCTCCTCCCTGCACTTGCTTCCCAACCATGGAGGAGCTACTGTCTCTAAACCTCATTCAGGCTCCTCACCCTCTCCAGGCTTGTGGTTTGTAGCAGCTTTTGTTCCCATGTCTGGCCCCCTCCACCAGTCTGTGAGTGTCCTAAGAACAGGAAGTGTGTCCCCAGCTCCCAGCACAGGGTTTCATACAAAGCAGACATCCACAAATGTTTGTTGAATGAATATTTGATTGATTGACCCAATGGGGGATCGAATGAATGCCCTGCTTTTCTGAAACATTGAAGAAGAGAGAGCTCAGATAGTTGGGCTTGGCATTTGTTTCATTTCTTTGATAGCTATGTACTGTGTACACTTACTAGGCGTCAGGCCCTGTGCTTGGTGCTAAGGATAGGGCAATTAACAATGTGGAGAGTATCTCTCCCCTTGTGGGACTTAGAGTCTAACGGGGGAAACAGACTGATATGGTTTGGCTATGTCTCCACCCAAATCTTACCTTGAATTGTAATAATCCCCACATGTCCATGGTGGGGCCAGGAGGAGATAATTGAATCATGGGGGCAGTTTCTCTCATACTGTTCTGGTGGTAGTGAATAAGTCTCATGAGATCCGATGGTTTTATAAAAGGCAGTTCCTCTGCACATGCACTCTTGCCTGCTACCATGTAAGACGTGCCTTTGCTCCTCCTTCGCCTTCTGCCATAATTGTGAGGCCTCCCCAGCCAGGTGGAACTGTGAGTCCCTTAAACCTCTTTCCTTATAAATTATCCAGTCTCAGGTATGTCTTTGTTAGCAGCATGAAAACGAACTAATACACAGACATTCAACAAGTAGCTTCACAAATAATTATTTAATTTTAATCATGAAGGCTTCATGGATGACATGACATTTACACAGAGTCAGGAGTGGAAAGTATGGGGAGGTGGGTGAGGTCTGGGAAAAGTGTGCTTGGTGGAGGGAACAGCATGGGCAAAGGCTCAGAGGAGGGCAAGAGTCCAGCCTGGTTTAGAAACTGAACAAAGGGGTCAGGGGCAGTGAAGAGAGGACAGAAAGGCAGGCTGGGCTGGGCCAGCATGGTCAGGTGGTCAAGGTGGTCACAGGTAAGCAGAGCATTGACAAGCTCCTGATGGGTTTAATTTGATCTTGGGGTAGGTACATGACATGATCGGTTACATTCTTAAAGTTGTCTCTGGATAACTAGTTGTAGGGGGCCTGGGAGGTGGGGTTGGGGGTGTCCACACATACACAGGGACAGCCTGCAGCCCCCTGTCACCAAGGGCAGAAGGCAGGTGACTCCCATCTCCACCACTCCCCTGAGCCCCCCCCTAGTGTCTTCTAAGGATTTACTTTTGTTGTCTTTTTTTTTCCTTGTTGTGGAGAATGGGGTCTCGCTATATGGCTCAGGCAGATCTTGAATTCCTGAGCTCAAGCTACCCTCCTGCTTCTGCCTCCCTAAATGCTGGGATTACAGGTGTGAGCCACCATGCCCCATGTAAGGGCTTACTTTTAAGGTAGCCCTGGGCTCCTGTCCCCACCACCCCTGAGGTAAACCTATATCTTCTGAACCCCCTGCCCCCATATACCCATCATAAGCTTCCCCAGGTACCCCACATCATTGGAGAAAGGGGTGGCCTTTCCCAACTTGAATGGTGACCCCAAAAATGATGCATTCACATGCTAAGCTCTGGGACCTGTGAATATTACTTCATATGGCAAAACAGTGAATATTACCTTATATGGTGGCATATGTGATTAAGTTAGGGATTTTGAGGTGAGATGATGTGGAATTATCTGGATGGGCTGTAAACACCATCACAAGCATCTTTATATAAAGAGGCAAAGGAGAGTAACAGACAAGAGGAGGAGGTGATGGGGCTGTGGAGGCAGATATCAGACAGGTGCAGCCTCGAGTCAAAGGATTCTCCTCTCAAGCCTCCAGAGGGAGCGAGGCCCTGCCTACACCCTGATTTCAGACTTGAGGCCTCCAGAGCTGGGAAATAATAAACTGCTGCTGTCCCAAGCCACCCAGCTTGTGGTGTGGTGCCGTGGCAGCCCCAGAGAGGGAAGGTGCAGGCAGAGACCCCGCTTGCTGACTGGGGTTTTTGTTAAATGGGTCTGATGTCCTGGACCTCACTGGCTGGGCCAGTGTCCGGAGTGCCCAGCCCAGGGCTTGCTGCACCTCCGTTGCTCAATGTGCATTTGTTGAATCAAATTGAGGAGAGTTTGCAAGTGGACAAGGCTGGGCTTGTCAACCAAGCAACCTGTATTCAAGTCCTGGCTCTGCCAGTTACTTAAGCAATGTGACCCACAGCACGTGACACAACCCCCACATCTGTAAAATGAGTGTGATGCCAGCACCCATCTCCTAGACAAGGCGGGGAATGGGAAGGGCCCAGGCCCTGAGGAGGGGATGTCTGCTGCGAGAGTTAGATCACCTTTGGTATCAGACGGCACGGGGTTTGAATGTAGGTCTGCTGCATGCTGGCTGTGTATCTGAGGCCAATGTCTTACCCTCTCTGAAGCTGTATGGCCCTCTGAGGGTCTGGAAGGCATCAGGGAATTGGACTGGGGGCAGCTCTCAGCAGGTGGTTTCAACAGTGTCCTCTGGACCTCAGGGATCAGCCCACAGGCTTGGACGTGCCCATCGGCTCACCCCAGGCGTCTCCTCCCTTGACCTCAGCCCCTCACAGGGCCTAGAAGCCAGGGACCCCCAGAAAGTGGTCCTGTCACTCAGGGGGAGCTGCCCTCCAGGCTTCTTGTGGGGGGTGCTGAGGAGAAGTTGCTCCCACTCCTCCCTGTTCCTAACTCCCCTCACCCCACCCCGCCCTGCCCCCTGCTCACAGAGGTTTGATTTCCCCCTTTCGAGGAAACAGATCAAAGAACCTGAAGTTGCCTCCCACAAAAAGGAAAAAAACTTGCCAGCTCTCTCCCCACCCCAGGCCTCAGAGAGGCAACTGTGTGCCTACATTTCCCCTTACGTCTCACCCCCACCCTCGTCCTCACACTCACCCTCACGTGACGACCGGGGCGTCACTATCAGTCCCCATTTACCAGGTGGGAAAACTGAGGCTTAGGCCAAGCACGGCACTGACCCCGGGGGCTAGGGCTGCTCCACAGGCCTGAGCCCAGCGGCTGGGCTCTGACCTTTGTGGCCTCCCCCAGGCCTGCCCCACTGCACCCTTCACCGGCTTTTTTCCCCTCCCGATGGTGCTGTCTGCCTCTCCTCCCTGGTAACAAAAGTGACGCGTGGTTCATACTGAACAGTTGAAAAGACTAAAAAAAAATCTTAAAAATCACTCCTGTCCTGTTATCCAGAATGAAACACTGTCAACGTTTTGGGGTGTTTCTTCCTCTTGAGCTCAAGCTGTCTTTTCATCTTTCCTTCTTTCTTTCTCCAAATATCCCCCCCCCATATTTCCAAATGTTCCCCCATACCTAAATTTTCCTGACTTCTCCCCCACAGAGACAGACTCTCTTTTAACACAACTGGCATTCTTACCCAGAGCACACAAGCTTCAGGGACCCCCGAAATCCCGACACAAAAGTATATAAAACGTGTGGTCTCCAGCGAGAGGGTCTCTGGCTTTCATAAAGTTCCCAAAGGGTTCTGGAACCCGAATAAAGGTTAAGAACCCCTCCTCTGCCTGGGTTTTTTTTTTTTTTTTGGGATGGGCCCCTGCTGGCCCAGGCCACAGACAGGGGCTGTAACTGTGGAAGGGGCTCGCCAACCGGGCCCACTCACTCTAGGGAGGTGATCGCCACACAAACATGGTCATGGATGTGCCGGGGGTTCTCTGCAGTATGACCCCGAGGACAGGAGTGTGTTTTGGGGGGTGGTCCGTGGCTCCCCTACACGTGGCATTTGTGAAAATATAGCTTCCCAGAATGGCAGACTGGCTTCTGCCCACTCAAATGCAACCTGCACCCCTCCAGCCACTCCACTTTCCTGCACTTGGAAAAGTCAGAAACGTGCCCTCTGGTTTCTGAGCTTTGCAGAGCCAAAGAGGTGCACTGGCCCCTTTCGGAGTGGCTCCCCGGGGCAGTGTGCCAAAACAGAGGGACAGATGACTTTCTTCTGCTCGCAGGTATTTATTTTGCACCTGCTATGTTCTAGGCACAAATCAGGTCTAAGATTCACAGTGAACCAGATAAAGTCTCTGTCCCTCTGGAGCTGGGTCCTAGGCAGAGATGATAAAGAATGGAGGAGTAAGTGTGTGCCATGGCAGGTGGCATCCACATCTGGGGAAAATAAAGCAGGGAAAGGGATGGAGTGAGGGAGGGCCTATTTTAGGTGGGTGGTCAGGGACACTTCTCTCAGCAGGGGACATGTGAGCAGAGACCCAGAGGAAAGAAGGGGTGAGCCCCATACATGGGGTAGGCAGATGCCTTCCAGGCCGAGGGAACGGCAAACACAGCACGTGTGGAGGGACAGGAAGAAGCCCCCGTGTCGCTGTTTTCTCAGCTCCAGAACGCTGGGGGCTCATCTCGCCAGCCCTCAGCTGAGGCCATGGTGGTGGTTTGGGAGCACAGCTCAAGATGACTTTGAACCTAGGGTTGGCTGATCTAGTGCATAAAAATGTGGGACGTCAAATATTACCTGGGCCATACCAAATAGTTGTTGCCTTTCTGAAATTCTAATTTAACTGGACATTCTGTATTTTGTCTGGTGATGCTGTCTGGTCCTGGACCATGGACAGAGGTTGATTTAGAAGGGAAAGCTGCTGTTCCCTGACACAGCATTTGTACTTAGCCGTGGGCAGGCAGTAGGGAGCCACGGGAGGGTATTGAGCAGGGGAGAGGCAGGCTCCAATTTGCATTTCCGAAAAGTCACCTGGGTGACTGCAGGGTGGCACTGGACGGGGAGTGGTGGGGAGAGAGGATTGGTGGCAGGAGATGTCCAGGCTTCTGTGATGTCCAGGACTGGGGCTGAGGCCTGACACGGGACAGTGGCTTTGTGGAAAGGGGAGAGATGGATTTAAGAAGTGTTTAGAAAGCTGAGTCAAATGAGTCAAGGCTGGCCCAGATTTGTGGCCTGGAGACTGGACGGTGGTGAGGAGCACAGCAGGGCCTGTTGAGGTGTGGTGGGATGAGGGTGGAGCCTTTAGGAACATGGGGGTGGACCCTGTTAGGTCAGAGTGTGAGGGGTTCACACTGGCCCTGCCATGTCTGAGGAGGTCTCTCCTACAGCTCTGGAGCCCACGAGAGAAGACAGGAGTTTGGGCATCCATCAGTTGTCCAGACGTGGCCATGGAAATGTTGTGCCTAAGGAGATAGGTCAGAGGGCAGGAAGCTGGGATGTGTCAGGCTTTGAGGGTGGGGCGGGGTGAGCATAGAAGGTGACTGGGTGGGTTCAGGGATGAGGGGAGTCCAAGGAGGCCTGTAAGGAAGGGGTCATAAATAGGGTGCGGTGACCAGGATCCGCTGGCGAGTTATCAGGGGCAATTTCAGGTGGTGAGTGGGTCTCGCAGGAGAGGCCGGCAGAAGGCAGACAACATGCGCTTATTCACTCATCCATTCACAGATTCGTTCTTTCTTTCAGCCTGGGGGCAAAGAGGAACATGACCCCCCAGGAGCCCAGGGCTGGAAGGGCTAAGGGGGTGTGGTCAGGGGCCTGGAGAGTAGGGATAGGAAGGGGATGGCCCTGAGGAACAGAGGGCTCAGTGGGAGATGAGAGGGAGAACTGTCTGGGGCAACGTCTGGAAGCCCTTGACAGTGGGGAGTTGATGGAGAGCAACCTCTCCTGGAGGGCTGCATGGAGGTGGTGTCTTTCGAGACAGCCAGGTTCAGGCAAGTGGGATGTGAAAAGAAACTCCCAGAAGACCTTGAATCTTCAGCACACTGGTGACCATGGCCTGGGGACCCAAGGTGCTCTGTGGCAAGGTTTGGTGTGATGAGGAGAGAGGATGTCAAGGTACAGGAAGCTCCAGTGATGAGCAGGGGAACTCTGGGCCAAAAGGGACAGGGTTTGGCTTCAGAAGTCCCAGGGCCCCCAGTCTGTCCCTTTCCCTGCTTGTTGCCTCCTGTTCCCACCCCCCAGAATCCCTATGCTTTTCTATCCATTTCCAGAAAACAATGGAAATGCCTTCCCTGTGAGTCCTCCTGGATGGCAGAGCCCCCTGCCCAGGCCCACACTTGCATCCTAGTGAGGACCAAAGCAGGCCCTGGGCCAGGGGAGGCAGCTGTCCTGGTGGATTCCAGGCAGTGGGAAGCAGAGGACAGGGAGAGATCCTCCCAGCGGTGCAGAGCCTGCTCCTGCAATTGCATTAGGAGCCCGATCCCCCCATGTTATTCTGGGGTCCCACCACACCATGTGACCCAATAATGACAGCAGAGTACTTGCTCCCAACCCTCACCAGAGCTACAGTAGCATTTCCAAGGCAAAGCAGCCAGAGAAAGAGAGAAATCAAGACACTTCCCTCATGGCTCTGCAGACTCTGCACATTAAGGCACATCAGATAAGCTTCTTTTCTTGTATGTGGTCAAAGTGTCAGACGAGCTGGCTGCTGTCTGCCTCCCTCCGTGGTTCTCACTGCTTGTCTGGGCCTCCAGGAAGCCTGGGGAGGATGTAGGCAGAGACCACTCACCATGGAGCCTGGGCTGGGGTGGAATCCTCAGCCCCATTAAAATCCCAGGAAATGCAAAATACCTGGTCCTCTCCTGGTCTACAATCTCCCATGGCTCCCTAGGACCACAGCGTCACCACTATACTCCTCAGCCTGGTGTTGGGGTCCTTCTAGGTAACCCTCTTCCTGCTTCTCCCCATGCACCTTATACTGGCCAGGATGGAATATGCTCTGTGCCTTTCAGCCTCCAGGTCATTGCCCACAGGGCTCTCTCCTCTCAGAATTCCCTCCCTTCTTCTGCCATTGTCTAAATCCTGCTCATCCTTCATGACCCAGCTTGCATATGCCTCCTCCAGGAAGTCCCCAGCTGCCAGGCTCATCATCTATTCTTTGTAGTCAAGATGTCAGCATCTAGGAATCTGTTTGCCCTTTAGTGCCCAGCACTGTGTGGTATGCGGCATGGGCACCCATAAATGCTTTTGTTGAATTTTTTACCCTGTTCAGCTTAAACTCACATATATTAGGAACCTACTCCAGGCAGGCCTCCCTAAAAACTTCACATACTGGGTTGGGCCTCCTTAAATTTCCATAATGATGTGGTGATGTCAGTATCACTGCCTCCATTCATATGTCAGGAAACAGGCTCAGAGATGCCAGGGGACACCCCCTAGTCACATTGCCAAGAAGTGTCCGAGTTGGGCCTATGCCGAGGCCTTTCTGGGTTCAGATTCTGGCTGTTTCTACTACCTGCTTTGTCTGTCCAGCTGGAACACCTTGTAGCACTTCTATGTAACTGGGTCTTAGAAGAAAGAGAAGGGTGACCTGCTGTTTCCATGCTTACTTTGATTTCAACCACTCTTTATTATTTCTTTTCTTATAACAAAAGAAATGTATGCTCTGGTCTGACCCTTGATTCCAGTGCTCTTTCCAAGATACCCCAACGCCTCTGTTTCAGGTGGACTCCCTGAGTCAGAGAAGGTGGGAAGGTGACCTGGTCCACGCCCCCTGCCTCCAGGCAACCGACTGTATCAGGACCGATTTGGTTATTGCAAGTTACAAAACCCAGCTCTGATGGTAATTTTATGTGTCAACTTGCCTAGGCCAGAGTGCCCCAATATATCATCAAGCACTAGTCTAAACACTGCTAGGAAGGTACTCTTTAGATAAGATTAACATTTAAATCAGTCAATTTTGAGTAAAGCAGGTGACCCTCCATAATGTGGGTGGGCCTCATCCTATCAGGTGACCATCTTCAGAGAAAAAGGACTGACTTCCCCAAGGAAGAGGGATTTCTGCCTGCAATCTGTCTTCAGACTCAAGCTGCAACATCAGCTTTTCCCTGGGTCTCCAGCCTGTCAGCCTACCCTGCAGATTTTGGACTTGTCAGCCTCCACAATTGCATGAGCCAATTCCTTAAAATAAATCCCTCCCCGACCCTGGCTCCCCTCCACCCCTTTTGTTCTGCTTTCCTCTGTGCTGGCTTCATTCTTGAGAAGGCTCTTCTTACAAACTGCAAAGAAGGCAGCCAGCAGCTCTAACTTACTGCTGAAGCTTAGCAAACCAGATAAAGGGAGGGCCTGTTTTTCAATAATTCCAGCAAAAGTTCCGGGGCTGACACTCATTGGCTTGGCTCAGTTCACATGACCATTGATTCCTGAGCCAATTGCTGTGGCTCTGGCGGGCTAGGGGGCCAGGTAGCCCTCCATTCTGTGGTCTGACAATGATTCCTACATGTTTGCCTTGAAGTAGATCCCTGGACTTGGACCAGCCTGACAGGGGAACTGCAAATCTGAAGGAAAAAAATCACTCGAATATAGTGGAGCCCTGGGGTTGGTGGAATGGGGTTGGGGGGAATCAAGCTTTAAATATCCCCCCAGGGAGTTCGCTAAAACTGAAACATTCAGGGAACTCGCTTATGACTCCCCCTCCCCACCAACCCCCAGGCTCCATGGACCTCAGGGCTCCTTTAGTTCCTGCCGTGGCTTAATGCTTGAACTTTCTCTACAGCATTCTGAAGTGGCCACATATTCTGGTGATGGGGAGCTCATTACCTGTCATGGCAGTCCATGCCATTTTGGGCTAGCTTGGACTGGGAGAAAGTTCTCCTTTATGTCCAGCTGAAGTCAGCCTCTGTATCTCTACTCATCAGTCCCAGTTCTGCCCTCTACCCATCCCCGCTCCCTCGCCGCTTCCTGCCTGCCTCAGCCCCAGTACTAGGCTAATCCCTCATCCACACTATCCAGGCCTCTAAGTCAGCTCTCCCATCAGGTGCTCTCCAGACGCCGGACTGAGGACATCGCTCATGTTATCTCATGTCCTCCTGCCTGAGGCAGGCACTGTTACTGTGCCTGTTTTACAGAGGAGGAGACGGAGCATCAGCGACACGAAGCGACCTGCTTAAGATCACCCGACTAATACAAGGCTGAGCAGGAGGCCAGCTCTGACTCCAAAGCCCATGTTCTTTGCCATCAGGTACCCTGCCCTCAACTGTTCCTCAAATGCCATGATTTTGAGAACATCCTGCTACCCTGAAACCCTTCTTCTGCTAATGGTCCAGTAGATCAAAGCTTCCCAAAGTGGGATACCCACAACTGAATTATAATGATCAGGATTCCTGTAGTTCTGTATTATGGAAATTCCCTGCAAACTGGCTTAATCATTGGCTCATACAACTGAAAATTTCAGGGGCAGATGACTTCAGGCATGGCTGCATCCAGAAGCTCAAACAACACGATTAGGACTCAGATCCTCTTATTCTCCCTCTCAGCTCTCCACAGTGCTCTACTCTGTCTTAGCCTCACTTTCAGGCAGGCCTCTCCCCTTAGTGGCCCTCAGCAACTAAAGCTTTGTATTTTATCAGTTTAACAATTCCAAGGGAAAGAGCTTCCCCTCTCTATCCTTCTAGGCAAAGTCTCAGGACTGATTATCATTGGCTGGGCTTGGGTCATGTGCTCTCACTTAAACCGATGATTAGATATAGGATCCAGTGCTGATTGGCCAGGCCTGGGTCATGTGCTCATCTCTTGAGCTGCGGAGTGAGCTCAAGAGATGGTGGAGCTCAAGCTTGGGTGGAGTATCATTCTACCCGAATCACATGCATTGAAAGTATGTGTGTGTTTGCTGGGGGAGTTCCCCAAAGGAGAATAAAGGTGCTGTTCACAGAAGAAGTGAAAATGGACGGCAGACACACACACAGAAGTCTACTCCTGAGCCAAAATTTCTCTATTTCCCTATTGCTGGGCACTGGGTGCAGGTGTGTGAGCTAAAGGGAATGCTTACCTCCTTTTTCTGGGTGCCCTTCTTTTAGTAATGCAGTCGAGAATCCCAAAGTCAATTTTCGCAGCCGTGTCACCCAGTCGATGCCCCTCTAAGTGCTGACTCCTGCCCCACACACCACAGCTCAGCCCAGCCTCTTCCTGCTGTGCTTTGGACGCAAGTCCAGCACTTGTCCTGGTGTCCCTCTGACATCCTATCTTGTTACACTCAAATGAAAGCCTCCTGGCGGCCAGGGTCTTTGTCTGCCTTGTTCACTGTTGTGTCCTCTGCAACCTAGAACAACACTCAGTCCATATGCTCAGTGAATGTTTGTGGAATGAATGAATGAGACCAGCCTGTGGCACCTTAGCCAGCCCTGCTATGTAGCCACTTCGGGCACCTGTAGGCTTGGTGCCAAAAAGACCCTGCCTTCACAGAGCAACACTGGTGGGGGAGTCAGAGAAAGATAATAAACCACAAGAAGCAAACAAAAATGGAATATGTCAGATGGCAGAGAGCATTAAAAAGGAAACAATATTCAGGATAAGAGGATTGAAAGGCACAGAGGTGTCAGGAAAGGTCTCTTGGATGAAGGGACCCTTGAGCAGAGGCCTGAATGAAATGAGTGCATGGACTCTGCTGTCATCTGGAGGAAGGACATTCCAGGCAGAGGAAGAGCACGTGCAAAGGCCCTGAGGTGGGAACAGGCTTGGCAAGTTCTGGGAATAGCAAGGAGGCAGCAGAGGGGAAGGGTGGGAGGAGAGGAGTTGGAGAGAAACAGAGGCCAGGGTGTGCAGGGCCTGAATGAAGCCCATTGTGAGGAGTTCTTCTTGTTTTTTCCTTTTCTTTCCAAACACGGTCTCACTCCCATTGCCCAGGCTGGAGTGCAGTGGCAGGATGTCAGCTCGCTGCAGCCTCGACTTCCAAGGCTCAGGGCATCCTCCTGCCTCAGCCTCCGAGTAACTGGGACTACCGGCATGAGCCACCATGCCTGGCTAATTTTTTTTTTTTTTTTTTTTTTAGTAGAGATGGGGTTTCACTGTGTTGCCCAGGCTGGTCTCGAACTTTTGGGCTCAAGTGATCCGCCTGCCTCAGCATCCCAAAGTGCTTGGATTACAGGCATGAGCAACTGTGCCCAGCCTGGCTTTTTTTCTTTTTTTTTCCCATGGTAGTGGGAGCCATTGGAGGGTTTTTAGCAGAGGGGTGACCTCATCAGACTCCTGATCAGGTGATCCAGGTGGACCACCTGGCTACTGTTGAGACTAGACTGTAGGGAACATGTGTGGAAGCAGGGAGATCCTAGGAGGCTCCCCCAGTAACACGAGCTGGAGGTGATGGGGGCTGGCCAGGGAGGAAGCACTGGAGGTGGGGAGAAATGGGAGTTGTACCTTGAAGGTGGAAGCAGCAGGACTTCCTGACTGCGGGGACCGGGGCAGAGGCTGGTGGGTGGCAAGGCTGTAGGGAGGTTTCAGTTTGAGCACGGGGAAGGATGAAGTGCCCACTACCTGAGGAGGGAAGACTGTGGGAGGCAGGCTCGGGGGAGAACAGTCAAGAATTTTCTTTTGGGCATGAGGTGTTTGAGGTGCAAGTGGAGACACAGGGCACGGTTGGAGATGAGCCTGGAGGTCAAAGGAGGGGAGGTGGGCTACAGACACAGCGGAGGGAGGGGTCAATGATCGAAACCACTTAAACACAGGCTCCATTTCAAGTCCCAGCTCTGTGGAGTTGCCCGACTAACCCCCTCACCAGCACGGTCGCATCCGCTAGTTGGTGATCCTACGGGGTTGGCGGGGATGGTCACACCCACTTTACAGCTGAGAAACAGAGCCTCACAGAGGTTAAGCGGCTTCTTCAGGTCCACGCAGTGAGCCCAGGGCTGAGTCTGAAAGAGATGCCGGACATTAGCAAGGACTAGGGGAGCCGCTGTGTCAGGATAAGTGGCAAGTGACAGACGAAGAGACTGTCAAGCTGGCTCTTACAAAACAAAGCAAAATAAACAGGCAATAGGAATATTATACTGGTTCATAGAACTGAAAATTCCAGGAATAGGGCCTGCTTCAGGCACAGATGGATCCGGGAGCTCAAATGATACCATCAGAAACTCCCTCTGCCCCTCATTCCAGTCTGATTTTCTCTGCTTTAGCTGCTTCTCGCGTAGGCTTTTCTGACCCTTTGTCATAAAGGGTCACCATCAACTTGGCTTTCATCCCATCAGCTTCCACCCTCTGTGAAAGAGAACACCTCTTGGCTGACAATGCAGTCATGGCCCCAGGATTGACTGTCACTGGGTAGCCTGGGTCATGAGCCCTCCCCTGGAACTTGAGGCGGGGTCAGCTCTCTCCCACACCACAAGGAGGGAACACGGGGAGGGGCGGCTCCTCACAAGAAAATCCAGATGTTGTTTTTGAAGGAGGGAAGAGAGGGAGCTGGGGGTGTCCAAACCACAGACAGCCATTGCGGAGGGTGGCAGCTACCCAGCTCTGCAGAATAGGGTGGGTATATAGACAAGCGGCTGCCTGAAGACAACTGTGGTGTCAGGGAGCACGGACTTCAGGTTCCTCCTCCTCTATGTCCTCTCTCTCTTCTGCCAGTCCATGGAAGTCACCCTGCTGGGTGAGGTAACAATGTCCTGCCCCAGGCATTCAGGGATCTGACTTCCCTTTTCCAGCTTGGGCTCTGGATCCCACCCTCCCCTCCAGCCACTCAGCCTCCTCACTCCTTCTGAATATGCCCTGCCCAGTCCAACCCCTGGGCCCTTGCTCATGCCATCTCCTCTCCCTGGAATGCCCTCTTTAGCATCTCCATGTATTGCAATCCTGCCAGCCTGCAAAGGGGGCAGCCCTGCACTGGAATTGGCTGCTTGCGGGCCTGTGTCTCCTCTCACCGTGAGCTCCTAGAGGGCAGGGGAAACACATGTTCTGTGTCCTCATCTCTTAGTTTGGGCAGGTGAGCAGGAAATATTGGCTGAATGAATGAATGATGAATGAATACATTATAATTGAATGATGAAAGAGAGAGGTGAGAGACGGAGGGAGGGGAGAGAAGGGCAGGGAGGACAATCCAGTTCGAATGTTACCTTCCTTGGGAGCATCCCCTGAATCCCATTTTCAAAGTCCGCTGTGATTTATTTCTCAGCACCAGTCATTTCTGGATGTGCCACCTCATCTCCCTGTCCTGTGATTCCAGGAAACATGTCTTAGTCGTCTCTTTTGCTCCTGCCTCCTCCTCCCCTCCTGTGCCCTCCCTGGCATGCTGTGCCTACAAGGGCTTAACGGCTGCTGACTTAAGAAGACTAAAGGCCTTGTAAACATACCAGTGTCCTCCGCTCTCAGGATGATCAGCATTTTCCTACTGAAATAGTGCAAGGCTCAGCTCCATTATTCTCGAGCAGGAGAACCTCAGGCATAAAAAGGAAGTGAGAAGGGTGGAAGAGGACAGGCTTGTGAGTTCTCCAGAGAAGAAGGGGACAGTGGTTGAGTGCCTGCTGTGTGTGGATGCTCCGTACACACTCGGAATTTATTTTCGCTAAAGCCCTGTGAGATGAGTATTGGTCTTCTAATTGCACAGGTGAAGAAACTGAGGCTCAAAGAGGTGGAATGACAAGATCAAGGTCACACAGCTGTTCAGAGACATGGCTGGAATTGTACCCCAGGCCCTAGGCAATGAATGGTATGCTAGTGGTAAACTGGCTCTCAAAAACAAAACAAAACAAAACAAAAGCCCCAATTTGTAGTGTTTGCCAATTCCTGTGGTGTAAATACTCCCCACCAAGGCCATTTTCAAGCTACCAACACGGGCCTGTAAAATTCCCAAATATTTCACAATTGCCTCGTACAAGCTGGTAGCAGCCCAGGCCAGCCATGTCCAGCACGCCACTGATAGTCTGTCTGACCCCATAGCGAGGCTTCTTCCCACCGTCCTGGAAGAGGTGGGGGGTGGAAGGACTGGATGATGTTGCTGCGATGTTGCTGCTGCTGGACAGAGGGAGGTGCCGGGGATGGAGGTGGGGTGGGGACCTCCACCAGCCTCAAGCGTTCCTGTGCTGCTCTGTATCTTGCTGGCTCCCCGTCCCTCTGCCTCTGCAGCAACTTCTCGGCTACTTCCGAAGCTTCCCTGCACCAGGTCTCCATCTTAGATGCCCTCTCTGCTAGGTCTCTCCTTCTTCTGGTTCTTCATCCTCGTGCTGTGTTTTCCCTCCCATTTCTATCTGCAGGTTTCTCTATCGTTTCTTTTCGTGAACTCTTCCTCCCTCTCAGGAAACATTTCAAAGTCTGTTTAAAAAACAACACAGAGACTGAATTTACAGGTTTTTTTCCTCTCTTCTTGAGAACAGGACGTGAGAAGGCCAGGTTGAATTTCCTGTGTGAAATGGTGTGTGGGCTTTCTGAGCAAAACAAGGGTCAGGCTGTGGTCCTAAAGGAGCCGATGCCAAGGTCACCTGGAATCCAGTCTCCGGCAGTGCAGCCCTCCGGGATGCCCAGGCCACTCCTGCCCTCCCTGGGGATGAGTTTTCCAGACGTGTGCTGGGGAGAGAGCTGGGACGGGCACAGAATGTTCTACCACACACCACAGTCGCGCCCCATTTATCCAGGTCCTCACCGCAGGGCCAGAGGTCCCCCACCCCCCTCCCAGCCCCTAAGTCCAGGCCCTGCTCCACCTCCTCCTGCTGTGGGTATTAGCTGGGGCAAGTCACTGTGCCTCTGTGAGCCTCAGTTTCCTCATCTGTGAAATGGGGATGATGAAGCCGACTTGGGGGTCTTGCCAGGGGGACTACATGTAGATAACACACCTAGCAGAACGCCTGGTAAGTAGGCAGTATTGAGATAACCTTAGACCAGCAGGGAGCGGGTGGAGAGGCAGAAGAAAGGGAAGCGTTCCCTATAAATGCTAACTGAGGTCTTCTCCCATTATATGGCAAAACCGTGATGAATTGAATTTCTCTTGATGGAAACTTCCAATCATTAGCTGTGGGGTCTTAGATGAGTTAACCTATTTGTGCCTTAGTTTCCTAATCTATAAGACAGAGTTTATAATAGGACCTACCACATAGGAGTATTGCACGAATTAAATGAGTTAATAGATGAAACGTGCTTAGGACAATGCCTAGCACATAGTAAGTGCTTAATCAATGTCAGCTATTATTATTATCAGTTATTCAAACGATTCTAATAGCCATTCAGCAGGAGAACATGTAATAATTCTCAGTTAAATTCAAGGAGGCCTCTGATGGGGACACTTGCCATACATTTTGCTCCAAGACATCATGATTAAGGCGTTTTAACCTCCTATGCTGCCCTGGTGTTCTCACCGGTGACATGGGCTAGAACAGTCCCCGCTTGATAGTGAGCATCTGGGCGTGGGCATCCCTAGGCAGTGCTTAGAAACCATGGCAGGGATTATGTACTTTCTTGTCCCAGGCTCGAATTCCACAGGTGGGGGATGCACAGGGCTTTGTCCCTCTGTGGGCATCAGGGCCTGGAGGTCAAGTCCCTGGGGCTCTGGGACCTGCTGCAGCCCCATCTCCGGGTGGCACCTAACCCAGATGGGACACTGCGGCTTCCCACCCCTTGGTCAAGGTGATTGGTTGATTGGTTTGTGAAGGGACATATGACCCAAGCTGGACCGAGGGGAGCCTGGCCTTCCTTGAGCGTGGGTCGCATGCTGGGTGCTGTTGCAGATGAGCTTGTGCATGACTGTGGACCCTTCGCAGCATTGCTCTCCCCATGATATAGATGAGGAAACAGGAGTCAAGAAGCCTGATTCCAGCTCCTGGTTCTGCCACTGACTCACCGTGAACTTGAGGAAGCCCTTCCATTTACTCAACAGACCGTTGTTAAGCGTGGATGCTGGGGAGTCATCATGGCCCCAACATGGAAGCCTCACTGCGTCTCTCTGATCACATCTGAGATAAATGCTTACTCCCATCTCACAGGCAGGAAAACGGAGGCACCAAAAGTTCACAGGGCCAGTAAGTGCTGCAATTGGAACCCAGCCGTCTGCTTCACTGTCTATGCTCTTGAACTGCTGACCATCCCACCCCTCCTAGCAGGGATGGGGTGTCCTCACTGAGCAAGGGTGGTAAGGGTGCTGGCCTTGGCCCCACTCCCCAGCTTCCTGGTTGGCTCTGGTCTTAAGGAAGCACAATGGGAATCCCAGCTCTGAGCTCACTCACATGAGACCCTGGGCAGGTCAATGGTCCTCTCTGAGCCTCAGTTTTCCCAGTTATGGAGAGATGGGTTCTGGTGCTCCAAGCTTTTTGCACCTTCTGGGAGTGCGTGGGCTCTTAGCAACCCTCCGCCCCCCACCCCTGACCCCAAGGTGTCCATTCCTCCCCCCTCCAAACTGTGACCCCTCCTCTGGCGACTCGCACTTAGAACCAGCAGGCTGCCTATCTCCTGGCCTCGCTCCTCTAATGGGGTAAGCAGGCAGTCTGGGTGGGCAGGATCTAGAGGTCCTGGGTTGGTATAGATCCACTGCCCACCAGCCACACAAGGCTGTCTGGCAAGGGGCAGAGCTGTTTCTATTGATCTGCACTGTCAGCACAGGGAAAGCAGTTGTTTTCTTCCCAATCTGAAATCAATGAGACCCAGCCCAGCAGATGGGGGCAGAGGGTTTGGAGCCAGGAAATAGTTCCCCTTGAGTTTTAGAAACACAGGCCAGGGCAGATCAGACTGGGCTTCCTTTGAGAGTCAGCTGGCAAGGTGGGGCTGCAGAGCATGCTGGGAAGAGGCCCGGGCCAGGGGCCCCTTCCCGGCTCAGGGCGCACCGAGATGCTCCGTGCTTCAGCTCATGGCTGTCCCCCTCCAGCCCTGGACTCTGAACCTGATGCATGGCCTGGTGGTACAGGCCTGACATCCCTGGGCTGGGTCATCAATCTGGTTCTAGCCCCTCCTCGGACATTGATCTGCTGGGTAGACTAGGGAAAGTCTCTGTCCCCAGGTGTCAAAGGATGAGGTCAGACCAATGGTCAGTAAGGACAGTCCAGCTCTGCCCTGAAGGGTGATGGTGACAATATTTCCTCCTGTCTGGGCATGTTGCGCCCCCATCCCCCAAGTGATGGCTCATGGGGTAGGCATGGCTCTTGGGGGGCCCATTTCACACCCTAGCCCCTGACATCCCAGTGTCAATTACTGCCCCTTCCCACACACATCTACCCTCTCCTGGCAAAGCTCTTTTCCAAAGACCTCATGATATGCCCACCCCATCCCACACACATCCCCAGGGCCTGCCTGTCTCCCAAGGAGGCTGCAGCTCCCCACGGGGCCAGGAAAGGGGCCCTGCATCTTTGGCCTTCTCTGTGGGGGCAGGGCTGTCCACCAGGAGGAGACCTCATTTGCTGGGCCCACAGACAGGGGCCGTACAATGGCCCCTGGAGCTGGGCTCCAGTATTTGCTTCAGGAAGGAACACTGGGCTGGAGTTCTGCGCTGGGTCCTAAGCTCTGGGCATACCCTGATCTTTGGCCCTCAGTGTCTCCATCTGCAAAGGGGCACCCTGAGCTAGGAAGGGTAGAAAGGCCCTTCCAGGCTGATATTCTCACATTCCCTCCTCTCTGTCTCTCTGCTCCCCCCATCTTCCCCCCTCCATGCTGCTCCTCCCTTCTTGGCCCTCCTCCTGTGTCTCACCTGCTGCCTGGCCTCCTGGCCCAGGCTGGCCCTTCTCTCCCCTGTTCCACTCTCTCCTTTAAGATGAGCCATCAAAAGCACATGTCTGATCAGCTCCTGCCCTGCTCAGCAAAATTCCTGGTTCCCCGGTGCCCAAGACACGGAGATCCAGTCCTTCAGGTAACATTCGAGGCCCCCCAGCCTCCTCCTAGTGGTCCTTCCTGGGCCTCCAGCTTCCAGCCCCAGCACACTGTTCCTGTTGTCAAGTGGGCCCAGGGCTTCCCCACCTGCAGGCCCAGTACCTGTCCTTCCCTCTGCCTACAGTGCTTTCCCATCCTTTTCCCTTGGTCAAAATAATGCTTCAAGACCCGCACACGTGTCATGTCAGCCATGGGACCAGGTGTGCCCCCTTTAGAGCTCCCACAGCACTGGCTACAGCCACTCCCGCTGCAGGCCTGGCTCAGATTCCAGGTGACCCCCACAAGGGAGGGTTTGCTCCATGGAGGCTGGCGTCCTCTCCCAAACTCTGAGAGACTGTGGGGTCCCTGAGGGCAGGGGCAGAGTTGTCCCCATCTTTCCCCAGGGGCTCTTTAATAAAGAAAGGTAGCAGCACAACAATAGTATGGGTGTTGGAACCTGCTGGGGTGCCCTTTGTAGGGAGAGCGGGGGTAGTTTGTTTGGGACTGGGTTGGGTTAAAAGGAGTGAGCTGGATTAGGAGGATTTATCTTAAATGTGGTGGATTTAAGTTGAGTTAGGCCCAACCACCCAGGATGGTTAGGCAGAGTTATCTGGGTTCAACTGGATTAAACTGAGCTAGTTAGATTGGGCTTGTTAGTAGAGTGGGGCTGGATTAGTTGGGTTGTCCTGGTTAGGTGAAATGACCTGTGTGGTTGAATTGGGTTGGGTTATTTGGACTGAGAGAGCCAGGTTGGTTTGAGCTGGGTAAATTGAGTTGGTTTGGCCTAGTTGAACTGGGTTTTGGGGTTGGCTTTGTTTGGGTTAGTTCAGTTGGGTTGGTTTGGGCTGGTTTAACTGGAGTTGTCTGGTTAGTTGCATTCAGCAAGTTAGTTGTGTTAGGCTGCTGAGTTGAGTTGGATTGGCCAATTGGGCTGGTTCAGTTGAGTTGGGCTAATCAGTTGATTAGGCTGGATAGGTAGTGGGGCAGGGCTCCTTGGGTTGGGGTGGGCGGTTAGGTTTGGTTAGATGGGTTGAGCCCATTCCTTGGGTTGGGTTTGTTGCTTGGGTGACTGATTTGGGTTGGCTTGGGCAGGGTTAGTTGGGTAGAGCTAGTGGGATGAGATAGGTCACTTGGGTTTCTAGAACTGGACTGGCTTAGACAGATTGGGTTGGTTGGCTTGTCTGTTGGGGTAGGCCGGCTTGGTGGGCTGGGTTATGGCCTGGCTGGGTTCCGGGTTGGCGGAGGGATGGCCGCAGCCCTCTGAACTCTGCTCAGTCTCCAGCTCTAAGTCAGAGCGGGAGGTAGGGGGTGGGCGCGGTGGCCACAAATAGCTGTGGGGAACACAAACAGTTTGGTCTTCAAAGACCTCAGTGGTGGCGGCTGTAACTTTCCACACGGCCCCAGCAAGCACGTCTCTAGGCCTTGTGTTCGGGCCCAGCTGCTGCTTCCTCTGTGAGCAAACCACAGTGTGGGGGGCGGGAGAGGAGGGAGCTTGGGGGCTCCGAGTCTCCCCACAGGAGCCAGGCAGGCCTTGCCAGGCATCCCCCAGCTTAGGTGCCAGCTGCTCTCTGCCGAGGGGAGAGATACTAGAGATACTGACCCTGCATTAGGGGGAATATCCCCTCCCCTACGGCAGCCCTGGCATGGCCGATGTGCCAGGCCCAGCAGGGGCTTGAGAGGAGGAAGGGCTGTGGGGAGGCAGGAGCAGAGGTGGGGGTGATGGTTCAACTACAGGCCTGGGAGAGTCAAGAGTGTCTGAGAGCTTGGTTTCTGCACAGCTGTGGCGGGATCTGGGTGGACATTCATTCATTCATTCATTTATTCAAAAAACTATTTCTTTTTTTTTTTTTTTTTTTTTTTTTTGAGACGGAGTCTCGCTCTGTCGCCCAGGCCGGACTGCGGACTGCAGTGGCGCAATCTCGGCTCACTGCAAGCTCCGCTTCCCAGGTTCACGCCATTCTCCTGCCTCAGCCTCCCGAGTAGCTGGGACTACAGGCGCCCGCCACTGCGCCCGGCTAATTTTTTGTATTTTTAGTAGAGACGGGGTTTCACCTTGTTAGCCAGGATGGTCTCGATCTCCTGACCTCATGATCCACCCGCCTCAGCCTTCCACAGTGCTGGGATTACAGGCGTGAGCCACCGCGCCCGGCCTCAAAAAACTATTTCTTGAGCATTCATTAAGTGCAAAGACCTGCAGACAAGGGTCAAAGGAAGGAGAGATGGGGATGGCCACAGAGACAGGCTGAGGCTTCCTGGAGGGCGGTGTCGCCACGCCATCCCCTGTATTCTTATTCCCTCTGCTCAGCCCCTTTCTGTTGCTCCTTTGAAGGGACCCACTGTGGGCAGCTCAGAACCTGCCTGTGCTCAGACAAGGTGTGCCCTGTGGGCAGACGTGATGGTGGCACTTGCAGCCCAGCACCCTCCCTTCCCCCTGCCCAGCCCTCTAACTTCCCTGCCTCTGGTCTGTGCCACACCCTACCTCCCCACCCATACCAGCTGGGCTGACCCTGCCCTAGTCCCTGGGAAGGCAGAACAGTGAAACACAAGGGGCCTCAGAGTTTGTCAAATCTAAGCTCACGCTGTAGAGATGAAGAAATTGGGGCCTAGAGTCGGAGCATGGCTTGCCTAGGATACATGGTGCATCGGAGGCAGAGCGAGGGTTGCTGTCTGGATGCCCTGACTGCCCACGCCGGGAGCAGCCACCTGGCTCCGTGGGAAGTCCAGCAGTCCCAGCCTTGATATTTACATCTGTGTGGCCTTGGGCAAGTGTCTTCATCTCTCAGCCTCAGCTTCCTTCAGGGCAATGGTTCTCAACCCTAGGTGATTTTGTCTCTTAGGGGAACATTTGTCAATGTCTGGAGACATTTTCGGTTGTCACAACTCGGGGCGTGCAATGGCACCTGGTGGGTAGTAGCCAGGAATGCTGCTAACATCCAACAGTGCCCAGGGCAACCTCCTACAACAAAAAATTGTCTGGTCCTAAACGTCAGTAGTGGTGAAGCTCAGAAACTGTTCTACGCTGACCAGTTGTCCCAGTTAGCCTGGGACTGAAGGGTTTCCTGGGACATGGGACCTTCAGTACTAAAACTGGGACAGTCCAGGGCAACAAGGATCGTTGGTCACGCTAGCTTCTTCCTCTGTAAAATGAGACCATCGTTACCTTCCCCACAGCACTGTCACAGGCTGCGTGAGAGTCTGTGTGCTGACGGCTCAGCACCATGCCAGGCCCAGGTCAGCCCTGAGCAAGCCCAGTGGCGATTATTCCCGTGACACGGATGCTCACTAGGCTTCCTCCTCCTACAGGCCTTTCTCCTGGTGGCCACTCCTTTCCCCTCTTCTAAGCCTGGCCAACCTTCCTAAGGCTCACAGACCAAGCACCTCCAGGGAACTGTCTCCGACCAGCCCTTCCACAGAGACCTCTCCCTCCTCTGACTTCCCACCACAACACTGTCTGTCCCGCTCAGCCAATCTCTGGCCCATCATGGGTTCCTACTTAGCTACCAGGTGTTTTGAGGGTTAAGAGTCTTCTTCCCAGGTTGTTTAATTTATTCTCCAGGAATTCTGTGATTCCCTGTTCATGCCCCAACTAGACTGAAAGCTCCCTGAGGGCAGGGGCTGTGGCGGGTGCATGTCTGTGCCCCAATGCCCAGCCCAGGGCCTGGTGTGGAGAATAGAAGAGCAAATGTCCACTGAAGAAAGTGAACCTGTGAGCCCTTGCCAGGGGCCAGGCTGCACCCTCTGAGAGTCCTGGACACACTGTCTTCCCTGCCTGTCACCCCCACTGCATGATACCTGGCTCGGTGTTGGTGCAGAGACCCGAAGGAGGCCTGGTCTTGCATCCTTGAGAAACATCAGGATCAAAATCAATAATGTGGCAAGAGGTTTGCTGTACACTGAGGGCCAAAGCTGATTACAACACAGTATGCAGGCGTGAGCATATGGGAAATTATATTCATATGAAGGACATGTTGGTATTTTTTTTTTTTTTTTTGAGATGGAGTCTCACTCTGTCGCCCAGGCTGGAGGCTGGAGTGCAGTGACATGATCTCGGCTCACTGCAACCTCCGCCTCCCAGGTTCAAGTGATTCTCCTGCCTCAGCCTCCGGAGTAGCTGGTACTACAGGTGCGTGCCACCACGCCCAGCTAATTTTTGTATTTTTAGTAGAGTGGGGTTTTCGCCATGTTGGCCAGCTGGTCTTGAACTCTTGACCTCAAGTGATCCACCCACCTTGGCCTCCCAAAGTGCTGGGATTACAGGCATGAGCCACCGTGCCTGGCCGGAGAAGTTTTCTTGACTAGAAATGCACTTTGGCTCTCGAGGGCAGAGGGGACAGCCTGTCATTGTCCTCTACCACTTCCTTGCTGTGTAATGTTGAGCAAGTTTCTTAATTTCTCTGGGCCTCAGTTTCCATGTAAATGGCAGTATAACCATACCTCCTTCCCAGGGCTTTCGGGGAGGATCTGGTGAAAAGATGCTGCAGGGAGACTACGTGGTCAGTGGTCAGCGGGTGTCAGCCACTCCAGTCATGAACACTCCAGGAGACGCTCAGTCCGCGTGAATTCCTCTCCCTTTCCTTTTTCATCCTGCCTCTTGTTCCTCCCTCCAGGTCCCTCATCCCAGGCCCTCCCCAGTGATAGAGAGCCTCCAGAGACCCAGCTTGGAGCACTTGTGGTCCCTGGAACAGGCCAGGGCCTGTGGGCTTGTCCTTGGGCACCTGGAAGACATCACACCATGGCCTCACTACCATCTGCCTGGGCTCCCCCAAGCCGCCCCTCCTGTGCCCTCTGCTCTGGCTACTGCCAGCCATGCCCCCAGGAGACAAGCTTGGGCTGGGCAGGGCTGGATGTATTTACTCTTTGCCGAGGCTGGTTTCTCTGTTGCTGACGTGAAGGCCTGCTGGGTGCCCATGTTTCCTGCCTGGGTTTTCCCTGGCCGGTGCTGGGTTGCCATGTCTTCCAGCCACCCAACCCGGGGCCCCTCCACCTTGGCCACAAGCTCTCCCGCTACGTACCCTCCCTGGCCACCGGAAATCAGACTCAGAAGCCTCCAGGGGCCCTCGGGTTCTCCCTCAGCAGGAAGTTGGCACCCAAGGGCAACTGGCCTGGGCCAGGTCGTTCTTTGGTCCAACTAGGAAGGCCGCAGACTACACACTGGTCAGCTGTTCCGGAACACAGGGAGCCACTGCCTTGCAGCCCCGGGTCTACAA
The DNA here is from genome assembly GCF_000001405.40 of Homo sapiens. Taxonomy (NCBI): domain Eukaryota; kingdom Metazoa; phylum Chordata; class Mammalia; order Primates; family Hominidae; genus Homo; species Homo sapiens. The sequence goes on from NC_000001.11 coordinate 25,001,572, forward strand.
AGAGGTGCTTTCTGCCTCAGGCGCTTCTGACCATTGTTAGAGACCAGCATCCTGGATTGGGCTGGGGAGTTGGGGCTGGGGGCGGTGACCCATCTTAAAGACCCGTTTTAAACTCCTGCCTGTTGGCTTGATGACTCAGGAAGAAACAGCCACACCCCACAACCTTGGGCTCTGGGGCCACTCTGTGGTGAACTGTCTTCCCAAAGATGTTTTTTCCAAATTTTAATCATTCCAGTAACAACTTAATGGCTTTTCTTACCCTAAATTCATATTGTGCATATACACGTATTATATGAGTTATGTTATAATATAGTAACATACATTATATTATATATTATAATAGAACATATATATAAAGGAAAACATATATATTATATTAAATATAATATATGTTATAATATATTTAATATATATGTTATGTATTATAATATATATTATAATTATATATAAATATATATAACATATATGTTATATATTTAATATAATATATTTAATATACTATATTATAACATATATGTTATATACTCATTATAACATATGTTATATACTCATTATAACATATATGTTATATACTCATTATAACATATATGTTATATACGTTACTCATTATAACATATATGTTATATACGTTACTCATTATAACATATATGTTATATACGTTACTCTATGTAACATATATGTTATATACGTTGCTCTATGTAACATATATGTTATATACGTTGCTCTATGTAACATATATGTTATATACGTTGCTCTATGTAACATATATGTTATATACGTTGCTCTATGTAACATATATGTTATATACGTTGCTCTATGTAACATATATGTTATATACGTTGCTCTATGTAACATATATGTTATATACGTTGCTCTATGTAACATATATGTTATATACGTTGCTCTATGTAACATATATGTTATATACGTTGCTCTATGTAACACATGGTATGTGTTATAACATATCGTATAACATATAATATACTATATATTATATATTATATATTTTATATTGTCATATATGATAATAACATATATTATATAATATGTTATATTATATATTATGTTATATTCATGTTAATTCACATCATGAATATTATATATTATAATATATTTATATATGTTATAGTATATATTATATATTATAACATCTATATTAATTAATTCATTCTTTCTACTTAAATAAATTTATCCTCATCCTAAAAAACCTTATTTGTCAAATCATAGTTTGGATTCCCTAGAGATGTTTTTCTCCTAAAGCATATTAGATAACCATGAAAATAGCAAATTCTGGTTGGTGAACCATCTATAATGGTGTCCTTGAAGAGTGATTCGAAGGGTTATTCGTATGAAGGTTCCCTGAGTCCATCTCTTCTCAGGCCTCTGAGATGTCACAGCCCAGTCCCTTCTGAGCCACCCCCAGCTACAAGAACACTGAAAGCTACTCCGTGTCATGAAGGTTGATGGGCTCTGCTCTGCTCAGCCTTTATGGGTACCCAGAGGAGACACTGAGTCCAGCTTGGCTTGGCTCAGGAGGCAGGACTGATGATAACAACCCCATATATTGGCACAGCACTTTACAGTTTGCAGAGCCCATTGTCACATCCTAGGCTTGCCACGACCAGCCTAAGACCACGTGACCGAAAAGAATGGAGCTGACATTGATGGACAACGTCTCAGAATGTTATCGCTGGAAGGGCCTAGTGGTTATTTGGTCTTGTGCTTTCTGAAGCTGGTCTATGGGGTGCTTTGGGGCAGCTGCTGATGGGCACCGACCCACAGGGTGAGAGTGGAGTGCCCTTTTCCATTCTTGCTTATGTCTTTGATTAGCATCAGGGCAGAAGTTCCAGCTGGAGAGTCCTTGTACTCTTGGACTTGCTAACCTCCCACCTAAACAGAGCCTCCCAGGCAGGGCCTTCAATGGATGATGGTGTCTAGCTGGGGGCTCATAATGGCTGTGGTCAGCACCCCCTCCTCACTGCTGCTGGTGTACACAGCATGTATAATTCCTGTCCCTTGAGTGTGGGCAGAACCCATGAACCTCACTTTGAGTCAGTCACAAGGGAGTTTATTCTGGCTGGCCTGACCTCATCAGAGGAAAATTTTAAAGGTGAAATGTCAGGAGGTGTGCTCTGCCAGCCTGGGAGACAACCAACAGCCTTGTTATGAACAGCCCACGAGGGGGCCACGTGGCAGGGAACTTTGAGTGGCTTTTAAGAGCTGGGGATGGTCCCTGGCTGACAGCTAGCAGGGAAATAGAGACACAGTCCTACAGCTATGACGAACTGAATTCTGTCACCAGTGAGCTTGGAAGAGGACTCCGAGAGCAGGTGAGATTATAGCTCCATTGACACCTTAATTTCAGCCTAGTGTGACCCTTAGCAGAGGGCCCAGCTGACTCATGCCTGGACTCCAGCCCTATGGGAACTGTGGGAGAGTACATTTGTGTTGATGTAAGCTGATAAATTCATACACAGCAGTAGGAAAGTAATAGTGCTTTTTGCTTTTAATCTCAGCTCACTGCAACCTCCGCCTCCCGGGTTCAAGCGATTCTCATGCCTCAGCCTCCTGAGTAGCTGGGATTACAGGCTGGTGCCACCACACCTGGCTAATTTTTGTATTTTTAATAGAGACGGGGTTTAACCATGTTGGCTAGGCTGGTCTCAAACTCCTGGCCTCAAGTGATCCACCTGCCTTGGCCTCCCAAAGTGCTGGGATTACAGGCATGAGCCACCACACCCAGCCACTGATACTGATTTTCTATGTAGTGTGGAGATAAAAAGTTTCTTTAACATTTTAAAAAATTAGTTAATCCAATTTTAAAAATCAGTGTGGTATATCCAAACATGGGCCAAATTTTTTGACACTCATCAAGAGGTGGGCTTTATGCCTCCTCCCATGAATCTGGGCAGGCTTGTGTCTGCTTCCACCAAGAGTGTCATGAAAGTGACATGATGTGGCTTCCGTGGTCAGCTTATAAAAGGCTGTGCAGCTTCTGGCTGGGTGTCTTGGGACACTCCTGCTTGAGAAGCCAGCTTCCACATAAGACACCTGAGTAGGCCCAAGACCACCATGCTGAGAGGCCACGGGTGGGTGCTCCAGCCACCAGCCAGCATCAACTGCCAGCAGTGTGACAAGTCAACTTGAACATCCAGCTCAGCCAGGCCTTCAGATGAATGCAGCCCTGGCCAGCCTCTGATGACAACTGTAGGTGACCCCAAGCAAGAGAGACCCTGCTTTGCCTTTCTTGAATTCCTGACCGCGACATCACGAGCAAAATAAAATGTTGTTTTAAGCCGTTATGTTTTAGAGTCACGTGTCTTGCAATAGCAACTGGATTAATGAGTGACACATTCATGTGGTTCAAAAACAAAAAAGTATAAGACTATCTGGGATCAGCCGTGGATGAGGACTGCCCAGAGGTTGTGGCTTTGATGAGATGCCACAGCCTCCCCGTCCCTCCTCTCCAACTGTAGCCTCACCAGCAACAAACATTTGCTGAGCACCTACTGGATACTTTGCATCATGGGCAATTTCGGCATTCCTAAAAGAGGCATCAAGGAGGCAAGTAGGGGAGGTCCCTGCCTAATTAGAGGAGAGGACACAGATGAAGCTAACGCATCCCAGCCAGGGTACACTGCAGGTGCTCAATCAATGTTTCTTGCAATGAACTGAGCCCCTCAGCAACCGTGCTGAGCACTCCTTCATTCATTCCCAAACACTGATGGAGTGCTGTGTTAGGCACTGTGTGGCCTGGGAATTGGAGAGGCGGTTCCTGCCATGGCAGCACTTGCATCCCAGTGTGGCATCAGTGCTGAGGGATGCAGGTAGGAGGCAGCAGCCTCGGGGGCTCAGCAGTCAGCAGAGGCATGCTGTCAGTGGAGCATTTATGGACCTTATAATTATTTAATAGCTAACATCTTAAAGTTACGCACTTAATATATACCAGGCACCATTCTCAGCATTTTAGAGCATTTAAATCTCCTCAAAGCCAAGGGATGATATTACTGTTATCTCTTCAGACAGGGAATTGAGGCTCAGAGAGGTGCAGTCAGTGGCAGACAGGAGGCAGAGGCACAGCTGGGACCCAGGCCTTTCCAAGCCCAGAGACCCACCTTTAGCCACCACCCTCTACTGCTTCCCCAAGGAACAAGATTGAGCCGACTGAAAGGACACTCCCGGTGAGGGAGGCTGTAGGAGCAAAGGCTTGGAGGCTGGAATTTGCGTCCCAGAGCATGGAGTTGGGAAGGAGGAGGAGCGGAAAGTGGAAAGAGCATGGAGTTCGGGAGAAGGAGGAGCGGGAAGTGGAACAGGGCTGGAAGGTTCAGTCAGGACACCTGCAAGTGGCTGAGATGCCTTTGGAGATGCCCAGATTGTCAGAGTCGGGTTCCCCTCTCTCTGTCTCTATTTGTTTGTCTCTGTTTCTCTGGAATGGAGCCTCCCTTTCTTTGCAGAACCTTTTTTTTTATTTTTACAATGTAACTTACTCTAAATAAATAAATATATTAACAAAGTAAATGTCTTCAATGAGAGCTGGCCCCCTCAAAGGCATTTCCGTTTGCAAAATAGGTGGAGAACCCAGAGCTGTCTTCTGATCTTCCCTTCAGGCATTGCTCTGGCCCAGGAAGGTCCCTGTGACTGCTGAGGTTTAGGAGAAACAGCCTCCAAGGCAGCCTGAGACACTCAGCCCAGGAAGAGGGGGCTCAAGCACTAGGGCCAAGAGGCCAGGCCCTCAGAGCACGGCAGGGCAGGCCCCTTCACCCCCAGGAGACAGTCCCAGCCTGCCGCTCTCCTGGGAGGCATGGATGAGCCTTGTCTGTTAGTGCAGGAGGGATCCTTTGATCTCTTGTGCAGGTGAGCCCAGGGAGGGCAAGGGACTTGTCCGAGGCCATGCAGTCACAGCGTGTGACTTAGACGCCCCCAATCCAGGGCGCTTTCCCCAGCACTGGGTTCACTTGCCTAGAGATGAAGGATTAGTCAGAGCTCTGAGGTGTCCTTGTATCCCCCCTCTACCCCACTGGAAGGATTGACATGTAAGTTCATAAATGCTGGGAGCCAACGGGTTGCAGAGATGACAGTGGCAGGGTTTCAGTCATGGCTTTCCTTCCAGGCTTACTGTCTTCATTCTTGGCTTCCACGGCCAGGCAGTGGCCAGATCATGCTAGGAGGGGGATGGGAGAGAAGGAGAGAGGGTGAGAAGGGAGGTTTAGCTGGCCCTGGGAAGCCGTGAAAGAGCCGATGTGAATGAAAGTCAGACTTTCAGAGGAGAAGCTGGGGCTCCGGGAGGAGCACTAGCCAGGGAGTCAGAGACCCAGGGTCCAGCGTGAGGAGCTCCCTGCCTTCTGTGTGCTTCGACATTCATTTCATTGATGCAGTGAATACCGGCTAAGGAACTACATGCCTGGCCCTGTGCCAGGAAAGGGAGAGGGAAAAATCAAGCCGACTTGGTCAGTTACAGAAGCTCACTGTTCAGCGGGCGAGAGAACACGTGGGGATCTTGTTGAGATATAAAGTTTGATCACGACTGCAAGGGAAAATAGAGAGGGAGGGCTGCGGGGCTTTAGGGTGGGGGTGCTGGGAGAGGAAGCCCATCAGGTGAGATGTGGGAAGGGCATTTCAGGCACAGACACTGCAGGAGCAAAGGTGGGGAAGAAGGGGTGGGCATATGGCCCTGCTCAGCTGGAACCCCGTCCTAGGGAAGGAGGAAACAAACATTTGGAACGTGTGCATGGTACCAGATCAGAGTGGGTCTTGAATGACCAGCTAAAGATTTTGGACTTCATTCTGCAGGTGGCAGGAGCCACTGAAGGTTTTTGAGTGCAGACATGCCAATAAATGTGTGAAGCAGGAAGAGGCACATTTTGAAAGTTTAATGCCCCTTTCTTTCTTTTTCTTTTTTTTGAGACAGGGTCTCACTCTATCTCCCAGGCTGGAGTGCAGTGACACAATCACAGCTCGCTGCAGCCTTGACCTCCTGGGCTGAGGCAAGCTTTGCGTTTCAGCTTCCTGAGTAGCTAGGACTACAGGCACGTGCCACCACACCCAGTTTGCTTTTTAGAGATGGTTTTTCGCCATGTTGCCCCGGCTGGTCTTGAACTCCTGGGCTCAAGGGATCCACTTGCCTCTGCCTTCCGAAGTGCTAGGATTCCAGGGGAGAGCCACTGCACCTGGCCACTCCTCTATTTCTTTCTTTCTTTCTTTCTTTTTTTTTCTTTTGAGACGGAGTCTTGCTCTGTTGCCAGGCTGGAGTGTAGTGGCGCAATCTTGCACTGCAACCTCCGCCTCCCAGGTTCAAGCGATTTTCCTGCCTCAGCCCCGCAAGCAGATGGCACTACAGGCACCCGCCCCCACGCCCAGCTAATTTTTGTATTTTTAGTAGAGGCAGGGTTTCACCATATTGGCCAAGATGGTCTCGATCTCTTGACCTCGTGATCTGCCCTCCTCGGCCTCCTAAAGTGCTGGAATTACAGGTGCATTACTTCCCAGTCTGCACCCATAACAGGCATCGCTAGTTGATCCTTGCACTTTCTCTCCCATCAAGCTCCAATTCAGCTCTAGAGTGTCCCAGCCAGTCTCTACCAATCACACGGAATTGGCCTGAAGGGTGTTAGTAAATGGCTCTCTCTTAACTAGATGATGATGGCAGTGGTGCTAATCGTAATGAAGCCTGCAGCACTCTTCACTTTTCATGCTGCCTTCTGTCTGACTCACCACTCAGGACACCCATTACTGGCTACTGTCTTCCAAGGAGGAAAACGGAGGCACAGAGAGGTTGCCAGGCTTACCCAAGGTCACTCAGCTTTCTGCAAAAGTTTCTCCTAAGTTTAAACCCCAGCACCAAGGGCCTGACCCCACTTTTCAGTTAAACTCCAAATGTCTGCCCAGCCCTGATGAAGGCAGCTGATGTTGGGGCATGCTCTTCAGCCTTGCCACTGTCCCCAGAGCTGCTGGGCTGTCTCCTGGCCCCAGCCACAGCCCTGGTGGTCCCAGATGCAGAGCACAAGGAGCTGCTGGAATTGTTGGCACAGGACAGACGCCCAGTTAGTTAGAAAAACATGTGGCTTACTCTTCCCTCTCCTGCCCCCTCCAGCCACCACCACCTTCTAATTCAATTTCCCTTGAAAAACAATGGTTTCAATGAAGGGGGAAACAAGATTTTCGGAAACTTCATAAAGTTTTGCAAAATAATTACCCCCCAAACTGGCAGACTTCCTCCCCCTTTCTCCTCAAATGAACGTCTCTGGGACATTTCCATAAGCTTTATATCCCAGCTGGATGTGCCCCTGGGCTCGCCCTGAGGCTACCTACCCCAGATCAGACTCTGGGCATCTGCTGGGCATGGGGTCCCCTGGGGCCATTACCCTCTCTCCCGGTTGCCCACCTCCTCCTCTGATGAGGATTGGCCAAGAGGAGAGGACAGAGGAGGGAATGTTCCCTGAGCTGGCCATTGCAGTGCCCCGAGCTGCTCCACAGATGGGAGCTGGGAACCAGGGCGGGGAAGGAAGCCGTCTGATGGCTCAGCAGAGTGCAGTGGAGGACAGGGCCAGGTCTGCACCCTGGACCGCCGGCTCTTCTTTCCAGCTGCCTTGCCTGGAAGCTTCGGGTCAGCCTTGGGCCTGAAGCCTCGGGAGGCCTCTGGGAAATGCGTCTCTTGGTTGGTCACACTCCCAACCCTGGCTGTTGCCAGCCTGCATGGGCAAAGTGGGATCCTCCTTCCTTCCTCACTTCCCTGGGAGCCCAGGGTGGCCCAGATGCTATGTCTGGCTCTGCTGGTCTGCAGACCACCCCTCAATCAGACACACCAGCAGGCAGCCAGGCATGTCCTGACGGGCAGCCAGGGTCAAACCACCAGGAACAGAAGCTTCTCTTTGCCATGCTCTGCCCTCTCCTGATGCCCTCACCTGGGTACTTGGTGATTCCCGTGACCCTCAGCAGTGGGCAGCCTCCTGGGTCCTCCTCTCCCCACTGGCTTTCAGGGAGTCTCCCATGTGCTGCCTGAGGTGTCCCCCTTTGAATGCTCCCTCCAAGACAGTCTCCTCTGCCACTCCCCAGAAAGGCTACTGCTCAACCCACCCTCCCTACAACCTCGACACCCCTCTGCCCCAGCTCCCATCCCAAATCTCACATTTTTTCTACTGCCAGAGGTGAAGTTTGATGAACTCATTCATACTAAGGTGTGAATGATTGACCGTCTGCACTCTCCCAGAGACAGACTTTGTTGTGGGCTGAGATTCTGGGGTGGGAAAGCTACTCAGAAGACACAACCAGGTGCTACAATGAGAGACTCCAAAGCAGAGCCATCTGTCCCAGGCCCTACACTGTGTAGCAGCTGCAAGCAGGTGAATAGGAAGGAGCCTGGGCAGTGATACAGCTGAAGGCAATCCCTGCTTGCTACCGGCACCAACTCCAGCCTCTGGCTTGAGGCACCCTGAAGGTGCCCAGTGCAGGAACCAGTCTCCAAAACTGACAAGGCCCTTAACCACCTCCCTTAGGAAGTCCCCACCCACACTGGGCAGGGCTGACTTCTGTAGGCAATAGGCTACTGCAGAAATGAATGAGTGTGACTTCTGAGGCTAGGTCATTAAAGGCATACTACTTTTCTGCTTTACTTCTCTCTGGGATCGATCACTTGCTCTGAGAGAAGCTGGCTGCCATGCTGTGAGGACATTCAAGCAACCCATGGAGAGGCCCACATGGCAAGGCCAGCCAACAGTTTGCACCACCTTGCCAGCTGTGTGAGTGCACCACCTTGGGTGCAGGTCTGCCAGCCCCAGTCAAGACTTCAGATGAGTGTAGTCCAAGCTGACACATGATCGCAGCCTCCTGAGAGACCCTGAGCAAGAAATGCCCAGCTGAGCTGCTCTCGAATTCCTGGCCTGCAGAAATTGCAACATAATAAATGTTTATTGTTTTAAGCCAGCAGGTTTTGGGGTAATCTTTTACACAGCAAAAGATAACATGCCAGCCAGCCCCTCCACCACCAGAACTCTCCTGCAGCCTCTCACTGCAGCCATTTGCTCCAGCTTTGTTAAGAAAAATTACCCAAAACTTGGAAATAGGCAAAGACAGGGCAGCAGGTCTTTTCAATGTCATATTGGGGTGTTGTTTAGCAGGCCCACTAAGGGTATCTGCTATGGTCTGAATGTTTGTGTCTTTGCAAAATTCATATGTTGAAATTTAATCACCAATGGGATGGGGTTAGGAGGAAGGGCCTTTAGGAGGTCATTGAATCATGAGTGTGGAGTCCTCATGAATAGAATTAGTGTCTTTATAAAAGAGGCCCCAGAAAGCTGCCTTGCCCCTTCCACCAAGTGAAGACACAGCGGGAAGGCACCATCTATGAGAACACGGGCCCTCACCAGACGCCTTGATCTTGGATTTCCCAGCCTCCAGAACCGTGAGAAATAAATATCTGTGGTTTATGCATTACCCAGTTTATGGTATTTTGTTATAGCTCCCCAAACAGACTAAGATAGTATTTAATTATCTAGAGGAAGGTACCTTTGACTTAGTATGAGCCATTAGAAGACCAGACTTTAGAAGTTATATGTTAATATATAGATTTCTGTCCAGTAGAAAATGCCCCAAAAGTTACGGACTTCTGGCCCATCAGGACATTAACCAGTTTTGTATCTCACTGAGCCATTGTATTCCAGTATTCTTTTCCCAGTATTCTGTAGTGCTATTCCTCTACTTCTCCTTTGAATCAGCTTTATCTTCTTACTGGTTCCCTCATTCAGGAGTTAAACAAATTTTGACATGTGTTCAACCTATATTTGAATGAGAGTTATGCTTTTACTCTATTTTTTTTGAAATTATACTTTGACAGCTTACGTGTGCCCCGGAAATAGGGAACTCACTACCTATCAAGGAACTTGGGGATCTTAGAACAGCTCCTAAAACAGGCTTAGGGCTTCTTCCTTATTCTCATAGCTGCACCCTCTGTCCCTGGTTCTCCCTTTGAGAAAACCTCAGGAAGTGAGCCGAACCCCTAATTCCCACAGCAGCTCATCAAATTTGGTAATTTCCTATCGCTTTGCACTCTAGACTACATATTTTGTGTTCAGAAAAAGAAGTCATTAAATAAATAATAAAAATTGAGATCTAAATTTTACTTCCATGAGTTGAAGAAGAATGGATCCGAGAAAAGAGCCATTTATTGATGCTGCTGTGTACAGGCCTGTGCAGTTCGAAGAACTGGAGATTGGCAGGGGTCCACTCTGACCCTCCACCCATTCCCTTCTCCCCATGCTCTAGGGGGATCTCGGATGAAATCTTTAGCCCCCGTCCCTAATCCCCTTCATGGCCTCTGGCTCTTGGAATAAAGGTCAGATCCCTGCTACAATGTCCTCTGTGGCCTGGCCCTGCCCCCCTCCTTCTTGTCTCACACCGAGCTCCCCGTCAGCATCTTCATTCCATTGGCACTCTCACTCCCTCAGGTTCACGAGGATCCCTTGCACTGCCTGACCTTTGCTTACGCCGTTCTAGCTCCCCATGGCAGTGCACCCTTCATCTGTAGGAGCACTTCCCCTCGCCTTGATCATTCTCTGTCCCCAGGGAGGTTCTCCAAGCGCCTATTCTCCATCACTCCCGCCCCCCACTCCCACACTCATTAGGTGGTAATTTGACCTTTGCTTGTGGGATGATTTGATAGTGCTGGCTTCCCTTGCTGGGTTGCAGGTCACAGAGGGACAGGGACTGCTTCTGCCTTGTCCTACCTTTTGTCTCCAGGATTCGCAGTAGGCGCAAGTGAGAAGTGGACACTCAGAGCCCTGGAGTCCAGGGCCTGGCACCAAGGAAGCAGCAGGGGGAGTTTGCTGAGCAAACAAATAAAGATTTCATCACAAGTTGGGGCAGAACAGGAGGCTGATACCTACGTCCTGGGCTCCAGGGCTGGCGCTCCTCCCACAGCCCTGTGCATGGAGCGCCCAGTGAGGGCCAGATTGTTTCCTGTCACTCTGAATGGAAATGACATGGCCTCTGTGCACCCCCATGAGCTGTGTCTCAGATTATGTGAAGTACAATAAAAATGCCCTGTTTTTTTCTCTAAAGAGAGCAACTTACTAGCCACAAGAGACGTCTTGACACCCACTCACACCCAGCTCAGAGAGTTTTCTTTATTTAAAAAATATATATCACAACATAGGTAAAAACAGAGAATGTGTTGAAGTGTGGTGATTACAAAGTGGAAGCCTCCTGCCATTCCACTCCCAAAGTAACCACTGCTGACCATCCCGCATATACTATCTTCCCATGAAAGATTTTTCCCATGAAAAATTCCCCACGTGAATTTCCACAGTCCACTCTTTCCTGGGGCCTGCTCTGGGCCGGGCTACTTGATATATTAAGCATCAAAGTACCCCTAAGGGAGGTACTTGATTTTTATCCCCATTTCATGGATGGGGAAACTGGAATACACAGAGAGGTTGAGTCGGTTGCCCAAGGTCCTACAGCCGGTAAGTGGCAGAGCTGGGATTTGAACCCGGGCAGCAGGTTCAAGAGTCTAGATGTCAGATCCTCTTGGTTTCATGCAGGTATCTACACTTGAGGTGGATGGCACAGCTGTTCAAGGGTGGGGGTCTGGACTTTGACGGTGACTCTGCTCCTTCCTAGCTTTGTGACCTTGGGCAATTGACTAGACCTCTCTGTTCCTTGGCGTCTTCATCTGTAAAATGGGGATGTGGTAGTCCTGCTTTCTGGATAGTTGTGTTAGTGGGCAGGAAGTGCCTGGAACAGAGGTGGAGAGGCAGTAGATGCTCAGTCACCTGGAGTCATGTGTCAGGTGACACGTCACAGTCACCAGTGCTACCCACACCAGGCCTGAGGCGTTCTCTGGACCTGAAGACCCACACCTCCTGCTGTCCTGACACCAGCCTGGGTCCGGCACAAGTGGAGACACCTCACCTCCTCTTTACTGACAGCCCAGGGCCTGCACCCAGGCTTTCTGGATTCTGACAGGTGTCACCTCCCACTGCCACCTTCACAGCAGCTGCCTCACTCCAGGAACCCTGCCAGGACCTGTCTGCCCATCACAGTCCACCCAGGGCTTGGAGGGCTTAGAGCTTTGGTGTCTAATGTTCCCGAGCTCGAATCCAGGCCGTGGCTCTTGCTGCTGTGGCACCTTGCACAGTTTCCTTCCCATTCTCAGGGGAGAGGGCAGAGCAGGTGCTCAGTGAAACAAACAGGCCTCAGTTTCTCATCTGTGAAATGGGGATGCTTGGTGCTGGTGTTGATAAGCCTCATAGGATGGAGAGGACAAACTGAGATAACATTGGCATGATGCCCATCTGGCAGCACGTGTCTACGAGATGTTGGCTGTGAGCACGATCTCGTTTTCTCCTCACCACAGTTTCCCGAGTTGGGACTTAACAGCCACGATTTACAGGTGAGGAAACTGAGGCTTACCGAAGGCAGTGAACGGTCCAAAGTCATATTTCTGACATTTGATGAACTCAGGAGGGCTGCTGGCTCTGAGGTAGCCACCCGCAGCCCCCATCCTCCCCTTACACCTCTCAGCTTCCGCCCCTCCCACTACGGCTTAGCACCCCCCTCCACAGGGACACTGGGCCAATTGGGAGGGCTTGGGGCGGGAGAGGCCACAGATGCCAAGAGGGAGAGACCTAGAACTGACCAAAGGGACTCTAGGCTCCCCAAATCTTGGAGTGGCAGCAGCAGACATGCTCAGAGATCATGGCCCCAGAGCTCCTGTCCATCCAACCCTCTCCGCAGGTACCCAAGCCAGCCCACCCAGTTTCCGCTAGGCGGTGCCTCAGCCTCTGACCTGCAGCCCCCGCTGCACCACAGGTCAGCACTGCTCAGGCTGGTGGGAAAGCATCTAGTCCAGGAAAGTCCAGGGGTAAAGCCCACTGCAGCCTCCCCATTTTCCTAGGAGCAGGTGACCAGCTGAGGCCCTGTTCCCGGAACGGTCATCCCTACTATTTTGACACAGGCTTATCAAGTCCTACCTCTGCATGTGCCAGAACTTTACACAACCAGGACAATTAATCCTCCCAAAAATGCTGTGCAGGGAAGGCTATGATTAACCACGGACAGAGAAACTGAGGCACAGAGCAGTGACATGGCCTGCCCAGGCACACGCAGCAGCAAGTGGCGCACAGACACCAACCTCAGTCAGTCTGACACCTGCAGCCACACGCGTAACCCCCATACTCTGGCGAAACTTCAGCGCCAGAGGGGCCCTGACACAGAGTCTGGCCCAGGGACCCTCAACCCCAGCTGTTCAGTTGAATCACTGGGAAGAGTTTAAATGGTGTCCATCCCAGAATCAATTAAGTATATGTTTCAAAAGATCCCCAAGCTGGGCGTCGTGGCTCACACCTGTAATCCCAGCCCTTTGGGAGGCCGAGGCAGGCAGATCACTTGAGGCCAGGAATTCAAGACCGGCCTGGCCAACGTGGTGAAACTATGTCTCTATTAAAAATACAAAAATTAGCTGGGGATGGTCTCCTGTGCCTGTAATCCAGTCAGGAGGCTGAGTCAGGAGAATTGCTTGAACCCAGGAGGCGGAGGTTGCAGTGAGCCGAGATCACACCACTGCACTCCAGCCTGGGTGACAGAGCGAGACTCCATCTCAAAAATAAAACAAAAATAAAACTAATAAAATAAAATAAAAACAAAAATAAAAATAAAAGATCCCCTGTGTAGCTGGGACTGAGAATCACTGATGGGACCAAGCCTCTCATTTTACAGGTGGGATGACAAAGGCCCAGAGAAGGCAAGTGATGTGTTCTAGTCCGTGATACTAGACCTGGCTCTTGCAGTCCCTCTGACACTTTTCAAGGTCGGTGCTGAATGAATTAATTGCATCTAGTCGGTCAACCTGCTGCCCACCTTCAGCCCTGGCCCCTGGTCGCCCCAGGCCACAGCTCCTGAGCCCCCAGCCTGATTTCTTCTCCACGTTAACTGGTGCCTCTGCATTCAGAGACACAGGGAAAATCCACCAGGGGGAATGGTGGCAGGTGTGGGATGGCTTTGCCTCTGTCTCTGTGGGTTTTTCTTCCTCTTACCTCTCATGAGATGGCCTAGGAGGTGAAGAGAACAGTGTTCCTGGTGGAATGAGGACAGGCTGCACTTCTGCAAAGACTCTGGGGTGAGGGGGCTGGCGCGGAGGCTGAGACATGCTAGGGCCCCCTAGCCTGGGCTGTGTGAATGAGGCCAGTGGCACAGCACGGGTGCACTTGGCTTGGTGCTCAGTGGCCAGGCTCAGACCTCACCACTTCCATTTGCGTGTTAGGTGAGTGCATCCCTAAGCGCCCACCCTGATGGTCACCTGACTCTGGGAGGATTAGATGAGAAGAAGCCTGAGGGGGCTTCCCACAGGCCCGTGTAAATGCTGGCTATAATCACCAGGCACTGTCCCTGGGGCAGCCGTGTGCTTGCAAGTCCCCTGTTCTGGACTGTTCCCACAGCACTGTACGACTGTGGCCAAGTCCCTTCCTCTCCCTAAGCCTCAATTTTCTTCTCTGTAAAATCAGGGGTGATGATTTCTAGGGTCCCTTCCTGCCCAGTTGTTTGCGGTTATTTTTTGTCTGTTTTTAGAGAGTGCGATGTTGCAAGGTTGGGGCAGACAGAGTCAACAAGGACAGCACCGGCTGGGCACAGTGGCTCACGCCCGTAATCCCAGCACTTTGGGAGGCCCAGGCGGGTGGATCACTTGAGGTCAGGAGTTCGAGACCGCCCTGGCCAACATGGTGAAACTCTGTCTCTACTAAAAATACAAAAATTAGCCACGCGTGGTGGCGCACACCTGTAATTCTAGCTACTGGGGAGGCTGAGAAGGGAGAATTGCTTGAACCCAGGAGGCGGAGGTTGCAGTGAACCAAGACCATGCCACTGCACTCCAGCCTGGGCAACAGAGTAAGACTCCATCTCAAAAAAAAAAAAAAAAAAAAAAAGGAAGAGCAGCGCCCGGTTATCTGACCCTGGTGCTTAGGCACAGTCCATCAAGCAGTGCCAGCTGTGTTCCCATGCCAGACAGGCATGGAAGGGGTCTCCAGCTGGCTTCTCATTTCCGCACTGTGGTGTCTCCTGACCTGGGGGCCCTGGGGCCTGAAAGCCACTTCTGTCGGATCATCTCCGGCTCCCATTGGTTAAACCCCTACTGTGTGCCAGGGCCCAGGGTGTGCTGTGACTTGCTCAGCACTCTCTCAGGGTGGCCCCTGAGTCTCTGCATTTTGCCACACACTGCCAGACTTGGCTAAAATAATACTAAGGCTACCTTTTATCAGTGCTTCTGGGAATCTATGGTGGTTGGTTAAAAGCATGAACTCAAGAACCAACCTGTCCAGGTTAAGTCCTGGCTCTGGACAGTCCATCGTCAGCATCCCCGCCCCACCCGTGCAGAGCGGCCTTTCTCCTGTCCTCCAGATGGTTCCCTTCCCATCCTGTGGGGTGAGATGGGGCTCTGAGCACGGGTGGAACCCAGCACTGGGGGGCAGATGGTTCTTCTGGCCCCTTTAGGTGTCAAGTCAGGAGGGGGATGACTTCCAGTGGCTTCTCCCCAGAGGAAAGAGATGGGGTTGTCCTGGGGGCACAGGGATGAAGGGGGAGGGCTGCACCAGGCAGAGGTGGGTGTGAAGAGGACTTCATGGGGTCGAAGTGCCCCAGCTCCTGCCTCTGTAGATCCAGAGCCCCCGTGCCCAGCTCTTCCCTGGCCCATCACAGCACGCACAACCCCCATCAGCGATTCTGTCCTTTGGGTTTCGAGTCCATTTTTATCTTCTACAGCCAATTCACTGCATTAAACTCCTCAGCCTTGACCCTGGTCACAGACCAAGCCCTCATTGCTGACATATAGCCCCGGCCACACACTGAGCCCTGACCCTGGTCTCAGATGGACCCATAACCACAGCTGGAGTTCCGACCCCAAGCAGCCACTACAGAGATGAAGATGCAGGGCTGCACAGTCCCTGAGGCCAGCCTGACGGGTCAGAGTGTCATCCCGCATTGGTTCCAGGATCCACACCACAGAGCCCCCACTGGCCATCTGGAGATGTGGCACCTCCCCACTGTGTGGCCCTGGATACATCCCTCTGCTTGACCTCAGCTCCCGCCTCTAAATGAATGGATGACATCGAGAGACTTCCTGACTCAGAGCTGGTGACCTAGAAACTGTGAGGTACTCCTGGGGGTGTGGGCTTCAGGTTGTTCCCAGCTCTCACAGCCCTGGGCTAAATCCTCTCCACTCTCTTCCCAGCCTCAACCTCACAGTCCAGTGGTTAGGAACAGCCCCTGGGGCCGCATCCTAGCCAAGGGGCCTCGTAAGTTTCCTAGCCTCTTGGAGCCTTGTAAGTTTCCTAGCCTCTAGGAGCCTCAGTCTGCTGTCTGTAGGGTGGGGACTG
This sequence comes from Homo sapiens, assembly GCF_000001405.40. NCBI lineage: Eukaryota > Metazoa > Chordata > Mammalia > Primates > Hominidae > Homo > Homo sapiens. The sequence goes on from NC_000001.11 coordinate 25,017,933, forward strand.
TGGGTGTTGGGAACTCAGCGCAGGCCACGCGTGGGATGCTGTCAGAGCCAAGCCCAGCATAAGCAAAGGGTCAGGAAGTCAGAGCCAAGCACACTGGCCTTCCACAGGGCTCCTGGGCTTCGCTCAGCTCCAGTGGAGATTGAAAATACTGTAATTCCTTTTTCTTCCCTTTCTCATTGGGGACACTGAGGCCTAGAGAGGTCAAGCCCCGTGCCAACAGAGTGGGGGAAAGCAGAGCCTCATGTCCCTCTTCTCACCCCACCCCTAGCCTCCTTTGAGCTCCATGAGCCACCAGAACTCATCATAGCCCCAGGCAGGTCGCCACCCTTCCCTGAGCCTCTGTTTCAGCTTCTGTAAGAGGAGGGAGCAGGACCAGTGGGATATCTCCTGAGGACACCTCACTGCTACTGAAGAGGACAGGAGCATGCTGGGGTAGGAGGTCAGGTCTGCATGGCAGGCCTTCAGAAACCTCTGGAATGTGGGTTTGAAAGTTTGGGGGCTGCTCTTGCTACAAAGGTTCCCTGTTCTCCCCTCCTTTCTTTCCATGACATTTCACCAACTGTTTCTTCCCTTAATCCAAACCATCGTTTTTCCAGGGTGAAATTTAAATCAAAGCCACATGGCTCCCCCAACACACGTGTCCTTGCCAAATGGAAGCGTGTTCTGGGGAAACAGTAATGACCCTGCCGAAGGGGATTCTGACCTCTCCATGGGGCCCGCCAGGCAAGTGCTATGTGGCATTGAGAAGACCTGGGGGCTTCAAGTTGGCCCAACTGGGGTAGGCTTGGAGGTTTCCAGGCCCAAACATGGCTCCGCCAGGAGCAGAGGGTGAGCCTGAGTTCCTCCACAAGGAGGCCAGGAGGCCTTTTCCAGAGCCAGGAGCCTTCATCCTATGAGCCATGGATATGGGAGGTGCCTGAACCCCTGGGGTCCATCTGGGGAAGGGGTTTACACGGTCCTCCCAGTGAGGCTCAGTCATTGATATGACTTGAAGCATGGTGGTGGTGTGGCTGTATGAGAAAGAGACCTGGATTTGGAGTCTTGTTTGTGTCTGATTCTCACTCACTTGCTGTGTGACCTCGAACAAGTTCCTTAACTTCTCTGAGCTTCAGTTTCCTCATTGGTAAAATGGGGCTTCAGCTAGAAGCTCTCTCAGTGGTAACCATGATGCAGGCGAAGGGCCAGGGCCCAGGAGCTGGCGCACAGTGGAGCTCACAAAAGCAGCTGGGGGAACTGTGCAGAAGTGAAGCGGGGGCCTCAGAAAGGAAGGAGGGAGACGCCAGGCCTGGCATTGCAAGAGGGGCTGAAAGCAGTGGTGGGAGAGAGGGCAGACAGGGAAATCTGGGCACTGTGTGCAGCCCCCAGATATGAGAGGAAGCCCCTGAGTGGAGAGTCATGAGACTTTGGAAGGGGCAGAAGGCTTTACTGAGGGGAGGGGCATCCAGGGAGGAGGGGCCTGGAAGTCCCCAGGGGCCACTCTGCAGGGGCTTCCCTGGGCCTGGTCTCTGTTTTACATAGTCTGGCACTCCCAGGCGGGCTCACAACTTGGAGTCCTGGTTGGGGAGAGGGAGTCAGGAGAGCAGGAGGCAACCTCCCATACCCGCCATACACCAATAATCAGACACCCTCACTCCGGACCAAGCCTGGACACCTGTGGGGTGAGCACACTCATAGCTATAGGCCCACAGACTGAGAAGTACATGCAAATGGCCACATGCCAGACCCATATGCAAAACACAGACCCAGACAGGCCATGCACAGACCCACATTTCCACACCGGGGCCAGACCCGCATGCAGGAGTGTGCAGGCATGTGGATGCGTGCACACACACTCCCGCACATACATGCCTGCACACACACACACCTGCACACATACACATGCCTGCACACACACACACCCCTGCACACATGCATACATGCCCACACACACACACCTACATGCCTGTGCACACACACACCTGCACACACGCATACATGCCTGGACACACACGTACATGCCCGGACACACACATGCCTGCACACACACCTGCGCGCACACACACCTGCACACACACATACATGCCTGCACACGCACACATACATGCCTGCACACACACATTCACATACATGCCCACACACACATGCACACACATACCTACCTGCATACACACACCTACACACACATACATGCCTGCACACACACATTCACATACATGCCTACACACATGCATACACACATACATTCTTGCATGCACACATCTGCACACACATACATACCTGCACACACATATTCACATACATGCCTACACACACGTGCACACACATACATGCCTGCACATACACATGCACATGCATGCCTACACACATGGGTGCACACAAACGTGAGCACACACATGTGCTGAACAAGGCCCCAGGAAGCCTCCAGCACAGGCCAAGAGAACGGCTCCCTCTACACTCGTTTATTCACTCCACAAACCAACTGAGCACCTACCAATGTCAGGCACAACCCCTGCCCCTGGAACTCACACTCTAGTGAGAAAAATGTCAATCACGCCTATCGAAATAATGACTATTCCTCACACATTCACGAGATTTTGCTCATTTAACCCTCAAAGCAGCCCTCTGGAGTCGGGGGGTCTCTGCTGCACAGATGAGAAAATGGGGTTCTGAGAGGCGTGGCACCATGCCCTGCTCGAAGCTCCAGAGCCGGCGATTGGCAGCCCCACTCAGATGGGTCTGGGGAGGGCTCTCTACTTCCTCTCGGTGACTTCTGTCTCCCCTGCCCTCTGCAAAAGCGGAGGCTGTGGGGATGTGGCCCCTGGCGCTAGGAGCAGGCCTGCTGAGGGGCCTGGCTGCTCCCTCTAGCCCCACTGTGGCCCTGGACAAGCCTTTCTCTTCCCACCCCTGCTGCCCATTGCACAGAAGCAGACATGGAGTCTGAGAGGACAGTGGCCTCGTGAGGTGGCCGAGCTGGGCACTGCGTTAGAGACAGGGAGGGGGCAGCTTCTGCCACCCACATCCCCAGATCAGTCGGTCCATGAGTCCTCACTGAGCCTGGTCCTGGCTGGATGCTCTGCCAGGCACACAGGGACAGCCCAGCCCAGGGCCTCCATGTTGCTTCCCACGCTACCAGGCCCGGGAGCACCAAACTCCTCGAGTACCAGGAAGCGAGCCCGCACACACCTTAGCTGCAGGTCCTAGCACCCCCGCCTTTCCCAGCCTCATACTCTCTGGACAGACAAGAGACTCCCCCTCACCCCAGGACCTACAGCCTACGGAGGCCTGGAGCCACCCAGCCTGGGCCGCAGGGACCTCAGGGAGGGTGCAGACGGGGGACGGAGGGCACAGGCCAGGGCCCTAACACCAGGCAGAGCCGTCCACAGTGGGATCGCCCACCTCGTTGGCTGCCTGGAGCATGGCCACCCTGTCCTGCATGTGAACTCGGGAGTGGGGAGAGCAGAGAGAGGCGGGGGCCGTCATTCAGCCTCTTGGAACTATTCTTGTCAGTGCCTCGTTCCTGGAAGCCTCTTTGGGCTGGGCCCTGTGTACAGGCAGAGGTTGGTGTGGGAGGGGAAGGCTGGGGTGTGTGTCTCTCACTGGAAGCCCTTGGAAAACCCCTCCCCTCCTTCGGGGCAGCCCCTGCCCTCAATTTGCTTACAGTCTGTTCCAAGCTTCTCAATCCATCAGATCAACTAGAGGAACTTTATAAAATGCAGGTTCCTGGGCTCCTTCCCAGTCTGCTGAATCCTAATCTCAGGGCTGGAGCCCTGGAATCTGTATTTTTTCAAAGCCTCGAGACCTGGATGAGAAGGCAGCACTGAGATCCCCTGGCCCAGGTTCTGGCGACTGCTCATGATTATTTTTTGGACCCCGTCGGTGGGATGCTGTCTTATTTAATCCCATGTCCCTGCAAAGGATCCAGTAGATGCCAAATGAATGTTTGCTGGCAGTACTGGTGGGTTGGGCAGGGTATGGACTCACCTAGAGGTATGCCTGGACCTCCCCCGGCCTGCTGTGTGACCTTGGACAAATCACTGCCCTCTCTGGGCCTTGGCTTAGAGGGTCTCCAAAGGCAGATATTTAGTGAGCCACTGATGGTCACCAAGGGCTGCCCGAACATCCAGGAGGTGATCTTACTCCCAGCGTGGGAGGGAACCAGACTGGCCTCCAAGGCATCTCTGGGATTCCCTTAGTTTGCCTTCTGAAAAATGGGCCCGGGCCATGGAGGCATCCTGAACTGCACTGCTCTCGCATGGACAACAGAGAGGGCATTCTTCCACACCTAAGGGAAAGAATATTTACCAACCCCTGGGGCCGCCCCTGAACCCTGGCCTAGGCCTGAGGGCTGAGCTGAGGGGTTATGAGGACCCCTGGCCTCTCCCTTGCCCCTCCCCCTCCTACCCCACCCCCACCCCCTGCTGTGGGCGAGGAGCAGGTGCCTGGCTTCCACTTCTTAGAATCCCTGTGAGGCCCTGGGGTGGGGGTGAGCTCATTTACGGGAAGGGGGGGATGGGGGGCTCTCTTCTCACCCGGCCCTGCTGGAGGCGGGGGGGGACAGCAAGTGCGTAAGCAGCCCCAGCTCCCGGCCTGCCTCCGGAAATGCCGCCCAGGGCTCAGTCACGAACCTAGCCAGGCAGGGGGGCACAGCCAGAGCACTCAGGGGTGTCAGGTGACCTGCGAGGAAGCTTGGCTGGGGGCCTAGAGGCTGCACCGGGGTGCACAGTGAGGTCAACTTCCCCCTTCCTGGGCCTGCACCCTGACACAGGGGTGTGCACCCCACGGCCCAGCTGGATGTGTCTCCTGCTGTCTGCCTATCTGTCTGCTGTGCCCTGGCCCACCGTGGGCTCTGGGCCTCTGCTGGGCTCCCCTGGCACCCATGGGGCCTGAGTTCTCATCAACAACCTGCTTCAAGGGGTGCGTGTCAGGGTCCTGGGGTATGGGGGAGACCCCAGCCAGGTCCTGGTGCGGACAGCCCTGCTTCCCTACCCCCTCTCCCCTTCCCTCCCTCCTCCACTTCTCTCTGCAGCTATTTAAAGCAAGTGGTGGCGTGGGAAACTTCTTCAGATGTGTGGTTTCATCTTCTTCAGCACAGGGACGGGGCGTCTGCTCGCTCTGGTGACTCATCCAGAGTGAGAAAAGCCTTTTTGTTGTTTGATGCTCGCTGGAGGCTCTGTAGCCTGAGAACCTGGCCCGATGGGGCCTTCCCTGCTGAGACTCCTGGGAGGCCTTGGGAGTGCCCAGGGCAGCCCTTTTGTTCCATCCCCAGACCCAGGGAGCCCGGGACCAGTGGAGCCCCTGAAGCTGAAATACTCTGCTTAGAGTGAGCCTTCCTGACTGGTGGGTGGGGCAGGGGTGGCCATTCTCAACACCCAGCTCAGCCACCACCTCCTCCAAGAAGCCTCCCTGATTCCTCCAAAACCTCAGTCGATCTCCACCTTATTCAGTCCTCTAACCCTCAGTCTTCTTATCTATGAAATGGAGCAGTGGGTCCAAGCTTCACAGATCTGTGTGAAGATAAACTGCGGAACACACACAGATGCTCAGTAGGTGAGATTCGTGGTAAGATTTATTGAGCATTTATTGTGTGCTAAGTGCTTTACATGAATGGTCCCATTGAATCCCAACAGCTTTGCGAAGTGTTGTTGGGATTCAGCAGGACCATTCGTGTAAAGTAATATTCCCATTTTACAGATGAAGAAACTGAAGGATGGGGAGGGGGTCAAGTAATTTATACATTGTCTCATAGTTAGTAAGCAGCAAAGTGAGATTCAAACCTAGGCCATGTGATGCCAGAGCCCCAGCCTTTAGCCACTGTGCCAACCTGTCCCTGGCAAACGTAACTAATAAGGATTTGGACTCAAGGCTATAAAGGGCATGCCCCTTCTGTTCAGAGGCTTTGCACATGCTCTTCCCCTGCCTGAAGCACTGACCCTTCCCCAATTGCCTGACTATATCCTCCCCAAGGCTCAGAGATGGGCTGGAAGGTCACTTCCTCCAGGAACTTTCCAGGATTGTCTCTGTCAGGTACCCTGGTGACGCACAGCGAGTCTCTGTGTACTCACTACCACGGCAGCTAAATCACTGTTTCCGCCTGTGTCCTCACCCAGACTGTGAGTGTCCCCAGGGTAGAGATGGGTCTGGCCTCCCATTGCCCCATCCCCACGGCAAGCACAGTCTCTGGCACACAGTAGGTCCCCAAGGTTTGTGGACTGAATAAGTACCACCAAGGTGGCCAGAGGCTGGGAGAAGCCTGGAGCACCAATGGCCATGAAAATTTTCCAGAAGCTTCTCTGTCATTATACAGAAATCCCTTTGATGCCCCCTGGAGAACACAGGCCTTGAAACTGCTGCCTGATGAGGGTTTGGGGGAGACAGGCGGTCTCAGAGTAGCCTACTCTCCCAGGGCAGCTGTGCCACGGGCTATTGGAGATCCCGGGCTATTTGTGATGGCCTTGGAGCATTATGGGAGCAGGGAGGAAGGTCCCCTGTCCTGCTGCCACTCTCTGCTACCCTGAAGTCCCGTAAGAAAGGACCACTCAGCTCCATCCTTGGGAGTCGAAAGATCACCAGGGCCAGAGAGAGGTTCTGGGAAGAGGTGGGCACAGAGAGTCTTGGGGGTCCAGGGTCTTGGAGGAGCTGGGGTCCCTTGAGTGATGGACTTCAAAGTGAGGCTGGGCTGCCCCCATTGAAGGAACAGCAGCCGCCATCTAGAGATGTCCAGTGAGTGCCTCGAGCACTGCCATTGATGCAGACAGCTGTGGCCTCAGACCTGGATCCTGGCAGCAGAGGCCATCAGTGGACCACAGCGTGCTTCCCAGTGGCCATGCCAGGGTGGGTGGGGAGCAGCTTATCTGACCACAGACCAGCCATGCCAGCAAAGGCGCTGCCGTTTCTGCCCACATAAGGGCTACAGTGGCTGCAGCAGCCACGCCAACAGGGGCAATGCAGTGTTCAGGGGGTGCAGCCAGGCCAGCAAGGGGGGAAAGGATAGATGACCACGGAAGAAGCCACAGCAGCAGCCACGCCAGGTAGGAATCATGCAGAGGAGCAGGGGCACACCAAGCAGCAGTGCAGCTGGCCTTGGAAACAAATACTGCCTTCTGACATCAAATGCTCTGAGGACGGTTGAGGGGCTTGGGCTTCGGTGCCCACCACCTGCCATCACTGCTGCCTCTTCTGTGGGGTTCTCCTGGTTGCCCTAGAGGCCTAGCAAGAGGCAGCACGGGCCAGGGAGGCACGAGGGGGAAACTGAGGGCAGGAAGCCAAAGGATGGCAAGAGAGAGGCTGGGCCGCTGCACGGGGCCTGGGGGGAGTGGGGAGAAGGAGGGCCACCCTGGACACCGGTGTCCTCAGACTGCTTCTCATGCCCTCCTCCTCCCTCCAGGGCTTACCCTGCCTGTGAGCAGAGTCTGCTGCTATCCCGGTTCCACAGACAAGGACAGAGGGGCTCAAAGAAGTCTGGGAATGTGGAAGCCTGGGGATTTGGAAGTCGGCTGGAGCTCTAGCTGCCGGCCTCTGTCATTTGGGTGTGTTCTTTATTACTACAGAGCGATGCTGCAGAGAAAGAGGGCATGAGGACTGGAGATGGCTGGCCCTGGGCAGACCTTTCAGGGCCTCAGTTTCCTCACCTGTGAAACTGGACACTTGGCCTCCACCATCCCCCAAGGCTCTCCCAGCTCAGTGGTGCTACAATAGGAGGGATGATATGTGGCCAAAGGGAGGGGAGTGGGTGGCCAGGACAGGCTGCCCTTTGCTGAGGCCTTTGTGACTCTGTTACCCCAAATGGAAGCCAGAGAGGTAGAGTGACTTAGCCAAGGTCATACAGCAACTCACTGGGGGGTTGGGGAAGGGAACCCTGCTTGACTGGGCGGGGCAGAACCTGGAGGCTCAGGCATGTTGGGGAAGGATGGGAGACTGCAGCTGAGAGTCCTCACTCCCAGCCCGTCTTCTGAAACACAGACGCTGGGAGAGCCATCTCCACCAAGGCCAGAGCTGCCTGTCTCCAAACTGAAAGTCACAAATGCACTGAAAACTTGAGGCCCTGCTCTGCCCATTTCCAACTTTCTGCCCTGGCCCCAGAATCATAGGCATCCCCCCATTGTACAGAGGGGAAGGCTGAGGCCCAGCAAAGGCAGGGGACTTGTCCAAGGACTCCCAGGGAGGCCATGCTAAAGCAGGGGCTAGCATCCTGACTCTTGGTTCCCTGCCCAGTAGTCCCCACCATCATCGCCAAATAATAATAATAGTAATAGGCCAGGCACAGTGGCTCACACCTGGGATTCCAGCACTTTGGGAGGCTGAGGCGGGTGGGTGGCTTGAGCCCAGGAGGTCGAGGCTGCAGTGAGCTGTGATTGCACCACTGCACTCCAGCCTGGGCAACAGAGCTAAGACCCTGTCTCAAAATAATAATAATAATAATAAATGTATCGAGGGCCCTGGAAATCAGCTCTGGTCTGTCTGGGACTATTCACACCTGTGCCAGCCAGATTCGATTCCTGCTTTGATCCAACCCTTGCCTTACGGTTCAGCCTTGCCAGCCTCAGGGATGGGGCACACTGTGTGCTGTAGAGACTTGGACACTACCCATTGCCAGCCAAGCTGCCCCCAGGAAAGCCCTGAGTGTCAGTGCTCTGTTAGGCCTCGGCAGGGGGCCAGCAGCTGTCCTCCAGAAGCTTTCAGCCTAAGAAGGAATGGTTTGCAGTTCTTTTCCAGCCCTTTATAGTTTTACAGAGCAAAGATTTCTCCTCCAAGCTCATTGCATCCTCATGCCAGCTGGGAGGGTGGACAAGATAGAAGCCACAGGCACCTGCTCTGCTTAAAATAAAAATTTTTTAAAATGTTCTTTAGCTTTTCTTTTGGTGCTGGGGTTCAGGAGGCTGGTCCTGCAGAAGCAGAAGTGCTTATGACGAGCTTCCCTGGAAATCCCAGAAGGGAAGTTTGGGAAGGATTCTGAGACAGCGGGAAGCTGATGATTTTGAAGATGAGAGACCTGTCCAGGGTCCCACAGTGAGTGTGCAGAGCCAGCAGGGGAGGCTGGTCGGCCGTGCCTCACCCAGCACTCAGCTCTGATCAGACGTGGAGCTGAGATGACCAGGGCCTGACTTGACCATGACCTCAGGAAGATCCGGGCAGTCAAGTCTGGGATGGAGACTCGGAAGCCTGCCTAGTTCAGAGCTGCCCGATCAGGCGAGGGGAATCCCAAGGCCAAGTAGTGATGGGAATGCAATGCCCCCTCCCCAGCCCATTCTACATCCCCTGTCTTTTGCATATGACTGAGAACCTCTGACCTGAAGCCCTGGCGGGATTCCAGTACAGCCCAGACAAAAAATTTCCCCTGTGGTTTGAAATGGATCTCAGCCATCACTTCCTGTGCCCCATGGGAGGTGGGAGCGGAACAGGGGGCCAGAAAGGGGGTGACCTTGTTGTCAGGTTCCACAGATACACTTGGGGGGCTCTGGCGTGAGAGTCTGTCCACTGAGGGTTCCACCCTGGCCAGGTCTATCTGTGTGACTTCTGGCAAATCCCTCTCCTCTGAAATGGATGGGACCTAAGGGCAATTGTCTGGCAACTGTGGTTTTAACTACTTTGTCCTCCTGAGGGACCAGAAGGGACGTAAGACAGAAGCCAAGCCAGGAGGTATTGGGGAAGGACTAAGGTTTTGAATTGGACAGTCTGAAATCAAATGCTGGCCCCACCACTTACTTGCTGTGTGGCCCTGGGCAAGTGACTTCACCTCTCTGAGGTTCCATCTCTGCATTAATAATACTAATAATAATCACAGGATGTGAGCCCCGTTTTTCTGCCAGACACTCTTCCAAGTGACTCCTCTCTGACACGGCCCAATCACCCTCTAGGGTAGAGGCTCTGAGGATCCCAAGTAGGAGACGAGGGTGTGAGGTTTGGCATGAACACTGCCCGCCCGACTCCAGATGCCCTGGCCTTTGCTGCCTGCCATGCAAGAGGCGGTCTTGCAGATGAAAGGAGATCATTTGAGAGAAGTTTCCAGCTCCCTGTGCTCAGTCATGGAAGTTGTCATATTATTGTCACCGTTACTCACTTTCCTCCTTTCCCTGGTGAGGGCCGGCCCTGCCTCGTAAGTCCAACTCCTGCCCACTGCTCCCCATGGGGTGCCCACCGCCTCCAGCTGGGAGCCTCCTCTGCACTCTCTGTCCTCCAAAACCCATGGATGTGCCTCCAGGGGGCAGAGGTCTGGGGGCCCTTCTGAAGGCCTGTGGCTCAGCCCCCTCATTTCAGAGGCAGGGAGAGGCCACTTCCCAGGACCCCACAGTGGCTCCAGCACGTGCAGCCCCCCAGCCCCTTCTTCCTCTTCTTTCTGGGTCCTTTCCCAGAGTCAGCTGCCTCCTGCCACCAGGCAGCAGGGCCACTGGGGATGGCTGGCTAGGCTCTTGGCTTCGACACACATGGTGGCTTCATCCCTGGGTGGAGCAGTTGCTTGCCTGCAAGATGGCTTCTAGAATGTCTTCCCTGCGTGCCGGAAAGTCCACCATGAGCGTGCCATCCTCCAGAGTCAAGCACGCAGCATGGTACCTGCTAAGCTCCCCAGGAAAGATGGGAGCTGGGAGACCTAAGAGGGCATGGGGGGTGCTGCAGGGGAATGAGGTGGTCAGAGCCCAGGGCAGGGTCACAGAGTGGCATCTGAGACTGAGGGCAGCCACCAGCAAGGTGAGTTTGTTCCTCTCCTCTCTGCTGGGCCCTTTGGGTGCCCCTAGGCTCTGCGGCGGGCACTGGGGTTTGAAATATGGGCAGAAAAGATGAAGGCTTCTTTCCTCCCATTCTCCCAGTGCGCACGCCTCAGCTGGCTTCCTCATTCACTCGTGTTCACTCGGCAAACATGTACTGAGCACCTCTGGGGGGCCGAGTGCCTCTGGGCCCTGCAGCTCGCCTGAGTCCTCATCCGAGTCCGCACCCCACCTCCGTCCTCTGCAGGTCCCCTTCTCTCCCTGACTCTCCTCCGCCACCCTCATCAGCCCCAGGGCTCGGGGAGCTGGGACAGAACCCAAAGAGAGATGAGCTCGTGGTCTCAGCTGTGAAGTTGGCTTTGGTTTTTCGGTTGCAAATCACACCCATATTAGGAACCGGCGGGAAGGAAGATGACTGCGCCAGAGCCTGTGTTTTCTGGAAACACCGCAGGGCGGTGAGAGGTTTTCCAGGCCCTGCCTCAAGCCAAGAGGCAAGATTTGAATCACTGAACTGTCATGAGGTGTCTCCCAAGTCCTGGGTCCAGCATTGCTCCCTGAGAGCACCAGGAAGTAAAATGCCCTCAACACAGAGGTCCCCTGAGACCCACAGAGAGCCCACGAAACACTCACCGAGCGCCGACTTGGCGCCAAACCCTTCCCATTCACTTGGCCATTTAATTTTCAAAACCTGTTGTGTGACAAGTGGTGACTCTCACTCCACAGAAAAGGAAGCCACTCCACTCTTGAAAAGGATGCCAAGCGGCACCCCCGCGGCCACACAGCCAGCAGCCCAGATCTACCTTCTCCAAAGCTTGGCTCTGAATTGCGAGGCTGCAAAGCCCCATTCTCCTGGTGCCCATCTTGCCCAGCCCAGCAGCGGGAGCCCTTCTCAGGGAAGAACCTGTTGCGAGGGGAGAGGCGGAGCTGTCGCTGATGGACGGAGCACAGCTCCCCACCCGCAGTGGGTACTCAGGAAATGTCTGTTGACAAACAATCCTGTCTTCATAAAAACAAAACTGGCAATGCAAGTGCATAAAAGAAAAATACTGGAATGAAATGCACCCAAATGTCACTATTCTAATGAAGATGATAAGGAATGTGATTTTCTTGCTCTTTCCTGTGCTTATCTGTATTTTCTATATTTGTTGCAGAGAAGTTAAAAGAAAAGAAAAACCGTAAAAGGAAAGCCAAATGCCTCCTCCAGAGCTGTCTGACAGGGTTTTGGGGAGAGATGGTCTGGGGAGGCTGCAGTCAGCAGTACAGCCCCCGGGGGCTGTCAACAAGCAAGAGAGGTCAGAGACCAGTGGCCCTGGCTGGCCTCCCTGGTTGACCCTCTTAGAATCAGAAGATACCACTTTGAGCATCTTGGGGTGCAGGTGATGAGGGGAAACAGTAACTTTGGGAGCAAGCAGTCAAGGATGAGGATTTGGGGGTCAAGAGACCTGGGAAGCCCAGCTCACCATCTAGCCTAGAGTGTGCCCTGCGGCAAGTCATTGTTCTACTGAGCCTCAGTTTCCCCATCTGCAAAGTGGGTTTCTGGAAGGCTATCATGAGGACTAAATGAGGTCATGCATATGGAACAATCAGCCAGTCCTTAGCATGCAGTAAGTGCTCAAATAAGGGTAGCTCTTGGTCATTCTTCTTCTTCTTCTTTTATTTTTTTTTTTTTCCTGAGACAGAGTCTTGCTCTGTCACCCAGGCTGGAGTGCAATGGAATGATCTCAGCTCACTGCAGCCTCCGCCTCCTGGGTTCAAGTGATTCTCCTGCCTCAGCTTCCTGAGTAGCTGAGATTACAGGTGCATGCCACCACACCTGGCTAACTTTTTTGTATTTTTACTAGAGAGAGGGTTTTGCCATGTTGGCCAGGCTGATCTTGAACTCCTGGCCTCAAGTGATCCACCCGCCTCAGCCTCCCAAAGTGCTGGGATTACAGGCATGAGCCACTGCGTCTGGCTGTTTTTCTTCTCTTCCAGTCCCCATGGTCATTAGGTAAAGCCTGGCCTTGGCACTCAGGCTGGAAGTTGGCTAGAGGGGATTTGGAACTAACCCCCTTGGTGTAAGGTGAAGAGTCTGAAATTTAGGGAGGGGAGGAGGTAAGAACAGAGTCAGACTCCTCCCTCCGCCACACCTTGCTGCTTCCAGCCCTCACTGTTCCAGAGCAGAAAGTGTGGGGTTTAGATGCTCCCGGGGACCTGAGATCCATGTCAGTCCTCCCAGTGTGTGGTTCTAACACCTTCCTCAGTGTGGGCCTCTCCCTGTCCTCCCACCCCACCCAGCCCCACCCTGGCCAGTCTCAGGACCTGTGGAAACCAGGAGGACCAACCAAGTTCTCCTTCTCACTCTCTGTCTGAGTCAACCCCACCACACCATGGAGGTGACTCAGAGGAGACAAAGCCCCAAACCACACCCCATTCACGGTTTGGAGGGGAGCCTCACTCCAGGGCTGGGTTTCCCAGGGTCTGTTCTGCCCTGCCAGACACTCTCAGGCTCCCTAGGAAGAGGAGGATGGAGACTGGAGAGATGGAGGGATGGAAGGATGGAGGCTGGAGAGATGGAGACTGGAGGGATGGAGGATGAAGGGATGGAGGCTGGAGGGATGGAGGGATGGAGGCTGGAGGAATGGAGGCTGGAGAGATGGAAGGATGGAGGCTGGAGGGATGGAGACTAGAGGGATGGAGGCTGAAAAGATGGAGGGATGGGAGGGATGGACGCTGTAAGGATAGGGGCTGGAGGGTGGAGGCTGGAGGGATAGAAGGATGGCGGGATGGGAGGAATGGAGGCTGGAGGGATGAAAGGATGGAGGCTGGAAGGATAGAGGCTGGAGAGATGGAAAGATGGAGGCTGGAGCAATACAAGGATGGAGGCTGGAGGGATGGAGGCTGGAGGGATAAAGGAGGAAAACAAAGAGCGGGAGGGGTCTGGGCACTAGGCTAGGGCCTCAGCTGCTGGGCCTGTACCATGGCAGGGAATCCATGAATCCTGGAGGCATTTTTGGCTGGTTCCAAAGTCAGACAAAGTGTGAACCTCTCTCTGCTACAACCTTGGCCAGAAAGTCTGGTGCAGAGACGATGAGACACTGGGGACCCCCACTTGTTCACATTTGTTCCGTTGCTCACTTGTTCAAAAAACACGCGTGAAGCCCCTGCTTGGAGCCAGGCACTGGGCTGGGTTCAGGGTTTCCAGATGAATCAGGCCTGCTCCCCGGGGGACTCCCAGTCGTTCAGAAGAGAGACAGACATTGAAACAAATAATTAAAGACACGAATGAAAGCCTCTGAGATAAAAATACACAAGATCGGTGAACACAGAGAGAGTCACTGAGACAAGCTTAGGGTTGACCCTAAGCTTGAACCAGAGGGAAAACTCAGACCTCCACCGAGTAGGATGGGCAGTGGGAGGCTGGGGTGCAATGATCCTGAAGGATGCTGAGGGACCCACCACTGCTCCCGTGACCTCCACCTGACGTTCCTCAGGGAAGTGACACCCCCTCCAAAATATGCAACGAGAGAGGCCCTGGGGAGACGCAGGCTTGGGTTTCAGATGTGGGCGATTCTCACACGGGCTGCAGATTCTAGGCCTTGGTCTGCAGCCCGCTCACTCCACGCCGCTGAGACTCAGTTTTCTCATCTGCCAAGTGAGAGTTCTGGATTTGGAGATGATTATTACAGCTAATATTTGCTGAACATTTACTGTGTGCCAGGCATCGCGCCAGACACTTTGCATCGGTACCTCGTTCAGCCTTCACATCCGCCCAGTGAGGTAAGTGCTATTAATAGCAGAAGCCTCTTATCCAATGAGAGCAAAACCAGTGGTTGGTTAATAGAAAAAAAAATTAATGCAGGAAATCATATGATACATAAAGTAGGCATTTTATTGAACGTAACACGTGCGCGTGTACTTTTATGAGATGATCTTCTGATGCAGGGCCAAGGCTGTCTTTGAGACTGAGGCCCCCAGCTGGTGTCCTACCTTGTTTTTCTTGCATAAAACCAACCTGTGCAGCAGCGTTTATGGCTCTCATTAGGAGTCCTTTAAAGCGGAGTGGGACCTTAGAGATGCTTGTGAAGCCATCTGAGCACAGACTCCCTAGACTCCCTCTGGATTTTTAATAATCACCCCCTCCCTCCAGTTTTAGTCTACACCTAATTCAATGAAAGTTTGTGACGGATTTTAACTATTGTCTTCCCCAGTCTTTTATGGCTGTCTTGCCCACACCTCATTTGGCAGCACTTTTTTTTTTTCTTCCGTTGACAACTCGCCTATAACTGGGCCTTTGCAAAGTCCTTTCTTGGTTTTCTGTGACACGACTCTCTTTCCCATTCACATTCTGGTCTCCCTGGTTCGGCCACTACAGCCAGCAGCTGCAGGTCTGGGAAGAAGCCTCACTGAGTCAGAGGAGCCGCCTAGGTGGGAATAGCAGCGGCCGGCCTGCCTGGAACATTCAGGAAGCTGTGGCATCTACTAGCCTCTCTTTCAAAGGACAGGGAGAGTGTTTGTTAATCCAGAGTGGGTTGAAGGGAGGTCTTGTAAGGCACTTTCTATGGTTTGATTCCCATTCTACAGGTGAGGAAACTGAGGTACATGAAGTCACTTCCCCAAGGCCACCCTAGGCTCGTCTAGCTGGGATCTGAACCCAGGCCTGCCTGGCTCCACGTTCTTCATCCTCACACCCTGCTACCTCCTTGTTGCACCAGAGGGGGTCCCTGTGCAACCCAGGTCTGGCTTTCCTGCTGGAAGGACTTAAAGGATCTCTCTTGCATGTGGAATTTGAGGTGCATTTAAACATTGTCCACACTAAGCCTGGTACGGAAGATGGCCACCGATCTTGGGGCAAGGTCTTCTCCCTTGGTCCTGTGTCTCCACGCCCAGGCCTGGTATGCAGCAGGTGCTCATGAGTGTCAGGAGCTGGACAGGAACAGTCAGGATGCCTTTTGTGTTTCTGCCAGTGTCGCGAGCACCTGCTCTGGGGCATGCACCAGGCTGGGTTCCAGGATCTAACAGGAAGGAGAAGCTGGTCCCATCACTGGCCTCAGAGGTCAGTGTCTAGCAGGGTCATTCCATGTCCCCTCGTCCAAGCCTCCTCTGGTCAGACTTCCTCTGAGGGGACAGGGGGTTGTTAAATATGCAAAGGATGTGGATTTTGGAGTCAGACACATCTGAGCTCCAATTACAGCTCTGCCACTTATTGGCTGTGCGTGTAACCTCAGACCGATGGCCACCTCTCAGCCTCGGTACAAACGACAATGCCTCATTCTAGGCCCTTGGTGGGCAGACCCCCAGCAGGGCTAGGAGTCCCTTGAGCCCCAGGGAGGAGGAAGCCCGTAGGCAGGAGGGGTTCGGCTGTGGACAGGGGACCTGGCAGTCAGCTCCCAGAAGCTTCCGACCGTTGGTGGCTGTGGAGAGCGAAGCGGTATGCAGGGGAAATGAAAAGAGGCCAGACGTCGTCCAGGCCGCAGCACGCAAGGGCACCTCACTCCGCTCCTTCGTTCCCTCCCAGGCTCAGAAAGGGGAAGGCAGCCCAGACCAGGAAGTGGCCAGCTTCTGATGGCCACCGCATGGGGACCGCACCAGCCCCAGCAGGAAGTGGCTGGCCCCTTCCCACCCCCTGCCGAGCCAGGCCCTCCTGCACTCACACTTGGGAACCAGCCAGCCTGAAAGTCCCTGTTCTCAGGTTCTGGGACCAGCACTGCATTCTTAGAAGCCTGGGTCCGGCCGGGGCCCCTGATGTTGTGGCTGGGGGTCCACAGACCTGGGTTCTCAGCCCCGCTTTGCCACTTCCTCGCCCTGAAGCCTCAGCCAAGTTGCTTCCCCGTCTGGACCTGTTCCTCGTCTGTTAAATGGGGTGATCACCCACCACCCGCCGCCTCAGAGGGACAGTGAAAATGGGGAGTCCTGAAAGGCCAGAGCTGGAAAGTCCCCGAAGAGTCCTTACAGAGGAGGCAGGTGGGAAAGGAGGGAGATTGTCCCCGGTCCCACAGCCAGTGGGTAGCAGGGCCGTGAGGTTCTGGAAAGAGCACTGCATTGGGAGGTAGCACTTGGCCCAAGCCTCACTCAGCTCCTTCCTAGCTATGGGACCTTGGCCAAGTCAACCAAGGCCCCTGGGCCTTTTCCTACAAGACAGCAAACCTCGTCTCCCAGGGCTCCTGGGGCGCGCAGATGCTCCGTACTGTGTTGTGAACAGGAAGGGCTTCTTGCTGGAGGTAGACTGGAACTCAGATCTCAAGGGTTCCCGTTCTTTGCTGCCCCTCCCCTGAACTCCATATGCAAGGAGTGGGGTCTGGCACCTCCTGAGGGGAGGACTCCTCTTGCTTGCCTCTACCCCTGCCTCCCCCCATTGGGTGAGAGGTGGCAAATCTCTTTCCTTGATTCCACTGAGTCACTGGAGGCCGTGCTCTTGGAGGAGCTGCGTGTGAAGTCACCTCTCCCACATCAGCAGCCAGAGACGCCATTGCCACTGACACTGTGGCACCCAAACCCCCGTCTACTGCAGGCTGGCAGAGCCCTCCACAGACCCCGGAGCCCAAACAGCCTTTGTGGTGCAGCCAAGGGGTAAGGGGGAGGCTGGGCGGGGCCCGGAGCAGCCCTCCAGCAGCAGGCTTCCTGATGCTGTTGGCACCACTGCCCAGTCCCAGCTCAGGCTTCTGGAGAGTGGGCCTCAGGATGGCAGAGCTGGCAGAGGAGGTAGAGGCTAGCCCATCGTGGGGACAGAATGAGAGTCCATGGACCTAAAGAAGAGCTGGGAACCGCAAATCCCATGTGGAATTATGGGATATGTGTGTGTGTGTATGTATGTGTGTGTGTGTGTATGTATGTGTGTGTGTGTGTGTGTGTGTTCATATACACACATTATCTGCATTTCCCAAGGAGGAGGGTCAGGTTTCATCAGATTCTCAAAGACAAAAATAACATGTTCAGGACCAGGATGCTTTTTCCCTTTTCCCATTCCCAGATGAGGCAGTTGAGGCACAGAGAAAAAATTACCTCACAGTTCTTACAGGCAGGATAAGGAAGGGTAGTTGATGTTCCAATGATGACTTCCTTTTTCTGGTTCAAAAAAGGTCTCTGGAGAGTTCAGAGGGAGACTCTATCCCATCTTCCTGTCCCAGAACATTGATGGTAGCTGTGGCTGGAAGAGTGAGCTCACCCAGGAGAAGAGGTTAGGTCTCCTGAACCAAACCCCAGAGCTCCCACCAGCACTACCACCATCGCCACCACCATCATCACCACCAGCACCACTACCATCACCAGCACCACCACTATCAACACTACCACAGTCACCACTAGCATCACTGTTACCACCATCAACACCACCACCACTACCATCAACACCACCATCACTACCAGCACCACCATCAACACCAACACCACCATTATCATCAGCACTACCATAATCACCATCACCAGCAACACTACCATCATCACCATGAACATCACTACCATCACCACTAGCATCATTATCAACCACCATCACTAATACCACTGGAATCACCACCACTACCACCATCACCACTATCAACACCATCCCCACCATCCACATCATCAACACCACCACCAACACCACCATCATCACCACTAACACCATAACCAGCACTACCATCACTACCACAATCAACACCATTACAAGCATCAGCACCACCATCATTACCACCACCACTACCATCACCACCATCACTATTGACACCACTCTTACTACCACCATCACCACCGTCACTACTGACACCAGCACTACTATCTGATTACCAGCATCATCATCAACGTCATCACCACTACAATCACTACCATCACTATCAACACCACCATCACCACCATCCCTATTGACACCAGCACTACTATCAGACTACCAGTATCTCCATCAACACCATCATCACCACCACCACCATCAACACCATAACCACAAGCACTGCCAGCACCGCCATTGACACATGGTCTGCATTAGAGACTGAGCTAATCATCTTGCTTCTACCATTACCCTGCTGGTAATTGGGATACCCAGCTCAGGCTTCACCCAGAACCCTGTGGGACCAGCCAAGGGTGGGTGAAAATGAACCTCTGTGCTCTGAGGCAGGTGAGGACATTCCGAATGGAAAATGCCAATTGCAAAATGAGCTTAACTGACCTGACCTTCACATCAGACCCCCTTGGGGATGGTAGGAGAAATGTACATATTGGTCCCTCTATCTCTCAACAAATATTTACTATATATTATTTTAGCTGACACCTATGCACCACTGATCAAGCACTGTTTTAATTACTTTAGATATATGAACTAATTCAACCTTTGTAGTAACCCTATGAGGTGGGTAGTATTATTATCCCTATTTTGCAGTCGAGGAAACAAAGGTACAGAAGTGAAATAGCTTATCCAAGGCCAGGCACTTAGTAAATGGCAAGGCCAAGATTTGAACTCAGACATCCCAACACGCAGAGTCCACGCACCTAACCACTACACTCACTGTCAGATGGAAGGAGCATGGGACACGCCAAAGAAAATCCCAGGTGTGCAAACCTGCAAGTAACTGTGATCTCCTTGAAGGCATGGGCCATATCATTTGCGCTGCTGTGTTCTCAGAGCCTATCACCAGGCCTGGTATACAGTAAGGGCTCAATAAATGTTAGCTGAATAAGTGAATTGATCGGTAACACTGGGCTTCAAACCCTTCCCCCGGCACCTCTTCCTTCCTCCCCTGAGCCGCACTTGAGGGCAGTATCGGAAGCTGTAGTTCTACTGCCAGCCAACAGAGGGCAACATGTATAATAGGGTGAGATCGGCCATCAGCCAGGAAGAAGGAATTAGGAGGAAGAGGAGGCAATACTTTGTGGC
Organism: Homo sapiens; assembly: GCF_000001405.40. Taxonomy (NCBI): domain Eukaryota; kingdom Metazoa; phylum Chordata; class Mammalia; order Primates; family Hominidae; genus Homo; species Homo sapiens. Next base: position 25,037,433 of record NC_000001.11, read on the forward strand.
AGGCATGAATGCACTTATTGATTAAAAACAAAATTGAGACAAACCTTGGAACCTACCACATGATGGGACACTATGGCTGGTATTTTCTATTTGACAGCTGAGGAAACTGAGGTTCAGAAAGGGAAAGGTCGTTGCCCAAGGTCATGCAGCAAGTGAGTGGCAAAGCCAGGCTGAAGAACCTAGGTCTCCTGGGCTCTTTCCCAACCAGAACTCAAAAAACAGCTGACAGATGGGAAGATAGACCAGACATCTCCCTGTCTGTCAAAACAAGACAAGGTGGGCTCTGGAAGAGGGACGTTGAAAGTTACCAGCCAGGGCAAACCCCTAACCCTGCTTACCATCCCTCCTACCCTACCCCACCCCACCCCACCCCACCTTATGCCCCAGCCCCATTCCCCTCCCTCCCCTCCCCACCCCCCCGCACACATAGCCAGGCCGCCCCCTGGTGTCTGTGACTGGCAGTACGCAAATGCACAGTCTCGATTTTGTCAATCCCCCTGCCATGAGGATGCATCTCCACCTTATAGGCCCAGGTCTGACCACAGGCTGCTGGGGTAGCAAGGGACCAAGAGCACCAGGTTCCAGTCCCTCCAGGGACTCACAGGCCACAGGATGAGGCAAGATGGCCCCAGAACAGAACACAGAGCTCATGTGCCGGAGTTCCAGGAATTACAGCCAATGGCCACCCCATGCAACCAGCACTGCACTCAGCACTGGTGATGCTCCACTTCTTTTAGGCCACACCATCCTATGGGGTAGGTACTTGTATTCACCTTCATTGACAGCTGAGGAAACTGAGGCTTAGCAAGGGGATGTAACCTTGCCATTGGAGTCCACACTGGCTGATTTCAAGTCAACGGCTGGTTCAGCTGCCCCATGCAATAACCCCTGTAGCTCTGAGTGAGTGTGGTAGGCTTGGACGGTAGTAGTCTTGGAAGGCTCCCAGGAGGAGGTGGGGCTCCACTGTCTCAAAGACAAGATCCAACTCCTTGCCATCACCCACTGGTGACAACAATCATCACAACAACAAGTACCATGCATTAAGTACTTAGTGCTGGGTGCTGCAGTTTAAGTACTTTACATGGATTATTTACTCATTCATTCATTTATATATTTACTGAGCATCTCCTATGCACCTGTGTGCTAGGTGCTGGATCACAACAGTGAACAAAACAGACAAAAATTCCTGACCTCATGAGACTTATATTCTGGACATGAGAGAAAGATAATAAGCAAAATAAAAGCATACAGTGTGTGCCAGTGATCATATAATAACTTCTGGAGAAAAATTAATTAGGAGGAGGAGAGAAGGCATTTGGGGAAGGTGTTAGTACTTTAAGCTGTGTGGTCAGGGGAGGTTCCCTGAGATGACATTTAAGCAGAAAGCAGAAAGAACCATGTGGGTGTCTGGGGGAAGAGCATTCTAGGCAGCGACAATAGCCGTGCAAAGGCCCTGAGGCAACTGTCTCCTTGATTCATCTCATTCAACCTTGAGTTAGAAATCGCTGTTGTTCCCATTTCATAGATGCCCCTAGTTAAGGAGCACTTTCTACATCTGGCAGGGAAGAGGCAGGGCAGATGGAGAAACTGAGGCCCAGAAAGATCATGCTCAAAGTCACACAGTGAGTCTGTGGCATAGCTGGAATTCATGCCTCGGTCTTCTGCCTTCCATACCAGAGCTCTTCCGAGAGTAACTCAAGGTTCTTTAGTTTCTAATGGAATGCATCACTTCTGGCACCCCCAAAGTTCAGGGACCCCAAAGGACTGGGGCACGATGCAGTCTCCAGAAAGGCTACTGAACCAAGCACGGGTGATGAATCCCAGCCTGGGGGAGGCAGAGCCAGCCTGGGTGGCAGTGCTCGGCTATGGTGGGACAGAGAGGCCCAGTCAATAGTGCCTCCTGCTGTCTCGTCCAGTGTGTCCCCTTTAGAGTAAGGGGACTCTCCTACTTACAAGGGCTGTATCTCAAGTCCACCAGCAGGGGAGAGTGGCTGAGGAACACCAGTGACTAATCTCAGGCTGCCCAGCCGCTGCCCAGTGGTCAGCGTGGGGCCAAGGTCAGCAGTCAGCCTGGGCCAGAGGTTTGTGGTTGGATCAGGAGTCAGTGGGTACCCCGGCAGGAGTCAGTGTATGGTTTGGCTGAGGGATCAGTCTGTGACAAGGGACAGCCGTCGGTTTATGTTCAAATCAGGACTTCATCCATCACCAGGGTCAAAGAGCAAATAGGCCCAAGTCAGGACTCAAACATGGCCAGCGTCAGAAGTGTGTGTCTGCGGAGTGAAGCCTGCCACCAGCGTTGCATCAGGCCAAAATCTGACCTCAGAGCCAGGTGTGGCCAAATCAGGAGATGCTGTAACCACTGAGCTGCCAGCCCTGTCAAGCAGGATGCTGGGCAGAGGGGACACATCAGTTCCCTCCATCTCCCATGCCAGACCTGGCAAGTCTGGGCAACCCAACCCAAAGCCTCCCCACTGTTCCAACAGCCTGGGGGACTTAGCTGATCTAACATCCACCCATTCCCATTTAACAGATGGAAAAACTGAGCCCAGAGTGGGGCCAGGACATACCCAACATCATAGCGCAGATGAAGACACAGCCAGGACCAGAACTCAAATCTCCTACACCAGTGGGCTTCCCCCCTGAGCCTGAACATGGAGTCACCACTGGCTCAGTGATTACTGAGTGGAAAGGGATTCGAGACGGCAGAGCACTGTGCAGAGATAGCTGGGCATGAGGGGAGAGAATGCAAGCCTCAGCTGGGAATCGGGACTCTTGGATTCTCATCTTCTCAGATTGACTTAATTCACCACTTCAGAGAGGTCTGTGCGTTCACTTGTTCATTGATTCATTTATTCAACAAATGTCTTCTTAGGTAACCTCTCTGGACCTCAGTCTCCTGATCTGTAAATGGGCAGAATGCCTTTCCCAGGATGGTTGTGGAAACAAATGAGAAAACAAATGGGCAACTTCTGGTGACTGCGCACAGGTGCATGCGTGGTTGCAGCAGATGGCAGTGCCGCCCGCGTGCCTTGGTTATTCCTGTGGCTCATGCCCATGGGAAAGCTTCCAACCACAGCACCTGCAACTCCCCCTGCCCCACAACAATGTTCTCTGGTCAGTGGTTGGGGGCAAGCCAGAGTCCTGGGAGTTAGCACACACCTAGGAGTGACCCTCAAGCAATGTTGGAACAGAGCCGAGGAATACACACTCAGCTCCCTCCCCGCTCAGCTGGGGTCACTCAGGTGTGTTCTACGCTGTCTTCCCAGGGTCCCCAGTGGGATGGAGCCCCGGTTGCCCACAGCTATAACTTGCTGGCTAATGCATATTCCTCCCTGGTTTCTTCCCCACCCCCTTACAGGTACTCCTTGGGATCATAAATGAACTACCTGCAACTCACATCCTAGTGTGAGTTGCAGGGTCTGCTTTCAGATCAGCCCAAACTCAGGTATGAACACATCGCATGTCATCTCATCTCACCTTCACAACACCCCTGGGAGGTGGGCCTGCTGCCCCACTCTACAGAAACAAATGCTCAGAAAGCTTAAGGTCATTGTCAAGAATATGGCAGATCTGGAATTTCTCCCCAGGACTGTCTGTCTCCAGAGCCAACACTCAACTATCACGTTATGCATCATCCCACCTCACCCCCAGGGACCTCCCTCATAATGGAAGCAGCAGCAAAGACTTCATAATGAACAGCACCAGGTAAGTGCTTGTGGAGATGAGAGAACTGCAACATTGCCTGTTGTCCTGCAGGCAGTAGTCCCGCAGCAAGCCAGCATGCTTTCCTGGGGACATGATACCTGAGCTGGGCGTTTAAGGATGCACTGGAGTTGTCCAGGTGGTGAATAAGAGAATGCACTCCAGGCAGAAGGAAGAGCAGGTGCAAAGGCTTAGAGACACGAAAGAGGGTGTTGTATTTAAGGAATGCCGGAAAGCAATGAAGGTGTGTGGGGTGTGATGCCTTCAGGAGAGGGTGGGAACCTTTGCTCTAGAAGTAGGCCTGCATTGCCCCTGGTGGGCTGGGCACCACCCTGCTCAGAAGGCTTCAATCAGGCACAGGTGTGGTCAGATGTGTGGCTCTGGTGGCAGTGTGGAGCAGATCATGCTTGATACATAGTATATGCTCAATACAGATGTAGTCTTAACTATTAATTTTTTATTTTATTATTTCAATTTTGTATCTAGTTTGTTTTTGTTTTTGTTTTAAGACTTCTGTACCCCCAATGTCATGAATAATTACTTTCTTCTAAAAATTTTAAATTTTGCTCTTTCCCATTCAGGGCTTTGGGTCATCTGAAATGTACGTTATGTTTGGTGTGAGGTAGGAATAGCATTTTATCTCTTCTGTGTGAAGAGCCAGTTAGCCTAGCACCATTTCTTTATTAAATAGGTTGCTCTGTAAATGCTGACGTCTTCCACGTTCGAAGTGCCCATTTATAAGTGGGTGCGTTCAGAGGTTCTCTCTTCCATTTTTTGAACATCCTCCTTGAATCACTACACTTTATAATAAGCCATCGTCTCTAAAAAGACAAGGCTTTCTTAATATTCTTCTTCAAATTTGAGTTGGTGTATTAGTGCTACGGGATCTTTGGGGTGTCACTTTTCTGGCCGGAAACCTCTGTGTGGCTGCTGCAGTGGGGCAGGCAGCTCCAGGTGCCAGCACCAGTGCCAGCTTTCTGTGAGTCTGTGGTTGGACCAGGTGCATTGCAAGCAGCATCCACAGCTGGCACTGGGAACATAGTGGCACCTGGAAGCTTGGAGATGCCAGGAACCACAGGGACCCAAGGAGGGAGTCATAGGTCTGGCTCAGGGAGCACCCAGGCCTGAGCTCCCTGAAGGGCTGCAGCTCCTCTCTCCTCTTTGCCTGTGGCATGGCGAGCAAGGGACATATCTCAGCCCTGTTTGTGTTACAGCTCTTTAGCCTTGCCATTCATCAGGTCCTGAGTTCTTGTCCTGCAATCCAGAATAATGAAGTATGCAGACAAGTGGAGGGTGAGCAAAAGGAAGAGGAGCTTTACTGAGCAATAGCGCAGCTCAGAGGAGACCTGCCATGGGTAGCTCCTTTCTGCAGCCAGAGTGTCTCGATGAGTGTTCAGCTCCTAGCAGAGCGTGTAGTTCCTGCAGGCAGGTTCCAACAAGTGTTGAGGTCTCAGCAGAGAGGGTAGCTCCTCTCTGCAGCTAGTTGTCCTGACAAGTGTTCAGCTATCAGCAGAGAGGGTTGCTTCTCTCTGCTGCTGGCCATCCTGTTGTCTGCAGCTCTCCGCAGAGAGGAGGCCCTAGAGGGGGTGGCTTCTCTCTGCAGGCAGGTTATTCTGTTGTCTCTGCGGCTCTCAGCAGAGAGGCTAGCTCCTCTCTACAGCTGGTCATCCTATCGTCTCTTTGTCCTCTCAGCAGAGAGGAGGACCTGGGGTGGGTTGCTTTTCTCTGAAGGCAGATGGCAGCCCTCCCTGGCCTGTCTGCCTCTTGCTCCCAGGCTTGTTCATGGCCCCCAGGCTGCTTGCACCCACCAATGGGCACCTGCAGGCCAGCGTCGACCCACCCTCAGCAACCCCCTCAGCTTCCTCCCCAACGTTTGTCAGTGCCCAAAGTCTGGAGGGGGCCAAGGCAGCAGGGAGCCAGAATGTCAGTGCTGCCCCAAGTGTGTGCACCGCTGGCCTGGCTGTGATAGCACACAGGCTTGGCCCCACATTGCTCTGAGATCGGAGCAGGCACCGACAGTAGAAAGAATCCAGGCAGTGGGAGCGGGCACTTCTGAGCCTGTGAAGGCAGGGAGCCCCTTCCTGGGTCCCCAAGAATGCAAGGATGCCTGGGTTCACACCCACAGTTTGGGCAGCTGTGGCTCCGCCCAGGAGAGTGGGGCTCCCACCTGCTCCCAGGTCCCGAGAGCACAGGGATGCCCGGGTCCGCAGCCATGGTTGGGGTGGCTGCAGTGGTACCAGCGGAGATCCCGCCCCAACTCAGAAGGGGGTGGAGCTCCTGCTTGTCCCTGGCTCCTGCCAGCTCCATGGAGAATGCAGCCCCAGCCATGCCTCCCTGATGAAGCCGGTGTGATGGCAGCAGCCCCTCCAGATGGCCCGCTGCTGCCATCATTAGTTTCCTGTTATTGCCAAAACAAATTACCACAAAAAAAACTGTGGCTTTAAGCAATACAAATTTATTGTCACACAGCTACAGAGGTCAAGATTTCAGATTTTTCCCTGAGACAGATAAGGTGTCAGCAGGGCTGTGTTTCTTCCTGGAGGCTCTGAGGGAAAACCATTCCCTTTCTTTTTATCAGATTCTAGAGGCACCTGCATTCCTTGGCTTGTGGCCTCTTCCTCCATCTCAAAGTGCATCGCTCCAATTTCTGCTTCTGTCATCACATCGCCTTTTCCTCCAGCTCCGACTCCTCCTGCATCCATCTGAAAAGGATAATCCAGGATATTCTCCCTATCTCAAGATCCTTCATCACATCTGCAAAGTCTCAGGTATGGGTGGGGCTGAGGATATAATCAGTTCTGGGCAAAATTCCTCTGGATGTGCAGATTTGTGAAACTAGAAAACAAGCTTTCTGCTCCCAAAATACAGTGGTGGGACAGCATAAGACAACAGTTATAGACATTTCCATTCAAATAGGGAGAAAATGGAAGGAAAAAAGGAGTCACCAGTCCCAAGCAATTTCAAAATCCAATCAGACAAACTCCATCAGGTTTCAAGGCCTGGGAAAAATCCTCTGCCCTCTGTATGCAAAACAGCAACAACAGCAGCAACTTTGGACCTTACCTCACACCATCTATAAAAATGAACTCAAATGAATTATAGTCCCCTAAAGAAGCATTATGCTAAGTGGAAAAGCCAGACACAAAAGCACACATCATATAGGATTCAGTACATATGAAATTCTAGGAAATACACAGCTATCATGACAGAAGGCAGATCAGTGACGGCCAGTGGCCAGGTAGCAGGGGTGGAAACTGATTGACAACAAAGGAGTGTGGGGTGGCTGTTGGGGGTGATGGAAATGTTCTCACAACTGTATATGTTTTCAAAACTCATCCAACTATATACTAGAAAGGGTGACTCTTATTATATGTAAACTATACCCTAATTTTTTTTTTCTGAGACAGAGTCTCGCTCTGTCGCCAAGCTGGAGTACAGTGGTGCGATCTCACCTCACTGCAACCTCTGCCTCACTGCAACCTCTGCCTCCCGGATTCAAGCGATTCTCCTGCCTCAAGCTCCTGAGTAGCTGGGACTACAAGCGCGTACCACCACACCCAGCTAATTTTTGTATTTTTAGTAGAGACAGAATTTCACCATGTTGGCCAGGATGGTCTCGATCTATTGACCTCGTGATCTGCTTGCCTTGGCTTCCCCAAGTGCTGGGATTACAGGCGTGAGCCACTGCGCCCTGCCCCCAATTTTAAAATAGTGTCTTGACTATTCTTGGTATAAGACAAATAAAGAAGGGAAGGAAGAAATGAAGGAAGGAAGAAGGAAGGAAGGAAGGGAGGAAGGAAGGAAGGAAGGAAGGAAGAAGGAAGGAAGGAAGGAAGAAGGAAGAAGGGAGGGGAAGGGAAGGGATGGGGAGGGAAGGGATGGGGAGGGAAGGAAGAAATGAAGGAGGAAAGAGTCAACTTCAACAGGCTAGGGAGTGGGTGGCCTCCATCAGCCAGGAGGGTCCTGTGACCCAGGCTTTAGGCTGCTGGACACCGCTGGACAGGCCTATTGGAGTTTGGGTCCCTGGACCTCTGGGGAAGGCATCTCCTGCCCCACCTTTCTGGGACAGAAAAGCAGTCAGAGCACACCTGGATTTCCATGTTATCCCAGAAAGCAGTCATGACCCCTTAGCAGGATCTTCCCTCATAGTGCTCGGTTTCTTCGTGAGAGCAGAGATTTTAGTCTGTTCCAAACTAAGGGTAGGGAGCCTATCCCAGTTCACGCAGCCCATGCCTTTTGGCCCCAAAGCCCTGCTGCTGGACCAAGGCACCAACTGCCTGATGTGGAGTCCCTGGGGGCTCAGCTCAGGCCTCCGCCGCAGGGACAGGCCTTGTGGGTACTAATCCACATGAGCCTTGAGTGGCTTCTGATTCTCTCCAGTCAAGGAGCTGCCTCTGCCCCCCTCAAGGATGGGCCTCTAATGGGCCCTGGTTTCCCTGTAGAGTAGGCACAAATAGCTCAGGCTCTGGAGCCAGATGGCCCGGGTTCAAACCCTGGTTCTGCTGTTTGCCTTGTGGTATGACCCAGGGCAGGGTATTCAATGCATTCCTGTCTCCCCTCCTGTAAAGTGAGGCGAATGGTACTACCTACCTCCAAGAACCAGGAGGATTAGATGAGCTCATCTGGGAAAAGGTTAACGGTGGAGTGTGGGCCCAATAAGTGTTGGCTATTGTCATCACTGACCACTGGCAAAGAGCCCCTGGCCTGCTTCCCCTTGGGTTTCCAAAGCCCAGCCCCCTGCCCACGACCACAAGGCTGAGCAGAGACAAACTGCTTTCTTGGAGGGCTGGGCCCGGCCCTGCCACCCATTTCAGTGTCCCACCATGCAGGGGTCCCTCAATCAATAGCCTGGCTGATTGTGGCTTTGGGGTCTCAACCACCAGCCACAGGAGTCCAGCTGGTCCAGACCACAGGTCCACCCGGGGCTGGAGCTGGGAATTGAGGAGGTGACAGCGGGTGGGGTGGGTGTGAGCTGTCACCTGCGTTACTTCTGTGGGTCCACAGGGGCCTGCACTCTGCTGACGCCAGCCCCGGGAGACAAAGGAGGGCCTGGGGTGGGGCCCGGGAGGTGCAGGGTAGTGGGCCAGTGACCAGTCTCAGCTGCACCCACGCCTTGCTGGTGAGCTTTGCCAAACCACTTTTCTCTGAGCCTCATTTGCTCCTCTGTAAAATGGAGGGGACGGGGGAAATCCCCACCGCCTTTGCTTTGGACACGGTCTGGTATTTCGGGCTGGGCCTGGTGCCTTGGTGCTTTACATCAACTCGTTAACTCTCACTACAGCCCCTGAGGTGCATGCTATGATTTTCCCCATTTTAAAGATGCAGAAACTGAGGCTTACATGTTCCAAAAAGCTTTATCTTTGGGGAGATTAGGCCAGCTGTGAAGCTCGTGTCACAAATGGGGACGCTGAGACTCAGGGAAGTGACCAGCCTGGCCTAGAGCTGGCCTCCTTCAGGGAGGCCAGGTCCCTGAAGGAGGCCAGGTTCCAGGTTTAGGAAGAAATGCTTTCCTTCCCAGGCCCACCCCTCCCAGGCCCATTTGCTCACCTGCAAGTTAATGTGGGGGCTGTTTTTTTCCACTTTCTATTTTTCAAGGCTGCTACCAAAGGGGCCACGCAGGACGTCCTCTGGGGAATGCTGGCTCCCACACCACCCGCCTCGGCTCCTGGGCCAAGGTTTTGCCTTGATCTGTCCATCCCACTGCACATGGCTTCAAGGAGGCATTCATGGGAATCCCTGCTCAGGTCAGGCAGCATCGTGTCAAGGTCATGGCCCCTTGAAGATTCTTTGAGGAAGTGGCTGTTGAGCTCCCAACCCCAGGGCTGGAGCAGGAGGATCAGACACCCCGGCCTCAGCCCCAGAGCATGAAAGCCCTCCCCACTCACCCAGCTGCTCTGCAGACCCACACTTGCACACAACTCCATGTGCCACTGACCAGCTCTGACCTCGTCCTGGGCAAGGCTGGCGGGGCCTAGACCCAAACCCACAACAGTGTGTGGCTCCCAGGGAGGCAGCGTTTCCTGGGCACCAGCTCTTTAGAGAATGCCTTCAGAAGTCCCCATCCAGCCTCTCCCCTCATGAAATCCTGTCCTTGAATCATCCAGCCTAGCCCCCTGAGTAGCTGTGCATTTCCGAGACCCCGAATCCATAATATTCATATGAATGAGGTGGAGGGCAGGGAGAATCGCTGCCATTTATTCAACCCTTAATAAATGCTGGGGGCTGCACAAAGCACTTTAAATAAATACAGCCTCTCATTTTAATCCTAAACAGGCCTGTGAGGGAGGTGCCATGATTACCCTTGTTTTATAGATGATGAAAGCTAGGGCTCAGAAGATGAAGTCCTTTACCAAAGGTCACACAGCTAGAAAGCAGAGAGGCCAGGAGTAGCACCCACTTGCTACAAGAGACTGGCCCCTCCAGACACAGTCCTTCCCGACAGCCTCTTTGAGGTTTCCCTGGACCTAGCCCATCGGGACACTGTCCTCACAGCAAAGTAGCAGCCCCAGGCTGGGCACACGGCAGGAACCCTGTGCTGTGGCCCCCCGACCCAGTCCTGTGAACCCTTCCTTACTCCTCTGGCTCTGCTGGGACCATGCTCTCCACCCCAGAGCTGGGATAGCTGGGCCCTCTCCTCGCCCTCTCATCCCAGCGTCCACCCTCCTGTTCAGAGCTGGACCGTTAGCCCATGGGCCCCCTAGGATTCTCTTTGCTTCCAGTTCCCCAGGTGACCAGCAGATCTGTTATTCCTCTCATTTCACTTATTCATTTATTCAGTGGAGTTTAGGGGCAGTCAGGAGGCCCTGGGGACTTGTGAGTGGCTGGTATCAGCCAAGGGCCAGGTCCAGCCTCTGTGGGTAGACACGAATGACTTATTAGGGCTCTGAAAAGGGGCTGTGGATGTGTCTGCCATGGTCAGTCCCTGGGGCGAGAGCCAGCGTCCAAGGCCATGCTTGCCTGCCCTGGTCACCAGAAAGGGCTGGGAGAGGAGGAAGAACTGGGAGCAGGTTAGGACTTCAGAGCTCCCCTAGCTACTCACCAACCTCAGGGACAGGCAGGGGCCAGCCCCTGGAGAAGCCCCCCGTACCTGCTCCCCACCCCACCATACACACGCAGTCTCCCTACAGTGTCCCCCTCCCTTCCTGGCCCCTGAGTCTCCGAGGCAGCAGGAGGAGCAGCAGAAGATCCCAGGACGTGAAGTTCAAAGACAGACAGTCACCCCAGCCACCTGTCTCCCATCACCATCGCCATCACCAGGGCCTCTGAGCCCCACACCCCTCCTCACTGCCCATGTGTCCCCATTTCTCAGGGTCCCTATGTTCTGATGGTGTCACAAGCCCTAGGAGTTAAAAAGTGACAGTTCCCTTCACCTTCTTCTCCTCTCTACAATCCCCTGCCCCTCCTAGCAGGTGAGCCCCGCTAGCAGGTTGGTGTCTATTCTACAGACCCTTTTATGTGCATTAAAAAAACTCCACATGGATATCACAGAGATCGACATATGTAGGATTTACTTTACAGAAATAGCGCCAAGCCATATACATTTTTCTCTGATGTGCCTTTTTTTAGTAGTGTGGAAATCTTTCCATATTTATGTATACACATCTACCATAATTCTTAGCTATTGCAGATTTTATACTGAAAAGAAAACAGAAAGGCTAAGGCTAAATACCCATACTCCCATAGCTTTTTTGTCAAGTACATGAACGAAGAAGTAAAAGCCTCCAAACATAGCATATGAATCTTTCGTATCCTTTTCCCAAGATTACGGAGGCGGAGCTGTGTGGATGTGCACTGGTTCAAACATAGTCATGCATTTTCTTACAGAGTGGCATCATGCCAGTCGTGCTGCTTTATTATTAATTTTTCTGCTTAGCAGTCTGTCTTGGAGATTTTTCCAGATTGGTGCATTTTCATGTCACTAGATTCTGTTTATCCACTATGATTCCATTGTCCGGATGAACCACTGTTCCCCTCTTAATGGACATTTCAGTTAGTTCCAGGCCTTTGCTGAAATGAACACCCTTCCTTATATATCTCTGCACTCCTCATCCCAGGTCTGAAGTCTGAGGAACTGGGGACAATTGTGTGGTGTCGTGATGGTGAGCATGTAAACCACATGTCTGCCCTGTGAAAGGAAGATAAATCTGGGGACCCCAAAATCACCCTCCACCCCACGCACACTCACAACACAGCCTCCTCCAGGCAGCAGAACTGTTAAGCCTGTCAGAGACTCAGGCAGCTGCCAGGCACTAAAAATAAACAGATGAGCTCCTTTGTCTGCATTTAGCAAGCAGGTTGCAGAATTACATCTGCCCAGGGTGACCCCACACCCTGGTTTGGGGGTAAGAAGAGAAGCAGCTTCCAGGCCATCTTCCCAGCACCCCCTTGCCTTGGCTGTGCCATCCACCCCACCCTCCACTGCTTTCCTCCTTCCTCCAGCAGAGGGATTACCTGGGGCAGGAAAGGGGGCAGAGGACCCCTATATGGCCCTGGCAGGCCTCAGAGGCCCATCTGGGAGAAGAGGACTTTGCAGGTTCATTTCCACAAAATGGGGAGCTCCCAGCACGACCTCTGGGATCTGGGCAGCTGCTCAGCTGCTTTTCTGTTCAATTGCATCAAACTAATGTGAACCTGAAATGCTCTAAAATTGAAGCAGGAAAAATTGGATCTGCTATTGATCCTCATCACTTGGGTGACTCCTGTGACCCATATTAGCCACAACCCAGCCAAAAGCAACTGCCCTGAAAACAAAGAGTGTGTGTGGTTATTTGATTCTGTTCAGTTGTAGATGGGAGGAGCCTGGGGTCCCCCAACTCAGCTGCCCTTGTCCCAGATGATGCAAAAAAAAAAAAAAAAAGTGAAGATAAAGACAGAGGAAAGGGTGGGAACCAGGATGGGGACAAGCAACCCTTCCATTGCCTGTAGAAAGGTTTTCAGGAAAAAGATTTGCTGGCATAGAAAAGGCTGTTGGAGCAGGGCAGCTCTAGGGGCTCCTGGGACCTCCCTTCCCACAGGTGTCAGGGAAGCAACCTCAGGCCACTTCTGCTGCGCCATGTCTGCAGTCCCACACCCAGCCTACTGTGCGCAGCATGTGGGGTGCTCTTTAAAGTACATGATGTCCTGTGTAAGTTAAAAACTCATGTTCCAGAAACAGCATCCTGGAAAGTCAGGACTGAGGCCTTGGAGAGTAAATAGACCAGCAGCTCCCAAGTCTGGCACACATGAGAGTCATCAGCAGCTCTGACAGGTGCAGACTCCCAGGTCACCCCCGAGGGCGTCTGATTCGGCATGTGTGGGGTGGCGCCTGGGTATATGTATTGTGAAAACATGTCCAAGCTCAGGACCCTTAATTTCCAAGCGAATTGTGTTCTCTGGAGTCTTGGGAATGGCAGAGGGACCCGGGGCTCCTGCATGGTGAGGGGAGCTGAGCACGTGGGACCCCAGGCTCCTCACCTCTTGAACTGGAGCATCCCACTCTCATCCATTCCATAAACTGCATCTTTGATCGATTGTAAGACACACCACAGTTTTATGTACCACGCAGAAAGACACCGCCAGGTGCCATGGATTATAAGATGCATATCAGTCTCATAGGCAGCAAAGGTGAAATGTGTGTTCTAGAATCCACAAAATAGTGTATGCGGTCCCTTCCTTCAGTGATGTCCCACAGCTCTTAGAGTAAGCCTCACCTCCTCCACATGACCCCAAGGCCCTGTGTGTCCAGCCCTTGCCTACCTCTCCAGCCACCTCCCCAAACCATTCTCGCCTCCTCTGCGCTCCCGCCCTCTGGCTGCCTTCTTTCAGACCCCAGCATCCTCCTCGTTTCCTCCCCAGACAGGAACTTTGCACAGGCCATACATTCTTCCCTTTCCTTCTTAACCTACTCTCTTTGAGAGCACAACTCAACTGCCGCTTCCTTGGGAAGGCCTTCCCTCATCCTCTTTGCTAGATCACACCACCACCACCATTATTCTGTCTTGTGGCCCCTCCGCAGCGCTGGTCCCAGCCACAATCTCACCTTGCTGTGTGGGATTAGGTGATGAATGCCAGACTTCCCTGATTGACGGTAAGCCACATGTAAGTAGAGACTGTCCTGGTTTAACCTGCCATAGAATCCCTTGTGCCTACCACTGTGCCTGGCACTCAGTAGGTACACAACAATCTACACTGGGCTGGTACCCCTCCCCACCAACATGGGGCTCCAGGTTTCAGTGACCTGAAAGGGCAAAGTTGTAAGGGTCAGTCTGGGAGAGAAGCCTTATGGGCCCATGCCAGTCCACAGCTGGGGCATGAGGGTGGAGAGATGGCAGCCAGTGCACACGCCTGCACAATGGTTGCCCCAGCTCCTCCTCCCCAGCTTCCTCACTGGGTCTCAGGCCAGCCTGTTTGCTCAGCTGCCTTATGGAGTTCAATTCTGCTTTCCTGCCCCTCTGCACTCCACCTCCACCTGCCATTCACTGAAGAAACCAAACCAGAGACAGCCAAAGGAGAGGGGATAAGACCGCCCACCAGTCTGTCCACCAAGCCCGCAGGAGAAACAGGCGCCCAGGCCCCAGCCAAGGAGAGATGGTCCTGCAAAAATTCATCATCAAGAGTCTGGGGTTTGGAGTCGGGCTGTCTGGGTCTGAGCCACTCCCCAGCATTGGGCAAATTCCTTCGATTTCTCTTAAGACTCAATTTCTTCCTCTGTAAAATGGGGATTGCAAGAGCAGCTTTGCAGGGTGGCTTTGTGAAACACCTAAGGCGTTGAACTTGACTGAGGGCTTCTGCAATAGCACCCGTGGCCTGGGAAGTGCTTAGCACATGCTCTGATGCAGCATGAGTGCTATTATGATCCCCCTGTGTGGGGAGCCGGAGTCTCGCCCCCAGGGCCTGCTGAGCTGTCATCGACCTGGCTGCCCGCATTGATCTGGCCAGGACCCCCTCGGGAGTCCCATCTGCATGGACAGGCCACCCTCTGCCCCTGGGTGGCTGCCCTTTGCCAAGTTCACGGTCTGGAGCAGTCGGCCAGCTGGGCCTCCCACTAATGAGTGCCTCGTCCTGCCCAGACCAGCTCTCCTTACTCTCCATCGATCCTTGACCTTCCTGGGGAAGCTCCCTCCTCCACTTCTGCCTCTACATGGTTGCTACTGCTGCTCACCCCAGACTCTCGTCGGCTCTGGCAGGACCTCGCTCTGTCCAGGCACCCCTGAGCCTGGGAGCCCCAACCACTCATCCCCCCGACATGTGTGCTCAAGGCCAGGGCTGTGGTCTGGGTTCAGATCTCGACTTGGCGCCTGGTTAAACCAATGCTAGGACCAAGAGATTCGATAGCAAGTTATGAACTGAACATTTGTGACCCCCAAATTCACATGCCATCACCCCCACTATGGCTATATTTGGAGATGGGGCCCCTAAGGGAGTAATTAAGGTTAAATGAGGTCCTGAGGGTGGGGCCCTGTGGACCCAAGGCGGGTACTATTGTCCTCATAAGAAGAGACACCAGAGAACTCATTCCCTCTCTCCACGCACACACAAAGCGAGATGGCAACAGCCCACGGCCAAGAGAAGGGTGAAACCTCTCTGGTAATAAAGCTTACCTTGCTGGCACCTTGATCTTGGACCTTCCAACCTCCAGAACTGTGAGAAATAAATTTCTGTTATTTAAGCCACCCAATCCATGGTATTTTGTTATGGCAGCCTGAGCAGACCAGACACAAGCTATGTGACCTCAGGCAGGTTTCTTAGTCTCCCCATGCCTCAGTTTCCTCATATGTGAGCTCTGAGGACCGTAAGCACACATGACAAAGCTCAGTCAGGGTGGAGTCCCGCACCAGGTGGCAGCTGCTCCCATGGCTGTCCCCTGAACAAATTCTGCACCTGCAATGCCCTTCTCCTCCCTCCTGGCACCTGAATCCTACCCTTCTTCCTAGTTCACCCCTGGGACCCCTTCTTGGCCTCCTGCATGGTCTCTTTCTCTCCAGAACTCCTAGAGCCCCTCCTGGGTATATGTGAGCCTGGGCATTTGCCTAATACCTGGTATTTTTCATCTTCCCAAATGGTCCATCCCATCTCCACCCACCCCCATCCCCACACACACATTCTAGGCGTGCCCAAGGCTGCGGCTCTGAGCCTCAGTTTGCTTCCTTCCAGAGAAACCAAGTTCAGGGCAAGTCCATGGGAGATGCTGAAGACAACAGTGTCTAAAATTGTACCATAAGATATGTCCCCCTGGTTTTTTTCATTTCGGAAGCAAACATTCCTCTCACCAAGTCTCTGCCTCTTTGGTGAGAACCTTCTGGCTTTGGCACTGGGCACCTCTAGTTATAATGACCCTAACAAGTGCTGACATGTCTTGGGCTCCTACGATGTTCATCCCTGGATGTGCTTTGTCTCATTCAATCCTTCCAGCGTCGTCCCGAGGGCGGTGCTGTGACAATCCCATTCCACAAAGCAGGAAGGAAGCAGGGCAAGGGGAGGGAACTTGTGGGAAATGGCAGAGCTGGAGTAGGCATGAAAATGAGGCTGACTCCAGGGCCCACCCTCCACCACCACACTCCACACCCTGCAGCCACAGGTAGCCCTTCTCCCCGGCCAGAGGTGACTCCTTGAGGCGCAGCCTAAGATCTTCTGAGAGCCAAGCTTTGCCAAGAGCCAGGCATGGAGCTGGGCTCCCCGGCTGGGATGATCATCCCTGACCCATGGACTGAGGATTTGGGAGCACATGGGGTAGGGGAGTGGGCACACCACACACCCATTCCCCTGGGCTAGCCGTGGTCCGTCGCCTCAGCTCTCTGCACAGACACCGTCGCTCAGCAGCGTCTCAGCTTTTACCCACAGACTGCCTCGAGAAAGCCATGAGTGCACACACAGAGGGGGGCAGAGGACCCCAGCCGCCCTGCCACCATGCGCTCTCCCACAAACAGCTGGACTTCCTTGAGGAACTGATGGGTTCCCCCTTTCTGACACCAACACTCATGTCACTGACCATATCTTCCTTTCTGCTTTGGCTGCTGGGAAGCTCAAAGCCAAATTTGGAACTCAACTCAAGCAATCATCTTGCCTTTATGGTGTTATTTTCTGTGTGAGTTTGATGGTCTATTTCCCAAATCTCAGTTTCTGTCCTTCCTTCCATCCATCCTTCCTTCCATTCTTCCTTCTTTCCTTCCTCCCTCCCTCCCTTCCTCCCTCCCTCCCTTCCTCCCTTCCTTTTCCTTCCCTTCCCTCTCCCTCTCCTCCTTTCTCCTTCCTTCCATCCATCCATCCATCCTTCCTTCCTTCCTCCATCCCTCCCTTCCTCCCTTCCCTTTTCTCCCCTCCCCTCCCCCGCCTTTTCTCCTTCCTTCCTTCCTCCCTCCCTCCCTCCCTTCCTTTCATTATTATCAAATGCTACTATAAACACAACAAGAGCTGACCCTGTGTGCTCTTGGAGCCTGCTGTAGAGCACAGAGAGAAACATATGAACCAAAGAATCCCAAATGTATCGACAATGACTATAATTATGACAAGCAGGAATGGGTGTCAGGAAGAGACATGTGGGGGGCCTCACTGCATCAAGGGTTCGGGGCAGGGTGCCTTTCCAAAGGCGTGGCCCTGGAGCTGGGATGTGGGGGATGAGTGGAGCTCCGTGGTGGGGCATGGGGAGCAGGGGGAGCAGGGCCCAGCTAAAGCCCAGTGGAGGGACAGGCTTGTCGTGCTGGAGGGACGGAGAGGAGGGGGCCGGGGAGAATGGCTGCAAGAAGGAAGATGCAGAAGTGGGAACTCCCGGGTTCATGATTCACCTGGAGAGCAGAGGCTAACATTGCATTACTTATGTGTAACAGGAGTGTGCTTTGTGATGAAGATAAACCCCCACCGAAGTGAGGGAGTCAAGCAGGCAGAAGCGCTGGCTGTGCTGGATTATTTTCTCCCTGGGAGAAGCCGCAACCCTGGCATCTTCCAGGGAGCTGATGGAGATGGTTGGCCTGGGTGTGGGAAGAGCGGGAGAGAATCTGATGCAGGGCAGGCTGGGGCAGGGGGCACTTCACTGCAAGGGGCAAAGGCGGTCAGGAAGCCTCTCGTGCTGGTTCACTTTGTGGCCTTGAGTAAGTCCCTGCACCCAGGGCCTTGCCTTCCCTCCCTGGAGAATGAGGCCCTTGATAATGAAAGGTGGAGCTGGTCACACAGCCTCCCTCACAAACGGCTGCCTCCCAAGTGCAAGATCAGGCTCCCCAGAGCTCCCACCCGCCAGCAGTCCCTCCCCGCACGCGGAGCCCTGAGCCCCTGTCCTGCCCTCCCCAGAAGTGGGAAATGGCGACAGAGAGTCGTTCAGAAGCCATTAGGGCCTGTCGTCCCTGCCCCAGCGCCCACCCGCCCCTCCTGCTGTGGCCTGGACTTAATAATGTTGTGCAGCTTTAAAAGCCAGTGGCTCAGGCGCCCAGGCTCCCTGCAGACAGTCCTCCCCATCCCAGCAGGACCCCCACAGGCAACAGGACCTGAGCCCCCACCACCACCGGGGAGAGGGTGTTGGCTCCTGCGGGCAGGAGCCCAGATCTCTCAAGATGTGGGTTCAGGTAAGAATCTCTTGCCTGAGTTCAGGGCCTCCAGGGCAGCCTCGTTCCCTGTGAGGGAGGCTGTCCTGCCACTGGATCTCACTATTGATCAAGGGGGTGAGGCCATGGGGAAAAGTGCTGGAAGGAAGAAACCTGGGTTCTGGACCTGGATCTGGCCATAATTAGTTGTGTGACTTTGGGAAGTCACTTCTCACTTCTGTTTCCATTTGCCCCACTATTGAATGGGTGCATTGGTTTGGGTCTCTGACAAGCAGGCACCAGGATGGGGTGAGATGGGCGAGAGGCCTCTTGGGGGAGACCCTGGGCAGATTAACCAGGAGAGGGAACAGGAGCAGGCAGAGAGGGCTCCAGGCCAGGGTGCAGGTATGACACCTCCACTGTGCTGGGGAAGGGAGGGTAGGAAGAAACGGGCAGGGCCTGTGGCCTCCAGGGAAACGTGGTGGTGGATCCAGAGAGCTGGCGCTCAGTTGCTGTGCTCCAGGCAGCATCTCCTGAAGGGGAGCTGCAGGGCCATCTCCATGGCTGCTACCTGGAGGTCCCAGTCCCCACCTTGCTGTGCAGTGGGACTATGGATGATCTGCTGCATAAGCTGGGAAGTGCTGTCCCCACAGGAGCCAGTGCGTACTCCATGCAGGGGAGAAGTCTAGGGTGCCGGATTGGGCAAAGGTGAGGAAGGGAGGGCTGTCCCCCATCAGCCTGGGAGACTCTGGGACTGGTTGATCCTCATGCCACCCCTCCAGCCACACTGGGAAGGCTGAAGACAAGTTGAGGGTGCACTGAGGCAGGCTCAGAAGGCCAGGGTGAGAAGGTGGGTCTGTGGACACTGGGGAGCCATTGAGAGGCCTGACCGGCAGAGGGGCCAGTCCAGGCTGGGCCTCAGGAAGGTTAATCTGGCCTCGGTTGACCTGGTGGGGCTGAGCTGGGGAAGCCTGGGGCCCAGGCAGCGGGTGTGAGACTGAGGATTGTGGGGGGTGCAGGTGGCCAGGCCTGGAGCCAGCATTTCCCACTCCTCATGCCTTCTGACCAGAGGGATTTTCCACCCTCGGCCAGGCCTGTCTGGCCCTCCCCAGGAGATGGCTCTTAACTTCTCCATTCCCCAACGGCCCACCGGCGTGCGGTGGGAGAGCAGCCCCCAGGTTCGGGCTGTGGGACTTGCCATAGTGGCCACACTCCTCCTGCCAAACCCCAGCCCTGGTTCCCCTTCTCAAAGTCACGGCAGAAAGAAGGCCCAGCTTCCCAAGTGCCTGCCCTTCACACTGGCCATCCTCCCGGCCGCACAGCCGCTGATGCCCTCAGGCCTCAGTGAGCTGCAGGCACCCCGGGCAGCTCCTTGCCCCTTCCTCCTTATCACGACAACCAACTATTGAGCACTTACTGTATGCCAGGAGCCAGGTTGAATGCTTCCTTGAATTAGTTCATTGAATTTCTATTTCAGCTCTGCAAATTACTTACTTTTATTTCTATTTCGCAGATGAAGAAACAGGCCAGAGGTTCACTACCTTATTCACAGCTAGTCAGTGCGAGAGCTAGAATTCAAATCCAGATCTCTCTGATCCAAAAGGTTACTACTAAATAAAAACTGTAATTATCTCTCCAATCTTTCCCTTCTCGACAGTTCTCAAGTGCATTTTACTTCATCCTTAGAGGGAGTTTAGGAGAGAAATTATTCCCATTCTGCAGGTGAGAAAACTGAGGCCAGAGGAAAGAAATACCCCAAGTGTACACAAGTGGTCAGGGTTGGGCAGGAAGAGGAGAGGAGGGACATGGCGACCTAGGAAGGGTGAGGGCTCCCAGGCAGAGTCCAGTTTCCTGGTCCACTGCCCTCTGCCACTGAGGCCATCAGCAGAAGATCAGGCACCACGCCCCCAGCCCCTCACCTGCCCCAGGCTAAAGGGTGAGCTGAGAAAGACAAAAAGCAGAAATATTTCCTTGTGACACGTTCGTCCCTCCCCTCTCCCTAAGGACAGACCTGAGTCATTGAGGCAGAGGCCTCCACAGGGAGTCTGGGAGCCAAAACTTAAGGGGGGACCCCTCAGGACACATTTTTTAAGATCCTTTTATACCTTTTCTTTTAAAAAATACATGTTTCCTGATTAATTAGAAAAGTAACACCGGCTCATTGTTACAGATCACTGCCCACTGCCCACATTCCCAGAGCTAGTTCTCCATCCCCACCAATCCCTAGAGGCAGCCTCGGCACCAGCACCCAGTTGGTCTGGATACCCCCAGCCCATTCAATGCTTAGAGAGCCGTGTGTGCTTTTGCTTTTTCTCTTAAACAGATGGGATCGGGTACAGAGTAGCATGTCCCTTTTTTTCCGGTTAATATGTAGTTATATATAGTGTCAGTAGAAAGCA
This sequence comes from Homo sapiens, assembly GCF_000001405.40. Classification (NCBI taxonomy): domain Eukaryota; kingdom Metazoa; phylum Chordata; class Mammalia; order Primates; family Hominidae; genus Homo; species Homo sapiens. The sequence goes on from NC_000001.11 coordinate 25,058,023, forward strand.
CGGGGGAACAGTGTGTAGTTTGCGTTCATTCTGTTTCACAGTCCGGGAGGACTGAGGGATGTTCTGGAGGGTGTGGCTCCCCTGTTCATGGCACTGATGTGATTCCCTTCTTTGTGAACATTCTGCAGTCCTGAGAGTGTGATCACCCTCAGGCGAACGCTTCTAAAGACAGAATCAAATAGATGCAATAAAAAATGATAAAGGGGTTATCACCACTGATCCCACAGAAATACAAACTACCATCAGAGAATACTACAAACACCTCTATGCAAATAAACTAGGAAATCTAGAAGAAATGGATAAATTCCTCGACACATACACTCTCCCAAGACTAAACCGGGAAGAAGTTGAATCTCTGAATAGACCAATAACAGGAGCTGAAATTGTGGCAATAATCAATAGCTTACCAACCAAAAAGAGTCCAGGACCAGATGGATTCACAGCCGAATTCTACCAGAGGTACAAGGAGGAACTGGTACCATTCCTTCTGAAACTATTCCAATCAATAGAAAAAGAGGGAGTCCTCCCTAACTCATTTTATGAGGCCAGCATCATCCTGATACCAAAGCCGGGCAGAGACGCAACCAAAAAAGAGAATTTTAGACCAATATCCTTGATGAACATTGATGCAAAAATCCTCAATAAAATACTGGCAAACCGAATTCAGCAGCACATCAAAGAGCTTATCCACCATGATCAAGTGGGCTTCATCCCTGGGATGCAAGGCTGGTTCAATATACGCAAATCAATAAATGTAATCCAGCATATAAACAGAACCAAAGACAAAAACCACATGATTATCTCAATAGATGCAGAAAAGGCCTTTGACAAAATTCAACAACCCTTCATGCTAAAAACTCCCAATAAATTAGGTATTGATGGGACGTATCTCAAAATAATAAGAGCTATCTATGACAAACCCACAGCCAATATCATACTGAATGGGCAAAAACTGGAAGCATTCCCTTTGAAAACTGGCACAACGCAGGGCTGCCCTCTCTCACCACTCCTATTCAACATAGCGTTGGAAGTTCTGGCCAGGGCAATCAGGCAGGAGAAGGAAACAAAGGGTATTCAATTAGGAAAAGAGGAAGTCAAATTGTCCCTGTTTGCAGACGACATGATTGTATATCTAGAGAACCCCATTGTCTCAGCCCAAAATCTCCTTAAGCTGATAAGCAACTTCAGCAAAGTCTCAGGATACAAAATCAATGTACAAAAATCACAAGCATTCTTATACACCAAAAACAGACAAACAGAGAGCCAAATCATGAGTGAACTCCCATTCACAATTGCTTCAAAGAGAATAAAATACCTAGGAATCCAACTTACAAGGGACGTGAAGGACCTCTTTAAGGAGAACTACAAACCACTGCTCAATGAAATAAAAGAGGATACAAACAAATGGAAGAACATTCCATGCTCATGGGTAGGAAGAATCAATATCGTGAAAATGGCCATACTGCCCAAGGTAATTTACAGATTCAATGCCATCCCCATCAAGCTACCAATGACTTTCTTCACAGAATTGGAAAAAACTACTTTAAAGTTCATATGGAACCAAAAAAGAGCCCGCATCGCCAAGTCAATCTTAAGCCAAAAGAACAAAGCTGGAGGCATCACACTACCTGACTTCAAACTATACTACAAGGCTACAGTAACCAAAACAGAGATATAGATCAATGGAACAGAACAAAGCCCTCAGAAATAACGCTGCATATCTACAACTATCTGATCTTTGACAAACCTGAGAAAAACATGCAATGGGGAAAGGATTCCCTATTTAATAAATGGTGCTGGGAAAACTGGCTATCCATATGTAGAGAGCTGAAACTGGATCCCTTCCTTACACCTTATACAAAAATCAATTCAAGATGGATTAAAGACTTAAACATTAGACCTAAAACCATAAAAACCCTAGAAGAAAACCTAGGCATTACCATTCAGGACATAGGCATGGGCAAGGACTTCATGTCTAAAACACCAAAAGCAATGGCAACAAAAGCCAAAATTGATAAATGGGATCTAATTAAACTAAAGAGCTTCTGCACAGCAAAAGAAACTACCATCAGAGTGAACACGCAACCTACAAAATGGGAGAAAATTTTCTCAACCTACTCATCTGACAAAGAGCTAATATCCAGAATCCACAATGAACTCAAGCAAATTTACAAGAAAAAAACAAACAACCCCATCAAAAAGTGGGCAAAGGGCATGAACAGACACTTCTCAAAAGAAGACATTTATGCAGCCAAAAAACACATGAAAAAATGCTCACCATCACTGGCCATCAGAGAAATGCAAATCAAAACCACAATGAGATACCATCTCACACCAGTTAGAATGGCAATCATTAAAAGGTCAGGAAACAACAGGTGCTGGAGAGGATGTGGAGAAATAGGAACACTTTTACACTGTTGGTGGGAATGTAAACTAGTCCAACCATTGTGGAAGTCAGTGTGGCGATTCCTCAGGGATCTAGAACTAGAAATACCATTTGACCCAGCCATCCCATTACTGGGTATATACCCAAAGGACTATAAATCATGCTGCTATAAAGATACATGCACACATATGTTTATTGCGGCATTATTCACAATAGCAAAGACTTGGAACCAACCCAAATGTCCAACAATGATGGACTGGATTAAGAAAATGTGGCGCATATACACCATGGAATACTATGCAGCCATAAAAAATGATGAGTTCATGTCCTTTGTAGGGACATGGATGAAATTGGAAATCATCATTCTCAGTAAACTATCACAAGAACAAAAAACCAAACACCGCATATTCTCACTCATAGGTGGGAATTGAACAATGAGAACACATGGACACAGGAAGGGGAACATCACACCCTGGGGACTGTTGTGGGGTGGGGAGAAGGGGGAGGGATAGCATTGGGAGATATACCTAATGCTAGATGACGAGTTAGTGGGTGCAGCGCACCAGCATGGCACATGTATACATATGTAACTAACCTGTACATTGTGCACATGTACCCTAAAACTTAAAGTATAATAATAATAAAAATAAATAAATAAATGAAAAAGACAGCAGCTTAGAGCACAGACACAGGAGCCGGCTCTGCCACTTACGGGCTAAGTGACCTTGGACAGGTCTCTCTGGAATTCAGTTTCCTCATCTGGAAAATGGGGACAATAACTGCACCTACCTCAGAGGCCCCTGTGAGCATGCAATGAGTTATACCGTGTAGAGCACTAAGAACAATGCCTGCCGCGTCAGGAGCATCAGCAGCCATTCCAGTTACTTCTAGAGGTGGGATGGCTGCGCCTCAGGATTTGTGCACTTGTTAGTGTTACCAGATTCTGCCAAATAGTCCTGTTCCCACACCCCTGAGGACACTAGTACCTCCCAATGCTGAGGTGTCCCCTCCTTCTGGAAGACTGATAAGAATCATGAGAATTGCAAACCCCCACACTGGGCCTCATACTGTGTGCACGAAGGGCTTTCCCAGCTGTTCCTGGACAGACTCCTGGTGTATTTCCAGGTCTTGTATTTAACCAAAAACCAAAACCCCACACAAACCCCTCTTCCTTCTACCAGGGTCATTTTCCCCACTAAAAATCCCTCCATCCAAAAATATTATCTCACTGTGGTGTAGACGAAAGAGCCCCAGCCCAGGGTCAGGGAAAAGGGACCTTGGTGACAGCTCTGCCACCTCCTCACTGAGACACTCAGGCAGGTCCTGGAGCCCCTCCAGCCTCAGCTTCAGAGCCAGGACTCAGTGGCCCACGGTGAGGATGGAGTCAAGCGAGGGGCACAGGGCAGCTCACCCCCAGGCTCCCACGCGTGCCGGATGGGTGCCACACCACAAGCACCTCCTTAGATTTTACACCCCGGGCCTCTTGCCTGCCTCACCCTAGTCCTGGCCACTGGCTCAGTTTTCTTATCTGCAAAATGGGAATCTTAACTGTGACCTACAACCCTCAAGGGGCGATTCTGTGGAGCAAATGAGAGAGTTGAGTACACGACGGGGCTTTGCACACTCTCAGGTGCTTGATTTAGGATTCTTGAGCAAGATGGCTGTGAAGCAGGAGAGGGTGATTCTGGCTGTGGGAACTCAGAGACCAAGTCCAGAACGGCTCTCCCAGGAGGTTCGTGCAGGATTGTGAGAGAGGACACGTGTGTGTGTGTGTGAGTATGTGTGTGTGTTGGTGGCAGGGACGGATACTACTGATTGAAGACAAGAGATTCACTTGGAACCTCATTCCTTAAAGGCTTTGGGGGGCACCCTAAACCCTTTATCCCAAAGGGAGCTACATCCCTTTGGACGTAAAGATTCTGCTGCAACCACAGGCCCCCTGAGTTTGTGTGAGGTTTGCAGCCAAAGGCAGGTAAGTCGGAAGAAAATGTAGGTGCAGCACCTCCACCCTCCAGGCCAGGCAGGCAGAAGGTCAGAGGCATAGACAGGGACAAGCTCAGGGCCTGGGCAGAGAAGGGAGGCCATGATCTTTCCCAGGGAAGGAGCTTGCACATGCTTCTCTGGCTCAATTTTATTTTATGGACACTTCAAAACAAGCCTAGGAAGTCAGTGGGATTCTTTTTAGTTCCATTTTAAAGATGAGGAAACTGATTAGGGGGCGGGAGGTGGGGAGTGTCTTGACCAAGGTTCTGGCTCAAGAACCTACTGGGATCTTGACCTCTGTGGCCTCCCCAGAATCTGGGCAGGTTAAAGATCTCGCATGTGCTCTTCCAGGGAGACAGCCAGGCCTTTGCACCACCACCCCAGAAGTCTTCTGTTCTGAGTTCAGCAGACTCTGTCTCTCTTAAACCCTGCCCCTGCTGGAGACTCAGTTCAGGCAACTCCTAAAACATGAGGTGGCCATGGGGCATACCAGGCTACAGGGTCCCCTTCATCCTCTGCCCCCTTCCCTTGTGGTGCCCACTCCCTTGATGGTGACAGCTGGGCTTGGCCCCATTAGCACCATTTTCAATAACAACTCTGAGGTCTGGGGGCAGGGGTAGTGCCAATGCGCTCCCCTGGGGGCCCAACCCTCTTGCTACCCAGACCCCACTATCCCCTCTGTCCCCACCACAGAGGCCACTGTCTTTCCTGCCTCTTTCACCCTCAGTGCACAAGCCAGCCCCTGAGGCCCTCCTGCAGCAGCCAGGCCCCCACATCGAAACTGCCCTAAAGGACCTGAAATTGGGACCTGGGGGTCAGCCCAATGTCACAACACCTTCATCAACAACAATAAAACCTACCACCTGGCCAGGCCCGGTGGCTCATGCCTGTAATCCCAGCACTTTGGGAGGCCGAGGTGGGCGGATCACCTGAGGTCAGGAGTCAAGACCAGCCTGGCCAAAATTGTGAAACCCCGTCTCTACTAAAAGTACAAAAAATTAGCCATGCATGGTAGTGGGCACCTGTAATCCTAGCTACTCAGGAGGCTGAGGCAGGAGAATCACTTGAACCTGCGAGACGGAGGTTGCAGTGCACCGAGATGTTGCCAATGCACTCCAGCCTGGGCGACAAGAGTGAGAATCTGTCTAAAAAATAAAAATAAAAATAAAATAAAAAATAAAAAAACCTACCACCCATTGAGGAAAGGCTAGCAGGGTACCAGGCAGCTCCCAGGCATTTTACATATGCAGTAAGTTGTTTACCCTCACAGCAATTCTGAAGCTATGCTGATGGTAAGTGGACCCATTTGACAGCTGCATAAACTGAGGTTCTTAGTATGGTGTCCCCCAGAAGCAGCCCTTAGGTGAGGGCTCAGTTCCCTGTGAGTAGTGCATTTCAGAGATGATACCAGGAAATACCGGTAAGGAAGAGGAGAAATGAGACAGGGAAGGGAAGAAAGACATAAAAGGCTGAGTCATTAAACAAATGACCACTGCGGGCAACCAAAGTGGTTGGGGCTTGCTGGGAGATGGCGTGGAATATGCCCCAGGATCATCCCAACTGAGGGGACAGGAGGCTGGGATATTTGTCTGCCTTCAGGCCTTACTGCCCGAGGGCTGCTTCAGCGGATGCATATGTTCCAGGGCTCAAAGCCCTTCAGCTTCGATTTCACTCACACAGAGAGGAAATGCCCTCGGGCAAACAGTCATGGCGTGTGCAGTAAGCAGCACCAAATGGGAAAAAGTGAAGGCTGAGGGGACTTGGGCCAGGCATCTGCAGGGTCTTCTTTCCGAGGCTCAGAGAGGGGTAGTCACTGGTTTAAGGTCACACAGCTTGTTAGTGGCAGAACCTGGATCCAAACCTGATCTGCCAATCCCAAATTTTAATCCCCAGGGTAGGAATGGGACCAGGACTAGGGGTTAGGTCTGTCTAGAGTGGGCTCTGCAGCTCAGCTTCACTCTCCACCGCACCAAGAAAGCCCTTAAACCTTATCCAGAAAAATGCAAGGAGAGATACCAGCAGGTTCCCATGTTCCCTGGAAATCCTTCATTGCCCGTAGTCTGGCTGCTGGGATGTTGGGAATCTCAGAACAAGGTTATTTTGCCAACGGGAAGGCAGACCCCCTGAAACAAGGAAGAGAGACTGCAAAGCCCAGACCAGAGGGTGAATGAATGAATGAATGAATGAATGAATGAATGAATGAATATAATCAGACAACAGTGTCTCAAAGCTCAGATCCTCTTGGCAGCATCTAGGCCTTTCGCCTCCTCCCACAATTCCACCCACCAAGCCCCACAGAAAGACAGTCCCAAGGTGGCAAACTTGTAACCCACAGGTGTCAAATGAGTCATTTTGCTTTGCATGTCACCATGCTTTTGAATTTTTTTTTGTTTTAGCTTTGTCAACATTTAACAATTGTAAAACTTCACATCACATGAAAACCCCGATTTCCAACTTTGCTGGAAAAAGCAGAAGCTCTGGTGGAATAAAGCCCACCTTCCTGCTGGGTGGCAGCCCCCCCTCCCTGGGATCAGACAAGGACTCTCCCTCTTGCCTTCCTGACACTGAAGCCAACGTCAGTTGCCACATTGTCACTTGCACTATGGTTTTAATGTCACCGACATGGCCCCTGGAAGCACGGAAGTCTGAGAGGCCTGGAGCTGGAAACCTGGAGCCCTGCGTTCTGACTTGCTCTGTGACCTCAAGCAAGTCCCTTCCCCTCTCTGTGCCTCATCACTTCCTTTATGAACTGAAGGGCCAGACAAGTGATCTAAGAGCCCTTCTTGCCCACAGTGTCCCAAAATCAATAAAGAGGGCTGGGGAGTTGAGCAGACCTTCCTTGGTTGAAGGCCTCTGTCCAGGCATGGGGGGCACTGCTGCAAAGAGACTGCATCCTCCCGACTCCCCCAAACTCAAAGTGCATCCAGGTGCTCCTGAGGGTCTGCTGGGCACTTGCTGCCCCTCCACACCACTCATGAGCTCCACTGAACCTGTCCCCAGCAGCGGGTATGCCCCTCAGATAGATGACTTGCTCTTCTTATGTTCCATGGGCACATGTAATGGGTGGGCAGCAGGCGGAAGAGCAGGACACAATCTCTGTGCTCATAGGCCGTGAGCGGCAGAGAACACCAAGCAGCAGCTGCAGGCAAAAGAAAGCCACTCCCCACAGTGCAACTCTGATCTCTCCGCCACGGCATGGATACCCACCCCTGGCTGCTGCAGGCCGACCCCTGAGAAGCCACTGGAAAAGAGTGCAGGGCCTGGGCCGGGCACAGGTGCCTGTCCAGAGCACAGATTCAGAGTCTGAGCAAATTCAACCCAAATGCTTCCGGTGCCTCCTCCGTGCCTGGCAGTGGGCTCAAGTCCCACCAGTCACTTCCTAAATATGAACTAACCATATCATGATCTGTGTCGTGATTGCTGCAGCTGCGGCGGGAGCTCTCGGGAGAGACCTGGCAAGCCCTATCTGCCAGCCTCCACCGCCTCCTTCACGGAATTGCCTCCTTCTTGCTGGAGCTGTTGTGAGAACCAGATGAGAACAACAGCCAGCATGCCTGGAGAGCTTTTCTGCACCCAGCACGGTTTGGGCTCTTTTCAAGTGACGCTGCGTGTGGCCCGGCCAGCTCACCACACTCACACGTGCCTCTCATGCCTCACACCCGCAGGGCGCCCACACCCACTTCCACACTCACACCCGCCCACCCCCCTGCTCACAAGTGCGTCCTCCCAGGCCCCAGGCCCCCGCCCCTCTCCCCTCCCCTCCCCTGTGGCCAGTGAGCTCCCAGCCTGCCCTGCGCTGGCCCCATGGTGCTGTCAGGCTCCCCGAAGCCACAGCCTGCCCTGACTCCCACAGCCAAATCGAGTCAAAGACCAATTAATATTCTGATACCTGTGGCCAGCTGAAGTGATGGAGAGCTGCTGATTTCTTTTTCCATTTTACTCCAACTGTGGTTTCTTTTTTTTTTCCCAGCCCTCCTTTGGTCAGTGGTTTTAGGGGCACTAAAGTTCACTTTTGTGGGTAACCTGCACTGTTAGCTGTTGATTTAATTAACTCAGCCTTTCTCTTCCTTGACCAGAACACGGCCAGCCGGGCTGCTCTGCAGACACCCATTTGGACAGCCGACGGCTGGAGGCGTCTGGCAGGAGGAGCATGTGGTCCCTGGCAGCCACTCGCCAGCCCCGCTGTCGTTGACAGCTGAGTGTTTTCTGCAGCACTTCTGAGCCACCAGTGTGTGAGGTTCAAGGGGGGTTTGCTCTTATTTGATGGGTGGGCAAATTGAGGCTCCGAGGTAAGAATTCAATAAGGTTGCAAAGCTAGCAACGAGCATTCCTAGGTTTGCAAACCAGGCATGCCTTTGTCCACAAGCCTCTATTTTGAAGAGACTGCCACGCCCCTAAAAGGTGTGGCATTGGAGGTGAGGCAGAGAGAAAGCTGGAAGACACAACGGGGAAGAGGAGTGCAGGGGATTTTAAGGAAGATGCTAGTTGAAGTTGTAACCTCTTGGCCTCACTCCTGGGGTTCTTCCTTACAATGGAGCAAACCAGAATCTTTCTTCCTCTCAGACGTTTCCAGAATTCTTGCACGAATCTCTCAGTGGCAAGGTGAAAGGAACATCAGGCCTTCCACAGAGGGACAGAAACCCTTGCCCAGTGGAGGCCTCCAACCACAGAGGACCCTTAGAGATAGGAAGCCCAGGGCGAGAGGGAGAAGGAGAGGGACCAGGCGCAGACACCTGAGGATGAGCAAACAGAAGTGAGGCCAGGGATGTGGTGAGACTCTCCGGGTGACTTGGAGAAACTTCATCCCACTCTCTGGACCCCAGAGAGGCAGTGAGGGATGCCCTCAGTGGGCAGAGATGGCTGTTCCAGCCCGGGCAGCTTGTGGGTTATGGAACTCTGGCTGCTGGAATAGAGAAGCTGGCAAGAGTAGGGAGTTCAGGCAGGGTTCTAAGCCTAGGGGCCGACCCTCCTCTTCTCCCCTTCCCGCTCCACCTCCTCCAGGAAGCTCCTCACCCCTCACCCATGCCTGTTCCCCAGCCCTGTGCCCAGGGCTCCGTGGGCCTTTTTTTCTTGCCACCAGGGTGAATCGTCAATTGATTTGTTATTTATCCCACTGACAACAAAGAGAGTGAAAAGGTAATAATTCTGGGCCCTGGGGTAATTCAATTCCTGTAGCACCGTCAGCTACATTAACTTACTTCCTGGATCTCAATTCAATTAGAGCAACATTCCCCAGCATTAATAAATCAATACTCATGCCATTTGGATATATTTTGAATGTCTTTCATTATACATTGCAGGTCAGGGATGGCTGTTGAATTGGAAGTTAATGGGACAGGACAGGGCAGGTGGGGCTGCCTGGGGAGAAGCTTCCAGCCGTTAGCTCTAATTGCCTCTGCTGCAAAAGAGGGCGTTAGTAAAACAGAGGCCTGGTTAACTTAGCCGAGCCCGCCTGGAGTTACAGCAAGTTGCAACTCCTGTCTGGGTAGACGGGAGCCACGGTGGTTGGAGAGACTGTGTTCACCCACTTGGATACTCATTCATGCATTCATTTCCCCATCCCTCCCCTCCCAACCTTCCTCCTATCCATCCTTTCACTCTCCAGCCCCTTGTCATCCCTCCTCTAAGCCTTCTTTTGGACTCTCCCTATTCCTCCTCCCACCCTCCTCCTGGTTCTTCCTGTCCCTCCTCCTATCCCGCCTCTCAACCCTCCCCCCGTCCTTCCTCTCATCCCTCCTCACAATTTTCCTGTCTCTCCTCTTATCCCTCCTTCATCTTCTCCCCATCTTCCTCCTATCCTTTTCTTCCTTTCTTCCAATTTTTTTTCCATCTTTTGATTTTTCTCCCCATCCAGAACACTGCACTGTACTGTAGGGCCTGGAGTTTATGAGGCTCCAGGCCCTACACTGGCTTTTGGGCTTGTATGGGGTACAGCATACGTGTTCTCCAGCCTCAGGGACTCAGACGTCTAAATGAATAATGGCGAGCCAGTGTTTAAGAGCAATGACATGGACAATCATTAATACCTCTGTGGAAGAGGGGCCAGAGCAGGGCTCAGCACCCACCTGTGGCTGGGAGTTCTGACCCTGGGGATCAGGGAAGGGTCGGGGGAACGCTCCCTAGAGGAGGTAACACCTGGGGTAGATTCTGAAGGATGAGATGGTCTTGGCTGGGAGGCTTGAAGATCAGGAGCTGCAGAGAACCCAAGGAAACCGAGGCCTGCAGGGCAGGGGCTTGCCATCAGGAACATGGATCCAAATCACCCAGGAAGTGATAAAAGTGGGGATTCCAGGCCCCTCCTCTGGGAAGTCTGATCCAGGAGGTGTGGGAAGGGGTCAGAAGTCAGCGTTGGTGGCCATAACACGGAAGATGCCTGCTTGGAGTGAGCCCACATCTCAGGTTCGCCACAACTGGCCATGTGGCTGAGCAAGTCCCTAACTTCTCTGAGCCTTCCTGGGTCTTTCATCAAATTTCTCATTCAATAATACCCCTGGAGGGGTCAAGAGAGCACTGGTGGCAAACAAAGACACTGAGGACCAACCAGATGGGGGGCTGGGCCACAGGTGCTGTCTCCACCTTCCCTATGTGGAGGCTCAGGGCCTTTGCACCTGCTACTCCCTCTGCTGGTCACTGTCACCCCCAGTTTCCCTACGGTTGACTCTTCCCTTTCTATATTTGTCTACTGCTGCATAACAAGTTACCCCAAAATTTAGTAGCTTAAAACAACAAGCACGTATTATCACACAGTTTCTATGGGTCAGAAATCCAGGAGTGGCTGATTCTGGCTCAGGCCCTCGGATGACACTGCTCTGGGAATGTTGGCAGCGGCTGCAGCCATCTGAAGGCTTGACCGGGGCAGAAGGGTCCTCTTCCCAGGTGGCGCATTCACAAGGCTGCTGGCAGGAAGCCTTGGTTCCTCCCTGGCTGCTGGAAGAAGGGGTTAGTTCCTCTCTAGGTGGGCCTCTCCATGGCATGGCAGCTGGTTTTGTCCAGAGCGGTCCTCCAAGTGAAAGAGCAAACCAGAAACTGCAACGTATTTCATGACCTACCCATGGAAGTCATAAGCCTTGGTTTGTGGCACATTCTACTAGCTTGAAGTGAGTCTCCAAGTTCAGTCCACACTCCAAGGAAAGAAAATTAAGTTCTCTCTTTTTTTTTTTTTTGTGAGATGAAGTCTTGCTCTGTCATCCAGGCTGGGGTGCAGTGGCACAATCTCTGTTCACTGCAACCTCCACCTCCCGGGTTCAAGCGATTCTCTGGCTTCAGCCTCCTGAGTAACTGGGACTACAGGCATCTGCCACCACACCCGGCTAATTTTTGTATTTTTAGTAGAGACAGGGTTTCACCATGTTGGCCAGGCTGGTCTTGAATTCTTGACCTCAGGTGATCCGCCCACGTCGGCCTCCCAAAGTGCTGGAATTACAGACAGGAGCCACCGTGGCTGGCCTAAACTCGTCTCTTGAAGGGAAGAATATCAAGGAATTTGGGGGCATAGTTTTAAACCGCCATCTTCCTTTAGGCCTTGCTCAAATGTCACCTTCCCAGAGATGCCTTCCCGGACATGTCTGTTTTAAGGACTCCAGCCCTCTCTTCATTGTCTCTCCCCTCTGGATCTACTCCTTTTCTGCATGGCATCTGTCAGCACCTGACATCCTATCTATTTTAATTCTTAATCTTGTTTATTGCCCTCCTCTCCCCACTAGAGTAGGCTCCATGAAATCAGACAGTCAGTTTTGCTCACTGCTGTACCTCCTGCACTGGAATGCTCCCTGGGATACAGTAGGTATTAATAAATAAATGTCGAATAAAAGGATGCAAGTGGAGCTGAACTGGTCTGAGGGGCAGCCCTTTTCCCGGTGTGGCCGTCAGCCTTCAGCATGATGCTGGACATACCCTTTGCCCTAGCTAGCTCAGCCTGTTTTTCCACCTAATAGGAGAGTGCTGGATTCCCCCTTCCATTTAACAAGTATGTTCCAAGCACCTGCCACGTGCCACACTGTGTTCTGGGCCCCAGACAGACACAGCACCTGCCCTCATGATGCTGATCCTCTAGAATAAAACCACTGAGGGTCCTTCCAGATCCCATGTACTCCTACTTGGCCCTCAGGCCTCCAACAAATGCTGCTATGGACTGAATTGTGTCCCTGCAAACATTCATTGGTTGGAGTCCAACCCCCACAATGTGATGGTACTTAGAGATGGGAGCTTTGGGAGGTAATCAGGGTTAGATGCAGTCTTGAGGCTGGCCCCTCATGATGGGATTAGTGCCCTTATGAGAAGAGGAAGAGGGAGAAATCACTCTTTCTCCACCACACGCAGACACAGTGAGAAGGTGGCCATCTGCAAGATAGGAAGGGAGCCCTCACCAGGAACCAAACTGGCCGGCACCTTAATCTTGAACTTCTCAGACTCTAGAGCTGTGAGAAGTAACTGTGTGTTGTTTAAGCACCCCATCTGTGGTGTTTTTTTGCAGCAACCAGAGCAGACTGAGACAAATGCTGATGGCCGATTGCCTGAGTTCAGAGATCCACAGCTTCCATGTTAGGCTGGGGTGTTTCACAACAGGAGTCTCCTGGGAGGGAGTGGAGACCCACCAGATGGGGCCTATGGAGAACAAGCTCTTGCTCACCTTCAGGCCTTTGCACAGCTCTCTCCTGCCTGGCATTCCCCCTCCCCATTCCTCACTCTATCACTAGCCAGCTCCTCCTCACCCTTTGGGTCTTGGCTTCCGTGCTGCCTCCTCTGGGAAGCCTTCCTTGACACAGTGTCTGGATTAGGGACACACAGGGTTAGGGCTGGTTCCCACAGCCCCTGGGCCTCCTGTGTGAGTGTACTCTCCCTGCTGGGCCAACATTGTTCCTTTACCATCTGTCTCTACTTAGCACCTCCTGCGAGCACCCAAGGGCAGGCCTGGAGCTGGCAACCTCAGGGCTGGTCCCACTCTCAGTGGGGCCCACCTTCACTTCACTGTGGCTAAGGCCACACAGCTAGTGGTTCTCCAAGCCGAGGCACAAGCCCAGGCCCATCAGATGCCCAAGTGTGTGCTCCTTCTCCCTCTGCTCCACGGATACATGCTCTCACTTGCGCTCCCAAACCATCTCTTGTGTGTCTTCATGAAAAATGAGTCTTCCCATGAGTCTGATGGAGAAACTGAGGCCCGGAACAGTCATCAGACCAAAGTCACATGGCCAGTGAGGAGCTGCTGGGACCGGAATCCAAGGTTCCCGCTGCTCCCAAATTCACTCACTGCACTCAAACTTCCCCGACCCCAGCCCCACACACCCCAAGGAAATGTTCTTTGCCCAGCAATTCATCAGCCCCTGGCAGTGAGCTCTCACTGCATCCTGAGACCCTCACCTGACCACTGTGTTCACTTTCCTATTCCTTGGGAGGAAGCTGTCACTGGTCCCACTTTGCAGAAGGGAAAACAGAGGCCCAGAGACATGAGGTCACTTGTTTACTATTCACTCAGCTAGTTAGTGGCAGGGCGGGGATTTAAGCCCACTGAGTCAGAGCACCCCTTCTAAGCTCTGAGCAACAGTCAGGCCATGACCCATTCATTCGTTCACTCTTTCTTCCTTCACTCATTTAACCCGTGCTAAATACAACTTCCCTATGAGGGAGACGGATAACACACAGGTAAACACACACATCAACACACACGTCAACAAAGTGATTTCAGAGTTGTGATGCCTTAAAGAGAACAATGCAGGGTGATGTGGCAGAAAGTGACCGGGGCAGGGGACACTGCTTTAGCCCAGAGATCCTAGCTAGGGATGCGATGTTTGAGCTACTAGCCAAGGGCCACTCAAAGATTTGGGGAAAGACCCCAAAGTGAGAATTGCAGCATCGTGAGGAAGAGAAAGAGTACTTGGAGGGGCAGAGATGGATCAAGGAAGGAAGGAGACCAGGATGCCCGTCTCTTGGGTTGGGTGACCCCAAGAAACCACTGCTCCTTCTGGGCAGCTGGCCTGGCCATGTCCAGGTCCATGCTGGAGGGACCTTGATATAGTGGCTGGAGGCAATGAGAAGGTGTGCTGGCCGAGGCCCCCAGGCCTGAGGTTTGCTGAGTTAAGGCAGCCTGTGAGTGAGACCAGCTGGACTCTATGACTGCCAGGGGCCTGTTCAACTTGTGGCTGGCTCCCCGGGCCTAAGGAGGGAGCAAGTGACTGCAGACACATGGCCCACATGGACCACTAGGGTGGCGTCACTCAGGGAGAAGAGACTAGATCCCAAGCCCACAGCTCAGGTGTGAGGCTCACAGCCAGCTGCAGGGGTCAGAGGCCTGAGTGCCCCCCGAGCACCTGCATGCCAGGTCTGTGTTAGACCAAGACCTCCTGGATCCTCAGCAGGCCGTGGGGAGAGAGGCCTGCCCAGGGAGGCCCTTGGAGAGGCAGAGCTGGGGCACTGGCCCTGCCCCTCTGCCCATCCTGGTAGCTGTCTCCCTATGGCACCGTCCCCCAACTCCAGAGCTTTGGACAGAGACTGAGCATCAGCCTCCTCAGGGGAGGACAAAGGACCAGGTCTATCTGGTCACTTAACTATTTGACAGGTTTTAACGCCTCATGGGGGATGGTCAGAGACCCTGGACCGAGGCCCCTTAGGAACCCTAGAGGGGGCAGCTCTCCTGTGTCTGAGCCTCAGCTTCTCTTTGAGACACATAAGGGGACAGCCCAGGACAGGAGAAAGCACAGGCGCTTTGACATTTTCAAAAAATCTGGGTTCCTACCAGGGGCAGTGGCTTGCACCTGTAATCCCAGCACTTTGGGAGGCCGAGGCAGGAATGCTGCTTAAGGCCAGCAGTTTGAGCAGCCTGTGCAACAGGGCAAAATCTCACCTCTATAAAAAAGAAACAATTTTTTAAAAAATTAGCTGGGCACAGTGGTGCACACCTGTAGTCCCAACTACTTGGGAGGCTGAAGTGGGAGGACTGTTTGAGGCCAGGAGGTTGAGGCAGCAGTGAGCCATAATCATGCCACTGCACTCCAGCCTGGGCAACAGAGAGAGGGCCTGACTTTTAAAAAATAATAGTAAAAAATAAAATAAAAAAAAACCTGGGTTAAAATCCTGATTCCCCTTGTATGACCTTGGGCAAGTCACCCTGCCTCTATCCTCAGTTTCCTCATTTGCAAAACCAGAGCTACACCGTGCACCACCAAGGCTAGCTAGAGATTCAACAGGAGGACGCAGATAAGGAACGGATTGCCCCAGGCGCGCAGTGAACACTGGCCTCCTCTCTCTGCTTATTTTTACTCAGCTTAAATTTATCTGTACATCCCCAACCACCACCTGTGTCACTAACTCGCTGTGGTGACCTGACATCAGACCTTTCTCTCTCTGGTCTTCATAGCATTTGGAAGTTGAGGAGACTTCAAGTTTCAAGTCTTGAGCCCACACCCTCATGCAATGACAAACTAAGACTTCCAAGGTCAGCGCCGAAGCAGGGCTTTGGTCTCGAGGTGATCCAGCCAGAGACTCATCCCTGGGTCCTGGCTCTCCCCATCGCCCCACTAGGAGAGCTTGAGCAAGTCCCGTTCCCTCTCTGGGCCTCAGTTGCCCATCAGAATAATGAGGGTTGGGGTCAGGTATTTTCTGAGGACTCTTCTTATTCTGTTATTTGTCAAGTAAGGGATTCTGAGTTGGATCGGCAGGGCTGCAGCTCTGGCCACCTGGGTGACTTATCTAAGAAGTCAGCTGATGGCTCCCCTCGTCCCAGGCTGGGTCACACCTCCCTGCCTGTGACCGTGTGACTCTCTCCTCCTCCACTGGTGAGTCCCTTCGTTCACACCACAGGTATTGATCTCACGCCACTGTCACCTCTGATAGGAAGTGTTTTCTGACCTCTAGCCGCCAGGTAAAACAAACCTCTCTCTTCTTCATGCCTCCCAGGCCCCAAGCACACTCTCAGTGTCAAACACGGAGCACTCTATTGTCTTTGCGTGTTTGTTTGTGTGTCCTGGGAGCTTCTTGAGGACTGTGTCTGGGCCTGATCCAGGCCTGTATCCAGCATTGGGCCTGGGGCACAGTTGGCAGAGTAAGAATCTATTGAGGAAGAAAGGAGGAAAGGAGGGAAGGAGGGAAGGATAGAAGGAAGGAAGGAAGGAAGGAAGGAAGGAAGGAAGGAAGGAAGGAAGGAAGGAAGGAAGTCAGGCAGGCTAAGCTCCAGTCCAAGGCAAATGGCAGCCAACAGGCCTCGCCCTTGTCTCTTGCTGAGAGCCTGTCCCTTGCCCAGCAAGCAGCCCAGGCCCACCTGGCCACTGGAGTCACTAATGAGCATTGATTCCAATCGGACACATCCATCGTGCCGCTCGAGCTCCTTTCCTTAAAGAACATTAGGGAGCAAATGTATCATCGGTGACTGGAGGCCCAATAAAGCAGGCACCTCGAGAAATTTAGTATTCAACTCATAAAGGCCTTAAAAGCATTTTTCAATTATGAATGGCCTGGGGGGAGTCATTCTTTCTTCGCCAGGGGATGAATAAAGATGGAAAATAATAGCATATCAATATTGTTGCAACTTAGAAGGATTAATCTGGAAGAGTTAAAGGCGTTGCGTCTCCCTGCTGCCTGCGTGCTCAGGTGCATGGAGAAGGACTTGGTCAAGGTGACCTTCACCAGGACCCCCGGAGAGAGGCGAACCTCCCAGTGGGTCAGCACCTCAGATGCCTTGACCCTCTCTTTACCTCCCCTGCAGTCTCACCCCAGAACATCCCCTGGCTCTGAGCCATATGAGGCCTCAGGGGCTGGCCTTGTCATGACAATCACTAAGATTTGTACCATGATTAGGGTCTGAAGGGGTCTTTATCCTGACTGTGGTGATAGTTACTGTAGTCTGCAGGTGATCAAATATCATAAAACTACACACTCTCCAAAAAAATAAAGTGCACGTAAAAGCCGGGTGAAGGGGACATTTCTGTACTATTTCTGCAACTTCATGTGAATCTTACTATCTCAAAATAAAGACATTATAATCAAAACTATTAGGCCGGGTGCGGTGGCTCACGCCTGTAATCCCAGCACTTTGGGAGGCTGAGGCGGGTGGATCACCTGAGGTTGGGAGTTCGAGACCAGACTGGCCAACATGGAGAAACCCTGTCTCTACTGAAAATACAAAAATTAGGACGTGGTGATGCACGCCTGTAGTCCCCGTCACTCAGGAGGCTGAGGGAGGAGAATCGCTTGAACCCAGGAAGTGGAGGTTGCAGTGAGCCAAGATTGTGCCACTGCACTCCAGCCTGGGCAACAGAGGGAGACTCTGTCTCAATAATAATAATAATAATAATAGTTAAAAGTATAAGTAAACTTAAAATTTGAAAAGCTGTTTTTGCAGGAGCAAAGTACTGGGCCTCCCCTGGCAGAAGCATAAAAAGGCTCAACAGCTTTAGGAAAAGATTTTGAACTGCCTGCTGTAGCAGGTAGAATAAAACTCCACCCCACCCCCAAATGTGCACATATTCGAATCCCCAGAACCTATGACTATCTTAGGTTACACGGCCAAAGGGAATCAATGTTGCACATGAAATTAAGGTTGCTTAACAGTTGACCTTGAGATGGGGAGATTGGATTATCTGGTGGGCCTAATGTATTCACGAGGGTTTTGTAAGGGGAAGAGAGAAAAAGAAGAGTCAGAGAGAGATTCGAAGATGCTACACTGATGGCTTTGAAGATGGAGGAAGGGGTTATAAGCCAAGGCGTGCAGGCAGCCTCTAGACATTTAAAAGGGCCGAGAAACATTCTCCTCCAGAGCCTCCAGAGGAACTCAGCCCTGCTGACTCCTGGATTGGCCCAGTGAGTTCCAATTAGGACTTCTGTCTCTGAAACTGTAAGATAATAAGTGTATTCTTTAAAAACCACTAAGTTTGTAGTAATTTATTACAGCAGGAATAGGAAACTAATGCACCTAGTAAATAATATTTTTGAGTTAAATATGTACCCACCCTAAGACTCAGCAATTTCACTCCTAAAGAAAATCTTTGGTCTGCATTAGGCTACAGCTGAGGTGTGGAGACACATACAAGAATATGTGTTGTAGCATTTTTTGAAGCAATTCAACTAGAAACAATCCAAAGGTCCATCAATAAGGATGATACTCCATCCTGTTATATTCCTACAACAGAATATTATACAGCAGTGAAAATGAATGAATTATAGCTATACACAAACACACGAATGGATTCTGAAACACAATGTCAAATGAAAGAAGCAAATCACACCAAAAGACATAGAGTGAGATTTACTTATATAAAGCTCAAAAATCGGCAAAACTTAAAAAGCAGATTGTTAAGGGCTTTTTAAGAAGTAAAACTATGAGGAGAAAAAAGAGATGATTAATACAAAATTGAATATGTCGGCCATCTCTCGGGAGAAACATAATAAGGGATGAAGATGCACGTGGAGCTTCTAGAGTACAGTGATTTCTTAAGCTGAGTGATGTGGGCGCAGGCATCTGTTTTATCATTATTATTATTATAGAGATTTCTTATATTAATAATTATGTACCATTATAATTATTGCTTAAACCACACATGTATATTTACACATCCTTTTGAGTGGTTTGTATAGTTCATAATAAAATAAACATTCTTTAAGCGTCCTTGCTTTTGAGCATTTATTTAATCCTCTGTCATTACACTGTGAGCAAGACAAGATAAAGTCCTTTACCTTCATTTTATAACTGGGGAAATTGAGGCTCTGAGGGGTTAAGTGATGGACTGAAGCCCACCTGCCTACTTCCCAAGCCTCATCTCTACCCACTCACCCCATTTCTCTGTGCTCTGACCTGACTCAGTTCAAGGAAGCAATGAGACAGCCAAGAGAGAAAATAGGAATTTCTTCCTGGTTTTCAATTTCAAAAAAGGTAGTCAAAACCTCAGGTCATGGAGAAATTTTGGCGATTGTATGAAGAGTGAGAGCAAACTCCCCCACCCCTCAGATTATGTACTGATCCCTGGACTGATGTAAGTAGAAATGTATGCAGTGGGCATACAGGGCTTGTGAGGAGTTGGAAGCAGTGGTGTGGTGTAGAGATTGTAGCTCCCTGGAAAGGTGGACCCTATGTTATATTTCCCCTAGACCAAGTACTGGGGAAGACAATAGAATGCAGATAGTCTCGTGGGATCTGAAAAAAATCTAGAATTCTCATTCCCAGGTAGAATCCAGGGAAGCTGCAAAATCCCAGAGCATAAATGGTGGATGGTTTATGGGCTGGTAATATGGATAGCTTCATCGAGGTTCCCAAAGCTGGTTTTGTGTGGAAGGTACAAATAACCAAAATCTGAAGTGAAAAGAAGGAGACATCACTACAGAGCTTACAGATATTAAAAATATTTTAGGCCAGGTATGGTGACTCACGCCTGTAATCCCAGCACTTCGGGAGGCTGAGGTGAGATTACTTGAGGTCAGGAGTTCAAGACAAGCCTGGCCAACATGGTGATACTCCGTCTCTATTGAAAATACAAAAATTAGCAGGACGTGGTGGTGGGCACATGTAATCCCAGCTACTCGGGAGGCTGAGGCATGAGAACTGCTTGAACCCAGGAGGCGGAGGTTGCAGTGAGTCAAGATCGCACCACTGCACTTCAGCTTGAGCAACAAAGCAAGACTCCATCTCAAAAAAAAAATAAAAATAAAAATAAAAATATAATATTTTAAAATTAATAAGTTATTGTGCAAAGTTTTACAATAATAAATTTGGTAATTTAGATGAACTGAAAAAATTCATATGTACAAAGATTGTTATAGTCACAACTATACTGGATATTTCCCCCAGTAATGAGAGGTTTGGTTTAACGTTTTAAGATCAATTATTGTAATTGATCATATTAATAGAATAAGAAAAATAAAAGATAAAATCATACAATCAGTAGATTTTTTTAAATCATCTGATGAGTCAACACCCATTCATGATTTTTAAACTTTTAAAAATGTAAAAAAGAAGGAAATTTTCTTAACCTGATAAACCTGATCTACGTGAAACCCCAGCATACATTATACCTAAAGGGTAAAATACTGAGAATCTTCACCTGAGAGTGCTAATGAGGCAGTTGTGTCTACTATCACTTCTATTCAACATAGTACTGAAAATTCTAGCCAGAACGCTAAGGTAAGGAAAAGAAGTAGGCTGGTTATGGTGGCTTGTGCCTGTAATCCCAACTACTACTTGGGAGGCTGGGACAGGAGAATCACTTGAGCCAAGGAGTTCAAGACTAGTCTTGGCAACATAGCAAGACCTCCATCTCTTAAAAAAAAAAATTAACAATTTTTTTAAATTAAAAAAGAAAAAGATATAAAGAGATCTAAGGATTATAAAGGAAGAAGGAGACATTGTGGTTGTGTCCATAAAAATTCTAAAGTAGGCCAGGCATGGTGGCTAATGCCTATAATGCACTTTGGGAGGCTGAGGCTGGTGGATCACATGAGTTTGGGAGCTCGAGACCAGCCTGACCAACATGGAGAAACCCTGTCTCTACTAAAAATACAAAATTAGCCAGACATGGTGGTGCATGTCTGTAATCCCAGCTACTCAGGAGGCTGAGGCAGGAGAATCACTTGAACCTGGGAGGCGGAGGTTGTGGTGAGCTGAGATCGCACCATTGCACTCTAGCCTGGGCAATAAGAGCGAAACTCTGTCTCAAAAAAAAAAATTCTAAAGTAATTTATAAGTAATTAAAATTAATTGGCAGATTTAGCAAACAATTGTATTTCTATATATCCAATAGAACATAAAATGTAAAATATATAATTTATAACAGAACCAAAAGTATCAAATAATTAAAAATAAATTTCAAAGGAGATTTATAAGATCTATAAACAGAAAACTATGAAACAGTATTCAAAGAAAGGACCTACATCAATGGAAGAGTATACCATATTCATGGATTAGGAGACTCAATATTGTAAAAACCATCCATTCTCCATAAATTAGTCTGCAATCTAAATCCAAATCTCAGCAGGCTTTTTTTGTTGTTGGAAATAGACAAGTTAATTTTAAAAGTTTTTATAAAAAAATGCAAGGTTCAAGAATAGACAAGATGATCTTGAAGAAGAGAAAAGTTAAAGAACTTAACACACAATAAATCAAGACTTATTATAAATTAATCAAGACAGTGTGGTATTAATGTAAGGAAAGAAAAATAGACCAATGGAATATATTCCACATATGGTACACCTGTTTGTGACTGAGGTTTTCATCCATTGCACAGCCATAAGTGACATAAGGGCATCTAATGAGTGGCCTTTGACTTTGTCATGGGATCAGTAATGCTTCCTTGATGAAATGATGATAGACCTGAGACCTGAATTTAAAACAGAGCATGTGCAAAGATCCTGTGGTTGTAGGAAACCACCTCCCAGGTTCAAATGATTCTCCTGCTTCAGCCTCCCGAGTAGCTGGGACTACAGGCACCCGCCACCATGCCTGGCTTATTTTTTGTATTTTTAGTAGAGATGGGGTTTCACCATGTTGGCCAGGATGGTCTCGATCTCCTGACCTTGTGATCCACCCGCCTCATCCTCCCAAAGTGCAGGGATTACAGGCGTGAGCCACTGCGCCCGACCCAGCAGGTGACTTTTTAGAGACATTCAGGGGTTCCCTGGCTAGTGCAAAAGGCACAGAGACCCTTCCACCACCATGTTCTGTGCTACCTTCTCCCCTCACTTTCTCAATGGAGCATTTCTTCCTGAAGTCCCCAGCCTGCCCCTCCAGGATACAAAGCTCACCAAAATTTGGTGGCTCTATCTAGGCTCTTGGCCATCAAGCCAAAAAAAAAAAAAAGTAGCTTCAGTCCTAATGCCACATACAAGCTGGCCTTAATATCAGAGGGAGATATCTTTCTCTTTAAGCAGAGCAGACTCTTTGGGAATGCATCTCTGGGTGGCAGAGAGAGCCCAGAGGAGCCAGAAAGGCCAAGGCCTATGAATCCCAGGAAATAAGCTCTGTTGTTCCTGCGGACTCACAGGGAGAGAGGAGAACACTCAGCCTCTTCCTCCCTGACAAGTGAACACACTTCACAAAGACTTAATCATGGGTGGAAAGTCCTCACTCCTCCACCTCTTCGGTCATAGGCCACTTTAACTCTCACCTCGACCAGAGAGACAGTCTTCCCACTGGTCTCTCCAGTTTCACTTTTAGCCCCTGTATTAGGCCAGGCTGGGCTGTGCTGACTCAGTGGCTGGCTTGAAGGAACAAAGATTTCTTTCTGTCCATTGCTGGTCAGGTGCAGCTCTGATCCGTGTCATCCTCACTCTGAAACCAGGGTGGATGGAGCCTCCTTCTAGAACACTACAAGTTGTTTTGGAAGAGGGGAAGGAGATGTTGCAAAATCATGCAATGCCCTAAAGCTTCTGCCCAAAAGTAGCACATGGCACTTCTACTCAAATTTCATTGGCCACAGCAAGTCATATGACTAAACCTGATGTCAATGAGGTAAGAAAGCAGGATCCTCCCACAGGGAAGAGAAGCAAATAGCTGAGAACAAACGAAATCATCATGTCCCCTGCTTCAAACCTCCACTTTTCACTCATGCTTAGGATAAAACCCCAGCTCCTGCCAGGCCTGGCCCTGCCTCCTGCACTCCTCATTCTCAGTTCCTCTCCTGCTTCCCGCTTGCTCCAGCAGCCTGCCAAATATGCAAGCTGGTTCCCGCCACAGGGCCTTTGTACAGGCTGCTCCTCAGGCCCAGGTCAATGCTTTAACCCAACTCTCCCCAGGCCTGCCTTTTCCCATAGTTTAGAGTTCAGCTTAAACGTCACAGAAGAGAGGCTTCCTTGACCATCCCATTATTCTCTCCCATATTACTCTGTTTATGCCCTTTCTAACACTAATCAAGCTGGAATTCACTTGTTTCTGTAACAGTTTTATTATGTATTGTGTGTTACACTCACACACCAGAACACAAGCTTCTTAGGAGTGCATGTATCTGTCCTGTTTGCCACGGTACAGCTCTCTCAGCAGGAGCTCAGCAAATGTTGGTGGCACAAATGAAAGAATTGGGTTGAGACAGGAGGAGCCAAGCCTGGTCCCGAGAGCCCAGTGCATTTCAGCATCATGAACCCTTCCCACACCCAGGTGGCATTGCAGGGTGTGCAGTGTGGAGCCCAAGCCTCCCTGTCCTTGCCCACCCACGTCACTTCACTCACAACCAGAAGGTACATTATGTGCTGGCAAAAAAACTACAAGCAGATGTGATCATTTTATCAGATGGCCACTCTGGACTGGGAGCTGTGGTCTGCATCCTAACCACAGTGCCTGGAAGCCTGTGAGGTGGGTGTCATGATCCTGATTTACAGGTAGGGGAACAGGTTCAGAGCAGTTGGCAGATTTGCCTACCCTGGCTGTGAGGCTCTCAGCCAGAAAAACTGGAATTTTTGAACCTGAGACTGGTTCTAAGCAATGCCTGGGTGGATCTTCTGTGCCACCTGACAGTTTTGGAAGCAGGGGCTGTCTGCATAGCTGTGGGACACAGAATAATGGCCTCCAAAGAGCCCCATGTCTTGATCCCCGAAACCTGTGAATACATTACTTCCATGGCAAAAGGACTTCACACATGTGAGTGAGTTGAGGCCCAAGATAGGCAGAGAATCCTGGGTTATTCCTTGAGATACATGGGGCCCGCCTGGATGAGGGAGGCAGGTGTACGGAGTCAGCGAGAACAGGAGACACTAGGCTGGTGGCCTTAGGTACAGAGGAATGAGGTCATGAGCCAAGAAAGATGGGTGGCCTCTGGAAGCTGGAGAAAGCAAGGACACAGATTCTCCTCCAGAGCCTGCAGAGGGAATATGGCCCTGCTGGTCCCTGGATTTTAGTTCAGTGACACTTCTGACCTACAGACCTAGACAATAAGAGATTCGCACCGTTCGAAGACAGTAAGCCAGTGGTGACTTGTTTTGTTACGGCAGCGGTAGGAGAGTATACAACCCCTCATTGTACTGGGGATGTATCCTGTCTCCCTAGTATCCGCAATTGAACCGCGGGTTCCCTGATCACAGGCACCCAGCAAACGGTGACGTGGCACACACAGGCATTTAATAATGACTCAGGGGCTGCGCTTCAACGGCAGGGGCGAGAGGGATTCAGTGAATCCAAGAGGAGGAAGCTTGAGAGGACATGTGGGTGAAACCAGACAAATAAGGTGGAGGGAGCAGGATGCTGGCTGGAGAGGCCCCCCAACACCCGCCCCTGCAGCACTGCAGAGAACCCAAACCCACTGCTGGAAGGAGCCCCCAGCTCGGCCAATGGCTCCCATTTTACACACGCAAATGCTGAGACCCAGCGTGAGCAAATGGCTCCACCAAGGTCACTCAGCAAGCCGGTGGCCAAGACGGGATTCGAAATTCCATCACGTGACTCCTGGCCCATCTTGTTCCCATGCCTGCAGCCAGCCCTGACCCACCTTAGGTGGTGAAGACCTCCCTCATCGAGGTACGCAGGGGCTGGGGGCCAGGAGCAGGTGGGGGTGGGGGCGTCGTTGAGAATCCAAGCAAGCTCCTCACCCCAGAGCACCCCTGGATCAGGGAATGTGATGTGACAGGGAATAGAGCCCCGGCTCTAGCGCCAGACCTGCTGAGGTGTGACTTACAGCAAGCTCCTCTCTCTGAGCCTCAGTTTCCCCATCAAGGGATTGGACTTGATCTGCAGGGCCTTTTCTGGCTCTCGTGTGGCATGCTCTGCCATCAGGCCGGCCGTGCTCTCAGCCCCTGTCCCTGACACCCCTCTGGGCCCCTGCAACTTCTCAGCCAGCTCAGCTCCTCTCCCAGCTCTGGCCTGCACCAGCGGGGCTACAGTGGCCCAATCCCCAACCCAGAGCTGACAGACTGGTGTTTCCCACCCTGTCCTGACTTTGCCCCACCCCTCCCTTTTACCTACCAGCACAGTCAACCTTCCAGCCTAGCTTCCCTGGGGCTTCAGCCCCAAAAATTGGGATTCTCAACCCAGAGGGTAGTGGGTGGGCTCAAATTACTCAATGTCAAGTAGAATCTGGCCACGATGCCTGAGTCTCTCCTGCCCCCAACTCCCCATCACTGGGCCATCCTTGCCCCCATCTCAGACCCTCTATGACCATCGCCCACCTGGGCCCCAGCATTTGGCTCTTGTTCCCTACAGCCTGGCCTAGGCTGTCTCCTAAGGCCTCAGAAGACTTCAAGTTCCTCCCAACCCCAACAGCTTGGTATCCTTCAACCACAGAGACTGTCCAGCTCCCTGAACCTCTCAACTCCCATCCCTGTAGAGAAGCCTACAAAGAAGTGAGTCCTACTTCAAAAATCAATGCACAGAGAGGGTTGGCAACTGCCTGGAGGTCACACAGCAAAGTCATGGAGCTCCAAAATTCAATGTCTTCACCTGAGACCATTCCTGAGCCCCGCTACCCCTGCCCAGGAACTTCCTCCAACAGCCTGAAGGACAGGGAGAGCAGCCAGCCCCGCTGACCGATGTCCAAGACCGCAGTGATGCTATTCCTTCCTCGAGTGAGCTCTGCCCACCCTGTGCCAGATTTAGCCATTTAATGCAACCAGACCTGCTCCGTCCCTGCCTCTGAGATTAGCTCTGGACCGGGGCTTTGAATGCCTGCCCAGAGACACTCAGCTTAAAACACCAGGAACCAAAAAAAAAAAAAAATCGACCACATTTAATGGAGCCGTCAGCGGGCGGGTCTGAATTGTCCATTATGTGACCCTACCCGCCTAGGGAGCCGAGCCATGTGGCCACCTGACCACAGCATTAAGGCGACATCAGCCCGCAGGCCAGGCGGGGGTGGAGCTACCAGAGTCTTTGGCCTGGGGCGCCTGCCTCTCCATCCTCAAGGCCCAGGGCCCCAGGGATTCTTGGTGCCACTCAACAGGCAGGAAGGCAGCAGCTCTCATTGGCTAAATCTACCCCTTCTGGTCTCAGGGCCCCACTCCTAGATACGCCCTGCGTATGTCTCTATGGCCTGAGACTCCCTCTGTTGCAGAAGTCGAGAGAGCATCAGTGTCTGTCCCTCAAATAGTGCCCTGGCTAATGCCTGATGTGCCACTATTGTTGCCATTTCCTTTTGCTATTTAAAAATTGCCATTGTTAACATCCAAGTTGCTCTAGACACTATCTCCCAAAATGTGTTCCAGGAAACATTAATCTCTCAAGATGCATAGAAAACAAAAAGAAGAGGGAGGGCTCCACAGTCAAGCAAGTTTAGGAAGCACTGCAAATGCTAGTCCTCTTTTGGAGAGTTACAAGTCTAGCAAAGGCTCTGAGGAATCCTGCAATCGAGTTGGAGTTTCTTTAATCCACTCCCCAGACTTACTTCATTACAGAACCCTCCCCTTATCTTGGCAGAGCATCCATTAATATGCTGAAAGCCTAGTATACCAGGGAAAACCCTTTGGGAAATGACATTTTAGGGGTTTGAGTCCCTCTCCTTCCCCCAAGCCTCAACTGTGGTCAGAAGCTCCAATTATGAGGCTGGTCAAAGCCAGTGAAGAGAGGAAGGGTGACTCCAGCCTTCAGTGACAGGTGAATGTAAGGGTCACAGTCACAGTCTCACCCAGAATTGAGGAAGGGAACATGGATCCATCCACGCCTAGATGCAAGGAGGGCGTCATGCCACATGGTGAGAAGAGCATGTGGGGTGCCCTCTAGCCCCCATCCCACCCAACTCTGGTAGAGCAGCAACTTAGCCATGGAAGAAAGTTCTAACACCCTTGTTAGAGCTGGCTCTCAGAAGCCCGAACACTGAAACCTCTGCTCCCTGAAGATTTCTTCTGCAAATTCACAGGCTGCCTAGTGTTCTGGCAGAAGCCCCAAGCAAGACAATGCAGGCCTGGATTCTGCTCCTGCTTTTCCTAGTGGCCTGCTATGTGACCCACGGAAGGCCTTCAATCTGTCTGTGCTGGTACCCACAGGTCCGAGCCCCAGGGACCTCACTGCATGGACACGCATCTTCTGCTGCTCTCCCAGGAATATTGGGCTGATTGTGTGAGGTGTCCTGAGCTCCCACCACCCAAGGTTTATGAAGCACCTTCTCTGTGTCAGCCCTGTGCAAGGTGCTAGATCCTCAGTTTACCCCCTTCTGCAAAGCCATGATTGTCTTACTGAAGGCCAGTCTGTAGCTCCAGTCGCTCCAGTCTTCAATGAAGATAAGCAATTTGGTAAACGTGGATCTCCTGTGAGAGAAGAAAGCAACTGGGGCATCAAAGCTCCTTTTAGGTAAATTTTCCAGGGCCACAGAACTCATGCAGAGTGACAGATTGTATTTCCAAAGATGGCCACCACAACAATTTCCAACCCATGTGCTCTTCTCACACTGTGACATGACCTCTGTTCCCTCCCTGGATCCTGAGACAACGGTGGAAGACACACTACTTGACTTTGGAGGCTAGGTCATAAAAAGCAACACAGCCTTCCCTTGGCCCTGTTGGGATGCTCCATTTTAGAACCCAGACACCATGGTATTAGGAAGCCCAGGCCACCTGGAGAGACTGCATGTAACAGGCTGAGCTGAGGTCCAGGAGATGCCAGCCTCAGACATGAATTTGAGAAAGGCTTCAAAATGACAATGACTCCAGCCCCAGCCGTAATCTGACCACAACTGCAGGAGAAACCTGAGCAAGAACTGACTGGCTGAGCCCCGCCAACACCCAGAAAAGAGAGATAATAATAAAATGATTGTCATTGCCTTAATTTGCCTGAATGGGGGAGTGATATTTTGTGAGCAGTAGACACTAGGAATATGTGGCAAGAAGCTTCTTGCAAATCACCTTTGCAGGATTGAGGAGGGCCTGTCACACCCTGGAGTGTCCCTCCCTCTATTCTATCCTTTGCTGAACCAAAGGATGCACACAGCTCTCTGTAACATGATAACAGTCCACACCAACTGGCTGAAACATTGGAAAGCCCGTGTCCCTATGAGGTCTGGGCTACGAGGAGTGCTGTTGGCCTCAGCCCCTACAACTCCTGTTAAAACTTATTTCCTGAAAACAGGAAATCTGAATCAAGTATGGACTTCAGTTAATACCAATACATCAATGCTGATTAAGTAATCATGACAAATGTACCATACCAAGAGATATTAATAATAAAGGAAACTAGGTGGGGGATATACAGGAACTCTGAACAATCTTCAGAATAATTCTGTAAATCTAAAACTCTTCTAAAACAAGAAGTTTAGAAAAATCATCGATTTCTGGCTGATTAGAATAATTCCCCATATTGAGGGCATGTCAGCCTCATGCCAGTGCTTGACATACATCCCTATGATGTCCAAAACATCTTGCCGGTTGGAGATCATGAGCCCTACTCCACAAATGAGGAAATGAAGACTCAGAGAGGTTGAGTGCCTTGCTCAAGGCTGCACAGCTGGCATGGGATGGGAAGGGCCATGATTGGAGGCAGATCTCACTGACTTCCCCTCCCCAGGCCACCTCTCTCTTCTGGGGAGGCTGAAGCAGGGAAGAGAGTAGCCCATGGAGAGCACCCAGGCCTAGACCCCATCTTGGTTCTGTCCTTCACTGGCTGTGTTTCTATGGGCAGCTTTCTTTACCTCTCTGAGCCTCAGTTTCCTCATCTGAGAAATGGGATGCAGATGCAGGGTTCCTATGGGGAGTAAAGAATGTACAGGTACTGTGTTTCCATCACAAAATGATCCGTGCCTGCATTTCCAGGAGGGTTTCCAGAGTGGATCAGTGACCAGTCTGACATCCTTCCAGCTTCACAGCCTGGGATGCTGTGAATCTGTCTCTGTAATTGTTCAATGCCTAGCCAGTGGTCTGGAGTCCAGACAAGGCCAAGGACCACAGAGTGGCCAAACTCAGCCTCTGGGTGCCCTGAGCAAACCATCCCCACTGCATCCGGATGGAGCCCTCTCCCCAGGCACACAAAGCCTTGGCTAAGCTGCCTCCACTGAAGGCACCTGATGGAGGATTCTAGAGGAAAACTCCTTCCCTTCCTCCTTTTCAATTCACTTCCAAATTTACCACCAGAATGCGCTGTCCCTCCCGCTTGCCCCTCAGGGTCCAGTTTCTACCTTTCTCCACCCCTCTCTGAGCCTGGGAGGCTGACCTACAAGGGCGACATCAATATACCCCACACCCTGAGGCTTCCCATTGGGTTCGGCTGCTGGAGTCACAGGCAGAGAGAGGAGCTCACAGAGACAGACTCGACATCCCAGACTGGGAAAGCTGGAAGGGCACTTGAGAGCTTGTGTCCACCCCACCAATGAGGCTTCTGGGGCCCAGAGAGGGAAGGGGGCCCTGCCCAGGGTCACACAGGGAGCAGGTGGCTGGCTAATTCTCAGTCGAGTCAACATTTGTGGGTGGGGAGGATGGAGAGGCAGCAAGAAATATGCCACCCTGGGCACCCAGGGAGCTGGAGCTCCAGGAGAGAGAAGCAGGCTGAAGGGCACTTATTCCAGCTCCCTCTGTATCTGAAGTCACCCTCCCCAGCCCCTCCATTTGGGATACTCCTCAACAAAGATTCAGACCAAACACTCACCCCTACCCCAACCCCAGGCTGATATCTGTAGACAAACCTCAGCTATCAGGCAGGACAATGGTGTTGGGTGTCTAACTCTAGAGCTAGTTCAATTCCTGACTCTACTGCAGACCCATTGTATGTGAGCTCCGGCAAGTGACTTAGCCTTTGGTGCCTCAGTTTCCTCTTCTGTAAAGTGGGGATAACAACAGTGCCTGCCTCATGGGGCTGTGAGGATGACATGAGTTGAGACTTATAAAATTCCAAAGCTGTGTCTGGTCCTCAGCAAACACCCATTACTCCCAGGACCCATCGTCACCCCTAGGTCACAGCCAAGCTGGAAGGGCTTTGGGGTGGGCCAGTCCAACCTGCCAGAGCACAGATGGGGAAACAGAGCCCCTCAGCTGGGCCCCTCCCAGCTCCCTGCCCAACCCTGTGCACTTGAGATGTGCTGGGGAGGGTGGGAAAAGGGGGGGCTCTACTTCCTGTTCCCTCCCCCTGCCTCTTCACTGGGGCCACCTCCAGAGCCAGCCTTAGCGGCTCCTAGAAGTCCCCACAGCCTAGAGTTTGGCGCTGGAGCCAGATCGCTCTCTGTTCCTGTCTACTTCCTGAGCCAAGAGGCCCACCATCATGCAACAAGTCCATGGCCCAGGACATGCGGGCATCTATCCAGCATTCATTTACTGAGCACCTACTGTATGCAGATCCTGCAGTGGGCATTGAGGAGACCTCAGAGACTAGAACATGGGTCAAGGAGACAGACAAGAAAATAGACAGATGTAACCCCCGTGATCAGTGCCAGGATATGGCCTGCGGGTGCTGAGGAAACACCTGGCTCAGCTTGGGGGGCAGGGGTGAGAGGGGGCTGGTCAGCCTTCCCTGGGCTGGGGGGTGGTATTTGGTGCAAAGACATAAAAGATGTCTTTGAGCTAATCAGATTCCTTTATTCTTTTAGTCAACAAATATTAATTGAGCACATGCTATGAGCCTAGCGCTGGAGATGATGTCAAAATGGCAGTGAACAAAATGGATGAGGTTCCTGGAGACAGTCAATAAACCCACAAGTAGATGAAACGGCAAGTGTTGATGGGCTCAAGAAGGAAGATGATGCAGGAACAGATGGATGGGAGGGAGAAGGGAGGACAGGCAGGGGCTGTTTGGGATCAAGTGGTCAGGGTAAGCCTCTGTGGGAAAGAGCACTGGGCGGAGGCCTGAGGGAGTGAGGGAGCGCCATGTGGCATCTGAGGGCAGGGTGTCCTAGGCAGCGGGAACAGCCAGGCCACAGGCCTGGGAGTGTGCAAGCATGGCCCACAGGAGGCAGTGCAGGGCGTGTGGCACAGCTGGGGTCGACGTGTGTGTCAGAGCAAGTGGGGAGGGGAAAACGGGAGGAAGGGCTGAGTGGGAGCAGGATGGGGAGGGGCTTTGGAAGGTAAGAAGACTGGGTTTTCTCCTGGGGCCAGTGGGAGCTTTGGAAGGGTTTAGTGAGCACTTGTGCTTCTCTTGCTCATGCCAAACAGCGACCCAGATCTCCTGTCCCACATGGCAGGGGGGCGTGGGGTAAGGGTGGTCGTCCCTGCCTACCCATCCCCCAATACCACCACACGCTGGTTGTATTCAAACCTCCACCTGGGAAGACCAAGTCTCCCTACCCCAACCCCCAGCCATGGCCGAATGGTTCCCAGATCCACACAGGACAGAGGCAGGTGCCAGACCACACCAGGGCCAGTGTGTTTGAGGGACACACTCCGAGGTCTGGGCTGATGATGCCCCCACTCACAGGCCAGAGCACACCTGACAAAGGGAAGGAACCGGGAACCTTGGGTCCTATTCTGACCCTGCCCCCGAGTCCCCGTGAGCCTGGGGGAGCCCTGTCCCCTCCCTGGATATCAGTTTCCCCATGAGGACACCGCCAGGTCTTCAATGCCACAACCCCACCTTGTCCTTCTGTCTCCACAGCAGACTTGCTTCTGGGTTTGACCTTCCCAAGCTCCAGGGCTGCCCTCCCAGAGCATCCAGAAGCATCCACTCCATTTGGGCCACTCACTCCAGGGAGGCTTGAGGCCTCTGTTAAAGAGCCACACTCCGGAGACCTGCATCTCCCTAAGGCTCCCGGAACCCAGTCTCCCCTCCTACCCCGCTGCCCAGTGCTCCTCCCCTGCCCTTCTATCATCAGCTCCAGCTGCAGGAGGGGCGCCTCTGCTCATTCCACTGGAGGCTCGACCCCATGCTCATTTATTTCAGACATGACCTTTGATTTCTCGGGTAGAGTGTAAATTACATGTCGCCAGCATAAAATATTAAATCCAATTTATACTTAATTATTGATGCTATTATGTATTCTATAGTAATGGCAACAGAAATCTCAGCCCCCGTCCATGCCCAGTAAATAGCTTTTTTGCATTAGAGGCTCCTTGAGGTAAGAAATCTTGCTCCATTCCTTCTTAACCGTATGATTGATGATTATGGGGAAGTTCGTAAATAGTCTTCCAGAAATATTTCTCTGGTCGTCCGTAGCTCCGAAGGAAGGGGGCGGCGGGGGGGGGGGGGCTGTGCTAATTATCGGGGCGGTCGGGCGGATGCAGCGCGCCCCACCGCCATTTAGATGGGTGGGTTGAGGGTTGGCGAGATGGGGATGGTTTAAGCGAAACCATGCTGAGTGGTTTAAGGCAGAGCGGAGGAGCACAGAGGTTTTCTGAAGGCTTTAAGTCACATGTAATCTTCGCATGGACATTGGGGTTTTGTTTTTTATTGAAACATTAATAATTCTGGTTTCTTGTAAAATATTCATGGTTCCTGTTGCTGCATTCAACCCCACTCTCGGCCGCTGCTTTTAATTTCCAACTCAGCCCGTGAAGGCCTCTGCCGTCGACCACCCATTGCTCCAGTGCAATTTATTAAGTGGAGGTAACGGTGGCCATTGGGTGGTCAGAAAAATCGAGCTCAGGGTTTCTCTGAAGCAACTAGTCGCAAGCCAGAAAGGCCCAGGAGCAGGCAAGGCTGCTGCTGGGCAGGCAGATTGAGCACTTCAGGGCTGAGCACTTCAGGACTGAGCTGGGGAAGGCAGAGGCAGGGTGGAGGAGGCAAAGGGGGATGACGAGGGAGGAAAAAAGCTGCCCAGATGGTGGGAGAGCATCGTGACAGCTCAGGGCAGGGAACAGCAGAGCAGAGCCACAAAGAGCGCAGGCTCTGAGGAGAAATGACCAGGCTCCACTCTACCTCCAACTCGCTGTGTGACCTTGGCAAGTGGCTTCACCTCTCTGAGCCTCAGATTCTCCTCTGGAAAACGGGCTCTGCTCGGCCGATGGCAGCCTCGACAGTTGCTGTCGTGTTGCATCAGTGTTGTATGTTTGGAGAGATCTTAAGAGACCTAGAAGTTTAGCCCCTTCTTTGAACAGCTGAGGAACAAAGCCCAGAGAGTGGAAGTGACTCACTCATGGTCCTGCCTTTATCACCTTGTGAATAAGATTCCATGCCCTTTTCAACCTGAGCTCTGCAATTCAGATTCTTTAAAACCAGTCAACATTCTGAGAACATTGCCTGAGTTCATCCATGGAGCCCTGCCCAACCACATCCCACGCCACCCCAAAAGAGCTATTAAAAGGCCTGGCTGCCATTGCAGCTGGGGTCCTGTCCCTCCCCCACCTCCCATCAGGGTCCGTCCACCAGGGTGGATGCAGTTCCCTGGGGCCCTGGCTACTGGTGCAGCGCAGCAGAGGCTTAATATTAATAGAATCCCAGAATGTCAGCCCTGGAAGTGACCTCAGCAGTCAGCTTCCTCTGCTCCATGGCTTTGTGGGTGAGGAAACTGAGGCCCAGAGGAGTTAAATGATTTGCCAAATATTGTGCAGACACAGACAGAACCACAGCCCCCAACCCCTTAACCTACGGATCTCTATGTTGACTCTGCCTGTGGTGTGGTGGGATGAGGAGAATTAGCCCCGAGACTTTCAGCAGGAGTGACCATAAGGCCACAGACGTCTGGGCTCCAGCCAGAGGTGGCCACCACTTGCATGTGTTTCCCAAGCCAGATCCAGCTCTCTGTGCATCTGTCTGTAATCAGAAATCTGTCTATCCACAGCCAGGCATGCTCGGATTCAAATGGCCAGATGGTCTGTGCATAGATCCTACAAGCCAAACCCCTGTAGCCCCAGTCCAGGTGTCAACACATTGAACTGAGGGGCCAGGAGGTACCAGTGTCCCCAGAGGAGTGGGAGTCCTTGTTGCCCCAGGAGACAGGTGGGGATGTGACTCTCTGGCCCACCTGCCCCAGAGGCAGAAAGGTAGCCCACAGAGCCAGCCACAAAGCCAGGAAAGGGGCACACAATCCCTGAAGCATGAGTTCCCCAAGTTCCCAGTTATCCCTGGCACTTACAGCTTTCCTCCCTTTGGTCCTAAATTCAAATATATCTTGTTATTAGTAATACAGACAACTTAGGGAAAAAAGTAAAAACTACTCCAACTCCACCAGCAGAGATAAGCCCTAACCATTTTGTTAGGTTCTTTTTTTTTTTTTTTTTTTTTTTTTTTTTTGAGAAGGAGTCTTGCTCTGTCGCCCAGGCTGGAGTGCAATGGCATGATTTTGTCCACTGCATCGTCCGCCTCCTGGGTTCAAGCGATTTCCTGCCTCAGCATCCTAAATAGCTGGGATTACAGGCATGTGCCAGCATGCCTGGCTAATTTTTTTGTACCTTTAGTAGAGACAGGATTTCACCATGTTGGCCTGGCTGGTCTCAAACTCCTGACCTTGTGATCTGCCCGCCTCGGCCTCCCAAAGTGCTGGGATTACAGGCGTGAGCCACCGCACCTGGCCCCAGTTTCCATTTTAAGTGCACTTCCATTATTTTCTTCTGTGCACTTAGCCTGAACTTTCCCTTTTTTTTTTTGTTTCCTCATGTGAACAGAAACAGTAACAGAACATACTCTCCCTCTGGTTTGCACAGCTTCTGGCAGCTGCAGCACTGCCTTTTCCATATGAAGCACACTGCCAAATAACAAAGCTTGTCTCTCTCTCTTTGGGCCTCAGTTTCCCCTCTGGGCCAAGGGTGATCTCCACACACCCTACATCTCCACAGGGCCTGTAGCAGGGAGGCTTCCAGAACTGTGAGGACATCCAGAGGGACTCCTGGGTTTCTCTTTGATGTTCCCAGCCTAAAGTTCAAAGGGATGTGTCCCTTCTGTGGGGACAAGCCAGCAAGCCTTGACTCTTGCAGAAGCAGATGAGGGAGCCTGGGATCTGGGTGGCTGACAGACCTATACTGGGATCTCACAGGGAAGACCCAGAGTCCAGACTGTGGCCTCGATTCGTTTAAGCGTGTTGGAAGAGGCATCAGTAGATCCAAGATCTGTTCCCCAAGGCCACCCCGGGCCTCACCTGGGAAACTCATTAACAAAAGAGATCACTGGACCTCACCTGGGGGATTCTGATTCTGTAGGTCTGAAAAGAGCCCCCAGCCCACCAGTCCCAGAGTTTGCTTTCGTCAGGGGGAATAGGCCCTACCCAAGAATTTGATCCAAGATAAATTAAAGAATAAGTATAATTTCATGTAATGCTATACATGAATGAAGACTGGGAGCGAGTGGCTCTGTACAAAGGAGGCCCAGGGCCCACCTGCTCTGCATAGGAAAGGAACTGGAATTGGGGGAACATTGGCTGCAGCAGAGTGAGAGAAACAGGAGAAACAGGGTCTTTGACAGAGTCAAAGAAGGGACAGTGCAAACAAGAAATCTCTGCTGCCAGCCCAGGCCACATGGGAAGACCCTCTTTTTACTAAAAATACAAAAATTAATTGGGTGTGCTGGCACATGTCTGTAGTCTCTGCCACTCGGGAGGCTGAGGTGGGAGAATCTCTTGAGCCCGGAAGGCAAAGGATGCAGTGGGCTGAGATCATGCCACTGCACTTCAGCCTGGGCAACAGAGCGAGACTCTGTCTCAAAAAAAAAAAAAAATGGATGGTGAATATAGAAACACTATCCAAATGTGTGGTTGTCTCATTTCAAAAAAAGAAAAGAAATCTCTGCTTGTGGGTCATGGCTGAGACATTTCCAGAAGCATGATGTCTAGCATCAACTTTGAAATTGGTCACTGCCCTGTACTGACATTACCCCCTGCTACTCTCCAATTTTCAGGAAATGCCTGCTGCATACAATATCTTGTGTTGGGGGAGCTTTGGGAGTATAGAGGCAGAGAGGGGGTGTCCAGTATGGAGCAAAGAGGGTGGCAAGAGAGGAAGCCATCTAGGAAATCTAAGGTGTGTCCAGAGTAAGTGGCAGTAGGAATGTCTAAGGCCACAGCACAGAAATCATTCTGCAGGATGAGTGAGGGCAAATGGCGTTTTCCCTAAATGCACCAGAGGATGGAGACCCTCAAAAAGGGAGGAGGAAATACTTGGTGTATCAGTTAAGAGTGTTTGATTGCATACTGAAAAAAACAGTAACAGTGACTTAAACAAGGTAAAGGTTTATTTTTCACATAAGTCAGGAAGTAGGAGTCCACGTATGGTGGTTCTGCAATGTCCTCAATATCCTCAGCCCCTTGTATCTTTCTCCCTCACCATCCTTTGCACACAGCTTCCATCCTCGTGGTTGCCTCATGTTCCAAAATGGTTGCTGATGCATCAGCCATCAGATATGCATTCCAGGTAGAAAGAAGCACAAAAGAGCAAAAATGTCAAGTGCCAGCTGTCTGAATCCCCTTTCAGAGCTTTCCAAATAGTCCCCCCAAACCCCCAACAACTTCCACTGGGCCACAAATCTAGTCATACGGTTACATCAAGCTACAAGATAAACTGGAAAATGTGTTCTTTTAACAGACACAGGGCTGCCCTGGGTAAAACTGAGGTTCTGGTACTAAGAAGGAGCAGGCAATCACCAGTCTCTGGCAGAGACAGGTTTCACTTAGAGTAAGCAAAAATCTGTTGCCCTCTGGCTTCTACCTGTGGGTCCTGGTTCTGCCCTTTGGAAAAGTCTTTATAATTTCTAGTCTGTCTTCTAAATGACAGCCTTCCTCTGAACATTATCTTTTCTGGTTATTTCAGGCCCTTAACCACTTTTTAGGACACAGGCTGAGATAAGATGTAAAGCTTTCCTTATATCATTTCACAGATACTCTCCTTATATCATTTCACAGATACTCTTCAGTGTGCCCCCCACCTGCCCTCAACACACAGACACACACAAAACAGACACTCGAGCTCACAGTTGGATGGCCATGGAACAAACCCTTGGCAGGGTGCTGAATCTGAACACGGGAGGAAGGAGGACGTGCAGGCAGTGGGAGCCTCCCTGGAGGAGTGAAGTTTCAGCTGAGTCTGGAGGCGCGAGGAGTCAGCTAGGAAATGAGTGTGGGGAAGAGCATTCCAGGCAGAAGGAACAACAGGAAGGAAGGCCCAGAGTCACCGGAAGTGAGAGGAATAAGAGAGTACTCAGGGAACTAAAACAAACGGGGGTATGGCAGCGCTTCAGGACCTAGGAAGAGAGGAGCTCGAGGCGAGGACCTACCCACTGGGCATAATCTTTAGGAAGGTTGTTCAATCAGCAATGCTCCACCTGTTCTTGCCAACACCTAGCCTGGGCATTGTATCAAAAAGACAATGGAGTTAGTTCGGCAAGACTTTATTCCCAGGAGTCATCACTTTCAGTTGTTTTTCACTCTTCTAGAATGTTCCAGTAGTGCAAGGCTATGCCTCGTGGTTGGTCAGTAATTGCTCAGAATCTGAATATTCCTCTTTTTTGAAAATGATACAAGGCCCAGCACCACCCCCCCACCACCTCCCCACTCTCGCCAGCCTTCTAATGCCACGCTGGTTTTCATTCCTTAGGGATGGACATTATGGGGTCACTTCAGAGGTTCTTGCAGGGCTTGAAGATCTGAAGTCATGTAAAGGACCCTAGTATTCTCCTGTGGTGTTCTCACCTATCTTGGGCTGCCATTTATTTTTAACCATATTTGGTCTGCAAGTTGCCAAGAAACCATGTAGAGAAAACCAGTGTGGTTTGGGTTAAGCCCCAACAGGGTGCAGACAGCAGCCAAACTATTTCCTTCTTCCTCTAAGATTTCTTCTGCCGTCTTAGCCCAGAGCAGACCTGAAGAAAGCTCTCTCTGCAACCCTCTACTGCACCAGCTCCCCCAAGCTCTCCAGAGAGCCCAGCCCCAGCCCTCACCTGGAACCACTCCCTGACACTGGGGCGTGGGTTCTTCCGGTGGGAAATTGGCCAAGCACTGACCATAGAGACTATAAGGACGAAGGGAGGAATAGAGAGGCCTCCTCAGAAAGGCAGCAAGAAACAGCTCCGTGGAACATGGGGGGAAATGGATCAGGGAGATCATGGAGAGCACACACACTGAGCCTCACAGAGGGCAAGTGGAGCCCCCATCTCTTCCATCTTGGAAGGCTGATCATATTAAAAAGTGGGAGGAAATACTGACACAAAGTGCAAATATCAAGATCTATTTCAAATATTCACATGTAGCTAATTTAACACCCTAAAGATTACAGGGCAATTTAGTTGTGATATTCTCAAGATTGCTCCAGGACTGATGCTAACGCATGTAAATTTGTAGTGTCCTCCACAGTGAGGGGAAGTAATGGAACAGATTCTTCTCTCAGCTGAGTGGAAGGCCCTGTGTGATGGGTGTGTAACCTCATTTCAGGAGATTATCAAAAGTTAATGAGAGGCTCTTCCCAAATATCTCCAAGGAAGGACCATACACTAGAGCAATGGTTCTTAATAAGGAATGATTCTGGCCCTCTGAAGACATTTGGCAAAGTCTGGAGACATTTTTGGTTGTCATAACTGTGAGGGTTGCTACTGGCATCTGTTAGGTAGAGGCCAGGGATGCGGCTAAACATTCTACAACGCACAGGACAGCCCCCACCACGGAGAACTGCCCTGGCCCAAATGCCAATCATTCCAAGGTTGAGAAACCCTGGCCTTGAATGAGGCTACTCTAGATCCTCTCTACCAAAGCTGAAAGCCAAGCCTTGGCGATGACCACAGGGAAGAAGGAATGCAGAGACTGAGTCCCGCCAAGTTAAAAGGGCTTGGAAGAAAGCTTGGGCTTCACACAGGTCTGCCCTAACAAAGTGTAAAACCAAACCCACACACACACACTTAAGGTGATCGGCCAGTGATTAATTATCTAACTGAACACAAATCAACAACCTTCAGAGAAAGATAAGAGAATCCAGAATCTTTACAATGAGTCATGCATGGTTTACAGGCAAAAAGTAACACATGCAAAAATAGGAAAATGCAACCCCATCTCAGCAGAGAAATGGAAACTATTTTTAACAGAACCACATGAGCGTCCTGGAACTGAAAAATACAATGAGTAAAATTTAAAAATTCACTAGGCTGGGCACAGAGCCTCATGCCTATAATCCCAGCACTTTGGGAGGCTGAGGCAGGCGGATCACTTGAGCTCAGGAGTTCAAGGCCAGCCTGGGCAACATGGTGAAACCTTATTTCTACAAAAAACACACACAAAAATTAGCTGGGCACAGTGATGTGCGCCTGTAGTCCCAGCTACTCGGGAGGCCAAGGCAGGAGAATAGCTTGAGCCCAGGAGGCGGAGGTTGCAGTAAGCGGAGATCGCACCACTGCGCTCCAGCCTGGGCAATGGTAGTGAAACGCTGTCTCAAAAAATAAATAAATAAATAATAAATAAATCACTAGATGGGCTTAACAAGCAGATTGGAGATGGAAGAAGAAAGGGTCAGTGAACCTGAAGGCAAATCAATGGAAATTACCCAATGTGAAGAACCAAGAGACAAACAAAAATTGAAGAAAGGTGAACAGAGCCTCAGGAACCTTTGGGACAAGATCACAATGTCTAACGTATGTGTGATTGGAGTCTCAGAAGGAGAGGTGAGCGAGAGTGGGACAGGAAAGAAATGTTAAGACATAATGGCTTGAGATTTTTCCCAAATTTAAGGAAATGTGTCCAAGGTTCTACAAAGAGAAGAGCTGGGCTTGGAATCTGGTTCCTGTGGTTCAACGATAGGCTATGTCCTCTGTCACATGCTCCACAGGGGACCATGAAGGTACCTGTCCAAACCCAAAAGCCAGTGATCCTGTGGGTCTCTTGGTGAAGGAGCAGCTCAGAGACACGTTTGGGCACAGCCCGATTTTCTGGTACCACCATCCTGGTTCCATTTCCTGCTCTTGTTCTTCTAGCCTTGAATCACTGTTTCTAGCATCAGCACATCATCATCCTTTCTGGAATCAGGGTGAGTAAAATTTGGTGATAAATGTGGACAACCCAACAAAGAACATTCTCTTCCCAACTCAAATGGGGAGGGATCTGGGACTTACAGACTGCTTCAGCCCTATCAGGAGTGGGCTGTGGCAGGACTGTCACTCTCCTGCTGCCTTGTCTGGACCTGGTTTGAGCCTGGCACAACTCTGGGCTCTGTAGGGAGTACAGAGAAACCCCAACTCCAACACACACACACACACACACACACACACACACACACACAGCTCAGGGCACAGGTAGACACGGAGCCACATAGCCACAGGAGGACATCAACACACATACACTGAGTACGTACTGTAGACCAGGCGCTGAGGCACTAGCAGAATTTGGATAAGTAGAGAAGAAGGTGGCAGAAACACATAACCTGCATTTCAAGGGTAATACAAGATCTAGCTGCCTAGCTGGAGGGGGACATCTTCATTCATTCATTCGTTGTACCAATATTTATCAGGCACTCTTCTAAGGGATACAGCTGAAGAGATCTGGGGCCATAGAAAGGTGGGCTTCCACCCCAGGTGAGCACTTTAATGGGCCTGTGGAGCCCCAGCAAGTTGCTGAGCCGTGGACTGGCAGGAGCAGTGCCCAAGTCTGGGCTGCACCTGAGCAGGGCCCCAGCCAGCTCTTCCCAGTCACAGGCAGGGGCTGGCTTCACCTTGGGCTTCAGGGCAGTTCCCACCCAAAAGTGCAGCCCCTCTGCAGTGCCCTGGGCTCAGCTAAGACTGGCTCCTGGCTGTAAGAACATCGGCCTCTTCCCCTCCATTGGGGTTGAGTGGGCAGAGCGGTTGGCCTCAGCACATGATCATTCCTTGCCTATTCACTCATCATCCCAATTAGTGAGCTGGTGGGAGCTGCCCCCTCATTTCCACAATGATCTATCTGCACGTGCCTAATCCCAGGAGCTGAGCCAAGAGAAAAAGTGATAGCAAGGTCTTGAGACTTCTCTGAAGGGGCTGGGCTGGGGTGTTTTGGGGTAGAGCCACTGAAATTGACGGGTCCAGGGAGGACCTATGGAGACCCAAATTTGAAATCTGGTGCCTATGTCAGGAAACAGGACAAAAGCTGGTGGATTAATGACAGCATTTCACATCAAGGCTCACAGAGTTGAGCATTCTCAGACCAAAGAGTCCATCTTTTCTCCATACACAAGGCGAGGGGAAGCAGGGAGAAATACAAGAAAACAATCACAAACCAAAGCTGAGGCCAGCAGGGACAAGGCACCGCAGCGTGTTTTTGGCTGCTTCTTTCTTCTCTGTCTTCTCCTGGCAGAGTGCAGCTTCCCCTTTGCTGACCAGACAGCACTGACCATCGGCCTCGAGAGATCTGGACTCCTTTAGCCCAAGTCGCTTCTAGTTGCTGTTGACACATTCACCACCTGCTTCCTGCTCTGCCAGAGCCACTCCAGGGAGGGCGTGATGGGGAAGAAGAGCTCTGGTCCCTCCTGTCTGCACGCAGTCCCAGGTCAGAGACAGCTGCGGTCACAGCCTCTTCCCCTCCTCTCTCTGCATGCAGCCACCCCCTGCCTCCTGTCACTAGCTCAGCTCAAAGGGCACCTCACAAAACAAGCCCCGGTGTGCACAGGGACATACGTGCACCCAAGATGTTCACCACAGCATTGCTTTAGCAGAATTCATCAGGTCAGTACAACAAAAGATCACACATTAAACATAAGACAGTCAGAGAGTGGGAAGTTGTTTATAATACACTAAGTCAGTGGTTCACGAATTTGCAGAGCAGCAGAACAATCTGGAGGGTTTGTTAAAACACAGACCACTGGACCCCACCCCCAGAGTCTCTGAGGTTTGGGGTTGAGAGGGAAAGCAAGAATTTGCACTTCTGACAAGCTCCCGGGTGATACGGATGTTGCTGTCAAGGGTCACACTTTGAGAGCCACTACATTAAGTAATAAAGAAAATTCAAAAATATATGCAACCTGATATCATTGTGGTTATGTGTAAATAAATGATTAAGATACTGGTGGGGCACAGTGACTCACACCTGTAATCCCAGTACTTTGGGAAACTGAGGCAGATGGATCACCTGAGATCAGGAATTAAAGACCAGCCTGGTCAACATGGTGAAACCCTGTCTCTACTAAAAATATAAAAATTAGCTGGGTGTGGTGGCACACGCCTGTAGTCCCAGCTACTCTGGAGGCTGAGGCAGGAGAATCGCTTTAACCAGGGAGGTGGAGGTGGCAGTGAGCTGAGGTCACACCACTGCACTCCAGCCTGGGCGACAGAGCAAGACAATGTCTCAAAAAAAGAAAAAAAAGATACTATCAGTCACTGTCTCTGTGTAATGACATCGATTCGAGGCTTTTTATCATTTTATTTTTTTTTCTGAAAAAAAGTTGTCTGCAGTAAACACAGTTATTTTTGTAATGAGAGAAAAATATTTAGGCACTTCCTTCATGACACCTCCCCAGGCATCCCCAGAGAGAAGTAACTGCCCCTCCCATCTCCCCCTTTCTGCTGGTGTCCTGCGGAGCTCTCCCTTCTGCCTTGTGTGGGTTAAGCTGTCCCCACACCTGTCCCCATCAATAGGCAGGAAATGCCTTACACAGGAACTCTAGCTCAGGCACCTCCCTGTCCCCACACAGGGCCTGGCATAGCGCATCTTTCTCCATCCAAAGCCAGTGGGAACTCACAAAGTGGGGTGGAGGTCATAAAACGAACGTGGACTCCCCAGTCCAGTGGCCTGGGACAAGCCTGAATTCTGCCACTGCTTGGCTTTGAGCTGTTTGGTCCCAACTATGGGTTCTGGGTTCTGGAATGGCCTAGCCTGCCCCCACTGGCCACCAGCTTGGCCTTCATAGCACCCAAAACCATAGCACCACCCCAGTTGGCTCCACATCAAAGGCCCTCCCCCACCAGGAAGCATTCTGGTTACCAAAATGGTCATTGGTGATGGCACCATTGTCCAGAGAGTCCCTGCAGGCCTGGAGATGCATTCCTTCAGGCCCAAAGACATGACTAGAAAACTGCACAATTGTCCTAACTCCAACACTTACCAGTAGCATGACCCTATATAAATAAACTTGCTATCTCTGCATCTTTATTTACCCACTTGTCCCATAATAAGGTTGCATTAGAGAAGTGACACTCACACTGCCCCCTCCTCAACCTCCCCCTGACAGACATGATTAATCAATCACATTATCCTATCTCCCTGAGCCAGGAAGCAGCCTCAGAATTTTCTTAACGCTAATTTCCAAGCATAGTTCTCCAATGCAAGCAAACCTTCAAGATAAAAGTTATTAAAATTAATTAATTGATTTTTTAAAAATATAAAAGCCATTTGCCATTGCTGACCTATATTATTCCCTGTTTCCCTGAAACCTAGAACAATGCTCAGCAGAGTAGCCATAGTCAATCTTCGTTCAATGAATCTACATGGATACACACCAGCTGTCACCGGTTATTATGAAAGGGAAATCTTTGGTAGCCACCAACCATCCTGTGCAAACTCCAGACCAACTACTTCCTCCTTCCAGGATCCCTGACCATTGAGTTGGCGCCCTCTGCTGTCCGTTGGCTGGTACTGCAAAGGACTGTCCATTCTCAGCCCTAAGGAACTGTGAAAATTGAGCAGAGAACGATGCCAGCCATTGACCTCGTAGTAAACAGACCCAAACTTCCTCATCATGATGACCTCCTGGGGTGGCTTTGGATGCAGTCGGCTGCAAGCCCCGCCAGACACCATGCACGTGAGTATCATTTAGTCTCTTTGAGCTTTGTTTTATCCTCCTCCCCTCTCCTTCCTGTGTCATCCGCAGAACTGAGGGCCCTCTGTTCCAATTCTCTCACTCCACAGCTGATAGGATTGAGGCCAAGTGAGGAGAGGGGATCAGTTCAAGGTCTCACACACCACTCAAACCAGAACTCGGGTCCCCATACTCCCAGCTCTGGGCTCATTGACACACCAGGTTGCCTTCCTCTTCTCTAACAGGTGGGACAGGACAGGCACAGTGGCTCACGCCTGTAATCCCAGCACTATGGGAGGCCGAGGTGGGTGGATCATGAGGTCAGGAGTTTGACACCAGCCTGGCCAACATGGTGAAACCCTGTCTCTACTAAAAATACAAAAATTAGCCAGGCATGGTGGCACACACCTGTAATTCCAGCTGCTCAGGAGGCTGAGGCAGGAGAATTGCTTGAACCTGGGAGGTGGAGATTGCAGCGAGCTGAGATCACGCTATTG
The DNA here is from genome assembly GCF_000001405.40 of Homo sapiens. Lineage (NCBI taxonomy): Eukaryota > Metazoa > Chordata > Mammalia > Primates > Hominidae > Homo > Homo sapiens. Next base: position 25,102,291 of record NC_000001.11, read on the forward strand.
CACTTCAGCCTGGGCGACAGAGCAAGACTCTGTCCCCCAAAAGAATCAGATAGGAAAGAAACTGCCCTGGGCTTGGAGTCCTTGCGTTCTCCAAGGGCTTCACCCACTTGCCGCGGGGTGGGGGACGGGGGGTGAGTTCTGCCTGGAGCTAAGGAGTTAGAGGGCCCCAGTTCAAACTCTCTGGCATCTTCTCGACATCTCTTTACCAAGATCTGCCTCATTTGGCCTCTACCCATCTCTCTGATGTCATCTCCCCACCCTTGCCCCCCATTCACTCTGCTCCAGCCATAACGGATGGCCTCGTTCCAACCTCAGGGCTCTTGCACTTGCTGTGGCCTTTTGTGGAACCTCCTGTCCCCAGATCTTCGCATGACTGAGTCCATCCTGTTTTTCCTCAAATGTCGTCTCTGCTGAGAAGCCTTCCTCCACCACCTGAAGGAAGTCCTCCCTCCCACCCCCACAGAGGTTTTGTCTGTGTCCTAGCCCCCAGCACTTGCATGGGCACTCAGCAGGCACTCAACTAACAGTTGTTGATTAGATGAGTAAATTAGGGGCTTGAAAGGGAGACACGAGGAGAGTCCTAGAAAGGGAGTCAGGGGTGAAAGACGTGAGTTGAAGGCCACCTCCACTGCTGGGTGACCCCAGGCAAGTCACAACCTCTCTGAGCCTCAAATTTTCCAATTCCATGGTCTGTTCATGCCTGGACAGCCTGAGACTCTCTGATCAGGGAGACTTCAGAGCCTACCCCAGAATGCAGGCCCCTCAGACCTAGTGAGGGGGGATGGTGGGCTTCTCCTTCCTCCCCTCTCTATGGTCCCCTCCACTAGTTTCAGGTCCAAACCCCTCAGGGAAGGGACAGAGGAAGCCAAGACGAATGGGCATCCCCACTCCCCAAGGGCAGGCAGCCCACATGAGGCCTCTAGGATAATTACAGCCAGCTGGGCTGCCTCTACCCCCTACCCCAGCTCCCTGCTCCCTGGAAGCTGGAGAAGCTCAGCAGCTGCCCACATGTGGTTATTTGAACAGGGAGTGGGAGAGGGAGCTGGCAGGTCCACTGCTGGGCCATGGTGCCAGCTGGGGCCAGCCCTGCCTGACAGCCTTGCTTGAGAACCCACGTGTACAGGCAGGGCCAGGAACGCTGAAGTGCTGGGGCTCAGCAACTTCCCTCCCAGGCTGAGGGGAGCAAGAGGCCACAGGCCTCAGGTCAGAGCCACATGTGGCTGTGGGCTGTTGTCAGCAGATCCCTGCACAGTGTAAAGCCACGCTGCAAGCTGGGAGTGAGCTGCTGACAGACGCAGGCCCACATGCCCTGAGGCTGAAAGGCAGGGATAGGAGCCAGGGCCAGACCCCCGAGGGGACTCTAGGGAGTTCAGATGGGGCTTCGCCATCAGGCCTGGGAGCCAGAGCCACGGCCAGCTGCTCTCTGCTCACGGGGAACGGGACGTCAAGATGAGCCAGGGTGGTCCCCCTCCCTGCATGAGGGGCTTCTCAATGATGGGGCATGTTGGATACCATGTTCCCAGCTTACCCCAGTAGAAACTGCCTTCAGGCAGGGAACCAACCTGGAAGGACTGAGTCACTGATTCATGCTGGGATGTCAATGACCAAGGGTAGATCTGAAGAGCTCTAGGTGTGAAGCTTCTGGGGTTCAGAGCCCTCCAACACATTATCCTAGGAAAACCTGGCAGAAAATGGAATGACTTGGTTTTGTGTTAAGTTCTGTGCGTGTGTGTGCGTGTGTGTGTGTGTGTCTGTGTCTGTGTAGATTAAGACAGAATTGTCTGACATCTTTTAAATGTCCCAAGAGATCCTCAGTCTCAACAAGTGCAAAACCAACTCAGAATCTACCCTTCATCCAAGCCAGTCTTCTCTACGGGGTCTCTCAGCACCCCCAGGTCAGCAGGCAGAAGCCCACGCCTCAGCCCCATCTCCATCTCCCATCCTTTGCTGATTCCCAGAGGTTTCCCCTCCTGAACACCTCTCGAGTTGACCACTTCTCTCCTAAATAGTGGCAACTGTGGGTTTCCCCATACAGACCTGCCCCCAGCATGCGTGTTGGGCCCCTAACTGAGCCACATGAGATGAAGACATTGACCAAGGTCACTTCTTTTTTTTTTTGAGATGGAGTTTTGCTCTGTCACCCTACCAAGGCAGCCCCTGCCCTCCTCTTTCTCTTGCTATTCCTGCTCCATCACTCTTAAGGGTAGGGTGTGGACACCACAGCCTGCACTTTCAAGCTCCAGCCGCATTCTTGCAAATGACAACTTCTTCACCACCCTCAGACCCAGGGGTCTATACCCCAGAAGCAGATCCTCCCCTAGGGGAATCGGAATGAGGAAGAGGCTCCTGAAGGAAGAGGGGTTGTGGGTAGAGGCCCCAAGAGGCAAATGCCCTTAGCCCATAGACTCTTCTTTCCATGGGGAGAGGCATGAGCCAAGGAGAGCCAGAGCAGGGCCCTCTAAAGTACAAAGCCCAGGGAAGGGTTCAAGGACAGGAATGTCCTCATCTCTGCTCGGACCTCCCCTGCCAATTTCGTCCCTATTAGAGGCAACCAAAGAGATCTTTTTAAAATCCAAGAGGATCATGTTACACTCCCCTGCTTTATTCCCTCAATGGCTCTCCATTGCTTTTAGGATAGCTGCAAAGTTTCTCAAGCAGCACCTATGAGACCCTCAGGGTCCAGCCCCTGCCAGCCTCTCCATTCTTATTTCTAGCCCTGCTTCCCCTCTCTCTCCACTCCAGTCACATAAGCCTTCCTTCAGATCCCTGTGCTGTCCATGGTGCCCACCCACAGACCTTTGCACATGCTGTTCCCTCTGCCTGGAATGCTCTTCCCTCTCCACCTGGCCTAGCACACTCCTCCACAACCTGCAAGTCTTGGTTCTAGTGTTACCTCCACAGGGAAGCCTTCCAGGATTTTTCTGCCTAGAGTGATGTCCCTCCCCAGTACAGATTCTCATAGCTCCATTGCCCTCACTCACCACTGTGGCACTTGGGAGACAACTTGACACTTGCTTGTGTGATTATTTGATTCGTGGCTTTCTCCCTCTGCCTAAGGGTTCCATGCAATCAGAGTCCAGTCTATTTTTGCATTGCATCCTGGCACAAATATTAACAGCTGACATTTGCTGAGTGCTAACCATGTCAGGCATTGTGCTAAATATTTTCCAAGCATTATTTTGTTGAATCTTCTTGACAACCCTATGAGGTAGACACTGCTATCATTCCATTTGGCAAATGGAGAAACTGAGCCACATGGGATGAAGACATTGACCAAGGTCACTTTTTCTTTTTTTTTTTTGAGATGGAGTTTTGCTCTGTCACCCAGGCTGGAGTACAGTGGCATGATCTCGGCTCACTGCAACCTCCACCTCCCGGGTTCAAGCAATCCTCCCACCTCAGCCTCCCAAACAGCTAGGATTACAGGCATGCACCACCATACCTAGCTAATTTTTTTTTTTTTTTTTTTTTGGTAGAGATGGGGTTTCACCATGTTAGCCAAGCTGGTCTCGAACTCCTGACCTTAAGTGATCCGCCCACCTTGGCCTCTCAAAGTGCTGGGATTACAGGCATGAGCCACGGTGCCCGGCCCAAGGTCACATTTAATAAGTGGCAGGGTGGGACCCAACCAAGGCAGTGTCAGTGTCAGATGAGAGTCCGCAGGCAGCACTGCACCTCTCTTGTTTCTCCCATAGCATTGCAGTCTCTCCATGGCACATGCTGCAAGAACGTTTTCAAATGGACAGAAAGAAACACACACACACACACACACACACACAATCTGGAAGAACATGCACCAGAATGAGAACAGATGTGGTTTCTGGTTGGTTTGTTTTCATCTTTCACTTATTGTGTGTTCCAATTTTTCTATACTAAACAAGTATTGTTGATGCCTTTAAATTGAGAAAGAAAAACTTAAAATCTCTTTAACTTTGAGAAAGAAGAAAGAATGGAACGAAATCAAGATGTCCAGAGAAATGGTACACCATTCCTTCCATTCCACCCAAAGCCCCACCTTGGTAGAAGATGCAAAGCACTTTCCAGATATAAAGTCCTGGTGAGGTGGCAGGAAGAATGTAGGCGCTGGCTTCAAACAGACCCAGATCTGACTCTCAGCTTCACTGTGTGGCTTTCAGCCAGTGACTTAACCCCTCCTCTGACCTCAGGGACCTCCTCTGTAAAGTAAGGTCCTACTGTCTCTCCTCCAGGACTGCCATGAAGACTAGAGAGAAAGTACATAAATGACTCAGCATGGGATGTGGCACATAATAGATGCTCAGTGAATGGTGGTCATCAGCTTCAGCCCGCCCTCGTGAACAGACAAGAGGCAGCGTGGGCACCTCACAGAACCCAGGTTCCCACACACCATCTGGCCCCTTGGCTGGGCCTCTTGTGAGCCACGTTCCTGCCCTCTGGCTCCAGCTGTCTTCTCTCTGGGTTTCACTGCTTGGCTGGCTGGCTTAGGACACTGGACAGCCTGAGATGACCCCAGGGCAAGCTAGGGGTGGCAACCCCAGGACACAGGCCACCCAGACAGCTGTTTTCATGCCTCCAGGCATCCCATGGTGGGTAGAGAATATGATCCCCCACTACCACATCCCCACCATCTCCCAAGGAGGACAGAAGGAGCATTTTTTTCACCCAGGTGGAAATGCCAAATCGGCTTCTGGGGGCTGTGGTTTGGAGATCCTCTAAGGGGACACTCTTCTGAGACCTCGGGGAGCAACACAGAGGGAGGCAGAGAGAAAGCGGGAGAGCGAGGTGGGGAACGGGCCACCTGGAGGCCCCGTGGCATGGCTCGCCTGGTATTTACTTTCTGCCACAGCCTTGAATACCATCGGGCTCAGAAGGAATTTCCAAGAAGATCGAAATTTGAGGAAATCAAAGTTTAATTAGTCACAGCTGCCGTAATGTATTCCAGGTGATGGCTGGCACGGCTGTCTCCCCTCCAGCCCCTGACGCCTTTCACCCTCTACAGGGGCAAGTAAACACTGGGGTGTTTGCGGTGGGAGCCCTTCTCCCGGGTCAGCTGAGCAGGAATGGGGGGGTGAGGAGAGGGCCACGTGCGGCCTCTGGCCACCTAGGCTGCGGTCTGAGAGAGAGGACTGAGGGAGCCCTCCACGCAGCCATCTTCGCTCCTCTCCACTCCCTGCTCCACTCCCATTTGGCATCTTTGCAAGTGAGAGCAAAGGCCACGTGGAACGCTAGGGATGGGCTCAGAGTCATGGGATTAGGTCTCAGCTCACTCCTCAGTGACAGTGTGAGCTTGGACAAGTCATTTAACTGGGAGACTGGCAAAACAGGCAGGAGTCAGAGGGCCTGGGTTTGAATCCAGCTCTGCCACTCAGCTGTGTGGCCTTGGGAGAGTTCGTGAAACTCTCTGAGCCTTCATTGCTCCATGTATAAAATGGAGTCAGGCAGAGACTCATGGGATTCCTGAAAGAGTCAAACAAAGTAATATGAGAATGACGTTAGTGCAGAGCTGAGACACCACAAGAATTCAATGAGTAACTGCAGTGGGCCTCAGTTTTCCTATCGTCAAACTAGAACGGGGATCCTATGCTACAACAGATGAATAAGTGCTTTCAGCTCCTAACAAAAGCCCACGCTACAGGCATGCATGGATTAGCCTATCCGAGCAGTGGTCCGCAGAGAGAAGTGTGCTGAGGCACCCGCGGTGTGGGAGGGTTGCACCAGGCATCCTGGTGTAGAGTCCAGCTGCAGGGCTATGATTGGGGCATGGACTGATAAGGTGTGAAACGGGTTCAGGTGATGGGACTTGTCTTTGGTTCACCCTACTCTGGGTCTATGCTAAACTGAACCACGTCAGACGTCACTTCAGCCAACTGAAGTGTATGACCCCCTTGCTAGAGCCATGCCAGTGGGTGCCACCAGCACTCCTCCCACTCTGTCATCAGATCAGAAGGAGTTTCCATGCTCCCAGCTTAGCAGCTCATCAGAAGCTGGTTCTGTTCAGTTCCAACCAAGTCTGGGGACAGGGACAGTGGCTGGGGCTTGCCTTTCACCTTGCTCCTGCCTCCACTAAGCCCTAGCTCTACCCCATGCCTGGGGATCTGAGTGTCCAGGGATATAAAAAGAGACTGTCTCCACCAGGCACAGTGGCTCACGCCTGTAATCCCAGCACTTTGAGAGGTCGAGGCAGGCAGATTACTTGAGCCCAGGAGTTCAAGACCAGCCTGGGCAAATGGTGAAACCCCACCTCTCCAAAAAATTAAAAAATTAGCCGGGCCTGGTGGCACATGCCTGTAGTCCCAGTTATTAGGGAGGCTGAGGTGGGAGGATTGCTTGGGCCTGGGAGGTGGAGGTTGCAGTGAGCAGAAATTGCACCACTGCACTGTAGCCTGGGCGACAGAGCGAGATGAAAAGAAAGAAGAAAGGAAGAGAGAAAGAGAGAAGGTAGGAAGGAAGGAAGGGAAGGGAAGGGAAGGGAGAGAGACAAAGAAAGAAAGAGAAGAAAGGAAAAGGAAGGACGGAAGGAAAGATGGAAGGAAGGAGGGAAGGGAAGGGAAGGGAGAGAGACAAAGAAAGAAAGAGAAGAAAGGAAAAGGAAGGACGGAAGGAAGGGAGAGAGGGAGGGAGGGAGGGAACTGTCCCCAAGGACACAGAAAGCACCATGCCAGGTGGCTGGTCAGTGGGCAATGCTTCTGCTGCCATGAATGGGAAGACCCACATGTGCGCTCACAGAGACTGGGTCATCGGTAGGCACGAGCTCAGCTCCACTCGGCTTTCTGAGGTCTGCTGCAGACAGTTCCTTTGGGATTGGAGTCTGCCATGAGGTGGACTTGACTCCTCTCACATCCACGTGATCTCTCCAGGGCCCACTCCTTGTCCTCTTCCCTGCCAGCCACTCTCCCTCTGTCTCTCTCCTTTTCCCCCATCACTGAGAGTCATTTCTAGTCTGTTTTTGAAACTCAAAGCCAAGAATTTTTTCCTTTTCTCTCTTCATTTCCCCTTCCCTGAGTCAATGAACTGAAAAGCCCAGCCAACTGAAGGGAAGGGTCAAGGAGAGGAAGAAAACACCAGAAACCAAAACCTCCCAGCCAACAGTTCAAAACCAGTATCTCACTACACAGTAGAGGCAGCCCATGTGTAGCCCCAAGTACACCACCACCAGGTATGCCTAGGCAACCATGTTAGGTGGAATATTTTCCTTGGATAAATGTGTTATTCATGAAGACTGTCATTTGGGCAGTATTTATCTTCCTCTTACTCTGCAGCGGTGATTGAGAAGTAACGGTGTGGCAGGCACCATTTGTTGCCTGTGTGCAGCCAACCTGCCTCTACCACAGAGGCTGAAAATGGCAGCTGGTCACTTTCCCAGCCTCTCTTGCAGCTATAGATGGTCACGTGACCCAATTCTGGCCAGTGGGAGCTGGGAGGAAGTTGGCTGAAATGACTTCTGGGAAAAGTTTTTCTCTCTGGTTTAAAAAAAAGAAAAGATAGGTGAGGAGGAGACACCCTTCCTGCTCATAGAGGATGTGTGAGGTGAGAAGAAGACATCCCTCCTGCTCACAGAGGGTGTGTGAGGACTGTTGCTGTGGCAGCCATCTTGTGACCACAAGAGAACAAGCCTGAGAACAAAAGCCCATAATTGGAAAGCCCCTGGTTCTCTGAGGATATAATTGTGTCTTGTATAATCAACCTGCAGACTTCCTGTTAAATGAGAGAAGGAGTGGGAAACCTCTTAAGTGAATTAAATTTTAATTCACTTACTTGCAGCCAAAAGCAGCCCAACTGACTCTTAGAAAGCGTTTCAGAATTCTTTCAGGTCTGTGCTACTTAGGGCTCTTTTTAGTTGCAAGCAGCCACAGCAAACCAAACCAATTTAAACTTGCTCAGCCAAAAAGGGCAATTTTAAACATTAATATATGTGAGTGTCTTACGAAACTCAGCGGAAATATGACTGGGCCTCAGAACACTTGGAACCAGGAACCAAACCAAAGACTGTCGAGATTTTCTCTCTGACTCTCATGTTGTGTCTCACTGTGTGAGGTAATAAATTCCTGATAGTCTTTTTATTGCAATAAGTCTGATTGTCCAGAATTGACTTTTTAAATTTAATTTTAATATGCCTTGAGAAGAAAAATGAACATATTTCTTAGCTTTAAAACCGTTAAAACTGCATTTATATTGCAGAAGTACTTTTAACCCATTTAGACTGCGAATGATTTTCCTTTAATGCACTAAGCGTGTGTCTAGAAGGATCTGGAAACACTGTTTCCTTTTCTGCAGACCCACCATGTCCCATTCTGGGTGCGCTGAGAGAGTCTAATGATGAGAAATCTTCAGATGACAATGTGGAAGAAGGCTCCCTCTCTGGTGTCTCAGTGAGGAAGCCAGCGCCCCAGCGGCCAGACTCGCTTCACTTGGGGGAACTCCATTTCTGCTATGCAGAGACCATCTCTCTCCAGAGAACCTGCTGCTTCACTTTCCTAACATGAGTTCAGCATTCGGTTTCAAATCCTCTGTCAGATGCCAACACAGGAAGAATTTTCAGTGTCACCATGACTCCATTAACCTATAAACGCAACATTTTGAGTATGTTGTGTCTGTAAGAAGTAAAGTTTGTGAGGTTTTTTTTTTAAGTCTACCTTTTACATTTTTTTTTTAAGATCAAGTTTTGAGGCCGGGTGCAGTGGCTCACGCCCGTAATCCCAGCACTTTGGGAGGCCGAGGCAGGAGGATCACCTGAGGTCAGGAGTTCAAGACCAGCCTGGCCAACATGGTGAAACCCCGTCTCTACCAAAAACACAAAAATTAGCCGGGCGTGGTGGTGCATGCCTGTAATCCCAGCTACTCTGGAGGCTGAGGCAGGAGAATCACTTGAACCCAAGATGCCGAGGTTGCAGTGAGCCGAGATCGCGCCACTGCACTCCAGCCTGGGCAACAGAGCGAGACTCCATCTCAAAAAAAAAAATCAGATTTTGAAATATAAAAATTTGATAATAACACAATCAAAGGTGAGTATGAGAGAAGGTGAATGGGCATGAGTGAACGTCCAATGTCACACGTGTGTGGATGGTTTGGGGATTTGTGTGTTTTCAAAGCTTCTCCAGTGATCCTGGGGCAGGAGGAACCACTGTACAGCGTGAGTCCCTTGAGGACAAGAGCCCAGGTCTTATGCATCATTGAGTCTCTGCCCTTAGGACATATGTGACTGGCACATAGTAGGTGTTTAATCAACGTCCTCTGAATCAATGAATGAGGAAGAGAAAAGGTAGCAGTGCAGAAGTCAAGAAAGGATTTTCTGTAGGCTCTTTTCCAATCATAAAATATCAGAGAAGCTGCTTCTACTTTGGGAACTAGCCTCTCAAGAAAAGGGCTGGGGACCAGGAGGTAGGGGTGGGTCTGCCAGGAGTTCAAAGGGAGCCAGGGCCCTGCTGGGGATGCTGAACTGCAGCCAGGGCTGGGCTCAGACAAAGCGGCTTCTCAGAAGCCCCCTGCCCACGGGGAGGCTCACTGCCCTGCTCTAGGCCACAAGGAGAAAACGCGTTTGTTTACTTGACCTGAATGACATGTTTATTGAGCCCCCCTCCTGGGGATGCCAAGGGCCTTTTAACAAGCTCCCCAGAGGGTGAGTTCTGAAAATGAGTCGCTGATGAGCCAGAAATGGAATTTGCGAGTTTGCCTTCCCAGTCTGGTCCTACTGGCCCAAAGCTGCTGAGCAGCTGGGCAGAAGGTGCTGTCTTGTGAATCAGGGGCCTTGGCCTGTCCCAGCAGGCAGGGCACTGCGGGCAGGGCAGAACTGGGATGACCCAGCTGTGTCACACTCAACAGCATCTAGACAATCAAGGCAAAAGTGGTTTGTCACTCTAGTTGTCTGGATCAATCTTCCACTGCAGTTAGCTTGAGTAGATGGCAGCAAATGTGATGGGGAAAATGGACTGAGGGAGTTTTTTGTTTTTGAGATGGAGTCTTGCTCTGTCACCCAGGCTGGAGTGTAGTGGCACGATCTTGGCTCATTGCAACCCCCAACTCCCAGATTCAAGTGATTCTCCTGCCTCAGCCTCCAGAGTAGCTGGGATTACAGGCACGAACCACCACACCCAGCTAATTTTTGTATTTTTAGTAGAGACGGGATTTTGCCATGTTGGCCAGGCTGGTGTTGAACTCCTGACCTCAGGTGATCCGCCCACCTCGGGCTCCCAAAGTGCTGGAATTATAGGTGTGAGCCACCGCACCCGGCCAAGTTTCTTGAACAGAAACACAGTTTTCTTTCTCTTTGGTCCCACCAATTTCAGTTCTTGCCCAACACCAGCTACTCAAAGAACGCTGTTCCTCCTTTGATTCAACCCTCTCATTTTGCAGCTGAGGAAACAGAGGCCCAGAGAGGAGAAGTAACCTGCCTGAGTAGTAACCAGCTAGGTGCCTTCCATCAGGATTTATAGTTTACAAACTGGCATATCTACATACTTACTCTTGCTCAGTCCTTACAATAAACATGAGCTAGGTATTAGTACCCCATCGTTGTATTTTATCATAAAATTACTTTCCATTATTTTTAAACTTGCCTCTTGTTTTCCTCAGCATTCTATTTTAGGAAATACGTTCTTTTCTTGGATCTTACCGGATGCTGCTGCTGTTGCTGGTCCTCAGATGGCATTTGGGATCCACCGCTCTAGAGAACGCTGGTTGAGGCCCTGCGCAGTGGCTCACGCCTGTAGTCCCAGCCCTTTGGGAGGTTGAGGCAGGAGGATCACTCGCGGTCAGGAGTTAGAGAATGCTTGCTGCCTTTACTCTGATTGTTCATTTTTTTCTCTCTGTCCTTTCTTTCTTCTCCCTTATCCTTTTCTTTCTCCTTCATGTCTACCTTTTTCTCCCCTTCCTTCTCTACTTTTATCCTTAAGGGGCAGCCCAGAGTCTGTCTTGAGAGTGAAGAAATATGAGTTCCAGTTCCTGTGTTGTCACCACCTTGCTGGGTGACCTCAGACAAATTACTTCTCTCTGGGCTTCAGTTTCCCCATCTGTAAATGAGAGGAGAGGCTGCGCCTTTGCTCTTTGAAATTGCTTCCAGCTTGGAAAGCCTGATATGGCTACAAGTCTCTGGAATTCTGCCGACTCACTACTGAGGCAAATGCATTTTCTGCGTTCTGATCTGTTGGCTGAAGTCTTTTTTTTTTTTTTTCTTTTTTAGATGGAGGTTTCCTCTGTTACCCAGGCTGGAGTACAGTGGTGTGATCTCGGCTCACTGCAACCTCTGCCTCCTGGGTTCAAGGGATTCTCCTGCCTCAGCCTCCCAAGTAGCTGGGATTACAGGTGCCCACCACTATGCCTAGCTAATTTTTGTGTTTTTAATAGAGACAGGGTTTCGCCATGTTGGCCAGGCTGGTCTCGAACTCCTGGCCTCAAGTGATCCACCCACCTCGGCCTCCCAAAGTGCTGGGATTACAGGTGTGAGCCACCATGCCCAGCTAAGCTGGCTGAAGTCTTAACCAGAGAAATTGGGGTACATCAGTAAGAAGTCAGACCAAAGGGGACAGGCTGGTATTCATTCCCGCTAGAGAGAGTCCCCCTCAATGTCTCACTGCTGAATTTACCAGTGCCTCCTCACTGGTGACAGGGGCGCTTCCATGCACTCTGCTCCAAGATTATGGGCCATCCTACTTTGTTCTCTGTTATTGAGTGTGACGTGGCTGTCACTATTGATTCAGCATTATTGAGAGAGAAGCTTCTTATTTCCTCTTAGGGATTTTGACGGCAATCAAGATATGCTGGCAGCAGGGGACCAATGGAAACTTGGTAATGGTCTGAACCTTTTATACTCCATTATATTCCTTTGAAAAAAATTAAAATTGCTCTTAAAATGGTTAAATAAATATTTAAAAGTTAAGTAGCCTTAAAAGATCAAGATCTTTAAGGAAAGCAGCTCATGAACATAACACGATACCTTTCTTACAACGTTCATTCAACTCTACTCATTCTAACCATGGTTTTGTCTGCAGTGTTGTCAAAATACTTCTTCCAATTTCCTCTCAAATTGATTTTAAGAAGACAGTATTCCCAGTGGGCCTTCCCACTGAGCGTTGATGTTCTAGGGTTTGAGGACTTTCAGGAGTGGGTACTTAAAAGCCCTTATCTTTGTTCCTTCTAATAAAAGAGATGTGATTGCCTGCTTTTGAGTAATCACAAAGCAGGTTATTACTGGTCTTGAGAAAAGGTCACATGGCTGAAGGTGTTGTATTTACATCCTATTGATGCTGTAGCAAATTACCACAAACATAGTGGCATAAACAACACCAATTTTTTACCTTACCATTCTGGAGGTCAGAAGTGTCACTGGACTAAAATCAAGGTGTGAGCAGGGCTGTGCTCCTTCTGGAGGCTCCAGGGAAGAACTTGTTCCTTGCTTCTTCCAGCTTCCAGAGGCTGCCTGCATTCCATGGCTCATGGCTGTCTTCTCTCTTCAAAGCCAGTAGTGGCATCACTTTGACCTCTGCTTCCATTGCCACCTCTCCCCGTTGATTGGGACTCTCCTGCTGCCTCTTTCCCTTTAACGACCCCTGCGATTACATTGAATACACCCAGATAGTCCAGGAGAATCTCCCCATCTAAAGATCCTTGACTTCATTACATCTGCAAAGTCCCTTTTGCTGTGTAAGGTAATGTGTTCACAGGTTACAGGATTAGAATGCTGACATCTTTGGGGTGCCATTATTCTGCTTGCCACAGGTGTCTTTTGACTTCAGGGAAATTAATGTGATAGAGTGCAGAAGTAAGCCAGATTCTTCCCATCCCTATACTCATGCCCCTTCTCAACATGACTTCGCAACCCCTTCCATCAAGAGGTTGAGTCTATCTCTTTACTTTTGGAAACTGGGCTTGACCACATGACTTTCTTTGGCCAATGGGACATAAGCAAATATGGCACAAGCAAAGGCATTGCCTCCTTTTGCTACTCCCGGGAGCCCTGTGACCATACCCATGCGGAAGAGCCCTTGGTAACCTACTGATAGTAAGAGACATAGCCCAGTCACCCCAGGAAACAGCCAACCACGTACTAAATGTGAGACCGTTGTCTGTCAGCTGACTGTGGACACATGAAAGAGCTCAGCCGAGACTAAGAGAAGAACAGCCCAGCTGATCCCATCCCAAATTGCCAAACCATAGAATCCTGAGTAAATACCTTCCTGTTTCAAGCCACTATATTTCTGTGTGGTTGATTATGCAGCAAATGCTAACTGACACAACTAGGGACCCTCTTTTGTGCAATTAGATAGAGATTTTTCCATTCTGATCTCATGTCAAACATTTCCTCTTGATTCTGATGGGTAATTCAGGAGAAATTCAAATGAAATGAAATGAATTTCTGGTGAAATGAAATTTACACCTTACCATTATTACAGAGAGGTAGATAACTTTCCACTGACCATTTAAAAATAACAGAATTGCTTCCTAAACAAATGTCTAAGACTCTTAGACAAGAGTCTTATTTTCTTTACTAGACTCAATTTCCTGGAAGGCAGAAACAATGTCTTTTGGCTCAGGTCCCTCACAGAGCAGGGACTCAGGGTGGCGAGGGGTAAAGAACATGGGCTCTGGAGTCAGAAATACCTGAGTTCAAATCCTCAGGTATTTGAACTTTGTTTGCTAATTACATGAACTTAAGCAATCAGATAGAGGAGCTTAGGCAAGTTACTTTTTTTTTTTTTTGGCTTGTTTTCAGATTTATTTTCTTTCTTTTTTTTATTATACTTTAAGTTTTAGGGTACATGTGCATAACGTGCAGGTTAGTTACATATGTATACATGTGCCATGTTGGTGTGCTGCACCCATTAACTCATCATTTAACATTAGGTATATCTCCTAATGCTATCCCTCCCCGCTCCCCCCACCCCACAACAGGCCCCGGTATGTGATGTTCCCCTTCCTGTGTCCGTGTGTTCTCATTGTTCAGTTCCCACCTATGAGTGAGAACATGCGGTATTTGGTTTTTTGTCCTTATGATAGTTTTATGAGAATGATGGTTTCCAGCTTCATCCATGTCCCTACAAAGGACATGAACTCATCATTTTTTATGGCTGCATAGTATTCCATGGTATATCTTTGATGAGTTGAGAGAAGAAGGCTTCAGACGATCAAACTACTCTGAGCTAAAGGAGGAAGTTCGAACCCATGGCAAAGAAGTTAAAAACCTTGAAAAAAAATTAGACGAATGGCTAACTAGAATAACCAATGCAGAGAAGTCCTTAAAGGACCTGATGGAGCTGAAAACCAAGGCACGAAAACTACGTGACGAATGCACAAGCTTCGGTAGCCGATTCGATCAATAGGCAAGTTACTTAACCTCTCCCGAAGGCTTGAGTGGGAGGTGGGAAATGGTGATCCAATCAGGATCACCCACCTTCTCTGTTTTAGCCAACAGAAGCCGTCCAAGGAGGATTTGGGGGGATTGAGAGTTGATGGCCAGATTTTAAAAGTGGATCTATAAGGAGAGAAGTGGCAGGTGCTGAGGAAGGGGTTGGTTGGCATGCAAACCCAGGCCCTCCAGGAGCCCACGTGCAGACTGGCTTAGGTGGAGCTTAGGCAAGTTACTTAACATCCCTGTGACTTGTTTTTCTGACCCGTAAAATGGGAATAACGAAAGTACCTAACAAATAGAATGGTTCTGAGAATTACATACAATATGGGTAAGCACTTAGAAGAATGTCAGGCACAAACACTCAAAAGCATTAGGGATTATTTAAAAATAATAATCCCAGGGGAGGGCACATAGTAGGTGCTCAAGAAAGGCTTTTCCATTTGACTTGGATTTAGAGGATTTGGGTCTGGAAGGAATAGGAAGCAAAATTTCCAGCGCCCCAATTTAGGCAAACTTCTGTTCTTTGGGAGAGGCTGAGACATTATGGGTGTCAGCTCTCCTCATTTAGAAGTTTACCCTCACATCAACACTCGACCCTCAGTTCCTGATTAGATCCTGATTCGCAGTCACGCCAGAGTAACAGAAACCTTGGGACCTTCACGATTCAGTGCTACTCCCATAGTAACTAGTCTCTAAATATGTCCTCTCCCCAAACCAATGAACCATGCCTCCCAGTACTCAATGCAACAAAAGGATGGCATGTGACTTGAGAGACTAGGTCATATGACTTCCAAGGTTTTGGCCAGGGCCTCTTGGAATGCCTGCCTTGGGTAAAACCAGACACCATGGAAGAATTCCAACTAGCTTGAGTCCACCATGCTGTAAGGAACCTCAACTAGCCACACGGAGAGTCCATGTGGCAAGAGAGATGCCAACCAGCTTCCAGCTGTTCTAGCCACCCAGCTGAGGTGCCAGACACAGGAGGGAAGAAACCGTCTTGGACGTCATGTCCAGGTGAGCCACCAGGTGGCTCCAGCTCTAGTTGCCACCTGACTGTAACCCCAGGAGAGGCCTCAGGCCAGAACCACTCGGCCGAGCCATGTCAATCTACAGAACCAATCTCATTATCATGAGATAATACAGTTATTTGAAGCCACTTGGTTTGAGTGGTTTGTTATGCAGCAGTAAATAACTAGAAAAACTTGCAAAACTTAACCATGTGTTCGTTCCGTTAGCCATTTTTTTCATTGATTCAACCAACAAATTTTGGAAACAAGCAAATACAAAGTCCAATATGGGGCCCTGTGAGGAGTTTGCATTCAAGCAACATTAAGAATCTGTTTCTAGTCTGGCGTGGTGGCTCACGCCTTTAATCCCAGCACTCTGGGAGGCTGAGGTGGGCAGATCACTTGAAGTCAGGAGTTCGAGACCAGCCTAGCCAACATGGTGAAACCCCGTCTCTACTAAAAATACAAAATTTAGCCAGACATAGTAGTACCTGCCTGTAATCCCAGCTACTCGGGAGGCTGAGACTGGAGAATCGCTTGAACTCAAGAGGTGGAGGTTGCAGTAAGCCAAGATTGTGCCACTGCACTCCAGCCTGGGCAACAGAGCAAGACTCCATCTCAAAAAAAATAATAAATAAATAAATCTGTTTCTACTGGCCAGGCACTATGCAGGCACTTCCACAAGTTCTACAGACATTAAACTAGCTGTTACAAGTTTAGACTCTGGTATCAGACTGACTGGATTGAGTTCTGGCTTTACCACTTACTAGACTTTGGACAATTTGCTTAACCTCTTTTGCCTCAGTTCCTTCATCAATAAAATATGGAGGATGAACATGAACCTTATAGGGTTTTGTGAAGATTAAAAGATCCACATAAAATGCTTACATGCTGGTAACAGAGTCATCACTAAACAAAGGGAAATATTGTTCATAACTGCAACCAGCTTCTGCTTTCGAGGAACTTAGAGGTATGTCACAGACAAAATAATATGCCAGAAATGAAGCAAGCACCCATGAGTGTTTCAAATGAATGAGTGACTCCGTGCAAGATGAAAAGTACCCTGGTCATGAGAAAGGGGGAGATGGGTGCTCAAAGGCAGAAGGATGTTGTGGGTGTTCAAACGTAGGAGAATTACTTCTGGCTGAGATGCTCGTGGGAGGCCTCCTGGAGGAGGTAGCTTTTGGGCCAGCCAGTGAGGGGTGGAGAGGACTTTAGCGTCTGTGATAGGGAAACCACCCTTCTGGGAAGTGGGTGTGGAACAGCATGAGCACACAAACCCAGGCCCTCAGGAGCCCACGTGCACACCGGCTTAGTTGGAGCATTGAGTTTGGGAGGGGAGAGGAGAGACAGAGGTATGGGGCCAGATCATGATTTGACGACTTCCTATGTTTATGTACTTGGTGGAGCCTCCAACACAGAGCCAGGCATGTAGGCCAGGGAGGCTGTCCAAAAAGGGCCTTCCTGAGGGAGAGGGAATGGCAGAAATCAGGCCCTGGCCCCAACCCTGGCTCAGCACCCAGGGGACCAGAGGCCCAGCCAGCCAGGACTGTGGTTCCTTCTTTGTGCTCTTGGTTCGTGGTGCTGTGGAGACTGTGTATTGGAGGCAGCCTGGGTATCCATTCCGTCTAGCCCCTAGGAGGGCTGGGAACTTGCTGGAGAACCAACCTGGGCTCCACACACTCATTCCTCCACCTTCCTCAGCACCTACCACTTCTCTCCTTTTGAGGCCACTTTTTAAATATGGCCATCGCCTCTCAACCCCCAAATCCTCCTTGGAAGACTTCTTTTTTTTTTTTTTTTTTATACAGAGCCTTGCTCTGTAGCTCAGACTGGAGTGCAGTGGTGCAATCTCAGCTCACTGCAACCTCCACCTCCTGGGTTCTAAGGGATTCTCCTGCCTCAGCCTCCCCAGTAGCTAGGATTATAGGCGCCCACCATCACACCCAGCTAATTTTTGTATTTTTAGTAGATGCAGGGTTTCACCATGTTGGCCATACTGGTCTTGAACTCCTGACCTCAAGTGATCTACCCGCCTCAGCCTCCCAAAGTGCTGGGATTACAGGCGTGAGCCACCACACCCAGCCCCTCCTTGGAAGACTTCTGTCAGCTAAAACAGAGACAGTGGGTGATCCTGATTGAGAGGGACGCCCTCCCTACCTCCCACCCAGGCCATGGGGAGACATGGAAGGCACCAGTCCTCCATCCTTCAGTGAGCTGGTTCACCATCCTCTGCCTCTCTCGACTCACAGAGCCTAGGTTCAGATCCCAGCTCCACCACCTTCTAGCTGTGTGATTCTGGGCAAATCACACCATTTCTCTGGGTCTGTTTCCTGATCTGGAAAATGAGGAGTACAACTCCAATTCTTCTGTAGGGATTGAATGGAAAAATAAAGGTGAAAGCTCAGGACATAATAAATGCACAATAAACACAAGGGATTAGGACCTTCCATAGAGGCTTCCCTCTTCCCTCCTTCTTCCCTCCTGAGCCCCCTGCCTCACACCTGGAGCCCATCTCGCGGTTCTGTCCAGGATCCCTGAGCACACCCTCCCTGATCTCCTGGCCCTGCCTGGCCAGCCCATTGCCCTGGGGGCTGCCTGGCCAGGGGGCCCACTTCTTGCTGGGCTGCCAGAGGGGCCTTGAGTGTTGAAATCCTTCCATTCCACAAGGCCAGAAACTTGATTATGGTATTAATTAAAGCAAGATGCCAAGTCTGGGAGATTTATTTTCTTTTCCATATCTGTGGCTGTAAATGCCACTCAGGGAGCTCAAAGGCCCGTGTCAGCCTGCATCAGGCTCCTGAACAGACGTTCTGTTCCCAGTTTGGTCTCCTCAGCCCCTCCTTCTCAGCACCAGGAAGGAAGTGTGTGTCGTGATACCCACGCCTCACCCCAATTTCCCCTCCTCCTTCTGCACAAGGCGAAAAGGGGGAAATACCTGGGCAATGTGGGGTGGGGATGAAATTTTCCAAGAAATTTGTTTTAAGTTTCTGCCTCATCATTATAGGACTTTCACGTTTCTATTTTTAGCTGCGCAAACGAGCCAGGCCCACATTCCCCTCATCTCCCCCTGCCCCAACCTTTATTTATACAAAGCACATGCTGGAATCATTATTTAAAAACCTCCAAACCCATAATTGCTCAGGTAGGTGAAGAATGCAGCCTTTATGGCTGTCGCTTGCGGAGAGGGCTGCAGTGTTAGTGGGGAACTATGGCTTATTCATATGTGTACCACCCTGTACCTCACCCACCCTGAACCCCTGGAATGCCCAGAAGAATCAAGTAACTTAGAAGCATTTGTGATAATAGAGTTTGAGCATTTTATAAGAGGAAACGGCCCTACAGTACAGACGAAACTTGTCCCAAGACCCCTCCAAGATATTGTTGTCGTCACTGGGATTCGAACCCAGAGATGTCTCAACTTCCAGCATGGTACTAGTCATTCTACCCTACCATGAAAATTAGTGGAAAGCTGGACTGCCTGAGTTTGAACCTCAGAGTGCCACTTTATTTTTATTTATTTATTTATTTATTTTGAGGAGTCTTGCTGTTTCCCAGGCTGGAGTGCAGTGGTGTGATCTCGGCTCACTGCAACCTCCGCCTCCCAGGTTCTAGCAATTCTCCTGCCTCAGTCTCCCAAGCAGCTGGGATTACAGGCATGCCACCACACCCAGCAATTTTTTTTTTTTTTTTGAGACGGAGTCTCACACTGTCACCCAGGCTGGAGTGGTACAATGGCGTGATCTCAGCTCACTGCAACCTCTGCCTCCCGGGTTCAAGCGATTCTCCTGCCTCAGCCTCCCGACTAGCTGGGATCACAGGTGCCTGCCACCACGCCTGGCTAATTGTTTGTACTTTTAGTAGAGACAGGGTTTCACTATGTTGGCCAGGCTGGTCTCGAACTCCTGACCTCGTGATCCGCCCACCTCGGCCTCCCAAAGTGCTGGGATTACAGGCGTGAGCCACCACACCCGGCCAGAGTGCCACTTATTAACTGTGAGACTTTGAGCAACTTTTATCAAACCCTTCTGTATCTCAGTTTCCTTATCTATCAAGTGTGGATTACAAAAATACCCACCTGATAAAATTGCGTAAGGATTTAATGAGTGCCTGAAAGAGAGTAAGCCTGAGGTCCTAGCTCGGATTTCCCCAGAAAGCAGAGCCAAGCCATTAGCCACGCCGAGGAGTCATGCGTTCCCACGTAGGGAGTCGCTTTTCTCTCTGTGCAGTGGGGACCGTGGAGTATAGTTACCACTGCTGTGTTCTTCTAGGAGGATTTCTCTTCACCATTGTCTTCCAGGGTCACCCCAGGGGGTGGTAACTGTCCATGTTTTGCCAGTGCTATATATGGCTCCAACCTACCTGTGAACCAGCCGAGTTCTTTTCTTCAGTTGATCCTAAAGAACCCTCTGAGGCCATACTTGTGAGCTGAGTCAGAGCTATCAGTTTGGCCAGGTGCAGTGGCTCATGTCCGTAATCCCAGCACTTTGGGAGGCCAAGGCAGGAGGATTGCTTGAGCCAGAAGTTCAAGACCAGCCTGGGCAACATAACAATACCTGGTCTCTACAAAAAATAATAATAATAAAAATTAGCTGGGCGTGGTGGCAAACACCTGTGGTCCCAGCTACTCAGGAGACTGAGGTGGGAGGATCTCTTGAGCCCGGGAGTTTGAGCCCAGGAGTTTGAACATAGACCCTGGCCGGGCGCAGTGGCTCACACCTGTAATCCCAGCACTTTGGGAGGCTTAGGCAGGCGGATCACCTGAGGTCAGGAGTTTGAGACCAGCCTGGCCAACATGGCAAAACCCTGTCTCAACTAAAAATACAAAAATTAGCATGGTAGTGCATGCCTGTAATCCCAGCTACTCGGGAGGCTGAGGCAGGATAATTGCTTGAACCCGGGAGATGGAGGTTGCGGTGACCCGAGATCATGCCACTGCACTCCAGCCTGGGTGAAGAGCAAGACTCTGTCTCAGAAAAACAAAACAAACAACAACAACAACAACAAAAAAAAAAAACCATAGTGAGACCCATCTCTATTGAAAAAAAAATAGAGAAGTGTCAGTTTGGAAAAGGTAGTTATATGGGTTCTGCCCTGCTATCTGTTCATATAATTTATTTGTGCCTGCTGAACCTGCTTGGACCCAACCCCAAATAAACCATTTCCATCATATAACTCGAAGCATTATAACTAGCATTTTTATTTGGAAGCTCTGACAATACACAGCTCACAACAGACAGGCAGCTCTGCCACATGGTCACCTGCATTCCACAGTGAAGTACTCCATATCTACCATTGTTCGGTGTCATGCCAGGAGCTGCTTTTGCAATGGAGAGTCCTCTCTGCCAGAGAGGCCTGGCCTTGATACAGAACTCCAGGGATCTGTGCTCTGACCCTCCCCGTGGATCTCACAAGATGCTCTGCATGGTGTGCCGATCTAGCAGCGACACCTCTGACACTTTCAGATCAGCTGGATCAGATGGTCTAAGGGGCACAGCAGCTTGTACCTAGGGCTGCATTATGACTTTCATGGACACTAGGCATTCCTGCCTTAGCGGACCTCGTCTTTCATCTAAAAAAAAAAAAATGTAAGGCCAGGTGCAGTAGCACGCCTGTAATCCCAGCACTTTGGGAGGCCAAAGTGTGGATCACCTGAGGTCAGGAGTTCAAGACCAGCTTGGCCAACATGGTGAAACCCCATCTCTACTAAAAATACAAAAATTAGCCGGGCGTGGTGGCGCACACCTGTAATCCCAGCTACTCGTAAGGCTGAGCAGGAGAATGGCTTGAACCCAGGAGTCAGAGGTTGCAGTAAGCCAAGATGGCACCACTGCACTCCAGCCTGAATGACTCAGTGAGACTCCATCTCAAAAAAAAAAAAAATTAAAATTCTCTTTTGTGACTCCATTGGTGGTATAAAAATGAACATAATCTAGAATGGATCATTATTATTATATTCATTTTTCTTTTGATTTTAAAATAAATTAAAATCTTTTTGTGGGCTCATGAAAATATTAGGAGCCCTCCTCCCTGTGGATAAGCAGGCCCCACTCGCACTGCAGTCTGGACACACTGCAGAACCCTCTCTTGCTGTCTGCCTACTCAAAACTGGCAGCTTTCTAAGTCATCTAAGGAATGAGTCAGAGCAGTATTAGCAAGTATGCTAAAAGCTGCCTCCAAACTCCAAAGGGACCCACCAGGCATTGTGTCTATTTCTTAGCAGTAAGATGTGTAAGGTACAACAACTTGTCCTTTACTTTAGAGGAAATGTACTAGCACGCCCCAGACCACTATATCCCCGCAAACTTCACCAATGTGGCAGGTCTGCAAATCTTTGTAGGGCTTATATGTCTTTCCAGGGTATTTAAGGTACTCACTGCAGCCTCTGACTCCTGGGTTCAAGCAATTCTCCTGCCTCAGCCTCCCAAGTAGCTGGGACTACAGGTGCATGCCACCACGCCTGGCTAATTTTTGTACTTTTAGTACAGACAGAGTTTCACCATGTTGGCCAGGCTGGTCTCTAACTCTTGAGCTCAGGTGATCCACCTGCCTTGGCCTCCAAAAGTGCTGGGATTACAGGCATGAGCCACTGCACCTGGCGAGATTGTTTTAATCTTCAGTATATGAGGGAAAAGACCCACTATCATTTACCATCTAGGACTAATGGAACACTCTTTTTTTTTTTTTTTTTTTTTTTGAGATGGAGTCTCGCTCTGTCGCCCTGGCTGTAGTGCAGTGGCACGATCTCTGCTCACTGCAAGCTCTGCCTCCCAGGTTCACACCATTCTCCTGCCTCAGCCTCCCAAGTAGCTGGGACTACGGGTATCTGCCACCACGCCTGGCTAATTTTTGTATTTTTAGTAGAGGCAGGGTTTCACCTTGTTAGCCAAGATGGTCTTGATCTCCTGACCTCGTGATATGGAACACTCTTAAATATTTTAAATCTTTTTTTAAAAAAAACTTACAAAAATAAAAACAAAGGGAGAGTGAAGAACAACTTTATTATATATTCTAAAAAGAATTTAAACATAACAAACCTAAATTTTTATTTCTTATTTTCCTGGTTTGGAAGGTACATACTTTAAATGGACAACAGTCTCTGAATACACCTAAATTCTCATCAACTGCTATGCACGGACCAGGAACACATGCATCTTATAAATACAGATTTCAGATTCAAAATGCATCTCTATTGGATTCTAGCTTCTCATCATTTCTGATTTTCCTTCTTGCACTTGCAAACTCAAAGTGCAATACTTTAAGAATTTTTTTAAGCAGGAACACGTGTACTTTATTGAATGCCATTGTAGAAAAGTGTGTGAGGTTAAAGGGCTGATACAGGACTCGGCTCCAGGGGCAGGTCGAGGAATGGAAGGTGGAGTGTGTGTGCGACAGGTCGTGGGCAGAGCTCCTGGCCTGGATGCTGCCTCCTGTTCTATTGATAGACTTGAAAGATCAACACTGGGATGAAGATGAGCAGAATGCTCATGAGGATGCCCAGAACCAGGGCCCAGACGTTCAGGCACTTGGCGGTGGAGGCACAGGCCTGGCCCCCGGTTAGGTCGCCAACCATCTTCCTGTCCCTAGACTTCATGGAGTAGGTGACTGCTATGAAGCCCAGGCAGCAGGAGTTCATGAAGAGGGTGTTGAACAGGGACCAGACAACATGGTTGGGCACAGAGGTCTCGCTGTGGATGTGGATCACGGTGGACCTCGGGGGAGCAGAGTTGTGGGGTGCCCCCAGCACAGCCACCTCATGCTCCTACTTGAGCATCTGATAGTCTAGGGGGCAGCCGGTGTTGGCGGGAGTGAAGAAGGTTTGGGCAGTGTGGTTCATGGTTACTCAAAGACATTTTTGAAATTGTTAATGGCTTATAATTTTGTTGAAGACAACACAATAAGAAAACTGTAGACTGGGTTGGGCATGGTGGCTCACACCTGTAATTCCAGAACTTTGGGAGGCCAAGGTGGACAGATTACTTGAGCCCAGGAGTTTGAGACTAGCCTGGACAACATAGTGAGACCCCATCTATGCAAATAATAAAAAAAATTAGCTGGCCATGGTGGTATGCGCCTGTAGTCCAAGCTACCCAAAAGGCTGAAGCAGGAGGATCACCTGAGCCCAGGAGGTTGAGGCTGCAGCAAGCTGTGATCACACCACCACACTCCAGCCTGGGTGACAGAGTGAGACCTTGTCTCAGAAAGAGAAAAAAAAGAAGAAGAAAGAAAACTATAGGGTGATACTACACTGATGATTTATAATATTTTTCCATCATCCTCCTAGGCAATTCCATCATCATTCCATTTTCTTATTATTTTAGTCTTTTCCGCATAGCTTAGAATAGTTAATAAGTGATGATGAAGTAATTTCTAGGCTGAGGAAATGGCAAAATTTTTCAAGAGATAGGAAAAATGAGATCATACAATTCCATAATATATCTTAGATTTAAGAAGGTGTCCAATGGGCCCGTGTGGTAATTGCAAGATAAAGCAATATTTTTCTATTTAAAAATAACATACAATTTCTCTTTTTTTCTTTGGAAGATCTCTAAGGAAGAATAAGAGCCATGAAATGTCAATCCTTACAACAGAACTGCTCAAAAAAGAAACTAACTAGAACCCTGATTCCATCCTAAGAATTAGGATACACTAAGCAAAAGCTCTACTCTCAAATAAGAGACTTAGTGCAGTGGCATAAAGCTAAGTCTTGAATTCTGAACCTTGAGGTAAAATGTATTAGGAGAAAGTGACTGGGACTGTTGGTACCATATTAGTTGGGGTAAGATAAGCTGCTATAATATGAGAAGACCCTAAAATGCAGTGTCTTTAAGAGCAAAAAAGGCAAACATATTCCTGCTCTCGTTCATATCCAAGGTGAAAGTTTACAATTGGCAGGTATCTCGACTCCATGTAGAGATTCAGGGATTCAGGTTTCTTCCATCTGGAGGCTCTGACATCCCTTGGGAACATGTTATCACTCTCATGGTTGAGGACTCAGCTGGAGGGAATGGGCAGAGCTCACAGAGAAGACCCAGCCACTTTCTCAAGGCTTGGCCTAGAGAGATATGCATCACATTCTATTAGTAAGAACAAGGTCACATGAACACTCTCAGCCCCAAGGGAGGCTGGGACTTGTGGTCGGGCTATATGCCCATGAAGGGGAGGAGAATGAACTTTGGTGCACAGCAAGCAGTCTCTGCCACAGGGAATGACACGATCCTTTGATCATAGCAAACAAGTCCATTTCATCTCCTAAAGGTAATAAATAATTGGACTACATTACAAAGCAGTAACTCTGGCTGGGCGCGTTAGCTCACGCATGTGGTCCCAGCATTTTGGGAGGCCGAGGCGGGCAGATCACTTGAGGCCAGGAGTTCAAGACCAGCCCAGCCAACGTGGTAAAACCCCATCTCTACTAAAAATACAAAAAAATTAGCCAGATGTGGTGGTTCATGCCTGTAATCCCAGCTATTTGGGAGGCTGAGACATGAGAATTGCTTGAAACCGGGAAGCAGAGGTTACAGTGAGCCGAGATCGTGCCATTGCACTCCAGCCTGGGCGACAGAGCAAGATTCTGTCTCAAAAAAGTAAAAAATAAGGCCAGGCGCAGTGGCTCACACCTGTAATCCCAGCAGTTTGGGAGGCTGAGGCGGGCGGATCACCTGAGGTCGGGAGTTCAAGACCAGCCTGAACAACATGGTGAAACCCATTCTCTACTAAAAATACAAAATTAGCCAGGCATGGTGGCACATGCCTATAATTCCAGCTACTTGGGAGGCTGAGGCAGGAGAATCGCTTGAACCCAGGAAGGAGACAGAGGTTGCAGTGAGCCGAGATCACACCATTGCACTCCAGCCTGGCGACAGAGCGAGACTCCATCTCAAAAAAAAAATTAATTAATTAATTTAATTTAATTACAAATCAGAAATAAATAGAAAGCAGTAATTCTTAGTGGGTCAAAGTTGAGAATCAAAATCACCATGGAAGCTCTTTCTCATTTAGTTTTACTGAATCAGATGCTCTGGGAGATGACCTAGGCAAATACATTTGGTTTTTTTTTAGACGGAGCCTTGCTCTGTTGCCCAGGTTGGAGTGCAGTGGCGAGATCTCGGCTCACTGCAACCTCTGCCTCCTGGGTTCAAGCAATTCTGCCTCAGCCTCCCAAATAGCTGGGATTACAGACACCTGCCACCACGCCTGGCTAATTTTTTTGTATTTTTAGTAGAGACAGGGTTTCACCATGTTGGCCAGGCTGGTTTCGAACTCTTGACCTCAAGTGATCCACCCGCCTCAGCCTCCCAAAGTGCTAGGATTACAAGGCATGAGCCACCATGCCTGGCTGGCAAATACATTTTGAATAAATTCTCTAGGCAATTCCTCTATGATTAAGATCTTCTGTTCATTAGAGTAAGAAAGGTAAATCCAGTGTCTAAGGAGTCCCTTTCTGTAGTTAGAGGCCTTGTGTGGGGATTTGCCTGGCTATGGTTTGTGTCCTCATGGGATTCCTGAGATTGTATCATATCCCAGCCTGCGATCCCCTCCCCAAGCCCAGATCTGGCCCTTAGCAGGCTCTGAGTAATTGTTTAACGTATTATTTTTACTCTCACAACCGTAAGAGTGGGGAAGTCCTCTGAAATGCCATTAAACTAACAGATAGAAACTCTGTATGTCCCTTGACTCAATCTGGTTTCAAAAATAAGCATAAATAAACCATCTCAGAGAAAAGGCATTTCAAAAGTGTCCCCTCCCATGAAGTGAAACCATCACTGTGAGGCCGGAGACTCCTGAATGAGCTGAATGATGCAAAACTGTAACACCACTCTCTGCAACAGCCCTGGGCACAGCAACTACTTCCACCCCGTCCCCAGTGGGTGGGACTCTCTGGAGCAGAGCTCCCCCAGCTTGAATGTGAAATTGCAGATCCTGCTTCAGTAGATGTGGGGGCGGGTGCTGAGATGCTGCACTTCTAACAGATTCCCAGACATGGCCAATGTCACTGGTCCACAGACCAGGCTTTGAGTACTGAAGTTCTAGAATGCAAATGAGCAGGCAAAGGTAAGCTGTCTTAGAGCAAATGCAGAGACTCCCACCTGGCAGCTGAATCCATAGTTTACTCCTTCCCATCGGGTCCTCTTTCCTCCCTATTTCCAGCCTCTTGTCTTTGGGGACTGGACAGATATCTGTTCCAAACTTGAGGGTCTTATAGCACCCAGAGATGTGACCTAAGGTGAAAGGTGAAATCCGGAGCTTGGAGTCCTTTTCTCTAAGGGAATTATCTTCAAGCATCCTCTGGATGGAACAGAGACCTAATGAAGTATTTTCTCAATGACCCCAAGGCCAAGAACCTCAGAACAGGCAGAAGGAGGTTGTTCTCTCCAGCATAAAGAAAGGAACTGTGGTAGATTTCCTGGGTCCTATTCATTTGCGACATTTAACAGACTTTATGTCTGGACCATATGTATTCCCAAGTTCAAGCCGAATGCACTGAATCTCTCAGCTGGGAAGAACCGTGGTGTCCTGGTTCAAGGATCTATTTTCCTGATTGAGACAGACAGGCAAAAAATAACCTAAGGCCACAAAGTTAATACTATTTCCATGTTTCTGGGCTTCTAGCCTAGGCCTAGAGGTTTTCCCAAGAAGTCACACTGCCTACCAGACTTGTAGGAATGGAGGACAAGCTGCATGCCCAGCCATCTCCCTGCCTGGCAGCTAGGCAGAAGGGACTATTGGCCACGGGCCATCCTGGGTCCCCTGACTTGACCCCCAAGCTGCTTGCCTTGCAGAACGCCCTGTTTAATGCTTTATTCCTCCCAGTGTTTCATTATTGATTCAGCCCCTCGCTGCCGGGTCTGACCAAGTAAGCTGTGAGCGTTTGTCTAATGTCAATTTCATCAAAAATGCAGGAGTTGGGGTTTTACTCGTCTGTGCGCTACCTAGACGGTTTAAGTCGATGATTAGTGGTTTCTGTGAGCCAAAGAGGGCGCTGGCAGCCCACAGGCTGGTTTCTGGCTTCTCTGAAGCGATGCTGGGTCCCCAAAGCTCTGGAGAACCCAACAGCCTCCATCTCGTTAAGGTGGGGATGAGGCTTGGGATGAGGGGATTGACTGACGTGGAGAGTTAGGAGGTTGGGAGTGGTTTTTTCAAACAATTACCAGCCAAGTTTAAAAACAAATTCAGCAATGCATTATTATGTTGTCATTAAATATTACAGATGCAAATCTAATGAGAAAGAAAAATGTTTATTCTTTCATCTATTTAAAAATGTTTATTGAGCACCTATTATGTGCTAAGCGCTAGACTAACAGAGGTTAATGAGGCTTACAAGGTTCTAATTCTCATGGAGCTGAAATTCCATTTAAGAGAGAAAAATCAGGCTATAAAATAGAAATAATAATAGTAACAGTAAAGGTTTACTGAGTACTCACTATGTGCTAGGTAATATGCTAAGCACTTCACATAGAGAATGCTTCTATTTTCAAGGTATATTTTTAAAGCCTGTATGTATATCTGCTCATAGAAAAAAGACAGGAAGGAAAAAGCATTAAAAGACATTATCCTCAGATTATAAGTTTATGGAAGACTTTTATTTTCTTCTTTTTACTAATCTGAATTCTCTAAATTTTCTTGGAGGAAAGGCATGTTCATGTGTTGCAACCTTAAGGAATCGGTCATGAGAACTTGAACCAGAGGTAAGAAAAATTTTTAAATTAAAAAATTAATGAACTAATTAATTAATTAAAAAAGAAAATAGTCAGAGAACCTTAAAATGCTTCTCATTTGCTGCCTGATGTCTCCAGGCTCCAAGTATATGAGGCGAGGTGCTGGCCTGCTCCAGCCACTCTGGGTTCTGTCCCAGCTCGGAAATTCACCACCTCTTCCTCCCTGGAGGATGGAGTCGCTGGAGAACCCTGATACTGTGGTCCAGCGCCATTTGGCTTGTGGTCAGGGCTCGGGGAGGGCTGAGGCATCTGAAGATTGAGCCTGTGGAAAGGAACCCTTTAATGCAATGTCCCCAGATGGGCATTGGGAGCCCCACTCCCTCCTGGAGGTGTGCAGGTGCCAGGATCCAGCCTTTCCTACTAATGAAACTCCAATCAGATCGTGACAGCAGGGGCTGCTGGCCAGCCCCACTGGACCCCTGCCCTGGTCAGGGAAATGGAGGATGACAGCTATGCCACTGTCTGAAAATCCTGGTGCCCCTGAAGGCCCTGCTGGGCTGCTCTCTGGCTCTGGTGTACCCGGAGGGGAGACAGGGGATGGCTGCCCCACAGTGATCACGGTAACCCTAACAACAATGTTACACTTGAGGAAATCCAGCTCTGAGTTCTTGACACACAGGGAGGCCTGACACCAAACACTTGACATTTCTTCATTCATTCATTCAATCTTCAGTATTATCATTATCATCCTCCTTTTACCTATATGGAAACAGAGACCCAGAGAGGTCAAGTCACTTGCCCAAAGTCACACAGCCAGGGAGCGTAAGGCTGGAAGGTGGACTCCAGATCCCACACCCTAACCATTCAGCAACACTGTCTCCCATTACCTGTCTGAGATCTCTGGGGACAGCGCCGTAGAAGGCTGTCCCACCAGGACTGGACACATGAGGAGGAGAGCAGCTCTGGTCCCCGAGGAGGCAGCAGAACACTTGAGTAAAGGGTAACAGGCAATGGGTGTCAGGCAGTCCTGGCTTTGAATCCTAGCCTAGACACCTACTCACTGTGTGACCTTAGACAAGTCATTTTACCTCTCTGGGGCTCTGTTCTCTCATCTCTGCAATGGAGATGTAATGCCTAACTTTTCAGATGGCAGGCAGGTTATTTTCAACACAGAAAATTACTAGTATTGATTGAACACCTGCTACATATGCCAGAAGCTGTGCAAAGCACATCACATGTGCTAGTTAACCTTTTTAATACCCTAGGACACTGTGATTATCTCCACTTTACAGATGAGAAATCTGAGGCTTAAATAGGTTAAGTACTTCAGAAGGTTACCAGAAAGAAGCGAAGCCAAGATGTGAACCCATGTCCTCTAAGGGCACAAGCCCTAGGCTCAGCCCATCTGCCATATGTGCCACCTGTGCATCAAATGAAATGATGCTTGCCAAGGACTCACGTCAAGTAACCAGAGCTGTCATTGCATGGCCACAATGTGGACAGAGAAAATGCATTTGCACCTAGCCCAGCGCCTGGCACTTTGGGAGCCCCAATAACTGTGTGTATTAATGGTTCCAGTTGTCTCAGGCATGGCAAGGCTACCTGTAGCAGCCAAGACCTCTTCGCCTCTTTGTTCAGCCCAGTGAGGGCTCCTGGGGAAGCAAGCAGGTCCCATCTCCCCAAAACTCTACAGTTGACTAGGGAAGTGAAGAAAGACACAGCTGCAGCAGTTACATAACTGCTTCCTCCTCCACAAACCAATGAGAGCAGATAGGAGCCCCTTGAACCCCTTCCAGCCCTAATGCACCTCTAATCCTGCACAGGATTGGCATGAGGTGAAACAAAAAGAATGTGGTTCAAGTGCTGTTTTATCAAAAATGTTCCTAGGCCCGGGCTGCCCACGGAACTTTTTCTGTACAAGCATCACCGGGGGGCCCAACATCCCTCTCAGGACAGCAGTAGATCTTTAGGAGGCTCTAGATCCTGGTGTCCCAGGGTGCAAGAAGTGCGTGTTTGTGTTCTCCATTCATCCTGCATTGACCCTACATTTAAAGGCCAGTTGCTTCCCTGTGTCCATCAGAGGCTTCCAGAGCTCCTACCTGATTCCAGGTGGACTAAATCCATTGTCAAGTTCTCCCGGCCCCCTAGACCTGCATAAAAGACAGATTTGTTACAATTGGAAGAGACCCTACCAACATCCCATTGTGATCTATTCACTTTACAGATGACCAAACCAAAGCCCAGGGAAGTTAAGTGACTTGGCCAAGGCCACACAGCTAGTGAATGATGTCACTGGAATTAGAACCCATATCTCTTGGCACCTAATTCAATACTGCTTCTGTCACTGACCTGTTTCCTGAGCACCCAGTAAATGGTAATTATGTATTGCCTGATAAATGATGACTCCAGACTTTGGGTCTTGGTGATGTTTCTTGACCCTGAATCCGAGAGGTCTTGCACAGGCCACAGAGGATTCTTGGGTGGTAGCACTGCACAAAGCAGAAGGGAAACTTCTGGAGGAAGGCCATACCTCTTACCTCCACCCTCAGGATAGAGCCACATGCTCAATGCATTCCAATCCAGGATCCAGTTCTTGCTCTGCCATCTTAGGCTAGTCATTTCCTATGTGAGCCCCCAGTTCATCTGCAAAATGAAGAGGAAAATTCTTTATGGGCTCATTGAGAGGTGATATAGTTTGGATGTTTGCCCTCCACATCTCATGTTGAAATTTGATCCCCCATGTTGGAGATGGGGCCTAGTGGGAAGGGTTTGGGTCATGGGGATGGATCCTTCATGAACGGCTTCATGCCATCCTGCAGAAATGAGTGAATTTTTGCTCTACTAGTTCACAGGAAAACTGATTGTTAAAAATAACCTGGCACCTTCCTCCCCTTTCTCTTTTGCTCCCTTCCTCACTCATTATGGGACACTCTATCTCCCCTTCCCCTTCTGCCATGATTAGAAGCTTCTGAGGTCCTCACCAGAAGCAAACATTGGTGCCATGCTTCTTGTACAGCCTGCAGAATTGTGAGCCAAATAAACCTCTTTTCTTGGCAAATTACCCAGTCTCAGGTATTCCTTTATAGCAATCCAAATGGACTAAGACAGGAGGAATAAGTGAAATACCACGTAAAATGTAGGGTGCAGTGCCAGGCTCAGGACATGCTCAGAACAGGCAGGGCCAACATCCTCTTGGTCCCAATGTAGACAGGTTTGTGTGAGAAGATGAAAAATAGGATCAAAAGTAAGTCATCAGATCTAAGACAACATTGATCATAAAACACACCATGAATGTATGCACCACTCAGAATGGAAAACACTGCAAAATAAACTATGACTCCATGCTTTCTCATCACTTAGAATTTTGATTACATGCTTAGAGAAAGCTTTTTCAACTTACACGCGGATTTTCATCTATCCCGCTTGCACATACATAAAATGAAATAAGGCACCTAAATTTGTTACCATCTCCCTAAAACCGCTTCACATTCAAAGCCAGGCTCTTCTGAATTCCTTTCAACTTAGAGTCATTGGAGTTCCTGTTTTCCCACACAATATTGTCCTCTTACCTTCAAGAGCACTGGTGATGTGGCATTTTCCAAATGATTCCATGAAAGAAGAAAAAGCGAGGAGTACTGGGTTCTTACCCCAGCTTTGTCATTGTGTGGCGCTGGCTCACTTTTGTGTTTTGTTGGTTTGGGGGGTAATTTTTTGTTTGTTTGTGGGGAGTTTTTTGTTTTATCTTTTTTTTTTTTTTAAATAATAGAGATGGGATCTTGCCAAGTTGCCCAGGCAGGCTGGTCTTGAACTCCGGGGCTTAAGCGATCCATTGGCTCACTTTTGACTCCTGTGTTGGGCAACGCTGCTAAACATGTCAGAGTCACCATTTTCCCACATCCCTCCCACAACCATTTTGTTACTAATTTCCCCTCGGATTTTCTACCAAGCCACTCCCTCCCATTCTGCAAGTGTTGATACGAAAGCTTTTCATGTTTGCCCAGGCAACTATAAGACACCACTAATCGTAAGACGCGTGAAACTCCAGAGGTGTAAATACATGGAAATATTTGTTTTATAGAATGACTGATTTTGAAAACAACATTTATTAAGGCTCCACTATGAGCCAGGCCCCATGCAACATTTCGTTTGTTTGAGTTTATTATCATTCCTTTATAGATGAAGACACAGAAGCTCAGAGAGGTAAAGCAATTTGTCCAACGTCACACAGCTAATAAGTGACAAGGCCAGGATTGGAGCTGAGGTCTCTTTGGCCTTGTCACCATAGAAGAGATGGATCCTTTCCCAGGTATTTCCTCCAACCTGACTTCTGAGTCCAAGGGGTTCCTGCAAAATTAAATCAGTCCTGACTTTGGGAAGCCCTTCCCATCTTTTGATTTCCTTGTTTTAGAGAGTAATAACAATAGTTCTCTGTGCCAGGTGTTATTCTAGCCACTTTATGTGCCCTAGCACACATAATGTTCCCAAGTCCCTAATGGAGTGGGTTCTATCCTTAGCCCCATTTCACAGATTAAGAAACTGAGGGGGTGCGGAGAGGTAATGCCAGGTACACAGCTAGGAAAGGGAAGGGCTGGGATTCAAACACAGGCAGTTTGGCTCCAGACCTCCCTCTCCTAGCCCACCCCACCCACCATGTCCCCAGACTAGCACAGGAAACCCTCTGCAACCCCAAGCCCCCTCCCCATCCCCATTGCCCTGAATCCTGTTGACTTTCGTGGTGGCCAGGCCCCACTCCCACTGTGCTGTCAGGCTCAAGGCAGATGGATGGCCTTCCCTGGCTAGGCTTGGCTTCCCAGTTTCTTCACACTGGACCCAAACACAACACAATCTAGCGGCCCTGGCTGCTCTTCAGAAAAATACGCAAGGCGGGTGTGGAAAGAAATCTAATTAGAATTCCTTAGAGCCCCAGCAATTCCTCTTATTAAATTAGTTCCCTTTGAAGTGGAACTCAGCTCATTATAATAATTTGAATGCTGAGGAATTGTCTTATATGTTCCTGTCTGAGAAAAATTGCTTTTACAATTGCATTTATGCATGTCCTGGTCTCTGTCCATTGGGACAAAGGACAGCTGTCGATGCTAAGTGGTTCCTGCTTTGGAGAAGAGCTGGGGGAGGGTCCGGGGGATCTGCTGCCCTGTGGGCTGGAGCTGCTGAGGTGCAAGTGGTAGGAGCTCCACATACATGAGGGGGACAGGCTGCGTAGGTTTCCTCCAACATCTCAGCCATGGCCCACATCAGAAAGCTATACCAGGACATGGAGGCTGGTGGGGAACTTTAGAAAGTCCAGGTCAACATTTTCGCATGGACTGAATGACCCAGAAAAAGAGATGTTCAAATACAGACCTCCTGGCCTGCATCAGCCTCTCCTAGCTACAGATACCAGTGCCCCACCCCCGGAGATTCTGATTCTTCAGGTCAGCAGAGGGGTACTAGAATCTGTGCTTTTTTAAGCTCCCCAGGGTAATTCTGAGATGCAGCCAGGTTTGGGCCCCACTAGCCTGGGGTGATTGGGGACCCTGCTGCAGTGCCTTAGCCCTGATGTTACAATTGGAAGGGACCCTACCAACATCCCATTGTGATCTATTCACTTTACAGATGACCAAACCAAGGCCCAGGGAAGTTAAGTGCCCCAAAGGGAGCCACTGGACAAAACAGCATTCTCTACTGTTATAGAAGGGGATTCAAGGACTCCCCGTGTTACAGAAGGGGATTGAAGGACCCCCCCCCCAACTCCGCCGGCCCCCGTTACAAACGGGGATTCAAGGACCCATGAGCCGGCAAAATGCTGCAGGGTCTGTTTGGCGGCTGATTGTCTTTGTTGCCCTGGAGTCTGGGAGAACCGTCCCTACAGAGTCCCTGGGGACTCCTGTCTCATACTGGCCTGCTTCCAGACACCTCTGGTTCAGTGATCACATTTTTGTGCCCTTTATTGAGGACATAAACAGCAGGTAATATTTGCCCTGAAAGTCCTAAAAGAAATGTGGTTTTTGGGATTCTGACATCTGCCCATCCTTTTTGACGTAGTTCAAGTCTCACCTCCTATTAAAAAAAAAAAAAAAAAAAAAAGGCCGGGTGTGATGGCTCATGCCTGTAATCCCAGCACTTTGGGAGGCCAAGACGGGTGGATCACTTGAGGTCAGGAGTTCAAGACCAGCCTGGCCACATGGTGAAACCCCATCTCTACTAAAAATACAAAAATTAGCCAGGCATGGTGGCGGATGCCTGTAGTCCCAGCTACTTGGGAGGCTGAGGCAGGAGAATCACTTGAACTTGGGAGGCAGAGGTGCAGTGAGCCAAGATTGCACCACTGCACTCCAGCCTGGGTGACAGAGGGGGATTCCGTCTCAAAAAAAATTTAAAAATCCTTTGCCAAATACCCCAGCCCCATACCTGCCCCACGCCTGCCCCATGGCTGCTATCCCTTTTCTGGCCCCTACAACCCCTATTCTCCATATTGACCCCCAGGCCACCACCTGACCATGTCCCTGGCTCCCTGTGGCTTCTCACTCTCCCTGACCTCTACACATTATTGGTGCTATGGGGATTCGAAGCCAGCAGTTCAATTTTATTGCGTGCTGTCTATAGTAAATGGAGCCCCAAAATGGATCTTCACAAAAGCCAGCCTGGACCAGGGTCTTCATCGGAGATCTGATCTGTTGTCCCTTAGGAGATCCCGGTGGGCCACTGGAAGCTCAAGGACCAGGGCCCATCATTCCCTCTGTATAGATGAGGAGCCTGAGCCCCAACCAAGGTCACACATGCCAGAGTCCCTACTCTTGTCCT
Organism: Homo sapiens; assembly: GCF_000001405.40. Taxonomy (NCBI): domain Eukaryota; kingdom Metazoa; phylum Chordata; class Mammalia; order Primates; family Hominidae; genus Homo; species Homo sapiens. The sequence continues at coordinate 25,137,078 of NC_000001.11, forward strand.
CATCCTTCATCCACCCATGTGGCTTCTTGTTCCCTCTGAGTAAGCAGATTACTGCAGGGGTGTTCTTGCCTCCTGAGCAACTATTTCCCACCCAACAGATCTTCTGAGAAGATTCCACATGTGCCCCCCACCCCACCCTCTTCCTGCAGAGGAAGGAGCTGTGGAGTCAGAGGCAGCTCCAACCCCCTGGGCTGGTCCCAGAGAGTGTGGCCTGGACAAGGCTCTGTGCAGTGGCAGATCATAAGAAGAAGGGGACACGATGTTCTTGAAAAGAATCATGTCAGAAAAATGACTTAGTCTCAAGGGTCCTTTGTGCTCAATACAGCTTCTCTCCAAGTCACACCCACTTCCCTTCCTGACCCAGGCAGGGACTCCACAGCTTGGGGTGTAATGAGCTACCAACAACAGTGTTTTTCCAGTGACTCTTGTTCCTACATCCCCTTGAATATGAGACCCTAAAAAGAACAGATCCAAATATCCAATTTCTGAAGATGTTTTCACCAATGATCATTAGTCTAACCCTGACATGGAATAAATCCAACCCTTGCACTAGTTTGCAAAGAATACTCCTGCTGTGACATTCCAGATGATGTCAAAGGCTAGCAAACCCAACAGCTTGCAGCAGAACAACCACAGGGTGCAGCCTTTCAGACTACTCTGCTTCCTTCTTCTGGTCTCTCATCCAAACCCTTAATTACTGTCTATCCACACTGCACTCTACTGTGAGACACACATACTGCAAAACCAGAGACTCAAGACTCAGAAGGCATTTTCCAAAGCCTTCTGAATCCCTTCCATTACCTTTAACTGTGAGGTTGCCAAAGCACATTTGATCACTTGTGACCCCTTAATCCTTGCAACAACCCTAGGGCAGATTTCATGTGAGCTTGGCATCACATAGGCTTGGGTTCCGGTCTTGGCTCTGCTACTCTATGACTTTGGACAAGTCATATACTCTCTAAGCCTCAGTTTCTGTATCTGTAAAATGGGAATGATAATGCCAGCAGGTTTACTCTAAGGGTTTACTGAGATTGATATGTAAATGTCTTATCTCAGTGCCTGGTAGAGATTGACTACAATGAATGTTAAGCATTATTATTAACCATCATCATCATCATCATCAATCATCATCATCATCATCATTATCTTCCATTTTACAGATGAGAAAACTGAGGCTCAGAGGGAAAGTGGTTTCCCAAGAGACACACAAGTACATGAGGAGTCCCAGAGGCAAATATATCTCTCTGATTCTACCTTCTGAGCCCTTTTTATTCAATGATGCTGCGGAGTTCAGCCTTTAGGGTGAATTTAGGAACAAAGGCCCCTAACAAAACAAAGGCTCAGAAAAGATCAAGATCGAATAAGATAAAGTGACAAGGGGACACCACAAAGGATCCAGATGAAGAGGGAGATCTCCATGGATTCCTGCCATAGCTCCTTATTGACACAAAACACAAAGGAACATTAGGAAAAAAAAAAAAAAAAGATTGGACAGGAGTGGAGGTAGAAGAACAGGAACCTCAGAGACTGAGGAAGGGAGCTGGAACATTAAACACCAAACCCGTCCCAAATCCACGGTCCCGCTCAATGCTCCCTAAGTTAGGTAGACCCTCAGCGCCAGCCCCTTTGTGGATGGAGAAATAGCTGATGATCAACGCAAAGGACTAAGCACTGCTGCCAAAAGCCACCAGCCCCAGAGACAACAGAGGCTCCCAAATTTCTAGCCTCTGATCTCTGCCTCGGAACATTCTTGGGTCAAAATAAATGTGGGAACCCTATGGTGGAGTCTTGAAGCTGGAAAAAAAATCCAACATGTCGCCCAATGCAGCCCAGTCCTTCCAGGCAAAACCACACCAGAACTATTCCCGACAGATGCTAATTAGATGAATGGTTTTAAATTAAATAATAGGGAATGGGCAGAGCGAAGGGTGCCAAGGATCATTGAAACAGAAATGTTGTCCAGGGAAAATAGTGGTAAAGACCAGAATTCCTTATGCACACACAAAGGAAGCGCAACACAGGTCGGGACTTGTTTAGACCCCAAGGACTGATGATGGAGCAGAAGCTACTCGTCCCCAGGCAACCAGGGGAGAGCTTTGGCCTGGGCCCCTCCGATTTTCAGCCAAGCTGCTGGTGTCTTCCTCCCCTGAAGGTTCACCAACTACAGGAGAAGGAAGAGGCCTTAAAGCCCTGCAAAGGCCATCTCTCCAGCTTCATCTCCTCCCCTCCAGCCTCCCTCTCCTCTAAGGCCAACACATAGTACTGCTTTCCGTTCTTAGAATGCGTCACACTTTCCCTCCTTTGCAAGTGCAGTTCCCTTTGCCTGGAACATCATTCCCTCAGTCACCTCTCACTCCCGGTCCTCTTGCTAACTCCTACCCTTCCTGCACGCCTAGGCTTAATCCTGGGAAACCATTTGCCACCCCCTTCCGCAAAAAGGCACAGGCTCCTGCTGCCAGTGCCTGGAGAGCTCCTTGTGTCCCACCCCAGCCCAGAGCATGTCAAAAAGAAGAGATGAATGCCAATTTCCCATAGTGTGGTCCACTGCTTCCATTTTTGAGGCAGAAAGTAATGAGCAGTGGGTATCTAATGTGCCCTTAAATATCTTTTTTTGTTTTTTTTGTTTTTTTTGTTTGTTTGTTTGTTTGTTTTGAGACAGGATCTAGCTCCATTACCCAGCCCAGATCTAGCTCTGTCCGCCGAATGGTGTGATCACAGCTCACTGCAGCCTCAGCTTCAACTGCCTGGACTTAAGCGATCCTCCCACCTCAGCCTCCTGAGAAGCTAGGACCAGAGCCATCCACCCATGCCAAGCTAATTTTTAAATTTTTTTGCAGAAACGAGGTCTCACTATGTTGCCCAGGCTAGTCTTGAACTCCTGGGCTCAAGCGATCGTCCCACCTCAGCCTCCCAGAGTGTTGGGATTACAGGCATGAGCCACCGTGCCTGACCAAGATCTTTAAATAGTAATAAAACAGACATTTATTAAGTGCATCTCATGTGCTGTGCGCTGTTCCAAGTGCCTACACTCCCCATCTCAGTTAAGCACACACCACCCCACGGGCAGGCAGCTGCTATCATTATCCCTTTCTCATGGTGGGGAAGTGAAGATCAGAAAGGCTGAATAACTTGCTCAAGATCACAAGTCTGGACTTGACTGCAGGCCTGGCTGATCCCAGAGCCCAGATCAAGAGTCTCCCCTGGTGCCTCTCCCCTAAAACCACCTCAGAAACCCCCTGGTGTGTAACTCTAAACCATGCCTGCGGCAAACTCAGCCCATTTCCTCTTCTCGCATCTTAAGCCCAGATGGGGTCTGAGTGACACTTATCTCATACCCTGTCATAGAGCTGGAGCCCCACAGGAATGTGGAACTCCCCATGGACAGAGGGCAGGAGGAAGTGACCGCCGGCCCGAAGGGGGCTTGGTCCACTGGGTCCAAAGGTGCCGTCTGGCCCTGGCTGCCACATGCCTCGTGTCCACAAAGCAGAAGTCACAGGGACAGGGAAGGAAGCCCGGCAGGCAGACTGTCATCACAGGTGGTGTGTCCTCCTATCCAGGGACAAGCAGAACTAGCCAAGATTGCCTTCTCCACGCAGCCTCTCCTGATTCCACACTTGTGACTTCATGTTCCCAGAGCGCTGTGCTGGCACGTGTGCTATGATCTTGACTCTGTATGCACCCCGACGCCCAGCTACAAGCAGCTCTACCCTTACCTAACCTTTAAATTGCTCGATTGCCTCATCTGTAAAAACAGGGATGTTAATAGCACCTGTTTCACGGGGTTATTGGAAGGTGTGTGTACATACACACACACACACACACTCATCAATATAGATGAGTATAGATTGTGTGTATGTATACATGCTTAGAACAATTCCTGGCATATAGTAAGTGCTTAATGAACATTACCTATTCTTATTCATGTTAAGTGGCTATGACAATGTGCCAGGGAAGGACATCACTTGTAATGACGGGGGATAACACCTCTTACAAAATCAAGTTGAGGTTCCCCAAAACTGGTCTGTGAAACAGCCTCCAGGGGGCTGTTTGTTAAAGAGACAGATTCTGTGGTCCCACTCCTAGATCTAATGATTTTAAGTCTCTGAGATGGAGCCCAAGAATTAATATTCTTACAACCTGTCCAGGTGATTAGAACAATCAGCCAGGGGCTGGGCACGGTGGCTCACGCCTGTAATCCCAGCACTTTGGGAGGCCGAGGCGGGCGGATCACGAGGTCAGGAGATTGAGACCATCCTGGTTAACAAGGTGAAACCCCGTCTCTACTAAAAGTACAAAAAATTAGCCAGGCGCGGTGGCGGGCACCTGTAGTCCCAGCTACTCGGGAGGCTGAGGCAGGAGAATGGCGTGAACCCGGGAGGCAGAGCTTGCAGTGAGCGGAGATCACACCACTGCACTCCAGGCTGGGCAAGAGCCAGACTCCGCCTCAAAAAAAAAAAAAAAAAAAAAAAAAAAAAAAAAAAAAAGAACTATCAGCCAGGTTTGGGACCCCCTAGGCTAGACCAAGTGTTTCCCCAGCAAATGAGGGTGTGGACTCTGCTGCCATTCTAAAGCCAAGAGGGGTGCTTTCTTTCCTATCATCCATCTCTCCTTTCTTCCTCCCTTGCTTCCTTTTTTCATCAGCATCTTGAACTTCTCTCTGCGGCTGTTCTTTTGCTACAAGAACTCCAAGTGGACCCTGTCCTGACCACGTGCATCCTAAGTACACGGAGTCTTGTTTTCCATCCACTAAATGTCGTTGACCAGTTTACTTTTCATTCCCTGCACAAATAAACGTTTGCTACAAACGTGACTTGTGCATGGCCCCTTGACGGCAGGGGCCAAGTCTGTTCTACTAGAAAGATGCCTTGGAGACCATGTATTCCAACCTCTCTCTTTACCCCTGAAGAACCTAAGGTCCACAGAGGATAAGTGATTTTTACAAGGTCACACAGCAAGCAACCAGAGCGGAGATGACAGCTCAGGTCTCTGGCTTCTTAGCTGCTGCCCTTTCCATTGTCACAGGCTCCTGTTCAAAATACCCCAGAACCACTCATTTATATATCGATTGTGAGTATATGCATTACAAAGTTTTATTTATTGAATACTCTATGTACTAGGCATGGTGCCAACTGCTTTACCTGCATTCTGTCATTTCAGTTTCATAAACAGTTCAGAAATGAGAACATTATTATCCTCATTTCATCTCTGGGACAACTGAGCCTCCAGGAGGTGAAGTGACCTGCTCCAAACCACAGAGCTGGAAAGAGCCAGGATTGCAACCCAGGCCTGTCTGATTGCAGAGCCCGAACTCCTGGCTGTTATGCTGGTCCTTGAGCTCTTGCTTCTCACCTCAAAACCTGCCCTTCCATGTCTACTCTGTGATGCTGGGGCAGGGACCCCACAAACCAGTTTCCGTTAACCAGCTAGTTTGTTTCTGCCTACAGGGGACTAATGGGAGGCTGGAAAGGCTGGAGGAGGAAGGGACTCACTCCCTTCGCTTCCTGTTCCTGAAAGGGTCACCCTCGCAATGCTCCTTCACCCTGGCAGGAGCAAGTCCTTCCTAAGCAGCAGCTGAATCTGCTTACAGTTTTTCCAGCAATTGCAGAAGCAGCTTCATTGCCTGTCTTCCTTAAAAGTTTGGGTCCAGGGACCACGGGGCCTCTCCTGTGAGATTAGGAATACCAGCCCCAGCTGCGCAGTACCCTCTCCTCAGAAGGCCGAGTTTCTCTAATTCCCACTTCTTCCTTTTCTTCTCCCAGCTCTAGGGGCTATTACTTCTATAATACCTCAGCGTTCTATTTTGACCCTTTTGGTTACTTAATTAACAACATCAGAGGCCCGGCCTGGTGGCTCACGCCTGTAATCTCAGCACTTTGAGAGGCCGAGGCGGGCGGATCACGAGGTCAGGAGTTCGAGACCAGCCTGGCCAACATGATGAAACCCCGTCTCTACTAAAAATACAAAAATTAGTCGGGCATGGTGACACGCACCTGTAATCCCAGCTACTCAGGAGGCTGAGGCAGGAGAATCGCTTGAACCAGGGAGGCGGAGGTTGCAGTGAGCCAAGATCCCGCTACTGCACTCCAGCCTGAGCAACAGAGCGAGACTCCGTCTCAAAACAAAACAAACAAACAAACAAAAAACAACCTCATACCTAATTAACAATATATTAAATTCTGTCTCCTTCACCTTGGCAGCCACAGGTCTTTCTGGGAGTGGCAGCTGAATCCACTTTATAGTTTTTCCAACAATTGCAGAACAGCTTTATTGCCCCCACCCTCACTCACCCAGATCCCCACACTAGCCTGCCAGTGCCTCCTCCTCAGAGGTCTGGGTTCCAGTCCGATGGGCCTGTGGACCCAGAGATATGGGCACCAGCCAAGTGCACCTGATGGATGTGACCAATACATTACATGGCACAGTTTAAGTCACTAAAGATGTTTCAAATAACAAGAGGACCTGTGTTAATGGGCAGAGGGCTCAGCAGGAAGCACTTTTTTTTTTTTTTGAGGTGGAGTCTCACTCTGTCACTCAGGCTGGAGTGCAGTGGCACAATCTCGGCTCACTGCAATCTCTGACTCCCGGGTTCAAGCAATTCTCCCTGCCTCAGCCTCCTGAGTAGCTGGGATTACAAGTGCCTGCCACCATGCCTGGCTAATTTTTGTATTTTTTAGTAGAGACAGGGTTTCACCATGTTGGCCAGGCTGGTCTTGAACTCCTGACCTCAAGTGATCTGCCTGCCTCAGCCTCCCAAAGTGCTGGGATTACTGGTGTGAGCCACCATGCCCGGCCAAGAAGCATCTACTGACAAGCAGGACTGTCTAGAAGGAGAGAGTCTGCTCCTTGCTACAGAAAGGGCTTGGGCAGCAAACTAAGTCCAGTGGGGTAGACCAGACCTGGTGTGTGACCAACACTGCCTGTTAACACTGCCTGGGATTTCACCAAAGCGGACATACAAATGGCAAATCAGCACATGAAAAGGTGTCCAATGAAACTTCAATAAAATCACATGGTCCCAACACAAAGAAATAATCCGTGTTTGTGGTGATAGATATACTGATGACCCTGATTTTTTTCATTACACATTCTATGCATGTATCCAAAAAAATCACATGTACACCATCAATTAGTATAATTGTATGTATCAATTTTTTAAAAATTAAAAAAGCAATGAAATGTTACTACATACCTATCAGAATGGCTGAAATAAAAAATAGTGACAACATTAAATGCTGGTGAAGATGCAGAGAAACTGGATCGTTCAGATGTTGCTGGTGGAAATGTAAAATTGAACAGCCATTGGAGTTTGGCAGTTTCTTTGAGAACTAAACATGCAACTATCATATGACAATTGCAATCCTGGGCCTTTGTCCTAGAGAAATGAAAACTCATGTTCACCACACACAAAGCTGTAAAGAATGTTTATAGCAATTTTATTTCTAACAGCCAAAAACTGGAAACAATCCAGATGTCCTTCAACGGGTAAGTGGTGAACAAACTATGGTATGTCCACACCACAGAGCACAACTCAGCCATAGACAGCAACGAACCCTTGCTACGCACAACCTGGATTAATCTTCGGAGAATTATGCTGAATGAAACAACTGAATCCCAAACGGTTGGATACTGCACAATTCCATTTATACAAGCTTCTTGAAATGGCAAAACTAGACATAGAAATGGAAAACAGATTAGGGGTTGCCAGGAGTAAAGGAGGAGTGGGGGCAGAGGGAAGTCAGTGCATGAGGGATCTTTGTGGAGATGAGACTGTTCTGTATCTTGACTGTATCAACGGCAGCATCCTTGTTCTGATGCCTACGATCAAGAGGTAGATAGATAGATGATAGATGATAGATAGATAGATAGATAGATAGATAGATAGATAGATAGATAGATTTTTTTTTTTGAGACAGTCTCACTCTGTCACCCAAGGCTGGAGTGCAGTGGCGCGATATTGGCTCACTGCAACCTCTGCCTCCTGGGTTCAGGTGATTCTCCTGCCTCAGCCTCCCAAGTAGCTGGGATTACAGGTGTGTGCCACCACGCCCAGCTAATTTTTTGTATTTTTTTTTAAGTAGAGATGGGATTTCATCATGTTAGCCAGGATGGTCTCAATCTCCTGACCTTGTGATCCGCCCACCTCAGCCTCCCAAAGTGCTGGGATTGCAGGTGTGAGCTCTCTCTCTCTGTCTCTCTCTCTCTCTCTCTCTCTCTCTATATATATATATATATATCTGTCTCTCTCTATATATATATATATGTGTGTGTGTGTGTGTATATATATATATATACATATATATATGTGTGTGTATACATATATATATGGGATTCACCCACCTCAGCCTCTCAAAGTTCAGGGATTACGGGAGTAAGCCACACCGGCCAGCCAATACCCTACTATAGTTTTGCAAGATGTTACCATTGGTAGAAACGAGGCAAAGAGAACAAAGGATTTTTCTGTATTATTTCTTACAACTACATGTGAATTTACAATTGTTTCAAAATTAGAAGTTTAATTAAAAAGGAAAACCCACCTGAGAGCCCTTTCAAAATACCACTTGCGTTGGGAGACTGGGGTGGGGCCCAGATACGTGGTTTTTTTTTTTTAAGTCTCCCCAAGAGTTGAAAACCACACAATGAAATTATTTCTAAAGCTCCTTCCACTAAAAAGTTGACATTTTTATGTGAAAATATATCAAAATTCGAACGTCTTGTGGATTCAGGCTAGAACTGTTCCCTCCCAGGCTTCCCGGCAGAAGGAGAGAGAAAGGCCCGAGAGACAGAATCAGGATGTGACAGGGGTGGCGCGAGGCGGAGGTGCAGCTCTCTCCTTCACGGTCCAAGGACTTCCAACCGTAGGACTCTTAGTGAAGCATAGCTAATAGCCACAGTGGCCGAGGGTGGGATTAGAACCCACTTTCTGGCTCTGCCTTCCGCAGCTTGGTCAGGGCTCTGGGCAGGACCCCTACGAACACTCCCGCTGTAAGTGTCAGAACAGGTAGAAATGGTTCTAATTATAACCAGTTTTCAAGCATGTGGGTGGAAAGGAATGCCTATTCATGTAAGAGCCGTTCCTGCAGCACAATAACCCCTCACCAAGTGTTCCTGGGCCAGTTTTTGAGAGTGACAAATGGTGCACGCCCAGGCACAGATATCACAAGGGTGAGAAACCCCAAGTTTCTGGAGCGAGAACAATATGACAAAGGTCTTGAGGAGGCAGCGTTTTATGTTACAGGGTAGCTGGGGGTTTTGTTGTCTTTTTTCCTTCCCCCTTCATAATTAGCCAACTCAGCCTCTTCTCCATGCTAAGGAATCACTGAAGACTATGTAAGGGAGAGGAGTCATCAGAGAAGATGCTTTACTGCTCAGGGGCCCCACAGCCTCCCACTCTCTCCCTCCCTTGGCTCTGGCCACCAGACGAGGTTCCTTTTGCCACCCTGAACAGAGAGTGGTGAACTTGTGATCCGGAGCCAGTGAACTTGTGATCCGGAGCCAGTGAACTTGTGATCCGGAGCCAGTTAACTTCACAGCTAATGTGCTGAGCAGCATTCCAGCCAGCGTCTGAAGCCAGAGCAGGGAGGCGGACGGGCCCCAGGAGTTCGAGGTCCGGGAAGCCGAAGCACCACCAAACTGAGCGAGGTTCCAACTCTCCCTCCCAGGAGGTCCGGCTGCCTCCCACCAGCAGCCCAACCACAGGGTCCTGCTCCAGACGTTACTATTTTCTCTTTTTCAGTGTGTCCAGCAGCAACCTCGACTGCCAACAACAACGTGAAAAATAACTGCAGGGCCGGGCGCGGTGGCTCACGCCTGTAATCTCAGCACTTTTGGAGGCCGAGGCAGGCAGATCACCTGAGGTCAAGAGATCGAGACCAGCCTGGCCAATATGGTGAAACCCCGTCTCTACTAAAAATACAAAAATTAGCTGGGCGTGGTGGCACATGTCTGTAATCCCAGCTACTCAGGAGGCTGAGGCAGGGAGAATTGCTTGAACCCGGGAGGCGGAGGTTGCAGTGAGCCAATATCACGTCATTGCACTCCAGCCTGGCGACAGAGCAAGACTCCGTCTTAATAAATAAATAAATAAATAAATAAATAAATAAATAAATAAATAACTGCAGGAGGCTTGGGAATAGGCATCTTCCTCTACTGTGTGTGCTGGCCACTTCCAGTGAGTCACTTCGTCTCTCTGAGCCTTCCAGAGGCTCTGTCTCTGTAGAGCCTTCCTTGTCGTCGTTTAGGAGGGTTAGAGGAGATACCGCACAGTTCCTGAGAACAGAGTGGGAGTTCTGAGAGCAGAGGTGATGGAGATGGTCTATTTCCAGCCTCCAAGGACACCACAAGCCTCTCACTACTGAGCTCAGGTCCTCTGGGCAGCTGAGCTCTTCACAGCTCCGACCTTAATAGGTGTGAAACACCCGACAGCCATTAAATATCATGTTCTCAAAGAACATTTAAGGCTATGAGAAAAGGCTCCCAACTCCTGAGTAATAAGCACAGAGAAGCAAACTCTATATGTAGTAAGTGGCCAGGACTGTTATATGTAGAAAAAAGACTGGAATGAAATCCAACAAAACATTAGCAATGGCATTCCCTGGGTGATCAGAGGATGGGAGAGGGGGTGCATGGGGATGGTTATTTTCATCATTACATTTTTTTTAACATTTATTAAATTTCCACCATGAACATTTATAATCCATAGAAATACTATTTTATGTTTTTGTGCTATATAAAATGTGTTTAATATATATATATATATATATATATATATATATATATATATATATATAGAATATAGAAGAGCTACCTATTTTTAAATCTGGGCCTACCCATAGACTTGTTTGGGAAAAAAAAGCTGGATCTTCTTGCGTTCATGCACTTACCTGGCATTGCTCTGGATGCTGTGGGGGGTGTGGGGGTGCAAGAGACCCAGACCTGACCCTCAAGAAGCTCAACAGTCTAGCAAGAAAGGAAAGACAGGTGTTACGGAAGAAATCTGGCCAAAGTGTTCTAGGAATCCCAAAACGGGAGGATCAAGGAGGACCTCTAGAAGAGATGTCATTGAGGCTGGTTTGGGAAGGAGTTGTAGGAATTCCAGGAATTGCAAGATTGGGACATGTGGCACTATTTCACTTCACTGTAGCCAAACTGGGACAGTGCTTGGGGGCAGGAAAAGCTAGGGCTCCTGCTCCCTAACTTTCTACTCCCTGCTGTTCCCTGGACACAGAATAGAAAATGGTCCCTCTCTTGGCATCACACAAAATCACAGAAGCACAGAGTGTCAGAGGCGGAAGCGTCCTTTAGAGAACATAGAGTCCAATGTCCTTGTTATATATATGAGGAAACGGAGTTCTACTGAGGGGAAGGACCTTGCCACCAAGATCTCCTGATTTTTCATCCAGGAAACCAGCTAGCCTCATATTCAAGGACAGGGTTGGCTTCTGACACTTGCTCTGCAGGTTGCATATTCTAGAAGTAAGCAGCAACGACAGCACCATGACCCCACGGTACTGCTCTGGATGCTACTGAGTCCTCCTTCCTGGTTGTCTTCCATGAGCACAGGCAAGTATCTAGGAATGTTGTTATGGTGTCATGCAAATAGCTACTGACTTCTGGAAAATGAGCCGTCATCTGCCTCAGTCCTGTACCTTGGAGCTCTACACTCTGATGGTGTGTTGGCCTGACATGTCACTGAAATTTATCCTAAGAAAATTAACAATGGCTTCTACAGGCAAATTCCTTCACACATATAAAAAAGAAAGCACCCTCTCTTCCTGGCATACTCAACAGTGCCCTCTCTTGGCACAACCAAGAGCATAACTGTTAAGGACAAAGACTGTAGAGCAGAGCAATGTGAGTTTGAGTTCCTGATCTGCCTCTTGCAAGTTGTCTGATCGTGGGTAATTTACATAGTCTTTCTGTGCCTTCTCTTCCTAATCTATAAAGGATTGTACCTAACCCATAGGGCTGTAATGAGGATTAAATTAAACAAGGATGTAAAGTGCTTAGCACTGTACTGTAAATTCAAGTCATTAGACTGTGAGCCTCAGGAGGGCAGATAGGAGTTGAGTCTGCCTTGTCCATCCTGAATCCCCAGGACCCAACAAAAAGCCTGGCCTTTAACAGAGGCTTGATAAAATTTGATGAATGAATGAATTTGCTAGCCCAAATTAAAGATTCACTGCTGTGATTGACATATCTTACAGTGTCCTCTACTTGGATTCCAAAAACAAATTAAGAACACTCAGAAGCTGATCTTACAGGTTTTCACTAAAGAATTACTAGCAGGAGAAAAGGAGGTCTTATTTCCAGCAGGATGGTGTACTAGATATTCTTTAGACACTCCCACCAGAAACAACCAAATATGCCAGCTAGAAGGGAAAAAAAGCTTTAATTGCATCAATTAATTCTCAAAAACATAAGGCATATTCAGAACCAAAAACTAAGTGAAGACTGGAACTCAGAGATGTTAATGATGCCCTTAAGCTACGTGGAGTGGAGATCGGAGACAAAGCCCAGAGCCCACCCAAGGTGAGGACTGCAACAGAAAATCCCCTCTGCAGAAAACCAAGACCCCAAAAAGTTATACATTGGTGTCAAGGTGAACTAGAACGAAACCACCCTACTCTGTACTCCCTAGGGACTACAAGGCAAATTGCTTATACTGAGCCTTGGCAATGATCGTAGAGGGGAAACCTCTCCCTTAGAATTTGTAGCTACAAGCCAATCCCAATAAGAGGATTTACAGCCTGAATTCACTCTACTTGGGTGGTCCAAAAATACCAAACCAAGAATTAATTTAAAGTGGTCTCAAATTGGTAACGACCACAGGCTTCTGGCAGAAGTCAATGCAAATCCCCTGTAGGAATCCACCTTCAACACAGTCTCAAAGATTGCCCAGAGATAACATTCCGATAGATGAACCCACTGTCACAATTCCATAACACACAAGGTAACCAGGAATCAGCAGAAACAACAGGTAGTAGATTTAGACCCATGAAGACCTCAAACACTGGAATCATTAGACATAGGATTTTAAAAGATTTCAACATGTTTAATGATGTTTTCAAAGGGTATTCGCAATTATGAGTAAAGAGTGGGCATTGGCTGGGTGCAGTGGCTCACGCCTGTAATCCCAGCACTTTGGGAGGCTGAGACAGGCAGATCACTTGAAGTCAGGAGTTCGAGACCAGCCTGGCCAATGTGGTAAAACCCCGTCTCTACTAAAAAATACAAAAATTAGCTGGGCATGGTGGTAGGCACCTGTAATCCCAGCTACTTTGGAGGCTGAGGCAGGAGAATCGCTTGAACCCAAGAGGTTGAGGCTGCAGTGAGCCAAGTGCCACTGCACTCCAGCCTGGGCAACAGAGTATGACTCCATCTCAAAAACGCAAAATAAAAAAACAGTGAGCATCTAGAAAAGTGACTTCATAGATTTTTTAAAAAGAACTTCTAGAAATGAAAAAACAGAATGACTGAAATTTATAACTCGGTAGATTAGTTTAACAGTAAATTAGACACAGTTGAAGAAGAATGAAACACAGAAATCACAGAAGTAGAAAATAAAGAAGAGAGAGTAAGATACATGGAGAATAGTGTGAAAAGTTGTTACATATACCTAATCATGATTACAAAAGGAAAGGAGAAAAAGAATGGGGCGGAGGCAATATTTGAAGAGACAATGGTCACAAAATCACCCAGCATCTCTAGAAATGTTCATGAATTTCATAAATATTGCATAAATAATGAAAGTAAATAGCCACACATTTAAGAATCCAAAAAAAAGCCCAAGCAGATAAATAATCAGAAATCAATACCTAATAGGGTTATGATATTTAGCAAATAAAAATACAAAACTCCCAGTTAAATCTGAATTTCAGATAAGCAATGAAGAATGTTTCTTAGTATAAATATGCCTTATGCAATAACTAGAACATACTGATACTAAAAATGTATTTGTTGTTTGTCTGAAATTCAAAGTTAGCTGAGCATTCTGTATTTTTTCTGGTAACTCTAACACCTAGACATAGCACAGTAAAGCTGCAAAACACCAAAGAAAAAAGAGAAATTTATAAAAGCAGCCAAGGAGATGAGACAGATGGCCTCTAAGTCAATGACAATTAGATTAACAGCTGACTTCTCAACAGCAATAAGAGTTGCCAAAACACAGTGGAATAATGTCTTCAATATGTTGGAAAAAACATAACTAGTATTCTATAGCTAGAGAAAATAGATTTTTAAATGGGACTGAAACAAAGACATTTTCAAACAAATAAAAACTGAGCCAAGTCTGCCATAAACAGATCTCCCCCGCCATTTTTTTTTAATGCTGAAGTACTCCTTCAGCAGGAGAAAAGTGATCCCAGATGGAAGTCAAAGATGCAAAAAGAACAGACAGCAAGGAAGATGGTGACTATGTAAGTAGATCCAAGCAATAGATTGACCAAACCATTAATATTATAAGGATTAAAAACCCAAGGTGGTGGCCAGGCACAGCAGCTCACACCTATAATCCCAACACTTTAGGAGGCCAAGGCAGGAGAATCACTTGAGCCCAGGAGTTCATAACCAGAAGCAACACAGAGAGACCCCCGCCTCTGCAAAAAAAAACTTTTTAAAAAATTAGCCAGGCATAGTGGGGCATGCCTGTGATCCCAGCTACTCAGGAGGCTGAGGCAGGAGGATTGCTTGAGCCCAGGAGATAGAGGCCGCAGTGAACCATGATTACACCACTGCACTCTAGCCTGGGTGACAGAGTGAGACCCTGTCTATTAAAATAAAATTTTTAAAAAGTGGAATTTAAATACATGACAACAATAGAATGGAAGAGGGATGATGGAGTTTTAGAAGATGCTTGTATTTGTGGGGAGAGGATAATGGTGATTAATTTTAGAATCTGATTAAGTAAGTGAGTATAGAATAATGACTAAAAGAACTACAGTAAAGTATATAACTTTTAAGGCAATAATTATGATGGAATTAGAAAAATAATCACTCTCCCCAAAATGGCTAGAAAAGGCAGTAGGAAAAAAACAGAAGCAGCAAAATACAAAGAAAAAAATACAAATAAATTGTAGACTACCTAAAATCTCAGTTATCAGGGTAGGTTTTTTAAAAACGAGGTAAGTACCATTTATGAGAGTGACAATGAAAACATAAATACCCGGAAAGGCTAAAAGGGAAAGAATAGAAAAATATACTCTAGGCAAATACTAACAAGATGAGAAAAGATTGGGTAGTTATATTAACATCAATTAATTTAACACAAAAGGTGTCTTTAAGGATAGAGAAGGTCACTAACTAATAATAAAAGGTTCATTTTACCAGGAAGATATAATAATTCTAAACCTATATGCAAGTGATAATATAACCTAAAAACATTTAGGGGAAATTTGACAGAAATTGACAAATCCACCATCATAGTAGAGATTTTAACACATTTTTTTCAGTAATTGAAAAACTAAAAACACAAACCAAAAGTAATCAGTTAAGCATGTAAAAAATTTGACTGAAATAATTAAGAAGCTTGATGTGATGAATATGTATATAGACTATTGCACTCAGCATACTTTCAAGCATAAATGAAACAATTTTCATAAATATTTCAAAGATTTGGTGTCATGCAGATCAGATTCTCTAAGCACAGTACAAATGAATTAGAAAATCAATGACAAAAACCTAACTGAAGGCCGGGCGCAGTGGCTCACGCCTGTAATCCCAGCACTTTGGGAGGTGGGCAAATCACGGGGTCAGGAGATCGAGACCATCCCGGCTAACACAGTGAAACCCCGTCTCTACTAAAAATACAAAAAATTAGCTGGGTGTGGTGGGGGGTGCCTGTAGTCCCAGCTTCTCGGGATGCTGAGACAAGAGAATCGCTTGAACCCGGGAGGCGGAGGTTGCAGTGAGCCAAGGTCATGCCACTGCACTCCAGCCTGGGTGACAGAGAGAGACTCCGTCTTGAAAAAAAAAAAAAAAAAAACTAACTGGAGAAGCTCCATATGTTTCCTAATTTATAATAAAAAAAATTTCTAATTGACTCCTGGACCAAAAACAAAATCAGAGTAGAAATTAAAAGATATTTAGAATGAAAATATATAAAAAACTTGTAAGATGCAGGCCAGGCACAGTGGCTCACACCAGTAATCCCAGCTCTTAGGGAGATAGAGGCGAGGGCATAGCTTGAGCCCAGAAGTTCGAGTCCTGCCTGGGCAATATAGCGAGACCTGGTTCTCCACAAAAAGGGAAAAAAAGAAAAAAACAAAAACAAAAAAACTTGTAGGATGAGCTATAGCAACACTTAGAAGAAAATGTATAGCCTTACGTGGTTATATCACAAAGAATGAAGGATGAAAACTGAGTTAAATATCTACTTAAATAACTCCAAAGAAAGTGGAATGAAGGAAATGATAGAGTAGAAATTAATGAAATCGAGAACATACATTTTAGATGATTAATATATCTAAAAACGAATTAGTTGAAAAAAACCAATAAACCTGAATCTAAATCATGAAGAAGCAATCAGACAAATTCGAATTTAAGGATGCATTAATTTTCTATTGCTGCTTTAACAAATTACCGCAAATTTAGTGGATGAAAACAACATGAATGTATTATTTTACAGTTCTGTAGGTCAGTAGTCTGAGATGGATCTCACCAGGCTAAAGTCAAGGTGTCAGCAGGGCTGTATGCCTTTCTGTGGGCCCTAGGGGAGGATCCGTTTTCTTCCTCATTCTGGTTATTGGCGGAAATCAGCTCCTTGTGGTTGCAAGACTGAAATCCCCATTTCCTTACTGGCTGTCAGCTTAGGGCCATTTCCAGCTTCAAGGGGCCACCTCCATTTCTTGGCTCACATCCCCTCTTCCATCTTCAAAGCCAGCAACAGCAGGTTGAGTCCCTCTCACGCTTTGAATCTCTCCTCCTTCCACCTCATCTCTCTGACCCAGCCCATAAAGGTTCTCTACTTTGAAGGACCCATGTGATTAGATGGAGCCCACCTTGATAATCTAGAATTCTCTTACTATCTCAAGGGCCCTTAATCACATCTCCAAAGTCTCTTTTGCCATATAAGGTAACATAACCACAGGTTCCTGAGATTAGGGCATGGATATCTTTGCAAGTCCATTTTTCTGTCTATAGAGGGACATTCTGTTAACTGTTCTGAACCTTTCAAAAATGCCAATGTTATAAAAGACTTAAAAAAAAAAAAGGCTGGTAACCTGTTGTAGATTAAAGGAGAGCAAAGAAGCATGACAGTTGAATGCAATATGCAATACCTGATTAAATCCTGGATTAAAAGAGATAAAACAGCTATAAAGTTCATTATTTTGACACTGGAGAAATTTGATTTTGGACTATATATTAGATCATAGTATTTTACCAATGTTAAAGTTCCCACGTGTGATCATCGTATTGTGTTATGTAGGAGAATGTCTTTTCTTTTAGGAAATATATGATTAATTGTTTCTGGGTAGAGTGTCATGAGATCTCTAACTTACCCTAAAATAACTCTGAAATCAATGAGAGAAAGAGAGAGGGCAGAGGGAGAGAGAAGAGAGAAAGAGGAGAGAGAGAAAAAAAAGAGAAGAGAGAGAAAGTGGGCATAGATGTAGCAAAATGTTAACATTTGGTGAATCTACGTAAATAATGAATAAGTCTTGCAACTTTTGATAGGTTTCAAACTTTTCAAAATATGTTGTGTCAGAATTTATGCTGAAAGAGACAAGATTAACAAAACTGAAAGATGTTCTGACAAAACTGATTTTTAAAACTGAAAATTCAAATAATAATAGAAATGAAAAAGAGGTCATAACTGCAGATGCTATGGAGAATGAAAAGATAAGGAGCAGATATTACAAACAATTTGAATGCTTAGACAAATTAGACGAATTCCAAGGAAGAAGTATAAATTACCAAAACTGACTCAGGAAGAAATAGAAACTCTGAATAACCCTAAAACTATTTAAAATTTTTGCTTCCATATAAACCTCACAAAGAAAAGATCAACAAAGATGATTTTATCCAAAAAAACTGGGAGTAAATATTTCCAAATTCACACAAACTATTTCAGAATCATAGAAAAGACAGAACACTCCCCAGCTCATTTCATTATGCTTAACCTTGATTCTAAAACCTATTAAGGGCAGTATGATGAAGAAAAATTACATGCCAAGCTCACTCACGAACATAGATGTAAAAATCCTAAGTAAAATACTAGAAAACCAACCCCAATCTCACTCATGAACATAGATGCAAAAATTCTAAGTAAAATACTAGAAAACCAACCCTAGCAATAGGTAACAAAAAGGGTAATAAATACACCATAACCAAGTTGTGGTTATTATTTCAGAACCCAAGATTGGCTTATCATTACAAAACCACTTAATATACTTCACCACATTAACAAATTAAAGAAGAAAAATAGTCTGGGCGAAGTGGCTCACGCCTGTAATCCCAACACTTTGAGAGGTCGAGGTAGGCGGATCACGAAGTCAGGAGTTCGAGGCCAGCCTGGTCAACACAGTGAAACCCCATCTCTACTAAAAATACAAAAAAATTAGCCAGGCATGGTGATGGGTGCCTATAATCCCAGCTACTCAGGAAGCCGAGGCAGGAGAATCACTTCAACCCGGGAGGCGGAGGTTGCAGTGAGCCAAGATTGTGCCATTGCACTCCAGCCTGGGTAACAAGAGCAAAATTCCATCTCAAAAAAAAGAAAAATAGGCCAGGAATTGTGGCTCATGCCTATAATCTCAGCACTTTGGGAGGCTGAGGCGGGCGGATCCCTTGAGTCCAGGAGTTCCTGGGCAACATGGTGAAACACAGTCTCTACAAAAAATACAAAACTTAGCCAGGCCATGGTGGTGCGTGCTTGTGATCCCATTTACTTGGGAGTCTGAGGTAGGAGGATTTCTTGAGCCCAGGAGGAGGAAGTCAAGGCTCCAGTGAGCTGAGATTGCACCACTGCACTCCAGCCTGGGCGACAGAGTAAGACCCTGTTTCAAAAAAAAAAACAAAAGACGAAGAAGAAGAAAAATGATGTGATCATTTCAGTTACACAGAAAAATCATTTGGTATAATTCAATACCCATTCATGATAACAAAAATAAAAGTTTGCAAAGTAGAAGTAAAAGGGTGATTCTGCTGAAAGCATTTGAGAAAAAAAAGTAAAAAGGAAATCTCTTAACTTGTTGAAGGGTACCTGAGAGAAAGAGAAGAAATAAATCTACCTTAATCAAACATCATACTCAATTATGAACACTGAAAGCATTCTCTTTAAGATCATGAGCTGGTTAGGGGTCTCATTATGGAGACCCTATCAATGGCTCTACTTCTCACTATACTGAAGTTCCTAGCTAATGTAGCTACAGAATACTTACAAACAAGAGGTATATACATGAAAAACGAAGAAAAATAATGCCATTATTATGTATAGAAACAAAATTTACACACAAATTATTAGAATTAATAAAAATATGAAGAATGATTACAGAATACAGAATAAGTCTATAGGAATCCATTGCATTTCTTTTTTAAAATTTCTTGTTTTAACTTTTTTTGTTATTTGTTTCGTTTTTTTTGTTAGTTTTTTTTGAGACAGTCTCACTGTCGCCCAGGCTGGAGTGCAGTGGTGCGATCTCGGCCCACTGCAACCTCCGCCTCCCAGGTTCAGGCGATTCTCCTGCCTCAGCCGCCTGAGCAGCTGGAACTACAGGGGCCCACCACCAAGCCCAGCTAATTTTTATGTTTTTAGTAGAGACGGGGTTTCACCAGGTTGGCCAGGCTGGTCTCGAACTCCTGACCTCAAGTGATCCCCCTGCCTCCACCTCCCAAAGTGCTGGGATTACAGGTGTGAGCCACCGCCCCCAGCCTGTTTTAACTTTTGTATTTTAATCTTTAAAAAAAAAAAAATTGTAAATATTTTCTTGTCATTATTTTAATCTACAAACCCTTGTGTCGAAAGCTGACTTTCAATAGATTGCAGCGAGGGAGCTGCTCTGCTAAGTACAAAACCCCGACCCAGAAGCAGGTCGTCTCCAAGTAGTTTAGCTCCAGGAATCCATTGCATTTCTAAACACCAGCAATAAAATTTGAAAATGACAGTTTAAAAATACAATGTAGTATAAACAAAATTTGCAGTAACATCAAAAAAATATAAAGTACCCAGGATCAAATCAAACAAAAATTGTGCAAGGCCTTTGTAGCGAAAATAAACATCTCTCTTTAAATAAATGCAGAAAGATACCATCAATCAAAAGACACAACAAAATAAACACAACAGTTTTCCCTCCACTGCTCTATAAATTCAGTTTAATTCCATTCAATTCCAATAAAACCCCAAGCAGTATTTATTTTGTAGAACATTCAGCCTAATTGTACAATATATGCCACAGTACAAAACACAAAAATACTTCAAAAGAGAAACAAAATGGGATTTGTCTTTAAAAATATCAAAGATTATTTTAAAGCTGTTAATTATTAAGACAATGAAATACTGTCATGGGATAGAAAAATTGATCAATAGAAAGAATAGAGGCTAGAAAGAGAAATATATCAACATAAGAGTTATGACCTGGCTGGGCACGGTGGCTCACGCCTGTAATCCCAGCACTTGGGGAAGCCAAGGCGGGCAGATTACCTGAGGTCAGGAGTTCCAGACCACCCTGGCCAACATGGCAAAACCCTGTCTCTACTAAAAATACAAAAATTAGCCGGGCATGGTGGCAGGCACCTGTAATCCCAGCTACTCAGGAGGCTGAGGCAGGAGAATCATTTGAACCTGGGACGCAGAGGTTGCAGTGAGCCGAGATCACACCACTGCACTTCAGCCTGGGTGACAGAGCGAGACTCTGTCTCAAAAAACAAACAAACAAAAAAAGTTATGACCAACTTGGCATTAAAGATAAATGAGAAAAGGATGGGTTCCTCAAAGATGGCTGCAAGACAATTGGTTATATGTAGGGGAAAGAGGTGACATTAGATCCTTACCTCACACCATACACTGAAATGAGTCAAAGGTAGATTAAGGACTTAAAAAACTTTTTAGTAGACAAAAGAGAATAATTTTTTATGACTTTGGGGTAGGAGAAGGACTTCTTAAACAAGAGATAAAAGAACTTACCACAAATGAAAAGAATGATAAAATTGATTCATTAAAATGTGAACTCCTTTTTTAAAAAATTTTTATTTCCATAGGTTATTGGGGAACAGGTGGTGTTTGCTTACATGAGTAAGTTTTCAGTGGTGATTTGTGAGATTTTGGTGCACCTATCACGCAAGCAGTATACATTGCACCCAGTTTTTAGTCTTTTATCTCTCACCCCATTCCCACCCTTTCCCCCTAAGTCCCCAAAGTCCACTGTGTCATTCTTATGCCTTTGCATCCTCATAGCTTAGCTCTTACTTATGAGTGAGAACATGCAATGTTTGGTTTTCCATTCCTGAGTTACTTCACTTAAAATAATAGTCTCCAATCTCATCCAGGTTGCTGCAAATGCCATTAATTCATTCCTTTTTATGGCTGAGTAGTATTCCATCGTATATATATATACCGCATAAAATGTGAATTTCTTTTATCAAAATGCATTATAAACAAAATGAGCAAACAAGCCACAAACTGGGGAAAGACATTTACCACCCGTAATCAGATTAACATCTGATATAGAACTCTTATAAACCAAGAAGTAAAAAATAAAACAATCTAATAGAAGACTTAAAGCAAGCAGTTCACAGAAGAGAAAACCCAAATAACTAATAGACATGTAAAGACATCCAACCTCATTAGTATTCAGAAAATGCAAATTAAAACTGTAATGTGTTACCACATTTGCAGAATCACAAAGTCTAATCATATTGAGTATAATCAAGGATCGTGGAACAGTACATTGTTGAACAAAGTCGGTCATAGTGCTTGATTCTGATCTTACAGGGAATATATATACTGCTGGTGGGAGTGTAAATTGAATCAAGCCCCTTAGAAAACAATTTTATGTTATATGGAAAAGCTGACAATGTACCTTCTCTTCCCCTCCTAGGTACCTACTCTGGAGAAATTCTGTACACACGCACTAGAAAATGTAGACAAAATGCTCATAGTAGCACTGTTTGTAACAGCAAAAACTGGAAACAATCAGAAAGTCAACCAACTAGAGAATGCATAAAACAAATGGGGAGCATAAATAAATACATGTAGAATGTGAGATAATATGACAGAGAAAATAAATAATGAATTACAACTATGTACAGCAACATGGATGTATCTCAGAAACAAAATGCTGACTATTAAAAGCAAGTCGTGGAAGAATATAAGATTATATGCTTATGAACTTCAAAAATGCAAAAACTAGACAATATTTATTCTCAGAAATATAGTCATACAGTTAAAATACCTCTGAGGTGGGAAGGTTAGGGGATAAGATTGAAAAGGAGGCACACAAAGGACCTCAAATGTAATGGTAAAGTTGTTTTCTTACAAAAGGTGGTGAGTGATGGGGAGGAAGAGAGGAGTCAATGTTAATTCATTGAGGGAGGTTTTCCAAGTCAGTTTTCACTGAAAGGAGGGAAGATGGGCCCCGTGTACCCTTTACTGAGTGTGTTGGAAAGCAGAGATGAGGAAAATTGGGAGAGACAAGCAAGTAGGAGAGATCGGACAGTCTGGTGGGGACAATGGAAAGGGCAGACCACAAGTTGGGGGAGGATGGAAAGGTCCCCATTAAGGCCTTTACTATGTGTCAACTCATTAATCCTTACAATCCAATGAGAGAGGTATTATACTCATTTTACAGATGAGGAAACTGACATACTCAGGACACTTGGCTGACTCCTCTTCTAACTCTCAAGTACCCCAAGGTTCATCTCTTAGGCTTCTAGGAACTCACCCAATCCACAGCTTTAAATGTCACCTGTCCACCGAAGACCCTCACATTGATTATCTCTAACCGAACCTCCCCTGTTAGCTCTAGCAGCCTGCTCAACTTCCACACTTGGATGTCTAATCAGCATCCCAAATCTAACACATCGAATGGAAATGCTTGCTTTTTCTCAGGGGCAAAGCATCAGGACCCAAGCATAGTGAGGAAGACATGTGTACAGGAGGTCAGCCCTCAGTAGGGTGAAATAAATAGAAAAGTAATGAGATACCTGGGAGCAGCTGCCACCACCCCCACCCACAATAGCAACCAGCACACCTAGTGCCCAGATCTTGGTTTCTAAATACATTCTTTCCTGAAAAGAACCACACATCCTTAGAGAATTGGTTTGTTCCAGGGCTAGGGCATGGAAAGTACAAGATGGGCCTGGAACATCTTGTTGTACCAGAAAGAAAGGAAGCACTGTCCTTTCAAAATGACAGAAAGCAGCCTAAAAGGGCTCCCACTGGCTAAATCAGGGACGATTTGAGTCTTAAAAATAATATAATAATTTAAATGTAATCCATCACATCAACAGGCTAAAGAAGAAAAATCACATGATCATATCAATAGATGCAGAAAAAGCATTAGACAAAATCCAATACCAATTCATGATTTAAAAAAATAAGTAAAAACTCTCAGCAAACTAGGAATAGAGAGGAACTGCCTCAACTTCACAAAAAGCATCTACCAAATAAACCCACAGGTAACATCATACTTCACTTGATCTTAGCCAAAAGGCCGTGAGGCTATAGATAACATCATACTTAATGGTGAGAAACTAGAAGCTTTTCTAAGATCAGGAAAAAGGCAAGGATGTCCCTTCACACAACTCCTTTTCAACATACTGGAAGTCCTAGCTAATGCAATAAGAAAAGAAAAGACATACAGGTTGGGATGGAAGAAATAAAACTGTCTTTGTTCACAGATGACAGGAATATCTATGTAGAAAATCTGAAAGAATCAAGAAAAAAGAAACTTCTGGAATGAATAGCAATTACAGCAATGCCACAGAATACAAGGTTAATATACAAAAGTCAATCACTTTCCTACGTACCAGCAATGAACAAGTGGAATGTGACATTAGAAACACAATACCGGCCAGGCACAGTGGCCCACTCCTGTAATCCCAGCACTTTGGGATGCCAAGGTGGGTGGATCATTTGAGGTCAGAAGTTCAAAACCAGCCTGGCCGACATAGTGAAACCCCATCTCTACTAAAAATACAAAAATTAGCTGGGCGTGGTGGTGGGCACCTGTAATCCAAGTTACTTGAGAGTCTGAGGCAGGAGAATCACTTGAGCTCCGGAGGCAGAGGCTGCAGTGAGCCAAGATCATACCCCTGCACTCCAGCCTGGGAGACAGAGCGAGACTCCATCTCAAAAAACAAAACAACGAAACAAAAAAATGCCATTAGCACCCCAAAAATGAAATACCTAATTATAAATCTAACAAAATATAAGTACAAGATCTATATAAGGAAAACTACAAAACTCTGATGAATTAAATCAAAAACTAAATAAATGGAGAGATAGTCCATGTTCATGGAATATGAACTGGAGAGATGCCAGTTCTCAACTTGATCTATAGATTCAATACAATCTCAATCAAAATCCTGACAATTATTTTGTAGATAGTGACAAACTGATTTTATATGGAGTGGCATATAACCCAGAATACCCAACACAACAATGAAAGAGAGCAAAGTTAGAGGACTAACACTATTCAACTTCAATACTCACTATAGAGCTACAGTAATCAAGACAGTGTTGCACTGGCAAAAGGGGAAGCAAATAGATCAATAGAGCATAATAGATAATCCAGAAATAGACCCACATAAATATAGTCAACTGATCTTTGACAAAGGACCATGGGCAATACAGTGGACCAAAAATAGTTTTTTAATCAACAGAAACTATTTTGTTGATTAAAAATGGTGTAAGAATAGCTGGACATTCACATACGAAAAAAATGAATCTAGACACAGACTTTACACCTTTCACAAAAATTAACTCAAAATGAATCAGAGACCTAAATGTAAACCACAACATTATAAGATTCCTGGAAGATAATATAGGAGAAAAACTAGTTAGCCCTGTGTGAGGCAATGATATTTTAGATACAACATCAAAGGCAAAATCCATGAAAGAAATAATTCATAAGCTGGACTTCACTAAAATTAAAACCATCTGCTCTGGGAAAAACGTTGCCAAGAGAATGAGAAAACAAGCCACAGAATGGGAGAAAGTATTTGCAAAAGTCATATCCAATAAAATACTGTTATCCAAAATATACAGCCAGGCACCATGGCACACACCGGTGGTCCCAACTACTCAGGAGCCTGGGGCAGGAGAATTACTTGAGGCTAGGAGTTTAAGGCTGTAGTATGCTATGATCATTCCTGTGAATAGCCACTGCACTCCAGCCTGGGCAACATAGCAAGACTCCAACTCAGGAAGAAAAAAATACAAATAACTCATAAAATTCAACAATAAGAAAATGAACAACCTGATTAAAAAATGGGCAAAAGACCTGAACAGACCCTTCCTTCACTAAAGATGATATACAGATGGCAAATAAGTATATGAAAAGATGCTCAATATCATATATCATTATGGAATTGCAAATTAAAACAAAAATGAGATATCACTACATACCTGTTAGAATGTCCAAAATCCAACAGGAACTCTCATTCATTGCTGATGGGAGTGCCAAATGGTACAGCCACTTTGGAAAACAGTTTAACAGTTTCTTACTAAACATAATATACTAAAAACTAAACATATGATCAAGCAATCGTGTTCCTTGGTATTTATCCAAATCAGTTGAAAACATGTCCACAAAAAACCCTACACACAATGTTTATAACATTTTTGTTGCCAAAACTTGGAAGCAACCAAGTTGTCTTTCGGTAGGTGAATGAATAACTAAACTGTGGCACATCCAGACAATGGAATATTATTCAGCACTATAAACAAACTACCAAGCTATGAACATTTGAATGCACACTATTAAGTGAAAGAAGCCAATCTGAAAGGTCTACATACTTATAATTCCAATTCTATGACATTCCAGAAAAGGCAAAAATATGGATGGGGAGGGATGAATAGGAAGGGCGCAGAGGATTTTTAGGACAAGCGAAACTATCCTATATGATACTATAATGGTGGATACATGTCATCGTACATTTTTCAAAACCCATAGAACGTACAGCACCAAGAGTGAATCCTAATGTAAACTATAGACTTTGGGTGGTTCACTAATTATAAAAAATGGACCACTCTTTCATGGAACATTGATAGTGGAGAGGCTCTGTATATGTAGGGTGAGGTGGTAGATGGCAAATCTGTGTAACTCCCACTCAATTTTTCTGTGAACCAAAAACTGTCCTGAAAAATAAAGCCTATTAAAAAAAAAAACAGGCCAGGTGCGGTGGCTCACACCTGTAATCCCAGCACTTTGGGAGGCCAAGATAGGTGGATTGTTTGAGCTCAGGAGGCAAACTGCAAAAACACTAGCCTGTAATCTTCAAAAGCATCAAGCTCATGGAAATCAAAGAAAGGCTGAGGAGCTGTTCCAGAGTGAAGGGAAGTAAAGAGACATGACAGCTGTCTGATTCTGAATCATGTCTTTTGCTATAAAGCACATTATAGGGACAACTGGAGGACCTTGAATGGGGTCTGAAGATTAGACAGCAGTGACAAATCCATGCTCATGTCCTGATTTCGACGGTTCTGTAGACCTACCTTGATTGTGAGAAATGCACGTTCAAGTTTCAATGGTGCCTGATACTAAAGTATCAGATGGCTTCACTATTTTCATCCGAATGCCATCCTGGGTCAGAAACAGCCCAAGAGGGACAGACCAGAGCCCTGTCACAGCAAAGGTGTGGTAAGGACATCAATGGGCTTGGTGGCTGGAAAAAATTCATCCAGCCTACTGACCCAGCCATGATCCGCCCATTGCCCATTAAGTCCAAGGCCAAGGTTAAGCAGAGAGCAACCACATTCCTCTAACTTGTAGGCCAAGGGCTGGCTAGGCAGGGGGTTTTGAGGGGATAACCCCTCTTCTAGGACCACCTTGAGGAGTAAGGGCAGACAAGCAGGTGAGGGTAAGTGTGACACACAGAGACTGTGCTCTTCCTGCCCTCACCCTGCCCCACTCCCACAACATTGGGCCTACCCTTGGGAGCTGGCATTCACCGATCCTCTGTCGGCAGGGCCTGCTACCTGTGCTAGACTCCTATTTACAGCCATGATCAGATATGACCAGGCTCCTTCTGCTCCTGGAGACCAGAGTCATTTGTTGACTGTCTCTATGGACCAAAGTGTTTGAGGCATCTCAGGCAGACTAAACCTGAGTTTCTACCTGCCTCTGACTTGCTGTTAGGCATGTCCTGGGCCAAGCAGGGTGGGGAATGAGGGATGGAGGTGTGGAGAGGATGAAATATTTTCATGTAAAACTTTTTTAAAAAGAACTTCTTTAAAAAAAAATGGTAGGTTGCACCATGTTGACAACCTGCTGTCAAATGATATGAGAAAAAAAGATTTTTTGTACTATTCTTGCAACTTTGAGATTGCTTCAAATTTTTTTAATTTTTTAAAGTTTATTTTATGGGATATTCACATGCTAAAAAATGAATTTGGACCCCAACCTCACACCATATAAATAAATTAACTCAAAATGGATCAACAACTTAAATATAAGAGCTAAAACCATAAAACTCTTAAAAGAAAACATAAGGGTAAATCTCATGTCCTCGAATTTAGAAATGAAATCTTAAATATGACACCAAAAGTACAAGCAGCAAAAGAAAAAATGGATAAGTAGGACTTCATCAAATTAAAAACTTTTGTGCAGCAAAAAAGTGAAAAGACAACCTACAGAATATGATAAAATATTTGCAAATCACATATCTTATAAAGGTCTAGTAGCCAGGATACATAAGGAACTCTTGCATCCAACAACAGAAAGACAAATAGCTCAATTAAAAATGGGCAAAGGATTTGAATAAACATTTATCAAAAGAAGATACACAAATGGCCAACAAGCATAGGGAAATAAAAGTCAAATCCACAGGGAGGGGTGGAGAGGTGGCCGGTGTTGGTTAAAATATATAAAATTTCAGTTAGACGGGAGGAATAAGTTCAAGAGATCTATTGTACAATATGGCACTGTAATTAATAACAATGTATATGTACTTGAAAATGGTGAAAAGACTAGATTTTAAGTGTTCTTGCCAGAAAAAATAAGTATGCGAGATAACAATACATGCTAGTTAGCCCAACTGAGCTACAATGTATACATATTTCAAAACATCATATTGTACACATAAATATGTACAATTTTTATTTGTCAATTAAAGAATATTTTTTTAAATTCACAATGAGATACCACTTCACACCCCTGGCATGACTATAATTTAAAAAATAAATAAATAAGATAATAAGTGTTGACAAGGGTGAGGGAGATTGGAAACTTCATATGTTGCTGGTGGGGATGTAAAATGGTGCAGCCACTTTTTCTTCTTTTTTTGAGACAAAGTCTCGCTCTGTCACCCAGGCTCTCTCGGCTCACTGCAGCCTCTGCCTCTTGGCTTCAATTGATTCTCCTGCCTCAGCTTCCCAAGTAGCTGGGATTATAGGCATGTGCCACCACACCCAGCTAATTTTCTTTTTTTTTTTTTTTTTGTATTTTTTTTTAGTAGAGATAGGGCTTCACCATATTGGCCAGGCTGATCTCAAACTCCTGTCCCCAAGTGATCCGCCCACCTCTGTCTCCCAAAGTGCTGGGATTACAGGCGTGAGCCACCGTACCCAGCCAGTGCAGCCACTTTGGAAAGCGGTATGGCAGTTCTTCAAAATGATACCATATGGCCCAGCAATTCCACTCCTAGATATATACCCAAAAAAAATTGCAGCTACTCAAACAAATACATGTATGTTCATAGCAGCATTATACAAAACAGCCAAAAGACATTGGGAAACAATGGTCCAGCAATGGATGAATGGATAAACAAATTGTGATATATACCTACAACGGAACATTCTTCAACTATAAAAAGGAATAAAGTGCTTGAGACATGCTACAACATGGGTGAACCTCAAAAATATCATGCTAAGTGAAGAAAATAAGACACAAAATGTCACATATTGTATGGTTTCATTTACATGAAATATCTGGAATAGGCAAATTCACAGAGACAGAAAGCAGATTGTGGGGGAAAGGGGTGGTGGAGAGGAAGAATGAGTAGTAACTGCCTAATGGGATGATGAAAACGTCCTGGTACTAGGCGAAAGCAGTAGTTGCATAACACCATAAATGGACTAAATCCCACTGAATTGTCCACTTTAAATTGGTTAACTCTATATTCTGTGAATTTTACCTTAATTTTAAAAAAACAAACTACCAGTTCCTTCCCTGACTTAATCTACTCCCTATATTAAAAAGTCCCTATAGATCGAGACCATCCTGGCTAACACAGTGAAACCCTGTCTCTACTAAAAATACAAAAAAAAAAATTTTACTGGGCGTGGTGGTGGGCACCTGTAGTCCCAGCTACTCGGGAGGCTGAGGCTGGAGAATGGCATAAACCCGGGAGGCGGAGCTTGCAGTGAGAAGAGATCGCGCCACTGCACTCCAGCCTGGGCAACAGAGCAAGACTCCGTCTCAAAAAAAAAAAAAAAAAAGTCCCTATAAACTTTTAGATTACAACCCAAAGTACAAAATAAATACCACGTGTCCATACTGACACAAATAGATGATGGAAGGAAGACGGAAGGAAGGAAGGAAGGAAGGAAGGAAGGAAGGAAGGAAGGAAGGAGGGAGGGAGGGAGGGAGGGAGGGAGGGAGGGAGGAAGGAAGGAAGGAAGGAAGGAAGGAAGGAAGGAAGGAAGAAAGGAAGGAAGGAAGGAAGGAGGGAAGGGAGGGAGGGAGGGAGGGAGGAAGGAAGGACGGAAGGGAGGGAGGGAGGGAGGGAGGAAGGAAGGAGGGAAGGGAGGGAGGGAGGGAGGGAGGAAGTATGCACAGAATATCTCAGAAAGCGCACTCTAGAACGATGGCATCAGAGGCCTCTGAGAGGGACTAGGTGCTTGCAGGTCCATGGAGGGAGGACGTGGCATATCCTTTTCTACACTGTGAATTTTGAACAAAAATAATTTAAAAAGCAGTATTCTGAAGCAAAAGTGACAAAAGGTTCATATCTGCCCAGATATAGGCACCCAGATGTATATGGATAATTATGTTCTGTAATTTTCTGCATATTTGAAAGATTAAAATCTCAAGAAAAGGCCCTATAGGCACCAAGGCCCTGAGGCAGGATGAAGTGCCGCCACTGTGGGCTGGAGAGTGGGGCCAAGGGACAAGGTGGCACAGGATGAGAGAAGTAGGTGGGGACTCGATCCTGGAGCCACAGAAGACCACACCCTTCCCACACATTCCAGAGGCTCCCATCCCTGCCAGCCTAATGCCATGTCTTTCTGAAGTGCTAACAGGGCCCCAGAGTCTGCCTCCTAAATCACCCAGTACCAGCCCTGGCCCGGGCTCTGCTGGCTCCTCGACATGACAAGTTCATTGTTCCCCTTCTTCCGAAGGCTGCTTTTCCCCAAGAGGCAGCTCTGAGCGGGCAGGTTTCTGTGGGCAGATGCCCTGAGGCAGGGTTCACAAAGGCAGTATTGTGTGGCTCCACAGAGCAGGATCCTCGCCCCATCCTCCAGCCCCCACATCAAAGAGGAAAGAAATCAAAGCTGCAGCGGCAGGAGAACACAGCCCATCCCTGGTCCCAGAGGGAGCTCTCGTGTGGTACATTTCATCCCTGGCAGATGAGGAGGTAGATGGAGGCAGGATACTAGCAGTATGTGGCCAGCACCGGCTGAACAGAATGACCACCAGGACAAGAGCCAAGTCGAGGGACAGCATCATCTCCAGGGAGCACAGCACTTTACCATTTGCAGCACAGCACGTGAAGGCAGGGCTGGAACTGAGAGGCTCACGGCAGATGAGAAAATCAAATCAGAGCGTACCAAGGTCACAGAGCTAGCTAGAGAGCCGAGGCTCTCAGGTCCCCTGCCCAGTGTGTTTCCCGGGAGTACAAGGTGGTTTCCACACCAGCAGCTGCAGACGGACTAATGAAGACACAAGGGCTAGACCTCCCACCTGCACCACTTAGTAGCTGGGATCTCTGGGTAGTCAATGACCTCCCTGACCTTGACCCCTCAAGGGTGCCAAGTGCAGTGTGTGGTGCATGGTAAATATTCAACAAATGGTAGCTCTTCTTACCCTGATGCCCTAGAAAAAACCCACTGGAGAGGTGTCACCTAACAGCAAACTCACCTACGCCAGGTGGCCTGGACTGAAACACTAGGAGGTGAGGGCAGCAGCGGGCAGGGTGTTGGGGTTCAATCAGGCTGGTGGGAAAAATATTAAAGATAGTTACAGTAATAGCCAAAAACTATCTTGGAAGACCTGAGAGTTTGCATAGCTTCAGATTGCTTGGCTGAAGGCAGCCAGGGTCTCTTTGCAGGAGCCAGAAAGATTAAGGTGCAAGTACAAAGGAATGTGGGAAGTCTATCTTACTAACCTGTTTATTTATATGGGCTTTAGACTGACCTTTGTCCTACCGGGTACTTTACTGCCTCCTACTCAGGGAGGTCTGCAAAAGTGTATTACTCACAAACGGTGTTTGCTTTAGGCCTCAGAAACTGGCCTTTAATCTTTACCCTCTAGTGGTGTTTACTTGCAACTTTTGTTAATTAGTGTTGCTGAATAAATGCGAGCCTCACTAGCTGATCAGGGCCGAGTCTCAACTGTTTACAGAACTCAGCTTGGAGCCTGTAAGTGGACCCTCAGCTGGACCGGCAGAGCAGAATATCTGTGTGCCAGTGTACTTTATTCATCTGTCACCGAATCAGGGGTCTGCAGGAACAGACTCCCTGCAGCTAACGCCCCCCGCAAAAGGAGCGCTGCCTCAGCAGGGCCCCTTAGGGGTAGCCCCAGATATGGCAGGCTGCCCCAGGCCTCAGAGAGGATCCTTGCAGGGAGACCTCCAGCCTCACCCCAAGGCTTGCCAGCTGTGTGGTGACTGAATGCAATCAGAGCCGCAGGACGGGTGAGGGGATTCGGGAGACCTGGGGGCTAATCCCTACTCTGCCACAGGAGACATGTGTTACTCTGGGAAAGTCACTTTGCTCTCTGAGCAGTAAAATGAAGAGTCTGGATTCCATGAAATTGAAGGCCCCTTCAAAACGAAGTCCCCGTGAATGTATTTTATCCCCAAAATCCTCCTGAAAGGAATAGATAGGTAGATAGAGATGGTTGGATGGTTGGATGGATGGATGGATGGATGGATGGATGGATGGATGGATGATGGTGATATAGATAGAAAGATGATAGAGGCAGATATACATACACACATACATATACATAAAAATTGGTTAGTTATTATCTTCTTTTAAGGCTAACAGAAAAGAAGAGAAGGAGGAGAAAAGGAAGGAAGGAAGGAGAGAGGGAGGGAAGGAAGATTGTCCTTTGGGCATCCAGGGACCAGCTGTTGGAAAAGTAAGTCCAGCTCCCTATGGAGCTGGTGCTCCAGGAATCACAACAAGGCTCAGAGACTCAGACCTCCAAAAAGCATAGAATAGAGGCCCCAGAAGGAAGGCCTGTCTCTTGCCTCTCCCAACAAGGACAAGCCCCGCCCTGTGACTCCCTAAGAAGAGCGTTACTCCTGCCAGACCATGGGCAGCCTGTCCTCGAATCCTGGCCTTGTACTGTGTTTGCATTGGAATCTTCTAGAAGCCCCAGGCCTAAGGGAGAAAGCTAGGCCTAGAGAGTGAGGAGATTTCCTGCTAACTAAAGAGACTACTGTTTATGAGACCAAATACACGACAGGTGAAACACAATACAACTTAGTGAACTAAGGATTCTGCAGGTTCAAGTGAGCAAAGTAACATCTCCCTGTTGGTGTTCAGCCTCCGCCGTGAGCCGCTAACTGGTACACCGAACTCCTGAGCACCTCCACCTATGTGACAATAGGCATCTCAAACTCATCTAAAATTCACCTCCATGATTCCTCCAGATATTAGATCTAAAACTTTGAAACCATCTTTGACCCTCTTTCTCTATCCCATTTAACTGCTAGCAAGACTCGCTGGTTCCACGTCTGCATATTAGCTAGCACGTGTAAGACATGCTGCATGCCACGTGCTGTTCTAAACACTTTCTGTATTAAATTATTCATTCTTTGGCTGGGCGGGTGGCTCATACCTGTAATCCCAGCACTTTGGAAGCCTGAGGCTGGAGGATCGCTTGAGGCCAGGAGTTCGAAACCAGCCTGCGCAACAGAGCAAGATCCTGCCTCTATAAAAAATAAATTTAAAAATTAGCCAGGTGTAGTGGCATGCACCTATGGTCCCAGATACCTGGGAGGCTAAGATGGAGGATTGCTTGAGACTGAGAAGACTGCAGTGAGCCACAGTAGTCCCACTGCACTCCAGCCTGGGCAACAGAGAGAGACCCTGTCTCAGAAAAAAAAAAAAAAAAAAAAAGCCGTTCAGTCTTCATGGTGGCTCTATGGAGTAGGTACTCGCATCCCCATTTTACAGATAAGGAAGCTAAGTCACACAGAGGTTAAGTAGCTGTGAAGCGATGGGGCCGAGGTCGAAGGCAGGACAGGTGGCTCCAGTGCCTGTGTGCTTCACCACTCCACAAACTGCCCTCCAGGGATTTCCAATCACCCCCATCTCCATGGCTCCAGCCCCCGCACCTCCCTCTCTCACCAGCCTCCTCACTAGACACCCTGCTGCCCCCTCCCTGCACACCTTACAATATTTTCCTCAACAGAAAGCAGCAGAGAGAGCTTTAAAAGGAAAGGCAGCTCAAAAAAAAAAAAAAAAAAAGGCCAGGCGCAGTGGCTCATGCCTGTAATCCCAGCACTTTGGGAGGCCGAGGCGGGCGGATCACCTGAGGTTGGGAATTTGCAACCAGCCTGGCCAAAATGGCAAAACCTGTCTCTACTAAAAATACAAAAAAATTAGCTGGGCATGGTGGCAGTCACCTGTAGTCCCAGCTACTCAGGAGGCTGATTCAGGAGAATCGCTTGAATCCGGGAGGCAGAGATTGCAGTGAGCCAAGATCGTACCACTGCACTCCAGCCTGGGCAACAGTGCAAGACTCTGTCTCTAAAATAAAACAAAATAAAATAAAATAAGATAAAATAAAATAAAATAAAACAAAACAAAACAAAACAAAATAAAACAAAACAAAACAAAATAAAATAAAATAAAATGGAAGGCAGTTCAGATAACACCTTTGTTCAAAGACTCCTGTAGTTCCCATGTCACTCAGAGCCTACACCAAAATACTCACCTTGGCCTACAAGATCCTGCATGGTCCGACTTCATCTTCTCCCAGGGTCCCTTTGCTCACTCTGCATCAGACTCATTGTTCAATATTCCCAGAGGCCTCTGTGCTTGCCGTTCCGTCCCCACAGCCTGAAACACCCTTCCCCCCAGCTACCTACCAGGCTCATGCCACCGCTTATCATTGAAGTCTTCCTGAAAACCCTATTGAAAGTATTGACTGCCCATCCCTCACTCTTCCTATTCCCCATACGGGTGTCTCTCCACAGCATGGCCATCATCAGATATGTGACCTATCTACTCTACCTCCCTACCTGACAAAAACCTCCATGAGGGCAGGACCTGGGCGCGTTTTATTCCCTGCTATATCCCCTATGCTTAGAATAGTTACTTGGACCAGGCACTTAACAAATACTTGTTGAATAGATGAATGAAGGCATGACTAAATAAAGTTCTTCCAGGTACAACTGCAGTCTGGTGGGAGTTCAGAGGTAACAGATTAGTCACAGCTGAAAATGGGGGCATTGTGGGGTTAGAGGGGACATCTGGGAAGGCTTCTTGGGGAAGTTAGGGTGTGAACGGGGCCGGTTGGCTTTGCTGAGAGAGATGAGCACAGCCACGCAAAACGCCAGCACCACCATGAGTAAGGAGCAAAGTCACGATGGGCCCCAGGCCGGGCACAAGGGCTCACGCCTATAATCCCAGCACTTTGGGAGGCCCAGGCAGGAGGATCGTTTGAGCCCAGGGTTCAAGACCAGCCTGAGCAACAGAGCAAGACGCTGTCTCTACAAAATATTAAAAACTTAGCCAGGTATGGTAGCACGCACCTGTAGTCCCAGCTACTCAGGAAGCTGAGGCAGGAGGATCACTTGAGCTCAGGAGTTTGGGGCCGCAGTGAGCTAGAATGGCACCTCAGCAGTCCAGCCTGGGGGGCAGAGTAAGACCTTGTCTCTAAAAACTAAAAATAAACATATGAATAAATAAATAAAAATAAGAAACATGGATAAATAAATTGGGGTGTGTTTACAAAATGGAAAGCTCACAGCAATTTAAAAAAGAATGAAGCATTGCTACCATTAACAACATAAATGACTCTCACAGTCATAATGTTCAGCAAAAGAAGCACAAATGAAGACTATGAGTGATTTCATTTATATAAAGTTCAGGAGCAAACAAACTAATCTATGGTGATAAAAGGTTAGCGGCATTTAGAAGAATGATTACCTCTGGTAGGAGCTATTGACCAGGATGGGGCAGGAGGGAGCCTTCTGGGGTGCTGGAAATGACTTACACCTTGATCTGGGTAGCATATATGCATGGCCATAATGGTTACTTGGGTATACATACATGCAAAAACTCATTGAGATGTGTGCATTTCATCCAAATTTTATTTTAAATCAAAGATCCAGAAGAGAGAAACAGGAAGAACAGTGCATTTGCTACCTGAGCCTCTCCTATCAGGCCAAACATGTTCCCAAATGCCCCAGCAACTTTCCCCAAACATCTCTTGGGCCACAGCTGGATCACATACCCACCAGAGACCCATCACCAGCAAAGAGAGGTAGAAGTACTATGACTGGCCAAGACCAGTCATGACCCAGCCCCTGTAGCTGAGCACTCTATTGCTGGAACAAAACCAAGGTTCAACTTATTTATTTATAAGAAGAAAGGTGAAGGCTCAGTGGGGAGCCAACAGTGTCTACCACAACTGCAGAGAGCTCGAAAGAAACTGAAAGGTCATCCCAGGTAGGGAGCAATAAGAGTAGAACTGGCTAATGCTCACTGGGCACTCACCATGTGCCAGGCTGTGTGCAAGGTGCTGACATGGGGCTCTCCCATTCAAGATGGTGGCCAGTGAAAAAGGACGCTGAGAAATTATGAGGGAAAGAGGTCCAAAAATTATTGCCAGGAGCCAGCTGTATTAGTCAGCGTGCTCCGGAGAAACAGAACCAATAGGATGGATAGGTGGATGAATGAATGAATGGGTGGGTGGGTGGGTGGATGGATGGATGGATGGATGGATGGATGGATGGACAGGTAGATGCATGGATGAATAGATGGATGGATGAGTGGATAAATGGGTGGATGGGTGGGTGGATGGATGGTTGGATGGGCGGGCAAATGATTGGATGGGTGGATGGATTTTTAAGGAAGTGACTTAGGATTCTGGAGACCAGCAAGTCCAAAATCTGCAGAGCAGGCCAGCAGTCTGGAAATTCAGGCAGGGGTTGATGCTGAAGTCTTAAGCAGAATTTCTTCTACTCTAGGAAACTTGAGTTTCTGTTCTTAAGGCCTTCAACTGACTGGATGAAACCCACCCATATTATCTAGGATAATCTCCTTAAAATTAACTGATTGCAGATGTAAGCCACGTCAACAAAATACCTTCACAGCAACATCTAGGTCAGTGTTTGGTTGAATAACTGGGTCCTATGGCCTAGCCAAGTTGACACATAAAACAAACCATCAAACCAGCTGACCCAACCTTAATGTACTTCCATTACTATCTCTCTCATTTCCCTAATTAACCCTACCCCAACCAATTCCCCATCCCCAGCTCCCCAGGATTAACCTCCAGACATGGTCATTTCCACCGTCAAGTCTTCTAGGGCCCTCACCGGGTAGGGCTCCACATTGAAGTGGGAGCAAAAGGAACCAGAAAGGTGTTTCTAGCAGGAACCTGGAACAAGAGTCCTGGACTGGGCCAAGTAAGCCACAAAAACCTGAGAAAGAAAAACAAAAGCCTACTCCCCAGACCAGCTGAGCTTTCCCTGAGTTCTTGGCTTGTTCTGCTCCATGGATTCCTTGGTATTTGCTGTCTCTCAGAAACATATTTCTGTGATATATACTGTAAATCTGCTTCATTTGAAATTCATAGTTAATGACCTATTCCCTTGTATTCAGGAAACAGAGTAAGGTTCCGGCTTTTAAAGGCCAGGAGTTTACTAGCCAGAATATGACAAGTATTACAAAGTATAGGCCTACTCTAAAAGCACTTAAGAAACAGTCTCCATCAGAAATTTCAAGAATACCTTCAAATAACATCATTTATCTGCCAAGAGGCCAAGGGGATGGGGAGTGGTGGTGGGCAGAGAGTAAATGAGTATTTGATCAAATCCATACTTTCGACTCCCAGTGGGAGGGGAGGTAAATATTTACTAACCCTTCTCACCCTGGAAAGGTTTGTTTGCATGCTTATATGGACAAGGGGACGTGTGCATGGGTGCAAGCGTGTGCAAGCGTATGTGTGCACCAAAACCCCCTCTCCTCCATCCACCAGCCCCCAAGGCTAACATAAAAACAAACTCTGCCATACTCTGAACTCTGTAATCAAAGAGGTAATTTAATAAAACGAGTATCCCTGTTTTCGGGTGGACCCACTTAACTGAAACCCAAAGCCAGCCCTGGAGTAAATTGGGCTGTGGACGAATCGATTAGGCCCATCCACACTTTCTCATTTTCTATAGAGTCAGGGCTTAACCAGGTTAATTTTTGTTAAACACATTACCCAGGTACTCTCCTCTTACCAGCCCAGTGATTTTGTGTCGGGCCTGAAGGATTGTAATTGCAATCCAGCAAGACGCCAACTGAGTGCTGTGATTTACTGAGGGCCACAGAGCACAGGCCGCCTCCTACCTGCCAGCTGCTGGATGGTAACTTTCTTCCTTGAATCTTGGCATGGCTAATGGATGAGGGTCCAGAGCAAGGCGCCATGCGAGAGTTCTTCCCCAGGGAGAACAGGCTGCTGCCTCTTTTGGGCACCCAACTCTGTGGTTCTCTCTAGGCTTATGAGGGAGAACAAAGGCCTCTTTGTTCCATGGAACAGAAACTCAGGAGGGCCTGGGCTCCCGGGCACTGGCCTTGGGAATTGCTGGTCATTCCCAGTCATGCCCGTTCACTGGGAAGTATGACCTTCCTAACTGTTGTCCAGGGAACATTTCCTGGCCTCATTTTCCCATCTCCTCCAGGCCCCAGACCTCAGACTTCTCCGAGACAGGCCCAGTGCCTCTCTGCTCCACTTCAGATGCACCTTCTGCTGCACTCTGCTCTCGTTGGGCCTGATGCGCACACACTCAGCTTTTCATCCTGCTTTGCAGACACCTCACATCTCCACACCCCAGTCCCCTTGTCTGCTGAATGGGCGTATGAGGGCACCTTCTCATAGGACTGTGAGGACAAAGCCTGAGGAACAGCTACCTGTGCCTGACACACAGTAAGTCTTCAACAAGTGTCAACTGTATAGCCAACATGATGGCACATGTCTGTGGTCCCCACTACTTGGGAGGCTGAGGTAGGAGGATCGCTTGAGCTGGGGAGGTAGAGGCTGCAGTGAGCTGTGATCATGCCCACTGCACTCCAGCCTGGGTGACAAAGTGAGACCCCGTCTCAAAAAAAAAATAAAAATAAAAAATAAAACAAAATCACCTGTAGTCATTTACCTTAAGAAGAGAAACTGGCAAGGACAGAGAAGAACCAATGCTAGCGAGGATGGGGAGAAACGGAGACCCTTATATGATGCTGGCATGCTGGCAGGGATGTAAGGATGGGGCAGACACTTTGGAAACAGTTTGGCAGTTTCCTAAAAAGTTAAATATGCATCTGCCATACGACCCAGCAATTTCACTCCTATGTATTTACCCAAGAGAAATGAAAGCATGTGCCCACACAAAGACTTGTACACGAATGTTCCTAGCTGTTTTATCTTAATACTTGAAAACTAGAAACAACCCAGATGGCTGTGGGCAGGTGAATGGATAAAGTATGGCATGTCCATGCAATGGAATATTAGGTAGCAATAAAAAAAGAATGAAACACTGAGACCTGCTACAATGTGGATGAATCTCAAACCATTATGCTAAGTGAAAGAAGGCAGACACAAAAAGCCATGATTCCAAAACAAAAAATACATGATTCCATGTATATGAAATGTCCAGAACAGGCAAATCTATAGAGTTAGAATGTAGATCTGTGGTTACCTTGGGCTGAGAATTGAATCAAGGATGATAAATAGGCATAAGGGATCTTATTGGTGTGGTAAATATGTTCTAAACTGGATTGTGATGATGGTTGCACGATTCAGTAAATTTACTAAAAAGCATTGAAGTGTAATGAGTAAATTTTATGGAATATAAATTTTGCCTCAATAAAGTTGCTTAAAAAAAAGAAAAGAGAGGCTGGAACCTACCACTTACAGAGACGGTGACTACCTGACATGGTTTGGCTCTGTGTCCCCACCCAAATCTCATCTTGTAGCCCCATAATTCCCACATGTTGTGGGAGGGACCCAGTGGGAAATAATTGAATCATGGGGGTGGGTCTTTCCCATGCTATTCTCATAATAGTGAATAAGTCTCGCAAGATCTGATGGTTTTAAGAATGGGAGTTTCCCTGCACACGCTCTCTCTTTGCCTGCTGCCATCCACATAAGATGTGACTTGCGCCTCCTTACCTTCCACCATGATTGTGAGGCCTCCCCAGCCATGGGGAACTGTAAGCCCAATAAACCTCTTCCTTTTGTAAATTACCCAGTCTCAGGTATGTCTTTATCAGCAGCATGAAAATGGACTGATACACTACCTTAGTGGATTTGGGTTTGTTAGTTTTGCCAATGTAGGGTTACAAGTTGTATTAGTCCATTCTCAAATCACTATAAAGAACTACCTTAGACTGAGTAATTTATAAAGAAAAGAGGTTTAATTTGACTCCCAGTTCCACAGATGGTACAGGAAGCATGGCTGGGGAGGCCTCAGGAAACTTACAATCACGGCAGAAGACAAAGGGGAAGCAGGCACATCTTACATGGCCAGAGAAGGAGGAAGAGAGCAAAGTGGGAGGTGCTACACACTTTTCTTTCTTCTTTCTTTCTTTTTTTTTTTTTTTTAGAGATGGAGTCGCGCTCTGTTGCCAGGCTGGAGTGCAGTGGTGCCATCTTGGCTCACTGCAACCTCTGCCTCCCAGGTTCAAGCGATTCTCCTGCCTCAGCCTCCGGAGTAGCTAGGACTACAGGCATGTGCCACTATGCCCAGATAATTTTTGTATTTCTAGTAGTTGGAGTTTCACCATGTTGGCCAGGATGGTCTCAATCTCTTGACCTCATGATCTGCCCACCTCAGCTTCCCAATGTGCTGGGATTACAGGCATGAGCCACCACGCCTGGCCAGTGCTACACATTTTTAAACAACCAGATCTCATGAGAACTCTATCCTGAGACAGCAACAGGGGGATGGGGTTAAACTGTTAGAAACCACCTCCATGATCCAATCACCTTCCACCAGACCCCACCTCCAACACTGGGGATTAAATTTCAACACGAGATTTTGGGGGGGACCACAGAGCCAAACCATATCACAAGTTTTTGTTGAGACTGAAAATTCATGTAATACACATGTCTGTGTCATTGTATGAGATACTGGTATAAATTACCTAGTACAGGGCCCAGTATGAAGTTGGGAATGACAGCAGGCATAGTTTCATTCGTTTTCTTTCATTGGGAAAGTTCTCCTGGAAGAGGAAAGACATCAGAGGTGTGTTAGTCCATTTTGCATCACTATAAAGGAATACTCAGGGCTGGGTAATCTATGAAGAAAAGAGGTTCAATTGGCTCATGGTTCTGCAGGCTGTATAGAAAGCATGGTGATGGCTGGGCACGGTGGCTCATGTCTATAATCCCAGCACTTTGGGAGGCTGAGGCGGGCAGATCACCTTGAGGTCAGGAGTTCGAGACCAGCCTGGCCAACATGGTGAAACCTCGTCTCTACTAAAAATACAAAAATTAGCCGGGCATGGTGGTGTGCACCTGCAGTCCCAGCTACTCGGGATACTGAGGCAGGAGAATCACTTGAATCCAGGAGGCCAGAGGTTGCAGTGAGCTGAGATTGCGCCACTGCACTCCAGCGTGGATGACAGCACGAGACTCCATCTCAAAAAAATAATAATAAAATAAAAAGAAAGCATGGTGCTGGCATCTGCTTGGCTCCTGGTGAGGCTTCAGGGAGCTTTTACTCATGGTAGAAGGTGAAGCAGGAGCAGGCATGTGACCAGCAAGAAAGGGAGCAAGAGAGAGAGGAGGTTCCAAGCCCTTTTAATTAACAACCAGCTCTTACGTGAACTACCAGAGGGAGAACTCGTTCATTACCATGGAGACAGCACCAAGGCATTCCTGAGGGATCCACCCTCATGACCCAGCTACCTCCCACCAGGCCCCACCTGCAACACTGGGATCGTCTTTCAACATGAGATTTGGAGAGGACAAACATCCAAACTACATCATGGGGGTTACAATGGACCTTTTACAATCACCACCTGCTCTCAGGATGTTCAGCACATGAAATACCTATAAAATCCTATTGTCAGTGGGAACTGATTGGAAATTCAACTACACATCGTTTTTTGAGTATCTTCCATGTGAATGACATTTGCTAGGTGAGGAGGGAGAGAGAAAGGCCTAGAAAACACTGCCTCTGCCTTCAAGGCGCTTACAGGCTCCAACCCAGGAAGGAGTGAGGGTTCCACTCCAGGCCTTCCTGGAATTATACAATGTGCTCAGTATTCTCTCTGGCTGACAGCCACCCTCCCACTTCTGCCTGCATAGCTACACTTTATAGCATCCTCACTCTGGAATCTCACCTTTCTCCATCACCAACCCACCCCCAACTCTGGGTGTGAAATCTACAGGCAGGAGGCAGCCTACGTAGTAGTCACAAGCACTGACCCTGGCACTCTCATAAGTGTGTTTGCCTCTGAGCTCTGCTATTGGCTGGCTGTGAGAATAAGTTGCTGAATGTGGGCCTCAGTTTCTTCACCTGTAAAATGGGCATGATAATCTCAAGAATCTCATAAGCTTGATATAAGGACTACATAAGTTAATATACAGAAACTGCTTAGTTAATATACAGAGCTGGGAACATGGCCAAGGGCCAGCTCTGATCATTGCTCTGTAAGCCAGGCCTTCTCCCCAGCATAGCCTCCAGCATGGCCTGGCTGTTGCTGCCAGCTTCCAAGCTGTACGCCTCACCCCTTTGGTAAGCAGAGAACTGGCGGGGAGGGAACTCTCACCATCCCCCACGTGTGTCATTGACGGCAGCCCTGCATCTGTGATGTCACTACTGTTGTGTGATTGTTAAAACAATGTCACTGCCGTTGTGTGATTGTTAAAACAATCCTGGCTGGGAGCAGTGGCTCACACCTATAATCCCAGCACTTTGGGAGGCTGAGGCACGAGGTCAGGAGTTCAAGACCAGCTTGGCCAAGATGGTGAAACCCCGTCTCTACTAAAAATACAAAAATTAGCTGGGCGTGGTGGCAGGCACCTGTAATCCCAGCTACTTGGGAGACTGAGGCAGGAGAATTGCTTGAACCCGGGAGGTGGAGGTTGCAGTGAGCCAAGATCGCACCACTGCACTCCAGCCTGGGTGACAGAGTGAGACTCCATCTCAGAAAAAAAAAGTCTCTCCCTCCTGCAGGAATGCAAGCTCCTTCAGCCAGGCTTCACTGCTGCGTACCCAGCTCCTTACGCAGGGCCTAACAAGCACTCACTAAATTTTTATGGCAAGAAGAAAAAGAGGAATAGCTGGGTGCAGTGGCTCAGGCCTGTAATCCCAGCACTTTGGGAGGCTGAGGTGGGCAGATCACCTGAGGTCAGGAATTCGAGACCAGTCTGGCCAACATGGTGAAACCTTGTCTCTATTAAAAATACAAAAATTAGCCGGGCGTGGTGTCACACGTCTGTAATCCCAGCTACTCGAGAGGATGAGGCAGGAGAGTTGCTTGAACCCAGGAGGCAGAGGTTGCAGTGAGCTG
This sequence comes from Homo sapiens, assembly GCF_000001405.40. Taxonomy (NCBI): domain Eukaryota; kingdom Metazoa; phylum Chordata; class Mammalia; order Primates; family Hominidae; genus Homo; species Homo sapiens. The sequence continues at coordinate 25,180,135 of NC_000001.11, forward strand.
AGATCACACCATTGCACTCCAGCCTGGATGACAGAGCGAGACTTTGTCTCAAAAAAAAAAAAAAAAGGGAAAAGAGAAAGATGAAGATGGGAGGATGGGAAGGGAGAGGGAGGCACTGGCAAGAAGCACCCTCCCAAGATAAATGTTACTGCGACCAAGCAGACCTCTAATCCTGAGACCAGAGCTCAAGTCTGAAAGCGTTGGGATAAAAATAGGAATTTTAATTATGATAGGGCAAATGACCCGCAAACTGGCACCATATTTCTCTGTGTTTCAGCTTATGCAGAGAGTGTAATTATAAGCCACCATGTATTACTCTGAATACTGCGAGGTCTTTCTCTAAGCACTTTATACATATTTTTAAATCTTCACAGCAACCCTCAAAGGAAGGTACTATTATTATCCCCATTTTACAGATAAGAAAACTGGGGCACAGAGGGTTTTAATAACTTGTCTGAAGCCACACAGCTAGTAAATGGCAGAGCCAGGTTTGGACCCACATACTTTGATTCTATTTTTTTTATTTTATTTTTTTATTTTTTATTTTTTTTGAGACAGAGTCTCGGTCTGTCACCCAGGCTGGAGTGCAGTGGTGAGATCTCGGCTCACTGCAAGCTCTGCCTCCCGGGTTCATGCCATTCTCCTGCCTCAGCCTCCGGAGTAACTGGAACTACAGGCGCCCGCCACCACACCCGGCTAATTTTTTCTATTTTTAGTGGAGACAGGGTTTCATTGTGTTAGCCAGGATGGTCTCTATCTCCCGACCTCGTGATCCGCCCGCCTCGGCCTCCCAAAGTGCTGGGATTACAAGCATGAGCCACCGCGCCCGGCCATACTTTGATTCTAGAAACTGTGCCCTTAACTCTTACATGATGCTTCCAGAAGAGAGGGAACTGTTTAAGGAATCAATAAGCAGCATTTCTTTTCTGACATTACGGAGCTTGGAAACTCATGCTAGGGAAAAGGGTCATCTCAAACAATTGCCACTAGTACTATAAGGCTAGCAGATCCCTCCGAGACTCTGTCATTCACTCAACAAACGTTTATTGAGCACCTAACCTCTCTGCACCTTAGTTTTCTCATCTGTACAGTGGGAATAATAATAACGGAACATGCCTTTTAGGATAAAGCACTTGGACTACAGCCTGGCACACAGCAGGGGCTCAGTAGGTGTTTTTGTTTTGTTTTGTTTTTGAGATGGAGGTTCGCTCTTGTCACCCAGTCTGGAGTGCAATGGCGAGGTCTTGGCTCCCTGCAACCTCCGCCTCCCAAGTTCAAGTGGTTCTCCTGCCTCAGCCTCCCGAGTAGCTGGGATTACAGGCACCTGCCATCATGCCTGGCTAATTTAGGTATTTTTAGTAGAGACAGGGTTTCACCATGTTGGCCAGGATGGCCTCCAACTCCTGACCTCAGGTGATTCATCCACCTTGGCCTCCCAAAGTGCTGGGATTACAGGCGTGAGCCACCGTGCCTGGCCAATAGGTGTTTTTCGTATTATCGTGGATTTGCGGTAGGCCCTAGCTAACTTGTGGGAATGAAAGGAGGCAGAAGACAGAAACTTTCCCCGAAGGAGCTGGCCGGCTAGTAGGAAAAATGGACAAATAAACCATCACAACCTAGTAATTCTTTAAAAAATTAAAAAGTGCCAACTTGACCAAAATGTAAGATTTAAGCACCATTATTTACAATACAAAATACTGTTGAAATTAAATACATTTGCTAAAAGGCAGCAATGTTCTGTGGACTAAAACACAGTCCTTCCCTCCACTTGCATGAGAGCAAGGTTCTCATTACTTGCTTTGTAAAAGCAACTTCCAGGGTAAAGCACTGGTACAATATACCAAACCTCCCAGCTGCTCACCACCTTCCATCCAAATCAAGATTCAGGGTGACACTTAAATGCTATCAAGGAGAGAATCGGTCCTTTTCCATCAAGGATATCCATACTGAGCCTGGAAAGGAAATCTGCATCTCTTAGAAATATTTAGGAATATTAGAAACAAATTTTTGAAATATCTGGAAACTACACTTTTCTAAATTATATTTGAATTAGAATTATACCAGCCTTTTGGGAAGCAGAGGCAGGCAGATCATTTGACCCCAGGAGTTTGAGACCAGCCTGAGCAACATGGTGAAACCCCATCTCCACCAAAAAAATATATATATACACAAAAATTAGCCTGATGTGGTGGTGCATGCCTGTAGTCCCAGCTACCCCGGAGGCTGAGGTGGGAGGATCACTTGAGCCCAGGAGGTCAAGGCTGCAGTGAGCTGTGATTGTGCCACTGCCCACTGCACTCCAGCCTGTCCAGCCTGGGTGACAGAGTAAGACTCTGTCTCAAAAATAATAATAATTATTATTATATTAGAATGTATAATTCTAAATTATAATTTAGAATGTAATACTATTAGGGTATTCCATTCATGGCCTAAAACATCATTTCAGAAAAGAGAGACTTCACTACATCACTGCTGTCCTTTGGTAACTGTGCAGGAGAAAGGCCGGTAACTCTCACTGATATCTGCAGGAGAGGCTCCGAGGCGAGGTGCGAGTCATCTATAGGAACTCGAATCCTCCACCACTCAGGGCTGGACCCACTGCAGCATTCCAGCTAGGGCTGCTTCTTTACTGGTCTTGGGAATTCTAGGGAAGATTTTTTCCCCGCCTGTGGCATGAAAGCATGAGTCATTTTTGCGAACCACACTAGTGCGGTGTCTAGTGAAGGAATGTGCCATTGGTGGAAAGATCTGGATGGGAACGTTATAAATTTTTAAGCACAAGTGAGGTCAACCCACTATCACCTGGTGTAAAATACGGTCGTCTGCCAACCCTTCCCGCTGAGGGCCGAGCTCACTGGCAGAAGGAAACAGGACCTCAGGCCCTCACCGCATTTCCGGAAGGCGGTAGAATACGCCATCTAATGAGAATGTGACATGAGGAAAATATATGGACACCTACTGAAGCCAGAGAACAGATTCCAGCTGATCCTCCATCTCTCGCCTTTGCAAAAACAACAATAGTTTCATCCTTCAACCACTTACCAGGGAGGCAGAGCAGCAGGGGACAATGGTCAGGAGCCCATCTCTGGCCTCACGTGACCCTGAGCCAGTAACCTGTGCCTCAGTTTCCTTATGTATAAAACATAGTCGGTGATAATTCCACGTTCCTCCCTGGGCGGCTGTGAGGATTTAATGCGACTACACAGGTTTCGGTTCTTAGCGGAGGACTTGGCACATGCAAAGTCTCCACATGCAGAGCTGATTTAGTATGGCGTTCCCTCCCTCCAGGCACCATGCTAAGTCTTGGCCTGCACCATTTCGTGAACCCTCACAACACCTCATGAGGTGGATATTTTATTTCTTGTTTTACAGAAGAGGAAACTGAGGCCCAGCAAGGTGAAGTGCCTTTGGCCATTGGCATGTAGTCTCAAAGCCTGGCAGGACCCTAAGGGCCACCCCAGCTGCCTGCACAATGCCCTCCCACGGTCCTCACCGTCCTCACCACCCTCACCGCCCTGCCTCACATGCAAAGGCCTTCCCGAGCCTTGCTGCACCCGTCCTTCATCTCTCCACCCTTTCTTGCCGCAGAGTCAGCTTGCTCTCCTGAGACCGGGTTCCAGTTATCTTAACACAAAAGCAGCCCTATTGGAGGCAGCTTCTGGGCCAGGGCTCTCCACGAGGGGTCTTCACGTGGTCAGGGCTGCCCTCACCCAAGGTGCAGCCTCCTCACAGGCAGTCCAGCCCCGCGGACCTGCCCATGGGCCTCCTGCTCCAGCCCAGGCCTGTCCTGCCTCTCTGCCCAGATCCAGGCTCTGCTGTGCCTTTTCTCATCCATAGCCCAGCTACTAATTACTGCCCAGCAAGCATGCTGCCCTCACTCCAGAACCAGCCAGCAGAGGAAAAGCTTTAGGCTCTCAAGCAGCCTCCTCAAGCCTCCTAGCCATGAGGGTGAGCCATGTCCCTTTCCCTGGCAGGTTCCCTTAGGGAGGCAGACCCAGGGATGGAGCCACACACCCTCGGCCGACCGTGCCATTAGAGATGTGTTTCATGGGAACCAGAAAGGGGGAAGTGTGTGCGTGCATGCGCGTGTGTTTCCCAAGGCCTCCTGGTGCTGTGCCCAGAGCAATTCAAGAAGAGGGATATGATAGGGGTAGGCTCCTGTACTGCTGCTTCTGGAAGGGTCCAGGGCCACCTGGAGGGCCCCTAAACATGAAAACATCTGCTTTCCCACCTGAGCAGGCAACAGTGTTTGCCCCAGGGTCAGGGGTGGTCATGGACCATTGTCTTCATGTGGTAAATGGAGAAACTGAAGAAAGGTGTGTGCGCTACATCCTGGCCTCTCCCACATCCACCCTCTCGAGCACATGGTGCACAGCCCCAGGCCTCCAGTGCCTGGGCGCCATGGACTGGCTGCCCTAGGCTCATGACGTAGCAGCTTTGCTGTGTGACCTGGAGCAAGGCCTCAGCCTCTCTGGGACTCAGTTTGTCCTTAGTCTTAGTATCAATGATGACTAAAAGGTGACAGAGGCCAGACGCGGTGGTTTACACCTGTAATTCCAGCACTTTGGGAGGCTGAGGCAGGCAGATCACGAGGTCAGGGGTTAGAGACCAGTCTGGCCAACATGGTGAAACCCCATCTCTACTAAAAATACAAAAATTAGCTGGGCATGGTGGTGCGCGCCTGTAGTCCCAGCTACTCGGGAGGCTGAGGCAGGAGAATCACTTGAACCCGAGAGGCGGAGATTGCAGTGAGCCATGATCGCGCCACTGCACTCCAGCCTGGTGACAGAGCGAGACTCCATCTCAAAAAAAAAAAAAAAAAAAGGTGACAGAGTGCTGACTGGGTGCCAAGTACTGTTACCCTCATGTCAACCTTTTGCCGAAGGGAACTGAGAAATGATGCCGTGCACAGTGGCTCACGCCTGTAATCCCAGCACTTTGGGAGGCAAAGGCAGATGAATCACCTGAGGTCAGGAGTTCGAGACCAGCCTGGCCAACATGGCAAAACCCCGTCTCTATTAAAAATACAAAAATTAGCCAGGCGTGGTGGTGGGCGCCTGTAATCCCAGCTACTCAGGAGGCAGAGGCAGGAGAATCACTTGAACCTGGGAGGCGGAGGTTGCAATGAGCCAAGATCGCACCACTGCACTCCAGCCTGGGTGACAGAGTGAGACTGTCTCAAAAAAAAAAAAGAAAGAAAGAAAGCTGGACTGAAATCCAAATACATAGGTCAGTACTGATAGACACCAAACATCTTTGAGATCATAGAGGGGAGGGGAAGGGCCCCCTGAAGGATGGAATGGGTGGGGTTTTAATCAGGTAAGAGAAGGGGGGCAGAGGCTGCTAGTTCCTTCCAATTCAACTTTATAAAATAACTCATCCAATTGAAAGCTAGAGAGCCCCCACCTCTCGCTCCACAGAAGCAAGATGCTGTCCAGTTCCCATCTCAGCACCTCCCAGACAGCCTTTCCAGCTGGAGCAGCTCCGCGAAACATTTTCCAAACTCATTAAGCCCTGCAACAATCTAATTTTGCTTGCAAAATTTCCCCTGGCCCTACCAACACTCTCTAAAATTGCTCCCCCTTTCATTCCATCCATCCCCCAGGTTTCACCAACCTCTTCCCACATCACCTGGCAAAGAGAAGGCTCAAGCATTTACTGCCTACAGCAAAGAACTTGAACTTGAGTTTGGATTTGGTGTGAGAGGGAACTACCCTAGTTTTAGCAAACAGCTTTGCCCTGCACCGCAACCCCCACCCCACCCACCCACCTCCGGCCTGATTTTCTTTAGCCAGTTTCTGTTTTCTTTCAAGGCTTGTACGTGGGACAGTTTTCACATCTACAGCTCAGTGCCAGGGCAGACCCTGCGTGGCTCTGAATCCCACCTAAGTCCCAGCCCCCCAGAGCAAACACAGAGCCGACAGCAGCCTGGAACAGACACCTTGATTTACAGTCAAGCGTAAGCTCTGCGAATTCTATTTCCCCAGAAACACATGAAAAACTTGGCTCTGTCATTTTGCTGACACAAATCTTTTTCTTTTTTTTTTTTCTGTTATTCCTCCCTCCATGGTCCCTTCCTTCCCCACCCCTCCTTCCACCCCAATCACCAGTACAAACTGAAAAGTTGCAGTTGTACAGGCAAAGAGATTGGACAAACTGACTCAACTTGAACATAATCTTCTTTCTGAAGCTGCAGCTCCGGTGGTGGGTACATTGCTTATCATACGTCAAGGGCAGGAGGAGGCATTTCCTAGCTCCCCGGCTTGCCTTTGCCCGGCACACAGCAAGACCACTCACTCCAAGAGGCTCAGCAGAGTGGAACAAAATCTGCAGGCTCTGTGCCCTTCTTAAGGAGTGAAAGCCTGCTATGAAATCCCCTACAACCCGCGGGGCCATGGAGCCTCCCCACTCCTTCCCTGACGCATTCTCCCCAAATCCCACTAAGGCCCGAGTCAGATGCATTTGCTGCACATCAAATGGGAAGGCTCCCCCTTCTCCTTCCGCCCACACAGACTCACTGAGGACAGTCCCACCATCATCCAGGGCACAGAAACGTCAGAAGCAGCAAAACCTCAGAGCAAAGCCATGGGGCCACAGAGTCCTCCCCAAGCAAGAAAGTCCCCATCCCATGTCTCAAGTCCTCTGCAAAATGCTCACTCTAGGGGCCGGGCATGGTGGCTCACCCCTGTAATCCCAGCACTTTGGGAGGCCAAGGCGGGTAGACCACTTCAGGTCAGGAATTCAAGACCAGCCTGGCAACATGGCGAAACCCATTCTCTACTAAAAAGAGACAAAAATTAGCCGGGCACAGTGGCACACACCTGTAATCCCAGCTACTAGGGAGGCTGAGACAGGAGAATCACTTGAACCCAGGAGGCAGAGGTTGCAGTGAGCCAAGATCGTGCCACTGCATTCTAGCCTGGGTGACAGAGCAAGACTCCATCTCAAAAAAAAAAAAAAAAAAAAAAAAAAACTCACATCTAAGCAAGTTGTTTAGATGTTGGAGGGTTTTGCTGTGTTGAAGGGGGGTGCTGGGTGGTTTTTGCCATTTCACATTGCCTGTTGCTTTTGGGTCAGGGACAGGGGTCACCAGCTGACTTGGGGGTATAGAAACCTGATTCGGACATTTCACACACCACAGGAGGAAAGCATCCACTTAGCAAGGGCTGCGCCAACTGGCAGGTGTTCACATCTGTCTTCAAAGGCCTTATGACCTATGACAGCATCAGCACCATTCAGAGGCCAGGGAGGGTTGGGCAGCACAAAATCTGGAGGGAATCTACAGTAGCCCCCGCCCCGCTCCCCCCCCAGCACCCTCAGGTCCACAGGGGAGATGAGCGATCTAATTAAAAGGGTGTGAGGGTGCGATGACGGCGGCAATAAGAACCTCCTGGCTCTCTGGAGGTCTCTGTCCTTCCTGAGAGCCCTAAGCGTCTTCTCAAAGACAAGGCTTATTTGTCCTGCAACAGTTCTGTGAAGGTAGAATCCCACAGAAGCTGTATCATTGAGTTCTAAGCAAAGTTGAGGCCCAGAGAGGTTAAAGGTCATGCTCGGTGGCTTTTGTCCAAGGTCATACTGTATGATAAAAAAATAAACTGAAATTGGCAGTTTCTTAAAAGTTAAACACACATCTAACATGCAACCCAGGCAGCCCACTCCTAGATACCAACCCAAGAAAAATGAAAGCATATGTGCACATGAAGACTTGTACCCAAATATTTACAGTTTTATTCATAACAGCCAAAAACTAAAAACAGCTGAACTATCCATCAAAAGGTGAATGGATAAGCAAATTGGGATATACCCTTATGCTGGAATGCTATTCAGCTATAAAAAGAAATAAATTAGGTCAGATGTGGTGGCTCGCACCAGTAATCCCAGCATTTTGGGAGGCTGAGGTGGGGGATTGCTTGAGCCTAGGAGTTCAAGAGCAGCCTGGGCAACATAGTGAGACCCCATCTCTCAAAAAATAAAAATAAAAATAAGGGCCGGGCGCAGTGGTTCACACTTGTAGTCCCAGCACTTTGGGAGGCTGTGGCAGGAGGATCACTTGAGCCCAGGAGTTTGAGACCAGCCTGGGCAACATAGTGAGACCCCATCTCTCAAAAAAAATAATAATAAAAATGAAGAGCTGGGTGCAGTGGCCACACTGGTAATCCTAGCACTTTGGGAGGCCAAGGCAGGCGGATCGCCTGAGCTCAGGAGTTTGACACCAGCCCGGGCAACATGTTGAAACCTCGTCACCACTAAAAATACAAAATATTAGTCGGGCATGGCGACGTGCACCTGTAGTCCCAGCTACTCGGGAGGCTGAGGCAGGAGAATGGCGTGAACCCGGGAGGCGGAGCTTGCAGTGAGCCAAGATAGCTCCACTGCACTCCAGCCTGGGCGACAGAGCGAGACTCCATCTCAAAAAACAAAAAAGAAATCAGACTGAAAAAGAAAAAAAACAAAGAGTACATACTATAGACTCTATTCATACAAAATTCCAGAAGATGCAAACTAATGTATCTTAGTAGAAAGCAAATCAAGATCACCTGGGGACAGGAGGAATGGATTACTAAGCACGTGAGGAAACCTTTAGGGGTGATGGAGCCGTTCACTATCTTGATTGTGGTGATAGTTTAACAGGTACATACATATGTTAAAATTTATCAAATGGAGCACTTTAAATATGTGCAGTTTATTATCTGTCAATTATACCTCAACAAAGCTGTAATAAAAGTTGTTGTAATTTTTTTGTATCTTCCTATATAAAAGCAATTTTTTTTACTTTTTTAATATAAAAAGGGAAGCCAAGCATGGCAGCATGTGCCTGTAGTCCCAGCTACTTGGGAGACTAAGGTGGGAGGATTGCTTGAGCCCAGGAGTTTGAGAACAGCATAGGCAACATCCCAAGACCCCATCTCTTAAAATAATGTTAATAATAGGCTGGGCATGGTGGCTCACACCTGTAACCTCAGCACTTTGGGAGGCCGAGGTGGGCGGATTGCTTGAGGTCAGTAGTTCAAGACCAGCCTGACCAACATGGCGAAACCCCACCTCTACTAAAAATACAAAAATTAGCCAGACATGGTGGCATGCGCCTGTAATCCCAGCTACTCAGGAGGCTGAGGAAGGAAAATCACTTACCAGGGAGGCAGAGGTTGCAGGAAGCAGAGACTGCACCACTGCACTCCAGCCTGGGCGACAGAGTGAGACTCCATCTCAAAAATAAATAAATAAATAAATAAATAAATAAATAATATGGCGTGGGGTTTTTGTTTGTTTGTTTGTTTTGAGACGGAGTTTTGCTCTCGTTGCCCAGGCTGGAGTGCAATGGCACAATCTCGGCTCACCACAACCTCCGCCTCCCAGATTCAAGTGATTCTCCTGCCTCAGCCTCCCGAGTAGCTGAGATTACAGGCATGCGCCACCACGCCCGGCTAATTTTTGTACTATTAGTAGAGACGGGGTTTCACCATGTTGGCCAGGCTGGTCTCAAACTCCTGACCTCATGATCTGCCCACCGTGGCCTCCCAAAGTGCTGGAATCACAGGCATGAGCCACCGCGCCCGGCCATAAATAAATAAATAACATGTTTTAAATGTTCTCTTAGCCTTAGTGCCACCTTCTTAGAAACCTACTTGCCATGAGAGCCAAACACAGGCTAAAACGCAAAAGAAGAAAGATGGGGCAGAGGTGGAAGCCTGTGTACCCATGGAGGCAGAGGGAGTGCCAGAGGCTGAGGACACTGGTACAACCGTTGGACTGCATGCTACTGTCTACAACTTGTCTTTCAATGGATCCAGAACATCCATCGCCATCTGATCACCAAGAGCACCTCTAAGAGATCCCCCTTGGTCACCAAAGCAGTCCCTTTTGTCCTCTGCCCTGGACCTGGGACAGCCTGGACTAGTTCTGTTCTCAGTGGTGGCTGAGTGTAACACATATACACTAAATCATCTCTTCCGTTGTCGCAGCCAAAGAATCGAAAAAAATTTAAAAAGGGGAGGGGATGACAAGTAAAAGAAGAAACACAAGGAGGAAAATAAGGTACTAGAAATGGTGTCAGGATGCAGAATATAAGCCATGCTACCTGCTAGAGGTGGGACTCAAATTTGTTTCTAAGTTTTCTAGCAGTGAAGGCAAAGAAGAGGAGGGATATTAACATGATTCCAAGTCCAGGAGCTAGAAATGAAATCAGTTGTTTAGGAAGACCCACTCCTGAGCACATGAGGCTGTTGGTCTCATAATTTCTCTGAAATAGTACATACCCATTGTCAACGAGATTCTTAATAGTGCAGGCAGAAGCTGTGGTGTGCTAGTAAATGTCTAACAACAAGCTCATGGGGTGGATTGGGTGATGTGTAGTGTTTGCCAGTTTCTGTGGTGTAAATACTCCCACCACAGCCAATTTCAAGCTACTTAAGTGAAGTCACTGAACACCAGGTAAAATAACCTCAAGAGTATAATAATAGCAAAATGTAGAAAAATCATTAGGCCGTGGGGAGTTTTGAATACTTATTGTCTTTTTAAATATAATCCAATTGTAAGCTCATATAATTTGATTTTGTTTTGTTTTGTTTTGTTTTAGACAGGGTCTCACTCTGTCACCCAGGCTGGAGCACAATGTTGCTGTCACAGCTCACTGCATCCTCAACCTCCTGGGTTCAAGCGATCCTCCCACCTCAGCCTCCTGAGTAGCTGGGACCCCAGGCCTGTGCCACCACGACTGGCTAATTTTTGTATTTTTTTGTAGACACAGGGTTTTGCCATGTTGCCCAAGCTGGTCCCAAACTCCTGGACTCAAGCCATCTGCCCACTTCAGCCTCCCAAAGTGCTGGGATGACAGGTGTGAGCCACCGCACCTGGCCTATAATTTGATTTTTAATGCTGCTGGCTCATGAAATGCCTGAAGATTGAATGAAGTTGAGCACACCAACTTAGACGCTGTGGCCAAATCCGAAGTTCCCACGTGTCCCAAGTCCCGTGGTTGGATGTGGCGATCCCAGCTGGGTGGCAAGGGAGGTGACAGAAGCCACCTGTCAGACACAGATGGAGATGGTGCTGTACGTGGTACTAAGGCTGTGCATAACAAGGAACTAGTTGGCTGCCCCGTGGGCCCTCAGGGAGCGACAGACCAGCAACCTCTGAGGATTAAGTCAGGGGCTCCCAGCTGAACACATGCTTCAGAAATGCCCTCAGCCACGGGAAGTTTCTCTGTGTGTCTGGATACAGACTCACAGGATCCAGGGCAGACAGGGCCTTCCGAGGGTAGCCCAGTGAGTCCCTAATGCATGTGTGCCGTCTATGGTAGCTCTTTGCTTGAAAACTTCCACTGCCAGGGACCTCACTGCTTCCCATCATTCATTCTCCGAGCGCATTTCTCGAGTGCCCTCTTGCGCCAAGCACTGTGTTGGCACTGACTGGACAGTGGTGATCCTCCATACAGGGAAACTTAAAGTCTCATCCAGCTGTTACAGAATGCCACTGGGGGCTGTAGAGTCCGACCCCCCACCAGGTTTTCTCTCAGCTCCACCTCCTCCCAGCTATGCAACCCTGGGAAATTGCTCACCTTCTGAGTCTGTTTCTTCCCTTGTGGAAGGAGGCTGATAGACCTTGCTGCAAAGTAATGTTTGAAATATCTGGTACAGGACAGGTGCGGTGGCTCACACCTGCAATCCCAGCACTTTGGGAGGCCAAGGCAGGCCGATCACCTGAGATCAGGAGTTCGAGACCAGCCTGGCCAACACGGTGAATCCCCGTCTCTACTAAAGAGACAAAAAATTAGCCGGGCTTGGTGGCGCCTATAGTTCCAGCTATTCGGGAAGCTGAGGCAGGAGAATCACTTGAACCCAGGAGGTGGAGGTTGCGGTGAGCCGAGATGGCACCATCAACTCCAGCCTGGGCAACACAGCAAGACTCCGTCTAAAAAAAAAAATGAAATGTCTGGTACAGGGCCTGGCTCACAGTGAATGTTTGCAGGGGCCTTGCTCTGCCCTTCAAAGCCACACAAAGTGTGATTCCTTCTGTACATGAGATCCCTCCAAAAAGTGGAAGCAGCCCTCTTAATAATAATAGTAAAAATAATAACACAGAGAGATCGAATTCTGTGTGCCAGGGGCTGTTCTTGAGGCTCTGTGTTAAAACACTGAATGATTTCATCGACCATGGAAGATGGCTACTATCATTACGCAAATGAAAAAATGAAGGGCCAGAGAGGTTGAGTAACTTCTCAAAGTCACACAGCAAGGAATTAAGTGGTGGCCTCAGGACTTATATGCAGGGGAAGCAGCAGACTCCAGCCAGACATCCCCTCCTCCTGAAGCAGGGTCAGGTACCGCACCCACCCAGTTTCTCTCCCCTTCCCACTGCCCCAGAACAGGACTCACTGCTCCACACAGGGTTCCACCACCCCAGTGTGGAAGGCGCAGGGCTGGTGGTCCCTGCCCATTGCTGGGCTCACCCCACCGTGGCTCCCAACCCCTAGGTCCTGGAAAGATGTCTCCCCTCTCTCCGCCTTGAGGACATTTTCACTGGCTGAAGGCATAAAATGTTCTAGTAAAGTTATCGACTTTTCTTTGTTGGAAAATACTGCTTTTTAACCTGGCATATGTTGCTTGCTTTTTTTTTTTAAGGTCCTTTCTTTTATGACATGATGCCTCAACTGGCAAAATAAAAAAGCTGTCACCTCAAGTTGTCCTGAGATTGGAGAAAGGTGGATTTTTACAAATCCGTGAAAGCCCAAAGCCAGGGACTCGGCTGTCCCCCTTGGGCTGGGACTCTCCTCGAAAGGCCACTAGGGTCCCGGCGCCACGCCAGTGGGATGGTCTCGTGGAGGACCCCTGCCTCTTCAGTGTCTACTTCGGGGTGGCTCAGCCTCACCTCCCTCCCAAGAATTCCAGAGAAAATTACTCCCATCCACCACTACTGGCCCATTTGCAAAAAGGCTCTGGTAGCTCCACTGACCCACTGAGGACAGAACCCTTGCTCCCCAGGTTGCGCCCTGAGGGTCTAGTTGACAGGTTGGCTCAGAGGAGCCCTACTGTCCCTGGCAGGGGGAGCAGAAGTAGGGCTTCACCCTGGAAGGAGGGTAGCGTGAGGGTGGTCCTGAGAGCTTGGCCTAAAAACCTGTATGCCCAGAGCTGGGGGCAAGGGAGGGAGGAGGAGACTGAAGGAGGTGCTGCTGCCAGGACCCAGGCAGCGGGGCCGGGGGATGGGCATGAGGACAGCTCCGGGGCTCTCAGGAGTCGGGGATAAAGTCCACAGAGGAGCTTTCCTTCCGCCCCAACTGGGGGATCCAACAGAATTCCTCTCTCTCCCTCTCATACCAGCCCCCCAGACACCCTCAGACGTGTGCACACACACTGCTTCTCACACACACACATTCTTACTCATATTCACTCTCACACTCACACAGACACACACCCACTCTCATCCACGCACTCTCATAACACACCCTCACGCATATAGTCACACACTCACACTGACATGCTCGTACACCCACAGAACACACACGTTCATGCTCACACGGTCACTGACACACTCACACTGACACACAGTCTCACATTCTGACACTCAGTTACTTTTTTTCTTTTCTTTTTTAAATGATCTTTGGGAAATCTTTTTTTTTTTTTTTTAGATGGAGTCTCACTCTGTCACCCAGGCTGGAGTGTAGTGACGCCGTCTCGGCTCACTGCAACCTCTTTTTCCCAGGCTCAAGTGATTCTCCTCCCTCAGCCTCCCGGGTAGCTGGGATTACAGGCACCCACCGCCATGCCAGGGTAATTTTTGTATTTTTTAGTAGAGATGGGGTTTCAGCATGTTGGCCAGGCTGGTCTCGAACTCCTGACCTCAAGTCATCCGCCCACCTTGGCCTCCCAAAGTGCTGGAATCACAGGTGTGAGCCACAGCACCAGGCCAACACTGTCATTTAGTCACACACACTGACACATTCTTACACTCATATAATCACACATTCTCACTCATATGCACACTCTCGTGCTAACACACAGCCATATTCATTCACCCACTCTCATAACATTCTCACGCATATATTCACACACTCTCCACACTCATACTGACACACACTGACACCCACGGCACACACCTCCATGCTCACACACACTCCCACCCACACCCTCACACCCACAATCATGTACGCACTCTCCACACTCACACTGACACACTCACACTCACCCACAGCACACACACCCATGCTCACACACACTCCCACCCACATCCTCGCACCCACAATCATGTATACACTCTCCACACTCACATTCACACGCACACACACACACTCTACTCCAAAATCTTTCCACCAAGACGTCCCGGGCACATCCCCACAGCTATGCCAGCCACGCCCCAAAGTCCCCCCACCCAGGTCTAATCTGGCTCAGGGAGCTGGCTTTCCTGTGGCTCAGACTCAGCCCTGCTGGGGTAACACTGAACCCTGATTTGACATTTCAGTCACTGCCTGCGTCAGGTCTGGCGGGGGAACAAAGGGACGTCAACAGGGAATGGAGCTGCACCGTCAGCCAGGGCCCTGTCCCTGCATGTCCATAGATGCCTTCCCCCAGGGCTGCGGCAGCCGCGTGACAGCTCAAGCTGCTGCAGTCAGTGAGAAACGCAGGAGCGACAGGCCGGCTCCTTCTTGCACAGGGGGAAACGCCAAGGCCACTTGGCAAATGCCACGTCAGCTCTACACAAATGCCAGTGTCATGAGATGGTGGAAGGTCATGCCTACTCAGGCCTCTAGAGAAACAGCACCAGCAAAACTTCCGTTCCACAGAAGGAGACACCGAGGCTGGGCTGTGACCTGGTACCCTGCCAGCTACCTGTCCTCGCTCAGCTCCAGAGCAGGTGCTGCTGCAGCCTCTGCACCTGGCCGAGGAGCCGAGGGAAGAACCAAGTCTCAGAGCTCAGCTGCATCCTCCCATCCCATCCTGGCAACACCCCCTCCCATCCCATTCCGGCAGCACCCCCCAGAATAGGGATTGGGAACGCTCCCATTTTGCAGATAAGGAAACTGAGACTCAGCGAGGTGGGGTCAGTTGTCAGTAATCAGCCTGCAGGTGGTAGAGCCCGGAGCTGAGCGTGGGCCAGGCCAGCCCAGCCCAGTGCCTGAGCAGCTCAACACCATGCCTATGGATGAGAGAGTAGACACTCAATTAATATTTGGGGGATGAATTTTTTGAAGTTCCCTGGGTGATTCAGAAGAAATTTCCATCACAGATGGCGAATGGTCCCACCCAAGCTCCCAGTGGACACTGGACTTTCCCACAAAAATGGGGCCCATCCACCCCGCCCCTGTCCTGATTCCTAATAAAACAACAAACATTCAGTACTGGCTTCCTCCACGCCAGGCACGGTCCTGGATGCTTTCTGTGACAGAACTCGCTGAATCCTCCATTACAGCCCTGTAGTGCAGGAATTGTTATTATCCCCATTTGACAGATGAGGAAACTGAGGCACGGCATGATTAGGTAGTACAGCCAATAGGAGGCAGGGCTGGGCTTTAGAGCCAGGCAGAGCAGCTCCGCCCTCCACCCTGGGTGGTGACCCTTGGCACTGCCCCCCGGCACATCCCTGAGGCTGTCAGCAGCCAGGGCAGCAGCATTGTTGAGCAGTGTGATTTTTATCTTGACAAGTGGCCCTCTCACAATTGCTATTTCCCCTCCACAGCCCAGGGCGGAAATGAGAAGGGGAGAAAAAGAAAGAGGGGGCAGCGGAGCCTGATGGATGTGCCGGGCAGGATCACACCTTGAAACCAAAAATCCATTCTCTTTTGTCTACATGAACAATGCGTGCAAGCAGTGGGCCGGAAGCAAAGGCACACCCCAGCCACCCCCAACCAGAGAGCTTGGCACACCTCTGGTGCCCACGCAGCCACCCTCCTTCCTAGGGACAGTGGGGGCAGGGGAGGGGCAGGTGCACACAGGTTCTAAGCAGATGGTAATGTCAGGGAGGAGTGGAGCAGGTAGCGTGACAGCCCAGAGGACAGGCCTCAGGGAAGATGCCCAAGTGCCCCAGAAGGACAAGCTGGAGAGACACCTTTCAAACCACCAGGCCACAGCCCTCCCACCTGCAAACAACCAGGAAAGAGTATCAGGAAAAACCTTTCCTATGTGGCCTCAAGTCCCCAAGAAACCCAGCCTGCCCCTCCCAGGCTACAAGACTCAGGGAACCTGGGGACCTGGGAGTGTGGGGACCAACACCCGGGTCAATTTGACACTGAAGCCTTGTCTGTGCTCCTTCTACATGCAATGCCTAAGGAACACAGAGGTCTTTAAGGGCTCCCAGAAATGAGCTAGATGGCTGGGCATGGTGGCTCACGCCTGCAATCCCAGCACTTTGGGAAGCTGAGGCGGGTGGATCACTTGAGGCCAGGAGTTCGAGACCAACCTGGCCAACCTGACAAAGCCCCATCTCTATAGATATTACAAAAATTAACTAGGCATAGTGGGGGGGGCGCTTATAATCCCAGCTTACTCAGGAGGCTGAGGCAGGAGAATTGCTTGAACCCGGAGGTGGAGGTTGCAGTGAGCCGAGATCACATCACTGCACTCAAGCCTGGGCAACAGAGCGAGACTCCATCTCAAAAAAAAAAAAAAGAGCTAGACACACACATTAAGTGTGACACCAGGCAGGCCGTCTCACCGAAAGGACTGGCAGGTAGTGTCTGACGAGCTGGCACAATGATGATAATAACATAAATAAAAAGTTCACATTTATCAACCATTTGCTACGGGCCAGGCACTTACATGGGTTATCGCATGCAATCCTACAACAACCCTACAACCACGTAGGCACTTCTGTAAAAACCTGCCTCTTACAGATGAGAGAATGAGGCCCAGCGTGGTTAAGTGATGTGTCCAAGAGCACACAGCAGTGAGTGACAGAGCAGGAAGCTGAATGGGCAGCCTGGCTCCAGAGGATGAATGAATACCAGCAGGGACGGGGATTTGGAGGGCTGGTGGTGGGGACGAGCCAGGGCATGGAGCAGGTGGAATCTGGGTGGAGAGGCAGTGTCCCTGCCCCGGCCCTGAGACCTGCCATTTAGGAACACTAAGGATCCATGTCTCTGCTAATACAACCAAGCCAGAGGTTGTTCTAAGTGTGCAAAGCCACCCCGGGCCAGGGTGGGTTGGAGGGGTGGGAGGTGGAGGCAGCCTGGGAATGGAATAGCTGGGAAGAGCTGTGGGGCAGTGAGGACTCGCTCCACCCCACTGGCCAGCCTGGGAGTCAGGATCCCGGCTCAGCCCCCTGCCTGAGTGTTGAGGGCAGGAAAACAGTGCATAGAGCGCTCCTAGCCCCACGGCTGGGTAAACAGCAGCGGCCACCAGTCCCATTAAGGGACCACACGCCCTCTCTCATGCTGACTAAGCCTTGCTGTCTTTGAGCCACCCGTGTGGCCATCATTTGCTGTGTTGGGCAACTCCGTATCTTTTAATGCCTGCGCTGGTAACCTGTGGCTCCCCCAAAACTATGGCTGGGCCCATAAATCCTCACCCGGCACCTCCAAGATGTCAGCCAGCCCCTGGGACACCCCGCTGAATTTACGAGCTCTAAAGTCCAGATTTGCTCTGATGAGGGAAGCAAAGGATCATGTTGCCCATCTGGGACCTGGTGCTCAGAAGCCATAAACCACGCTGGTGACAGCGCCATGACAGGTCGAGGGCCCTCGGCGGGTCATTTGCACGCTGGTTAATGGCCATGATGATGAGGCAGTAGCTGCTTGAGAACCCCTTGTGGGCCACTAATGAAGCTTTAAATCTGTCACGGGAGGTTAAGGGAGGAGGTGCCTATTTTATCTTCTTTTTGGGGTGTTTAATCCCAGCTTTTGTCTTTTTTCTCTCTTACTCCTTTTTGTTTGTTCTACCTTGGCAGGCGCAATCTCACCACGGCCCTCTGAACACACACGTCGAATTCTAACTTGAAGGCACTGGGGAGTGACAGCCACTACATTTCCCAATCTTTTTTTATTGTCTTTGGAACAATAGTCTGCTGTGTTCCAAAGCACACAGGCTCATCTCAGATGGGGCAAAACAGAAGGAATGAGGAAGTCTGCGGGGAGCAGCAGCTGAGCGGGCAGAGGAGAGAAAGCTGCCTGGGGGCAGTGCCCACCTGGAAACAACGATGGGGAAGTCAGGGGCACTAACGTCCCCACCGGTCCAGCCAGCCTTAGCATGGCCTCAGCCACCACTCCCTTGACTCCTCTCTCCCTGGACCCAAACCTCAAGCCCACAGGACTAAATAGCCATTGGAGAAAAGAGCCGGGACTAACTCTCTTGCCTTGTCCTGGGGCAAAAACTATCAAGAGTCTTAACCAAGGAAATTACTAACAACTAGTACTCTTATTTGATCTAAGACTCTGTGGGCGTGGGTGTGGATGTGGGTCTGTGAGAGAGGAAGAGAGAAACAGACAGAGACACAGATAGACAAAAAGAGAGAGGCAGAATTGAGGGCAAAAGAGGGGTATAAGAGGAACTATTTGTTGGCACAGGAAAGAAAGATCTAGCATCTCTTGGCAGGCTGTGAATACCCTTTAATTAAGTAATAAATTTGGAACCAGGGAAATAAGTATCAGTAGGGAAACACTCGGTTTAATTACCCATTCATCTGCTTGGCTCTGCCAGGGCGCTGCTGGGCCACTGTTGCCAAGACACACCAGCTCGTGGGCACTCGGGACTGAGGCTGCCCAAGCACACATTCCAGTTTGGTTCCAGCTCCTTCCGTGTTGACAGAGAGAAAGAGAAACAGAGGTTGAGCGAGACAGAGGCAGAGAGACAGCGACGGCACAGAGGAGCAGCTGTAATTCCATCAAAGGGCTCTGGGGACCCTGTAAGCCACCAGACACAACCAGAGTGGTTTGTCACCAGAGCCCCAGTGGAATTGACTCAGAAGGCATTGTTGCAGATTTTTCCAACGTGAAGCCAAAATACAGAGGCCGAGTGTGTTCTCGGAGCCGTGCGTCACTGCGAAGGAGCAAACCCGGCAGGGTTGATCCCGTGTTCACCTCCTATAGCCATTGCAGTGAGCAGTGTAGCCAGCCACACACTGTGGGCGCCTCCACCAGGAACTCAGAGCCCCGCAGAGGGCGAGGCAGTGTCCGGGGAGACAGCCTAGAAACCAGAAGCAAAAAGCCTTCAGGATTCTATTTCCACGTCCAGGGTAGAGCTGAAAGACCTGAGGCTCTGGGCCTAATTACAGAGCTTGGGGTCCTGGGTCAGTGCCACAGAAGCCACTCACAAGGCCCTCCCAAGGTGTCGTGCAGAAGGAGAAGGTGGGAGGAGCCGAGAGGAAGGGAAGACCCCCCTGAGCAACGTGAGACCAAGGCTCGTGAGACCTACACTGCCTTGTAGGTCTCTGGGGTCTGTGGCTTTGAGTTCGGCAGCATTTCTAGAATCCAAGAGAAGAGAAAAGTGAGGAGGCTTTGGGAGACAACTCTAAGGTGCCCAGGGGTGACGGAGGAGGTACTTCCTGACCTCCACCAGGGATCCCAAGCCTCAGTCCCTTGTTTCCAGGGCTTTCTCCCCACGTGGAGGATGGGGGGAGGTGTGCTTAATGGGATGGACCAAACCTTTCTTGCTTTAGCCTCTGATTCCTAAAATCTGCTCCTATAAACAGCTCTCGCCCAGCAGGCCCCTTGTGATGTGTCAAGAGTAAACGAATCTGAAACAGCAAAGGAGATCGCCTTCCAAATAGTCTTGACTTTAAGAATTAAGGCAAAGAAAGCATTTGCCGAAGGACGTTTCCAATTTGGCCAAATCCAGGGCTTTGGAAAAATATCTTAAGACATTTCACCAAACCCAGAGCAAAGCCGGCAGGGCCCCACTCTGGTCATTATGAGTTATTTGCAGCTTGTTTCTTGCTGAAATCATTTTCTTCTCTCTGCAGGCTGAGCTCTTCTGAGCCAGCTTGATTTCTGCAGCTGTTATGCACAACTCTTCGCCTTTACAACCTGACAGGCATTTGGAGACAGTGCTGGCAGGCAGCAGGAATGTGAGGGCCCCCGCTCCAGCCCGAGCCCTCAAGGACCCTGGCCCAGTCTCTTTGTGCTACAGAGGCATCCACCATAGTGCCCTGGGATGGCGTGCTCACAGGACGACACGAGTCGACATTCGCCCAAGCCAGGCATGGCCAGGCTGGCAAAGGCCTGCCTATCTGGGCCAGGTCTGTAGGGGAGAAGCATCTACGGGAGAAGGCCAAGTACCACGTGGTATCCAAGCTCTGACAGGCAGGGAGTCAGGACAGATGGCAGGGGCACTGGGAGAGGGTATGCGGGCACCTGGAGCTTCCGAGAAGAGCCTTAATGAACAGGCAGGGCTGAGAGGAAGTGTGGCTTGGTGGATGAGCAATGCGGCTTTGGCAGCCGATAGGGCTGGATTCGAAGCCCCACCTTGCCACTCACAGCAGTGTGGTCTGGAACCGGTAGCGTAAACCTCTGAGCCTTTGCTCCCTTGTCTGGAGGGCAAGGACCACCACAGTGCCCAGCCATAGGGCTCTCACGCTCCGAAAATCAGCTCCTGTGTGTGAAGTTTTCTCTACGTGAGTGGAGTGGCTCTTTAGGCTCCTGCTTGGTGTGTGTTTGTTTGTCTGTTTGCTTTTTGAGACAGGGTCTCTCTCTATCATCCAGGCCAAGGCTGGAGTGCAGTGACGTGATCATGGCTCACTGCAGCCTCAACCTCCCAGGCTCAAGTGTTCCTCCCACCTCAGCCTCCCAAGTAGCTAGAACTACAGGCAGGCGCCACCACACCTGGCTAATTTTTTTTACTTTTTATAGAGATGAGGTCTCACTATGTTGCCCAGGCTGGTCTCAAAATCCCAGCCTCAAGCCATCCTCCTGCCTTATCCTCCCAAAGCACGAGGATTACAGGTATGAGCCACCATATCTGACCCCTCTGCATCTTTTCTGCATTTCTTGATCCTCCCACCTCATCATATTTAGTCCCTCCTCTGTTACAGTTGTTTCTGGACTTGCCACTCCCCTGAGCCTCATTCCATCCCACACGGGCCTGCCCATCCAGTAGACCCCACTGCAGCTCCTCTGACAGTCATGGCCATCAGCTTCCATGTTCACCCTTCACCCACAGCGCTGGAGGTCGCCTGTCGGGAACAGGCTCTCTGGAGCCCTCCACAAGATCCGGTCAACAGGTAAACAAATCCCCGGGAATGTGTCCTCTGAAACTGCCTCCTCTCCCTCAGTAATGTGATCCTAAAGGCCTGTCCCACACCTTTTTCTCCAACAGCGTGGCCAATTGAGAAATAGGGAGGACTTGAGGCCAAGGAAGGATCTAATTACCAACAGCTTATGCTCATAAGCCACCTACCCATTTCACCTTCCGCACCTCCTGCAAAAAATGAGAGTGGGGGCTGTTGAGAACCAGGGGATGTCTTTCTATATGGTTTGGATGTTTGTTTGTTCCCCCCAAATCTCACACTGAAATATGATTCCTAATGTCGGGGGTGGGGCCTGGTGGGAGATGACTGGACCACCAGGGCAGATCCTTCATGAATGGGTTAACGACATCCCCTTGGTGATAAGTGAGTTCTTGCTCCGTGAGTTCACATGAGTTCCGGTTCTTTAAAAGTCTGGAACCGCCCCCCAACCCCACTCTTTTGCTCCCACTCTCGTGCCTGCTCCCCCTTTACCTTCCACCATGATTGTAAGCTTCCTGAGGTCCTCACCAGAAGCCGAGCAGATGTTGGCACCATGCTTCTCATACAGCCTGCAGAACCGTGAGCCAATTAAACCTCTTTTTATAAATGACCCAGCCTCAGGTATTCATTTACAGCAATGCAAAAACAGCTGGCCGGATGCGGTGGATCACACCTGTAATCCTGGCACTTTGGAGGGCCAAGGCAGACAGATTGCCTGAGCCACAGGAGTTCGAGACCAGCTTGGGTAACATGGCAAAACCCCGTCTCTACTAAAAATACAAAAAAAAAAAATTAGCTGGGCATGGTGGCGGGCACCTGTAATCTCAGTTACTCAGGAGGCTGAGGCAGGAGAATCACTTGAACCTGGGAGGCAGAGGTTGCAGTGAGCTAAGATCGCACCACGACACTCCAGCCCGAGCGACAGATCAAGAGTCTGTCTCAAAAAAAAAAAAAAAAAAAACAGCCTAGCACACCTTTTCTCAAGAGCACCCACAAACACTTTTGTTATTACTTCTGCCTTGTGCACCTGTCAACACTTCCCAAGACAACAAACATAGAACGCTGGGGAATAAAACACCAACATGCCCCAGCACATTTATTTCCAGATGCCCTAGTGTGACTCTGCTTACAAAAGGGACCTTTTTCCAGCAGTCAAAGTCAGTCTCTGGGTGGGATCATGAGCCCACTCCTAGGCAGGGTAATGTGTTTACAGGCCAACACTGAGAGTTAAAAACTAGCCCTGGATCTAACAAATTGTCCTGACCATGCATTTGTTTTTTGCCTCGTTTCCTTCCCATGGCCCGACGATGGCAAGCTGCAGGTACATCTGTTCTGAAGAGCAGCCTCCCGCCCTTGGTCACTCTGTCCCGTGTCTCTCAGATGTTTAGTCCCGCGGACTGGGACCTGCTACACTTGGGCCAAGGCTTCTGGCTCCTCTCACTAAAGGCCTCAATTTAACTTAACGGACTAAATAAGGAACCATTTCTATATGATTAATTAATTAGGGTTCTGCTAGGAAGGATAATAATATAATAATGTAAGTAAGACTGCAAGGCCTAGCTACCAGCCTATAAAAAGAACACCAAGCACAGCACAATTAGGAAGACATTCAAGACGGAGGAAGCTCGGAGCCGTGGACTCAGCTCTGACTAATGCCAAGATTGGTTCATGGGGTTCAAATTCAGGGTCCAGCTGGCCTGCCTTAGAGAGTTACCTGACTTTTTTTTTTTTTTTGACAGAATTTTGCTCTTACTGCCCAGGCTGGAGTGTAATGGCATGATCTCGGCTCACTGCAACCTCCGCCTCCCAGGTTCAAGTGATTCTCCTGCCTCAGCCTCCCAAGTAGCTGGGATTACAGACATGAGCCACCACACCCAGCTAATTTTGTATTCTTAATAGAGATGGGTTTCCTCCATGTTGGTCAAGCTGGTCTTGAACTCCCGACCTCAGGCAATCCACCTGCCTCAGCCTCCCAAAGTGCTGGGATTACAGGTGTGAGCCACCGCGCCCAGCTGAGAATTACGTGACTTCTCTGAGCTGTTGCCTTCTTCTGAAAGATAGAAGAATTGATGTGTATTTGTCAGAGTATTGTGGAAATTCAATAAATGCAATATATGAAAATTACCCAGCACAAAATAGGCTCAAAACACCTGGAAAATATTGCTTAAGAAATTCCAGACCGGGCGCAGTAGCTCACACCTGTAATCCCAGCACTTTGGGAGGCTAAGGCACGCAGATCATCTGATGTCAGAAGTTCGAGACCAGCCTTACTAACAAGGCAAAACCCTGTCTCTACTAAAAATACAGAAATGGTGATGCATGCCTGTAGTCCTAGCTACTGAGGAGACTGAGGCAGGAGAATCACTTGAAGCCAGGAGGCAGAGGTTGCAGTGAGCCGAGATCACATCACTGCACTCCAGCCTGGGCAACAGAGTGAGACTCTGTCTTAAAAAAAAAAAAAAGAAAGGAAAGAAAGAAAAAGAAAAAAAAAAGAAAGAAATTCCAGTGCAGTAGCTGGTACTAAAGATGGAAATAAATGCAAAGAGTTTTGTGTAATGTGGTCCATTCTGTTTTATTGGCAAATGTCTTCTTTTTCTCTGCACTTTAATATGCACATTCACAAGTCCTTTGAAAGAAAGTGCATGAAAATTTAAAACAGATGTAAATTAAAATCCCAACAGGAATCATCTTCATTGATTACAGATGGATAAATAGTTGTTATTTACAGATGAGTCAAGGTGATCCTAATTGGTAGGTTTTCTGGTTGGTATTTGTATTTGAGGGCATTAGCATAGCAATTGAAAGCCTCTCGATGTCCCCTCTCCACGCCTCACCCAAGCCTCTTATCTCCTCCATGCTGCTCCTACTCTCTCCCCACCCCCCAAAAACATTCTTGGCCACTTCAGTACTCAAGGTCTCCCACCTTGGGTCCCTCAACTCTCCTGGAGCTAATGACCCAATTCCTCAAGGCCTTGCTAAATAACCTCTGCATCTATCTAACCCTTTTTCTGTAAAGAGCCAGATAGTAAATATTTTAGGCCATCTGTCAACTCTGCCACTGTAAGCTGAAAGTAGCCACAGACAATATGCAAATAAGTGAGGCTGTATTCCAATAAAATGTTATTTACAGGCCGGGCTTGGTGGCTCACGCCTGTAATCCCAGCACTTTGGGAGGCCGAGGCAGGCAGATCACGAGGTCAAAAGATCGAAACCATCCTGACCAACATGGTGAAACCCCGTCTCTACTAAAAATACAAAAATTATCTGGGTGTGGTGGCGTGAACCTGGCTGAGACAGGAGAATCACTTGAACCTGGGAGGTGGAGGTTGCAGTGAGCCAAGATCGTGCCACTGCACTCCAGCCTGGGCGACAGAGCAAGACTCCGTAAAAAAAAAAAAAATAATAAATAAAAAATAAAAAATTAACCGGGCGTGGTGGTGCACACCTGTAATCCCAGCTACTCGGGAGGCTGAGGCAGGAGAATCACTCGAACCAGGGAGGCAGATGTTGAAAGTGAGCCGAGATCGCGCCACTGCACTCCTGCCTGGGCGGCAGAGTGAGACCTTGTCTCAAAAAAATAAAAATAAAAATAAAAAGCAGATTGCTGGGCCCCACTGCCAGAGCTTCTGATTCAGTAGGTCTGGGTGGAGGCCAGAGAATTCACATTTTTAACAAATTCCTGGGTGCTGCTGTTCCAGGGACGACACTATGGGAACCACTGGCTGCATGTTAAAAAAAAACCTGAAAGTACACTGCCCCCTAGTGGGAAGTTCCTAGAAGTACCCCATACCAAATATTGCTTTGATTTTAGAATATACAAAAAATTGCGTTATCTTTTGCCATGGAGAAGAATCAAATTCACAAAGCCAATTTGTCATTCATATACTTGGGATTCCATAACCACATTCCAAGCTTCTCTCAAGAAATGAGGTGTCACATTATTTACAATAACATGGCAGTGATTTAAAATCAAGTTAAACCAGAAACATATTATTTTCCACCAGGGGAAAAACACTTTAAATAATCTAAATAGAATAAAACTGCTGCTGGCTCTGTTCTCTGGCCACTCTCCCATTGCCAGACGCACAGACCTCTCCTGAGAAGCAAAATCTACACCCGATCCAAGCTGAGGCAGCTGATGAAATTCAGCAGGAGATGGGTCAAAATCAGCTCGTGTCAGACCCCAGAGTCTGTGATCTTTGGACACACAGAACTGTATCAGTGGTGAAGGACCCCATTAATAGGCAACTGTTAAATATTTGCTACACATGGTAGAAAACAATGAAAGCCTCTTGTTAAAGCTGAGAGCTCCTGCTCACCTCTGGTTTTCATTTCTCACATCATATTTACATTAACCCAAATTTGTCACTGGTTTCCACCGTGCATTCAAAATTTCCACAAAAGCACTTCTGTTTTCCCCATGAAAACTGCATTCCGACATGCCGGAAGTGAAATTACCCACTCCTACCTATCTGTCCCAGCAAAAGACCTGGGTCTCTAACTCTACCTCTCACAAAGTAAAAGGGTGTTACAGTCACCAATGGCAGATGACTTGGGAGTCCATGCTTAGCAAGCTGCAGGGTTTTGGCAGCATAGAGAAACATATTAGAGCCATGCTACAAAAGATGGCCTGGTACCAGGAGAACGGAAATGACAGGGACCGGAATGGTTTTTGAGGCCAAAAATTTATATTTGATCTCCAGATGTGATGCAGCTGACAGCTAATTAGTTTGACTTAGATCTACACAAATCCAACCCCCCTTTCTTCCACACATGCTGTGGGGATGCTGGTGTGAAAATGTGTCTGCCTGGGGTCGCGCTTTGATTGAGAATTCTCTGGAATGAACACACTTGGAATCCCTGAGAACACTGAAGCCCCGGCACATGGGACATCTGGTGAGATGCTCTTTCTCCTTTCAGCTTGACCCAAGAGCAGGTAATGAAGTGGTGTTCTTTATTCAAGTGGCTGATTCCAACCTAACAAGGCTGGAGTAAACTGTTCAGCTTCATGTTTCAGTGTGCGAGGCCACCATTAACTGCAAACCTCAGTGGTCAAGAGCTACCGGATGTGAATGCTGCGGCTACTAATGAAAAAGCAATTGTGGTACATTCGCTGCAGAGCTGTTTGTGAGCAATGAGAAAGACACACAGAGCAAGATGGGGGCCCTCCCTGGCAGGACACACTGAGGCAGACACAGGTCCTGCTTGTCCAGCTGCCATTCCTCCCTGCTTCCTTGCTGGTTAGGATGTTATAGCTATCGAGGACAGCAGAAGTACCAAGACCTTAGCTACCCCAGAGGATCAGAGCTAACACTTATGGCACCTTACTATGTGCAAGGCAATTTTAGAAGCACATTTTTTTTTTTTTTTTTTGAGACGGAGTCTCGCTCTGTGGCCCAGGCTGGAGTGCAGTGGTACAGTCTCGGCTCACTGCAACCTCTGCCCCCTGGGTTCAAGCGATTCTCTTGCTTCAGCCTCTCAAGTAGCTGGGATTGCAGGCGCCCGCCATCACGCCCACTAATTTTTGTATTTTTAGTAGACACGGGGTTTCACCACGTTGGTCAGGCTGGTCTCAAACCCCTGACCTCAGGTGATCCACCCACCTTGGCCTCCCAAAATGCTGGGATTACAGGCATGAGCCACCGCGCTGGGCCTAGAAGCACATATTAATATAATCATCGCAACAACCCTAAGAGGTAGTACCGTAACTACCCTCATTTTACAGATGAGGAACCCGAGGCTCAGAGACATAAACAAATTGCTCGAGGACAAATAGCTAGCAGGAGGAGAAGCTGGGATTTGATCCTGGAAGTTCAACTCTACAGCCCATGCTCTTAACCACTACACCATATAACTTCATAAGTTGTGCTTGGACTAAGCTGTTCATGGCAATCCCAAATCCTGTTGACTGGTCTCGGGAAAGGCAGGATGTTTGGCCTTGAGTCCCCAGTAGGGGAATTATACCTGTACCCCTTATCATGTCTTCATGGAAGACTAAGTGGATTTCCTGCCCCTTTGAGTTTGGTCTTGGCCATATGACTTGCTCCAGCCAATGGGACATTTCATAATATCAAGCAGGGGTTTGAAATGTGCTTGTGGCTGGGCGCGGTAGCTCATGCCTGTAATCCCAGCACTTCTGGAGGCTGAGGTTGGTGGATCACTTGAGGTCAGGAGTTCAAGGCCAGCCTGGTCAACATGGTGAAACCCCGTCTCTGCCAAAAAAATATAAAAAATTAGCCAGGTGTGCTGGTGCGTGCCTGTAATCCCAGCCACTTGGAAGCCTGAGGCAGGAGAATCGCTTGAACCCAGGAGGTGGAGGTTGCAGCGAGCCAAGATCGTGCCGCTGTACTCCAGCCTGGGCCACAGAGCGAGACTCCATCGCAAAAAAAAAAAAAAAGAAAGAAATGGCTTGTGCCATTGGTGTGTCCTCCTTGCGCTAATGGGCCCCAGAACGAGACCCATGGAGCCCACCCAAACCAGACCTGAAGCCTAGAGCCACACGCAACTGAGCCCAGCCTGAATCAGCAAACCCCAACCAACCCAATGAGTGTTCACTGCACACCAGCATGGGGCTGATACACCTCATGATCCTGTTCTAGTCAATGACACCAGGAAAGATTTCCAGAATAAGCAGAGCCTCCAGAGGAGAAACATTTTTGCCCCTGCCCCTCTGCTCCCTACTGGGCACTGCTATGAGGACATAATGGTTAGTGCCTGGTGACCACAGGCAACCAGGACAAAGGCAACAGGCCAATACGCTGAGGATCCCCAAGCAGAAAAGACTGAGCCTAGGGCCGTGATGATCTTGTCCAGCCACTGAGCAATCACTCATCTCTATATTTTTGTGAAAAAAACAATCTCCTCTGTTTCCAAGCCTTTGTTAGTTGAGATTTCTGCTGCTAACGGCCAAAGCCATTCCTCACTGCTATTGACTTTCCCAGGTATGGCAAAATCTTTTACAGATGCTAGATCTTTATATATCCTGCTTTTTTCTTTGGATTGGCTTGTTCCCCCACACCTTAGAATAGCAGGAAGGAAGTCACAAATTCTTTTTTTTTTTTTTCAGACTATTAGACTTTATAGGAGTTACCTGCTTTTGTTCTTTGAGAGGGTAATAATGTAGAAAAGATAATAAAACACCAGCCTGAATTATTACAAGTACATTAAATGGACTCTGAACTTAAAGGTACAGTTGGGAGCCAGGAAAACTGTAAAAACTGTTATAATTTTCTTTTTTTTTTTTTTTTTTTAGTATTTATTGATCATTCTTGGGTGTTTCTCAGAGAAGTCACAAATTCTTGCTAATATCATTCAATCAATACCTGCTACTACTTGCCCCGGAGGGAGCAATTTACAGTTGACCATGTGAGAAGCTGCATCTCCACCAACCTAAAAACATCACCCCTTGAATTCAGAGCTGCTGCATTTCTACTTGAAGCTCAAGCTCAAGTTCTGTTTTCTCTGTTCATCTGGATCCACTCCAGCCACACTGGCCTCCTTGCTGCTTCTCAAAACACACCAGCCTCATTCCTGTATCTAGTTCTATGTTTTTGTTTTGCCATAGCACTTAAAACCTTTGGACATAGTATATCATTTACTTATTCATTATGTTTCTTTTTAATTTGTTTGTCTTCCCCTGCTAGAAAGTAAGCCAAAGACAGGAATCTTTGTTCTGTTCATTGATATAGCCAAGGTTCTAAAGTACTTCCTAGCATATAATGGGTGCTCAAAATGAATGATTTAATTGATTTATTGATCTTTCTCTGCATGGGCAATCACATGTGTCTCTTGGGAATCTGTTTTGGCTGCTTTGTCTTTGTCTTCTCAAGGCGCCCCCTAGAAATCATAGCCAAGTGAATTCTGCAGAGACCACACAGCCTACATATCAAGCAGACCTTCCAAACTCAGTGGAAGTCTTTTCACAGTATGGTTACAAACAGAAACCATAGCAGCTTTATTGAGATATAATTCACTTACCTTAAAACTTACCCTTCTAGGGGCCGGGCACAGTGGCTCACGCCTGTAATCCCAGCACTTTGGGAGGCCAAGGCGGGCAGATCACGAGGTCAGGAGATCGAGACTATCCTGGCTAACACAGTGAAACCCCATCTCTACTAAAAATACAAAAAAATTAGCCGGGCGTGGTGGTGGGCGCCTGTAGTTCCAGCTACTCGGGAGGCTGAGGCAGGGGAATGGCGTGAACCCGGGAGGTGGAGCTTGCAGTGAGCCGAGATCGCGTCACTGTACTCCAGCCTGGGTGACAGAGCAAGACTCCATCTCAAAAAAAAAAAAAAAAAAGCTTACCCTTCTAGAATGCACAGTTCCGTGATTTTTACATATTCACAGGGTTACACAACCATCACCACAATATAATTCTAGAACATTTTCATTACCCCAAAAGGAAACCCCATATCCATAAGCAGTCACTACCCTACCTCATCCAACCCCTGGCAACCACTAATGGACTTTTTGTCTTTTATGGATTTGCCTATTCTGGACATTTCATACAAATTGAATCATACAGTATGTAGTCTTTTGTGTCTGACTTCTTTCACTTATCAAAATGTTTTAAAAGTTCATGCGTATTGTATCATGAGTCAGTACTTCATTCTGTTTCTTTGTTTGTTTGTTTGTTTGTCTGTTTTGAGATGGAGTTTCTCTCTTGTTGCCCAGGCTGGAGTGCAATGGCGCAATCTCAGCTCACCGCAACCTCCACCTCCCGGGTTCAAGCGATTCTCCTGCCTCAGCCTCCCGAGTAGCTGGGATTACAGGCATGCACCACCATGCCTGGCTAATTTTGTATTTTTAGTAGAGACAGGGTTTCTTCATGTTGGTCAGGCTGGTCTCTAACTGCTGACCTCAGGTGATCCGCCCGCCGCAGCCTCCCAAAGTGCTAGGATTACAGGTGTCAGCCACCGTGCCCGGCCAGTACCTCATTCTTTTTTATGGCTAAATAATATTCTGTGACCCTGGTCACCAAAATCTGTGGAGATTTCTCCCCACCAACCACCAATCAATTCTGTGGCCACGCCAGCTGGATGTCCTAGAATGTAACCCAGTTCTGACAGTATCTACCTGGAGACAGCATCAGATCCCATAGGTAAGGGCTCAGTCCCACAAGACTGCCCCCACTCCACATACCAATTGCAAGTAATAGATTGTCACCTACACTTCTGACCAACTGGCTGTAAATTGGAGTTCCTACTACCCCCTCCCTGGGTTCAATTTCATTTGCCAGGACAAGTCACAGAACTCAGGGGAACACATTTGCCAGTTTATTATAACCGATGTGACAAAGGATAGAGATTAATGGCCAAATGGGCAAGGTAATGGAAGGGGCACAGAGTTGCCATGCCCTCTCTCGGGCGCCACCCTCCAGGAGCCTCCATGTGTTCAGCTGTTGGGAAGCTCTCTGAACCCTGTCCTTCTGGGATTTTATGAAAGCTTCACTATGTAGGCATGACTGATTAAATCATTGGCCTCTGATGATCAGCTCAATCTCAGCCCTTCGCCCCCCTCCCCTCCCTGAGGTCTGGGGGTGGGAGGAAGGAGAGACTGTGGGGAGGAGTTGAAAGTTCTAACCTTCTAATCAATCACTTGTTTAGTTCCCCTGGGAACCAGCCCCCATCTGAGGCTCTCCAGGAGCCCAGCAAGTCACCTCACTAAAACAAAAGATACTCCTATCACCCAGGAAATTCCAAAGGATTTAGGAGCTTTGTGTCAGATGCTCGTATCACTCAGAAAATTACAAAGGCGTTAGCAACTCTGTGGCAGGAACTGGGGTCAAAGACCAAATATTAAAACAAAAGATTCTCCTAGTGCCTCTTCTACATGGGTGTTAGTACCTCTGTCTCAGGAACCAGGGGCAGACACCAAATATATATTTTACAATATCAGCCAGGCACAGTGGCTCACACCTGTAACCCCAGCACTTTGGGAGGCCAAAGAAGGAGGATTGCTTGAGGCCAGGAGTTCAAGACCAGCCTGGGCAACATGGTGAGACCCAGTCTCCAGCAAAAAATACAAAAATTAGCCGGGTATGATGGTGTGCACCTGTAGTCTCAGCTACTCGGGAGGCTGAGGTGGGAGGATCACCTGAGCCCCAGAGGTTGAGGCTACAGTGAGCTGTGATCATGCCACTGCACTCCAGCCTGAGTAACAGAGCAAGATTCTGTCAAGCAAGCAAGCAAGAAAGAGAGAGAGAAAGAAAAAAGAAAAGAAAAGAAAAGAAAAAGGGAAGAAAGAAAAGGAAAGAGAAGAAAGAAAAGGAAAGAAAAGAAAAGAAAAATCAACCCTACCAGCATCTTGGTTTAGGGCTTTTGCCCTCCAGAACAGTGAGACAATAAGTTTGTTATTTGGTCCACTAGTTTATTGTACTTTTTTTTCACATCTTAAGACCCCTTTTTTTTTTTAAGACAAGGTCTCACTCCAGTGCCCAGGCTGGAGTGCAGTAGTGTGATTAGGGCTCACTGCAGCCTCAACCTCCCGGGCTCAAGTCATCTTCCCACCTCAACCTCCTGAGTAGCTGGAACTACAGGTGCATGCCACCATGCCCAGCTAATTTTTGTATTTTTGTAGAGATAGGGTTTTGCTTTGTTGCCCAGGCTGGTCTCGAACTCCTGAACTCAAGCGATCCTCCCACATCAGCCTCCCAAATTGCTGGGATTACAGGCATGAGCCACTGTGCCCAGCCTTGGTACCTTTTTACAGCAGTCCCAGGAAACTCGTATGTCACTTCCTGATGGAGGACCATCAGCGCCATATTGCAAGAAGGGCACAGATGTTGGTGTGGCCATCCTCAGAAACTACAATCCTCCGCAGCCTGTCCTCTGGCCACAAACATTTATAGTCCTCCTACACGCAAAATACATTCGCCCCCCTCATTCAAAATCACCAGTCTCATCCCTTTCAGCATCAGCTCAAAGTCCGGAATCTTTTTTTCTTTTTTTTTTTTGAGACAGAGTTTCACTCTTGTCAGCCAGGCTGGAGTGCAATGGTGTGATCTCAGCTCACTACAACTTCTGCCTCCCAGGTTCAAGCGATTCTCCTGCCTCAGCCTCCCGAGTAACTGGGATTACAGACGCCCACCACTGTGCCCAGCTAATTTTTGCATTTTTAGTAGAGACAGGGTTTCGCCATGTTGGCCAGGCTGGTCTGGAACTCCTGACCTCAGGTGATCCATCCGCCTCGGCCTCCCAAAGTGCTGGGATTACAGGCGTGAGCCACCACGCCCAGCCCGGAACGTTGTCCTCTAAATCGAGTCCACCTGAAGTTGCGGCTTCAAAGAACAGTTAAAGAAGACGGCTCCTCTCAATCTGAAGAGTTGTCAGTTAAAGAGACAAGTTATCTGAACCGCCCCCCACCTCCCGACAAGCCACACACAATCGTGGGACAAGTCATTGAAGACTTCGCCTTTCAAAGTAATCATTATTCTCCTGAAGAGCTTGAAGCCATCTACTCTAAAACGACATCAAGGACCTCTCTCCAATTTTATTCTTCCCTCATTTCCTCCCTTCTTACAGAATCAGACAGTCTCAAAGTTGGAAAGCAATTTAAAGTTGAAGCTAGTCCTACACACAGCCTGGACAAACTTCACAAAATGCTGAGCAAAGAAAGTCAGACTCGAAAGAGTAAATACTGTAGGATTCCATTCGTAGGAAGTTCAAAAACTGGCCAACAAATCCAAGGTGATAGAAGTCAGAACATACTTCTGGAATTTTCCACTTAAAAAAACGCCTGTAGTCTCAGCTACTCAGGAGGCTGAGGTGGGTGGATCACTTGAGCCCAGGAATTCAAGGCGTTTGGCAACATATTGAGACCCCATCTCTATGAAAAATAAGAATTTAAAAAATGCTTATAAAAGAAGTCAGGGCCAGGTGCAGTAGCACACGCCCATAATCCCAGCACTTTGGGAGGCCAAGGTGAGTGGATCACCTGAGGTCAGGAGTTTGAGACCAGCCTGGCCAAGATGGCAAAACCTCATCTCTACTAAAAATACAAAAAATTAGCCAAGCGTGGTGGTGTGCACCTATAGAGGCAGGAGAATCACTTGAACCCGGGAGATGGAAGTTGCAGTGAGCCCAGATTGCACCACTACACTCCAGCCCAGGCAACAGAGCAAGACTCTGTTTCAAAAAAAAAAAAAAAGTCAGAATAATGGTTACCTTTGAGGGATGGTTTGACTGGGAGATGTTATGAGGGATCCCTCTACAGTTTGAGCTAGTTGATGGTTGCACAGATTCACAAGTATGTAAAATTGTATCCAAATATACACTCAAGAGTGTGTAGTTTATGGTTTGTAAATTTTATCTTAGTATTTTTCAAAGAGGTATAAGTAGTCCTGTGGTTCCCATACTTCAGTATTTCATAAACCAATAAGACTTCACGCTTCCCTCAATCCCTCTCTTCAAAATCAGAGGAAGTAACTGTATACAATGACTATGGATTAATATTATAACTCAAAAAAATGCCTTTTTTTTTAAGGCTCTCCCATAACAACGCCTCTAGTGGAATGCTTGCTGCTTGGGTTTTAAAAATACAGAACTGGGGCCAGGCGCAGTGGCTCATGCCTGTAGTCCTAGCACTTTGGGAGGCTGAGGGAGGCGGATCACCTGAAGTCAGGGATTCGAGACCACCTTGGCCAACATGAAGAAACCCCGTCTCTACTAAAATTACAAAAATTAGCCAGGCATGGTAGCACATGCCTGTAATCCCAGCTACTCGGGAGGCTGAGGCAGGAGAATTGCTTGAACTAAGGAGGCAGAGGTTGCAGTGAGCTGAGATCGTGTCACTGCACTCCAGCCTGAGTGACAGACTGAGACTCCATCTCAAAAAAAGAAAAAAGCAGAACTGGGCCAGGCAAGGTGGCTCAAGCTTGTAATCCCAGCACTTTGGGAGGCCAAGGTGGGAGGATGGCCTGAGACCAGGAGTTCAAGACCAGCAAGACCGCATCTCTAAGAAAAAAAAAAAAAAACTTTGCTGGGCATGATGGTGCGTGCGTGCCTGCAGTCCAATCTGCTCGGGAGGATGAAGTGGAAGGGTCACTTGCGCCCAGAAGTTCAAGGTTATGGTGAGCCATGATTGTGCCAATGAACTCCAGCCTGAGTGACAGAGTGAGATCCTGTCTCTAAAAAAAAAAAGAAAAAAAAATTTGGGCCGGGCGCGGTGGCTCACGCCTGTAATCCCAGCACTTTGGGAGGCCGAGGCAGGCGGATCACGAGGTCAGGAGATCGAGACCATCCCGGCTAAAACCGGTGAAACCCCGTCTCTACTAAAAATACAAAAAATTAGCCGGGCGTAGTGGCGGGCGCCTGTAGTCCCAGCTACTTGGGAGGCTGAGGCAGGAGAATGGCGTGAACCCGGGAGGCGGAGCTTGCAGTGAGCCGAGATCCCGCCACTGCACTCCAGCCTGGGCGACAGAGCGAGACTCCATCTCAAAAAAAAAAAAAAAAAAAAAAAAATTGATTTTGAAACTATGCTTCTCCAATCATCCCATAAAAGGGCGATAAACCGTTGCTGTGCTCACTTGGAGGAGCTGTTTAATTTTTCCCAGATTCCCAAAGGGGAATGCTCCGTCACTAAACACACGGGCCTCTGAGCAACAGGAAAGGACTAAGCTCGTCTTTATTCAAAGGCTCCTATTATAGTAATAAGAATGAGAAATGGCTCATGCCTGTAATCGCAGCAATTTGGGAGGCTGAGGCAGGCGGATCACCTGAAGTCACGAGTTCGAGACCAGCCTGGCCGTCAAGGTGAAATATTGGCTGTCTCCCGTCTCTACTAAAAGTACAAAAAATTAGCCAGGCATGGTGGGGCATGCCTGTAGTCCCAGCTACTCAGGAGGCTGAGGCAGGAGAATGCTTGAGCCCAGGAGGTGGAGGATACAGTGAGCCAAGATCGGGCCACTGCACTCCAGCCTGGGCCACAGAGCAAGACTCCATCTCAAAAAAAAAAAAAAAAAAAAAAAAAAAAGAATGAGAAATGCCAAGACAGGATTTTCTAAAAATTGTGGTATATTTTAAATGTTTTACTTTAACCTTTACATATATGTGGTGAATACCTTCCACACATTCTAGGGTGTATTTCTGCAATTACTGGGTATTTTCTGCATCTCTCCCCAGTGGACCATTTCCAGCTGAAGAAACACGCACATCTGCCCTCTGACTCTCACATACACTCGTGCAC
Organism: Homo sapiens; assembly: GCF_000001405.40. Taxonomy (NCBI): domain Eukaryota; kingdom Metazoa; phylum Chordata; class Mammalia; order Primates; family Hominidae; genus Homo; species Homo sapiens. The sequence continues at coordinate 25,215,466 of NC_000001.11, forward strand.
CAGACAGGCGAGACGTCAGTATCTCCCAATTTCTTGTGGTCCCTCCAGCCTGTAGAGCTCCCAACAACCTGTAGGTTTCCAAACAAAAACCCAACAACCCCATCCACAGGGACAAGACTGAATCCAAAGCTAGATGATTCATCCAAAATGGGACTTTTTTTTTTTTGAGACAGTCTCACTCTGTCGCCCAGGCTAGAGTGCAGAGGCACAGTATCAGCTCACTGCAACCCCCGCCTCCTGGGTTTAAGTGATCCTCCCACCTCAGCCTCCTGAGTAGCTGAGACTACAGCCATGCACCAATAGGCCCAACTAATTTTTATATTTTTAGTAGAGACGGGGTTTCACCATGTTGGCCAGGCTGGTCTCAAACTCCCGACCTCTAGTGATCCACCCACCTCGCCTCCCAAAGAGCCAGGATTACAGGCATGAGCCACCATGCCCGGCCTTAAAATGTGAACATTTTTAAAAGATATTTTGGATTGTTGTTTTTAACAAATTTACCTGAAGTGCTGCTTCTGTTCCAGCAAAAAGCCAAGGAGAACCTCCGGCCCTCAGATCCCTGGGTTCTGCAAAGAGTCGCCATTTCTCAGAAACTAGATTTTGACTCTAACTGCTTTGGATTGGAGAAGCTGACCAGCGAGCGTGTAAAATTAATCTTGCATAAGTGATGAGCTTATAAAGAGAGCCCCAGGGGAATGAGGCTAGCACACTGCAAAGCATCACTTACCTATTGCTACCTGGCCGAGTGTTGCAGGAGAAGAGATTCTGGGGAAGGGAGGCTTCAAAGCTCCCGGATGTCCTATCGTTTCAAACCATCAGATTGGCAGAAAGAGGAAGTCTCTGCTAGTTCTTCTTGAGAAAACGGCCAACACCTTCATGAGCAGGGAGCAAGTCACATGGGAATTCTACCCCCCTTGATGATTTCTGAAAGTTCAGTTTGGCATTATCTTGATTTGGAGGTGAGGAAAGAAGAGCAGATGGAATGCAGGAAATGTCCATGAGGATGATACTACTTATTGATTATATTATTACTATAAATGGCTTCTTAGCCATTTGGCTAAGATCAGGCGATGTATTATTACTATAATGACTCAAACTGCCGGGCCCAGTGGCTCACACCTGTAATCCTAGAACTTTGGGAGGCCAAAGCGAGCAGATCACAAGGTCAGGAATTCAAGACCAGCCTGGCCAACATGGTGAAAACCCCGTCTCTACTAAAAATACAAAAAAAAATTAGCCAGGCATGGTGGCAGGCACCTGTAGTCCCAGCTACTTGGGAGGCTGAGGCAGGAGAATCACTTGAACCCAGGAGGCAGAGGCTGCAGTGAGCAGAGATCGCACCACTGCACTCCAGCCTGGATGACAGAGTGAGACTCTGTCTCAAAAAAATAATAATTAAAAAAAAAATAAACAACTCATACCATGCCCACTTTGAAGCAGGCACTGCTCTGTACATGTCACACTCATCTGATGCTCACAATAACCCTCTGAGGTAGGTATTAATAACACTTTTTAAATCCGGGGAAAATGAGGCACAAAGTGGTTGGGTGATGATATGCACTGAATTGTGTCCCCTTAATGTATTTGTTGAAGCTTTAACCCCCAATGCGACTGTATTTGGAAACAGGGACTTTCAGGAGGTAATAATTAAGGTCAAATGAGGTCATGAGGGTGGAGCCCTAATCTAATAGGACTGATGTCCTTATAAGAGGAGGAAGAGACACCAGGAGTGTGAAGGCAGAGGACAGGTCATGTGAGGACACAGGGAGGAGGCAGCCATCTGCAAAACAGGGAGAGGGACCTCACCAGAAGCCAACCCTGCCGGCACCTTGGTCTTGAACTTCCTGTTTTCCAGAACCATGAAAACATGAATTTCTGTTGTTTGAGCCACTCAGTCTGTGGTATTCTGTTATGGCAGCCCAAGTGGACTAACAGAGTGAGTTGCCGGAGATCTTTCACCCGGCAAATGGAAGAGCTGGCATTTGAATCCAGGCCGTTTGGCACCTGAGTCTGTGCTTTTTATCAGCTACTGGAGTGCTCTGGAGAAAGGAGAGAGTAAGAGCGAGAACTATTGGAGAACATGACAATGATCATAGGAGCCGCCAACACTCGTGGGCATTGACTCTGCACCAGCCCACCTCGAGAAGCACTTCCCATGGATTAGCCACTTAATCCCAACAACAATCCCATGAGGTTAGTATTATCATCGCCCCCACGTCATCAAGGCCTAAAGAGAATTCCAGTGGGGCACACCCCCTCCAGAGCCATCCCAGAATACGATGCTCTACTGTAAGCCATTCTAAGGATGAGACCATTTTGTTGTGCTCAGCTCCACCACCTGGCCAAAAGCTGTGCAACTGTGCCTCCGACGGAGAGAACAGTGTTGAGTCAAGTCATAATGAAGCCCACATCTCTGAGGAGGTCTTTGAAATAAATGGGCTAATGAGGAAGGCATCTTCACCAAGATGTCACACCCTTGGAGAAAAAGGGCCCATGGGGAGGCAACCCTTCCCTGATGGGCAGGAGCAGGGCAGAGGGGAGCACCATGAGAGGAGCAGAATTAGCCAGGACTGTTGCAGCTGGGGGTGAACACAGCCGCCCTTCTTCCCTTGAAATAAGCAATGGCTGACAAGGATTCAGCAGCAGTCAGGTGAGAGTCAAGGGTGGCTTAACATCATCCCTGTCCCCAGCCACATCCACCTAGAGAGAGAGAACACCCCATTTCCATTTCCACCACTCTCCTGTATCTCCCCGCAAATAGGCCTTGTTTCCTTGTTTAGGTGCCCAATTTTGTCAGTCCCATGGATAGGTTAGGAAGGACTGAAATGAAAGCTCTCCATTCTGTGGGCACAGCATTTTCCAAAGGGTTAGATGTGTCTCACAGGTAGGCACACCTGAGACAGGCCCTTTGCAATTCTTCCTCACTCTTGCCTAGTCAGTGCCCAGGAGAAAGCCTCAACTTGGTGCTAACATATCTTTCGTACACCTCTCATATTTGCTCATATTTGAACAGAGAACAGATTTGAGATCCAGAGCCTTCCACGGGGGGCAGCGTCTGCCCTTCTACCTTTGAGGAACTCCAGATCACACGTACAGGGTCCCACAATTCACGGAGGCTTTGTTCCTATTTCTTCATTCTTTTTACTCTCTGTGCTTCACGTTGGATGGTTTCTGTTGCTATATCTTCAAGTTCACTAATCTCTTCTGTGATATGTCAACTGCAGTCAAATCCATGCTATACATTTCCCATCTCAGAAATTGTTGTGTGCATGTCAAGAATCTCAGTGTGAGTCTTTTTATATCCCGTGTCTCTTTTTAACTTTTCCATGATATAGAGTACAGTGATAACTTTTAATTTCCTTGCCTCTAACATTTGTGTCAGTTCTTGGTTAGATGGATTGATTTTTCTTCTCCTTATGGGTCCTATTTTCCTGTTTCTCTTTTGAGACACTGGGCATTGTGAATGTGATGTTCTTGGGTACTGAAGGTTTCTGTGTTTCTTTATAATTATTCTTGGTCTTTGTTCTGGAATGCAGCTAAATTATTTGCGAACAGTTGGATTATTTCAGGTCTTTGAAGACTTGTTGGGCAAGACTCAAGCAGTGTTTAGCCTAGGGCTAATTATTTTCCACTGCTGAGGCAAGAACCTTCTAAGTATTCTACCCAATGCCTCGTGAATTATGATGATCATAGGAGCCGCCAACACTCGTGGGTATTGACTGCACCAGCCCACCTCAAGAAGCACTTCCCATGGATTAGCCACTTACTCCCAACAACAATCCCATGAGGTTAGTATTATCATCACCGTATTTTCCATTCTGGCTGGTGGGAAAAGCACTATTCCTGGCCGTGAGTGCCAAGTACTGTCTGTCCCCTCTAATCTTTCCAGGTGGTTCTTTCCCTCACCTCTAGGAGTTCCTTGCATACACATGCTGATCAGTACTCTGCCTGGTATTTGAGGGGACCCTCTACAGACATTGTAGCTCTCTTCTCCCCAGTGCTCTGTACTACAAGCTCTTGCCTTGGTCCCTCTAGACTTTCAGCTCTAGCTCCTAAACTAAGGGAGTCTTCTGGGCTCCTCTGGGTTCTCTCTCCACACACCACAGCCTACACAGCCTGAAAGTTCTCCAAAGACAGTAAGCTGGGGCGAACATAGCTGGCTTTCCCTTGGGCATCACTCTTCTATGTCTCATTTCCAGTATCTTGAAAACTGCTGTTTTATATATGCCATCCTTTTTTCTTTTTTTTTGGTTGTTCCACTGGGAAGGTAAACCCATTCTTTGTTAGTCCATCTTGGTTTGATGCAGAAGTCTCCTATTTACTCTGTTTTTGTTTTTGTTCTTGAGCCGAGTCTCACTGTCACCCAGGCTAGAGCGCAGTGGCGCAATCTCAACTCACTGCAATCTCTGCCTCCCGGCAGAGTTCAAGCGATTCTCCTGCCTCAGCCTCTCGAGTAGCTGGGATTACAGGTGTGTGTCACCACACCTGGCTAATTTTTGTATTTTTAGTAGATACAGGGTTTCGCCATGTTGGCCAGGCTGGTCTTGAACTCCTGACCTCAGGTGATCCGCCCACATCAGCCTCCCAGTGTGCTGGGATTACAGGTGTGAGTCACTGCGCCCAGCCCTGTTTACTCTCTCAATCAGATTTTATAATCTTCTTCACATAGATCCTGTGGTTTCTCACTAAATTTGTGCCTAAATATCATTTTTGTTGCTATTATAACTGGACTATTTATTTCCTCCCCTTCTCCATTTCTAGGTACTTACTTCTAGAGTGGAGAAAAACTATTGATGTTTGCTTTCATTTACATTTAATTTGTTGACATTTGCCCTGAAATTGAACCACCCATGGGTAGGCTACCACAAAAGTAACTGCTGTTTTTGCTATTGAAAGTAATGGCAAACGCCGGGCACGGTGGCTCACACCTGTAATCCCAGCACTTTGGGAGGCTGAGCTGGTGGATAACATGAGGTCAGGAGTTTGAGACCAGCCTGGTCAACACGGGGAAACCCCATCCCTACTAAAAATACAAAAATTAGCCAGGTATGGTGGCAGGTGCCTGCAATCCCAGCTACTTGGGAGGCTGAAACGGGAGAACTGCCAGAACCCGGGAGGCGGAGGTTGCAGTGAGCCGAGATCGTGCCACTGCACTCCAGCCTAGGTGACACAGCAAGACTCCACCTCAAAAAAAAAAAAAAAAAAATAGTAATGGCAAAAACTGCAATTACTTTTGCACCAACCTAATAAATTTATTCAACAGCAAGTAAGGGTAAAAGAGGTGAGCATCTAGGTGCAGATGCTCAGCACTGCAACACAAGCTTTACTCCACTCTCCTCTTCATGCTGACTTTCGCCCTCATGCTTGCTACTTCATGACACAAAAGGGCTTCTGCAACTCCAGGCCTCCTGGATGTGATCCAACAAGGAAGGCAGGAGAAAGGGAGGAGCAGCACCTCCTCCCATATCAGGAAAGAAAAGGTTTCTCAAGATAAATTTAGCGTGTGTCCTATTAGCCAGAATTATAACATCTGACCACCTATAATAGTAAGTCAGCCTGGGGAACTAAGCGTTTACCTGGAAATATTACAACAAATTCACAAAAAAAATCTGCGTGCTGGTTGGTAATAAAGAATTAAATTAGGCCGAGGCAGGTAGATGACAAGGTCAGGAGTTCAAGACCAGCCTGACCAACATGGTGAAACCCCGTCTCTACTAAAAATAGAAAAATTAGCCAGGCGTGGTGGTGCAAGCCTGTAGTCCCAGCTACTCAGGAGGCTGAGGCAGGAGAATCACTTGAATCTGGGAGGCGGAGGTTGCAGTGAGCTGAGATCCTGCCACTGCATTGCAGCCTGGGCAACAGTGCGAGACTCTCTCAAAAAAAATTAAATTAAACCAGGCAATTCATAGTCTAAAACACTATTCTTGCATTCTTAGAACAAACCCTGCTGAGTCACAGTGAATTGTTCCTTTAAATACATTGCCATATTCTATTCAACAATATTTTTAAGGTGTTTTTTAAGGCTATTGCGATATTCAGGATCAAAGACCTAAGGTAATGGAAATGGGAATAAAAAGATTGAAACATAGTCAAAGTATTTTCAGAGGCATCAGTGCTTTGTGATAGATCTGTGATTAAATGCACATAGAAATGCCAGGAGAGGAGCTGGGCTCAGTGGCTCATACCTGTAATCCCAGCACTTTGGGGAGGCCAAGGCAGGAAGACAGCTCGAGCCCAAGTTTGAGACCAGCCTGGGCAACATGGTGAGACCCCGTCTCTACAGAAAAATAAATTACCTTCTGTTATGTCCTTTTTCACGTTGCAGGTGGGTATGAAAAAAAAAAAAAGAAAAGAAATGCCAGGAGAGGAAACAAAAGGAGAACAGAAATTTTTTCTGAAGTGCTACTAATTTAAAAAGAGAATAATTAATCACCAGTGGCATCATACTAAAGTTGAAGTATTTGAATTTTTTTTCGAGACAGAGTCTTGCTCTGTTACCCAGTCTGGAGTATAGTGGCGTGATCTCGGCTTAGTGCAACCTCTGCCTCCCAGGTTCAAGCAATTCTCCTGCCTCAGCCTCCCAAAGTGCAGGGATTACAGGCACCCACCACCATGCCCAGCTAATTTTTGTATTTTTAGTAGAGATGGGACTTCACCATGTTGATCAGACTGGTCTCAAACTCCTGATCTTAAGTGATCCACCTGACTCAGCCTCGCAAAGTGCTGGGATTACAGGCGTTGAGCCACCACACCCGGCCAATATTTGAAATTTTCTGAGCTTCAGATTTCTTTGAATTTAAAATATCCCAATTAGATATTTAGCATTTAATTCAACATAGAGAAAAAATAACAACCTTTCCCTCTGGAGTTTTATAAAAATAAATCTATTGCAGTGATAATAGTATTGTGGTCATTTAAGTCTTTATCTTTCAGAGATACATACTAAAATAATTATAGATGAAATTATATATCTAGTATATGCGTCAAAATAAGAGTCATGAAGAAAGTAAATGGAAATAAAGATGAAGCAGGACTGGCCATGAGTTAATGATTGTTGAACAGGGTACTGGGTATATGGGACTCACCAGGGGTATTGGGTGTATGGAATTTCCCATAATAAAATATTCTTTCAGTGTTTGTAGAATGGAAGCATGTATGTATATAAACAAATGTATATATACAAATGTTTGTTTTAAATGATAGACTAAAAATGTTAGAAATTCTAATCCCAAGCATTTATTGCTTTTTAAAAAGGGAACTGTACATGATCAGATCATGGAAGGATAGCTCCACTCCTCCCCGACCTTGGTCACAGGCCGCCATGAGGAGGGACTGCTCCAGTCCTCCGGTGGCCACTGCCATCTTCCTCATCACTGTCCTTAGCTTTGGAGTACACAACTCCAAGTGGCCCGAGTCTAGACTCTATCAAATTCCACACTGATAGCAACAATGACTGCATCTGATGTGTGCTGCTGGCAATCTTAAGCCCAAAATGCTTCAAAGATTAAACAGCCATATACATTTAAAATACATAGAAAAATAATATAATTAGAATGTATACAAAGTAGATTACAAAACAACTTCACTACAAGAAATACATCTTATATCCAAGCACAAAAATGTGGAAATATACATGAAAGGATATACGTTTAAGAAACCACATTTTTATTTCTAAATGCTGAGTGAGAAGGCATGGACTACTAAATTCTGGATTACTGATAAAATTTCAAAAAGAACTTGATTTTGCTAGCAGAAATTTTTACCCCATTCTCAAGCTTCTATAAACAGTTCTTGAAGGGATTAGACAGCTGTTCCTCTTTCCAAATTCTGTTTAATTTCAGCTGTGTATTTCCCATAGAATCTTTCAGCTTTCTTGTTGAATTTGGCATTCCTTTCATTAATGTAGTCGATATCTGCATCATCATTATAAGGACGTCTCCGGCTATATTTGTCTCGTTTTTCAATCCTGGGGAAAGAAGAAAATTTACAAAATTCAAAATTGCCTTCTCTTTTGATCTTAATAAAACACAACCAAACAGGAATATAATCACGTTTAGAATAGCACATGTTGTGAGGGCTAGAGGAAGCCAGGAGAGTTTTCATCAAGTTAAAGTTGAAACTGAATTAATGGCACAACTCAGAATATGAACTGTGAAATCCAGTAAATACAAATTCATCTTCAGAATGCTAGAGCGATGACTCATTGTTGGGAACTTGACTGTACTGAAGAAGATAACTATTGGCTGGGCATGGCGGCTGTAATCCCATGCCTGTAATCCCACTACTTTTGGAGGACAAGGCCTCCCAAAAGGTCCTCTGGGAGGATCACTTGAGCCCAGGAGTTCCAGACCAGGGCCTGGACAACATAGGAAGACTCCATCACTATAAAAAAAATTTTTTTGAATACATTTTCTAAAAAAGAAGATAACTATAACAATATTAAATAGGCCAGGCGCAGTGGCTCATGCCTGTAACCCCAGCACTTTGGGAGGCCAAGGCAGGTAGATCACCTGAGGCCAGGAGTTTGAGACCAGCCTGGTCAACATGACGAAACCCCGTCTCTACTAAAAATACAAAAATTAGCCAGGAGTGGTGGTACACGCCTGTGGTCCCATTTACTCAGGAGGCTGAGGCAAGAGAATCGCTTGAAACTGGCAGGTGGAGGTTGTGGTGAGCCAAGATCGTGACACTGCGCTCCAGCCTGGGCAATAGAGTGAGACTCCGTCTCAAAAAAAAAAAATTATATTAAATAATAACCACAGCTAATACTGAGCACATAATATGTGCCAGACACTTTTTTTTTTTCCTGAGACAGGGTCTCGCTCTGTCGCCCAAGCTGGAGTGCAGTGATGCAATCACAGTTCACTGCACCCTCCACTTCTTGGACTCAAGTGATCCTCCTGACTGAGTCTCCCAAGTAGCTAGGACTACAGGCACGTACCACCATGCCCAGCTAATTCCTGTATATTTTTTGTAGAGAAAGGGTTTTGCCATGTTGCCCAGGCTGTTCTCAAAGTCCTGGGCTCAAGCAATCCTTCTGCCTCAGCCTCCCAAAGTGCTAGGATTATAGGCAGGAGCCACCACGCCCAGCCCAGACACTATTCTTAATACTTTTCATGTATTAACTCCTAAAATATATTTTCATTCTGCTCTACCTAATAGTCGCCTCTATCAGTATTAAGAAACACAAACCTAAGCGAGGAACATTTACTACAACATTCTTGCTTCTTCAAATCAAACAGGGGAGTGGTTAAAGTAAAATCCTTAAAGAAGGATCATTTTTTTTAGACCTTTCCCCTTCAATATTAACAATTCAGTTTCATCAACATTCTTCATCTCCATTCCAAATCAGATATATTCAACCCACACTTGCTATCCATCCCCAAGCCACTATAGACAGGTCAAAAATTAGCAAGTATAACTGTACAATTTCTATCTTTTGAATTCATTCTAAGCACGTCAGATATAGGTGCATATTCTAAGTGCATTTTGTCATGAAGTATTTACAACGTCAAGCTGCTCTACTGAATACTTACTGTTTTTCCAGATCTATGACCATCCTGTCAATTTCCTCTGTGGAAGGCACATGTGTTCCATGAAGAAGACTATTGGATGTTGGGAAAAACTCTTCTCCACTGAAAAGGCAGCAAAATGAACTTACAGTAACACTATAAATGCTCCATTTTCAAATTTCAAACTAAAGTACCATACATGATAAGAAAGTATACACATACATTTACTGTGAGATCCTACTTTAATTTTTTTTTAAAAAAACATACAGGCTGGGTGCAGTGGCTCACATCTGTAATCCCAGCACTTTGGGAGGCCAAGGCAGGCGGATCGTTTGAGGTCAGGAGTTCAAGACCAGCCTGGCCAACATGGCAAAACCCAGTAGAGACTGAAAATATAAAAATTAGCCGGGCGTGGTGACACACACCTGTAGTCCCAGCTACTTGGGAGGCTGAGGCAGGAGAAGCACTTGAACCCGGGAGGTGGAGGCTGCAGCGAGCCAAGATCGCCCCACTGTGCTCCAGCTTGGGCGACAAAGTAAGACTCCGTCTCAAAAAAAAAAATTTTTTTTAATTAAAAGAATTAAAATAGGACCATGTGGAGGCCAGGCGCAGTGGCTCACGCCTGTAATCCCAGCACTTTGGGAGGCTGAGGTGGGCGGATCACAAGGTCAGGAGTTTGAGACCAGCCTGGCCAACATGGTGATACCCCATCTCTACTAAAAATACAAAAATTAGCTGGGCGTGGTGGCAGATGCCTGTAATCCCAGCTACTTGGGAGGCTGAGGCAGGAGAATTGCTTGAACCCGGGAGGCGGAGGTTGCAGTGAGCCGAGATCACGCCACTGCACTCTAGCCCAGGCGACAGTGCAAGACTCTGTCTCAAAAAAAAAAAAATAGGGCCATGTGCAGTGGCTCACACCAATAATCCCAGCACTTTGGGAGGCCAAGGTGGGCACATCACCTGAGGTCAGGAGTTCAAGACCAGCCTGGCCAACATGGTGAAACCCCATCTCTACTAAAAATACAAAAAAATTAGCCAGGCGTGGTGGCGGGCACCTGTAGTCCCAGCTACTTGGCAGAAGAATCACTTGAACCCAGGAGGCGGAGGCTGCAGTGAGTCAAGATTGCACCACTGCACTCCAGCCTGGGCGACAGAGCGAGATTCTATCTCAAAAAAAAAATAAAAATAAAAATAAAAAATAAAAAATTACAGAATTGAAAGGAACCTAAGACATCATCTACGCCAACACCTTCACTGTACAGATCAAAGAGCCAACAGGCAGAGAGGCTCCAGGACTTATCAGAGGTCACAAAGTGCTAGGAACAGAGCTGGGATTAGAGCTCCATCCTGAGGTTATTTCCTTTTCCACTAAAACAAGCTGCCAAACTACAGCAGCCCACCACCTGTTTATGAAAAGAGGCTTCATTTATGAATTCTCTGCAGCTGCTTTTGCACTGCAGCAGCACAGCTGAATAGCTGTGACAGAGACTATATGGCCCACAAAGCTAAAATATTTACTATCTGGTCCTTCACAGAAAAAGTTCACCAACCCCAGCACTAAAGCATTCTGCCTCCTAAAATAATATCTAAGTAACTACGACAATCAGGGTGTTAACCAATCAACAACCAGTCTTAGAATGCCCAGTTAAGAACAAAACAAAAAACATGTGATTAATTTAATAGCTGTGAAGTAAGCAATAAACAGTGCTGTCAAAACAGAGACTAGGCCTGGCACAGTGGCTCACACCTGTAATCTCAACCATGTGGGAGGCCAAGGATGGAGGATCACTTGAGGCCAGGAGTTTGAGACAGCCTGAGCAACACAGTGAGACCCCGTCTCCACAAAAAAATTAATTAGCCAGGAATCGTGGCACATGTCTGTAATCCTAGCTACTGGGGAGGCTGATGTGGGAGGATCCCTTGAGGCCACAAGTTTGAGGTTACAGTGAGTTATGACAGTGTCAATGCACTCCAGCTTAAGCAACAGAGCGAGACACCGTCTCTTAAAAAAAAAAAAAGGAAGGGCCGGGCGCAGTAGCTCACGCCTGTAATCCCAGCACTTTGGGAGGCTGAGGTGGACGGATCACTTGAGGTCAGGAGTTCAAGACCAGCCTGGCCAACGTGGTGAAACCCCATCTCAGCTAAAACTACAAAAATTAGTTGGGCGTGGTGGCGGGCGCCTGTAATCCCAGCTACTCAGGAGGCTGAGGCAGAAGAATTGCTTGAACCCAGGTGGCGGAGGTTGCAGTGAGCTGAGACCGCACCATTCACTGCACTCCAGCCTGGGTGAGAAAGCAAGACTCCATCTCAAAGGAAAAAAATATCCAGAAAAAACAGAGACCATCCTTAGACAACTATTAATAACCCATACCTTAGCATTAAAGCATGTTTCTATTTATGTACATGTATACACACACACACACACAAATACATCCACATCACCTCAGGTTGAAAAAGGACTTACTGTTTTTCTCTCAGTCTCTCATATGTTTCCATGTCAGGTTTGATCTGCTTGGTCAACCGATGATACTGGCGTAACTGGGCAGCAGCATAATCTAAAAATATAAAATGAGAATCAGCGATAATATATTTCCTTGTTTGGACCTTCCTATTGAGAGAAAAATCTAAATTATCACAGGTGAGTATCTTTTATCCAAAACGCTTGGAATCGGAAGTGTTTCTGATTTTTTTCAGATTTTGGAATATCTTTATTATACTTAAATTCAAAATCTGAAATGCTCCAATCAGCATTTCCTTTGAGCATCATAGCACCATGTTGGCATTCAAACAGTTTTGGATTTTGCAACATTTGGGATTTCAGATTTTCATACTAGGGATACTCAATCTGTGTGAAGTAATATATGCCCATAACACTATTCTAAGCATAGCTTCTATCCTGAAGATGCTGACAAACAGACTTTGATAAATTTTATCATCAAGTATTTAAAAACCTGGCTAACTGAAGTACAGCCTTTTTTTTTAACTTCTCTCCTAAGAGACATATTTGTACTTTTCTTGGTCTTAAGCCTCATCAAGAATATCCCACGAAGCACAAGAGGCACATCCTTTCTTGAAACCAGAAACAATGAAGGAAATGACTAACAGCCCAGTCAATAAGGTTCAATAAAGGTCAATCTGACCTGAAAATCCCAGATCAGGGTTTTTCCTCTTCTTTTTCCTCTCCCATCTTTCTGCATCTTCTGCACTGATCTCCAGCAACTTCACTTTCTCATAGTCTTCTCCTCTTGCCGCACATTCCTAAAAAGAAGAAAAAAGCTGACACCTACAATTATGATACATGCAATAATTTGATCTACTTTACATCAAGAAAGATCCAATAAATATCAACCAATACTTTAATAGTATTTTTTTAGTTGGAGTTTCACTCACTCTGTCACGCAGGCTGGAGTGCAGTGGCGCGATCTCAGCTCACTGCAACCTCCACCTCCCAGGTTCAAGGGATTCTCATCTCTTAGCCTCCCAAGTAGCTGGGACTACAGGCACATGCCACCATGCCCGGCTAATTTTTGTATTTTTAGTAGAGATGGGGTTTCACCATGTTGGCCATGCTGGTCTCAAATTCCTGACCTCAAATGATCTGCCAGCCTCGGCCTCCCAAAAGTGCTGGGATTACAGGCATGAGCCACTGCACCCGGCCACTTTAATAGCATTTAAAGGAAATTTGGGAATATACTATGGTATATAAGTGAGCACATGATACTTATTGAGTGTTTATCAGGTGTCAGACCTTGTTTTAAATGTTTTACATGCATTAACTCACTTAATTCATAATGAACTCAAATAATTATTGTTACAGTCCCTGTTTTATTGATGAGAAAACAGAGGTACAGAGAAGTTAAATAAACTCACCCAACGTGTTGCAGTTGGTACTGAGCAGAGCCAGAATTTCAATTCTGGCAGCTTGGCCTAAGAGCCAGTGTATACAACCACCATGTTGTAGTGTCTTGATACAACAGAATGATTGACTAAATCACTTATGAAGATAGAATAGTTCCTAACCTTTTTCTTTTCCTCTTCCTTTAGTTCCCACTCCAAACGAGCTTTTTTGGCTTCCCAATTTGCAGGTAATTTTAGTCTTTTATCTTCTTCCACAACTTCCTGGTGATTTAATTTACGAGCTTCATTCTAAAACCGTAACACAAGAAGTCTGTCAGCTAAAACATGAAAATAAATCCAGATACACCTTGCCTTCTTTGAGGAGGGTCAGGCAGGACATATTAATAAGCTGACCCCATTTTATCCTAAAAGCAATAGAGAGCCATCACAGGATTTTAAGCCAGGGAATAGCCTAATAGGGTCTACGTTTTTATGCAGTCAAGAAAAATGTGTTGAGTTGCACTGGTTTGCTGTTCCAGAGCCCTGGAGGTTAAAATCAGCTTTGCCTCTATTGAGTTGTGTGGTCCCTTTTTATTGGATCAGAACAAGGTTTTGCAGTATTGGAGACCATACTATAGTGGCACTTAAGTAGACTTTATTTGGCATTACTATTAAATTGGCCAGGTGCAGTGGATCACGCTTGTAATCCTAGCACTTTGGGAGGCTGAGGCAGGTGGATCACCTGAGGTCAGAAGTTCAAGACCAGGCTGGCCAACATGGTGAAACCCCGTCTCTACTAAAAATACAAAAATTAGCGAGGCATGGTGGTGCACACCTGTAATCCTAGCTACTCGGGAGGCTGAGGCAGGAGATTCACTTGAACCCAGGAGGCAGAGGTTGCAGTCAGCTGAGATTGCACTACTGCACTACAGCCTGGGTGACAGAGCGAGACTCCATCTCAAAAAAAAAAAAAAAAATTACGTCACATGATGTGAAAGACACTCTTTCTTTTTTTTTTTTGAGACAGAGTCTCACTCTGTCACCCAAGCTGGAGTACAGTGGAGCCATCTCAGCTCATTTCAACTTTCGCCTCTGGGGTTCAAACAATTCTCATGCCTCAGCCTCCCGAGTAGCTGGGGTTACAAGCGTGTGCCACAATGCCTGGCTTATTTTTTTGTATTTTTGGTAGAAACGTGGTTTTGCAGTTTGGCCAGGCTGGTCTCAAACTCCTGGCCTCAAGTGATCTGCCCGCCTGGACCTCCCAAAGTGCTGGGATTACAGGCATGTGCCACCACACCAGGCCTCAATTATCTTTTAATCCTAATTCAAGAAAAAAGCCTCAATTTGGGTTAGAGGATTTAAAACCTATCTTAATGCCTCTAATGCTTTCCAAGTTCCCCTCCTTTTAAATATTTTCACAGTTTGCATTGACAAATGAAAAATGAAAGGAATTTTCCATTTGAAGTATCATTGAAGAGTCTTTTTTTTTTTTTGGAGCTGGGGTAGCAGGGAGAAGAGTCTATTTTTAAATAAACTTAATTGCATAAAGCAAAATGAGTGTATCGTCTTAAGGAAAACTTGAGTTAGACATTCCTTAGGTCATAAGCTGGTGGCAGTTTGTCCAGGAAGCCCCGCCTCCTAATTTCCAGACATGTGTTCCTTACACAATCACTCTAAATATTTAAGCATGTCTTTTTAATTGTTTATTAGATTAACTTTCCCTCGGCAAAGAGAGATACTCCTCCCAACTACCATCCCTAGTATATTCTTGGCCCTGGAAAAGCCCTGCAATTAAAGACGCCAAGAACATACCTACGGTCAACAAAGTTGAGTCTGTTGCACAGAAGAGAGCAAACCACGGGGAACCGTGGGCATTTGAGTGACAGGGTGTTAGGAAGGGCTTGTTCCAGGATTTGGGTTTGTATCAGGTGACTGAGGGGAGGGTTAAGGATGTGGATTGGGTACTGTCAGAAAGCAGGGGCTTTCTACAATTAGGTATCTTAGATTTTTTTTTTTTTTTTTTTTGAGATGGAGTCTCGCTCTGTCGCCCAGGCTGGAGTGCAGTGGTGTGATCTCGACTCACTGTAAGCTCCGACTCTCGGGCTCATGCCATTCTCCTGCCTCAGCCTCCCGTGTAGCCCGCCAGCACGCCCGGCTAATTTTTTCTATTTTTAGTAGAGACGGGGTTTCACCGTGTTAGCCAGGATGGTCTTGATCTCCTGACCTTGTGATCCGCCCTCCTCGGCCTCCCAAAGTGCTGGGATTACAGGCGTGAGCCACCGCACCCGGCCCAGTATCTTACATTTTTATATAGGAGGCAGAAGTAACGGAGTGAGACTAATGCTGTATTTGTTAATAACAGTCACTGGTGTTAGTCAGAAGAAAGAAATATGTGGTCATTCTTGTAATTTGAAAAGTCTTCTTTGTTTTGTCTCACTACAACAGTCAGAGTGATTTTGGGATTTTGTGAAACCATGGCCTAGCTGTCAGGTCACTCCATGGTGAAACAGGGGCTGCTTTTCTCTTTCTCTGCTCCAACTGCAGCAAGCTATTTGCTGGACTCTTATCCCTAATACAAATTCTCTTTCTTTGAATTTGTTCCCTTTGCTTGGATATCTCTTTCTCTAACTCCTTTAGTTGTCTGGCTTTCAAACAGTAGTTTAGGTGTCACCTACTACATGAGGCACCCCCTGGAGACCCACAAACTGCATTCCTCTCTCCTCCTCTGCACCTCCAGGGCACTTAAACATCAGATTCCCTATCAACTGGCTGAACTACCACACTGTAGACTTTCAAAAGTTTGCCATTTTTTTTATTTTCTTTTTATTCTTTTCCCCCAGAAGTCCCAAAAACAGATGATTATTTTCTTTTCACTCAAACAGATTCTGACAGAAGATTATTATTTTTTAAAGTGAACCAGGTCTCTTACTGACACTAGACAAGTTTCTTCCTGTCTCTAGCTCTACATATTTCCCTAGGTAAAATGAAGAATTTGTTGGAATCACGGAGCAGGGAGGTTGTTAGTAATGGAGACTCCCAAACCTAACCCAGATACATTAAATTGGATGTGGGTGGGAGAGGGGCTGGAGTGAACAGTTATATTTTCAAATGTTCTCAGAATGATCCCAATGTGCTGCCAGGGTTGAGTACCACCGAACAGAGCTTTCCTCTCAGATGATCCTGCTCTGTTGGTCTGTCAGACGCAGTGGTGTGGCTTCCTCGTCCCCTCTACAAAAGCGCACAGGCTTGGCCAGATGACGGATCTAAGCCGGCCTCCAAGACTACTCACCCGCATCAGGTGCAGCTCCCGGAATTTGCGCAGTCTCTGTTCGCGCTTCTGAGCGGCCAGCTCCGCCGCCGCAGCGAGGGACCCCTCCTCCGCGCTGTCCACCAGCACCTGCGACAAGGAGAACTGGCTTCAGGCAGAGCCGGCTCAGCTTCTCCCAGGACTGCCCAGGCCGAGTCCCCGCCGGTCCCCACAGGCTGGGCCTAGGGCCTCCACCGCCGACTTGACCCCACAGTGTCTGAGCCTCCCTGAAGCGAAACTAGACTTCGCCTCCACCTCTCTCCAGGCCGCTCCCCGGAACCCTCACCAACAAAACCCCCGGTGTACGGTGGGTGGAACTCACCTCGGATGCAGCTATAGCCGCCATCACAACCTTTCTCTCTTCCCACTTCCGGCAACAAGATAGAGCACTTCCGTCAACCTTCAGACAAACGGGCCGATACGTACGAATGGGCTACCATAAGCCCCGCCCCTTCCGGGAGGTCTCCGGAAGTTGGGACCCTTTTAGCTATGAAATATTTTGGATTGCGTAGGGTCTTGCGCAGCCGCGAAAAGTAGCGTGGGCCAGGACAGCGGGAGGTAAGTCGCCAAGAAAAGGGTTGGGAAGAGCTCAGAATCGGACGGCTAGGAAGAAATGACCAAAAGGAGCCTGATAGCCCCCTATTCTGCACGCTGTTCCTGGAAACCGCCTTTGCAAAGACAGTGAGAGAAATCTAACATGGCTCACTCCATCTTGCTTCTAGCCTCGCAGGCCGGCTGTCTTCGCTCATTCCTGGGCATAAACCAAGCTAACCATGGGAGAATTTATAGTTTAACTTTTAAGCAAGGATGATCATAGTCCCTTCCTTAAACAGGGCCCCTCCTTGTTTGGGGGCTGAAACTGCCTTTATAAAACTAATGAAAGACCGGGAGGTTAGGATTATGAGGGGAGAATTCTGCTAAAATGTAGTAAACGATAACCAGCCATTGTTTCGGAGGACATCGGATGTGTAACTTCCCCAATTATTCCTGTAGATAACGTTATCGTAGCACCTAAGATTGGTCTTTTGAGGCATTTTTCAGACTTTCGCATTCTGGCAACTAACTGACCCCACCCAGACTCGTGACCCATGACCCAACCGCTTCTTCTGTCCCACTCCTCCCCCAAGAGGCGGACTCAGCTGTTGAGGAGTGTAGTCCACACCCCTGTGATTGCATCTCCAACCAATCAGCAGCATCCATTCCCTAGTGCCCTGCCCACACCAAACTATGAAATACCCTAACCTCTGAGCTGACCCTTCAGGAAAACTTACTTGAGTGGTAACCCTTCTTCCCTGAGGCCAGCCTCAGGTTAATACAACTGTATACTGCAGTAGCACTTTTCAGTGAATTGGTTTTGTCTGCAGTAAGCAGGAAAAACCTGCAGTGCCATTCATTCCCATGAGTGGAAAGTTCTTTCCATTTAGAGCTTAAGGTGTTGTCACTTTCTCCAAGAAGCAGGTCTTGCCCTTGGCCTGGTGTGGTGGTTCATGGCTGCAATCCCAGCACATTGCGGGGCGGAGGCGGGAGGATTGCTTGAGCCCAGGAGTTCAAGACCAGCCTGGACAACAAAGTAAGAATCAGTCTCTAAATTAAAAAATAAAAGTAATTTTTTTTTGTTTTTTTGTTTTGAGACAGAGTCTTGCACTATCACCCAGGCTGGAGTGCAGTGGCACCGATCTCGGCTTACTGCAACGTCCGGCTCCCGGGTTCAGACGATTCTCCTGCCTCAGCTTCCCGAGTAGCTGGGATTACGGGTGCCTGCCACCATGCCCAGCTAATTTTTGTATTTTTAGTAGAGATAGGGTTTCACCATGTTGGCCAGGCTGGTCTCGAACTCCTGACCTCATGATCTGCCCACCTCAGCCTCCCAAAGTGCCGGGATTACAGGCATGAGCCACTGTGCCTGGCCATAAAAATAAATTTTTAAAAATAGAAGCAGGTCTTCCCTGACTACCCTGTCTCACTTTTAGTACTGTCATTTGACACTATTTTAATTCTCTCCAATTGCATAAGTTTTATTTTTGTCTGTTGATTTTCTATTTTTCTCATCAGCGTTATTACTGGAGAACAGCAGAGTCCACCCATCTTGTTTACTCTTACATGCTCAGCAGAGAGGCAATGCCAGAATTACTAACAGTGCTAAAGTTACTAAGATAAGTAAGGTGCTGGATATAAGAGGAATATATGAAAATTATTTTTTTCTGCACTAACAACTACTAGTTAGATACAGAAATGAAAAAGTAGGCCAGGTGCAGTGGCTCATGCCTGTAATCTCAGTACTTTGGGAGGCCGAGGCGGGCAGATCACGAGGTCAGGAGATCAAGACCATCCTGGCTAACACGGTGAAACCCCATCTCTACTAAAAATACAAAAAATTAGCCGGGCGTGGTGGCGAGCGCCTGTAGTCCCAGCTACTCAGGAGGCTGAGGCAGGAGAATGGCGGGAATCCGGCAGGCAGAGCTTGCAGTGAGCCGAGATTGCGCCACTGCACTCCAGCCTGGGCAACAGAGCGAGACTCTGTCTCAAAAAACCAAAAAAAAAAAGAAAAGTAATCCCTAAAATGAAAAGATACCTAGGTACAAAATTTAAATGGTAACATAAAAATAAAAGATAATTTGAAGTAAATTAAATCTGAATAAATGGTGGATAACCTATTTTCTGGTTGGAAGACTTAATATTATAAAAACAATATCACAAAGGAGTATCGCAAATGAGTTTATAAATGTCATGTTATTCCCATCAGAACCTCAGTGGGTCATTGTTTTTGTTTTTTGGAACTGGAAAATAATGTGGCAAAAATCTTAGAAGTTCAATAACACATTGTGTTGATGAGACCGAAGAAAAATGAATCCTACACATATTGCTGGTAGGACTAAAAATTGATTGAACCCCTAGGGAAGACAATTTGGCAATATCTGTAAAAATTAAGGCATTTACTCTTTGACTCAGCTATCATAATTCTGGGAATTTATGTTACAGATACAATTACACATTGAAAGGAAAATAAATCTTGGGGCCCCAAAATCACTAAGCCAAAGGGAAAAGTCAAGCTGGGAACTGCTTAGGGCAAACCTATCTCCCATTCTATACCTGAAAAAGCCACTAAGATAAAAAAGCTACCTACCTTCCTCACAGGGAATGTCCTTGTGGACAAAGGACAGAGAGAGGCAGGCGGATCACCTGAGGTCAGGAATTCAAGACCAGCCTGGCCTACACGGTGAAACCCCGTCTCTACTAAAAATACAAAAATTAGCCGGGCATGGTGGTGCGCAGCTGTATTCCCAGCTACTAAGGAGGCTGAGGTGGGAGAACTGCTAGAACCTGGGAGGCAGAGGTTGCAGTGAGCCAAGATCGCTCCACTGCACTCCAGCCTGGGCAACAAAGGGAGACTCCATCTCAAAAAAAAAAAGCCATCATCTGTTTTGGGGGTGTAATAAGATATATGTACTTCTGAACCATGTAAGTATTTCGGCCGGGCGCCTTGGCTCACACATGTAATCCCAGCACTTTGTAAGGCCGAGGCAGGCAGATCACCTGAGGTCAGGAGTTCGAGGCCAGCCTGGTCAACATGGCAAAACCCCGTCTCTACAAAAAATAAAAAAATAAAAAAATTTAGCCTGGCGTGGTGGCGGGCACCTGTAATTCCAGCTACTCTGGAGGCTGAGGCAGGAGAATTGCTTGAACCGGGGAGGTGGAGGTTGCAGTAAGCCGAGATCACGCCATTGCACTCCAGCCTGGGCAACAAGAGTGAAACTCCGTCTCAAAAAATAAATAAAAAATAAGTGTGTCAATTCTAAAATTAAAAAAAATTTAAAAGTTTGCATGGAAAAACTAAGAATAGTCAACAGTATTTCTGAATAAAAAATAGAATCGCGGCTGGGCGCGGTGGTTCACACCTGTAATCCCAGCACTTTGGGAGGCCAAGGCGGGTGGATCACGAGGTCAGGAGATCAAGACTATCCTGGCTAACATGGTGAAACCTCGTCTCTACTAAAAAATTAGCTGGGCATGGTGGCGGGCGCCTGTAGTCCCAGCTACTCAGGAGGCTGAGGCAGGAGAATGGCGTGAACCCGGGAGGCGGAGCTTGCAGTGAGCCCAGATTGTGCCACTGCACTCCTGGGAGACACAGATTCCGTCTCAAAAAAAAAAAAAAAAAAACCACACAATTACATGTGGTTTTGTGCCTCTTGGATTTCAGTTATTGGGGAAGAGTAGTGCTTACATCCTTCTTATTTTACTGTTATTAAGAATCCTGGCTGGCACGGTGGCTCAAGCCTGTAATCCCAGCACTTTGGGAGGCCAAGGCAGGAGAATCCTTTGAGCGCAGGAGTCCAAGACCAGCCCTGGCAACATAGCGAGACCTCATCTCTACGCATGGTAGCCTGCCCCCGTAGTCCCAGCTACTCGAGAGGCTGAGGTGAGAGGATTGCTTGAGCCTGGGAGGTCAAGGCTGCAGTGAGCCCTGATCACACCACTGCACTTCAGCCTGGGTGACAGAGCGAGACCCTGTCTTGAAAAAAAAAAAAAAAAATCCTATTCCTGCCAGTAAAATTGGGCTCTATATTACCAATTTGTTTATATTGCAAATTAAAATCTGCAAGTCTGGACTTAAAAAAATGGAAATGTTTGTAATTAACTAAAGTTTCTGGAAGTGATAAGCAGTATAGAAAGGAAAGATGTGTGGTAAAAATTGCTCAACTGATTTTGTAAGGATTTATTAAGAGTATTCACAGGATTTTCAACATTGCTTTTCTGTGCAATATGATAATTTGTGTGATTTTTAAAAACTGGGCTGGCTACAGTGGCTCACGCCTGTAATCCCAGCACTTTGGGAGGCCGAGGTGGGTGATTTGCCTGAGCTCAGGAGTTTCACACCAGCCTGGTCAACACAGTGAAACCCCGTCTCTACTAAAAATACAAAAAATTAGCCAGGCGTGACTGCGTGCGCCTGTAGTCCCAGCTACTCGGGAGGGTGAGGCAGGAGAATCACTTGAATCCAGAAGGCGGAGGTTGCAGTGAGCTCAGATGGCGCCACTGCACTCCAGCCTGGGCGACACAGCAAGAGTCCGGCTCAAAATAAAACAAACAAACAAAAAAAAAACTGTTATGAACTGTATCATTTCTCTATTGTGGCATAACAAATCATCCCAAAACTTGGTACCTTAGCACAAATATTATTTTATTATTATCTCTCATAGGTCTGAGAATTGGTGTGGTTCTCACACAGGGTCTCTCATGCAGTTGCAGTCAGATTAGGGGCTGGGGCTGGAATCATTGTAAAGGTTTCCTCACTCAGAAGTCTTGTGGTTGATGTTGGCTGTAGGCCTGAACGCCCACACCTGGCCTCTCCATTGGCCTGGACTTCCTCAAAGCATGGGGGCTGGGTTTTAAGAACAAGTATCCCAAGAGAACTAGGTGGAATCTGTTTCACTTTTTATGACTTAGTCTCAGAATTCACAGTGTCACTCCCTCCATAGTCACAGATTCAAGGATTAGGGATACAGACTCTACTTCTAGATAGAAGGAGTGCCAATGTTACATTGTAAGACTAGCACATAGAATGGAAGATCTTCCAGCATCTAGAAAAATTCAATTAGACACATCACTTGTTCTGTTCTTTGTTAATAAATATGTATAAATATAATTTGAACAGACTTCTTATAAGACTCCAATTTTTTAAATTGTTGCCATGTCCTGTTGAAAAAGAATTTGTGCTACATATTTTCTGTCTGCCCTGTTAGAACTACTCTCCATTGGTCTCCATGTTCTGTGTCCCTGAGTGCTAGCCTGAATGAACTGCATCAGTAAACTCTCTTGCCCTCTACCTTCTTGGGTCCTGCCAATGCACAGTACCTACATAAGATCAGAGGTTTGGAAGAAATGAGGTCAAGGTATTTATTCCCTGGCTGGATTACGGATTTGGTATATTTCCGTAGTCACCGCTTATGTCTGAAGACTATCTTCTATCCCTCCTGTCTCAGCCTCCCGAGTAGCTGGGACTACAGGCACCTGCCAACATGCCCGGCTCATTTTTGTATTTTTAGTAGAGACAGTTTCACCTTGTTGATCAGGCTGGTCTCAAACACCTGACCTCAGGTGATCCACCCGCCTCGGTCTCCTAAAGTGTTGAGATTACAGGCGTGAGCCACCGCGCCCGGCCTAACCCTATACTTTCTGGATTCCCATTGCTGCTCCCTTCTTTTGCCTCTTTTGGGGTAGTAGTAGTGAGGGATCCCCCTGTTGATAGCGCTGGTATGCTTCACTCTGGTTGGTTTTTCTTACCCAGTCTACAACTTTGTAAACAGTCCCTTTATTAAGCTCTCCTTAATTACTTAGCATATGTAAGCCTAGTAACATAACTTTCAAAACCTGTAATTCTGATAAGTGATCTTACTGAAAATAATTTTATAATTGACTTTATTTTTAAAAGACAGGGTCTCATTATGTTATTTAGGCTGGTTTTGAAATCCCAGCCTCAAGTGATCCTCCATCCTCAGACTCTTCCTCTGAGTAGTTGGGATTACAGGCATGAGCCACCATGCCTGGTTTATAATTGACATTTTTGTATTCTTAAAGAATGTAAATACCTGTAATATTGCTCTATCAAATCATCTATAACATAGAGAAAATTCCTGTTACTCTGCTATATTTGCTTTTTTTTTTTTTTTTTTTTTTTTTTTTGAGACAAGGTCTTGCTCTGTTGGCTAGGCTGGAGGGCAGTGGCACAATCTTGGCTCACTGCAACCTCTGCCTCCTAGAGGATACTCCCATCTCAGCCTCCCGAGTAGCTGCGACTACAGGCACCTGCAACTATGTCCGGCTAATACTTCAATTTTGAGGGGCTGGCAGGGTCAGAGGTAGGGGACGGGGTCTTGCTCTGTTGCCCAGGCTGGTCTTGAACTCCTGGGCTCAGGTAATCCTCCCACCTCAGCCTCCCAAAGTGCTGGGATTACAGGAGTAAGCCACAGTGCCTGGCCAAATATTTGCTATTTTAATAGAGGTTAAGAAATGTCTCATTTAAATTAACTACATTAGGCCGGGCTCAGTGGCTTATGCCTGTAATCCCAGCACTTTGTAAGGCCTAGGTGGGCGGATCACTTGAGGTCAGGAATTCCAGGCCAGCCTGACCAACATGGTGAAACCCCGTCTCTACTAAAAATACAAAATTTAGCCGGGCGTGGTGGCGGGCGCCTGTAATTCTAGCTGCTCGGGAGGCTGAGACAGGAGAATCACTTGAACCCAAGCGGCAGAGGTTGCCGTGAGCTGAGATCGCGCCACTGCACTCCAACCTGGGCGATAGAGCGAGATCCGTTCAAAATTTGGGGTTCAAAAAAACCCCAAATTAACTACATTAAACAAGCAACTCCACACTTATGTAATTACATGTATGTAAGTGCTGCAAAGAAGAAAATGTAAAAATGTATGAAGAGCTGTAACAGAGGAAACTGACTTTTAAAGTGGTGAGCTGGCTTCCCTAAAGAAAGGCATTTAAGGAAATCTGAGGAAGGAGAGGGATAGTCTGCCTTCAGAGTTTTGTTTTTGAGATAGGTCTCACTGTCACCCAGGCTGAGAGGCTGAGATCATAGCTCACTTCGTCCTCGCGTCTCCAGCACAGGTCCGGGTTTCTCCACCCAATGCGCCTGCGCACAGGCCTAGCCCAGTCGGACGCAGCCCAGGACTGCCAGGGGTGGGGATTGCCTGGGTCCCCCAGGAAGGGCCGGGTTACGTCCGGAAAAGTGAGGCCCGGGGTTCCAGTTAATTGTTACCGGAAGTGGAGGGAAGCGTTGCCAGGGGAGGGCGGAGACTGTGGCTGACAAGATGGGTGGCAGGCCCTTCCCTGGGGGTATCGAGGTAGGGACGTTTGTGGCTACGTCTGTCCTAGAGGAGGAGACGATGCCAGGGGAGAGGGAGACGCAGACACTGGGACTGGGTCGCCAGCAGAGGGCCTCGGAAGCCAAGCCACCCCGTCTGAAGACGCTTCTCCTTACGGAGCCCAGAAGCGCGAACGGAGACTGCGCAGATCCCGTGCGCTGCGCCGGAAACGGATGCATAGTCTCGGACACCAGCTCAGACCTGCCGCCTGGCCAGGTCCGTGCGCGTTTGTAGTTTGTAAAGAAATGTTCTAATGTGTATATTTCCACGTTTATCTGTATATTATTCACTTGGGTTGTCTTCTGTTTGTGTTTAATGTGAAGCCTAGAGTTGACCTTGGGAGCTTCAGAGGTAGGGTGCTAATTTTTCTTGCAAGCTATGTAGGTAGTGAAAGGAAGGTGACAATGACTACAGGAAATTCACCCTAGTCCCTCTTCTTCCCCAGAAGTGGTCACAATTACAGGTGCTTTCCTGTTCCACGCTCTATTGCATAGCCCAGGTGCATTTATGGGAACAAAACCATGGAGATAGACACTGATCTTTAATAACATTCTGTAAAATGCCATCCTTCAAAAACCAAATATCCTTGTAAGAAAGTTAAAACATTTGGTGAAACTATTATTTTAGGCCAGGCACAGTGGCTCACGCCTGTAATGCCTACACTTTGGGGGCGCCGAAGCAGGAGGACTGCTTGAAGACCAGCCTAGGGTAACAGAAATCCCACTCATCTTTACCCCCAAAAAATTAGCCAGGTGCGATGGCATAAGCCTGTATGGTAGAGGCTGTGGCAGGATTCCCTGAGCCCTGGAGTTCAAGGTTGCAGCAAGCTGTGACTGTGCACTACAGCCTGGGTGATGGAGCAAGAAACCCCTTCTCTAAAAAATAAAGTGTCTATAAAAATCAGTCTTACTTAGACCAGCTGTCAAGATTCTCCAGTTCATAAAGTGTAATACCCACTTAAAATTTTATGTGCTTAACGGTCAGGCGCAGTGGCTCACGCCTGTAATCCCAGCACTTTCGGAGGCCGAGGCTGGTGAATCCCCTGAAGTCAGGAGTTCCAGACCAGCCTGACCAACATGGACAAACCCCATCTCTACTAAAAATACAAGCCTGTAATCCCAGCTACTTGGGAGGCTGAGGCAGGATAATCGCTTGAACCCAGGAGGTGGAGGTTGCGATGAGCCAGGATTGTGCCATTGCACTGCAGCCTGGGCAACAAGAGCAAAACTCCGTCTCAAAAAAAAAAAAAAAAAAAAAAACGTGCTTCATATTCTTCCCAGCCGGGTGCAGTGGCTCACACCTGTAATCCCAGCACTTCGGGAGGCTGAGCAGGGTGGATCACCCGAGGTCAGGAGTTCTAGACCAGCCAGGCCAAGATGGCAAAACCCCGTCTCTACTAAAAATACAAAAACTAGCTGGGTATGGGGGCACATGCCTGTAGTCCCAGCTACTCAGGAGGCTGAGGCAGGAGAATCGCTTGAACCCGGGAGGTGGAAGTTGCAGTGAGTGGAGACTGTGCCACTGCACTCCAGCCTGGGTGACAGAGAGAGACTCGGTCTCCAAAAAAAAATCATTCCCAGTTACAGTAGCACCAATACATTTCAAATTAAGAGTTTATTTAGAATACTTTGGCCGGGTGCAGTGGCTCACACGTGTAATCCCAGCTCTTTGGGAGGCCAAGGCGGGTGGATCACAAGGTCAGGAGATCGAGACCATCCTAACACGGTGAAACCCCATCTCTACTAAAAATACAAAAAAATTAGCCAGGCATGGTGGCAGGCGCCTGTAGTCCCAGCTACTCGGGAGGCTGAGGCAGGAGAATGGCGTGAACCCAGGAGGTGGAGCTTGCAGTGAGCCCAGATCGCACCACTGCACTCCATCTCAAAAAAAAAGTTTACTTAGAATGCTTTTTTAAAAGCATAATAATTTTAACTATACCTCAGATTTTACAGCTTAATGAGGCATTCTATTCCTCCTCTTTCTGGCTTAGTTTCTTGCCTTGAAGCCCAGTATTCCATAAATTTTTTAGGGCAATTTTTCAAGTTGAAGTATTGACCTCAGTTGGGAATATTGTTAAAATTCAGTTTCTAATTCAGCAGGTCTAGGGTAGGGACTTGAGATTCAGCATTTCTCAAAATCTCAGGTAGGGCCAGTCAGCCTTGGACTTGGGATTAACAGGGCTTTAATCAACACACACCACCTTATATCTCTACATTAAATAAAGATCCATTAGGTTATATATATACAATAAAGACTAAGAATGAAAACAAGAAATTTATTAAATATACAAAACAGGAATACAGTTCAATTACTGTGTCTAAAAAATTTCATTTTTACATAACCAAGACAATATTTACAACTATATACAAAAGACTCCCACCTGTGCATAACCTTTGGTCCATCTGTGCTATCTCTCATATCTGCAAGAGAAACCTAAAATGTTAATATTTGAGTGTTAAGTATTTACATCTTTTTGTGTTGGTTTTTAAATGCACAAGTACCCCTGAATGGCTCAAAGGGATGGGATAATGCTAGAAACACTAACTTGCAATAAAGTGCAGTTTTCATGCAAACTTAGCCATCAGTTTTCTTCTTTTAGATAGGTATCCACAGTCCATATGGACTTTTTTTCTGATCTATTTTTGGTGATCTTGAAGATGCCTCTTCTGTGGCAGCTTTAGCTGATTTTTGTATTGGCTTTGCTACAGAATTCTGTAAAAGAACAAATTCAGTCAGCTTCCCAAACATACATTGTACACTTTTTTCACAAAAAAAAGTACATTAAATAATCCCATGTATGAGCCTTAGAGATATTATCAATTGCTGGGCGCGGTGGCTCACGCCTGTAATCCCAGCACTTTGGAAGGCTGACACGGGCGGATCACGAGGTCAGATGTAGACCATCCTGGCCAACATGGTGAAACCCTGTCTCCTAAAAATACAAAAATTAGCCGGGCGTGGTGGCATGCGCCAGTAGTCTCAGCTACTCGGGAGGCTGAGGCAGGAGAATCGCTTGAACCCAGGAGGCAGGCAGAAGCTGCAGTGAGCCAAGATTGCACCACTACACTCCAGCCTGGGCAACAGAGCAAGACTCTGTCTCAAAACAAAAAAAAAAGGATTATCAACCAAACACATAGTGTGAACCTTAATTGTAGCTTGATTCAAAAAGTGAAGTGAAGATACTGGGGCAGCAGGGAGACACTGGACATACACAAGATACACAAGGTATAATGATTTTGAGGCTTCGTTTTTGAAACTCTTATTTTAAAACATTGTGATTAAGGAGTATTCTAAAG
This sequence comes from Homo sapiens, assembly GCF_000001405.40. Taxonomy (NCBI): domain Eukaryota; kingdom Metazoa; phylum Chordata; class Mammalia; order Primates; family Hominidae; genus Homo; species Homo sapiens. The sequence goes on from NC_000001.11 coordinate 25,243,290, forward strand.
ATTTCCCTTTAAAATATTTCAATAAAAAAGGGGGGACACTTAAAAGAATGGCAAAATATCGGAACTAACGTGAATGTTATATATATTACAAACCCATTATAATGGCCACTTATAAAAGTGGCTCAAAAACAAATGATTTTAATTCTATTTAAAAAGTGTGTCAGTAGGCCCCCAACTATCACCACAAAGATAAAAACACAAAGATGCAAAAATACATCCTAAATCCAATTTTTGAGTGTTCAATGCCTGGATATACTTACATTAGAGCTAAAAGCTATGCTTCTTTGCTGGGTAGGTTTTTCATTGGGATTTCGAGTTCCATCTTCTGTTACCTTTTCCGACAGCTAGACAGGTTAAGAAAAAGTGTAATTTTAAAACACATACCCTTGGTTTCTAAATCCTATATTAAAAAATAGCCTAATTGTAAACAAAATTTAGCTGTAGACACAAAAATCAACTTGGATCTAACAGCCTAAGTAACAGAACTATTGAGTTTTCCCCTTAACAAAACTGATTTAATATTAGGCTTAAGACACTCTTCCCATAATTATTTTACTTCCCTGCTGGCAAATTTAAACTAATTTTTTAATCAGTTTTCTCAGGTTGAATCAAGTTCACTTTTGAAATGTAAAGCCACATCAGAAAATACGTTTTAAGAAACTAAGGCATTTGCCAGTTAGGCACCTAATCGTCTGAACAAAGACCTTGTCTACTAATACTGAGCAAACCCACATCTGGGCCCAATTACACAGATTCATTTAGATACAGCATTTTTTTTTTTTAAGCCCCCGAGACGGGAGTCTTGCTCTGTCACCCAGGCTGGAGTGAAAAGTACAGTGCAATTTGCTAATGCACATCCTGCACATTTCTGGAGAATTATAATAAACTTATCTGCAAGTGAAGCAGGCCTCCTCTTCTGTAATCTCTCAAAACATCTGGAATATATTGCATATATTATGAAAGGGACATCTTTTTCACAGATGCCCCACCGTTACAACGTGTACCTTTGCTTAGTTTAAAAATTGACTTTAATACTTTATGCAAATAGTGCCTGTCCCAAATTCTAGCATGCACATGGATCTACCAACAAAAAAACTAAGTTTTCAGTGTGTGAACATAAACTTCAAATTAAACCTCTGATGCTTTAGCCCATGTATCAATTACCAACAGATTTTCTTCATCAATGTCTGCAGACCACATTCATGATTTCTATAAGACAGAAATAGAGCAGATAAACTATACTGTATATGCTGAGTACAGAATTTGTGGGAACATAATGCTGCAAATGAAAGCTACAAACACTCTGTAAATAGCTTAGAAAAACTAGTAATAGAAATCACCAAAGTACCAGCTAATAACGGTGTTATAAGAGTACACTGTTAACTGAAAATGAAAAAAATAAATGTATTTTTTGAGACAGGGTCTCGCTCTGCTGCCCAGGCTAGAGTGCAATGGTGCCATCTTGGCTCACTGCAACCTTAGCATCCTAGGCTCAAAGATCCTCCTGCCTCAGCCTCCCAAACAGCTGGGACTACAGGCATGCACCACCATGCCTGGCTAATTTTTGTATTTTTTGTAAACACGCGGTTTTGCCACATTGCCCAGGCTAGTCTTGAACTCCTGGACTCAAGCCATCTGCCTCATTACAGGCATGAGGCACCATGCACGGCCAAATAAAGCTCATTAATCTCCCATTTTCATGGGTTTGACATTGCCTATCTTCAGATTTGCTACTTTGAATTTAGCACATTATATACATCTCTAGACTTCCCAAAAAGTATAGTCTAAGATATAAGTGGCTAATCAGATTTGACAGTTGGCTTTCTGAAAGTTTTGTTCCGACAAACCTAGAATACTTACTTCAGGCTTTGCACCATTACTTGATACACCTATTCCACGGCTTGTTTCTTTGGCTGAAGGAACAGTTCTGAGACTAGCTGGCAAGTCAATGTTGGTTGTTCCTAGAGCTTTCGCTGCATTGGTTTTTGCTATTTCTAACAGCTCCATTCGATCTAAAAAAAAAAGAGAGAGATTTTAAAATACTCATTAATCTGGTAGTTATTTCCCAAGAGAACTCAGAATTACACAATAAATATGTTATTTTGTGGTATTAAATATATTAAGTCACTTGTTTTATAATAGGTAAACTAAGGTTGCCCTTGAACACTAGTAGCTGCGCTGGTCCACTTTATACTTGTTTTTTCTCCCCCTTACTAAATGCAGATAGAAAGTACCACAGTGTTTGAGAGACTGTAAACCCCAAGTGTGCGCGAGGGTTCCATATGCATCCTGGCACCAATCCCCCGAGTGAACAGAGGGACAACTGTGTAACTTTATTCACTGAAAATTCTATTCTCCAGCTCATTTCTTGCTGAAAAGAATAAAATTCTTAAATTATCTCAACAATTAGTTTTGTTTTCTTGACTAAAGGCCTGAGCGTCCTATTATTTTGTCTTTTTGTTGTACTTAATTTTCTCTAGCTAATAGTGATATTATTTTGCTTTCTCTTCAAAGATGTATTTCTGAAAACCAGGTTTTTCTGCTGTAGATTCTTTATATAATTATCACAACCACTGAACCAATACTGATACACTACTAAAGTGTATTTCTACCACCACCCCCGGCTAATTTTTGTACTTTTACTAGATAGTGAGCTATGTTGGCCAGGCTGGTATGGAACGCCTGGCCTCAAGTGACCCACCCGCCTCCGCCTCCGCCTCCCCAAGTGCTGGGATTACAGAGGTGAGCCGCCGCGCCCGGCCTCCTAGGTCACTTAGGATACTCGACAATCCAATTTTATTCAGTAATAATGTCAACTAAAAGAAGGCGTGTTTTGATATTGTTCTTCCCAATCACGTTAACTTAGAACCTTTAACTTAATCATAACATTTAAAAGGCTCCACCCACTAAGAACAGTCAGCCAATAGGAAAAAAAGTTCCCTACATCCTGAGCCATTTAACATCCAGTTGACCTTTAACCCTAAAGAGAATGCTGTCCACTTAAATACAGGTAATGTCCTCCCTCTTTCCTCCAAAAAGATTTCGGGCACTAAAGGAACTAATATTGAAACTACACAGCAACGTTGGTTCCCTAGCCTACTCATATACTGCCACCATACATTACCACAAATGGAAAGGTAAATGACCCACCCACCTTTTTCACTTAAGCGAAAGGGGGTTCTGCTCCGCGACCTCGTCCTGGATCTGTCCCTCCATCTGCTGTGCTCCTCCGGGTACACTGTGCGACCAAAGCCGTAGTAGCGCTGTCCCCGCGCGATCGCGTACGCCCTTCCGCAGTACGACCTTCCCCGAGAGCGCGACCTGCTACGGGACCGGGACCGGTACCGCGAAGGAGACCGGTAGTATCTCCTGGTGAACCCGTAGCGCCTCTCTCGGTAACGGCGGCTGCGGGATCGCGACCGGCTCCGCGAGTATGACCGCGAGTAGCGCCTGTACTTCCGCTGGTGGCGCCTTCGGGAACGGGACCTGGACTTGCTCCTCCGACTCCTGGACGAAAACCGGCTCGAGACGCGGGAATGGGACCGAGAGCTTCTGGAAAAAGAGCGGCTCCTAGACCGCGACGACAGCCGGCTGGACCCGCCCGACCGCGAGGTCGAGGGCGAATCCTTCTCCTGCGGCGAGCCCGGCCACATGTCGTTCACGTAGTTGGACATCTTCACCTGCGGCTTTAGCCTGCGCTTTCTCCGGAAAGGATCCCGCAAGCCTCAACTCAGGACTTCCTAAAAAACCAAGAGAGAAAAAACAAGTCGAGTCGCGGAAGCCGGCGCCTGGCCACCCGGAAGCCACAGTCGGGGAACCTCCGGGAGGCGGAGCCACGGCGCGGGCGGCGACCGCCGCGACAGGAACCGAGCCCTAGAAACCCCGCTCGGCGCCCTGAGGCCGCGGCCTTGAAGCGAAACGCTGCGTTCCCCAAACGCGGGGCCCGGCACGTTTCCCGTCCCTCACTCCTGAGAGACCACTGCGGTGGTCCTGAGAGACCCCGTCAGCAGAAAACTTACCGCACGCCGTCGACGCCTCCCTCACGACTGAGAGAAAGGCTCAACAGACGCCTTCCTTTCGGAACGTAAGACGAAGTGGGGCTTTTAGTCCCTGCTTTCGAACGGCGAATTCCACAACCTCCACCTCCTACGTCCGGATGCGCACTGAGGGACTACGTTAGCAGACGCGTCAAAAGTACCAGAAGCTGGCCCCCGGCGCATGCGCAGAGATGTTCCGTGGTGGGCGCGGCTCTTCTCTTGCCCAACCACCGCCCTGCCTCCTCCCTCCCCAAGCCGCGCCCTGTGCCTCGAGCGCTTGCCTCCAGGGTGCGCATGCGCGATGGGGCTCCAGGGGGAGGTGTTTGATACATCAGGGTGTCCCGTTGCCCTTGGCTTCCCCCCTGATCTGAGATAATTGCGGGACCGACCCAGTCACCAGAAAACTTCGAAGATGGAACGGCCCCGCGTGGGGCTACACCAGGCTCTGGCCTCACTGCACGGGCGGGGCTGGACGTCAGTGCCGGGCGGGGAGTAGGGCCGGGAGAGGAGCGGCTGCAGGCTGGAGAGGGCTCGCAGCCGGGCTCGGAGCTGGGGCCGTCTGACGGGCTGGTGCCCACAGGGTCGTTGCCGCCACCCACCGGCAAGTCGCAGACCCGGCCTGAGCCTCCCTGGACCCTTCCTGGCCTCTTCCTCCTGTCCTAGGTACCGCGGCGCCAGGAGAAGGCGACCGCGTCCACACCCCGCCATGACAGAGAGGGGACCTCACCCTCCCCCGGAACACCCCAAGACCCCTGGAAATGCAGTATTAACGTAGAAAAGATGTTTTACTTCCATGTTTTGGCTAGGAAGGTAATAAGGTCGAGACAAAATAAAAAGACTCAAAACTGACCTTTAATCTGGGGATAATAATGAAGTCTGCGATATCTCTTCCAAAAACTGTGTTTGGTGTGAGTGTAAACAAAGGTGACTATTTTACTTCTAGGGATCTACAAATGGGATGCATTTCAAACACTTCTTGTAATAAAGCATAACAATTGCCTTGAAAATTGTGGGTTAATTGCCTTTTTTTTTTTTTTTTTTTTTGAGACAGGGTCTCACTCGCCCAGGCTGGAGTGTGGTGGGGCCATCACGGCTCACTGCAGCCCAGGCTCCCGAAGAGCTGGAACTACAGGCATGCACCACCATGCTAATTTTTGCACTTTTTTACCCACGGGATCTAACTGTGTTGCCCAGGCTGGTCTCCAACTCCTGGGCTCAAGCGATTCTTCCGCCTCAGCCTCCTGAAGTTTTGGGATTACAGGCGTGAGCCACTTTGCCCAGCCTATACACTTCTTTACAAGTACATTTTGACAAAAGCCACTTTCTTTAGAGGGAGACACAAACTCACTCATCTCTTGTTCATCTTCACCCCACATCTCCGCAGTTCATCCACATCTCCTGAGGATGCATCATGATGGAAGTAGTTCTTAAACAGTTTCTTCTCTAAATCTCAAGACAGTGAAGATACAATGCCCATCCATCAGAAACCTTTGCCGAAAGTTCTCATAAAGCTGTGTGAGTGGACAGAAAAATAACACGAGGCCAGTCGCGGTGGCTCACGCTTGTAATTCCAGCACTTTGGGAGGCCGAAGCGGGAAGATCACCTAAGATCAGGAGTTCGAGATCAGCCTGGCCAACATGGCAAAACCCCATCTCTACTAAAAATGCAAAAATTAGCTTGACATGGTGGCGGGCGCCTGTAATCCCAGCTACTCGGGAGGCTGAGGCAGGAGAATTGCTTGAACCTGAGAGGCGGAGGTTGCAGTGAGCTGAGATTGCAACACTGCAACCCAACCTGGGCAACAGGAGCAAAACTCCGTCTGGAAACAAATAATAATAATAACAACACGAGTTTCACATTTGACAAGTATAAAAATGATGTGTTGGGGAACTAAAGTATACTTACGATACAGTTTTGAGCTCTTGGTTATGAATAGGAAAGGATGGAACAAGTCTCCGTAGACAGTTCAAAGTATCAGTCAATGTGTGCCTAAAAAATGGTGACCAGAAAAATCCTAATTTTTTTTTTTTAAGACAGTCTCGCTTTGGCGCCCAGGCTGGAATGCAGTGGTGTGATCTTGGGCTCACTGCAACCTCTGCGTACTGGGTTCACACAATTCTTGTGCCTCAGTCTCCCGAGCATCTGGGTTTACAGACGTGCACCATCATGCCCAGCTAATTTTTTTTGTATTTTTAGTAGAGATGGGTTTTCACCATGTTGGCCAGGCTGGTCTTGAACTCCTGACCTCAAGTGATCTGCCTGCCTCGGCCTCCCAAAGTGCTGGGATTACAGGCGTGAGCCACTGTGCCCAGCAAATCCTGGATATTAACAGGATTTTGGAAACAGTGGGAAACATTACTTTGCCCTCGTGCAGAATGCTGGTGTATTTGTCTCAAAAACATACGCGGTCTACCTGAGTTAAAGTCTGCAAAGTCACCTTCCTTTATTTCTCTAAACAGTATATATTCTCTGAGCATCTATCCACTCACCTAATGAAAAAAATTCAACTTTAGTTATTAGAACATCTAGCACCGAATTTGTAGGCTAATGTAGGCAGAAATAACATCTTTACAATAGCAAATCTTCCCATCTAAGAATGTGACAATGTTGTAACCAAGCGAGATAGAGAAACGCCACACTTGGAGACAAATTGTGGAGTCCTTTATTAGCCGGCAACCGGGAGACAGCTAGCGCTCAAAATTCTCTCGGCCCTGAAGAAGGGGCTAGATTTTCTTTTATACTAAGGTCTAAATAGGGGAGGGGGGTTTAACTGAAGCAGTTTTACAGAAGCAGAATAGGCAAAAAGTTAAAAAAGTTAATTGGTTATAGAAGCAGTTACAAAAAATAAACAGTTCCAGGTACAGGGGCTTAAACTATCACTAAGAGATAAATGCGGGGGCTTTAGGTACCTTCCACCGAGCACATTCCCAGGAGCTGCTGGTACAGCTTGCCTCAATATCTTATCAGCAGGTGAATTCCTGGATGTGCTTGGAGTCAGCTTGCACTAGTTACTCCCTTAGGGGGATAAAGAGGGCTGCAAGCAAAGAAACTAAAATGGAGTCTGTCCGGCTCTGTCTGCTAGGAGAGAGTCACTCAGGTTTAAACAAGGTAGGGTATCACAACAAGTTTTAAATGTGCCATTTAAGTTGGTTTTTTGTTTATGTCCTTCATTATGGTTGGCAAACCAATCGCCTCCCAAACATGTCCATTCCCTAATTTCCTGGAACCTGTGAATATGTTACCTTAAGGTGACAAAAGGAATTATGCAGATGTAATTAAGGTTAAGGATCTGGAGATGAGATTATTCTGAAGTATCTGGGTAGGCCCAATCTAATCTCAGGAGAGAGTCAAAGCATGAGAAGAATTCCATGCCCTGTTGCTGCTTCTGAAATGTAGGGGCGGGCCAGGCGCGGTGGCTCACGCCTGTAATCCCAGCACTTTGGGAGGCCAAGGCAGGCGGATCACCAGGTCAGGCATTTGAGACCAGCCTGGTCAACTTGGTGAAACCCCATCTCTACTAAAAACACAAAAATTAGCCGGGCGAGGTGGCGTCCGCCTGTAATCCCAGCTACTCAGGAGGCTGAGGCAAGAGAATCACTTGAATCCAGGAGGCGGAGGTTGCAGTGAGCTGAGATCACACCACTGCACTTCAGCCTGGGCAACACAGCGAGACTCCAACTCAAAGAAAAAAATAATTAAAAAAAAAAAAGAAAGAAAGAAATGTAGGGGCTTATGTGCAAGGGCAGGGAAAGAACTCTAGGGGCTAATGGTGGCTTCCAGCTGACAGCCAGGAAACAGACCTCAATCCCACATCATAGAACTGAATTCGGCCAACACATGGATGAGCTAGTGTTGGGGATCTTCCCCTAGAGCCTCCAAAAAGAAACAAAATGTGACTGACACCTTGACTTTAATCTGGTGAGACTCCTCACCTATAGAACTATGAGATATTAAATTTAGGTTGTTTTAAGCCACTAACATTATGGTTATTTATTACCACAGCAATAGGAAAATAAAACATTCAGTATAATTTATAGTTTTCCTTTTTTTTTTCTTTTTTGAGACGGAGTTTCACTCTGTTGCCCAGGCTGCAGTGCAATGGCTTGATCTTGGCTTACTGCAACCTCTGCCTCCCGGATTCAAGCAATTCTCCTGCCTCAGCCTCCTGAGTAGCTGGGATTACAGGCTTGTGCCATCATGCCTGGCTTATTTTGTATTTTTAGTAGAGACGGGGTTTCTCCATGTTGGTCAGGCTGATCTCCAACTCCCAACCTCAGGTGATCCGCCCACCTCAACCTCCCAAAGTGCTGGGATTACAGGCGTGAGCCACTGCGCCCGGCTCAAAGTTAATATTTTTGTTAATTTTAATGACAAAACTAATTTTTTATCAGGTAAAGGAATCCAAAGATGTATACAAGCTAACGATCATTCCCTAGAGGTATAGAATCCTCTAAAAGAGGTCTCCATCCTTCTTCCTCATATCTTAGAGATAACCAATGTTAACAGTTTAACGAGTGCCCTTCCACAGTTTTCTTCAAGACATGTCAAATATACCCACATATAGATTTTTTTTTTTTTTTTGAGACAGAGTCTCGCTCTCTTGCCCAGACTGAAGTGCAGTGGTGCAATCTCGACTTACTGCCACCTCTGCCTCCCTGGTTCAAGTGATTCCCATGCCCCAGCCTCCCAAGCAGCTGGGAGTACAGGTGCACGCCACCACGCCTGGCTAATTTTTGTTGCTGTTGTTGTTTTGTGAGACAGAGTCTCACTCTCTCACTCAGGCTGGAGTGCAGTGGCATGATCTCGGTTCACTGCAACCTCCCTCTCCCAGGTTCAAGTGATTCTCGTGCCTCAGCCTCCCAAGTAGCAGGGATTACAGGCACATGCACCACAGCTGGCTAATTTTTTTTTTTTTAGTAGAGACATGTTCTGTGTGGGGAGTGCACAGGTACAAGCAAACACACAGCACTCACACATAAGTGCAGATTGTAAACTACTTTAGGTTCATTTAAGTATAAAATAGAAGGTGCATTGAGCAAATAGCAGTGAGGAAAAAAAAACAATCAGCATATATACACTCACCAGACAATGGAGGATTCATCACCAGACCGGGAAGCAACAGCCTAGGCTCCAGAGTCAGCCACTGGTCCATGCACAGAGAAGGAGAGGTCTCGTGGAGCTTCAGCGTAGTCTGGGACCCTGACCTTTTTTTTTTTTTTTTTTGAGACGGAGTTTCACTCTTGTTGCCCAGGCTGGAGTGCAATGGCACGATCTCGGCTCACTGCAACCTCCGCCTCCTGGGTTCAAGGGATTCTCCTGTCTGAGTCTCCTGAGTAGCTGGGATTACAGGCGCCAGCAACTACGCCCAGCTAATTTTTGGTATTTTTAGTAGGATGGGGGTTTCACCATGTTGGCCAGGCTGGTCTCGAACCTCTGACCTCAGGTGATCCGCCCACCTTGGCCTCCCAAAGTGCTGGGATTACAGGCATGAGCCATCGCACCTGGCCTGACCTTTTTATAGTATTCTTTTTGGCATGAGGCCTAGGCACAAGGGCCTTTTGTCATTGGACTCAAGGAACACGGAAAGGTCAGCCTATTTTCAAGGTTTTGTTTATTGCCTCGAGGCAGATGATGTATTTATCAAGAACAATCAGTATGTCCATCCGTTCCTGAGCAAGTGCCCAGGGACAGATTTCTGGCACGTAACCATTCCTTGTGTTCAAGTCCAATTGAGTTCAAATTTAATATTTAACTTTTACTCCACAAGAAGGGGTTTCACCATGTTGGCCAGGCTGGTCTCGACCTCTTGACTTCAGGGGATCTGTCCACTTTGGCTTCCCAAACTGCTGGGATTACAGGCATGAGCCACCACATCGGTGCATACAGAATTTTTGATGAATATGGGCTCGTTCTAAACAAGTTGAAACTTATAATCAACATCCTTTAAGAGAAATCACATAGATCTAATGTGTTTTGGTTTATCAGCTGTATCGTATTCCATAGTTTAGAAGTACTAGAAATTGGTCTATCCCATTGTTTTGTTTTTTTGTTTGTTTGTTTTTGAGATGGAGTTTCGCTCTTATTGCCCAGGCTGCACGGTCTCGGCTCACTGCAACCTCCGCCTCCCGGGTTCAAGCGATTTTCCTGACTCAGCCTCCCGAGTAGCTGGGATTACTGACATGCGCGACCACGTCCAGCTAATTTTGTATTTTTAGTAGAGATGGGGTTTCTCCATGTTGGTCAGGCTGGTCTCGAACTCCCGACCTCAGGTGATCCGCCCACCTCGCCTCCCAAAGTGCTGGGATTACAGGTGTGAGCCACGGCGCCCGGCCTATGCCCCATTTTTTATTCATGGACATGCATATGGTTTCCAGTTTTTTCACTAAATACAATGCCTCAGAACCATCCACAGATATCAGAGCAGTCACAGAGCTCCTCCACAGGCCCCTAATCCACAAGCCCAAGGTCAAAGAGCCATGTACAAGACAAAGTTGGAGCAGCTGATTGCAGTGAAAACCCCAGCACTGCTCCAGGAGTTTCCTCCAACGGTGGTGGGGGTCAGCTTAGCTCTTTCAGACAGGATTAGAGGAGCGTATCCAAAGTGTGAGAGCTACAAAGAGGAAAAAGGAGCTCTGAGTGATTTTGACACAGATGATACATTTGTTGATCTTAGATCAGAGATTAGTTGAGATTAGACATCTCCGTTGTTAGGGCTGCTATAGAATCATAGCTACAGTCACCAGTAAAGCATTCAAGGCAATTAACACATCAACAAACATGGCCTTTTTTAGGATGTCCCAAGGAATTCCTGCTGCTGGGTGAACCATCACCCCATAGGAGCTCACTCCACTGTTTGCAATTACTGAGCCTTGGTGTAAGTCAGCTGATCTTCCTACTGCTCCTCTTAGTGATGGTTTCCTGGGTTGATAGCTGTAGTGTGGAAATATCAGGCTTGCAGTGCTATACAGGAGGCACCCTTGATAAATTTAACACATCTGTTCCCTGCCATGAATACCTAGTATGTGAAGATGCTATCTGTAATATTCACCAGGGAAGCCGATGACTCTGTCCAATTACAGCCACCATATAGAGATGTTATGAATAGGTTTTTGTTTTGTTTTGTTTTGAGACAGAGTCTCACTCTGTCGCCCCGGCTGGAGTGCGGTGGTGTGGTCTCAGCTCACTGCAACTTCCACCTCCCCAGTTCAAGCGATTCTCCTGCCTCAGCCTCCTGAGTAGCTGGGATTATAGGCGCCTGCCACCATGCCAAGTAATTTTTTGTATTTTTAGTAGGGACGGGGTTTCACCATGTTGACCAGGCTGGTCTCGAACTCCTGATCTCGTGATCTGCCCACCTCAGCCTCCCAGAGCACTGGGATTACAGGCGTGAGCCACCAGGCCCAGCCGAATAGTTCTGTATCACATCATTCAGCTTTGGGGGGTGTCTACTGAAACCAGGGCAAGCAAAAGGACAACACACAAATCCAGATATGTATTTGTCAATATTATTCTTGATAAGTCATACAGGTGCAATTACTGGTAGTGTCACTACAACGGAAGAACCGATTGGTGCCTCTGTGTAACTGAGAATGAGACAGTCACGTCCGTGCCTAATGGCCATCTGTATTGCTTGAGGACTGGTCTGCTTTGCACAAAATATAACTCTTCCACGCACACTTTTGCTCACTACGGTGTTGCTACTCAGTCAGAAGAGCCATCTCAACCATACCCACCTTAACATCAGAGAAACCATTATTAACCATATATGGATTATGTTACACAAACTTCACAGGGAATTTAACTTCGGTGATGGCACAGTCATGGGCAATGGAATAACTGGAGAATGTCAACTGGGTCCAGAACAGAAAAACGAGAAATACTATAGAAGGCTAAGTTACTGATGCTATAAGAGGCTTCCTTTTTGAAGGTTATATGCAGTCTACTTTGTGTCCTGCTCCCCCCAAATCCTTTCACGGCCTCTACTTGATCATACTTAATTTTTGCAACTTTGACTCAACAACCAAATGATCACAGGTAATGTCTTAGGAGATTTAGCACTTGTCTGGCCCTGTGTAAAGATGAACTGTTCGATCCTCATGCTGACAACAAATAACCTTTACTTCAAGGTACAATGCAATGAAGCCATTATTTTTACAACCAGTGAAATGGGATCTTATAGAGCAGCAGTCCCCAACCCTTTCGGCAACAGGGACCAGTTTCGTAGAAGACCATTTTTCCACAGCTGGGGGTGGGGGGTTGTTCTGGGATGATTCAAGTGCATTACATTTATTGTGCACTTTATATTATTATTACATTGTAATATATAATAAAATAGTTATACAACTTGCCATAATGTAGAATCAGTGGGAGCCCTGAGCTTGTTTTCCTGCAACTAGACAGTCCCATCTGAGGGGATGGGAGACAGTGACAGATCATTAAGCACTAGATTGTCATAAGGAGTGGCAATCTAGATTCCTCGCATGCACAGAGTTCGCTCCTGTGGGAATCTAATGCTGCGGCTGATCTGACGAGAGGTGGAGCTCAGGCAGTAATGCAAGTGATAGGGAGTGGCTGTGAATACAGATGAAGCTTCACTCGCCCACCGCCTGCCTCCTGCTGTGCGGCCTGGTTCCTAACAGGCCACAAATGGGGGGTTGGAGACCACCTTCCATTGGCAAAGGGTGATACATATCAACCATTCGGGCCAATAAAACAAATGTGCTCAGAGAACCAGCTCTGAACGTTGTTCCCATGTTCAGCAACTGTTTCGTTAAACGCTATTAATGGATAAGTTTTTCCTGGAAGTCTTCTATCCGGATCTTTTTTTTTTTTTTTTTTTAAGAGACAGAGTCTCACTAGCTCTGTTGTCCAGGCCGGAGTGCAGTGGCGCCATCCTAGCTCACTGCAGCCTCAACTTCCTGGGCTCAAACGATCCTCCCGCCTCAGCCTACTGAGTAGCTAGGACTACAGGCATGCGCCACTACACCTGACTAATTTTTAAAAAGAGTGTTTGGTAAAGTCCATGTAGCCCAGGCTGTTCTCACACTCCTGGCCTCAGGCAAGATCTTCCATCCCAGTCAGCTAAAGCACTGCGATTACAGGCATGAGCCACCATGCTGGGTCCCATTGAGATTTTGTTGCTGTTATTAGACAGAGTCTCACTCAGTCACCCAGGATGGAGTGCAGTGGTGTGATCATGGCTCACTACAGCCTCAACCTTCCAGGCTCAGGTGATCCTCCTACCTCAGCTCCCACCAGTAGCTGGTACTACAGGCACACACCACCACCATACCCAGCTAATTTTTTTTGTATTTTTTTGTAGAAATGGGGTTTCACCATATTGCCCAGGCTAATCTTGAACTCCTGGGCTCAAATGATCCTCCAGCCTTGGCCTCCCAGAATGCTGAGATTACAGGCGTGAGTCACCGTGCCTGGCTGCCCCATCGAGATCTCACAGGAGGCCCTCACGTGCTTGACTTCTTGTATTATGCTATTGGACCTAAATCTGATTTCTCTGGAGTGCATCAGGCATCTCACAATGAGTCCACTCACTTGAACAGTTCTTTATGGCGTGTCAAGTTACCTTCACTTGCTTTCCTCAGTCTATTAGACTGGTTTCTGGATTTGACCTTTTGGGCAGCCTGGCTTGGAGGCATATTATGCTTTGTAACACCTGCAACTTCACTGGGAGCCAAAGCCACATGCTGCTTTAAGTAGTATTACTTTTATTGCTATATTACTTTTATTCCTAAAGTGGAACAGCTAGGTCGAAGGAGCTGTGTCATTTAATACACTTCAGTATTGCCTTCCAAAAAAGGTTGTCACGACAATGTATGGGAATGCCTTCTTGATCTCCCAGACAGGTTTTCCTCCAATTATAGGTTATCCTGCTTTCCTGTGCCTCCTATTTTTAGCATTTATCACGCTTGTAATTAAATAATTAAGGTTTTAATTTATTTTTAATGTGTGTTTCCTCCCAGAATATAAATTACATAAGGAGAGAAACTTGTTCTTACTCTACCCCAGCATTCCAGACAGTGTATTTCATTTGGCATTCAATTGGTGTTTACTGAATGAACAAATGAAAAAGAATCTCAAATAGGTCTGAAGGGAACAGGCAGAGGGAAAATAATATTTTAGAAACAAAAGTCTTAGCAAACTTGGAGTTAGAAATGCCCATTTTAGAATTTGGGGATAGAAGAAAAACTAGCTTGACTAGAGCAAAGGGTTTATTGTGGGGAATTTTGGAAAATAAGGCTGGAGATGCAGATTTTTTTTTTTTTTTTTTTTTGAGTCAGAGTCTCGCCCTGTTGCCCAGGTTGAGTGCACTGGTGCAGTCATGGCTCACTGCAGCCTCAACCTCCCAGTCTCAAGTGATCCTCCCACCTCAGCCTCCCAAGTAGCTGGGGCTACAGGCACACGTCTCCATGCCCAGCTAATTTTTTGTTGGTGATGGTATTTTTTGTAGACATAGGGTTTCTCCACATTGCCCAGGCTGGTCTCAAACTCCTAGGTTCAAGTGATCTGCCCACCTCAGTCTCCCAAAGTACTGGGATTACAGGCGTGAGCCACCATACCTGGCCCACAGAAATAGATTTGAGGCAGACTTTGGGGAGCCATGAGTGTCAACATCTACTTGTGAAGCAGCAGGATCCTCATTCATCAGAAATAATCTATTTCCTAAAAGCTGACTGAATACACTGAGATGGCAAGTAGCTTTACCTAACTGGATGGGAGGAAAGAAAACGCTTCCAGGATGTGGGGGCAGAGTGTTCCAAAGGCTTTTAACCTTAACATATGCTTTGCTTAAACAAATACCTGAAACACCTACACTACAAAAATGCATAATCTCATTATTTATTTATTTATTTGAGACAGAGTCTCGATCTGTTGCCCAAGCTGGAGTGCAGTGGCACAATCTCGGCTCGCTGCAACATCCGCCTCCCAGGTTCTAGTGATTCTCCTGCCTCAGTCTCCTGAGTAGCTGGGATTACAGATGTGCACCACCATGCCGGCTAATTTTTGTATTTTTTGTAGAGATTGGGTTTCATCATGTTGGCCAGGCTGGTCTTGAACTCCTGACGCTGTGATCCACCTGCCTGGGTCTCCCAAAGTGCTAGGATTACAGGTGTGAGCTACCGTGCCCAGCCGGCAACTGGTGTTCTCATGGGAGAAGAAGACTTTTTGGAAGACCCTGTCATTGCGTTTGTGAGACTGGCTCCTGCTGTCCTCCTCTCAAAGCTATCTGAGGTTTCTGTTGCTATGACATAAATAATTAGTTCCAATTATTCTCTCAGTAGGTTCAAAACCAAAAATTTTTATCTACTGAATGAACAAGAATACTGCTTTATGTAATAAAAACTCATTTAAATTTTTAATATTCAGTCATTATACCAAATACTTTGAGTATTAAAGCATAAAGAATTATCTTTCTTTCTGGAACCAAACAATGAAATAAATATCTCTTAAAAAAAAACTGCATTTGTACTCTTATAAGAAGTTTGGCATCATAGGAGATTTGGCCTAGAAAACACTTTGTCATTTTAGAGGTGTTATCCAATGTTCGCGCAGGCACTGGAGTCAGAGAAAATGGAGTTGAATCCTTTCTCTGCCACTCTTTGAGGAGAATCTCACCATTTATTATGCACTGTAGAATACAACAATAAAATACAGCCATGTACCACATAACAACATCTTGGTAAACAACAGACTGCATATATGATGGTGGTCATCCAGTAAGCTAAGGTTAATTTATTATTATTCCCTTTTTTTTTTCTTTTTTTTGAGATGTAGTCTTACTCTGTCACCCAGGCTAGAGTGCAATGGCACCATCTTGGCTCACTGCAACCTCTGCCTCCTGGGTTCAAGCGAATCTCCTGCCTCAGCCTCCGAAGTAGCTGGGAATTACAGGCACCCACCACATCTGGCTAATTTTTTGTATTTTTAGTAAAGATGGGGTTTCACCATGTTGGCCAGGCTGATCTCAAACTCCTGACCTCAAGTGATCTGCCTGCCTCGGCCTCCCAAAGTGCTGGGACCATAGGCCTGAGCCACTGTGCCCGGCCTTGTTTGCTTTTTTAACAGTTAACAGTGTGCTCATAGAAACTGCTTTGACATGACTGCAATCATGTGCTTCATAGAAACTTAATTAGATTATACCACTAGAGTCTTCAGATTTTTATACTTTTTTTTTTGAAACGGAGTCTCACTCTGTCACCAGGCTGGAGTGCAGTGCCGCAATCTCAGCTCGCCGCAACCTCCGCCTCCCAGGTTCAAGTGATTCTCCTGCCTCAGCCTCCCGAGTAGCTGGGATTACAAGTGCACACTACCACGCCCAGCTAATTTTTGCATTTTTACTAGACAGGGTTTCACCATGTTGGCTAGGATAGTTTCACCAGGATCTCTTGGCCTCATGATCAGCCTGCCTCGGCCTCCCAAAGTGCTGGGATTACAGGTGTGAGCCACCGTGCCCAGCCTATACTTCCCTTTTTGAATACCATTTGGCGTTTTGAAGAATTAACAGCTTTGTGAACGTGGCAGTGCTTGTGATTCAGGCTTCCACTGAGACCAAGGGGAGAACCTGGTTGCAGGACAAACAGACGGACAGCGTGTGGCAGTGTTTAAATGCTCTTCTGAAGGCTGATACGACAGCTCTCTGTGCACTGATTGTATACGCATCCCAAGATTATATTATTGTTTTCTATTGCTATGTGTCACACTTTGCCAAACAGGATGTGGAAAATGAATAAGCGGTTTTCTTAGGCACTTCTTAACAGACAATTGGTCAAAATGAACTCCATTGCTTAAGAAACACATAAACACCATTTAGTCACTGAATATAGCTATATGTATGGTTGCTACTATGGGGAATCTTGTTTTGCCAATTTTCTTTGAAAATTCTGGCAGACCAAGGTTCTTTTTGTTTACACAATACTTGAAAAATAAAAATGAACAAGCCAACAAACTACCAAGTTTTCACTTACATAAATGTAGTTACATACAGAAAATGTGACTGTGAATTTTTTCTAGGACTTTTAAACTATAAGCACTATTTGCACGAAAGAGAACCAATCTATCAATTACAAACTCACATAATTTTACAGATTTTTTTTTCCCTACACAGCACATAAAACAGAAGGAATTTGAAGCCACCCTCCAAACACAGGGGAAGGAGGCTGTGTGTATATCCTCATTGTCTTTCACATTCTAAGGTGGTTCCACTCAGTGACTGAAATCCTTAAGTGTTGTATTAGTCGGCTTGGGCTACCATAACAGCAGCTTAAACTGTTGTTAAGCCACTCAGACTTAAACAACAGAAATTTATTTCCTTATAGTTCTGGAGGCTGGAAGTTCAAGGTGCCGGCAAGGCTGGTTTCTGGTGAGACCTCTCTCCCTGTCTTGCAGATGGCTGCCTCCTCCCTGTGTCCTCATAGAGCCTGTCCTCTGCTTTTACACTTCTGGTGTCATCTTCCTTTTTTTTTTTTTTTTGAGACAGAGTCTCGCTCTATCGCCCAGGCTGGAGTGCAGTGGCCCGATCGATCTCGGCTCACTGCAACCTCTGCCTCCCAGGTTCAAGCAATTCTCCTGCCTCAGCCTCCCGAGTAGCTGGGACTACAGGTGCCCGCCATCATGTCTGGCTAATTTTTGTATTTTTAGTAGAGACAGGGTTTCACCATATTGGCCAGGCTGGTCTCCAACTCCTGACCTTGTCATCTGCCTGCCTCGGCCTCCCAAAGTGCTAGGATTACAGGCGTGAGCCACCGCACCCGGCCTCTTTCTCTTCTTATAAGGACACCAGTCCTATTAGATTAGGGCTCCACCCTCATGACCTCATTTGACCTTAACTATTATTTCTTTAAAGCACCTATTTCCAAATATAGTCACTTTAGGGGTTAGGGCTTCAAAATATGAATCTGAGGGAGATCAATTCAGTAAATAGCAGTAGTCATTAACGGACAATATATACAAAGATAATTTCGTGATTACTGTCCTTATGCATAAATGTCCTCAGTGTTCCACTGCCTTTATCCAGATTTACTATCACAAAGACTTTGCTCTGAGAAAAATGTGATTTCTTTCTTTTTTTTTTTTTTTTGAGACAGAGTCTCACTCTGTCACCCAGGCTGGAGTGCAGTGGTGCAATCTCGGCTCACTGCAATCTCCGCCTCCCAGGTTCACGCCATTCTCTTGCCTCAGTCTCCCGAGTAGCTGGGCCTACAGGCGCCCGCCACCCTGCCCAGCTAATTTTTTGTATTTTTAGTAGAGACGGGGTTTCACCATGTTAGCCAGGATGGTCTCAATCTCCTGACCTCGTGATCCACCTGCCTCAGCCTCCCAAAGTGCTGGGATTACAGGCATGAGCCACCGCGCCCAGCAGATTTTTTTTTTTTTTTTTTTTTTTTGAGATGGAGTCTTGCTGTGTTGCCCAGCCTGGAGTGCAGTGTTATGATTTTGGCTCACTGCAACCTCTGTCTACCATGTTCAAGCGATTCTCCCACCTCTGCCTCCCGTGTAGCTGGGATCACAGGCACACGCCACCACACCTAGCTACTTTTTGTATTTTTAGTAGAAATGGGGTTTCACCATGTTGGCCAGGATGGTCCCGAACTCCTGACCTCAAGTGATCCTCCTGCCTCGGCCTCCCAAAGTGCTGGGATTACAGGTGTGAGCCACTGTGCCTGGCCAAAAATGTGATTTCTTATTTCCCACATTGCCAATTCCATTTCAATTAACTATAATAGCTATGTCTATTGAGCACTCAAGTGTATTCTAGAAACTGTTCCTGATTCTGGGGATATATCCATGAATCAACTATAGTCCCTGTTATTAAGTAATCTGTAGTCTGACTAAACCATTAGAAATTTAAAAAATGGCTACTTTCAAAGACATCTTGGAGTTCAGGAGTCCCACACTGCGAACCATATTACCTAATAATCCAACCTGCTTGTAATTCACTTATTTAACCAATATTTATTGAGTGCCAACTTTGAGCCTAAGATACAGCAGTAAACAAATGGATAAAGTCCCTGTCCTCATGAAACTTGTATTCTAATGGAAGAAACAGAAAACAAACAGATATAGGATGTAATATCAGGTAGGGATAAATACTTTGAATTCAAACAAAAGTATACGTAGTCAGGGTTCGCCAAAGAGACACAGCCAATCGGATACATAGATATATAAAAGAGGGTTTATGAGTTAGAAAGGGCTCACATGATTACAGAGGCTGAGAAGTCCCACAGCAGATTGTCTGCAAGCTGGAGACCCAGGGATACTGGTAGCATGGCTCAGTCCAAGTCCCAAAGCCTCAGAATCAGGAAAGCTGATGATATAATTCTTAGCCCAAAGGCCTTAGAACCCCAGCGGTGACGGAAAGGCTGATGTAGGTCCTGGAGTCCTGAGACCCAACAGCCTGGGATCCTGAAATCCAAGGGCAGGAATGGAAGCGTGTATTCCAGCTCCAAGAGAGTAAGACCAATTTGCCTTTCTTCCGTTTTTGTTTCAAGCCACCTGCACATTGAGGGCGGATGGTTCCCTCTTAGTCCATTCAGTCATATATCAATCTCTTCTGGAAATACCCTCACAGACACACTAACAAATAATGCCTTTCCAGTTCTCTAGGTATTCTTTAATCCAGTCAAGCTGACACCTAAAATTAACCATCACAAAAGTTAAGGAGAAAGAAGACAACTTGTAGGGGAGGCTGCTATGCAAGACAGTGTGTGAAGGAAGGGCTCTCTGAAGAGGTTAATATCTGAGCAGAGACTTGAATGAAGTGAAGAAGTGAGCCATGTGGGTATGGGGAATACAACTTCCAGGTAGAGAAGACAAGTGTGGTGTGTATCAGGGTCAGCAAAGAAGCCATGTGACAGAGAAGGGTGGGCCAGGGAGAGACGGATAAGTGATCTAACTCCTGAGGAGGTGGCCTGGCCAGGAGCTAGAGCATGAAGATCTCGTAGGACTTTATTCTGCAAGGTGAAAAGCCATTGTATTAGTCTGTTCACAAACCCGAGACTAGGCAATTTACAAAAGAAAGAGAGGTTTAATGGACTTACAGTTCCACATGGCTGGGGAGGCCTCACAATCATGGCGAAAGGCAATGAGGAGCAAGTCACGTCTTACGTGGATGGCAGGCAAAGACAAAGACAGCTTGTGCAGAGAAACTCCCCCTTATAGAGCCATCAGATCCTGTTAGACTTATTCACTATCACAAGAACAGCACGGGTAAGACCTGTCCCCATGATTCAGTTACCTCCCACTGGGTCCCTCCCACAACGCATGGGAATTCAGGATGAGATTTGGGTGGGGACACAACCAAACCCTATCATTCCACCCATGGCCCCTCCCAAATTTCATGTCCTCACATTTCAAAACCAATCACACCATCCCAACAGTCCCTCAAAGTCTTAAATGATTTCAGCATTAACTCAAAAGTCCACAGTCTAATGTCTCATCTGAGACAAGGCAAGTCCTTTCCATTTATGAGCCTATAAAATCCAAAGCAAGTTAGTTACTTCCTAGATACAATGGGGGTACAGGCATTGGGTAAATACAGCCATTCCAAATGGGATAAATTGGTCAAAACAAAGAGGCTACAGGCCCATGAGAGTCCAAAATCCAGTGGGGCAGTCAAATCTTAAAGCTCCAAAATGATCTCCTTTGACTCCACATCTCACATCCAGGTCACGCAGATGGAAGGGGTGGGTTCCCATGGTCTTGGGCAGCTCTGCCCCTGTACCTTTGCAGGGTACAGCCTCCCTCTCAGCTGCTTTCATGGGCTGGCATTGAGTGTCTGCAGCTTTTCCAGGTACACGGTGCAAGCTGTCGGTGGATCTACCATTCTGGGGTCTGGAGGACCTCTTCTCACAGCTCCACTAGGTGGTGCCCCAGTAGGGACTGTGTGTGGGGTCTCTGACCCCACATTTCCCTTCTGCACTGCCCTGGCAGAGGATCTCCATGAGGGCCCTGCTCCTGCAGCAAACTTCTGACTGGGCATCCAGGCATTTCCGCACATCCTCTTTAATCTAGGCGAAGGTTTCCAAACCCCAATTCTTGACTTCTGTGCACTCGCAGTCTCAACACCACATGGAAGCTGTCAAGGCTTGGGGCTTGCACTCCCCGAAGCTACAGCCCAAGCTCTACCTTGCCTCCCGTCAGTCATGGTTGGGAGTGGCTGGGATGCAGGGCACCAAGTCCCTAGGCTGCACACAGCATGAGGACCCCGGGCCTGGCCAACAAAACCATTTTTTCCTGATACCTCTGGACCTGTGATGGGAGGGGTTGCCATAAAGACCTCTGACATGCCCTGGAGACATTTTCCCCATTGTCTTGGGAATTAGCATTTGGCTCCTGTTACTCATGCAAATTTCTGCAGCCAGCTTGAATTTCTCCTCAGAAAATGGGAATTTTTCTTTTCTATCACATTGTCAGGCTGCAAATTTTCCGAACTTTTATGCTCTGCTTCCCTTATAAAACTGAATGTCTTTAACAGCACCCAAGTCACCTCTTGAATGCTTTGCTGCTTAGAAATTTCTCCTGCCAGATACTCTAAATCATCTCTCTGAAGTTCAAAGTTCTACAAATATCTCGTGCAGGGGCAAAATGCCGCCAGTATCTTTGCTAAAACATAACAAGAGTCCCCTTTGCTCCAGTTCCCAACAAGTTCCTCATTTCCGTCTGAGACCACCTCAGCCTATGGACTTTATTGTCCACAGTGCTATCAGCATTTTGGGCAAAGCCATTCAACAAGTCTCTAGGAAGTTCCAAACTTTCCCACATTTGCCTGTCTTCTTCTGAGCCCTCCAAACTGTTCCAAACCCTGCCTGTTACCCAGTTCCAAAGTCACATACCCATTTTTGAGTATCTACGGCAGCACCCCACTCTACTGGTACCAATTTAGCCACTGAAGTAGTTGGAGAACAGAAGTAATAGACTCTGGTTTACATTGTAAAAGCTTCTCTGTGGCTGCTGTGTGAAGAAAATATATGAGAATGAAGCCCCAAGATGAAGCAGGGACACAGTTGCAGTGGTTAGAGTAAGAAATGCTGCTGGCTGGCACTGAAGTGATAGCCTGGAGGTTTGTGTGTGCACATGCATGTGTATGTGTTTTACGATAGTAGGCCCAACAGATACTGTAATCCACACTTGTTTTTTTTTTTTGAGACAGAGTCTCACCTGTTGCCTAGACTAGAATGCAGTGGCACAATCTTGGCTCACTACAACCTCCACCTCCCAGGTTCAAACAATCCTTGTGCTTCAGCCTCCCGAGTAGTTGGGATTACAGGTGTGTGCCACCGTGCCCAGCTATATTTTTTGTATTTTTAGCAGAGATGGGATTTTGCCACATTGGCCAGGCTGGTCTTGAACTCCTGGCCTCAAGCAATCCTCCCACCTTAGCCTCCCAAAGTGCTGAGCCACCACACCTGGCCGCAACTGATTTTTAATCATGAAATGACACATACATTTAAAAAACCCAATACCTATAATATTCCTGGCTAGTACTCTTCACATCTATATCATCAAAAACAAAGAAAGTATGTGAAACTGACACAGCCAAGGGGAGACTAAGGAGACATAACAATTAACTGTAATGTGGTATTCTGGAGGGGATCCTGGAACAGAAAAAGACATTAGGCAAAAAACTAAAGAAATCTGAATAAAATGTGGATGTCAGTTAATAATAATGTATCATATTAGTCCAGTAATTGTAACAAATATACCACAATAATGAAAGCCATTAATTATAGGGAAAATGGAGGGGTTAATATGGGTGGCTGGCTTTTGCTATTTCTAGCAGCTCCATTTTATCTGCAAAAGACAAACATTCATTAAGTCCCAAAAAGGTAAAGAATGACAAATTAAGCATGTATCTTATTAGTAAGAGTAATATAAAGATGCTCACTCCTATTTATAAATATTTGACAATCATGTTAAGGCCACAAAAGAGAAAAAAGGGTAGGGGCAAAAAACGCAAAGAGAAAGGAGTTAGTATCTTTTCTCCCGCACTCATTAGCTATTAAAAGAGGATGTTTGTTTAAAGCTGCTCAGAGCTGGTAAACTAATGTTAAGTCACTAACGGGAATTTAAAAGGTTTCATTAAGAACTGCCTGCACTAGATTCCTCCACCCTGAGACATTAAACAATCACGATAAACCTCCTGAGTGGTAAGAACTTGTCCATTTAAAAACAGGCTATAGATTGTATCATGCAGTTTTATCTACTAATCGGCTAATATCCCGCCAAAAACAAAAAACCCCAAAGGGATGAAAGTTTCATCCATCAAAGGAAACAACAGTCACCTTGGTTCCCATCTCACTCATATACTGCCGCCGTACATGTCAATCAGATGAACCTGTGCGTATCTCTTAATGACAATTGACCCACATTTTTGACTGAAGTGAAAGGGGGTTCTGCTCCGCGACCACTTCCTGGATCTCCCCCTCCACCCTCTGTGTTCTTTCGGGTGCACCATCGGGTCAAAGCCGCAGCAACGCCGTCTCTGTGTGATCGCATGTGCCCTTCTGCACACGACCTTCCCCCGAGAGTGACCAGCTACCGGACAGGCACCAAGGAGGGCTACCGAGCACCTCCCGGACCGGCGGCTGCAGGATCGCGAGCGCCTCCGCTAGGGAGACTGCACGTTGCGCCTGTGCTTCCTGCGGTGGCGCCTTCTGCAAGGAGACCTCGACCCTGCTCCCTCTCCGGGGCTGGATCTGACTCCTTGACGGTGATTCCAGACGCGAGACCCAAACTGACGGCTTCTAGAAGAGGGGCGAGCCCGGCCGCAAGTCTTTCACGTAGCTAAGTCATCGTTGCTTCCGGCTTCTTACCGTTCTCCCCTTTGTAAACGGTTACCTCCCGAAAACCCAGGCTCTCCTCCAACAGTGGTTCTCAAGCGAGGCGATCTTCCCCGGGAGGGGATATTTGGCAAAGTCTGGGGGCATTTTTGGTTCACTGGGGCTGCTACTTGCATCCACTGGGTAGAGGCGGGGGATGCAGCTACACAACCTGCGAAGCACGGGACAGCACCCTCCCCAACCCAGACAGAATTAGCCGGCCCAAAACCTCAGTAGTGCCCAGGCTGAGAAACCCTGCCTTAAACAAACAACAAAGAAAAGCCAAGTCCCATAAGTGGGTCACCGCGCCGAGACTGGGGTCCACGGGACACCCCAGCCACGCCAAGCCGGGAAGTCCCCGCCTCCTGGAGCTGAACCCGCCCCTCTCCCAGAGGTGGAGCTGCGGGGGGCGGGAACAGGCACGGAGAAAATAAACAAGACTAAAAAGTCCTGAGTAGCGCTGTGTGGCCGCAAACCTGAACCCACCTTTTGCACCACGCGGGACCCGGCACGCTTCCTGCCACCCACCCCTGAGAGGGCTGCGCGGCCGACCCCAGTACTAGAAAACACTCGTCACCTCAATCAAGACGGGTACGAAGGCCAACGGACGCCTTCCTTTAGAACGCTCAGCACACAGAGCAACTTCTCACGCCTACTCTCAAATGGCGTACTCCAAACTAGCACTCCCGACGTCCAGCTGTGAACCCAGAGCGGCGGAAAGCCCCTGAACCCAGCGCCCGGGCATGCGCAGACGCGTTGTTGTGGTGGGCGTGGCTCCCTCCGGACCCGGCGCCCCGCCCTCCGCCCCGTGTCCGCATGCGCGACTGAGCCGCGGGGGTGGTACTGCTGCATCCGGGTGTCTGAAGATCCGATGAAATAACATATGCAAAATGATTGGGTCCGTGATTGGCATTCCAGAAATGGTAGCTGTTATTCAGCCAACAAATATTTATTGAGCACCTACTATGGACTTCCCTGGTGCTGAGGATACAACAGCAACCACAGCAGTCAAAAGTCCCTGTCTTCATGTTGCTCAGATTCTCATAGGGGAAAGCAAATAATGAACAAATACACGGCCGGGCGCAGTGGCTCACGCCTGTAATCCCAGTACTTTGCGAGGCCAAGGTGGGCAAGTCACCTGAGGTCAGGAGTTCGAGACCAGACTAGCCAACGTGGTGAAACCCTGTCACTACTAAAAATACAAAAATTAGCGCGGTGTGGTGGCTCATGCCTGTAGTCCCAGCTACTTGGGAGGCTGAGGAAGGAGAATCGCTTGAACCTAAAAGGCAGAAGTTGCAATGAGCCAAGATCGTGCCACTGCATTCCAGCCTGGGTGACAGAGTACTCCGTCTAAAAAAAAAACCTAAATACACAAGTAAAAATATAGACCTCGTCAGATGCTAGTAAGTGCTGTGAAGGAAACTAAAAGGGGAACACAAGGAACCCTTGTCAAGGGGAGAAGAAAGGGGAGTTGATGCTGTCCTTTTAAATAGGGCAGTCAGAGGCCGGGCACAGTGGTTCACACCTATAATCCCAGCACTTTGGGAGGTTGAGGTGGGTGGATCACTTGAGGTCAGGAGTTCAAGACCAGCCTGGCCAACCTGGTGAAATCCTGTCTCTACTAAAAAAACAAAAACTAGCCGGGTGTGGTATCACGCGCCTATAATCCCAGCTACTCGGGAGGCTGAGGCGGGAGAATCACTTGAACCTGGGAGGTGGAGGTTGCAGTGAGCCGAGATTGTGCCATTGCAGTCCAGCCTAGGCAACAAGAGCAAAACTTCATCTCAAAAAAAAAAAAAAAAATAGGGCAGTCAGGGAAAACTTTCCTGAGAAGGGGATGGTGGAGGATCCAGGGAGGTGAGGTGGGGAGCAAGCCAGTACAGTTGTTCCTTGACTTTCGATGGGGTTATGTCCTGATAAAGCCATGGTAAGTAGGAAATATTGTAAGTCAAAAATGCATTTAATACATCTAACCTACGGAACATCATAGCTTAGTCTCACCTACCTTAAACATGCTTAGAACACTTACATTAGCCTACAGTTGGGCAAAATCCTCTAACACAAAGCCTATTTTATGATAAAGTATTGAATATCTCATGTAATGTACTGAGTACTGTACGGAAAGTGAAAGACGGAGTGGTGGGATGGGAACTCTAAGCGCGGCTTCCACTGCATGTGTGTTGCTTTCGCGCCATCATAAAGTTGAAAAGCGTTAAGTCAAACCATCGTACGTCGGAGGCCATCTGTATCTGGTAGGAGGAGTGTTTCAGACAGAGAGAACAGCAGGTGCACAGAGTGCTTTTTTCCCAGCATTTTATTATGAAAAATTTCAAACATCTACCAAAAAAAGTTGAAAGACTTGTACAGTGAAAAGCCATACATCTCACAGCTAGAATCAACAATTAACATTTTACTGTATTTGGTTTTTGACTTATCTATCCTAGATCCCTTGTGCTTTCTGTAGCAGGTGACCTGCCTTGAAGATTTAAAGACAGAATATCAGGAAATGTAGTCAGAAAATGGGGCCTTTTATAAGAGTCAGAGGGGAAGAGCAAAACCTCTGCTTTTGACAAATCTGTTGGGAGAGGCCAACTGCAGGGATACCTCCCTTTTTTAATGAAAGCATTTCTGTTCTGCGAGGAGCGGGATCCTCTTGTCAAGCAGTCAGTCCCTGCTGCTTCCTTACTGGGGCAGGATCAGGACGCACAGGGATTTGGAGTGCCTTGGAACCAACCACCACCCACGCCGTTTGCCAGCTGGTAAACATGCCCATCAGGTCCGGGGGTTGGCATTGCCTGGACATCTTTAGTGTTCATCTTGCTGACATCTGGTGCCCTCGGGCAGGTAGGTGCAGTTGGCTGCCTGGTTTACAGAGCTTGTACTGGGCCCAGGTTAGCAGAGGTCACATCCATTTATCCCACTGCGCAGAGGAGTTCCTTCTCAGGAAACCCAGTTTATAAGAAGTACTGACTGCCAGAAATAGAGCAGAAATGAGAACCAGGAGGCAATTGTGAGAGGAATGGAGACTTCTGACCTCTGGGGATTGGGGTACCCTCCCCCTTAATTGCTGTTGGGGTAGCAGAGGGCTTAGAAGCCCATGTTCCTAGACTTTTAGAATTGGAAGAAGACTTAGAAGTAATCTAGGCTGGGGGTCCCCAACCCCCAGGCTGTGGCCCGTTAGGAACCTGACCGCACAGCATGAGGGATAGGCCAGCGAGCACTACCGCCTGAGCTCCGCCTCCTGTCAGATCAGCAGCGGCATTAGATTCTCATAGGGGCACAAACCCTATTGGGAACCGCGCATGAGAGGGATCTAGGTTGCGTGCTCCTTAGGAGAATCTAACTAATGCCTGATGATCTGAGGTGGAACAGTTTCATCCCCAAACCATCCCTCCAACCTCACCCCGGTCCATGGAAAAATTGTCTTTTACAAAACCCGTCCCTGGTGCCAAAAAGCTTGGGGACCCCTGATCTAGGCTACAGTTAAGTGGTCAAACACCCAGGTCCTGAAGTTAGGCTGCCTGGGTTTAAATCCCAGCTCTACTGCTTACTAGCCCTGTGACCTTGAGCAAGTCACTTAGTTTTTCTGTGCCTCAGTTCACTCATTTGTAATAAATCCTAATAGTACCCATCCCAGTGTCATGAACTAAGTTCATATATGTAAAGTACTTAGAATGGTGCCTAGCAAGTACTTAATAACAGTTAGCTCTGAAAATGTATAAAGCAAAATTAACCAATGTTTTAGTGGTTTGCAGCCAACTTTTTTCTATGCGTGTGCTAACATATTATTTTATAAGAGTGGGAATATATTGTACATGCTGTTATATAACTTGCTTTTTCACTAAACAGTCTATCCTCTGTGTCAGTTTTGATAAAAGCGTTTTCCTCTTGCTTTTCCTGCATATGTTCAGAACCATCATATTGGTAGCAAGTTTCATGTCCTGTAGTTTTCTTAACCAACCCCCTGCTAGTGGACATTTAGGTTAGTCTCAGTTTTTTCCTTCTGTAAATAAAGCTGCACTGAGCAAGAAGTGACTGATGCCAAGTGACTAGATGACCTTAGGTATGACCTCTCTGGGTCTTGGTTTCTTGGTCTAAAAACAAAATGACAGGATTCGACTGGGTGATTAAAATCTCCTCTGATCTACATAGGAATTGTTTTCAAGACATTTCTGCATTCCTCTAGTGACAGGGTGCTCACTACCTCATGAGTATTTCAGTGGACAACTGTAATGGTCAATAAAGTATCCACTTTCCACCTCCCTGCAGCTCCTGGCCCTGGCTTTATTCTCTGGGGCTCCACACATTCAGTTTACACTCAGTGGCCAGTGGCTGGGACCATTGTAGAAAATAAGGAAACTCCAATTCCTTCCTTCTTTTCTTCCTCTTTCATCTCTTCCTCCCTCTCTACATCCCTCTCTCTCTTCCTTCCTTCCTCGACACTTACCATGTACCAGACCTTCTGCCAGGCACATGGATGGGAGCACAGGGGAAGTTGGCTGCAGGGTTAGAACTAAGTCCCAAGCCCCCTAAAGCTCATGCCAGGGGACTGGACTGTCCAGTACTGAGGGATGGGGATGCTGAGGCTGGTGGCCTTCCTCAAATGCACTGTAGTGCCCCAGGCAGAGTCCTGGGCTGCCCTGTGAGGAGGTGACCAGAGGTAGAGCAACTTCACCCTAAGGCTGGATCAGGATCCCCTCCAGGTTTTTACTAGAGCCAAACCCACATCTCCTTTCTCTTCTGCCACCCCCCCTTAAAATGCTTAGAAACACATAGATTTAAATACAAATTCAAATGTAAGTAATTTCAACTGTGTAACTATGAGGAGTCAGTTCTACGTGGGTCCTATCTGTATCCTCCCCAGGGCTCAGCTCCATTCTTTGCTTTCATTCATTCTCATTCAATACATTGTTGTTAAGAGCTCACTGGGTGCCCTCTCTGTCATGTAGTAAGGTTTTAAAAAGAAAGCCTCTTCTGAGCTTCAGTTTCCTTATTCATAAAATAGGAGTATTGATCCATTCCTTGCTTTTCTTACAAGGATATGCTGAAGATGACTGAAGTACAGAGTAAAGAAGGATTATGTTTGGGTGTCAAAGGAATAGAATGCCCTCTTTCAAACTGAGCACAGCAGGAACCTGTAACAGGAACACAGCAACTTGTTGAATGAATGACAATATTGGAAAACATACATTTCCTCCCCTCCCCATCATAGTCCCTCTGCTTCCGTGTTAACTCCATAGAGAGGCCAGCACAACCAGCCTTGCAGCCTGAGATAAGGCCTTTGGCGGGTGTCTCCCCTATCGCTCCCTCAAGCCCTCAAGTAGGTGTTGGAGAGAGGGGTGATGCCTGGTGCTGGTGGAACCCCTGCACAGAGACGGACACAGGATGAGCTCTAAGTACCCGCGGTCTGTCCGGCGCTGCCTGCCCCTCTGGGCCCTAACACTGGAAGCAGCTCTCATTCTCCTCTTCTATTTTTTTACCCACTATGACGCTTCCTTAGAGGATCAAAAGGGGCTCGTGGCATCCTATCAAGGTGAGAGTTCATTGGAAAAGTGGTCACAGGAGCAAATAGCAGGGGCAGGGGCGGGGGAGGCCTGTGGTTCTCCAGGGGCACAGATGTTCCTTTCTACAAAATCCCAAGGAAAAAGATTCCCCCATCTTCTTCCGTAGATTGCACCGAAATTCAGCCAACAATGTAAGCTTTCCTTTAGAAGCAGCCTGGGCATGCCCTCTTCTGTGAAGCCTGCCTTGATTTTTCAGCACAGTGAGAGGCATCCTCTTTGGTGTTCCTCAAATTCCCTCTACCAAATGGTCTTCATAATTCTCTGCTTCTCTGCTTCCCCTTCTCTCTCCTCAGTGGCAAGGAATTTTTTTATTTTTATAGATTTAGGGGATACAAGTGCAGCTATCTTATGCAAGCAATTTCATGTTGTTGGGTTTTTGGTTTTTGTTTCCTTTTTGTGGCCTCTCGCTCATTTCTTATTTCTTTTTGAGGCAGGGTCTCACTCTGTTGCCCAGGCTGAAGTGCAGTGGCATGATCATGGTTCACTGCAGCCTTGACCTCCTAGTCTCAAGCAATCTTCCCACCTCAGCCTCCCAAGAAGCTGGGACCACAGGAGGGCACCACCATGCCTGGCTAATTTTTTTTTTTTTTTTTTTTGGTAGAGATGTGGGTCTCCCTGTGTTTCCCAGACTGGTCTCAAACTCCTGGACACAAGCGATCCTCCAGCCTCAGTCTCCCAAAGTGCTGGAATTACAGGCGTGAAGCACTGTGCCCAGCTCTCTTGCTCATATCTATACTAGTTTTCTTTTGGAAGCTTCAGCCTGTTGCTACCCCCCACCCCCACCCCCACCGACCCCAGCTTTCTTCTCACTTAGGGGCTGGGAAGTCTGCATGCTGTCTATAAATCCAGAACCAGAAGGTATGGCTGAAGGGGAGGGTAGGATGATGGTTATTTTATATTCAGCTAAAAATATTCCCAGACTGTGATGAGACAACTGTAAATAAGACAGATGTCCACAATGGTGTGACTTTGCTTTTTTAAAAATATTGAAATGAGTTTCAGGCATCTCAGTGGGCTGATAGGTTGTTGATAATAGACAGGGCCTCCTTGAAGAATGTCCCTGAGACAAAGTTGAAGCTTGAGCCTGGTTGAGTCCTTGCTTGTTCCTAGGTTGATATGAACGGCTAGTTAACTGGAAGCAAAGAGAAGTCATCCTGGGGGCCATGGCAGTGACAAGTAGGACTTAGGGAGGGAAGCCCTTATACCATTTAAGGTGCTGGCCCAGAGAGGAGCCTTCAGTGACAGACAAACAAGAGCTGGCACAATTTTAATTCACTTCAATTTACTCTAATTCATTTCAATCCAATACAATTCAATGCATTCCATTCATTCAACCATGTATGACATCCAATGTGGGATCCAGACTCATGATGATTAGAGCTGATATTTATGAGCACTTACTATGTACCAGGCACTATTCTACATGCTTTACATTGAACCCTCACAATAACCCAATGAGGTGGGTACTATTATGATCTTCGTTTTTCATATGAGGAAACTAGGCATATGGATGTTGAGTAATTTGCCCACGGTCGCTCAGCTAGCAATAGCACAGCGTATTTAAATTTAGCCACCCTGGATTTAGTTTCCTTACACTTAACCATTATGCATCATGGCCCCATTTTACAGTGGGCTTGAGTCTTTGTCATATAACCCAGTAGGTTAGCAGCCACTATTCCAACCCTGTAGATTGACTCTAGGGTCCATGTTCTTTACCCCTGCACCGTGCTACTAACGTAGGTACAAAATGTCCTCAGAAACTCACTTTATACGGAAGCTCAGAGGAGGGTCCACAACCCAGGCAGGGGAGACGATGGTGTCAGGGGAGGGAGGTGACTGCCCAGCCAGGTCTTGAAGGCTCAGTAGGAATTACCTGTGGGACAAAGGAGGGTCATCCAAGTGAGGGCACAGTGGGTGCCATGGCGTGCACACACAATAGAGCAGACTGAGCCTGGGCTTAACATTGCATTGCCCTGGAGCCTAAAAGGGGAAACAAAGGGCCGGGCGACGTGGCTCACGCCTGTAATCCCGGCACATTGGGAGGCCAAGGCTGGAGAATCACCTGAGGTTAGGAGTTCGAGACCAGCCTGGCCAACATGGCAAAACCGCATCTCTACTAAAATTATAAAAACTGGCTGGGTGTGGTGGCACACGTCTATAATCCGAGCTACTTGGGAGGCCATTACACTCCAGCCTGGGCGCCAGAGTGAGACTTCATCTCAAAAAACCAAACAACAAAAACAACAACAAGAACAACAAAAAAACAAAGAGGAGAGCAGGGACTGGGTGTGGTGACTCATGCCTGTAATCCCAAACACTTTGGGAGACCAAGGCAGGCAGATCACCTGAGGTCAGGAGTTCGAGACCAGCCTGGCCAACATGGTAAAACCCTGTCTCTACTAAAAATACAAAAATTAGCCGGATGTGGTGGCACGTGCCTGTAGTCCCAGCTGCTTGGGAAGCTGAGGGAGGAGAATTGCTTGAACCCAGGAGGCAGAGGTTGCTGAGCTGAGAACATGCCACTGCACTCCACCCTGGGTGACAGAGTGGGACTCTGTCTGAAAAAAATAATAGTAATAAATAAAAATAAAGAGGGAAGCAGCGGGTGGCAGACTCACTGGGCTGCATACGAAGTTTGGCTTCAGTCTGAGGTCCGAATAGTAAACAGCAGCGAGACAAGTTTGGGTTTGGGTCATGGAGGAAGCCATGCCAGGGCTGGTGTTGGGCACAGGGAAAGGGGCATGGCTTGAGACACCAGACCAGCGTGGAGGCTGTAGTGTAGTATTGACCTGAGGACTTCAACATTCTGATGGTGTACACACGATTTTTTGAGCATGTACCATGGTTATATATTACACTTTAAGTATTACTTTAAGTATTACTACATTAATATATTTTGTATGTTACAATAAATACATACAAATTAGGAAAATTGAAAGAGATCAAAATGAAATATATAATATTTTCAAATTACTAATCATAATGGTGTCAATCTCCAGGCAGGGTCCATTGCTACAGTTGACGATAGTGGATGAAAATTCACTCCTCAGAGTCTTCTTGATAATTTGAAATTGTCTTGATTGACTTGTCAGATCTGATTAGATCAACATGTTTTAAATCTCGAATGTGACTGACAGCTTGTACGAGGAGAAGTTTCACTCTGCCTTTTCCCTTTTGTTCACTTGACTGCCATTATTTCTATGCTTCCAATCTGTGTTTTTCTGCACGAGTTGGTTAAGCCATTACTTCATTTTGTGAAAGTTTGTTGAGTTAAACTTAGGTAACTTAATCTGTCAATCCACTTAATTGAATTCAGTCCTGGTAAACTATAATAGATTATTCAAACCTGCCAATTCTAAAAAGACATTTTGAGACAATCAGGAAATCTGAATATAGCATGAATATCTTACGATATACAAGGATTATTGTTAATTTTGTTAGGTATGATAAAAGCATGGTGGGTTGTTTTTGTTTTTGTTTTTTAAGTCTCCATCTGTTAGAGAGGCACATTGAAATGGCATGATATCTGGGGTTTGCTTTTATGCCAGAAAAAAGAAAAAGTACAGAAGGATTATAGAAACAAGATTGGTCTCATGTGACAATCATCAGAGTTTGGAGATGGGCACGTAGGGTCATCGTGCTGTTCTCTCTGTTTTCGTATATGCTTTAAAAGTTCTGTAATAGTTAATTAAAAAAAAAAAAAAACACCCTGGCTGAGCATTTAGGGAGGCCAAGTGGGGAGGATCGCTTAAACCAAGGAGTTCAAGACGAGCCTAGGAAACATAGGGAGACCCCCCCCCATCTCTAAAAAAAAAAAAAAAAAAAAAAACTTTAAAATTTAACCCAGTGTGGTGGCACATGCCTATAGTCCCAGCTACTCAGTAGGCTGAGGTGAGAGGCTTGCTTGAGCCTGGGAGCTTGAGGCTGCAGTGGGACGGGATTGTACCACTTCACTCCAGCATGGGCGACAGAGCAAGACCCTGTCTCAAAAAAAATAAAAATATTTGAGGTGAAGCGAGGCTGTAATAACAAATTTAAAAATATAAATAAAACATAAAGGCTGGGTGTAGTGGCTCACGCCTGTAATCCCAGCACTTTGGGAGGCCAAAGCAGGCAGATCACGAGGTCTGGAGATGGAGACCATCCTGGCTAACACGATGAAACCCCATCTCTACCAAAAATACAAAAAAATTAGCCGGGTGTGGTGGCGGGTGCCTGTAGTCCCAGCTACTTGGGAGGCTGAGGCAGGAGAATGGCGTGAACCCAGGAGGCGGAGCTTTCAGTGAGCTGAGATTACGCCACTGCACTCCAGCCTGGGCAACAGAGCGAGACTCCGTCTAAAAAAAAATGAAAATAAAAATAAATGAAACATAAAACCCTGCCATTAGTTGCAATATGAAGAATATAGAGAAATGCATATCAAATCCTTCTCATTGGACCAATATTCCCTTAGGGCACCTTCCAAAGCTAGGAGACTCAAGGCTGTATGACATCCTGAGCAAGTGAGGGGTGGCTTCTGGGTGAATCTGAATATTAAATATTTGCAGAATTGAAAACTTCACAAAGTACCTTTAGAGATAGAATAGCCTAGATCCATGTTTCTCAAAGTGTGGTCCCCAGACCTGCTGCCTCAGCATCTCCTGGAAATTTAGTAGAAATGCAGATTCTCAGGCCCTAGGCCAGACCTACTGATCAGAAGCTCTGGGCCTGGGGCCCAGCAGTCTGTGTTTTCACAAGCCCTCTTGGTGATTCTTCTGTGCATGAAAGTTCGAGAATTCCTGGAGCTAGACTGATTCAAATCTTGCCTCTGTATCTTAGAGACCTTGGGCAGATTAGTCAACCTCTTTCTGCCTCTGTTTCTACTTCTGTCAGAGGATGATAGTACTTGTTTCATTAAGTTGTTGAAAGGATAAATGAATTGACACACATAAAGAGTATTAGCTTTTATTATCAAAAGCTTTTTTTTTGAGACAGAGTTTTGCTCTTATTGCCCAGGGGAGTGCAGTGGTGCGATCTTGGCTCACCGCAACCTCCACCTCCCAGGTTCAAGTAATTCTCCTGCCTCAGCCTCCCGAGTAGCTGGGATTACAGGCATGCGCCACCACGCCCGGCTAATTTTGTATTTTTAGTAGAGATGGGGTTTCTCCATGTTGGTGAGGCTGGTCTCGAACTCCCAACCTCAGGTGATGCACCCGCCTTGGCCTCCCAAAGTGCTGGGATTACAGGCGTGAGCCACCGCGCCTGGCCCAAAAGCTTTAATTTCTTAATTTTTTAAATAAAATAAATAAAACTAGAATTGCTTGTTTTCTTCCAGCTACCCTGGTGATTGTATTGAGCATTTTCTGGGGTGTGTGTTCTTTGCTGTAATGACTACTGGTCTGGATGACCTGTGATGAGACCAGATGGGCAGGGGCAGTGGAGGAGATTCTAGAGATATTTAGGAGATAAGTCAGCTGTACTTGATGAAAAGAGTGGGGAGTTAAGGCTGGCTGCAGATGTATGATTTGGCATAGAGAGGTGCCAGTTCCTGAGATGAGAGACAGAAGGGGAGGGACAGGTTGTGAGGATGAATGAACAATGATATGTTCATTCTGGGCTTGGAGTTAAGGGGCCTATGATATGCTTAGGGGAAGCAGAGAGTATCAATTACCTATTGCTGCATAACAGCCACCCCAAACTTAGTGGCTTAAAATAGTAACCTTTTAATTTACTCATGATCATGATTCTGTGGTGCAACAACTGGGCTGGGTTCAGCTGGGCAGTTCTTCTGTTAGTTTCACCCAGGGTCATTCATGCATCTGCAGTTTGGGGTGGGATGGCCTCAGATGACCTCATTCACGTGTTTGGCAGTTGGTGATTCACTGGGGGCCATTACTGTAACAATCGCCTACCAGGCAGAGCTTCCCTAAGGCTTCCAAACTAGGAGACTATCCTGGGTCCTGTGCTGTGGATACCACTCAGTCCCCCATCCCCACCCCATATTCCTCAAAGGCAGAGAGAGGGGCTACTAGAAGACAGAGGAGTTTTCCCAGTGACATGTAAACACTCCAAACCCTGGCACCTTCCACACTGCAGCTTTGGTCTGCCCCTTTGGGAAATCTCTGTTTTTCTTCCCAGGCTGCTGGAGGGGTGAGAGTCGCCGGTAGAGTAGAGGCTGTGGGCGAGGAGGTGGCGGCCTCCTGAGGCTGCAGTGGTCTTTCCAGGCAGCAGTGGGAGCACAGGGTGGAGGTCAACCCTAGAGCCTGGGAGAGTGAAGCTGGGTGTGACTTCAGAGCTGTTGGTGCTGAAGTTTCTGCAGGCCAGAAGGAGGGGCAAGAGTGGGAGGGGGCGCAGATCCAGAATCACGGAGGCAGCTGACCGGAGGAGGC
The DNA here is from genome assembly GCF_000001405.40 of Homo sapiens. Classification (NCBI taxonomy): domain Eukaryota; kingdom Metazoa; phylum Chordata; class Mammalia; order Primates; family Hominidae; genus Homo; species Homo sapiens. The sequence goes on from NC_000001.11 coordinate 25,279,095, forward strand.
AGCTGCCCAAGGGGATGGACTCAGAAGGCCAAAGTGCTGTTATCCAAACGAACTCTTTGCAAGTGGTCTCTTTGCAACAGGCCTGGGGGAGAGCAGTCTTGCCTAAAGTCACACCGCTAATCAGCGGCCGGCACGGGGTAACAGTTACTAACACTCACTACGTACCCAATGCTGGGCGAAGTGACTTGCATGAGCCAGCGAGCTCAATGCTCATGGCAATCCTCTGAGCAGCTGGCATTGTTTCATCTCAATTTTACAGCTCAGGAAGCTGGGACACAGAGGAAGAGCCAGGCTCTGAACACTGACAACCTGATTGAGAGACCCACACTGTTCATCACCGTTACGCTATATATGCTGTATAGAAAGGCAGGATGGCATAATGGTTAAACCTAGGTAGGTAGGGTTTGAATCCTCCTGCTACCATTTACTAGCTCTGTGACTTGGACTAGTTATAGCACCTCTCTGTGCCTCCCTTTCCCCATCTCTAAAATGGGGATAATAAATCGTACCTCCTACCTGAGGCTGTTGTGGGCTAAGTCTGTAAGGCACGTAGAACAGTGCCTGGAACGTGGGGTACTGTCTATCTGTGTGCCTGCTGTTACAACAATGGTGAGTATTGCCTTATCTCTCGCTGCTGAACTACCAGGTTAGACTTCTTTCTGCAAGTCATGAGGCTTTCATAAACTTTTCCTGAAGGCTTTCCGTAGAATGTACAATTCCCCTCTGGGTCCAGGCATGGGCGCCCGGGTAGCACATCCACTTCTTATCACCCCTGAACACCTTAGAGCCCATCAGCTTATCAAACCAGCAGCTGATGTGAGTGCAGAGCAGACTGTGAGAGGTGGAGGCTGATACCAGTGAGGATGCTCCAAGCTGGGACCCAGCCCTGAAGCGGGAGCCCAGATAATGGATGGGTGGAAATGGGCCTGGAGCCCAGGAGAAGTGGGAGGATGAGGGGGCAGGGGGAGGAGAAGCCTGAAATCAAATGTTATTTCCTGACCAGTTTGGGGTGCATGAGCTCTGTCAACAGCTCATGGAAACTGCTGCCCTAATTTCATCTTGTTGGCTGAGGCACAATTCCTCTCTCAGGGACAGTGTAGAGCCTTGGGGAGGAAGGCCCTGAGCGCGTATACCTGGAATCAGGGAATCGGGATCAGGGGCAGCAGCTGTGCCCAATAAAGCCCCCACCCAGGATCCTCTGACTTCCTCATCTCTTTTTTTTTTTTTTTGAGCTGCAGTCTCACTCTGTCATCCAGGCTGGAGTACAGTGGTGCGATCTCGGCTCACTGCAACCTCAGCCTTCTGGGTTCAAGCGATTCTCCTGCCTCAGCCTCCTGAGTAGCTGGGATTACAGGCATGCGCCACCATGCCAGGCTAATTTTTGTATTTTTAGTAGAGACGGGGTTTCACCATGTTGGCCAGGCTGGTCTCAAACTCCTGACTTCAAGTGATCTGCCCACCTCAGCCTCCCAAAGTGCTAGGATTACAGACATAAGCCACTGTGCCTGGCCTTTTTTTTTTTTTTTTTTTTGTAAACAGGGTCTCCCTCTGTCACCCAGGCTGCTGGAGTGTAGTGGTGTGACCGCAGCTCACTGCAGCCTTAACCTTCTAGGCACAAGCCATCCTCCTACCTCACCCTCCTGAGTAGCTGGGACTACAGGCACTCGCCACCACGCCCAAGTAATTTTGTATTTTTTGTAGAGACAAGGTCTTGCTATGTTGCCTAGGCTGGTCTTGAACTCCTCAGCTCAAGCAATCCTCCCTCCTTGGCCTCCCAAAGTGCTGGGATTGTGCTGGGATTACAGGTGTGAGCCACCATACCTGGTCTGACTTCCTAATCTTTAGGGCCCCAACTCTGCCCTTATCCAGGCAACTCTCCTCTCCCCATCTTCCACTAACTTCTTTGGAATATTCCAGAGCTGTAAAAGCCTTAGAGAGTATCAAGTCCAACTCCTATGTGTTACAGACAGGGAAACTGAGGCCTAAAGAGGGTAATGGACTTGCCTAAGATCACTTAGTGAGGTGAGAGAAGAAAGAGCTAGAGACAGCCTAGCCTGTGCAAGGACATAGTTCCAGGCATTCAGAGCTGGGCTCTGCTGCCGGCATGTTTGGGGCCTGGTAGTTAGTTCACTGCTGAACTACCAGGTTAGATTTTCTTTCTCCAAGTTGTGGAGCTTTCATAAACTTTTCCTGAAGGTCTTCCTTACAATGTACAATTCTCCTCTGGGCCCGGTCATGAGCGCCCCTCACAGGCTCTCTCTGGTCCCCTTCTGTAAAATGAGAGGAAAATGGAAGAATTGCTCTACTCATGGAATCTTCAATAAGTCTGGGCCCTATGCATATAGCATTGCTACAAAATGGCAGATGCACTTTAACAATCGTGTTTAATAAAAGGTTGGATTTGCATATCTGAAGTGGGGCATGCAGTCTCCAACTGAACACAAGCCTCACTGCTCCCGCATGTGCACTGCACCTTCATATACATATTTCCTGCTTGGCTCCTGAGGGAATTTGAGTAATCCCAAGAGGAACCCCTGTAGAAAATGTCCCCTGGCCACACACCCCCATTCCTAAGGATGCAAGCAGGAGATAGAAACATTCCCTGCACCTCCCTCCTTGTTGTCAGAAGAAGTGCAAAGAGTTGAATCCTTCCTAATGCCCACTTCTCACCCACGCCCCAAATCCCCAGGTCCCATGGAGGTCCTTGGGGGCCTCCTATATCCTGGTGGTGTCAGGTTGATTTGGAAATGTCAGTGTCCTCCCTTGTCCTCTCTGGCAGACCCTGGGTATGTGTATGTTTCAATGGAAGTGAATTTAAATGTACTTTATAAATCAAAGACTTTTTCTGAGACTTTGGAGAGTTCCAGTAATGAGAGCTTCTCATTGTTATCAAGGCCAGGGCTGGAGACCAGTGGCAGGTGAGTTCCTATTGCTGTGATTGTCATGATGATGTTGATGAACAGTCACTATTTATTGAGCGTTCTCCATGTGCCAGTCACTGTACTAAACATTATTTCCTTTGGATTTCCCAGAAACCTCTCAGGTGGGTCTAATTACCCTTATTCAGCTGATAAGGAAAGTAAGCAACTTACAAGACCACAGGGCTATGAAGTGGAAACACATAAATTGATATTTCATTTTATTTATTTATTTATTTTGAGACAGAGTCTCACTGTGTCGCCCAGGCTGGAGTGCAGTGGTGCGGTCTCAGCTCACTGCAACCTCTGCCTCCCGGGTTCAAGCGATTCTCCTGCCTGCCTCCCGAGTAGCTGGGATTACAGGTGCCCACCACCACATCCAGCTAATTTTTTTGTAATTTTAGTAGAGACGGGGTTTCACCATGTTGGCCAGGCTAGTCTCGAACTGCTGACTTCATGATCTGCCCACCTCATCCTCCTAAATTGGTATCTTTATATGTCCAAAAGAGTCAACTGGTGGCAATTTAGTGAGGTTTAATCTAATAGGAAATGATAGAGCTGGGATCGAACAGAGCCATGTGAACTCAAAACCTATGCTTCCCCTTCCACCTTTTTGAAAAACATTGTCTAGGCTGGGCACGATGGCTCATGCCTGTAATCCCAGCACTTTGGGAGACGGAGGTGGGTGGATTACATGAGGTCAGGAGTTCGAGACCAGCTTGGCCAAAAATTAGCCAGGCGTGGTGGCGCGCGCCTGTGGTTCCCACTGAAGCACAGGAGGCTGAAGCACAAGAATCACTTGAACCCGGGAGGTGGAGGTTGCAGCGAGCCGAGATCGCACCACTGCACTCCAACCTGGGCAACAGAGAGACTCTGTCTCGAAAAAAAAAAATTGTCTACATGCTGGTTGCAGAAAATTTAAACACTAAAACTAAAAAAGTAAAACACCTCCCAAACTTAGAGACAATATTAATGACGGAAAAAAAATTCTTCAAGATCTCTCTCTCTCCAGTCATTTATTCATGTGCGAAAACAGTTGGTGATTATTGATAAAATAGCTTTTAGAGTTTGGAGCAATTATGTGCATTACATATACCATTTGATTCTGGCAACCTAATGAAGGAGTATGATCATTTCCCCTATTTAACAGACAAGAACAAGAAGAGGGAGGGCAGATGGTGTGGTAGTCTAAGGCACAGGCTCCAGCAGATTATCTAGGTGTAAATCTTGGCTGTAGGCCAGGCCCTGTGGCTCATGTCTGTAATCCCATCACTTTGGGAAACCGAGGTGGGCAGATCACTTGAGGTCAGGAGTTCGAGACCAGCTTGGCCAACATAGCGAAACCCCTTCTCTATTAAAAATACAAAAATTAGCCGGGCACGGTGGCAGGCACCTGTAATCCCAGCTACTTGGGAGGCTGAGGCAGGAGAATCACTTGAACCCAGGAGGCAGAGGTTGCAGTGAGCCAAGATCTTGCCACTGTACTCCAGCCTGGGTGACGAGTGAAACTCTATCTCGATATTAAAAAAAAAAATCTTAGCTCTACCCACCGGGGCAAGTTACGTAACGCCTCTGTGCCTTGGTTTTCATATCTGTAAAATGGTGACAGTAACAGCACCCACGTCAAAGTGTGGTTGTGAGAACGAAACAAGATAGTCTATGTAAAGTGATTAAAACAGCGTAGGCACATGGTAAACGCTTAGGAAATGTAGGCTGTTATAAAGCTCAGAGATGTTAAGTAACTAGATCAAGATCACACAGTTAGAGGGTGCCAGAGTCCTGATTTGAACCCAAGTTTGTCTCGTTCTGGAGCTCAAGCTGCTAACCCTTTTTCAAAACTGGAATTAAACCAAAGTGCTCACCCTCCGCTTTGCTGGGCCCCTCCCTGCCCTCAGGTGCGTCTCTTCCACTCACCTGCCACAGCAGCCTCTGCTCAGGGTCTGAGACCGGGAAAGGTGAGGGCTACCCAGGTGGCCCTGATGTTTTCTGCCAGCCAGCTCACCAGGTCCCTCGCAGCAGGCGGCAAAGGGAGGGAGGTTTGCTGTGAAGATTATGTGGTTCCCAACAACAAGAGCGCTGGGCCTATCTCTGCCCTCTCTTTTCTGTGTGTCCTGGGACAAGTCACTTGGCTTCTGTGGCTTCATTTTCTCATGTGCCCAGCCAGGGGGTTGGCCCTCATATGCAATAACAGCAGCAATGACCTTTACTGAGTGTCCATGTGCGTCAAGCACGTGTGCTTTACACTTGTTCTTATTATTAGGTTTAATAATAGAATAATTGCCACATTTACTGAGCACTCATTATGGGCCAGGCCCTGCCCTAAGTGCTTAATTAGCTTTAGCTCCTCTAATCCTTATCTTATCCCCACACGGCATGTTATGTTATCCCCATTATTCAGTTGAGAACATTGAGGCTCAAAGAGGCAAAGTAACTTGACCAAATACTTGTAAACGATCTTGCATGCCCCTTCCAGCTGCCATTTAGTAAGACTCTAATTTCATACCACCCTAAATCTCGTCTGCTTCCCCCTCGTCCTTCTCGCCATCTCCCCACCGAGCAGTTGGCCAAGATCTGACCGTGATGGCGGCCATTGGCTTGGGCTTCCTCACCTCGAGTTTCCGGAGACACAGCTGGAGCAGTGTGGCCTTCAACCTCTTCATGCTGGCGCTTGGTGTGCAGTGGGCAATCCTGCTGGACGGCTTCCTGAGCCAGTTCCCTTCTGGGAAGGTGGTCATCACACTGTTCAGGTATTGGGATGGTGGCTGGATCACTTCTGGGTCATAGAGGGAATGGACCCCGAAAGGACAGGTTCCAGAAGATCTGGGATATTGCCCCCTCTCTGTCTAGCACCAGTGCTGTGCAATATTTAGGACATCCTTATACTAAAAGATTATTCATTGTTTAAAATTCAAATTAACTGGGCATCCTGTATTTTACTGGACAGCCCTACTCCGTGTATCACAAGGAATCCAGGCCTACATTCCTCCTGCATCCTTTCTTTCCTGTTATTGTCGATTATGATTTTGTAAAGTTACATAATCAATATAAGTTTATGGAAAACGTAAGAAGGAAACACGTTAGACAGAGAGAAATAGACATGCCACACCTAGAGAGACATTCTATTTTTTTTTTTTTTTTTGAGACGGAGTTTCACTTTTGTTGCCCAGGCTGGAGTGCAATGGCGCTATCTCGGCACACCACAACCTCAGCCTTCTGGGTTCAAGCGATTCTCCTGCCTCAGCCGCCTGAGTAGCTGGGATTACAGGCATGTGCCACCGCGCCTGGCTGATTTTGTATTTTTAGTAGAGATAGGGTTTCTCCGTGTTGGTCAGGCTAGTCTCAAACTCCTGACCTCAGGTGATCCGCCCGCCTCGGCCTCCCAAAGTGCTGGGATTACAGACATGAGCCACCGCGTCCAGCCTGAGAGACATTCTCTTGAAAAGAAAGGACTTTCAGCCCCCTAATGCTGCTAGACAATAAATAGCCATGCCTTTATTTTCATTAAATTACCTGTGCTTTGTTTACATGCATTTGTGTGAAATGCTAAGAACCATCACAACTAATGTATGGTGCCAGAAGTCAGAATAGTTGTTACCTGGGCAGGAGGTGGATATTGATTAGGAAGGAACACAAAATAACCGCATGGGGTGCAGAAAATGTTCTCTATGTTCACCTGGGTGATGATTACACATCAAGCTATACACGTTTTAAAAGGGCATTGGCACTTAATAGGAGGAAGTAGGCTAAATTTTTTCCTGAAACATTGTTTTGTTTTGTTCAAACCTCTGAATCCCTGTGCTGCCCAGATGATGGTAAACGTCATCCTAGGCATCTTAGGGACCTCTCAAGGCCATTCCAGCCTCCCCTTCTAAGACCCTGCTAAACCTCTGGGCACTGCTGTTAAACATTTCTCTATGAGCCAGGAACTGTGCTGAGCACTCCACAAATATTATTTTGTTTAACTCTTCCGGGTAGGGATCTAACCTGGTATACAGGTAAGGAAGTGGAAGCTCAGAGAGGGCAAGGCACTTGCCTAGGGCCACACAGCTAAGTGGTGGAGATGGCTCCAACTTTTTATTATAACCTTTTCCACATGCTCCAGAGTGCTCAGAACATGAAACACAGTCTAGCCAGCTCCCGATTGGCCCTGGAGGGAAAAAACTTTATATATTTTTCTTTTTTAAAAGGTTTAGAGGCTGGGCATGGTGGTTCACACCTGTAATCCCAGTACTTTTGGGAACCGAGGTGGGCAGATCACTTGAGCCCAGAAGTTTAAGACCAGCCTGACTAACACAGTGAGATCCTGTCTCTGCAGAAAATAGAAAAATCAGCTAGGCGTGGTGGTGTGCACCCACAGTCCCAGCTACTTGGGAGGCTGAGGCAGGAGGATCACCTGAACCCAGTGAGGTTGAGGCTGAGTGAGCCATGATCGTGCCACTTCACTCCAGCCTGGACAACAGAGTGAGACCCTGTCTCAAAAAACAGTTTTAGGGGCCGGGCGCAGTGGTTCATGCCTGTAATCCCAGCACTTTGGGAGGCCAAGGCGGGGGGATCATGAGGTCAGGAGATCGAGACCATCCTGGCTAACTCGGAGAAACCCTGTCTCTACTAAAAATACAAAAAATTAGCCGGGCGTGGTGGTGGGCGCCTGTAGTCCCAGCCACTCGGGAGGCTGAGGCAGGAGAATGGCGTGAACCCGGGAGGCGGAGTTTGCAGTGAACCGAGATGGTGCCACTGCACTCCAGCCTGGGTGACAGAGCGAGACTCCGTCTCAAAAAAAAAAAACAAAAACAGTTTTAGGCCAGGCGCGGTGGTTCATGCCTGTAATCCTAGTACTTTAGGAGGCCTAGCAGGTGGATTACCTGAGGTCAGGAGTCCGAGACCAACCTGAGCAACATGGTGAAATCCTGTCTCTACTAAAAACACAAAAATTAGCTGGGTGTGGCGGCAGGCACCTGTAATCCCAGCTACTTGGGAGGCTGAGGCAGGCGAATCACTTGAACCCGGGAGGCGGAGGCTATAGTGAGCCGAGATCGCACCATTGCACTGTAGCCTGGGCGACAGAGTGAGGCTCTGTCTCAAAAACAAAACAAAACAAAAACAGTCTATGAGTTAATTCCCACCAGAATTCAATACACACACGCACACATGCACGCATACACACACTGTGTCCACCTGGGAAGTGACAAAGGGCACCCTGGGGGATTTCAAATGGTGGTGGCCCTGGTTTGGTGTTGCTGCCTTAGCTTAAGGTCACACCAGCCTTCAGCCTCCTGCCCCACAGTCTAGGGCTGCTCCCCTCATCTGATGTCCACAGGGACCTGTTTGTTCTTGACTCAATCTAGAAAGACGAGAAGGGAGAGAAGTCACTCGCAGCCTGAGTGAACTCCCCTGCCCCACCCCTGACTGCTTGGATCCCCCTAGGGGTGACCCCTGCTGAAACTGGCTCCTTCCTGACCGGTTCCCGTCAGGGCTGTGCTGATGGGTGGTGCCCAGGCCTGCCCCTGGGGACGGGGTACTCTCCCTTGGCAACACTCCAGCTTGTGCCACTTGACTTGGGACTGATTTGGTTCTGTTTTGAGTCCCTTCAGGGGAGGGGCCTATCTTATTCAACGTTGTTGTTTGTTTTCCTCACATACTGATAACTTAGCAAATGGCTATTGGAGCAAAAATGAAAATAAACGGAACTCTGAAGTGGGATGTTTTAAAATTTTATTTATTTTTTTAGAGACAGGGTCTTGCTCTGTTGCCCAGTCTGGAGTGCAGTGGTACAATCATAGCTCATTGCAGCCTGTGCCTCCTGGGCTCAAGTGATCCTCCCACCTCAGCCTCCTGAGTTAAATTTTTTTACAGGCGCCTGCTACCATGCCCTGCTAATTTTTGTATTTTTAGTAGACAAGGGGTTTCACCAGGTGGGTCAGGTTGGTCTGGAACTCCCGACCTCAAGTGATCCACCTGCCTAGGCCTCCCAAAGTACTGGGATTACAGGCGTGAGCCACTGTGTCCAGCCTAAAACTGTTTTTGAGACAGGGTCTCACTCTGTTGTCCAGGCTGGAGTGAAGTGGCATGTTCATGGCTCACTCAGCCTCAACCTCACTGGGTTCAGGTGATCCTCCTGCCTCAGCCTCCCAAGTAGCTGGGACTGTGGGTGCACACCACCACGCCTAGCTGATTTTTCTATTTTCTGCAGAGACAGGACCTCACTGTGTTGCTCAGGCTGGTCTCAAACTCCTGGGCTCAAGTGATCTGCCCACCTCGGCTCTGAAAAGTACTGGAATTACAGCCTCCTGAGTAGCTGAGACCACAGGCACACACCACCACACCTAGCTTTTTTTTTTTTTGCTTTTTGTAGAGATGGAGTCTCACTATGTTGCCCAGGCTGGTCTCAAACTCCAGGCCTTAAGCAATCCTCCCACCTCAGCCTCCCAAAGTGCGAAGATTACAGGTGTGAGCCACCATTCCTGGCCTTAAAAGTGTGATATTTTTAATGTATTTTGAAATCTGCAGGACTCTCCCTAGAAGATAATAGCAATAACCAACTCCTTTATTGTGCTTGACGTATATCAACTCACTTTGCCCTTACCGTGGCTCCAGAGGCATTGGGTCCACCTTATAAATGGAGGCACCAAGGCACAGAGTGATTAAATAAATTGCCCAGGATCACACAGCCAGAAAGTGTCTGAGTCAAGATTCCAGCCCAGGCAGCCTAGACCTGAGAGCACGCTCCTAACCACTGCACATCACTGTCTTAGCACCTCCTCAGCACAAACTGGCCCTTGAGGAATGAAATACCGCCGCCGGCACACACGCTCCTGAGTTAAGCCTTTGTCAATGAAATGAACACCCACTTAAAAGGAATAACCTGTCCAGGCACGATGGAACATTGAGTAACCCCTTATTCTAAATTCCTGGTCCCTGTAAGACTCCTTCCCCATGCCCTTGCCCTTTTCTGACCTTCCCCTAAAGTCCTTGAGGCTTAAGCGGGCATAGTCTGCAGCAAACACTGGGGAAGCTGAGTCCAGACTTCAGAGCACAGGCTTTGGATCTAGGCCAGCTGGATTTGAACCTCACATTTGTGATCAGCTGGCATGACTGTTTCCAAAAAGTCCATTTTAATCCTCTACGTGACCCTCTGTAAAATGGGATACTGAATGGTGAGCTAGCACGATTTTACAGAGAGTGAATTTTTTTTGTGTGTGTGTGAGGCAGTCTTACTCTGTTGCCCAGGCTGGAGTGCAGTGGTGCAGTCTCGGCCCACTGAAACCTCTGCCTCCCGGGTTCAAGCGACTGCCATGCCTCAGCCTCGAGAGTGGCTGGGATTACAAGCATGCACCACCATGCCCGGGTAATTTTTGTATTTTTAGTTGAGACAGAGTTTCACCATGTTGGCCAGGCCACTCTTGAACCCCTGGCCTCAAGTGATCCACCTGCCTTGGCCTCCCAAAGTGCTGGGAGTACAGGCATGAGCCACTGCACCCAGCCTTATAGGGTTAAAATTTAAAAGAGGTGATGCTGTTACAAGCCTGTTTTACAAAATGCTCTTATAATAAATCATTATCATCACTGTTGCTGTGGTTGTAGCATCATCATCATTAACTCCCAGAGGGAGGAGGGAGTCTCAGAGCAAGCTGCTCAGGGGAGACTGGATGTCCATGGATTGTCCAGCTCAGTACCACTTCCTCCAGGAAGTCCTCCCTGATAAGTCCAGTCAGCATCACCCTCTCCTTCCAATGAACCCCACTAGCCTTGTGATATCACAGATATTCTTAGTTGACAGGCTCATGGTGTAGCCTGTCTAGATCATAAGTACATTTTTTTTTTTTTTGGATCATAAGTATCTTCAAGACCAAAATAATTTTCTACTCCTGAGCATGCTCATTGGTCAAAGGAAGGAAGGAATCATAATAGCGTTAATAAGGCTAGCGTCTTTTCAGAAGTTGGTTCTTTGTGCCAGTCTTGGTGCTAGACACACCGATAGGAAGAATACTCCTTCACATCCCCAGGACACCAACATGGGATACGTTTGATCATCATTCTTAATTTGCAGAAGGAGAAATAGGCTCAGTGAGATGAAATAGCCACTCCAGTGGCAAGGCTGGGACTGGAAGCCGGGCTTGTCCTGATTCCAAATCCAGTTTCTTTCCACTGCCACGGAGACGGAGAGAAGGGACAGTGGCCCCAGATGGGGATGGGGTGACTGGATGTGGGCAGGCCTGCGGGGGAAGAGTGCCCTCTGTTGAGCATCCGAATGATGGCAGCAGAAAAGAAGACTGGGCAGAATCCCAGTTATCAGATCCCCTGAGGGAACAGTCACCCCGATCACCCTCAGTCAGATGAGTGTGTGTAGATCAATGCCTCATAGATGAAGGCACTGAGGCACAGAGTGGTTAAGTCATCTGCCAGACCACATGGCTCAGGGTGCAGAGGCCACCTTAACGGGAGAAGAGATGGTCACTCCACTCTGCAGCATCAGCGCCCAGGTGGGTAGAAATCTTGTCTTCTATTCCCACAGAAAGTAGGTGCCCAACAGTGTTTGTTGAAAGAATGAATGAATGAATGAATGAATGAATGAATGAGTGAGAGGCATCCTTCCTTCTCAGTCGTCCTGGCTCTCCCTCTCTCCCCCAGTATTCGGCTGGCCACCATGAGTGCTTTGTCGGTGCTGATCTCAGTGGATGCTGTCTTGGGGAAGGTCAACTTGGCGCAGTTGGTGGTGATGGTGCTGGTGGAGGTGACAGCTTTAGGCAACCTGAGGATGGTCATCAGTAATATCTTCAACGTGAGTCATGGTGCTGGGAGGAGGGACCTGGGAGAAAAGGGCCAAAAGCTCCATTTGGTGGGGTTTCCAGGGTTTTGAAAAATAAAGACAACCTGTAATCCCAGCTACTTGGGAGGTTGAGGAGGGAAGATCACTTGAGGCCAGGAGTTTGAGACCAGCCTGGGCATCATAGCAAGATCCTCATCTCTAAAAAGTAATTTTTTCTAAATTATCCAGTTGTGGTGGCATGCACCTGTAGTCTCAGTTACTCAGGAGGCTGAGGTGTGAGTTGGAAGGATTGTTTGAGCCCAGGAGTTAGGGACCGAGCTGGGCAACATAGCAAGACCTCATCTCTAAATAAATAGGTAGGTGGATAGACAGATAGATAGATAGACAGACAGACAGACAGACAGACAGGCTGGGTACAGTGGCTCACACCTGTAATCCCAGCACTTTGGGAGGCCAAGGAGGGCAGATCACCTGAGGTCAGGAGTTCAAGACCAGCCTGGTCAACATGGGGGAACCTCATCTCTACTAAAAATACAAAATTTAGCTGGGCATGGTGGCAGGCGCCTGTAATCCCAGCTACTCAGGAGGCTGAGGCAAGAGAATCGCTTGAACCCGAGAGGTGGAGGTTGCAGTGAACCGAGATCGCGCCATTGCACTGCAGCCTGGGGGACAAGAGCAAGACTTCATCTCAAATTTAAAATAAAGAAAAAAGAAAAGAAAAGATTGATAGATAGATAGATATCCAAATGAGTTTACAAAAATGTGGTCTGTGCAAATGTTTAAACACAACAAACCAATGCCTTTAACTACTACAGTATAATCCTGTAGGATTGTGCTATTCATGATATAATTATGGTTATATAAAAGTAATTAATTCTCAGAGCCTCACCAGCAGTGGGTCCAGCAAGTTTGTACAGCCAGCATCTTCTTTCAGTCAGTGCGTGTCAGTAACTGCATATGTCCTCTCATTGGGAGAGCCTGTCGAAAGTCTAAATTTGAAGGCAGCTGTGAAGGTAAGGCCAATCCAAATGGCTCTCCCAGATCCTCTGCTGTAACCCTGACCCTGAGTGAGGACATAGCCAACCTTCCCATCTCATAGGTGAGAAAGCTGATGCCTGGAGAGGGGAAGGGACTGCCCAAGATCACATAGCAAGATAGTGGCAGAACCCAAGCGAGAACCCACAGTTCCAGCCTGGCTTAGAAGAAAGTGCACTGGACTTGGAGTCAAAGGCTGGGGTTTGCATCCCAGCTCTGCCATAAATCCCTGTGTGACTCTGGGCAATTTAACCTCTTAGAGCTTTAGTTTCTTCATCTGTAATATGAGGGTAGCAGTACTACCACATAGGGTTTTGAGGGAGTAATTGAATTAATCACATGAGATGATGCATGTTTACAAAAAAAAGCATGAAGCCCCTTTACTGTGCCTCAGTGTCCCAAAGGACTTTGGATTTTACTCTGAGAAATACAGGGAGAACTAGGGAGTGTTGGGCAGAGGAGAGCCATGATCTGACTTATGTTTTAAGATACTCTGGCTTCTGGGTTCAGAAAAGACTGAAGGGGCAAGAGAGGAAGCAGGTGGAGACCAGAGCGGCAGTGATTGCCATCATCCAGACTCAGACTAGGACAATAGCTGTGAGAGTGATGGGAAGTGGTTGGATCCTGACTGTATTTTAATAGCAGAATTGACAGGATTTGCTGATAGACTGCACGTGGGGTGGGAGAGGGTCAAGATGACTTCAAGGTTCTCATCTGGCACAACTCAGCGGCTGCTGGTGCCATTTACTGAGATGGGGAATGTTGGGGTGGGATAGATCTGGGAGGGAAAACCCAGAGTTCAGTGTCGAATGTGGTAGCGTTAGGGTTAAGGTTGGGGGAGGGGGGGTAGAGATGTGTATGAAACATCCCAGTGGAGACACTGAATGGAGATGTACAAGTCTGAAGCTTAGTGGAAAGGTTAGGGCTAGGGATATAAATTTGGGAGTTGTTACAATACAGATGGTGTTTAAAGCCATGAGACCCAAGGAGATCACTCAGGAGTGAGGATAAAGAGAGATGGGAAGAAGTCTGAGGACTGAGTCCTAGAACACCCTGCATTTTAGAGGGGGGACATGTGTAAGAGCCAGCAAAGGAGACAGAATTGTGCTTGGAGAGGCAGGAGGAAGCCCAGGAGAGCGTGAGGTCCTGGAAGGCAAGGAAAGAGAGGGCCCCAGGTGGGCTGAATGCTGCTGAGAGGTCAAGTCGGATGAGGGCTGGGAAGTAGCCATTGGATTTGGCCAGGAGACCTTGGCATGCATGGTTGTAGAGGAGGATGAAGGCAACAGCCTGGCTTGACTGATTCAAGAGCAGGAGATGAGAAAGTGGAGACAGCATGCAGGGGCAGCTCTGCCAAGGACTTTGCTATAAAGGGGAACAGAGAAATGGAGGAGAAGCAGGAGGGCAATAATCCGATAGAGAGGAAAAATCTGATGATACAGAAGAGAGATGAACTGCAAGAGTCAAGCCTTTGAGTTGGAAAGCAGGAGTGGGATTTTGAGCACTGATACCTTTAGGCCGATGCAGGGACAGTTCATCTTTTTTTTTTTTTTATACAACATTTTATTTAAAAAAATTATTTTCATAGAATACATTTTCACATTAGAGATTCCCATTGTGCGGAAATAACAATTTATTACTTATAGTTTTATATTTGTGGACAGATTGTTTTAGAACAAGTAGAATACATTTGAGAATTAAATCTCAGTTTACAATGGATAATATTTTGATATGTCTCTGGGGAAACTTGCCCTTAAATGGAACTTCTGTATCTTCAGAAGCACTCCAAGCGTTTCTTCCTAGGATTTAGAAATTTATAATATGAGATAGCAGCATTTCCTAATTTTAAAATTTCCCTAGTATATGTAACCATCAGTAGGTGGTATCTACTGACTAGAGAGGGAAGTTTTTGAAAATTAAACACTGTCTAATTTTCTGCAAAGTTTTTATTCATGAATTAAGAGTATTTCCCTTTGTCCATTATTCCCAAGGCAAATATGGAAATTTGATCATGTACTAATCATAATAAAGCTGGATTCTCTTTAAGAGATTGAGAAATTAAAAGGCAAAAGCTGATATATCATGTTTAGTTATATTGTGAGTCTTATAAGAAGCTGGGAGGCAACCCCATTAACTCACCAGAATACAGAACTCAGTCTCACAACTTAGATATAATTCCTCTCAAACCTTTTCCTCAAAGATTAAATTCTGAAAATAATCTTGTGATTAAGAGAAGAAGGCTGTCCACCAATGGGCTTATCTGTTATTTCTTCCTTATTGTGAGCTTAATGGCATGACAAAGCAGAGGCAAAGAGGCATACATCAATTCTTCAAAGTAGGAAGTCAAAAAGGTCAGAGCTTCCACAGCATGGCAACAGCTTTGCAGATGCCCACATCGTGATAGTTGAAATAGCAAAGCCCAGCAAAGGTTAAAGCTGAAAATGCCAAAAGCCCTGCCTTGGCAGCTTTCTGCGAGGCATCCCCATGAACATAATCAGTAACAACTTGTCCAAGGCCCCAGTGACCATGAAGAGTGAGGGCTGCAGCCAGGGAATAGTCCGTCGCAGAGCAAGGATTCAAATAAGCAGCCGGAAGCAGACCCGGGAGCAAAACACTGACAACCCTCTCGCTAGTCCAGTGGAGAGATGCAGCCTTGGAGCCAGAATGGTGGCTCGGTGACAAGTGTATGTGCTGCACTCCACACCATTCTGGGATAGGTCGGTCCTGAAGAAATGCTGAGATATGAGCAGGTCTGACCACTGGAGTTCGCAGCAACAGAGCTCGGCCTCCTTGGGCACCGCAAACGGCACTCAGCCTCCAGGGAACCGCCATCTCGTTCCTGAGGCGGAGAGTTCATCTTAACGAGAGAAATGGCAGGGACTGTGAATAGGCCGGCAGATTTGGTGGCGGGTGCCACAGGTTCAGTCTCCTGCAGGGAGAGGAGAAAATGCCTTACTAATTCCTTGTATTTTCTCAGAGAAACAAGAGGCACCGTCATCAGCCTCATGTGAGGGTGGGAAGGAGGGATGGGGTTTGCGGAGAGGGAAAGTGTGGTATGGTCATCTGTGGGAGTGGAAGAGAGTGAGAGGGCTGCAGGGGTGCAGCGGGACTGCAGGCTGGCACCAGGGTCCCTAGGGCTTGTAGTTGGTGGAAAGTGCATCAGTGACCAGGGCTGTGTGCAGCTGCTCCAGGCAGGTGTGGAAGAAGCAGAGTTGAACTTGCCCAGCCTGGAGTGCTGCCCAGAGTGAGCCCAAAGCCCAGGGGAGACCAGAGATGGGGCTGTTTGCAAAGGAGGAAGTATAACAGTAGCCCACAAAATCTGAGCTGGTTAAGAAAGGAGAGAGAGTGAAAATGGGGAGCCCAGCCTGGCAGCCTGGGTACACATCTCAGCTCAACCCACACTAGCTGAATCCATTTGGGCCCCTTCGTTGACCTCTCTGTGCCTCAGTTTCCCTATCTATAGAATGGGGATAAGAATAAGGCTACTTCCTAGGGCTGTTGTGAGGATTGAACAAGTGACCGAACACTTGTTCAATTTTGAACACTGTTCTAAAGCATTTAGGACAGTGCCTGGCATGGGGTAAGTGTTGCGGCAGTGCTGTTATTTTCATCATCACCATTGTTCTCAGGCTGCGTTGATTGGAGCTGCTGAAGGGAGGCAATTTAAGGAAGTGAGCCGGACAGATAGGAGGTGGTGGTGGTTATCAGGTGCGATGCTTGAAACTGAGGCTTCGGAGGCAACAGTTACTGGTAATGACAAGGTCTAAGGCTTGACAGTGGGTGGCAGAAGTGTAACGCAGGGAAAGAGACGAGCGGTCAAGGAGCCGAGAGGGAAGGAGTTGGGTGGACTAAGATCATTTGTGGAAGAATGATGGAGAGAAAGGCTGAAGGGCAGGGGCTGACATCATCAGTGACCAAGAGGCGGCCGGGAGGCTGAGACCACAGCAAGAAAGGGAGAGTGTGATGGCATCTTCTTCAAGGGAGCTGGGGATGTTTGGGGTGGAAAAAAGAACAATGGTCTGGGAGGGAATATGGGAAATTTTTTTTTTTTTTTTTTTTTTTTTTTTTGAGATGGAGTTTCGCTGTTGTCATCCAGGCTGGATTGCAATGTTGCAATCTTGGCTCACTGCAACTTCTGCCTTCCAGGTTCAAGTGATTCTCCTGTCTCAGCTTCCCGAGTAGCTGAGATTACAGGCACACACCACCACGCCTGGCTTACTTTTGTATTTTTAGTAGAGACGGAGTTTTGCCATGTTGGCCAGGCTGGTCTCAAACTCCTGACCTCAGGTGATCCACCCGCCTTGGCCTCCCAAAGTGCTGGGATTAGAGGTGTGAGCCACCGCGCCCAGCCTGGAAGTTTGTATTTATTAATTTTTGGTTGTCTTCATCTGTGTATGTGACTTTAACCCCTAAATACTTCAGTGTACATTTCTTTTTTTTTTTTTCTTTGAGACAGAGTCTTGCTCCATCAATCACCCAGGCTGGAGTGCGGTGGTGTGATCTCGGCTCACTGCAACCTCCGCCTCCTGGATTCAAGCAATTCTTGTGCCTCACCCTCCCGAGTAGCTGGGATTAGGGGCATGCCACCATGCCCAGTTAATTTTTGTATTTTTAGTAGAGATGGAGTTTCACCATATTGGCCAGGCTGGTCTTGAGCTCCTGGCCTCAGTTGATCCACCTGTCTCAGCCTCCCAAATTGCTGAGATTACAGGCGTGGGCCACCATAACCGGCCTCAGTGTATATTTCTGATGCAGTTGGGTTCTGTATCCCCCTCCAATCTCATCTCGAATTGTAATCCCCACGTGTTGAGGGCATGACCTCGTGGGAGGTGATTGGATCACAGGGGTGGTTTCCCCCATGCTGTTCTTGTGACAGTGAGTGGGTTTTCAGGAGAGCTGATGGTTTGAAAGTGTGGCACTTCCTCTCTCTCTTTCTCTCTCTCTCTCACCTGACACCACGTAAGATGTGCCTTGCTTCCCTTTCACCTTCCACCATGATTGTAAGTTTCCTGAGGCCTCCCCGGCCATGCCAAACTGTGAGTCAATTCAGCCTCTTTTGTTTATAAATTACGCAGTCTCAGGAAGTATCTTTATAGCAGTGTGAAAACAGACTAACACAATTTCCTAAAACAAGGGGACATTCTCTTACATAACCTTTTTTCAGTTAACAAAAATGAGAAATTGACATTGATATATTATGATTACCTTATTCTCATTTCACCAATTTTCTCAATAATATCTTTTCTAGAAAAAAATATATATTTTTTGTGGTCGAGGATTACATCTTGCATTTAGTTCTCATGTCTTATTAAATTCCATCAATCTGGAGCAGTTTCTTCATCTTTCTTTATCTTTCATGACCTTGACATGTTTTGAAGTTTCGAGCCAGTTCTTTTGTAGAATGTGGGTTTGTCTGCTGTTCCTCATGATTAGATTGTGGGTATGCATTTTTGGTAGGAATTCTCCAAGAGCCGTGTGTGCCCTTCTTAGTATATCATATCAGAAGACATGCTATCAATTTGCCCCATTACTGGGTGTGTTAACTGTGATCATTGGGTTAAGATGGTACCTGCCAGGATCTTCCACTGCAAAGTTACTATTTTCCCCTTTGTAATTAATAAACATCTTGTGAGGAGATAATTTCCTATAGAAATCCTGTTGATCATCCAACTTTCACCCACTGATTTTAGTGTTCATTGATTCTTCCCTGAATAAATTAGTACTATAATAATTGCCAATGGTGGTTTTCTAATTCCATCTTTCCTTCAGTAGTTGGCATTCTTCTGTAAGGAAAAGCTTTCGCTTCTCTGTTCATCCACTCATCTATGTACTTATTTATATCACCATGGGCTCCTGGATTCCGGTTTACACACTTCCATTTTCTGCCTTTTCTCTCTGCTTAATATAAGGATTAATGAGAACTCCCTGATTCCCAGGAAGAAAATGTCAGCAGAGCTTTCTTAGGCGGAATGAAGAGAATTCAGTGTAAGAACCATAAAGGTGTATCTGTGTAGTATGGACAGTTTTAAAAAACAAACAAACACAAAGAACCTCCAAGGGCAGGAGGTGCTGCCAGACTCAGGAGGGCACTAGAACTGGCTATGAGAAGCCACTGAGATCCCAGGTAGTCTGTGCTCTCCATCTTTTGGCTCTTATTCTCTCCGTACATCTAACATCTCTGTACACCAGCTTTCTCTTTAGCGAAAAACGTGTCCCCTCCACCCACCCATCCACCTCCACTTGTTCCTGCATTTCTATGTCCCAGATCCTGCAGAAAACAACTCTTTTCTCTCAGTTAGTCTCAATTCTGTAGTCCAGGGAGAGAGAATCTGATCAGTCCCCTGGGTCATTTTTCCACTCTGGTCCAAGCAGCTACAGCTGGCATGGGAAATAGTTCACACAGTAAAAACATGGCTGTCAAGAAGAGGAGTAAATTTCAGAGGCAGAACACTCCCTGTGAGCCCGAACCTCTTCCTGCTTTGTTGCAGTCTTCATAACGATTGCTTTAAAAGACTGCATTGATATAACATCATCTCTCTTCTCTGCATCTTTGACTTGCTAGCTTAACTGGTCTAGAGGAGGGCTTAGCACTGATTTTGAGTATTCATTTTCCTCAAAACTTCAATTCAGCCTGGGTTTCTTCAGCAGGAGGGCCCGGGGGAACCAGAGCCAGGGACCAGAGTCATTTCAGTGCACCAGCTCAAGAAATGAATATTCCAGGCCAAGAATCCCCAAGTGTTCTTCCTGAACTCCTTCCTGGTGGAGTTCAAAGAGATGAAAAACACAAGCCCGCTTTTCAGTTCTTATCAGGAAACTGCATAGACTTTCCTCTTTATGTATGACTGAGGGCTTTTTACCATCATTTGTTCCCTTCACAAATATTTATTTGGTATTTACTATATACCAGGGACTCTTGTGGCAGTGGAAAATACAACTCTCATGGAACGTCTGTTCCAGAAGGAAAGACTGCCAATAAACAATAAAATAGGCAAAAGATATAGCATGTTAGAGAGTGGTAAGTACCACAGATAAAAATGAAATGGAGAAAAGAAACACGAAAAGTTGGGGAGAGAGGATAACTGTTTGAGAGGGTGGCCAGGGGCAGCTTCATCTTATCAAGAGGGTGATTTTTTGAGTACAGACCTGAAGGTAACGAGTGCACAAGCCATATGGGTACCTGAGAACAGCGGCAGAACAATGGCAGGGTGCTGGGAGGGCTGTTTACCAGCCACGCTGTTTAGAATTGTCAGCACATGGTGATAAAAAAAAAAAAAAAAAAAAAAAAACAGGCTGGGAGCAGTGGCTCATGCCTGTAATCCCAGCGCTTTGGGAGGCCAAGGCGGATGGATCACTTGAGGTCAGGAGTTCGAGACCAGGCTGGGGAACATGGTGAAACCCCGTCTCTACTAAAAATACAAAAATTAGCCGGGCACGGTGGTGGGTGCCTGTAATCCCAGCTACTTGGGAGGCTGAAGCAGGAGAATCGCTTGAACCCAACGGGTGGAGGTTGCAGTGAGCCAAGATGGCACCAGTGCACTCTAGCCTGGCGACAGAGTGAGACTCCGTCTCAAAAATAAATAAATAAATAAATACAAATAAAAAGCAGACAGACTTTTTAGTTGGCTTTAGAATTCTTAGACACCCTCTACAGACAAGGCACCCCGATTGCTTGCACCCAGGGTGGACTACTCCCTCCACCCTGCCCTTGTTACACCCTGGCTGGGGGTCAGCATTTCAGGCAGCTGAATGACCCAAAGTGGGAACACGCTAGTGGGTTTGAGGATGAGCAAGTGGAGGAGGGCAATAGGAGGTGACGCCCGAGAGGTCAGGTGAGAGTGGATCCTGCAGGGTCGTGGCAAGAACCTGGACCTTGACTTTGAGTGACATGGGAGCCGCTGGAGGCTTCTGAGCAGAGGAGTAACATGATCTGACTTGCATTTTATTTTATTTATTTATTTGACGCAGTGTCACTCTGTCGCTGAAGCTGGAGTGCAGTGGCGACATCTCAGCTCACTATAGCCTCCGCCTCCCAGGTTCCAGTGAATCTCCTGCATCAGCCTCCCAGGTAGATAGGATTACAAGCAAGCATCACCACGCCTGGCTAATTTTTGTATTTTTAGTAGAGACAGGGTTTTGCCATGTTGGCCAGGCTGGTATCGAACTCCTGACCTCAGGTGATCCACCCACCTCAGCCTCCCAAAGTGCTGGGATTACAGGCAAAATTAGAATATATCTAGAATTTCCTGAAGACCTTAGTTTGGTATTATAAGAAGTCTGGTTGCTTCATGTTGCAAAATTTATATCACTCATCACTCCCGCAGAGTTAAAATTCCGCTGAGAAGTAGGAATCAGTGAGGTGCGTGTCCATGTGGGTTTTTGCCACACCTAAGTGAACCTTGGTCAAAAGCATATAAGAGCTACTGATAGGCCGGGTGTGGTGGCTCATGCCTGTAATCTCAGCACTTTGGGAGGGAAGGATCTCTTGAGCCCAGGAGTTCAAGACCAGCCTGAGCAACATAGCAAGATTCCATCTTTACACAAAATTTAAAAATTGGCCAGGCATGGTTGTACATTCCTGTAATCCCAGCTACTCAGGAGGCTGAGGTGGGAGGATTGCTTGAGCCTGGGAGTTGGAGACTACAGTGAGCTGTGGCCACACCACTGCACTCCAGCTTGAGCAATGGAGCAAGACTCTGTCTCAAAAAAAAAAAAAAAAGGCCAGGCGCAGTGGCTCATGCCTGTAATCCCAGCACTTTGGGAGGCCGAGGCGGGTGGATCGCCTGAGGTCAGGAGTTTGAGACCAGCCTGGCAAACACGGTGAAACCCCATCTCTACTAAAAATACAAAATTAGCCCAGCGTAGTGGCGCATGCCTGTAATCCCAGCTACTAGGGAAGCTGAGGCAGGAGAATCGCGTGAACCTGGGAGGCAAATGTTCCAGTGAGCCGAGATCGTGCCATTGCACTCCAGCCTGGGCAGAGCCTGCTGGGTTGGGCTGGGTAAGCTCTGAACACCAGTCTCATGGCTTCAAGTCACACCTCCTAAGTGAAGCTCTGAACTTTCTCCAAGGACTATCAGGGCTTGCCCCGGGCAGAGGATGCCGACACTCACTGCTCTTACTGGGTTTTATTGCAGACAGACTACCACATGAACATGATGCACATCTACGTGTTCGCAGCCTATTTTGGGCTGTCTGTGGCCTGGTGCCTGCCAAAGCCTCTACCCGAGGGAACGGAGGATAAAGATCAGACAGCAACGATACCCAGTTTGTCTGCCATGCTGGGTAAGGACAAGGTGGGGTGAGTGGTCTCCTACTTGGGCTGAGCAGAATGGCTCAGAAAAGGCTCTGGCTGAAAAAATCTCCCTCCTTTACCAAGTTCCCCTGGGTGTCTGAAGCCCTTCCATCATGATTCATTTCTTTGAGTAGTGTTTGCTAAATTCATACCTTTGAATTAAGCACTTCACAGAGCAGGTTCAGGAGGCCTGGGGTATGCAGATTTCAACCCTCTTGGCCTTTGTTTCCTTGTCTGTAAAATGTGGTTAGCTGGTATCAGCTTGAGAGCTCGGAGGGGAGACGTGACTTCCCCATCTAACTCTAAGTGACAAGGCTGAGACTCTCCAGCCCTAGGATTCTCATCCAAAACCCCTCGAGGCTCAGACCTTTGGAGCAGGAGTGTGATTCTGGCCAACCACCCTCTCTGGCCCCCAGGCGCCCTCTTCTTGTGGATGTTCTGGCCAAGTTTCAACTCTGCTCTGCTGAGAAGTCCAATCGAAAGGAAGAATGCCGTGTTCAACACCTACTATGCTGTAGCAGTCAGCGTGGTGACAGCCATCTCAGGGTCATCCTTGGCTCACCCCCAAGGGAAGATCAGCAAGGTGAGCAGGGCGCTGCCCTTGGGCAGCACTTGGGTCTAACAGGACTAGCACACATATTTATGCCCCTCCCCACCCCAGGGCCAGCGTGGGTTGGGAGAGGGCATGCCGGGTGGTGGAGCTGTGCCTGCCTCTACAGTGGAGCTCTAGGTAGAATGCTGGGTGGTCACAGTGGGCCTGGGACTCAGGAGACTGTCCAGTGATCAAAGGCTTTCTGGGGGTAGTGATTAAATCCATCCATGCTAACATGAAACAGACCTCAGTTTGAACCCCATTTCTGCTAGTTGCTAAAGTCAGTCACCATGAGCGAGAGTCAGCAGCAACAGACTAGACTAGAATTAGCCAGCCTCTCTCTTCCCCCCAACAAATTTCAAGAATGGAACCATCAGAATCAGAAGTAGAGAAGTATGTGACACTAGCCATGTGGCTCTGGTCAAGCCACTTCAACGTTTTGAGTCTCAGTGGCCTCATCTGTAAAGTGGGAATTAAGAGATGGTGCATGTAAAGTGCTTAACGGGGAGTAAATGGTAGGCAAACATTAGCTGCTGCTATTAGTAAAGAGAGACGATGGTGTGTGTGAGTCTTGTGGGCAGAGATGGGTGAGAGGGGAGACAAAACAAGTTCTCATGATGATGGGGGAAGGGGCTCCAGCTGGTGGTGTCGGAGGGAAGTCTGGACAGACCAGTGGTGGGGCTCGGGTGGGAGGCACTGGGGGGGCTGGAGTGGAAAGAATGTGGCCACAGATGACAGCTTCACAGCAGAATTCAGTGCTAAGAGGAAGTGAGTGGCCATGAGTTCCATGGTGACAGAAAGTCTAAGACACCCAGCAAGGCAGGAGTGGGTGTCAACTCAGGGAAGCCCAGAGGCTAATCCTAGGTGAGAGCTGAGGGTGTCAGATAAGAGCAAGGCAAGGCTCCGGTTCTGGAGCAGTGAAGGACATAGCAGAGCTATGACCCAGGAACAAGGCCCAGCTTATTGAAACTGGGCCCAGTCACACAGGGTGGCACAGGCACCAAGTAGCCAATAATAATAATAAAAACAATAACAATGATTTGTGTCTACTGGGCATTTATTCATGTTCTATGCCAGACACTGGGCTAAGAGCTTTATATGTGGAAACTCATTTAATCCTTACAATAACCTTATGAAGAAGGTACATCCAAAACCCCATTCTTCTAGGCCAGGTGCAGTGGCTCACACCTGTAATCCCAATATTTTGGGAGGCTGAGGCAAGAGGATTGGTTGAGGCCAGGAGTTCAAGACCAGCCCAGGCAACATAGCAAGACCCTGTCTCTAAAAAATAAAACAAAAACCCATTCTTCCCGCTGCCCAGGGACACACCACTAATGAGTGTGATGGGTGCCTAGGATGCTGAGCACCTGGACTTCCCAGCTCATTCCCTAAATGCTGCACAATCAGGGTAACTGTGCCCTGAGCCTAAGAGGCAGTAGTGAGCTGGCCCATCATGTCCACTGATGAAGGACACGTAGCCCCAACACAGGGGAGAAGTGGTTTCAGGATCAGCAAAGCAGGGAGGATGTTACAGGGTTGCCTTGTTCCCAGCGTGCTGGTCACTTGCAGCAAGATGGTGTTCTCTCTCTACCTTGCTTCCTTTACCCACACGCTATTTCTTTGCAGACTTATGTGCACAGTGCGGTGTTGGCAGGAGGCGTGGCTGTGGGTACCTCGTGTCACCTGATCCCTTCTCCGTGGCTTGCCATGGTGCTGGGTCTTGTGGCTGGGCTGATCTCCGTCGGGGGAGCCAAGTACCTGCCGGTAAGAAACTAGACAACTAACCTCCTCTGCTTTGGCTGAAGGCCAGCAGGACGCTGGGACCTGATGGGCCACTGTGCAGTGCACAGCTGCATTAGGCAGGTGTCGGCGCATTCTCTTATTGGCTTCAACGCCTAGTGAGGGATCCATCCTGGCTCGGTGGCGCATTTGTTAAGATGCTCGGGAGCAGGTGGCAGAACCCATTTGAGCTTGCTTGGGCATTGGGGAGAATTTGTTATCAGGCTACTGGGGTGTCACAGAACTCAAGGACAGGGACTGGAGTGTTGTGGGGAGCCCCGAAGCCCCTGTTTTACTTCTTTCTTTGCTTTTCCTGAATATCTGCTTTATTCTTACTCTATAGACATGCTTCCTCCTCTTTCACCCCACATTGTGGGGTGTAGTCTTTTGCTTCAAGAAAGCAGCCTGGTGGATGGAATCTCTTGGCCCCAATCCCAAATTCTCTGGAGAAGGGGCTCTTTGGTTTAACTTGGATAATGTTGTCTTCAGCTGGGGGTGGGCACATCGTGCATATGTGGCTGCTGCCGGGGAACCACGTGGATGATGTGAGAGGAGCAGCACCCAGAAGAGGGAGTGCTGGGCTGATGGTCCAGGTCGTGTCCACTTCTGATTGTTTAATTCTTCTTCTAAGTGGATGGATCTTTCTCCAATACTCAGCAAATCCTGATCGTTCCAGAATACTTCATTATAGCCAATTGGTTATAATGTGCTTCTCTAAGAGAAATATTTAGGGACAACAAATCTTCATGGGTTTGAAGACTTGATGGAGGAAAAAGGAGTAGATTTTCGAAGGCTGGATTTGGATGAACAGGGGCTATTCAGGGAGTGCATTCCAACCTAAAATTAGGAAAAACTGGCTGGGCGCAGTGGCTCACGCGCTTTGGGAGGCCGAGGCGGGCAGATGGCCTGAGGTCAGGAGTTCAAGACCAGCCTGGCCAACATGGTGAAACCCATCTCTACTAAAAGTACAAAAATTAGCCAGGCATGGTGGCGGGCACCTGTCATCTTAGCGACTCAGGAGGCTGAGACACGAGAATCACTTGAACCTGGGAGACAGAGCTTGCAGTGAGCTGAAATCGTGCCATGGCACTCCAGCCTGGGCGACAGAACAAGACTCTGTCTTAAAAAAAAAAAAAGTGGTTTATATACAGAGTGGAATATTATTTAGCCATAAAAAGAATGAAATCCTGTCATTTGCAGCAACATGGATGGAACTGGAGGTAATTAAAAAATAAAATTAAATAAGGAAAAACGTATCAATACTTCGATTAACCAAAACCAGGGCAAATCTGATTTTCATCTTTGCAAGGGGAACAAATTTCTTTTATCTCCTCTGGCTTTGAAACCCTGAAATGAAAGGAGGAAGGGCAGAAAAAAGAACACATAGCAAGTTATCATCAGTCTCAGCGCCCATCGCATTCCCTGAGCTTGTTTCCTTGACTTCATCACTGGCAGGACTATTCAAAAATGATTCGCTCATTCATTCATATATTCATTCATTCATCATTCCTTCATTCAACACATACGTTTTAACACTCATCTTGCTTTTCAAGCTATAGTTTAGTGAGCGAAATGGATACACACAATACAGTGTGAGAACAGCAAGAGGGCACATCTGAGCTAGCCTGGGATGGGTCTGGAAATGCTTCCTGGAGCAGAGGAAACGGTTGACAGCCAAGTGTTGACAGAGAAGTAGTATTAGCCAGGCAGAGACATGGGGAATGTATTCCAGGCAGAAGGCACAGTGTGTATGAAAGCTTATTGTTAAGAAGAGTGTGTGGCCCAACCAGGAAACAGACATTCTAAAGGCATAGGGTCCACCCAGGAGCATGGTGGACCCAGATCCCTGAAAGATGGGAGGTGCTCAGGCACACTTCCTGGGCTAGTTGAGGAGTCTGGATATTTATTTATTTATTTATTTATTTATTTATTTATTTATTGAGACAGAGTCTCATTCTGTCACCCAGGCTGGAGTGCAGTGGTGCAATCTCAGCTCACTGCAACCTCCACCTCCTGGGTTCAAGTGATTCTCCTACCTCAGCCTCCTGAGTAGCTGGGATTACAGGTGCCCACCACCATGCCTGGCTAATTTTCGTGTGTGTATGTATTTTGTTGTTGTTGTTGTTGTTGTTGTTGTTGTTGTTGAGACGGTGTCTCGCTCTTTTGCCCAGGCTGGAGTGCAGTGGCGCCATCTCAGCTTACTGCAAGCTCCGCCTCCCGGGTTCACACCATTCTCCTGCCTCAGCCTCCTGAGTAGCTGGGTCTACAGGCGCCCACCACCACGCCCAGCTAATTTTTTGTGTTTTTAGTAGAGACGGGGTTTCACCATGTTGGCCCTGCTGGTCTTGAACTCCCGACTTCAGGTGATCCACCCATGTCGGCCTCCCAAAGTGCTGGGATTACAGGCATGAGCCACCGTGCCCAACCTGGATTTTTATTCTGAAGACTAATAGGGATTCTAAGGAAGGAACCAGCCTGATTGAATTTGCATATGTGTCCACATCTGCTGGCTCACGGCTGTGTGGGAGGCTGAGTGATGGGGAGGAAGGATTACTGAGTAGGGATCTGAAGGTGTGGCCTCATGCTTTCTTTCTAACCAGCTGTGTTGTCTTTGGGATGGTGCTTAAATTTGGGCTAGACCAGTGGGTCTTGGTCACCCCCCAGGGGACATCTTACAATGTCTGGAGGCGTTCTTGGTTGACACAGTGGGGTGAGGGCTGCTACTGGCAGCTCGTGGGGAGAGACCAGGGATGCTGCTTAACATCCTACAGTACACAGGGCAGCCCCCACCACAAGGAATTATCAGCTGAAATTGTGAACAGTGTCTACACTAGACCCTTGCTACTCATAGTGTGGTCCGTAGACCAGCAGCATTGGCATCACCTGGGACCTTGTTAGAAATGCTGTTAGACCCCACCCCACATCCACTAAAGCCAGCTCTTCATTTCAACAAACTCCCCGATGATGTGAGTGCACATTCAAGTCTGAGAAGGGCTTCTTTGAGGTGAGCCTTAGTGCCCATCCCCCTTTGGTGGCCCCGGATACCAAGGGTGTGTGAAAGGGGTGGGTAGGGAATATGGGTCTCACCTGCCAATCTGCTTATAATAACACTTGTCCACAGGGGTGTTGTAACCGAGTGCTGGGGATTCCCCACAGCTCCATCATGGGCTACAACTTCAGCTTGCTGGGTCTGCTTGGAGAGATCATCTACATTGTGCTGCTGGTGCTTGATACCGTCGGAGCCGGCAATGGCATGTGGGTCACTGGGCTTACCCCCCATCCCCTTAACACTCCCCTCCAACTCAGGAAGAAATGTGTGCAGAGTCCTTAGCTGGGGCGTGTGCACTCGGGGCCAGGTGCTCAGTAGGCTTCGGTGAATATTTGTTGGCTGATTTATTCAGAAATTCTGTCCAGCCCCTACCTTGGATGGATTTATCACCTCTCCAGGCCACCTCTTCTTTCCAAATAGGGCCACCTAGGTATAGACCAAAGACACGAAATCTTTTGTGATCCCACAAACACAGAGCAGGTCAAATAGGCCCAAGCCAATTGAGACTGTGGTTCAGGTCGTGATGCAGAGCTTTGCTGTGGACGTGCTCCCACTGCGTACTAGCTGGGCATGTGGCTTAACCTTTCTCAGCCTCAGTCGCCCCATTGTAAATGGAGATAATGATACTATCTCCCCTCACAGGACTGTTGGGATGCTACTGGATTTAATAAGCTAATGCAGGGACATGCTAAGCACAACCCATCCCTGAGGCCCAGAGAGGGGTGGGCCTTGGCTGAGGTCTCACTGCGAGGTGGGAATGTGGGCCTCCAGACCAGAGGTAGGTCCTGTGGCCCCTAGACAGTGGACAGCAATGGTCAGTTTGACACACCAGAGCCCTAGCCATTACTTCCTGGATGTTGTGTGAATATTTTCTGGACATGGCTTATATAAAATGAAAAAGTGAATTGGGCACGATACAGGGATAGATTTTTAGAGATGAACTGGTAGCATGATGATAATCATATTCACTGATAACATTTACTACTGTTATTGACTGCTTTAAAAGTGTTGGGCATTGTGCTAGAAACCATTATATGCATTATCTCCTTGAATTCTCACAACCGCCTACTGAGGTATTCTCAGACTCTAAGAAATGAGATTTAAGAGAAGTTATCTGCCCAAGGTCACTCGGCTGGAACCTGGCTGTAAAAATGGCTGAAGCAGGTGATGAGGAGCTGATGCGTTTGGACGTGTCTCAGAGAAATCATGGAGGCGCTGCGGTTCCTACCGGTTCTTGGATGCCTTCTACAGAGACAACCATAGCCCCAAATTATAGGGATCACATATCAGTGGGTGAGACATCCTTGCTTGGGATGAGGAGGGGATGAGCTGTGTGAAGCAAGGCGCCTCTGTGATGGGTTCCAGTGATGTGTCTGCCACTGTCTTAATAACTGTGCAATTCTAAGCAGAACCTTTCCTGTCTCTGGGCCTGAGAGTTCCCCTCTGAAAGATGAGGACTTGACCTAGCAAGGTCCTACTCACATGCCTGTAGAGAACAGGCAGGGGAAGTTAGAAAAAAAAAAAAGCCAGTGAAGGAAGGGAGCTCTTCAGCTTGCACCCATCATCACAGTGCAGGGACCCAGGCTCAGTGTTGCCAGATCCAATGACTTCTCAAGAGCTCAAAATCTAGAGTTTTGCATGTGCTCTCCCAAGTACTGGCAGAAAATTCAAGATTGTTAGTAACACTGTGTGGCTAAATTCTGCTTGTGGGCTGCCTAGATTCCCAATTCTGTGATTCTGTGGTTCTCTGGAAGCATTGGTTCTCCACAGCACCTGCATCACTTGGAAACTTGTTAGAAATGCAAGCCCTACCTACGGCCCCACCCCAGACCTACCCAGTTAGAAATCTGGGGGTGGGACCTATCAGTCCATGTTTGAACAAGCCCCACAAGTGTTCTCTTGCAAGCTCAAGTTTTAGAACCACTGACCTATAGCCAAAAAAGAAAAAGCCAATCAGTGGTTTTCTGGTAAAGGATTAACTTAACAAACTGGCTTTCCAAGAAAATAAAGCCTTGATTGGTAGCACTTGCAATTTCTATGGTACAAACGCTTCCCGCATGACTGAGTTCAAGCTGTCAAGGAGACATCACTATACATGGACTTGGGAAGAGATGAGAACAATCAGCCCACTGAGCCTATGGGAACTGGCTCCAGCACATCCCTGCAAGTCAACTCTCATCAGGGTGAGTGAGTTGAGGACCAAGAAGCAGTTATCCTCTTGCCTTTGCAGGACCCAGGCAAAGGGAAGGGCATAGTGACAGTGATGATCTCTCTTCCGGAAGTCTTTGGTTTGCTGAGAGTAAAAGGCGTGGGCTTCACCAGTGGTGAAGCCAGTCATGCAGCCTTAGTCCTGGTACTGAAACTCTCTAAATCTCAGTTTTCTATCTGTAAAATGGGAAAATAAGACCTATGTCACAGGGTTGCTGTGCAGATTTAGCAACAGAACATAGCCCCGTTCTTTATGATGACTGATGCTGCATCCGTATGAGGACATCTCTATGTAATGGAAAGATGGAGAGAGGATTAAGCGCAAAGTCACAACACTTAATGGGAACTGTGGATTAGCTACTTGGTGGCATTGGGCAAGTCAGTTGACTTTGCATTAATTCCACAAACAATATTTCCCAATTTCCTATTCAGATGAGCATATGTGATTGAGTCAGATGCTGTGATCAGAACCAGGATGGAGCATTTCCCACAAACTGTGGGATTTTTAAGTAATGGGAAGGCACACTGAAATGGCACTGAATCATGCAGTTGCAGATACTCTTTTTCAATTCTCAGTCCTTTGATTACGTCAGGGAGAAAAGAAAGTCCCCACTTGGCCTGAGAATCTCTGCACCCTTCTAGCTCTTGTTAACCACTCTTTTGAATAGCAGAGAAAACCTCAGACTGCCATATCTGGGAGAGATTTTAGCAACATTTTGTTTTCATTGTATCTCTTTTTACAGCTACCTCCCATTTCCCTTCTATTTCAAGCTAGTAACTCAGTTTTCTTTTAAATTCAATTATTTAAATGTAAAAATAAGTCTATTTGGAGAAAAAAAATTTTAATAGCATCTCTGGAATGCCAGTATGGCTAAATTCATGAATGTTGTCCTCAAATGCTGAAATCTGGGAAGCATCTGGCCAAGCTTTGTGGACAGGCCTGCCTAGTTTGAATCCCAAGAGCCACCCAGTCCAAGCCACAAAACATTGGAATTCTTGGTTCACTTCCCTAACCTGAACTTGCCCTCTGTGAAATAGGGACACTAATAGCTCACTCACAGGGCTGCTGTGAGGACATGTGTTGAGCTGAGGGTCTCGCCAGGGGAGACCCTGTGCAGGGAGACTGTTATCATGGTGATGGATTTCTGCTTCATTCATTTCTTTTTCCAGACAGCATCATATAGAATGAGTTGTGGGGTGGCAGTCAGCAGGTTTGGGTTTATCCTCTATTCTGCCACTTATTACTTAAAAAAACCCCAAAAAACCCAACTTATATAGTATAAGCTATATCCAGAAAAGTGCAAATATCATACAAGTACCATTTGATGAATCTTCTGATATCCCCACATAACCAACACCCAGAACCTCTTCTTGTCTCATTCCAGGATAACCACTAACCTGACTTCTAACAGCATCAGTCAGTTTTGTCTGTTTTTGTACATTATATATGTGATGGTTTGAATGTGTCCCCCAAATTTCATGTGCTGGAAACTTAATCCTTCAATTCATATGTTGATGGTTTTTGGAGGAAGGGCCTTTGGGAAGTAATTAGGATTAGATAAGGTCATGGGGTGAGGTATGATGGCACTGGTGACTTATAAGAAGAGAAAGAGAAATCTGAGCTGGCATGCTCTTGCCCTCTCACTGTGTGATGACTTCTCCATGTCATGATGCAGCAAGAAGGCCCTCACCAGATGGTGGCACCATGCTTTTGGACTTCCCAGCCTCTAGAACTGTGAGCTAAATCAATTTATTTTCTTTATAATCACCCAGTTTGATATTTTGTCATAGCAACAGAATATGGACAAAGAAAGAAAATTAATGCAAGAAGTAGAGTTTTTACTGTAACAGATTCCTGAAAATGTGGAAGTGGCTTTGGAACTGGGTGATGGGAATAGGTTGGAAGAGTTTTGAGGAGCAGGCTAGAAAAAGCCTGTATTGTCAAGAATGGAGCATTATGCCAGGCACGGTGTCTCAGGCTTATAATCCCAGCACTTTGGGAGGCCAAAGCAGGTGGATCACCTGAGGTCAGGAGTTCGAGACCAGCCTAGCTAACATGGTGAAACGCTGTTTCTACCAAAAATACAAAAAATTAGCTGGGCGTGGTGGCGCACACCTGTAATCTCAGCTACTCAGGAGGCTGAAGCAGGAGAATCACTTGAACCCAGGAGGCAGAGGTTGCAGTGAGCTGAGATCGTGCTATTGCACTCCAGCTTGGGCAACAAGAGCAAAACTCCATCTCAAAAAAAAAAAAAAAGAAAGAAAAAGAATGGAGCATTAAAGACAGTTCTGCAGTTCTGGTGAGGGCTTAAAGGAAGACCCCAGAACTAGGGAAAGTCTGGAACTTCTTAATGGTTACTGAAGTCGTTGAGATCAGAGTGCTGATAGAAATATGGCTGGTAAAGGCCATTCTGATGAGGTCTCAGATAGAACTGAAGAACCACGTGTTGGAAACTGGAGCAAAGGTCATCCTTTTTATAAAGAAGCAAAGATCTTAGCTGAACTTTTTCTGTGCCAGAGTCATTTATGGAAGGCAGAAAATCTGTAGGTCAGCCATGTTGTAGGGAATGAAAGAACATTTTCAGCTGAGAACACTGAGAGTGTGACACAACTACCGACTGATAAGAAAACTAGTACACATAAATTAGCCAGGCGTGGTGGTGGGCGCCTGTATTCCCAGCTACCTG
Organism: Homo sapiens; assembly: GCF_000001405.40. NCBI lineage: Eukaryota > Metazoa > Chordata > Mammalia > Primates > Hominidae > Homo > Homo sapiens. The sequence goes on from NC_000001.11 coordinate 25,311,419, forward strand.
GGAGGCTGAGGCAGGAGAATGGCATGAACCCGGGAGGCAGAGCTTGCAGTGAGCCAAGATCGCGCCACTGCACTCCAGCCTGGGCGACAGAGCAAAACTCCGTCTCAAAAAGAAAAAAAAAAGGAAGAAAGAAAATTAGTACACATAGAACAAAGCCAGAGGCTGTTCATCAGGACAAGGGAGAAAAACTCCAAAGCCATTTCAGAGATCTTCAAGACTGCCCCTCCCATTACTGGCCCAGAGCTCTAAGAGGGCAGAATGGTTTGGAATGACCAGCTGCTGCCCAGGGCTGCCTTGGGTCTCTGCTCCCCACATTTCTGGTGCAGCATTCCTCAGCCATCCCAGCTGTGGTTCAGGTGGCCACAGGTGTGATGTGGAAGGTAAAAGTCATAAACCTTGGCAGCATACACATGGCACTAATTTTGCAGGTGTGCAGAATGCAAAAGCTGAGGGGGCATGCCTTCTTCCACCTACATTTCAAAGGGTGCTGTGAACAGCCACCCCAGAGAGCCCCTAGTAGAGCAGGGTCTAGTGGAGCTACAAGGGTGGGGCCACCGCCAAGACCCCAGAATGGTAGAGCTATCATAGTGCAATGCCAGCTTGGGAGAACTGCAGGCATGAGACTCCAACCTGTGCGAAGTGCAACATGGGCAGAACCCAGCAAAACCACAGGGGCAGAGCTCCCCGAAGCTTCGGGGGTCCAAATTCCATAGTGTGTCCAGGAGGTGGCACACAGAGTAAAAGATCATTCTGAAGGTTTAAGGTTTAATGTTGTTTTCTATGTTGGGTTTTGTACTTTCCTGGAACCAGTTACCCTTTTTCCCTTGCCTCTTTTTCCTTTTAGAATGGGAATGTCTGTCCTATGCCTGTTCCACTGTTGTATTTTGGAAGTCAATAACTTGTTTTGACTTTACAGGCTTACAGCCAGAGGGAATCTCCCATAGAATGAATTGTACCTTAAGTCTCACCCACATCTGATTTAGATGAGACCATGGACTTTGGAATTTTGAGTTGGTGCTGGAACAAGTTAAGACTTTGGGGGTTGTCTAAGTGTGGTGTTTCATGCCTGTAATCCCAGTGATTTGGGAGGTTGAGGTGGGAGGATTGCTTGAGCCCAGGAGCTCAAGACCAGCCTGGGCAACATAGTGAGACCTGTCTCTACAAAAAATAAAAATAAAAAAATTAGCCAGGTATTGTGGCATATACCTGTAATTCTAGCTACTCAGGAGGCTGAGGTGAGAGGATCACTTGAGCCCAGGAGTTTGAGGCTGCAGTGAGCTATGGTCGTGCCACTGCATTCCAGCCAGGGCAACAGAGTGAGACTCTGTCTCTACAAATAAAATTAAATAAACTTAGCTGGATATGGTGGCACACATCTGTAGTCCTAGCTACTCAGGAGGCTGAGACAGGAGGATTACTTGAGCCAAGGAGTTTGAGGCTGCAGTGAGCTATGATCATGCCACTGCATTCCAGCCTGGATGATAGAGCAAAATCCCATCTCTAAAAAAAAAAAAAAAAAAAAAAAAAAAAAAAAAAACTTTAGTGCTATTGGAATGAATTTTGCATGTAAGAAGGACATGCATTTTGGGGGCTGGGGCAGGATGCTGTGGTTTGAATGCATCCCTCAAATTTCATGTGTTGGAAACTTAATCTCCAAATTCATATGTTGATGAAATTGGAGGTGAAGCCTTTGGGAGGTAACTAGGATTAGATAAAGTCATCAGGGTGGGGCCCCTATGATGAGACTGGTGGCTTACAAGAGGAAGAGAGAACTGAGCTGACATGCTCTTGCCCTCTTGCCATGTGATACCCTCTGCCATGTAATGGCAGGCACAGCAAGAAGGTCCTCAACAGATGCCAGCAGCATGTTCTTGGACTTCCCAGCCTCCAGAACCATGAGCTATATATACTTATTTTACAAATTACCCATTCTGTGGTATTCTGTTATAGCAATAGAAAATGAACTGAGATAATATACATGGAATCATACAGTAAGTCTGTGCTTTTGTATGCTTCTTTTACTCAACATTGTAGTTGTGAGATTCATCCAGGTTGTTAAGCATTGCTGTACCCTTTTTCCACTGGGATATAGTGTTCTGTCATGCTTGGGTCTTAATTTATAAAGGTGACTGAGTGGCATTTTCTTCCAGTATTATTGGAAGGAAAGTTTTGTTGTTCACAGTTCCCCTGTAAACAAGAGGCAGAACACGTCATGCAGGGCCACACAAAACTGTATCATCCAGGGACCAGGCAGCAGAAAGAGAGGGGGAACTGGGACTATGCCTTTATGAAAAAGAGTGGTGGGAGAGTAACTGGGTGAGGGCATCCACTAATGGGCAGGAAGTGAAAACACATATGTTAGAATTTGTAGCTGAGGGGTTTATAATATGAGTTTCCTATGCCTGAGAAAGCTGACTTGCAAGAAAATGAGATAAACAACTTTGGCCATTAGTGTGGCCCTGTCATAAATGAATGCCAGATAGGCAAATAGAGAATCTAAGAAAAGATAGTTGGAACAAGTGTTCCATTGTGTGAATGCAGCAGAATTTATTTATCCATTATTGAGGAGGATTTGGGTAGTTTCCAGTTTGGAGCTATTATGAATATTCTAGTATTGCTCCTATGAACATTCTAGCACTTTTATTTTTGGAGCACACGAATGCACTTCTGTTGATTATATGCCTAGAAGTGAAATTGTTGAATTATACAGTATTCACACAGTCAGCTTTAGTGGCTACTGCTAAACAATTTTCTCTAGTAGTTTGCGCCAATCTAATCACCAGTAGTGTATAGAAGCTCCTTTTACTCCACATTTTGCCAACACTTGGTGTTTTCCTTCTTTTTGATTAGTCATTTAGCAATCAAACCTATTGTTTACATTTTGATATCTCCAATAACTAACTAAATGGAGCACTTTTAATATGCTTTTTGGACAGTTGAATATCTTTTCTTGTGAAATGTCTATTCAAGTTAGTTTGCCCATTTTCTATTGTGGTGTTCTGTCTTTTTCTTATTGATTTGTAGGAATTCCTTACGTATCCTGGATATGAATCCCACTTTGTGCGTTACCTTTTTCCTTCTTTCTTTCTTTTTGAAACAGAGTCTCCTTCTGTCACCCAGGCTGGAATGCAGTGGCGCTATCTCAGCCCACTACAACCTCTGCCTCCCAGCTTCAAGCAATTCTCATACTTCATCCTCCTGAGTAGCTTAGATTACAGGCGCATGCCACCATGCCCAGCTAACTTCTGTATAGACAAAATAATTTTTGGTAGAGACAGGGTTTTGCCATGTTGGACAGGCTGATCTTGGACTCCTGGCCTCAACTTTGGCCCACCTTGGCCTCCCAAAGTGCCAGGATTACAGGTGTGAGCCACCATGCCCAGCCCACCTTTTACTTTCTTAATGGTGTCTTTTGAACAAGAGAGGTTCTTAATTTTAATATAGCCCAATTTATCATTGTTCCCTTTATGTTTAGTTCTTTTATGTCCTTTTTAAGAATTTTTGCAGCCAGCGCGGTGGCTCACACCTGTAATCCCAGCACTTTGGGAGGCTGAGGCTGGCGGATCACAAGGTCAAGAGATCGAGATCATCCTGGCCAACATGGTGAAGCCCTGTGCCTACTAAAAATACAAAAAATTAGCTGGGCGTTGTGGCTCTTGCCTGTAGTCTCAGCTACTCGGGAGGCTGAGATCACGCCACTGCACTCCAGCCTGGTGACACAGCAAGACTCCATCTCAAAAAAAAATTTTTTTTGCAAGGTCATGCATATGTCCCCCTGATTTTTTTCCTAAAAATCACTTATTATTAGATCAATGAATTGAGTAATTGACTACATTTTTCAGTCATTCAACAAATATTTCCCTGAGGTTTTGATAACCTGAACTGTGTTTGGAGCTGGGGAGGAAGCAAACTATTGAAGATATACAAAGATGGCAAAGATGAGGGCCTGGAGCTTGCCACACGGAAGGGGGGATGGCTGCCTGAATGGTTGGGCAGGTAGTTGTTGACATCTGCACTCCCTACATGAGCAGCAGGGTGGCAACTCTTTTTATCTTTTTAATTTATTTTTCTTTTCTTTCTTTCTTTTTTTTTTTTTGAGATGGAGTCTCGCTGTGTTGCCCAGGCTGGAGTGCAGTGGCGTGATCTCAGCTCACTGCAAACTCCACCTCCCAGGTTCACGCCGTTCTCCTGCCTCAGCCTCCTGAGTAGCTGGGACTACAGGCGCCTGCCACCACTCCCGGCTAATGTTTTGTATTTTTAGTAGAGAAGGGGTTTCACTGTGTTAGCCAGGATGGTCTCCATCTCCTGACCTCATGATCTGCCCGCCTCGGCCTCCCAAAGTGTGGGGATTACAGGTGTGAGCCACCACACCCGGCCTTAATTTATTTTTCTAGTCTGCAGGTAATTCTTTTTAATTCTCTCCACTCTCCTATGATCTTATGAGGTAGGGACTGTCATTATTTCTCCCACTTTATAATGAACAATCAGTAAAGACAGGGAAGATAACCAAATGACATACAAGGTGGGGTCCACCCCATGAGGCTGCAGGCTTGGAGCTTTGCTTTGTCTTAAAAATGAGAACATGAGCTGCCCACCTGTTGAGACAAGAAACAGGAAAGGCTTAAAAAACTGGCTTGTTATGTACAACTATCCGTGGGGCTGCAGTGAACGGGCTGGCAGTGCCCAGGTGCAGGCTGAACCCTGGGACAATCACATTCAGCATCCAAGGGCCCCCGTAATAGCTTAATGTTTGAATTGAACCCCTGGGGTTGCCTTGAAGGAGAGAGGTCGTGGAAGTATGTTCAAGGGGTAGGGATGGGCAGGGGAGATGGGTCTGAAAGCCAAGCTCTACCCCACCCACCTTGCCCCAAGAGAAATAGAACCTTCATCTTTAATTGCCTAACGAGAAAACTGGGGCTGGCCAGATGTGGTGGCTCATGTCTGTAATCCCAGCACTTTGGGAGGCCGAGGCGGGCAGATCACTTGAGGTCAGGAGTTCGAGATCACCCTGGTCAACATGGTGAAACCCCGTCTCTATTAATAATACAAAAATTATCCAGGTATGGTGGCGCATGCCTGTAGTCCCAGCTACTTGAGGCACAAGAATCGCTTGAACCTGGGGGACAGAGGTTGCAGTGAGCCGACCACTGCACTCCAGTCTGGACGACAGAGTGAGACTCCATCTCACAAACAAAAACAGAAAAAAAAAAAAAAAAAAGAGAGAGAGAGAAAACTGGAGGCTCTGAGAGGTTGAGGGACTTGCCCAGGGTCTTGCAGCTAGTAAGTGACAGAGCTGGGACTTGAGCTTGGGTTTTCTGACTCCTGGTCTGGTTCATTATCCATGAGGTGCTGGGAACTAAAATAAGCCACAATCTTGGAATCTCCGTCGCCTCCCTCCCTCCCACATGTCTGCGTGGCTTTTTGGGAAAATGCCAGGGGAATGTACCAGCCAGGGAGAGGACCCTTGTTTTCCTCATGGCCCTTCCTGGCAATGGCACTACTGACACCGACAGTCCTTTTTGTCCCTGATGACCTCTGCTGCCTGATGCCCAAGTGACCACCTCTGCTTTGTCATTTCTAGGATTGGCTTCCAGGTCCTCCTCAGCATTGGGGAACTCAGCTTGGCCATCGTGATAGCTCTCATGTCTGGTCTCCTGACAGGTCAGTGTGAGGCCACCTTTCTTCCACCATTGCCAGGACACAGCACCCACGTCCAGAGCGCACCCTGCCGTGTGGCTGGATGTCTATGTGCCCCATCTCCTTCCCTGAGGATCACATAATTTCAGAATTGGAAAGGTTCTTAGAGGTCACCTGCTGCTAATGTGGACTGTGAGGCCAGGGCAGGGAAGGGACATCCCTGAGGTTATAAGTAGGGTGAGTGGCAACGTTGCAGACTTTTGAACCCAGGGCTGGTGATCACACTCAGTTTTGCACAGAAGCCCGAGAAAATCCTTACACCCAAAAGCCTACCTTTTATTTCTGAGGACACCCATAATACTATTTTATTCAACAGATATTTATTCAATATCCACTATGAGCCAGGCACTGGGGACACAGCAGTGAGCAAAACAAATTCCCTGACCCCATGGAATTGACCTTCTAGTGGGGGAAGGTATTAGCAATAAATAGACAAATAAGTGTCTACTACGCCAGATGGGAAGAAGTGGCTGTGAAGACAGAGCAAACTAGAGAAACATAGAGTCAATGTGGGATGGGGTGTTCTTTTAGGGGGGTGGTCAGGGAAAGCTTATCTGAGTAGTTAGCTTTTAAGCAGAGACCCCAATGAAGAGGAGGGAGATATGCGATGCATTTAGTTAGGGGAAGAACATTCCATGAAAATAGGATAGCAAGTGCAAAGGCCCTGAGACAGCAGCATGCTTTGTGTGTTGAGGGAACAGTAAGGAGACCAGTGTGGTTGGTGTGAATGGAGTGAGAAGGAGCAGCAGGGGTTGAGGGCAGAATGGTAGTGAGGAGCAGGCCCTTATAAAAGATGGGAAGCCACTGGAGATCTTTCAACAAAGGGGAAAAGTATGTTTCTGTTCTTGCAATAAAATAGAACAGCAAAAAATCTAGGGGAGTTGCTAATTAGCCAGTTTTACTTATATGCCAGGTGAAAATATGTGGCTAGGTGCAGTGGCTCATACCTGTAATTGCAGCAGTTTGGGAGACCGAAGTGGGCAGATCATCTGAGATCAGGATTCAAGACCAGCATGGCCAACATGGTGAAACCCCATCTCTACTAAAAATTAAAAAATAAGCCAGGCGTGGTGTTGGATCCCAGCTACTTGGGAGGCTGAGGCAGTAGAATTGCTTGAACCCGGGAGGCAGAGGTTGCAGTGAGCCGAGACTCTGTCTAAAAAAAAAGAAAAAAAGAAAATACACATTCAGGCCAGGTGCAGTGGCTCACGCCTGTAATCCCAGCACTTTGGGAGGCTGAGACAGGTAGATCACTTGAGGTCAGGAGTTCGAGACCAGCCTGACCAACATGGCAAAACCCTGTCTCTACCAGAAATACAAAAATTAGCCAGGCGTGGTGGCGTGTGCCTGTAGTCCCAGCTACTGGGGAGGCTGAAGTAGGGGAATGGCTTGACCCCAGGAGGTGGAGGTTATAGTGAGTCGAGGTTGCACCACTGCCCTCCAGCCTAGGTGACAGAGTGAGACTGTCTCAAAAAAAAAAGAAAGAAAATATACATTCCATCCAGAACTGTTCACCTTTATTCTACAAGCAAACATCTTTTATTGGTTAGACACCCATATATGTGTCCCTAAGCAGGAGGTGAATGCCAAATAAGAGACAAATGGCGTAAGACACTATGAGTTGTGTGACGTTGGGCATGTCACTTTACTCCCTCTGAGCCTTGGTTAGCTTCTCTGTAAAATGAAAGGATTATGGTAACTAAGCTGGCTTCCTTCCAGCTTTAACAAACTGTATGGAGGTACTTTTTGGAGTTACCTGGGTAATTTTTGAGTGTGAGATTGGCTAGAATTGCTTTAATATACCATGTCTGGCCTTAGCTTTTTGCAGAGTCTTTGTGAAGAAGCAGAGGCGGAGTAGCGTTAATTCCGTAAGTTAACGTTCAGTTCGTGGCAGCTGGCAATCCAACCCTGGGAAAGGCTGCCGGATTTAGCAAAAATGCAAGGTGTCTGTTTTTAAATTTGAAATGAATTGGGTATCCTGCATTTTATTTGGCAACCCTGTCCTGGGACTCACACTATTCACTGTTATCACTGGTATGTTCAAAGTGGTGCTGACTTGCCCTCTGTCTTGCAAAGTACCAGGAGGTCTTTTCTTATTCTTCACTGGAGTCAAAAAAGAGAATAGAGGAAAAGACAATCATATTGTTCCTTTAAGAGTTAAGACCAACAAGTTTTCTTCTTTACATGTTGTTTTTGACATGAGCAAACTGGTGATTAAAAACAACTTGGGTGGCTCATACTTGTAATCCCAGCACCTTGGGAAGCTGAGGTGGGAGAATAGCTTGAGGCCAGGAGTTCAAGCCAGGGCAACATAGTGAGACCCCATCTCTACAAAAGATACAAAAATTAGCCAGGCGTGGTGGTACACCTGTAGTCCCAGCTGCTCTGGAGGCTGAGATGGGAGGATCAGTTGAGCTTGGGAGGCAGAAGTTGCAGTGAGCTGAGATCATGCCACTGCACTCCAGCCTGGACAACAGAGCAAGACCCTGTCTCAAAAAAGGAAACAAAACAACTTGGACAATGGAAGGGGGAAAAAGTTCCTCAAGCAGCCAAAATTGCACCAAATGGACTCCCAGAAGACAAGCATTTAATTTGTTAATTGAGCCCTCTATGGGCCTGTCTGTATTTATTTAAGAAACAATCCTATCAAGCATAGTTATTGGGTTTCTCAGCCCAGGTAGATTAGAAATAGCAGATTAGAGGTGGGCTAGGTTTCTAGAGGTAAAGTACACCAGCAGAAGTTAGAAGTGAAAGCAAAGAGCCTAACAGAGGAAGAGAAATTCTTTTTTTTTTCTTTTTTTAGACGCAGTTTTGCTCTTGTTGCCCAGGCTGGAGTGCAATGGCGCTATCTCGGCTCACTACAACCTCAGCCTCCTGGGTTCAAGTGATTCTCCTGCCTCAGCCTCCCGAGTAGCTGGGATTACAGGCATGCACCACCACACCCGGCTAATTTTGTATTTTTAGTAGAGACAGGGTTTCTCCATGTTGGTCATGCTGGTCTCGAACTCCTGACCTCAGGTGATCCGCCCACCTTGGCCTCCCAAAGTGCTGGGATTACAGGGATAAGCCACTGCGACCGGCCGACAAATTCTTAAAACTGGACACAAGAACACAAAACGCTTGGGCTGCTGAGAGATTAGAACAACAACCCTCCACAGCTACACACCTTTTCCACGTTATATGGCACGTTATAAGTGGGTGTTCCTAGTGATGGTTCTGATTTTTTTTAAAAAAAGTCTAAATATGTTTAATGTTGTCTCAGAAGACAAAATATATTTTAGACAGATATTCCTCAGTGATGAGTAAGCCTCAGCTATCTGGAAAATTCATGCAGGCGCCAGAGATCGTTACTGAGTAATTCAAGCTAACTGCGTCATGCTGGTTGTACCCTGCATGCCAATATCAGCTAAAAGCAGCACCACGAAAGGGAAATACGAATCTCACTAAGCACTCGCCCATTCTTGTTAACGACACTGGAACTGATCATCCTTAATAATACACAGATAAATCTATCAGGAGCATTTCCTTGCTTCCTGTGAAAGGAAGCACTCATTCCATGTGTCCTGTGAAATTCATCCAACTTCAGGAAGCTGGAGGAATACATATGGCCAAGCTATCTGGGCAGAGAGTAGACAGGGAATGGAGGTTGGGCACAGTGGCTCACACCTGTAATCGCAGCCATTTAGAAGGCAAAGGCGGGCAGATCACTTGAGCTCAGGTGTTCAAGACCAGCCTGGGCAACATGGCTAAGTCCTGTCTCTGCAAAAAATACCAAAAACTGAGCTGGATATGGTAGCACACACCTGTGGTCCCAGCTACTTGGGAGGCTGAGGTGGGAGGGTTGCTTGACCCCGGGAGTTTGAGGCTGCAATGAGCTGTGATTGTGCCACTGCACTCCAGCCTGGATAACAGAATGAGACTCTGTCCCAAAAATAAAAAATAAAATCAAAGACACTTAAAAAGATGGGGAAAAGGAAGGACAGGCACTTAAGCAAGTTATAAGCTACTTTCCTAACTACACAAGTGGAATCTTAAGCTGAGGTTCCCAGGAGTTGACTGGAGCCAGAGAAGACAGACCTATAGGAGCACCCAATTGGAGTCACCCTCCATAGTAGCCCATATGTCTTACATGGATCAGCTTTCGTGGGGCCCTTTTACTCCATCTGGGGAAGGGCGTCAGATCTGTGGCTCTCATGTACTGCTCAGTACACTGCCATTCCCAGTTCTTTTTTTCAAAAAAAAAAAAAAAATGTCTACAGAATCGGCCAGGTGTGGTGGCTCATGCCTGTAATACTAGCACTTTGGAAGGCTGAGGTGGGTGGATCACCTGAGGTCGGGAGTTCGAGACCAGCCTGGCCAACATGGTGAAACTCCATCTCTACTAAAAAAAAAAAAAAAAAAAAAATTAGCTGGATGTGGTGGCAGGCGCCTATAATCTCAGCTACTTGGGAGGCTGAGGCAGGATAATCGCTTGAACCTGGGAGGCAGAGGCTGCAGTGAGCCGAGATCACGCCATTGTACTCCAGCCTGGGCGATAGAGTGAGACTCTGTCTCAAAATAAATAAAATAAAATAAAATAAAATAAAATAAAATAGGCTACAGAATTAAGCTGGTCCAGGAATGACAGGGCTTCCATTTATTTGTCTTTCAATTGTGGGAGAAAAAGGATTTCTGTTGAGATACTGTCGTTTTGACACACAATATTTCGATTAATCTTGAGATTAAAAATCCTGTGCTCCAAATCTTTTAACATTAAATTATGCATTTAAACAGGTTTGCTCCTAAATCTTAAAATATGGAAAGCACCTCATGAGGCTAAATATTTTGATGACCAAGTTTTCTGGAAGGTAAGATTTTTCACCTATTAACGTGATAGATTTTGAGTGCATGAACTTAAAAACATACCTGAGTATATATGTTGACTTGCTGTTTATGAGTAAAACAAAAACAAAAATGGAGTAAGGAGCATTGCAGGAGGAACTAGAGGAGAAACAAATCCATGATATGCATGTGTGTGGGGGAGGGTGGCGGGGAGGTGGTAAAGGTCACCATTTCCCTGATACCTCAAATTCATTCAGAGTCAGGGATGAGACAGCTTTCACTGGCCACACTTCCCCTCCCCCTATCTGCAGTCCTCAGCGTAGCCAAATAGTCTGACATGCGGGTGACAGAACCCCACAATGCAAAAGCTGGAAGAAACCTCAAGCCTTGGAGTCCAACCCCTTTTTTGACAGATGCTAAGAGTGGAGACATGACTTATCAAGATCTTACAACTGGCTGGGCACGGTGGCTCACGCCTGTGATCCCAGCACTTTGGGAGGCTGAGGTGGGGCGATCACCTGAGGCCAGGAGTTCGAGACCAGCCTGGCCAACGTGTCGAAACCCCATCTCTACTAAAAATACAAAAGTTAGCTGGGTGTGGTGGCACATGCCTGTAATCCCAGTTACTCAGGAGGCTGAGGCAGGAGAATCACTTGAACCTGGGAAGCGAAGTTTGCAGTGATCTGAGATCATGCCACTGCACTCCAGCCTGGGTGACAGAGCGAGACTTTGCCTCAAAAACAAAACAAAACAATTGTACATATTTAAAGTGTTGTAACCAAGTGAGTTACAGAGAAACACCACACTTTGAGCCTAATTCAGGAGTCCTTTATTAGCCGGCGACCTAGAGACGACTAGTGCTCAAAATTCTCTCGGCCCCAAAGAAGGGGCTAGATTTTCTTTTATACCTTGGTTTAGAAAGGGGAGCGGGAATTGAGCTGAAGCAATCTTACAGAAGTAAAACAGGCAAAAAAGTTAAAAAGACAAATGGTTACAGGAAAACAAACAGTTCCAGGTGCAGGAGCTTTAAAGCCATCACAAGGTGACAGGTGCGGGGGCTCTGGGTGCTATCTGCCGGACACAAACGCAGGGGCACTAGAGTACTATCACCCGGGCAAATTCCTGGGAACTGCGGACACAGCTTGCCACAGTACCTTATCAGCTAATTGCACTCTTTGATGTGCTGGGAGTCAGCTTGCACAAGTTAAGTCCTTGAGGAAGGGGGTGGGTAAGGAGCCCTTAACGTCTTGCAAATGAAGGAGCCGAATGGAATCCCTCCGGCTTTCTTAGCTAAGAGAGAGTCAATCAAGTTAATACAAGTTAGGGTATCACAAAAGTATATAATTTGATACATTTTAACGTATTTATACACTGAAGAGACCATCACCACCATCAAGACAAGGAGCACACCCATCACTTCCACACACTTCCTCCTGCTCCTTTGAAATTCCTCCCTCCCTACCCACCTGGTCCCACCCAAAGGCAACCACTGAACTACTTTCTGTCACTAAGGTTTGCATTTTCTGTAATTTTTTTGTTTGAGACAGGGTCTCACTCCGCCACCCACACCGTAATGCAGTGGCACCATCATGGCTCACTGTAGCCTCAACCTCCCCAGGCTCAGGAGATCCTCCCCCCTCAGCCTCCTGAGTAGCTAGGACCACAGGTGTAGGCCACCATGGCAGGCTAATTTTTGTATTTTTTTGTAGAGATGGGGTTTCACCGTATTACCTAGGCTGGTCTCGAACTCATGGGTTCAAGCAATCCTCCTGCCTTGGCCTCTCAAAGTGCTGGGATTATAGGCATGAGCCACTGTGCCCAGCCCTCTGTAATGTTACACAAAGGGAATCATGCAGCACGTACTGCCCTTGGTCTGGCTTCTTTTGCTCAGCATGATTATTCTGAGAATCATCCGTGTTGTTGCGTGTAACTGACTTCATCAGCTTCTCTCTGCAGCTGTCAGCTCTTGGCTTCTCCCAACAGCCAATCTCTCTTTATCCCCTGCAAGTGTTCTTGCCTATTTAGCAGAATCAAGGTACTCTATCGAAAAGACTCGGAAAATTGGTTTAATCTATTCATTCATTCCTCAGGTATTTATCGAATAACTATTCTATACCAAGTACTATGCTAATCAACCAAGGACAGCACAAACAGGAGAAATCTCCAGCTCAGTCACTTGAGTTGCAATAAATATTTGCTGGATAGGTCAGGTGCAGTGGCTCACACTTGTAATCCCAGCACTTTGGGGATTACTGAGACGGGAGGATCTCTTGAGCCCAGGAGGCCAAGGCTGCAGAGAACCATGATCATGCCACTGCACTCCAGCCTGGGTGACAGAGTGAGATCCTGTCTCTGAAAAAAAATATTTGCTGGATAAATTAAGGAAATCTGACGAACCCCATCAGTAGCCATTGCAGCAACAGGTAAACTAGAACGAGTGTGAATTTGGAATGAGGAAACCCGATGTTGGCCATCATTCTGTAATGTCATGTATTATGTAATGTATTATATATTAATGTATGTATTATGTAGGCAAGTTCCTTGACCTCTCTCACTGGTAACATAAGAGTAGTAATCTTTGTGCTACTTCACTGGGTTATTTTAAAGATCAAGTGAGGTAATAATGTCTGTAACAACATTCTGTAAAATGCAAACCGCCACATGAATGTGAAAGTTTATTACTAGGGATTTAGCCAACCACAAGGGAATGTGTGAGCATAAGAGCTATCATATTGCAAGCCTACAGTTTCTGATTTTGTGCTAGGTGCTTTTCCACATTACCTGATTTTATCCTCACAACAGCCCTGCATAAAAGTAAGTATGTCGCCCAGGTGCGGTGGCTCATGCCTATAATCCCAGCACTTTGGGAGCCCGAGGTGGGCAAATCACTTGAGATCAGGAGTTTGAAACCAGCCTGGTCAACGTGGTGCAACCCTGTCTCTACTAAAAATACAAAAAAAAATTAGACAGGCGTGGTGGTGGATGCCTGTAATCCCAGCTACTTGGGAAGCTGAGGCAGGAGAATGGCTTGAGCCCGGGAGATGGAGATTGCAGTGAGATGAGATTGCGCCACTGCACTCCAGCCTGGGTGACAGAGCAAGGCTATGTCTCAAAAGAGAAAAAAAAAGTAAGTATCTCAGTCTTGAAGATGATGAAATGGAGGCCTAGAGAGATTAAGTAACTTGCCCAAAATGACAGAACTAATGCATAGAAAAGAAGAAATGTGATGTCTTTTGGCTCCAAAGACACCCCACATATGCGTTGGTTACAGTTACTAGAGAAAAGTTATTCCACCCCCACCCCACCCCCAGAAATCTTCTGACTTGTTTTCTCGCAGTTGAGTAGGACCATTTATTCGGCAGTGTACCATTCTCAGCTTGCAGTTGAAAGCCAAATATCCATTAAAGAGGCAAGGATGCAAACTTGCTAAGCTGATAAATCCAGGGGTGATTTTTTTTTTTTTTGCAAACCATCCAACAAGACATTTTAAATACTCATTGAATTTCATAGAACTGACTGCCAGGATTGGAAAGACATTAAAGCCAGCTCAGCCACTGCCTCGCTGGTTGGCCAGACCACGCCTGGCACTTCTGGGAGGGAGCACTCACCACCCCCCAAGGGCACCCATCTCATCCTCCGAAGGTTTATGAAAATGCACTCATCATTTGCTAATTCATTCCACTACGTGTATTACCTAATTTGTGACACGATGTGAAGTACCAGAGAGATAATTCTAAATAAAATATAGTTATGGGTCTCAAGGAGCCAGATATGCTAATCTCCTATCCTCCTGCAGTTTACAGTGGTCCTCACCAGATACTTATTTACAAAAATTCAGTTTATTATTTATTTTTTTGAGACAGAGTCTTGCTCTATAGCTCAGGCTAGAGTGTAATGGTGTGATCTCGGCTCACTTCAACCTCTGCCTCCCAGGTTCAAGTGATTCTCCTGCCTCAACCTCCCAAGTAGCTGGGACTACAGGCACCTGCCACCACGGCTAATTTTTGGAGTTTTAGTAGAGACAGGGTTTCACCACGTTGGCCAGGCTGGCCTCGAACTCCTGACCTCAGGTGATCTGCCCACATCAGCCTCCCAAAATGTTGGGATTACAGGCGTGAGCCACCATGCCCGGCCAAAACTTCAGTTTATAACACAATCTTTCACGTGTCTTCTGCTTTCATTAAAAGAATAGACAGTTCCCTTCTTTATTTCAGTTTAATAAACCATGGATTTTATTTCATGCTTTGCAAAACACAAGGGCTCACTGACATGCACTTCTTAAACTAATTCTGGCTGGTCGCCTGTAATTCCAGCACTTTGGGAGGCTGAGGCCGACAGATCACTTCAAGTCAGGAGTTCAAGACCAGCCTGGCCAATATGGTGAAACCACGTCTCTACCAAAAATATAAAAAATTAGCCAGGTGTGGTGGTGCGTGACTATAATCCCAGCTACTCAGGGGCCTGAGGCAGAAAAATCACTTGAACCCGGGAGGCGGAGGTTACAGTGAGCTGAGATCGCGCCACTGCACTCCAGCCTGGGCGACAGAGTGAGACTCTGTCTCAAAAAATAAATAAATACAAATAATGTAAAATACGAAACAAGCAATCCTGGCAGTAGCTGCTGGAATGAGAGGAGGGAGAGGTCATAGGGAGGTCGGGGACAATGGAGCATGGAGTTGTGTTGGATTTGGCTAAGCAGCAGGAAGTGCAAGGCATTCCAAGCAAGAGGAGGGGGGCAGGTGGGGAGCATCTGCAAGAACAGAAGCAGCATGAGCAACCTGGCTCGGCAGTGTGTGAAAAGGCTGAAAGGTGGCTAGAGCCACTTCAATTTCATCCTTCAGGCAAATGGGAAATTCCCAAAGGTTTGAGTGGGGAAGCAATGCCTACAATGAAAGTTTGAGAGTGAAGCAGAGTGATCGAATTAAGCATGTAGGCCGAGTTCTGAAATAACTGCAATGTGCTGAAGATCATCCATTGGCTTCTGAATGAGTATTTGCAGTTTATTTTTTAAAATGATTTTATTGCCAAGAAAGATAAACACTACTGTTTTGGTACAAAAACATAACAAAATGTGTTGAGTCCCTCTTGCTGTTTTACGCGAAGTTTTAAAAATCTACTCTTGTCACAGTGGTATCACCCCTACTTCTGATTTCAAATAAATGTTCTAGAGACACAGTAAGGGCCCAACAAACGCTTGTTCAACAACACAAGGAGAGCCAGCTTTTAAAGTAGGAAAACAGGCCGGGCGCCGTGGCTCACACCTGTAATCCCAACACTTTGGGAGGCTGAGGTGGGCAGATCACTTGAGGTCAGGAGTTCAAGAACAGCTTGGCCAACATGGTGAAACCCTGTCTCTACTAAAAACACAAACATTAGCCAGGCGTGGTGGTGCACACCAGTAGTCCCAGCTATTCAGGAGGCTGAGGCAGGAAAATGGCTTGAACTGGGGAGGCAGTGGTTGCAGTGAGCCGAGATCGTGCCACTGCACTCCAGCCTGGGGGACAGAGGGAGACTCCATCTCAAAATAAAACAAAACAAAACCAAATCATACAAAAACATTAGCTGGGTGTGGTGGTGCATACCTGTAATCCCAGCTACTTGGGAAGCTGAGGCAGAATTACTTGAACCCCTGGGGGGAGGTTGCAGTGAGCTGAGATCTTGCCACTACACTCCAGCCTGGGCAACAGAGTGAGGAGACTCTGTCTCAAAAAATATATATATTAAAAAAAAGAAAAAAAAAAGTAAACTAGGAAAACACATCAGCAGCCTGCCAACAGACTCCCCTAGCCTCGGTGAGGGCCAGTGTTCTGGGAGGCAGATCTGAATTCTAGTCCTAGTTCACCCACTGGCAGGCTGGTGCCCTTGGGCAGGTCGCTTCTCTGGGGCTCAGTTTCTTCCTCTATAAAATGAGATCAAATCCCATGTTCTAAGAGTTTGTGCTCTGGAGTCAGACAGATCTGGGTTCTACCACTGCCAGCTCTGTGATCTTGTAGCTTCAGTCTCGTCATCTGACATGGAGATAACAGTAACTGTCTCACTGTGTTGTTAGGGTTTAAAGGAGATAATGTATGTGAAATGTTAGCAAACAAGTGTTAGCTACCCTGATTTCCGGTTTCAGAGTTCTGTGGTCCCAGTTTATGCCACATGCAGTGACGTTGTATGGTAGGCTGTGGTGTGGCACCACTTCAGAACTCAGCGCATGCACAGCTTGCAGAAGAGAAGGCCAGAGGAGACCTAAGAAGGCTCTTCGAACACTTGAAAGACCGGCATGTAGGCCGGGCGCAGTGACTCACGCCTGTAATCCCAGCAGTTTTGGAGGTCGAGGCGGGTGGATCACCTGAGTTTGGGAGTTTGATACCAGCCTGACCAACAAGGTGAAACCCCGTCTCTACTAAAAAATACAAACATTAGCTGGGCATGGTGGCGGGTGCCTGTAATCCCAGCTACTCCGGTGGTTGAGGCAGAATTGCTTGAACCCGGGAGGCAGAGGTTGCAGTGAGCTGAGAT
Source organism: Homo sapiens (assembly GCF_000001405.40). NCBI lineage: Eukaryota > Metazoa > Chordata > Mammalia > Primates > Hominidae > Homo > Homo sapiens. The sequence goes on from NC_000001.11 coordinate 25,328,444, forward strand.
TGCATCACTGCACTCCAGCCTGAGACAAGAGCGAAACTCCATCTCAAACAAAACAAACAACCAACCAAACAAAACCAAAAAAAAAACTGGCATGTAGAAGAAAAATACTTTTTCTCTACACTTCTCCAAAGAATTTAACTAGGCCCAGGGGAGGTGCAGTATAAATTTCTAACAATCTCAACTGTCTGCCAAATGGAATGAGCTACTTCATATGGCAGTAGTGAGTCCTCTGTCTTTGGAGGCATTCAAATAAAAGCCAGATGGCCATTTATCAACAATCCATGTAAAACGTTAGATGAAATAAAACCTATATATCCAAGATCTCTTCCAATTCAGATTTTATGAAAGAATTTCTAAGGTCTTTGTAATGAGACATTTAGGCTGTTTCAAGAGATCAAGCCAAAATCAGTATGTGGGTTCATCTGCAATAAAAATGTTTGTTTTGCTTTTACAGTTTCCTCATTTGGCTGTTGGATTTTAAGCAAAAGCATCCAAGAAAAACAAGGCCTGTTCAAAAACAAGACAACTTCCTCTCACTGTTGCCTGCATTTGTACGTGAGAAACGCTCATGACAGCAAAGTCTCCAATGTTCGCGCAGGCACTGGAGTCAGAGAAAATGGAGTTGAATCCTTTCTCTGCCACTCTTTGAGGAGAATCTCACCATTTATTATGCACTGTAGAATACAACAATAAAATACAGCCATGTACCACATAACAACATCTTGGTAAACAACAGACTGCATATATGATGGTGGTCATCCAGTAAGCTAAGGTTAATTTATTATTATTCCTTGTTTTTTTTTTTTTTTTTTTTTTTTTGAGATGTAGTCTTACTCTGTCACCCAGGCTAGAGTGCAATGGCACCATCTTGGCTCACTGCAACCTCTACCTCCTGGGTTCAAGCAAATCTCCTGCCTCAGCCTCCAAAGTAGCTGGGATTACAGGCACCCACCACATCTGGCTAATTTTTTGTATTTTTAGTAAAGATGGGGTTTCACCATGTTGGCCAGGCTGATCTCAAACTCCTGACCTCAAGTGATCTGCCCGCCTCGGCCTCCCAAAGTGCTGGAACCACAGGCCTGAGCCACTGTGCCCAGCCTTGTTTGCTTTTTTAACAGATAACAGTGTGCTCATAGAAACTGCTTTGACATGACTGCAATCATGTGCTTCATAGAAACTTAATTAGATTATACCACTAGAGTCTTCAGATTTTTATACTTTTTTTTTTTGAAACGGAGTCTCACTCTGTCACCAGGCTGGAGTGCAGTGCCGCAATCTCGGCTCACTGCAACCTCCGCCTCCCAGGTTCAAGCAATTCTCCTGCCTCAGCCTCCCGAGTAGCTGGAATTACAAGTGCGCACTACCACACCCAGCTAATTTTTGCATTTTTACTTGACAGGGTTTCACCATGTTGGCTAGGATAGTTTCACCAGGATCTCTTGGCCTCATGATCAGCCTGCCTCGGCCTCCCAAAGTGCTGGGATTACAGGTGTGAGCCACCGTGCCCAGCCTATACTTCCCTTTTTGAATACCATTTGGTGTTTTGAAGAATTAACAGCTTTGTGAACGTGGCAGTGCTTGTGATTCAGGCTTCCATTGAGACCAAGGGGAGAACCTGGTTGCAGGACAAACAGACGGACAGCGTGTGGCAGTGTTTAAATGCTCTTCTGAAGGCTGATACGACAGCTCTCTGTGCACTGATTGCATATGCATCCCAAGATTATATTATTGTTTTCTACTGCTATGTGTCACACTTTGCCAAACAGGATGTGGAAAATGAATAAGCGGTTTTCTTAGGCACTTCTTAACAGACAATTGGTCAAAATGAACTCCATTGCTTAAGAAACACATAAACACCATTTAGTCACTGAACATAGCTATATGTATGGTTGTTACTATGGGAAATCTTGTTTTGCCAATTTTCTTTGAAAATTCTGGCAGACCAAGGTTCTTTTTGTTTACATAATACTTGAAAAATAAAAATGAACAAGCTAACAAACTACCAAGTTTTCACTTACATAAATGTAGTTGCATACAGAAAATGTGACTGTGAATTAATTTTTCTAGGACTTTTAAACTATAAGCACTATTTGCACAAAAGAGAACCAATCTATCAATTACAAACTCACATAATTTTACAGATTTTTTTTTTCCTACACAGCACATAAAACAGAAGGAATTTGAAGCCACCCTCCAAACACAGGGGAAGGAGGCTGTGTGTATATCCTCATTGTCTTTCACATTCTAAGGTGGTTCCACTCAGTGACTGAAATCCTTAAGCGTTGTATTAGTCTGCTTGGGCTACCATAACAGCAGCTTAAACTGTTGTTTAGCCACTCAGACTTAAACAACAGAAATTTATTTCCTTATAGTTCTGGAGGCTGGAAGTTCAAGGTGCCGGCAAGGTTGGTTTCTGGTGAGACCTCTCTCCCTGTCTTGCAGATGGCTGCCTCCTCCCTGTGTCCTCATAGAGCCTGTCTTCTGCTTTTACACTTCTGGTGTCATCTTCCTTTTTTTTTTTTTTTTTTTTTTTTTTTTGAGACAGAGTCTCGCTCTATCGCCCAGGCTGGAGTGCAGTGGCCCGATGGATCTCGGCTCACTGCAACCTCTGCCTCCCAGGTTCAAGCAATTCTCCTGCCTCAGCCTCCCAAGTAGCTGGGACTACAGGTGCCCACCATCATGCCTGGCTAATTTTTGTATTTTTAGTAGAGACAGGGTTTCACCATATTGGCCAGGCTGGTCTCGAACTCCTGACCTTGTCATCTGCCTGCCTCGGCCTCCCAAAGTGCTAGGATTACAGGCGTGAGCCACCGCACCCGGCCTCTTCCTCTTCTTATAAGGACACCAGTCCTATTAGATTAGGGCTCCACCCTCATAACCTCATTTGACCTTAACTATTATTTCTTTAAAGCACCTATTTCCAAATATAGTCACTTTAGGGGTTAGGGCTTCAAAAGATGAATCTGAGGGAGCTCAATTCAGTAAATAGCAGTAGTCATTAATGGACAATGTATACAAAGATAATTTCGTGATTACTGTCCTTATGCATAAACGTCCTCAGTGTTCCACTGCGTTTATCCAGATTTAGTATCACAAAGACTTTGCTCTGAGAAAAATGTGATTTTTTTTTTTTTTTTTTTTTGAGACAGAGTCTTGCTCTGTCACCCAGGATGGAGTGCAGTGGTGCAATCTCGGCTCACTGAAACCTCCGCCTCCCAGGTTCACGCCATTCTCCTGCCTCAATCTCCCGAGTAGCTGGGACTACAGGCGTCCGCCAAGATGCCCAGCTAATTTTTTTTTTTTTTTTTTTTTTTGAGACGGAGTCTCGCTCTGTTACCCAGGCTGGAGTGCAGTGGCGCGATCTCGGCTCACTGCAAGCTCCGCCTCCCGGGTTCACGCCATTCTCCTGCCTCAGCCTCCGGAGTAGCTGGGACTACAGGCGCCCGCCACTACGCCCGGCTAACTTTTTTGTATTTTTAGTAGAGACGGGGTTTCACCATGTTAGCCAGGATGGTCTCAATCTCCTGACCTCGTGATCCACCTGCCTCAGCCTCCCAAAGTGCTGGGATTACAGGCATGAGCCACCGCGCCCAGCAGATTTTTTTTTTTTTTTTTGAGATGGAGTCTTGCTCTGTTGCCCAACCTGGAGTGCAGTGTTATGATTTTGGCTCACTGCAACCTCTACCATGTTCAAGCGATTCTCCCACCTCTGCCTCCCGTGTAGCTGGGATCACAGGCACACGCCACCACACCTAGCTACTTTTTGTATTTTTAGTAGAAATGGGGTTTCACCATGTTGGCCAGGATGGTCCCGAACTCCTGACCTCAAGTGATCCTCCTGCCTCGGCCTTCCAAAGTGCTGGGATTACAGGTGTGAGCCACTGTGCCTGGCCAAAAATGTGATTTCTTATTTCCCACATTGCCAATTCCATTTCAATTAACTATAATAGCTATGTCTATTGAGCACTCAAGCGTATTCTAGAAACTGTTCCTGATTCTGGGGATATATCCATGAATGAACTATAGTCCCTGTTATTAAGTAATCCGTAGTCTGACTAAACCATTAGAAATTAAAAAAAAATGGCTACTTTCAAAGACATCTTGGAGTTCAGGAGTCCCACACTGCGAACCATATTACCTAATAATCCAACCTGCTTGTAATTCACTTATTTAACCAATATTTATTGAGTGCCAACTTTGAGCCTAAGATACAGCAGTAAACAAATGCATAAAGTCCCTGTCCCCATGAAACTTGTATTCTAATGGAAAAAACAGAAAACAAACAGATATAGGATGTAATATCAGGTAGGGATAAATACTTTGAATTCAAACAAAAGTATACGTAGTCAGGGTTCCCCAGAGAGACACAGCCAATCGATACATAGATATATAAGAGAGGGTTTATGAGTTAGAAAGGGCTCACATGATTACAGAGGCTGAGAAGTCCCACAACAGATTGTCTGCAAGCTGGAGACCCAGGGATACTGGTAGCATGGCTCAGTCCAAGTCCCAAAGTCTCAGAATCAGGAAAGCTGATGATATAATTCTTAGCCCAAAGGCCTTAGAACCCCAGCGGTGACGGAAAGGCTGGTGTAGGTCCTGGCGTCCTGAGACCCAACAGCCTGGGATCCTGAAATCCAAGGGCAGGAATGGAAGCGTGTATTCCAGCTCCAAGAGAGTAAGACCAATTTGCCTTTCTTCCGTTTTTGTTCCAAGCCAACTGCACGTTGAGGGCGGATGGTTCCCTCTTAGCCCATTCAGTCATATATCAATCTCTTCTGGAAATACCCTCACAGACACACTAACAAATAATGCCTTTCCAGTTCTCTAGGTATTCTTTAATCCAGTCAAGCTGACACCTAAAATTAACCATCACAAAAGTTAAGGAGAAAGAAGACAACTTGTAGGAGAGGCTGCTATGCAAGACAGTGTGTGAAGGAAGGGCTCTCTGAAGAGGTTAATATCTGAGCAGAGACTTGAATGAAGTGAAGAAGTGAGCCATGTGGGTATGGGGAATACAACTTCCAGGTAGAGAAGACAAGTGTGGTGTGTATCACGGTCAGCAAAGAAGCCATGTGACAGAGAAGGGTGGGCCAGGGAGAGACGGATAAGTGATCTAACTCCTGAGGAGGTGGCCTGGCCAGGAGCTAGAGCATGAGGATCTCGTAGGATTTTATTCTGCAAGGTGAAAAGCCATTGTATTAGTCTGTTCACAAACCCCAGACTAGGCAATTTACAAAAGAAAGAGAGGTTTAATGGACTTACAGTTCCACATGGCTGGGGAGGCCTCACAATCATGGCGAAAGGCAATGAGGAGCAAGTCACGTCTTACGTGGATGGCAGGCAAAGACAAAGACAGCTTGTGCAGAGAAACTCCCCCTTATAGAGCCATCAGATCCTGTTAGACTTATCACTATCACGAGAACAGCACGGGTAAGACCTGTCCCCATGATTCAGTTACCTCCCACTGGGTCCCTCCCACAACGCATGGGAATTCAGGATGAGATTTGGGTGGGGACACAACCAAACCCTATCATTCCACCCATGGCCCCTCCCAAATTTCATGTCCTCACATTTCAAAACCAATCACACCATCCCAACAGTCCCTCAAAGTCTTAAATGATTTCAGCATTAACTCAAAAGTCCACAGTCTAATGTCTCATCTGAGACAAGGCAAGTCCTTTCCATCTATGAGCCTATAAAATCCAAAGCAAGTTAATTACTTCCTAGATACAATGGGGGTACAGGCATTGGGTAAATACAGCCATTCCAAATGGGATAAATTGGTCAAAACAAAGAGGCTACAGGCCCATGAGAGTCCAAAATCCAGTGGGGCAGTCAAATCTTAAAGCTCCAAAATGATCTCCTCTTGACTCCACATCTCACATCCAGGTCACGCAGATGGAAGGGGTGGGTTCCCATGGTCTTGGGCAGCTCTGCCCCTGTACCTTTGCAGGGTACAGCCTCCCTCTCAGCTGCTTTCATGGGCTGGCATTGAGTGTCTGCAACTTTTCCAGGTACACGGTGCAAGCTGTCGGTGGATCTACCATTCTGGGGTCTGGAGGACCTCTTCTCACAGCTCCACTAGGTGGTGCCCCAGTAGGGACTGTGTGTGGGGTCTCTGACCCCACATTTCCCTTCTGCACTGCCCTGGCAGAGGATCTCCATGAGGGCCCTGCCCCTGCAGCAAACTTCTGCCTGGGCATCCAGGCATTTCCGCACATCCTCTTTAATCTAGGCGAAGGTTTCCAAACCCCAGTTCTTGACTTCTGTGCACTCGCAGTCTCAACACCACATGGAAGCTGTCAAGGCTTGGGGCTTGCACTCCCCGAAGCTACAGCCCAAGCTCTACCTTGCCTCCTGTCAGTCATGGTTGGGAGTGGCTGGGATGCAGGGCACCAAGTCCCTAGGCTGCACACAGCATGAGGACCCCGGGCCTGGCCAACAAAACCATTTTTTCCTGATATCTCTGGACCTGTGATGGGAGGGGTTGCCATAAAGACCTCTGACATGCCCTGGAGACATTTTCCCCATTGTCTTGGGAATTAGCATTTGGCTCCTGTTACTCATGCAAATTTCTGCAGCCAGCTTGAATTTCTCCTCAGAAAATGGGAATTTTTCTTTTCTATCACATTGTCAGGCTGCAAATTTTCCGAACTTTTATGCTCTGCTTCCCTTATAAAACTGAATGTCTTTAACAGCACCCAAGTCACCTCTTGAATGCTTTGCTGCTTAGAAATTTCTCCTGCCAGATACTCTAAATCATCTCTCTGAAGTTCAAAGTTCTACAAATATCTCGTGCAGGGGCAAAATGCCGCCAGTATCTTTGCTAAAACATAACAAGAGTCCCCTTTGCTCCAGTTCCCAACAAGTTCCTCATTTCCGTCTGAGACCACCTCAGCCTATGGACTTTATTGTCCACAGTGCTATCAGCATTTTGGGCAAAGCCATTCAACAAGTCTCTAGGAAGTTCCAAACTTTCCCACATTTGCCTGTCTTCTTCTGAGCCCTCCAAACTGTTCCAAACCCTGCCTGTTACCCAGTTCCAAAGTCACATACCCATTTTTGAGTATCTACGGCAGCACCCCACTCTACTGGTACCAATTTAGCCACTGAAGTAGTTGGAGAACAGAAGTAATAGACTCTGGTTTACATTGTAAAAGCTTCTCTGTGGCTGCTGTGTGAAGAAAATATATGAGAATGAAGCCCCAAGATGAAGCAGGGACACAGTTGCAGTGGTTAGAGTAAGAAATGCTGCTGGCTGGCACTGAAGTGATAGCCTGGAGGTTTGTGTGTGCACATGCATGTGTATGTGTTTTACGATAGTAGGCCCAACAGATACTGTAATCCACACTTGTTTTTTTTTTTTTGAGACAGAGTCTCACCTGTTGCCTAGACTAGAATGCAGTGGCACAATCTTGGCTCACTACAACCTCCACCTCCCAGGTTCAAACAATCCTTGTGCTTCAGCCTCCCGAGTAGTTGGGATTACAGGTGTGTGCCACCGTGCCCAGCTATATTTTTTGTATTTTTAGCAGAGATGGGATTTTGCCACATTGGCCAGGCTGGTCTTGAACTCCTGGCCTCAAGCAATCCTCCCACCTTAGCCTCCCAAAGTGCTGAGCCACCACACCTGGCCGCAACTGATTTTTAATCATGAAATGACACATACATTTAAAAAACCCAATACCTATAATATTCCTGGCTAGTACTCTTCACATCTATATCATCAAAAACAAAGAAAGTATGTGAAACTGACACAGCCAAGGGGAGACTAAGGAGACATAACAATTAACTGTAATGTGGTATTCTGGAGGGGATCCTGGAACAGAAAAAGACATTAGGCAAAAAACTAAAGAAATCTGAATAAAATGTGGATGTCAGTTAATAATAATGTATCATATTAGTCCAGTAATTGTAACAAATATACCACAATAATGAAAGCCATTAATTATAGGGAAAATGGAGGGGTTAATATGGGTGGCTGGCTTTTGCTATTTCTAGCAGCTCCATTTTATCTACAAAAGACAAACATTCATTAAGTCCCAAAAAGGTAAAGAATGACAAATTAAGCATGTATCTTATTAGTAAGAGTAATATAAAGATGCTCACTCATATTTATAAATATTTGACAATCATGTTAAGGCCAGAAAAGAGAAAAAAGGGTAGGGGCAAAAAACGCAAAGAGAAAGGAGTTAGTATCTTTTCTCCCGCACTCATTAGCTATTAAAAGAGGATGTTTGTTTAAAGCTGCTCAGAGCTGGTAAACTAATGTTAAGTCACTAACGGGAATTTAAAAGGTTTCATTAAGAACTGCCTGCACTAGATTCCTCCACCCTGAGACATTAAACAATCACGATAAACCTCCTGAGTGGTAAGAACGTGTCCATTTAAAAACAGGCTATAGATTGTCATGCAGTTTTATCTACTAATCGGCTAATGCACCGCCAAAAACAAACAAAAAAACCCAAAGGGATGAAAGTTTCATCCATCAAAGGAAACAACAGTCACCTTGGTTCCCATCCCACTCATATACTGCCGCCGTACATGTCAATCAGATGAACCTGTGCGTATCTCTTAACGACAATTGACCCACCTTTTTAACTGAAGTGAAGGGGGGTTCTGCTCCGCGACCACTTCCTGGATCTCTCCCTTCACCCTCTGTGTTCTTTCGGGTGCACCATCGGGTCAAAGCCGCAGCAACGCCGTCTCTGTGTGATCGCATGTGCCCTTCTGCACACGACCTTCCCCCGAGAGTGACCAGCTACCGGACAGGCACCAAGGAGGGCTACCGAGCACCTCCCGGACCGGCGGCTGCAGGATCGCGAGCGCCTCCGCTAGGGAGACCGCACGTTGCGCCTGTGCTTCCTGCGGTGGCGCCTTCTGCAAGGAGACCTCGACCCTGCTCCCTCTCCGGGGCTGGATCTGACTCCTTGACGGTGATTCCAGACGCGAGACCCAAACTGACGGCTTCTAGAAGAGGGGCGAGCCCGGCCGCAAGTCTTTCACGTAGCTAAGTCATCGTTGCTTCCGGCTTCTTACCGTTCTCCCCTTTGTAAACGGTTACCTCCCGAAAACCCAGGCTCTCCTCCAACAGTGGTTCTCAAGCGAGGCGATCTTCCCCGGGAGGGGATATTTGGCAAAGTCTGGGGGCATTTTTGGTTCACTGGGGCTGCTACTTGCATCCACTGGGTAGAGGCGGGGGATGCAGCTACACAACCTGCGAAGCACGGGACAGCACCCTCCCCAACCCAGACAGAATTAGCCGGCCCAAAACCTCAGTAGTGCCCAGGCTGAGAAACCCTGCCTTAAACAAACAACAAAGAAAGGCCAAGTCCCATAAGTGGGTCACCGCGCCGAGACTGGGGTCCACGGGACACCCCAGCCACGCCAAGCCGGGAAGTCCCCGCCTCCTGGAGCTGAACCCGCCCCTCTCCCAGAGGTGGAGCTGCGGGGGGCGGGAACAGGCACGGAGAAAATAAACAAGACTAAAAAGTCCTGAGTAGCGCTGTGTGGCCGCAAACCTGAACCCACCTTTTGCACCACGCGGGACCCGGCACTCTTCCTGCCACCCACCCCTGAGAGGGCTGCGCGGCCGACCCCAGTACTAGAAAACACTCGTCACCTCACTCAAGACGGGTACGAAGGCCAACGGACGCCTTCCTTTAGAACGCTCAGCACACAGAGCAACTTCTCACGCCTACTCTCAAATGGCGTACTCCAAACTAGCACTCCCGACGTCCAGCTGTGAACCCAGAGCGGCGGAAAGCCCCTGAACCCAGCGCCCGGGCATGCGCAGACGCGTTGTTGTGGTGGGCGTGGCTCCCTCCGGACCCGGCGCCCCGCCCTCCGCCCCGTGTCCGCATGCGCGACTGAGCCGGGTGGATGGTACTGCTGCATCCGGGTGTCTGGAGGCTGTGGCCGTTTTGTTTTCTTGGCTAAAATCGGGGGAGTGAGGCGGGCCGGCGCGGCGCGACACCGGGCTCCGGAACCACTGCACGACGGGGCTGGACGTAAGTGTCGGGCGGGGAGTGGGGGTAAGAGAGTAGCGGCCGCAGGCTGGAGAGGCCTCGGAGCCGGGGCCGTCTGACGGGCTGGTGCCCACAGCACAGGCTCGTTGCCGCCACCCTCCCGGAAGCCGCAGACCCGGGCTGAGCCGCCGCGGACCTCTCCTCTCCTGGGTCCGGCGGCGCCAGGAGAAGGCGACGGCGTCCAGACCCCGCCAAGACGGAGAGGGGACCGCGCCCTCCCCCGGGACACCCCAGGATCCCTGGAAAATCCCCCGATCCCCCACTTCACAGCTGGACAAGCCGAAGCCCCGAGAAAGGAGCGTGACCCGGCCAGCTCCCTCAGCGAGGGGTGCCCCGGCTAAAGGTGGCTCCCCCATCTTCCAGCGGCGTCCCTCGAGACCTAAAAGTCCCAGAGTTTGGAGGGCGGGGTCTGGCTTGAGCGTACCAGTCGTCGTGCAAAGAAAAATGGATTCGGGGTGGGGCCATTGGGATGAACCGAAAATAACACTTATTGAATTGCAGTTCTTCCCGGGGAAGAATCAAATGAGTGAATTTCCTAAATTGAACTTGTCCCAAAGGCATCTTAGCATTGGCTGTAATCATATATTTTAATATTTAATTTTTAAAAGAGAAGTTAAAAATGGGAGACGTTGCTCTATTGTAGGGTGTCATATTTTTGGACAACCATAATTGCTGGCTACAAAGTATCTTAAGGAAGTCAAGTTCGCTGTAGGAGTTTGGGTGTTGTTATTCGCAAGTTATATGTATTTCAGGCTTTTTCATACTCTGAAATAGAGATAACATGGCTGTATCTCAGGTCTCTACTGCTCGGCTTACAGGAATGTTTTATATAATTTGTAAAGACAGCTTGGGTCGGCTATATTTAAATAGCAGTTGGATTTTTGTAATCTGAATTACTATTAACCACGATTCTGTGCTTGCTTTTGGCTGGAAACACCCGTTAGGATCAGAGATAGGGATATTAAAGTGGATGTTCTTTATATAGAAATGACACCAAAAGGCAGGCTTGCAGAAAGAAAAATAATGAATGAAGTGAAAGGAAATGATGTGGGTAGAGGTAAGAACTGCAGTGCAGTGTTTAATTTCTTGATTTAGGTGTGAAGAAACACACGTTCTGTGATAAAATATGTAAATTAGAGAAATATTTTTCATTTGAATCTGTAATTCCACTCAGAGCCAAAGTTTATCACTTGTCTCTCTACTAATGTTAGTGCTCCTGGACTGTAAATATCAAATTCATTTAATAAGTTTGGAATCAAAATGATACAAAAGAGCTCCTGTGGATTAGTAATCATATACTTGGTATTAAAAGTACCACCTAAACTAATTTAATACCTACTTAGAAATAATAGGATGTGACAGATTTTCAGGAGGAGGTCAACCAGTAGTTAAAATTTTTTCAATATTTGGAGACCCACCTTTGTTAATACTGCTTAAATATATCCAAACCATTTATTTCTATTTATTTATTATTATTTTTGAGACAGAGTCTTGCTCTGTCGCCCAGGCTGGAGTGCAGTGGCACGATCTCGGCTCACTGCAACTTTCGACTCCCAGGTTCAAGCGATTCTCCTGCCTCAGCCTCCCAAGTAGCTGCGATTACAGACATGCGCCACCACCCCCGGCTAATTTTTGTATTTTTAGTAGAGATGGGGTTTGCCATGTTGGCCAGGCTGGTCTCAAACTCCTGACCTCAGGTGACCCACCCACCTCAGCCTCCCAAATTGGTAGGATTACGGGCATGAACCACCACGCCCGGCCCCCAAACCATTTTTTACATTAAAAAAGATACTAAATGAATCCAGATATTACTTTCCAAAGTTATAATGTGGAAATTCATCAAAAACTAAATCAAATATTCTGAAGAAGTATGTGGAACCAAAATAAAGCATTTGTAATTTCACTTTTATCTAATTATTCCTGAGCTATTAATTATTTTTCGGGCTTGAAGCAAGTAAATGGAAGTACTTATTTAATTGTTTGTTTGTTTGTTTTTAAGTGACCTGAAAAAAATGTCTGGATTTCTAGAGGGCTTGAGATGCTCAGAATGCATTGACTGGGGGGAAAAGCGCAATACTATTGCTTCCATTGCTGCTGGTGTACTAGTAAGTGTCATTGATTATTTGGGCCTTATTTTTTGGTGCGTTTGTGTTTATGGGTTTTGAATTCTGCAGGATGTTTTAAAATATGTACTATTTATTTTATCTTTGACCACTTTGACCATGTTGATATTTTGTTGTTTGTGGAGAGTTATTAGTTCCACTTTAAGAGTTTATGGTTTAAAATTTGATTAACAAGTGGTTGGGTTGTTTTAACTGCATGGTAAAAATGGCATAATAAAACATTTGTTCATTATATGGATTATATCTCCTTTTAATGAGTATATTAAGGTACAAGGAAGTGTTTAAGACGCAGTCAGGTCAAAACCAGTCAATAGATGTGATTGCATTTCTCCATAATCCAGTTAACTTTCTTCTCAGTCTCAGGGAAAAAAAAGTGCTCGCTTTGGCAACACATACACTAAGATTGGAATAATACAGAGAAGATTAGCATGGCCCCTTAAAATTTTTTTTTAAAAAGCAAAAACAAAAAGGAAACTCATTAAAATACATTGTGTGGAAGTAATTTACAGAATAAAATTCTTATTTACACTTCAGATCCCTCAAGGGATCTGCTATTAGTTTTTTATGATCATATGGTGTCGTAGGCTCTAAAGAGTAATTTTTTATTTTTATTTTTTGAGATAGAGTTTTGCTCTTGTTTTTTTGTTGTTGTTGTTTTTGTTTTTTTTGGTTTTTTTTGAGACGGAGTCTCAGTCTGTCGCCCAGGCTGGCGTGCAGTGGCGCAATCTCAGCTCACTGCAAGCTCCGCTTCCCGGGGTTCACGCCATTCTCCTGCTTCAGCCTCCCGAGTAGCTGGGACTACAGGCGCCCGCCACTGCGCCCGGCTAATTTTTTTGTATTTTAGTAGAGACGGGGTTTCGCCGTGGTCTCGATCTCCTGACCTCGTGATCCGCCTGCCTCGGCCTTGCAAAGTGCTGGAATTACAGGTGTGAGCCACCGCGCCTGGCCTTGCTCTTGTTTTAGTAGAGACGGGGTTTCTCCATGTTGGTCAAGCTGGTCTTGAACTCCCGACCTCAGATGATCTGTCTGCCTCGGCCTCCCAAAGTGTTGGGATTACAGGCATGAGCCACCGCACCAAGCCATTTTTTCTTAAGCTTTAAGATTTATTTATTTTCGAGACAGGGTCTCACTCTGTCTCCCAGGCTGGAGTACAGTGGTGAAATCACTGCTCATTGCAACCTCGACCTCCCGGGCTCAGGTGATCCTCCCACCTCAGCCTCCGGAGTAGCCTGGACCACGGATGAAGGCCACCACACCGGGCTAATTTTTGTTTTTTTTTTTGTTTGTTTTTTTTGTAGAGATGAGGTCTCTCCATGTTGCCCAGGCTGGTCTCCTACTCCTGGGCTCAAGTGATTCACTGGCCTTGGCCTCCCAAGGTCCTGAGATTACAGGCTATTGCACCTGGCCAAAAAGCTTTGAGTTTTTAGTCTATGAAGAAAATATCTTAAATACATTGAGCTGAGGGTAAAAAGAAAGGCATATGTACTCATGCTAGCCATTAAAAATGTTATTAATCGAGTATGGATCTGTCTGTAACCTGATAAAAGTAATTTGACTAGCCTAAAATTGTTACTTTAAAATAATTGCCAGAAGATGTCAGTTGCCAGAGCTAACTGAGTCAGGGTTTGGTGTGGGGATAGGAAAGGAAAGGGGGTTACTTTTAAAATCTTCTAGGCTACTTGTCAGAATTTGGTTAATATAATTTTATTGTAAATATCTGCTCAGATGATAAAAACTGTTTTTGAAGTTTTGGCGTTATTTTGTTATACCTTTGCCCTTGATAATATCTAGAGCCAAATTCAATTAGATAAATTGTAATCTGGTGTTTAAATTAAATTTAAAATCACACCTGAAACCATATTTAGACTGCACTGGAATTCATCAAAAGCAGAACCTCAGAGCTGTTATTTCACACCAAGAAGATAGCTAAAATTCTGTGAACAATAGTTGTTCTCCATATTAATTTGAATGCTTTTTTCTTGATTTTGGGGAATATTTCTCTGGAAGTTTATCATATATCAACAGGACACTTCTGTCAGTTGGAATTGGAGTCACTTTTTTCCTTTCCCCCTCCATGAGATAACTGGTTTCTAGTTCACCAAATTAGATTACAAGGCTTTATTATGATAAAAATTAAATAATGATTGAAGTAGGCTTAGAGAAAAGTTATGTTAATAAATATAAATTGCTCTCAGATTTAAGGGTACCTAATCAGTTATTAGGCCATGTGCAAATTACATGTGGGAAAAAGCTAGAACATTTTTGAAATGTATTAAAAGGGATCTCCTCACTTAAATACCTTGCTTTTAGCCAGTGAGATACAGAATTGCTATGATTTCTCATTGGTATCACCTTTGTTTTAGTTTTTTACAGGCTGGTGGATTATCATAGATGCAGCTGTTATTTATCCCACCATGAAAGATTTCAACCACTCATACCATGCCTGTGGTGTTATAGCAACCATAGCCTTCCTAATGTAAGTGTCATCGTAATTGGCATTACTTACATAGCTTGCCACAAAATAAAAATGTTTCAAATATAGTTGCATAGATTTAAAATTCTAAATATTATCAGATTAACACACTGGACATGATTTAAAAGTCACACAGTAGAGATGGACTTATACAGAAAAGCAGCAGTCCTCTTTATTCTTTTTGTGTACCTCTCCACTCCCTCCCAGCTTCTCTCAGCTATTCTTTTATTTTATACCCCCAGGGTTTATAGCTTTATATTTAAGTCCGAAACTGTGTATTTTGTCTAAGGGATAATTCTTTCAACAATATTTATTAAGCTTTTATATTCCAGACTCTGCTCTAGGTACAGGACATATAGTAGTTAGTAAAACAGGAAAAATCCATGTCTTTTTGTCATTTAAAATAAGTGCAAAGGAGAAAAAATAGAGAAAGGAGATATGTGCAAATAAGTGCAAAGGAGAAAGGGATGTCAATAGGAGGGATAGAAATTAAAAAATTTTTTTTTTTATAGAGAGGGTGTCTCATTATGTTGCTCAGGTTGGTCTCCTGGGCTCAAGTGATCCTCCCACCTCGACCTCCCAAAGTGCCAGGATTACAGGTGTGAGCCACCACACGTGGCCAGAAATTTTCAGCAGAGTCAGAGAAGGTCTCACTAAGAAGGTGACTTTGAGTAAAGACTTGAAGAAAGTGAAGGAGCTGACCAGGGGATGGGGATATATAAGAGAGGTTCATTCCAGGCAGGTGAAACAGCAAGTACAAAGGCTTTACGGCAAGGAGACCAGTATAACTGCAGTAGCAAGATCAAGGGAAAGAGAAATTGATGAGGTCAAAGAAGTGGTGGAGAGGGACAGATGGTATAGGGCCTTGAGAAGCATTATAAGAACTTTACTTTCAGCTGGATGCAGTGACTCATGCCTGTAATTCCAGCACTTTGGGATACCGAGGTGGGTGGATCACTTGAGCTCAGGAATTTGAGACCAGCCTGGGCAACATGGTGAAACCTCATCTCTACCAAAATACAAAAATTGGTAGGGCATGCCTGTGGTCCCAGCTGCTCCGGAGGCTGAGGCGGGAGGATTGCCAGAGCCTGGGAAGTCAAGTCGATGTTACAGTGAGTCATGATTGTGCCACTGCACTTCAGTCTGGGTAACAGAGCAAGACCCCATCACAAAAATAAGAACTTTACTTTCATTGTAAGTGTAATGGAAGCCATTGGAAGGTTTCGAGCAGAGGAATGAAATGACCTTATATTTTAATAGGAGCATTCCTGTTGAAAAATTTTTAAAACCGGTAAACAAAATTTATTGCAGTGCCAAATAGTATAAGCACCATGACTCTGTGCTTCTCAAATTTATCAATGTATTTTGAAAATATTCTTGTATTCTTACCAGTTTCTCAAATTCATAAAATCGTTTAGTTTGCTTCATACTTGGGCTGTGACTTTGTTATTTAGTATTGTTTTTTCCTATAGTTTTTTTTTTCTTCTTTAATTAAGACGAGGTCTCACCTTGTTTGCCAGGCTGGTCTTGAACTCCTGGGCTCAAGCGATCCACCTGCCTTGGCCTCTCAAAGTGCTAGGATTATAGGTGTGAGCCACTGTGCCCGACCTTTCCTAGAGTTTCTGATTGTTTTTTTTTGTTTTTTGTTTTTTGTTTTTTTTTGGTGGTTGTTGGTAGAAAGAATGTATATTTTCTTTAGGATTCATTTTATTCTTCTTGAATGCTGCAGTTCTAATTTGGACAGTTACTATGTGGAATGTAGTAGCCTTGTTCAGTTTTTTGTTTTTCCTAGAGTTTCTAGCTGCCTTTTCTTTGTTTTCTTGCATTTTCTACTATTATCACATCTTTATTTTTTTCCCAAATTCTCAATTATATTCTTTAATGTATTATAACTTCTTTTGTTTTAGAAATCAACATCCCAGAAGCCCGTATCTGTCTGTTTCATTATGAATTAATGACTGTGTAAGCCTGCTGCAGCACTGTCACCATGGGACTTCCCTCCCCTGTTGATCAGGGTTGAATCCACTGTTTTTCCAGTTACCACATCTTCTTTTTTTTTTTTTTTTTTTTGGATACAAGAAGTATTTACTTTGGCCGGGCATGGTGGCTCACGCCTGTAATCCCAACACTTTGGGAGGCCAAGGCGGGCAGACCACCTGAGGTGAGGAATTTGAGACCAGCCTGGCCAACGTGGTGAAACCCCATCTCTACTAAAAATAATTTAAAAAGGCTGGGCGCAATGGCTCACGCCTGTAATCCCAGCACTTTGGGAGGCCGAGGCAGGCAGATCACGAAGTCAGGAGATCGAGACCATCCTGGCTAACACAGTGAAACCCTGTCTCTACTAAAAATACAAAACATTAGCCGGCTATAGTGGCACGTGACTGTGGTCCCAGCTACTCGGGAGGCTGAGGCAGGAGAATCGCTTGAACCCAGGAGGCGGAGGTTGCAGTGAGCAGAGATCATGCCACTACACTCCAGCCTGGGCGACAGAGTGAGACTCTGTCTCAAAAACTAAAAAATAAATTAGCCAGGCACGGTGTTGCGTGCCTGTAGTCCCAGCTACTCGGGAGCCTGAGGCACAAGAATCACTTGAACCTGGGCAGCAGAGGTTGCTGTGAGCCGAGATCACACCACTGCACTCCAGCCTGGGCGACAGAGGGAGACTCCGTCTCAATAAATTTAAAAGAAAAAAGTATTTATTTTAGTTTGTTTATTTATTTATTTTTTTTTTTGAGATGGAGTTTTGCTCTGTCGCCCAGGCTGGAGTGCAATGGCATGATCTCTGCTCACTGCAACCTCCACCTCCCAGGCTCAATTGATTCTCCTGCATCAGCCTCCCCAAGTAGCTGGGATTACAGGCACACACCACCATGCCTGGCTGGTGTTTGTATTTTCTGTAGAGACGGGTTTCACCATGTTGGCCAGGCTGGTCTTGAACTCCTGACCTCAAGTGATCCACCTGTCTCGGCCTCCCAAAGTGCTGGGATTACAGGCGTGAGCCACCACACCCGGCCGATATGTTTTCTTAGAATTCTCATCTCTTTATCTTTTTATTTTATGTTCCAATCTGTTAAACATTTTTGCATTTCAGTTCTCATGTTTTAATTTCTAAGGGCCTTTGTTTCCTTAATTATGAATGCTTCCTTTAGGGATCAACTCTCTCTGTGGGCCTTTCTTTTTTTTCTTTTCTTTTCTTTTCATGTTAGACGTGTAAGGTGCTGATGTAAGAACAAGGTTTGAGGGAGGCACATCTCAAACATGCACATGAACACCCAATCATCGTGCCTAAGAACTACAAAAGAATCAGGTTTTCCTTTTAAATTAAAAAAAAAATGTTTTAGAAGTAGGGCCTCGCTTGTCACCCAGGCTGGAGTGCAAATGGTGTGATCATAACACACTACTGTCTCAAAATCCTGGGCTTAAGCAGTCCTCTGGCCTCAGCCTCCCCAGTAGCTAGGACTACTTGCACATACCACCACACCCAGCTATTTTTTAAACAGTTTTTTTGTAAAGACAGGATCTCACTATGTTGCCCAGGCTGTTCTTGAACTCCTGGTCTCAAGTGATTCTCCTGCCTTGGCCTCCGAGAGTGCTGCATGATAGGTGTGAGTCACTGTGCTCTCTGCCTTTATTATTTTAAAAATGTAATATAAAATGCATTCTGGCCAGGCATGGTGGCTCACACTTGTAATCCCAGCACTTTGGGAGGCCAAAGTGGGCGGATCACTTGAGGTCAGGAGTTCAAGACCAGCCTGGCCAACATGGTGAAACCCTGTCTCTACAAAAAAATACAAAAATCAGCCGGGCATGGTGGTGCATGCCTGTGGTCCCAGCTACTGAGGAGGCTGAGGTGGGGAATCACTTGAATCTGAGAGGCAGAGATTACAGTGAGCCAAGATCACGGCACTGGATTCCAGCCCAGGAGACAGAGTGAGACTCTGTCTCAAAACAAACAAACAAACAAAAAACGCATTTAGTGAGATACATAAAGTGCACAAGTCATATATACATCTCAACAAATTTTTCTTATATATACACCCATGTAAACAGCATCTAGATCAAGATTTAAAACATCACCCCAGAACATTCTCAATCAGCACTTCCATCACACCTGTATAGCCCCCATCCTGACCTCTACCATTGTCCATCAGCTTTCTGTAGACCTTTTTTTTTTTCTTTTGAGATAGGCTCTTGCTCTGTTGCCCAGGCTGGAGTGCAGTGGCATGATCTCGGTTCACTGCAACCTCTGCCTCCTGAATTCAAGCAATTTTCCTGCCTCAGCCTCCTGAGTAACTGGGATTACAGACGCCCACCACTGTGCCCAGCTAATTTTTGTATTTTTAGTAGAGGAAGGGTTTCACCATGTTGGCCAGGCTGGTCTCGAACTCCTGACCTCTCAGGTGATCCACCTGCCTTGGCCTCCCAAAGTGCTGGGATGACAAGCGTGAGCCACCATGCCCGGCCTTCTGTAGACTTTTAATTTAGGTTGTAGAGTCATCTCATACAGGCTTCCAGGTAATCCAAGTTGAAAATTACACACATTTTTAAATTTTGCTACAGTTACTTAAGTGTAAACACAGTAACTTGTATTTTCAGAGTAAAGCAAGTGGCTAAGGGCAGCCAGTTTGACTGTGCCTGGCATGGAGTCAGTGCCAGAGTAGTTATTCATTCGCAGAAGTAAAGGTCTGACTTCAGAAGCCACTGATAGCAAAGGGCTGTGGTCTTTTTCTTTGAAGTTCAGCCAGTATGCAGCTATTTCTAGTTCTTTCCATCTTGTTGCAATTTATTTTACCGTAATAATGATGCTGTTAGAATTCTTTTAGAAAGCTGACACCTAAATTTCAACATTGGTTTAGATTTAAAAGTTTTATTTTTGTGATTGTATTTTTGTCCTGCTTTTGTTCTCAGATCTTTAAAAAATTATTTTGTTCCATTTTGAAGCAGTAGCAAGTCTGACTATGGAGGGGAATTATAGCTGTATATGAGCTTGAATGTACTATTCAAACGTGTTTCCTGCTAAACTTACATTCTGTTGCATTAACATAATTATAGCAGAGCTGACTTCATGTCTTTATAAATGTTTATCATCTATTTGGCTTCAGTTTACATCTTTTTATTATAGTGTCAGATAGTGTCAGGCCATAATTTTAAACAAAAACTGTTAGTTAATTATAATTCAAATGGATAGGAGTCAAAAAGCAGCTATTCTTTCATTAATGACTTTATTATTTTTTCTCTTATTACAAAAGTTCTCTGATTTTGTGGCTTTAAAAATATTAATAAATGTTCTGTGTATTACTCTGTATTTTTTAATTTTAAAAATGTAGGGTAGGCCGGGCACGGTGGCTCACGCCTGTAATCCCAGCACTTTGGGAGGCCGAGGTGGAAGGATCTCGAGGTCAGGAGATCGAGACCATCCTGGCCAACATGATGAAGCCCCGTCTCTACTAAAATACAAAAAATTAGCTGGGTGTGGTGACACGCGCCTGTGGTCCTAGCTACTCAGGAGGCTGAGGCAGGGGAATCGCTTGAACCCGGGAGGTGGAGGTTGCAGTGAGCTGAGATTGTGCCACTGCACTCCAGCCTGGCGATAGAGCAAGACTCCATCTCAAAAAAAAAAAAAAGTAGGATATGCCAATAAGCAAAAACGAAGTTGCCTATAATCTCACCAAACTATAACATTTTGACAGATATTCTACCAGTGTTCTCTTCTGTTTTCTCTTTCTCTAACACACATCTATATGTTTTAAAAGTAATATTTAACTCTTCTCCACTTCCTTTCCTCTTCCTGGAAAAATTCAGTCCAAAAACTATTAGGTGAGGTCAAGCATGAGAGGCATCCTCTATAGAAAGACAAGTTGTGGTGGCCCAGAGCAGGCTGCTGGGCTCAGGCAGGGTGGGAAGGGGCAGCTCAGCATGGGCTCAGATCCTGAGCAGGGTGAGGAGGGGATCCATGCAGCGGAGCGTGGGATGGAAGAAGGCAGCCCTACATGGGATGCTGGAGTCTGAGCAGGGTGAAGAGGCTGTCCAGATGGGGCAGGAGAAGCAGTGTGGCAGCTCTGTCCGCTAAGAGTGCCCAGAACAGCTACACCCCAACACCAGGAGCACACCTATAGCCCCCAGTTATGGAGCATCATGTTGACAAATACCAGACGTTTCAGTAAAAAGATTATTTAACTAGTAACTTTTCTATAAATTGGAGAACATACATAAAAATAATCATAGCAGAGAACAAATAGAGATTGTTCATTCCAAAGTGTCCCTAATAGTGAAGACAGGATTGTGGTGGCTCACAGAGGGCTCTGAAGTTTATTCAGATGGCTCAGCAAGGAAAACGAGCTGAGAACCAGTAACCCAAGAACATTTATTTGTGTTTTACTTTTATATATGAAACCTGTTTTTAATGTATCTATTTTATATACAAAATAATTTAGTACTGTACAGAGATCACTGAAAATAATTGAGTATTTTGATCATTCTGAAACTTAGATTTGTATGAATAAATTAAGACATCATATTACTGTGAAAAAAACTAGGATTCCTATATTCACTTTTTTTTTTCATAGATACAAGGTCTTACTATGTTGCCCAGGCTGGTCTCAAAGTCCCGGGCTTAAGCAATCCTCCTACCTTGGCCTTCCAAAGTGCTGAGATTACTGGCACAAGCTACCAGGCCTGACCTAAACACATTTATTGAGCACCTACTATGTGCGAAGCCCCTAGCCTTGTGCTAGGCATTGAGAATGAAAATGAGAAACAAGACAGACAATGGCTCCTGTCCTCATGAAGCTTATATTCTAGTGTTAGACACACACAACTAAATGGGTATATATATCATAGGTATAATGTTTTGTAACTTTAACTTGATGTATTGTGAACGTTTTCCCATGACATTTGGAATGTTTCAAAGGATACTTCTAAAGAAAGCAAGCCTATCTCAATTTAGAGTGGTATGCTATGAAGAGTTAGTAAAACACCTTATGTTTAGAGCCTGTATCAAGGATTTAAAAAACAAGATTTTACCACTTGAATCTCTATTCGATAATATCTTCAGAGCAAAAAGTTATTGTATTGTTTGAAATATAATTATTTCTCCAAACATTTGATATCAGTACAAAATTACTACAAAAAAATTTATTCCAAAGCCAATTTTAAGAAATATTTGGATTATCCAGGGCCCATTTTCTCCCTCTGCCATTGCCATACATGAGTACATGTTATGTCTGATACATACAAATGGAATATCAGATAGAACCAAGCAAAATTATCTTTTTACCTGTTCCAATCTTAGCAAAAGAAAATTTTGAGAATTTTGTTCCCGATTTTTTTTTTAAGAGACGGAGTTTCACTCTTGTCGCCCAGGCTGAATCGCAGTGGCACGATCTGAGCTCACCACAACCTGTTTCCCGGGTTCAAGCAATTCTCCTGCCTCAGCCTCCCAAGTAGCTAGGATTACAGGCATGTGCCACCATGCCCAGCTAATTTTGTATTTTTAGTAGAGACGGGGTTTCTCTGTGTTGGTCAGGCTGGTCTTGAACTCCTCACCTCAGGTGATCCGCCCACCTTGGCCTCCCAAAGTGCTGGGATTATAGGCATGAACCACCACGCCCAGCCTCGTTCCCAAATTTTAACAATCGAGACTCACCTGAAAGACTTGTTAAAACTCAGATTTCTGGGCCCCATGCCCAGAGTGTCTGCTTTGCTAGGTTTGGGTTAGGGCCAAGAGAATTTTCTTGTCAAATAGGTTGCCAAGTAATGCTGATTCCGCTAGCCTGGGGCCCATGACCACTGCTCTAGAGAGTATCTGGCTGGGCGCAGTGGCTCACACCTGTAATCCCAGCACTTTGGGAGGCCGAGGCGGGCGGATCACAAGGTCAGGAGTTCGAGACCATCCTGGCTAACACGGTGAAACCCCATCTCTACTAAAAATACAAAAAAAATTAGCCGGGCATAGGTGGTGCATGCCTGTAGTCCCAACTACTCGGGAGGCTGAGGCAGGAGAATGGCGTAAAACCTGGGAGGCAGAGGTTGCAGTGAGCCGAGATCGTGCCACTACACTATAGCCTGGGAGACAGAGCGAGACTCCGTCTCAAAAAAAAAAAAAAAAAAGGAGTATCTGGTTGAAGAGACCAGTCATATGAACTCTTTACTCAAGAACTGAAGGCTTATGAGCCAGGTGTAGTGGCACTTTGGGAGGTCAAGGCAAGGAGGATCTCTTGAGGCCAGGAGTTTGAGACCAGCCTGAGCAACATAGCAAGACTTTGTCTCTACAAAAATTTTTAAAAATTAGCTGGGTGTGGTGGTGCACACCTGTAATCCCAGCTACTCAGGAGGCTGAAGTGGGAGGATCACTTGAGCCTGGGATTTCAAGGCTGCAGTAAGCCATGGTTGTGCCACTGCATTCTAGCTTGAGCAACAGAGTGAGACCCTGTATCTTTAAAAAAAAAAAAAAGACTTTCAGGCCTAACCTTACATTTGAGAAACTGTAGATTATTGTTTCTGGTAATTGGTGTCATGGACCCTGATTTCTTGGTTTTATTTTATTCATACAGGATTAATGCAGTATCGAATGGACAAGTCCGAGGTGATAGTTACAGTGAAGGTTGTCTGGGTCAAACAGGTAAATAGGTGCAAACAGCATCTTATTATACATGCTTAAATCCTTAAGATGAGTATTTCACATGGAAATACCACTTTTCTATTTGTTTTAATATATCTGTGAGTAACAGCTTATTATTTTGAATCTATTGTTTTATGTTTTGGGCTTGAAATTGGGAATTAATATATAACATTCTATTTGCCGTGCTTTATTGAGTGTAGGCAGTGTTTTTATTAAAATGTATTTATGCAAATTAAAGAGGCCCTATCAGAATTCATTTTAGGCAGTCATGACTCCATTTATTTATAGCAAATCTTCATAAACATGTTAATGTGATTTGAAAGTTGCCTGTCCTCCTCTGTTAACATAATTTTAATGCAACCTTCCTAAGTTCTAGTCACAGTAAATTTGAATTTATTTTGCTGCCTAACTTCCCTGAAAGTGAAATATGGTAGCTTGGAGATTCGTATGTCACTGAATATGAATTTTTTACTGTATGTCTGTGTTACTGTTTGAAAGTACTCTTGGAAGATCTGGGAGCGGCCGGGCACAGTGGCTCACGGCTGTAATCCCAGCACTTTGAGAGGCCAAGGCAGGCAGATCACAAGGTCAGGAGATCGAGATCATCCTGGCTAACACAGTGAAACCCCGTCTCTACTAAAAATACAAAAAATCAGCTGGGCGTGGTGGCGGGTGCCTGTAGTCCCAGCTACTCTGGAGGCTGAGGCAGGGGAATGGCATGAACCTGGGCGGGTGGAGCTTGCAGTGAGCCGAGATTGCGCCACTGCACTCCAGCCTAGGAGACAGAGCAAGACTCTGCCTCAAAAAAAAAAAAAAAAAAAATGTGGGATCATTGTCTATATAAAAGCATAAGGAGAATGAGCCTCTAAATATGGTGAAACAGATTTTATGAGATGTTTTATAGGAAGGTTGAGTATAGGTTTTCTCAGTGTAGGCAGTTGGGGAAAGTAAGTATATGCACTTATACAGACTCATAAATAATTTTTAAAAATCTATACAGACCAACCAAGAAGAAAAAGGCCAACAGGTACACTGATGAAGATGTTTAACACATCCTTTACTGTTCTCACGTTAGACTTTAATGGCAGTTGCACTTTTTTTTTTTCTGTTTGGGTTTTATTTTCTTTTTGAAAGTTAATTGTACTGCCCTATAAGAAAGAATTCTGGTAAAATATTATTTCTTTGAAGGTGCTCGCATTTGGCTTTTCGTTGGTTTCATGTTGGCCTTTGGATCTCTGATTGCATCTATGTGGATTCTTTTTGGAGGTTATGTTGCTAAAGGTAAGAGAAAACATAGGTTACAATTTACTTCAGTGGAATACTGGAATTTTGCATTAAAGTTGGTTATTTTAGAATAAAATTTTTTTCCTATAGTTGGGCCAACTACTAGCGATGCATTTATATCCGGGACCCCCCACCCTCCACCGACAGTGTTTGGTTTTCTTTGTCTTATATATTTTTAGTATTCCTTTCTTCAGTCATTTTTCTTCTTATCCAGAGCCTGGAAGGGATGAGACAGCTCTAAACACTGCTTTTCTTTGGCTTCCAAAAATCTCAAAAGCAGAACATATGTTATCTAGCTAGTTAGCAAGCTTTGTTTCTTTTTTAGAGACAAGAGTCTCACTATCACCCAGGCTGGAGTGCAATGGCATGATCATGGCCCACTGCAGCCTCAACCTCCTGGGCTCAAGCCATCCTCACACCTCAGCTTCCCAGGTAGCTAGGGCCACAAGCACACACAACCACACCCAGCTAATTTTTAAATTTTTTATAGAGATGGATCTTGCTATGTTGCTAAGGCTGGCCTTGAACTCCTGGCCTCAAGCCTGGCCTAACAAGTTCTGACTTTCAGAATATCTGTGCAAAGCTCTAACATCCCAGAATTGAGATTTATTCAGTTAAGCCTCCCTGGTAATATGATGTCACCTCCTTTCAGACAGAAAAGTAAACTAACATTTAATATACATCTGCTATATAAGGCCACTTTAAGGCAAGCTCAGGAAAAGGTATACTGTTAGACCCTGGGAGAAATTTCACCTTGAGGGACCCTAGAAAAACAGAAAACCCATTTAATGGTCCAGGTAAAATTGCTATGGGTGTCATAGTAAAAATACAGTATTAATGATTTATAAAAACTGGACCAGGTTATATATATTCTGCTCATATTTTAACACTTATTTGAATAAAATGTAACTTGTAGATTAAAATAATGTTTCCTAAATTTTTATTAAAATCATTTAATCTCATAGATGGGAGTAATAGATATTTCCAAATATTTGTATTTTTAATTTTATTTTAATTATTTTTTTTATTTTTTGAGACAGGGTCTGCTCTGTCACCCAGGCTGGAATGCAGTGGCACAATCTCAGCTTACTGCAACCTCCACCTCCCAGGCTCAAGCAATCCTCCCACTCAGCCTCCTGAGTAGCTGAGATGACGGGCGCATGCCACCACGCCCTGCTAGTTTTGTATTTTTTGTAGAGATGGGGCTTCACCATGTTGCCCAGGCTGGTCTCAAACTCCTGGGCTCAAGTGATCTGCCTGCCTCAGCTTCCCAAAGTGCTGGGATTACAGGTGTGAACCACTAGGCCTAGCCATGTGTAATTTATTATTAAAATCATGTTACCAAAATTGTAGAAAATAAAAAAGGGTGGGTGCAGTGTAATCCCAGCACTTCAGGAGGCCAAGGAGGGAGTACTGCATGAGGCCAGGATTTTGAGACCAGCTTGGACAACATAGGGAGACACCATCTCTACAAATAATAAATATTTAGCCGACTATGGTGACGTGCATGTGTGGTCCCAGCTACTCGGGAGACTGACGTGAGAGGATCACCTGAGCCCGGGAGGCAGAGATTGCAGTGAGCTGTGATTGTGCCACTGTACTCCAGCCTGGGTGACAAAGTGAGACGCTGTCTCAAAAAAAGAGAAAAGAAAAGAAAAAAAGAAAAAGAAGTAATAATAATTTCACCACTCTTCAATATTTTGGTTTATTTCCTTTTTTCTTATGTTTTTAGTTATTATCATAATTTTTATCCCCCGTTTGCATTTCACATGATATTATAAGTTAGTTGTTCTTTTGCTGCTATAAAATCTGTTTTTTATATGTATATTTGTTGCCCAGGCTGGAGTGCAGTGATGCGATCTCAGCTCACTGCAACCTCCGTCTCCCAGGTTCAAGCAATTCTTCTGCCTCAGCCTCCCAAGTAGCTGGGATTACAGGCGCCTGCCGCCATGTCCAGCTAATTTTTGTATTTTTAGTAGAGACAGGGTTCTGCCATGTTGGCCAGGCTGGTCTTGAACTCCTGACTTCAGGTGATCCACCTGCCTTGGCTTCCCAAAGTGCTGGGATTACAGGAGTGAGCCACCACGCCCAGCCATCTATATATTTTAAAATGTATATATTTTGAGTTTGAGACCAGTCTGGCTAACATGGCAAAACCCCATCTCTACTAGAAATACAAAAATTAGCCAGGCATGGTGGCACACACCTCCAATCCCAGCTACTTGGGAGGCTGAGGCACGAGATCTCTTGAACCTGGGAGGTGGAGGTTGCAGTGAGCTGCGATCACGCCACTGCACTGCAGCCTGGGTAACAGTGGGAGACCCTCTCAAAAATCAAAACAAAAAAAAAGGAAAAAAATTACCTTGTTATCATGGGAATTGCATAATGCTTATTCATTATAGAAAACTAAGAATATAAAAGAACTCAAAAGAAGAAAATGAAATTACTGATAATTCTTTCCCAGATACAACTATTAATACAGGGTCCCTTTTTATAGGAATGTCTTTATCTCATAATTTTAGGCTATTTTCCTGAAAGCTTCTGGAGCAAGGTTATGTTTTGAGAATTATTAGCAGCAGATCTGTAATTTTATAAAGTTGGCTTTATAACATTTTTAGAAGCCATTCTAGTGGTAATGGTTATTTAACGTGAAATAGTGGTGAAGACCTATGCAAACCATCTGTTATGTTAATCAGATTAACCAAAGCTGTTCTGAAATGAGAAAAATTTGACAGTTCACCTATTTATTGTGCCTCTGTCAATGAGCAGTCATTAACAATTCCAGTAGTAGAAATTTATGAGAATTTCAACTTCACTTCTAGATACAATCAGAAAAAAATGTTGCTCCAGCAGTCCTTCCAATCTTAGTTAATGGCTGGCTACTCTATCTTTCCAGGTGTTTAGGCCAAAAGCCCTAGATGGTGAAGGCCTGTCAAAGATGACATTTGTCTTCCTCCCACGCCCCATATCCAATCTATCTGCAGATCATGTTGACTGTGCTGTAAAATATATCCTGAGTCTAACCACCATTTACCATCTCTCCATTGCTACCACCCTGGTTCAATCCATCATAATCTCTCACCTGATTTCCTGGAAGAGCCTCCTAACTGGTTTCTGTTTCCTCTCTTGCCTCCTTTAATCTACCCTCAGCACAGCAGCCAGAGGGATCCTCTTAAAATATGTCATCTCAGATCACTTTTCTGCTCACAACCCAGTGGCTTCTCGTCTCACTCAGAGTAAAAATCAGAGTCCTCACTGTGACTGCCAGGTCTCTGCTGCCCAGTTGCCCTCTTTCTTTACCCTGTCCCTGCTCTTCCCTCTTGTGCCTACGTGGCTGTTCCTGTAATTCACTGGCGTGCTCCCTCAGGGCGTGTGCATGGCTTCTTCCCCACTTCCTGCGTGTCCTTACTCCAGTGTCACCTTCTCATGGGGTCTTCCTGGCCATCTGTGTCCAATGTCACACTACACTTCTCCACCTTTCCTGCATTATTTTATCTTCTTTTTATTCAGTATATTCTCTAGTTCCATGAGGGCAAAAAAAATTTTACCTGTTTTGTTTATTGCAGTATCCTCAGTATTAAATAGGGCCAGCATACAGTATGCCCCCAGTAAATATTTGTTAAGTGAACTAAGGGAGCTATCATTTACTAAAGCCATGCTAGACTCTGTTACACATTATGTCTTTTAATACTCAAGCCAACCCTAATTCTAAGAAAAATCAATTCTTCTAGGCAGGAAAACTGGTATTTGCCAATATATCTGAAACTAAATGTTTTGAGATCATAACCCTCTAAACACTGCAATTATTTTTACAGAAAAAGACATAGTATACCCTGGAATTGCTGTATTTTTCCAGAATGCCTTCATCTTTTTTGGGTAAGTTTGTTTTGCATTCTTTATGTTTGTTTGTTTTTTTTTAAAATAGCTTCTTTTATATCATTTTCTATATTTAGTTGCCTAATTACTCATCCAATGCCCCTCCCCCATGATATTTTCATAAAACATGGAGAGTAAGGTTGAGAAGGATATTTTAAATAGATGAGTTGGTTTGCTGCCAACCTTAGGAGCATATATTAATTTTTAAGATTGCTACCACGCCCCCTTTTAATGAGTGAGTAACTATGATTCATGAAAATTTAGTTACATAACACTGGTGATGTTCATTTTAAACTTAGATCTCTAACAGTTGCTTTAAGTGAAAGCCTGCCTAAAACCATTTATCCTTAAATTTTGGTTTCTG
The DNA here is from genome assembly GCF_000001405.40 of Homo sapiens. NCBI lineage: Eukaryota > Metazoa > Chordata > Mammalia > Primates > Hominidae > Homo > Homo sapiens. The sequence goes on from NC_000001.11 coordinate 25,357,218, forward strand.
ATATATTTTATAATTCTTCTGTCCTTGATATCGTAGAGTTTGTGAGTGAGATTTGAGGTGTGGAGGAAAAGCCCAAACATTTTTTTATCCTTCCCTTTCAATTACAAATGAAAAGATGACGAAAACCTCTAAAAACCTCAAGGCTTTTATCAGTAATCTTCTCTGATGTTCATCTTTCCTAGAAATTTAGGGCCTGCCCTTTTCTCTACCCATGCTGTTCCTCCAACCAGCCCCCACAACCTACCCCCATCACTGGCCGAAAAACCCCACAAACAAAACAGCTCAACAGCTCTTAATCCTCTGCATCAGGAGTGTGTGTGTGTGTGTGTGTGTGTGTGTGTGTGTTGTGTGTGTGTGTGTTGTTTTGAGACAGAGTCTCAGTCTCTCACCCAGTGTGTGTGTGTGTGTGTGTGTGTGTGTGTGTGTGTGTGTTGTTTTGAGACAGAGTCTCAGTCTCTCACCCAGGCTGGAGTGCAGTGGCACGATCTCAGCTCACTGCAACCTCCGCCTCCCGGGTTCAAGTGATTCTCCTGCCTCAGCCTCCCGTGTAGCTGGGACTACAGGCACACGCCACCACGCCTGGCTATTTTTTTTGTATTTTTAGTAGAGACGGGGTTTCACCATGTTGTCCAGGATGGTCTTGATTCCTGATCTCGTGATCTGCCTGCCTCAGCCTCCCAAAGTGCTGGGATTACAGGCATGAGCCACCACACCCAGCCTGCATCAGGAGTTCTTTTTTTTTTTTTTTTAGAGGGAGTCTCACTCTGTCGCCCAGGCTGGAATGCAGTGGCGTGATCTTGGCTCCCTGCAAACTCTGCCTCCCAGGTTCAAGTGATTCTCCTGCCTCAGCCTCCCGAGTAGCTGGGATTACAGGCACCTGCCAGCACGCCCAGCTAATTTTTTGTATTTTTAGTAGAGACAGGGTTTCACCATGTTAGCCAGGATGGTCTTGATCTCCTGACCTCGTGACCCACCCGCCTCGGCCTCCCAAAGTGCTGGGATTACGGGCATGAGCCACCGTGCCTGGCCAAGAGTTCTTAACCTTTATTCTTTCAGTAGTCTTCTGAAGGTGAGGTATCACCAGACATTTCCATATGCAGGAAATTGGTGTTTTGTGTATTTCTGGAAAGAGATAGTCTGTGGCTTTCATCAGATTTTCAAAGAAGCCCCTAATCCAAAAAAGGCTAGGAATCTGATGTATATTACAGGACCTTTCCTTCCCCTTCCCTTCCCACCCACCTCCAAAAAAGAAACAAAAATCCCATGTTTACTGAAGCCCTCTTGAAATAGTAATAGTTGCCCTTCAGAAAGAGCCACCAGTTGGTATTCACACCTATTCTATTCCATCACCAGGCATTTTTGCCATTTTGTAAAATCAGTTTGGAAATAAAAATGTAAACTTAGATGTGACAAGATGCACAGCCTCTTTGGGTTATACCTTGTATCCTGTAAGCAGATTGAACCCCAGGTAATTTTGACAGTGTAGGAGGGACTGGTCCCTGGCTCTTGCCCAGGAAACTCTTCCGATTAGAGTTCATATCTTGTGACGAGTATTCTGAAGTTACAGCATCTCTTTTAAGCTATTTGGACAGTAGAGGCCTCTAATAACCAACTTCAGTTTTTCTTTGTTACAGCAGTAGATCCTATATTAACTAGAAGAGCAGAGATCTGGGATTACAGGCGCATGCCACCATGCCTGACTAATTTTTGTATTTTTTGTAGAGACGGGGTTTTGCCATGTTGCCCAGGCTGGTCTCAAACTCCTGGGCTCAAGCGATCTGCCCGCCTTGGCCTCCCAAAGTGCTGGGATTACAGGCATGAGCCACTGTGTCTGGCTCATAGCCCCCATTTCATTTGGTGCCTGGGACTGCGCACCAGCTGCCCCATAGAGCATGCAGGCAGGCATCCCCATAGAGCATGCAGGCAGGCAGCCCCATAGAGCATGCAGGCAGGCGTCTGCACTCTGGCTCATCTAAGGCACCTGTGGGTAATTTGCCACCCTTGGCAATTGGCTTTCCAAAGCCTGGCTGTGTCCATTCCCTGCCTCCTCATGGCCAACCATAATCTGGCCATGGTGGATTCTTCCTTGTTCTGTTAACACCTCAGGTATCATTTTATGCATACAGTTGCGCTCTTGCCTCTTTTAAATTGAAGCCTTAAGGACAACTGTAGACGTTCCCTCACCGAAACCCTAGACCAGGGGTGTCCAATTTTTTGGCTTCCCTGGGCCATATTGGAAGAATTGTCTTGAGGCACTCATAGAATACACCAACAATAGCTGATGAGCTTTAAAAAAAAAAAAAATCACAAAATAAATCTCATAATGTTTTAAGAAAGTTTACGAATTTGTGTTGGGCCTCATTCAAAGCTGTCCTGGGCCACATGTGGCCCATGCTTTGTGGGTTGGACAAGCTTGCCCTGGACTGTAAGCTCTGTGAGGGCAAATTCCTGTCATACTAGTCTCCTGGGCTTTTCCAGAAGCCCCATGCTTTTTTATGCCTCTTTCCCCTTTGATGTACTGTTTCCTGTCCCCGAAACACCTGCCTTCATCATCCCGCTAGGTCTTGTTCCTACCAATCTCCCATTCAAACCCCTGTTTTTCCACAAAAGCCCATCTCACATATTACCACCTCTGTAAATCCTTTTCTAACTTATTCAGGGTGACCGAATTCTGTGTTTCTGTGCCCCCTTAATACTTGTTATATAAGTCTCCTTCCCCAACCACCCCCACACTTACCACATCACGTTAGCAAGAATGAGAGCAATTTGAGGGCAGTGGCTTTGTATCTTATTTATAGCCCTGGCACCAAAACAGTTTGTTGAATGAATTTGATAAAATCAGACGTATAGGGCTGGGCACAGTGGCTCACGCCTGTAATCCCAGCACTTTGGGAGGCCGAGGTAGGCGGATCACGAGGTCAGGAGATCGAGACCATCTTGGCTACCATGGTGAAACCCCATCTCTACTAAAAATACAAAAAATTAGCCGGGTATGGTGGCGGGTGCCTGTAGTCCCAGCTACTCAGGAGGCAGAGGCAGGAGAATGGCATGAACCCGGGAGGCAGAGCTTGCAGTGAGCCGAGATCACGCCACTGCACTCCAGCCTGGGCGACAGAGCAAGACTCTGTCTCAAAAAAAAAAAAAAAAATCAGACATATAATGGTTACATAGTAAACACTGGTAACTTTTTAAAAGTCACATGTGTATTCAGTACTTGAAAGTTAAGGTTGTTGGGAATATGGTGGTTAATAGCACAGTTGAACATAATGGAAGAATTCACTACCTTAGAATGATCAGTTTCTGTTTTGATACATTTCGTACCAAAATTTCTTCTACAACTCATCAATTATTCTTCGTTGTTTGTTTCACACCATTCTCGAAATCTCACATACTCTTTTCTCAAATTCAGGGAGTCATGTGATATTTCTTGTTTTATTCACAGAGGGCTGGTTTTTAAGTTTGGCCGCACTGAAGACTTATGGCAGTGAACACATCTGATTTCCCACAGCACAACAGCCCTGCATGGGTTTGTTTGTTTTTTTACTGCTCACTCCCAACCTTTTGTAATGCCATTTTCTAAACTTATTTCTGAGTGTAGTCTCAGCTTAAAGTTGTGTAATACTAAAATCACGAGAACACCTAAACAACAACCAAAAATCTATTGTGGTATGCACTTGATTAACTTATAAAATGTTAGAGGAAACTTTCACATGAATAATTTTTGTCAAATTTTATCATGGTATAATTTGTAAAAATAAAAAGAAATTACAAAAGAAATTATGGATTTGTCAATGTAAGTATTTGTCATATCTGAGGTCCAAAACCACAATGAAAGTGCTCTGAAGATTTAATGTGTTTATTCAAATGTGGTCTCTTCTGTGTCAAATGTTAAATGAAATATAAACATTTTTTAGTTTTTAAAATATTCCGTGGTCAAAATTCTTCCTCACTATAATTGGTATTTACTTTTACCAAAAATTCTGTGAACATGTAATGTAACTGGCTTTTGAGGGTCTCCCAAGGGGTGAGTGGACGTGTTGGAAGAGAGAAGCACCATGGTCCAGCCACCAGGCTCCCTGTGTCCCTTCCATGGGAAGGTCTTCCGCTGTGCCTCTCATTCCAAGGGCAGGAAGATGTGACTCAGCCATGACACGTGGTTCTGGTGGGATGCACAGTCACTCCACATCCACCATTGAAGGAAAGGAAAAAAGGGCAGAGACTTGACACTCCAGTCTTAGACAGGGGACAATTTCTTTGTAGTTGTTCTGATAATAAACTGGGTTCCATGTTGCATTTCATCTGTGTACTGAACCACTAGCCTAATAGACCAGCACGGTCAACTAGAATGACAAACATTAGCTACTGGGAACTCTTGTTGTCTCTTCCTCTTCAGAACTCTTGTCCCCCCAGGCTCCCCACCTCTGCAAGATGGGATACACTCTTCAGGACCACAGTTTGAAATGTCTTTCATAAAATGTGCTACAATTAGCCTTCGGAATATTTGCTGGGTGATTTAAATGTGTGGGTCTCATTTCCATGCTAGCCATGGTCATCTGACAGTCTCTACACTGTGAATATTGCCTGGTGATCAAGACTCTCCTCAAAGAAATGACTTGCTGTCATCCCACATGAACTCCTGATGTTTTTTCTACAAAAGTCCATAAAATGTGAAAACTGGAGAAGATCTTAGAGGTTGAAGCCCACCTTCTCTTTTCACATAGGAGGGAACAGACCATGGAAATTTAAACGACTTCCTCACGGTCACAGAACTAGTTTTTTAATCCTCAGGCAGTGCATCCCCCCACCCTACAACTGAGCACAACCTCTTTCCCCACAGTGCAATTCAGAATATGCTCAGGGAATGCCAGCCACCTTGTAAAACTGCTGGGAGAAAAGCATGATTCCCACAAGGACTAAGTATCAGTGATTTGTAATTTTCCTGTTTTGTATTATCTGCTTTGCTGATGTAGACAAGAGTTAACTGAGTAGCATGCTTTATTAAGCATGAGAAAGAATCTTAAGAATTGTCAATAAAATTAACCCAAAACTTTAATAATGTGTCTGTAACCAAGAAAATATTGATAGCATCATCCTAATGAAACTAAACATTTATTTTAAACTTATTAAATTGACTCTTAAACTAAGTTTTTAGTCTTTAATTTTTTAATATCAAATCTGTCTCTGACCTTGTTTCATTATACATAAGGAGACTTTGCTGTCATGAGCGTTTCTCACGTACAAATGCAGGCAACAGTGAGAGGAAGTTGTCTTGTTTTTGAACAGGCCTTGTTTTTCTTGGATGCTTTTGCTTAAAATCCAACAGCCAAATGAGGAAACTGTAAAAGCAAAACAAACATTTTTATTGCAGATGAACCCACATACTGATTTTGGCTTGATCTCTTGAAACAGCCTAAATGTCTCATTACAAAGACCTTAGAAATTCTTTCATAAAATCTGAATTGGAAGAGATCTTGGATATATAGGTTTTATTTCATCTAACGTTTTACATGGATTGTTGATAAATGGCCATCTGGCTTTTATTTGAATGCCTCCAAAGACAGAGGACTCACTACTGCCATATGAAGTAGCTCATTCCATTTGGCAGACAGTTGAGATTGTTAGAAATTTATACTGCACCTCCCCTGGGCCTAGTTAAATTCTTTGGAGAAGTGTAGAGAAAAAGTATTTTTCTTCTACATGCCAGTTTTTTTTTTGGTTTTGTTTGGTTGGTTGTTTGTTTTGTTTGAGATGGAGTTTCGCTCTTGTCTCAGGCTGGAGTGCAGTGATGCAATCTCAGCTCACTGCAACCTCTGCCTCCCGGGTTCAAGCAATTCTGCCTCAACCACCGGAGTAGCTGGGATTACAGGCACCCGCCACCATGCCCAGCTAATGTTTGTATTTTTTAGTAGAGACGGGGTTTCACCTTGTTGGTCAGGCTGGTATCAAACTCCCAAACTCAGGTGATCCACCCGCCTCGACCTCCAAAACTGCTGGGATTACAGGCGTGAGTCACTGCGCCCGGCCTACATGCCGGTCTTTCAAGTGTTCGAAGAGCCTTCTTAGGTCTCCTCTGGCCTTCTCTTCTGCAAGCTGTGCATGCGCTGAGTTCTGAAGTGGTGCCACACCACAGCCTACCATACAACGTCACTGCATGTGGCATAAACTGGGACCACAGAACTCTGAAACCGGAAATCAGGGTAGCTAACACTTGTTTGCTAACATTTCACATACATTATCTCCTTTAAACCCTAACAACACAGTGAGACAGTTACTGTTATCTCCATGTCAGATGACGAGACTGAAGCTACAAGATCACAGAGCTGGCAGTGGTAGAACCCAGATCTGTCTGACTCCAGAGCACAAACTCTTAGAACATGGGATTTGATCTCATTTTATAGAGGAAGAAACTGAGCCCCAGAGAAGCGACCTGCCCAAGGGCACCAGCCTGCCAGTGGGTGAACTAGGACTAGAATTCAGATCTGCCTCCCAGAACACTGGCCCTCACCGAGGCTAGGGGAGTCTGTTGGCAGGCTGCTGATGTGTTTTCCTAGTTTACTTTTTTTTTTCTTTTTTTTAATATATATATTTTTTGAGACAGAGTCTCCTCACTCTGTTGCCCAGGCTGGAGTGTAGTGGCAAGATCTCAGCTCACTGCAACCTCCCCCCAGGGGTTCAAGTAATTCTGCCTCAGCTTCCCAAGTAGCTGGGATTACAGGTATGCACCACCACACCCAGCTAATGTTTTTGTATGATTTGGTTTTGTTTTGTTTTATTTTGAGATGGAGTCTCCCTCTGTCCCCCAGGCTGGAGTGCAGTGGCACGATCTCGGCTCACTGCAACCACTGCCTCCCCAGTTCAAGCCATTTTCCTGCCTCAGCCTCCTGAATAGCTGGGACTACTGGTGTGCACCACCACGCCTGGCTAATGTTTGTGTTTTTAGTAGAGACAGGGTTTCACCATGTTGGCCAAGCTGTTCTTGAACTCCTGACCTCAAGTGATCTGCCCACCTCAGCCTCCCAAAGTGTTGGGATTACAGGTGTGAGCCACGGCGCCCGGCCTGTTTTCCTACTTTAAAAGCTGGCTCTCCTTGTGTTGTTGAACAAGCGTTTGTTGGGCCCTTACTGTGTCTCTAGAACATTTATTTGAAATCAGAAGTAGGGGTGATACCACTGTGACAAGAGTAGATTTTTAAAACTTCGCGTAAAACAGCAAGAGGGACTCAACACATTTTGTTATGTTTTTGTACCAAAACAGTAGTGTTTATCTTTCTTGGCAATAAAATCATTTTAAAAAATAAACTGCAAATACTCATTCAGAAGCCAATGGATGATCTTCAGCACATTGCAGTTATTTCAGAACTCGGCCTACATGCTTAATTCGATCACTCTGCTTCACTCTCAAACTTTCATTGTAGGCATTGCTTCCCCACTCAAACCTTTGGGAATTTCCCATTTGCCTGAAGGATGAAATTGAAGTGGCTCTAGCCACCTTTCAGCCTTTTCACACACTGCCGAGCCAGGTTGCTCATGCTGCTTCTGTTCTTGCAGATGCTCCCCACCTGCCCCCCTCCTCTTGCTTGGAATGCCTTGCACTTCCTGCTGCTTAGCCAAATCCAACACAACTCCATGCTCCATTGTCCCCGACCTCCCTATGACCTCTCCCTCCTCTCATTCCAGCAGCTACTGCCAGGATTGCTTGTTTCGTATTTTACATTATTTGTATTTATTTATTTTTTGAGACAGAGTCTCACTCTGTCGCCCAGGCTGGAGTGCAGTGGCGCGATCTCAGCTCACTGTAACCTCCGCCTCCCGGGTTCAAGTGATTTTTCTGCCTCAGGCCCCTGAGTAGCTGGGATTATAGTCACGCACCACCACACCTGGCTAATTTTTTATATTTTTGGTAGAGACGTGGTTTCACCATATTGGCCAGGCTGGTCTTGAACTCCTGACTTGAAGTGATCTGTCGGCCTCAGCCTCCCAAAGTGCTGGAATTACAGGCGACCAGCCAGAATTAGTTTAAGAAGTGCATGTCAGTGAGCCCTTGTGTTTTGCAAAGCATGAAATAAAATCCATGGTTTATTAAACTGAAATAAAGAAGGGAACTGTCTATTCTTTTAATGAAAGCAGAAGACACGTGAAAGATTGTGTTATAAACTGAAGTTTTGGCCGGGCATGGTGGCTCACGCCTGTAATCCCAACATTTTGGGAGGCTGATGTGGGCAGATCACCTGAGGTCAGGAGTTCGAGGCCAGCCTGGCCAACGTGGTGAAACCCTGTCTCTACTAAAACTCCAAAAATTAGCCGTGGTGGCAGGTGCCTGTAGTCCCAGCTACTTGGGAGGTTGAGGCAGGAGAATCACTTGAACCTGGGAGGCAGAGGTTGAAGTGAGCCGAGATCACACCATTACACTCTAGCCTGAGCTATAGAGCAAGACTCTGTCTCAAAAAAATAAATAATAAACTGAATTTTTGTAAATAAGTATCTGGTGAGGACCACTGTAAACTGCAGGAGGATAGGAGATTAGCATATCTGGCTCCTTGAGACCCATAACTATATTTTATTTAGAATTATCTCTCTGGTACTTCACATCGTGTCACAAATTAGGTAATACACGTAGTGGAATGAATTAGCAAATGATGAGTGCATTTTCATAAACCTTCGGAGGATGAGATGGGTGCCCTTGGGGGGTGGTGAGTGCTCCCTCCCAGAAGTGCCAGGCGTGGTCTGGCCAACCAGCGAGGCAGTGGCTGAGCTGGCTTTAATGTCTTTCCAATCCTGGCAGTCAGTTCTATGAAATTCAATGAGTATTTAAAATGTCTTGTTGGATGGTTTGCAAAAAAAAAAAAAATCACCCCTGGATTTATCAGCTTAGCAAGTTTGCATCCTTGCCTCTTTAATGGATATTTGGCTTTCAACTGCAAGCTGAGAATGGTACACTGCCGAATAAATGGTCCTACTCAACTGCGAGAAAACAAGTCAGAAGATTTCTGGGGGTGGGGTGGGGGTGGAATAACTTTTCTCTAGTAACTGTAACCAACGCATATGTGGGGTGTCTTTGGAGCCAAAAGACATCACATTTCTTCTTTTCTATGCATTAGTTCTGTCATTTTGGGCAAGTTACTTAATCTCTCTAGGCCTCCATTTCATCATCTTCAAGACTGAGATACTTACTTTTTTTTTCTCTTTTGAGACATAGCCTTGCTCTGTCACCCAGGCTGGAGTGCAGTGGCGCAATCTCATCTCACTGCAATCTCCATCTCCCGGGCTCAAGCCATTCTCCTGCCTCAGCTTCCCAAGTAGCTGGGATTACAGGCATCCACCACCACGCCTGTCTAATTTTTTTTTGTATTTTTAGTAGAGACAGGGTTGCACCACGTTGACCAGGCTGGTTTCAAACTCCTGATCTCAAGTGATTTGCCCACCTCGGGCTCCCAAAGTGCTGGGATTATAGGCATGAGCCACCGCACCTGGGCGACATACTTACTTTTATGCAGGACTGTTGTGAGGATAAAATCAGGTAATGTGGAAAAGCACCTAGCACAAAATCAGAAACTGTAGGCTTGCAATATGATAGCTCTTATGCTCACACATTCCCTTGTGGTTGGCTAAATCCCTAGTAATAAACTTTCACATTCATGTGGCGGTTTGCATTTTACAGAATGTTGTTACAGACATTATTACCTCACTTGATCTTTGAAATAACCCAGTGAAGTAGCACAAAGATTACTACTCTTATGTTACCAGTGAGAGAGGTCAAGGAACTTGCCTACATAATACATACATTAATATATAATACATTACATAATACATGACATTACAGAATGATGGCCAACATCGGGTTTCCTCATTCCAAATTCACACTCGTTCTAGTTTACCTGTTGCTGCAATGGCTACTGATGGGGTTCGTCAGATTTCCTTAATTTATCCAGCAAATATTTTTTTTCAGAGACAGGATCTCACTCTGTCACCCAGGCTGGAGTGCAGTGGCATGATCATGGTTCTCTGCAGCCTTGGCCTCCTGGGCTCAAGAGATCCTCCCGTCTCAGTAATCCCCAAAGTGCTGGGATTACAAGTGTGAGCCACTGCACCTGACCTATCCAGCAAATATTTATTGCAACTCAAGTGACTGAGCTGGAGATTTCTCCTGTTTGTGCTGTCCTTGGTTGATTAGCATAGTACTTGGTATAGAATAGTTATTCGATAAATACCTGAGGAATGAATGAATAGATTAAACCAATTTTCCGAGTCTTTTCGATAGAGTACCTTGATTCTGCTAAATAGGCAAGAACACTTGCAGGGGATAAAGAGAGATTGGCTGTTGGGAGAAGCCAAGAGCTGACAGCTGCAGAGAGAAGCTGATGAAGTCAGTTACACGCAACAACACGGATGATTCTCAGAATAATCATGCTGAGCAAAAGAGGCCAGACCAAGGGCAGTACGTGCTGCATGATTCCCTTTGTGTAACATTACAGAGGGCTGGGCACAGTGGCTCATGCCTATAATCCCAGCACTTTGAGAGGCCAAGGCAGGAGGATTGCTTGAACCCATGAGTTCGAGACCAGCCTAGGTAATACGGTGAAACCCCATCTCTACAAAAAAATACAAAAATTAGCCTGCCATGGTGGCCTACACCTGTGGTCCTAGCTACTCAGGAGGCTGAGGGGGGAGGATCTCCTGAGCCTGGGGAGGTTGAGGCTACAGTGAGTCATGATGGTGCCACTGCATTACGGTGTGGGTGGCGGAGTGAGACCCTGTCTCAAACAAAAAAATTACAGAAAACGCAAACCTTAGTGACAGAAAGTAGTTCAGTGGTTGCCTTTGGGTGGGACCAGGTGGGTAGGAAGGGAGGAATTTCAAAGGAGCAGGAGGAAGTGTGTGGAAGTGATGGGTGTGCTCCTTGTCTTGATGGTGGTGATGGTCTCTTCAGTGTATAAATACGTTAAAATGTATCAAATTATATACTTTTGTGATACCCTAACTTGTATTAACTTGATTGACTCTCTCTTAGCTAAGAAAGCCGGAGGGATTCCATTCGGCTCCTTCATTTGCAAGACGTTAAGGGCTCCTTACCCACCCCCTTCCTCAAGGACTTAACTTGTGCAAGCTGACTCCCAGCACATCAAAGAGTGCAATTAGCTGATAAGGTACTGTGGCAAGCTGTGTCCGCAGTTCCCAGGAATTTGCCCGGGTGATAGTACTCTAGTGCCCCTGCGTTTGTGTCCGGCAGATAGCACCCAGAGCCCCCGCACCTGTCACCTTGTGATGGCTTTAAAGCTCCTGCACCTGGAACTGTTTGTTTTCCTGTAACCATTTGTCTTTTTAACTTTTTTGCCTGTTTTACTTCTGTAAGATTGCTTCAGCTCAATTCCCCCTCCCCTTTCTAAACCAAGGTATAAAAGAAAATCTAGCCCCTTCTTTGGGGCCGAGAGAATTTTGAGCACTAGTCGTCTCTAGGTCGCCGGCTAATAAAGGACTCCTGAATTAGGCTCAAAGTGTGGTGTTTCTCTGTAACTCACTTGGTTACAACACTTTAAATATGTACAATTGTTTTGTTTTGTTTTTGAGGCAAAGTCTCGCTCTGTCACCCAGGCTGGAGTGCAGTGGCATGATCTCAGATCACTGCAAACTTCGCTTCCCAGGTTCAAGTGATTCTCCTGCCTCAGCCTCCCGAGTAGCCGGGATTACAGGCAGCTGCCACCACGCCTGGCTAATTTTTGTAGTTTTAGTGGAGACGGGGTTTCACCGGGTTGCCCAGGCTGGTCTCAAACTCCTGACCTCAAGTGATCCACCCGCCTTGGCCTCCCAAAGTGCTGGGATTACAGGCGTGAGCCACCATACCCAGCCTAAATATGTACAATTGATTGTATGCCAGTTACACCTCAAAAAGCTATTTGAAGAGGAAGAAGAAGAGAAAGGAGAGGAAGGAGAAGGAAAAGAAGGGGCAGGGTCTCTCCCCAGGTCCTCTCTGCTTGACCCCTCATGCACAGGTGTCCAGGCCCATAATAAGGCTGCTTCTCTGTCTCTTTAGTGAGCAACATCTTGGATGCTGGGTGGGGCAAGCATTGGCCTGGGACTCAGAAGGCCTGGGTTCCGGTCTTGGATCTGCCACTCACAAAGGCACAACACCGGGCAGCAGCCTGACCACTGTTGGCCTGGACTTGCTGTGACAATACTGGTCCCTGCTGGTCCAGCCTACCCACAGCATTGACTAGAGGATGGCCTAAGGGGACACATCAGAGTGCTGCGTGAACTATGAGTGTAGGTCAAAGGGAGGAGAGTGGGAGGGGAGGCAGGGAGTGAGCTCCAACCTTCTTCACCTTCTTTCTAGCCCAGTCACAACAACAAATGCTACAATGTAACACGGGACCCTCAGCAGCTGCTGAGCTGTTTGAACTTTATGTCCCTTTGCTAAGTGACCTCAGACTCCTGTACTACAATTTTTTTGTGCCTGCTTGTTATCATTTATCAAGAGCTGTGTTCAGGACTCAGCCTGGATACTCACACACTGTAAGAATTTTTTTTTTTTTTTTTTTTTTTTGAGACAGAGTGTCAGCTCTTGTCACCCAGGCTGGAGTGCAGTGGCGCAATCTCAGCTCACTGCAACCTCTGCCTCCTGATTTCAAGCGATTCTCTTGCCTCAGCCTCCTGAGTAACTGGGATTACAGGCATGTGCTACCACGCCCAGCTAACTTTTGTATTTTTAGTAGAGATGGGGTTTTGACACGTTGGCCAGGCTGGTCTCGAACTCCTGGCCTCAGGTGATCGCCCCACCTCAGCCTCCCAAAGTGCTGGGATTACAGGCGTCAGCCACCGTGCCCAGCCAGTTGTAAGATCTTGATAAGTCATGTCTCCACTCTTAGCATCTGTCAAAAAAGGGGTTGGACTCCAAGGCTTGAGGTTTCTTCCAGCTTTTGCATTGCGGGGTTCTGTCACCCGCATGTCAAACTATTTGGCTACGCTGAGGACTGCAGATAGCGGGAGGGGAAGTGTGGCCAGTGAAAGCTGTCTCATCCCTGACTCTGAATGAATTTGAGGTATCAGGGAAATGGTGACCTTTACCACCTCCCCGCCACCCTCCCCCACACACATGCATATCATGGATTTGTTTCTCCTCTAGTTCCTCCTGCAATGCTCCTTACTCCATTTTTGTTTTTGTTTTACTCATAAACAGCAAGTCAACATATATACCCAGGTATGTTTTTAAGTTCATGCACTCAAAATCTATCACGTTAATAGGTGAAAAATCTTACCTTCCAGAAAACTTGGTCATCAAAATATTTAGCCACATGAGGTGCTTTCCATATTTTGAGATTTAGGAGCAAACCTGTTTAAATGCATAATTTAATGTTAAAAGATTTGGAGCACAGGATTTTTAATCTCAAGATTAATCAAAATATTGTGTGTGTCAAAACGACAGTGTCTCAACAGAAATCCTTTTTCTCCCACAATTGAAAGACAAATAAATGGACGCCCTGTCATTCCTGGACCAGCTTAATTCTGTAGACTATTTTATTTTATTTTATTTTATTTTATTTTATTTTATTTATTTTGAGACAGAGTCTCACTCTATCACCCAGGCTGGAGTACCGTGGCATGATCTCGGCTCACTGCAGCCTCTGCCTCCCAGGTTCAAGCGATTCTCCTGCCTCAGCCTCCCAAGTAGCTAAGATTATAGGCGCCTGCCACCACATCCAGCTAATTTTTTTTTTTTTTTTTTTTTAGTAGGATGGGGTTTCACCATGTTGGCCAGGCTGGTCTCGAACTCCTGACCTCAGGTGATCCACCCACCTCAGCCTTCCAAATTGCTAGTATTATAGGCATAAGCCACCACACCCGGCCGATTCTGTAAACAATTTTTTTTTTTTTGAAAAAAAGAACTGGGAATGGCAGTGTACTGAGCAGTACATGAGAGCCACAGATCTGACGCCCTTCCCCAGACGGAGTAGAAGGGCCCCACGAAAGCTGATCCATGTAAGACATATGGGCTACTATGGAGGGCGACTCCAGTTGGGTGCTCCTATAGGTCTGTCTTCTCTGGCTCCAGTCAACTCCTGGGAACCTCAGCTTAAGATTCCACTTGTGTAGTTAGGAAAGTAGCTTATAACTTGCTTAAGTGCCTGTCCTTCCTTTTCCCCATCTTTTTAAGTGTCTTTGATTTTATTTTTTATTTTTGGAACAGGGTCTCATTCTGTTATCCAGGCTGGAGTGCAGTGGCACAATCACAGCTCATTGCAGCCTCAAACTCCCAGGCACAAGCAACCCCCCCACCTCAGCCTCCCAAGTAGCTGGGACCACAAGTGTGTGCTACCATACCCAGCTCATTTTTTTGTATTTTTTGCAGAGACGGGGTTTAGCCATGTTGCCCAGGCTGGTCTTGAACACCTGAGCTCAAGTGATCTGCCCGCCTTTGCCTTCTAAAGGGCTGCAATTACAGGTGTGAGCCACTGTGCCCAACCTCCATTCCCTGTCTACTCTCTGCCCAGGTAGCTTGGCCATATGTATTCCTCCAGCTTCCCGAAGCTGGCTGAATTTCACAGGACACATGGAATGAGTACTTCCTTTCACAGGAAGCAAGGAAATGCTCCTGATAGATTTATCTGTGTATTATTAAGGATGATCAGTTCCAGTGTCGTTAACAAGAATGGGTGAGTGCTTAGTGAGATTCGTATTTCCCTTTCGTGGTGCTGCTTTTAGCAGATATTGGCATGCAGGGTACAACCAGCATGACGCAGTTATTAGCTTGAATTACTCAGTAATGATCTCTGGCGCCTGCATGAATTTTCCAGATAGCTGAGGCTTACTCATCACTGAGGAATATCTGTCTAAAATATATTTTGTCTTCTGAGACAACATTAAACATATTTAGACTTTTTAAAAAAAAAATCAGAACCATCACTAGGAACACCCACTTATAACGTGCCATATAACGTGGAAAAGGTTTGTAGCCGTGGAGGGTTGTTGGTCTAATCTCTCAGCAGCCCAAGCGTTTTGTGTTCTTGTGTCCAGTTTTAAGAATTTGTTGGCCGGGCACAGTGGCTTATGCCTGTAATCCCAGCACTTTGGGAGGCCAAGGTGGGCGGATCACCTGAGGTCAGGAGTTCGAGACCAGCATGACCAACATGGAGAAACCCTGTCTCTACTAAAAATACAAAATTAGCCGGGCGTGGTGGTGCATGCCTGTAATCCCAGCTACTCAGGAGGCTGAGGCAGGAGAATCACTTGAACCCAGGAGGCGGAGGTTGCGTTGAGCCGAGATAGCGCCATTGCACTCCAGCCTGGGCAACAAGAGCAAAACTCCGTCTAAAAAAAAAAAAAAGAATTTCTCTTCCTCTGTTAGGCTCTTTGCTTTCACTTCTAACTTCTGCTGGTGTACTTTACCTCTAGAAACCTAGCCCACCTCTAATCTGCTATTTCTAATCTACCTGGGCTGAGAAACCCAATAACTATGCTTGATAGGATTGTTCCTTAAATAAGTATAGACAGGCCCACAGAGGGCTCAATTAACAAGTTAAATGCTTGGCTTCTGGGAGTCCATTTGGTGCAATTTTGGCTTCTTGAGGAACTTTCTCCCCCTTCCATTGTCCAAGTTGTTTTGTTTCCTTTTTTGAGACAGGGTCTTGCTCTGTTGTCCAGGCTGGAGTGCAGTGGCACGATCTCAGCTCACTGCAACTTCTGCCTCCCAAGCTCAACTGATCCTCCCATCTCAGCCTCCGGAGCAGCTGGGACTACAGGTGTACCACCACACCTGGCTAATTTTTGTATCTTTTGTAGAGATGGGGTCTCACTATAGGATTGCCCTGGCTTGAACTCCTGGCCTCAAGCTATTCTCCCACCTCAGCTTTCCAAAGTGCTGGGATTACAAGTATGAGCCACCCAAGTTGTTTTTAATCACCAGTTTGCTCATGTCAAAAACAACATGTAAAGAAGAAAGCTTGTTGGTCTTAACTCTTAAAGGAACAATATGATTGTCTTTTCCTCTATTCTCTTTTTTGACTCCAGTGAAGCATAAGAAAAGACCCCCGGGTACTTTGCAAGACAGAGGGCAAGTCAGCACCACTTCGAATATACCAGTGATAACAGTGAATAGTGTGAGTCCCAGGACAGGGTTGCCAAATAAAATGCAGGATACCCAATTCATTGCGAATTTAAAAACAGACACCTTGCATTTTTGCTAAATCCGGCAGCCTTTCCCAGGGTTGGATTGCCAGCTGCCACGAACTGAACGTTAACTTACGGAATTAACTCTACTCCGCCTCTGCTTCTTCACACAGACTCTGCCAAAAGCTAAGGCCAGACATTGGTATATTAAAGCAATTCTAGCCAATCTCACACTCAAAAATTACCCAAGTAACTCCAAAATGTACCTCCATACAGTTTGTTAAAGCTGGAAGGAAGCCAGCTTAGTTACCATAATCCTTTCATTTTACAGAGAAGCTAACCAAGGCTCAGAGGGAGTGAAGTGACATGCCCAATGTCACCACACAACTCATAGTGTCTTACGCCATTTGTCTCTTATTTGGCATCCACCTCCTGCTTAGGGACACATATATGGGTGTCTAACCAATAAAAGATGTTTGCTTGTAGAATAACAAGTTCTGGATGGAATGTATATTTTCTTTCTTTTTTTTTTTTTTGAGACAGTCTCACTCTGTCACCTAGGCTGGTGCAACCTTGGCTCACTATAACCTCCACCTCCTGGGGTCAAGCCATTCCCCTACTTCAGCCTCCCGAGTAGCTGGGACTACAGGCACACACCACCACGCCTGGCTAATTTTTGTATTTCTGGCAGAGACAGGGTTTTCCCATGTTGGTCAGGCTGGTCTCGAACTCCTGACCTCAGGTGATCTACCTGCCTCAGCCTCCCAAAGTGCTGGGATTACAGGCGTGAGCCACTGTGCCTGGCCTGAATGTGTATTTTCTTTTTTTTTTAGACAGAGTCTCGGCCCACTGCAACCTCTGCCTCCCGGGTTTAAGCAATTCTCCTGCCTCAGCCTCCCAAGTAGCTGGGATTACAGGTGCCCACCACCACGCCTGGCTAATTTTTTAATTTTTAGTAGAGACAGGGTTTCACCATGTTGGCCAGGCTGGTCTTGAATCCTGACCTCAGATGATCTGCCCACTTCGGTCTCCCAAACTGCTGCAATTACAGGTATGAGCCACTGCACCTAGCCACATATTTTCACCTGGCATATAAGTAAAACTGGCTAATTAGCAACTCCCCTAGATTTTTTGCTTTTCTATTGTATTGCAAGAACAGAAACATACTTTTCCCCTTTGTTGAAAGATCTCCAGTGGCTTCCCATCTTTTATAAGGGCCTGCTCCTCACTACCATTCTGCCCTCAACCCCTGCTGCTCCTTCTCACTCCATTCACACCAACCACACTGGTCTCCTTACTGTTCCCTCAACACACAAAGCATGCTGCTGTCTCAGGGCCTTTGCACTTGCTATCCTATTTTCATGGAATGTTCTTCCCCTAACTAAATGCATCGCATATCTCCCTCCTCTTCATTGGGGTCTCTGCTTAAAAGCTAACTACTCAGATAAGCTTTCCCTGACCACCCCCCTAAAAGAACACCCCATCCCACATTGACTCTATGTTTCTCTAGTTTGCTCTGTCTTCACAGCCACTTCTTCCCATCTGGCGTAGTAGACACTTATTTGTCTATTTATTGCTAATACCTTCCCCCACTAGAAGGTCAATTCCATGGGGTCAGGGAATTTGTTTTGCTCACTGCTGTGTCCCCAGTGCCTGGCTCATAGTGGATATTGAATAAATATCTGTTGAATAAAATAGTATTATGGGTGTCCTCAGAAATAAAAGGTAGGCTTTTGGGTGTAAGGATTTTCTCGGGCTTCTGTGCAAAACTGAGTGTGATCACCAGCCCTGGGTTCAAAAGTCTGCAACGTTGCCACTCACCCTACTTATAACCTCAGGGATGTCCCTTCCCTGCCCTGGCCTCACAGTCCACATTAGCAGCAGGTGACCTCTAAGAACCTTTCCAATTCTGAAATTATGTGATCCTCAGGGAAGGAGATGGGGCACATAGACATCCAGCCACACGGCAGGGTGCGCTCTGGACGTGGGTGCTGTGTCCTGGCAATGGTGGAAGAAAGGTGGCCTCACACTGACCTGTCAGGAGACCAGACGTGAGAGCTATCACGATGGCCAAGCTGAGTTCCCCAATGCTGAGGAGGACCTGGAAGCCAATCCTAGAAATGACAAAGCAGAGGTGGTCACTTGGGCATCAGGCAGCAGAGGTCATCAGGGACAAAAAGGACTGTCGGTGTCAGTAGTGCCATTGCCAGGAAGGGCCATGAGGAAAACAAGGGTCCTCTCCCTGGCTGGTACATTCCCCTGGCATTTTCCCAAAAAGCCACGCAGACATGTGGGAGGGAGGGAGGCGACGGAGATTCCAAGATTGTGGCTTATTTTAGTTCCCAGCACCTCATGGATAATGAACCAGACCAGGAGTCAGAAAACCCAAGCTCAAGTCCCAGCTCTGTCACTTACTAGCTGCAAGACCCTGGGCAAGTCCTTTAACCTCTCAGAGCCTCCAGTTTTCTCTCTCTCTCTTTTTTTTTTTTTTTTTTCTGTTTTTGTTTGTGAGATGGAGTCTCACTCTGTCGTCCAGACTGGAGTGCAGTGGTCGGCTCACTGCAACCTCTGTCCCCCAGGTTCAAGCGATTCTTGTGCCTCAAGTAGCTGGGACTACAGGCATGCGCCACCATACCTGGATAATTTTTGTATTATTAATAGAGACGGGGTTTCACCATGTTGACCAGGCTGAACTCGAACTCCTGACCTCAAGTGATCTGCCCGCCTTGGCCTCCCAAATTGCTGGGATTACAGACATGAGCCACCACATCTGGCCAGCCCCAGTTTTCTCGTTAGGCAATTAAAGATGAAGGTTCTATTTCTCTTGGGGCAAGGTGGGTGGGGTAGAGCTTGGCTTTCAGACCCATCTCCCCTGCCCATCCCTACCCCTTGAACATACTTCCAGGATCTCTCTCCTTCAAGGCAACCCCAGGGGTTCAATTCAAACATTAAGCTATTACGGGGGCCCCTGGATGCTGAATGTGATTGTCCCAGGGTTCAGCATGCACCTGGGCACTGCCAGCCCGTTCACTGCAGCCCCACGGATAGTTGTACACAACAAGCCAGTTTTTTAAGCCTTTCCTATTTCTTGTCTCAACAGGTGGGCAGCTCATGTTCTCATTTTTAAGACAAAGGAAAGCTCCAAGCCTGCAGCCTCATGGGGTGGACCCCACCTTGTATGTCATTTGGTTATCTTCCCTGTCTTTACTGATTGTTCATTATAAAGTGGGAGAAATAATCACAGTCCCTACCTCATAAGATCATAGGAGAGTGGAGAGAATTAAAAAGAATTACCTGCAGACTAGAAAAATAAATTAAGGCCGGGTGTGGTGGCTCACACCTGTAATCCCCGCACTTTGGGAGGCCGAGGCGGGTGGATCATGAGGTCAGGAGATGGAGACCATCCTGGCTAACACAGTGAAACCCCTTCTCTACTAAAAATACAAAACATTAGCCGGGAGTGGTGGCAGGTGCCTGCAGTCCCAGCTACTCAGGAGGCTGAGGCAGGAGAACGGTGTGAACCCAGGAGGTGGAGTTTGCAGTGAGCTGAGATCACGCCACTGCACTCCAGCCTGGGCAACAGAGCAAGACTCCATCTCAAAAAAAAAAGAGAAAAGAAAAATAAATTAAAAAGATAAAAAGAGTTGCCACCCTGCTGCTCTTGTAGGGAGTGCAGATGTCAACAACTACCTGCCCAACCATTCAGGCAGCCATCCCCCCTTCCGTGTGGCAAGCTCCAGGCCCTCATCTTTGCCATCTTTGTATATATTCAATAGTTTGCTTCCTCCCCAGCTCCAAACACAGTTCAGGTTATCAAAACCTCAGGGAAATGTTTGTTGAATGACTGAAAAATGGAGTCAATTACTCAATTCATTGATCTAAAATTAAGTGATTTTTAGAAAAAAATTCAGGGGGACATATGCATGACCTTGCAAATTTCTTTTTTTTTTAGATGGAGTCTTGCTGTGTCACCAGGCTGGAGTGCAGTGGCGTGATCTCAGCCTCCCGAGTAGCTGAGACTACAGGCAAGAGCCACAACGCCCAGCTAATTTTTTGTATTTTTAGTAAGGACAGGGTTTCACCATGTTGGCCAGGATGATCTCGATCTCTTGACCTTGTGATCTGCCAGCCTCAGCCTCCCAAAGTGCTGGGATTACAGGTGTGAGCCACCGAGCTGGCTGCAAAAATTCTTAAACAGGACATAAAAGAACTAAGCATAAAGGGAACAATGATAAATTGGGCTATATTAAAATTAAGAACCTCCTTGTTCAAAAGACACCATTAAGAAAGTAAAAGGTGGGCTGGGCATGGTGGCTCACACCTGTAATCCTGGCACTTTGGGAGGCCAAGGTGGGCCAAAGTTGAGGCTAGGATTCAAGATCAGCCTGGCCAACATGGCAAAACCCTGTCTCTACCAAAAATTATTTTGTCTATACAAAAATTCGGTGGGCATGGTGGCATGCACCTGTAATCTAAGCTACTCAGGAGGCTGAAGTATGAGAATTGCTTGAACCTGGGAGGCAGAGGTTGTAGTGAGCTGAGATAGCGCCACTGCATTCCAGCCTGGGTGACAGAAGGAGACTCTGTTTCAAAAAGAAAGAAGGAAAAAGGTAAGCCACATAGTGGGATTCATATCCAGGATATGTAAGGAATTCCTAAAATCAATAAGAAAAAGACAGAACACCACAATAGAAAATGGGCAAACTAACTTGAATAGACATTTCACAAGAAAAGATATTCAACTGTCCAAAAAGCATATTAAAAGTGCTCCATTTAGTTAGTTATTGGAGATATCAAAATGTAAAAAATAGGTTTCACTGCTAAATGACTAATCAAAAAGAAGGAAAACACCAAGTGTTAACAAAATGTGGAGTAAAAGGAGCTTCTATACACTACTGGTGATTAGATTGGCGCAAACTACTAGAGAAAACTGTTTAGCAGTAGCCACTAAGGCTGACTGTGTGAATACTGTATAACTCAACAATTTCACTTCTAGGCATATAATCAACAGAAGTGCATTCGTGTGCTCCAAAAACAAAAGTGCTAGAATGTTCAGAGGAGCAATACTAGAATATTCATAATAGCTCCAAACTGGAAACTACCCAAATCCTCCTCAATAATGGATAAATAAATTCTGCTGCATTCACACAATGGAACACTTGTTCCAACTATCTTTTCTTAGATTCTCGATTTGTCTATCCGGCATTCATTTATGACAGGGCCACACTAATGGCCAAAGTTGTTTATCTCGTTTTCTTGCAAGTCAGCTTTCTCAGGCATGGGAAACTCATATTATAAACCCCTCAGCTACAAATTCCAACATATGTGTTTTCACTTCCTGCCCATTAGTGGATGCCCTCACCCAGTTACTCTCCCACCACTCTTTTTCATAAAGGCATAGGCCCAGTTCCCCCTCTCTTTCTGCTGCCTGGTCCCTGGATGACACAGTTTTGTGTGGCCCTGCAAGACGTGTTCTGCCTCTTTTTTACAGGGGAACTGTGAACAACAAAACTTTCCTTCCAATAATACTGGAAGAAAATGCCACTCAGTCACCTTTATAAATTAAGACCCAAGCATGACAGAACACTATATCCCAGTGGAAAAAAAGTACAGCAATGCTTAACAACCTGGATGAATCTCACAACTACAATGTTGAGTAAAAGAAGCATACAAAAGCACAGACTTACTGTATGATTCCATGTATATTATCTCAGTTCACTTTCTGTTGCTATAACAGAATACCACAGAATGGGTAATTTATAAAATAATTATATATAGCTCATGGTTCTGGAGGCTGGGAAGTCTAAGAGCATGCTGCTGGCATCTGTTGAGGACCTTCTTGCTGTGCCATAACATGGCAGAGGGTATCACATGGCAAGAGGGCAAGAGCATGTCAGCTCAGGTCTCTCTTCCTCTTGTAAGCCACCAGTCTCATCATAGGGGCCCCACCCTGATGACTTTATCTAATCCTAGTTACCTCCCAAAGGCTTCACCTCCAATTTCATCAACATATGAATTTGGAGATTAAGTCTCCAACACATGAAATTTGAGGGATGCATTCAAACCATAGCATTCTGCCCCAGCCCCCAAAATGCATGTCCTTCGTACATGCAAAATTCATCCCAATAGCACCAAAGTATATATATATATATATATATATATATATATATATATATATATATTTTTTTTTTTTTTTTTTTTTTTTTTAAAGATGGGATTTTGCTCTATCATCCAGGCTGGAATGCAGTGGCATGATCATAGCTCACTGCAGCCTCAAACTCCTTGGCTCAAGTAATCCTCCTGTCTCAGCCTCCTGAGTAGCTAGGACTACAGACGTGTGCCACCATCTCCAGCTACGTTTATTTAATCTTATTTGTAGAGACAGAGTCTCACTCTGTTGCCCTGGCTGGAATGCAGTGGCACGACCATAGCTCACTGCAGCCTCAAACTCCTGGGCTCAAGTGATCCTCTCACCTCAGCCTCCTGAGTAGCTAGAATTACAGGCACATGCCACAATACCTGGCTAACTTTTTATTTTTATTTTTGTAGAGACAGGTCTCACTATGTTGCCTAGGCTGGTCTTGAACTCCTGGGCTCAAGCAATCCTCCCACCTCAGCCTCCCAAATCACTGGGATTACAGGCATGAAACACCACACTTAGACAACCCCCAAAGTCTTAACTTGTTCCAGCACCAACTCAAAATTCCAAAGTCCATGGTCTCATCTAAATCAGATGTGGGTGAGACTTAAGGTACAATTCATTCTATGGGAGATTCCCTCTGGCTGTAAGCCTGTAAAGTCAAAACAAGTTATTGACTTCCAAAATACAACAGTGGAACAGGCATAGGACAGACATTCCCATTCTAAAAGGAAAAAGAGGCAAGGGAAAAAGGGTAACTGGTTCCAGGAAAGTACAAAACCCAACATAGAAAACAACATTAAACCTTAAACCTTCAGAATGATCTTTTACTCTGTGTGCCACCTCCTGGACACACTATGGAATTTGGACCCCCGAAGCTTCGGGGAGCTCTGCCCCTGTGGTTTTGCTGGGTTCTGCCCATGTTGCACTTCGCACAGGTTGGAGTCTCATGCCTGCAGTTCTCCCAAGCTGGCATTGCACTATGATAGCTCTACCATTCTGGGGTCTTGGCGGTGGCCCCACCCTTGTAGCTCCACTAGACCTTGCTCTACTAGGGGCTCTCTGGGGTGGCCGTTCACAGCACCCTTTGAAATGTAGGTGGGAGAAGGCATGCCCCCTCAGCTTTTGCATTCTGCACACCTGCAAAATTAGTGCCATGTGTATGCTGCCAAGGTTTATGACTTTTACCTTCCACATCACACCTGTGGCCACTTGAACCACAGCTGGGATGGCTGAGGAATGCTGCACCAGAAATGTGGGGAGCAGAGACCCAAGGCAGCCCTGGGCAGCAGCTGGTCATTCCAAACCATTCTGCCCTCTTAGAGCTCTGGGCCAGTAATGGGAGGGGCAGTCTTGAAGATCTCTGAAATGGCTTTGGAGTTTTTCTCCCTTGTCCTGATGAACAGCCTCTGGCTTTGTTCTATGTGTACTAATTTTCTTTCTTCCTTTTTTTTTTTTTTTTTTTTGAGATGGAGTCTCGCTTTGTCGCCCAGGCTGGAGTGCAGTGGCGCGATCTCGGCTCACTGCAAGCTCTGCCTCCCGGGTTCATGCCATTCTCCTGCCTCAGCCTCCCATGTAGCTGGGACTACAGGCGCCCACCACCACGCCTGGCTAATTTATGTGTACTAGTTTTCTTATCAATCGGTAGCTTGGTCACACTCTCAGTTTTCTCAGCTGAAAATGTTCTTTCATTCTCTACAACATGGGTGACCTACGGATTTTCTGCTTTCCATAAATGACTCTGGCACAGACAAAGTTCAGCTAAGATCTTTGCTTCTTTATAAAAAGGATGACCTTTGCTCCAGTTTCCAACACGTGGTTCTTCAGTTCCATCTGAGACCTCATCAGAATGGCCTTCACCAGCCACATTTCTATCAGCATTCTGATCTCAACGACTTCAGTAACCATTAAGAAGTTCCAGACTTTCCCTAGTTCTGGGGTCTTCTTTTAAGCCCTCACCAGAACTGTAGAACTGTCTTTAATGCTCCATTCTTTTTCTTTTTCTTTTTTTTTTTTTTTTGAGTTGGAGTTTTGCTCTTGTTGCCCAAGCTGGAGTGCAATAGCACGATCTCAGCTCACTGCAACCTCTGCCTCCTGGGTTCAAGTGATTCTCCTGCTTCAGCCTCCTGAGTAGCTGGGATTACAGGTGTGCGCCAGAGTGCCCAGCTAATTTTTTGTATTTTTGGTAGAAACAGCGTTTCACCATGTTAGCCAGGCTGGTCTCGAACTCCTGACCTCAGGTGATCCACCTGCTTTGGCCTCCCAAAGTGCTGGGATTATAAGTCTGAGCCACCGTGCCTGGCCTAATGCTCCATTCTTGACAATACAGGCTTTTTCTAGCCTGCTCCTCAAAACTCTTCCAACCTATTCCCATCACCCAGTTCCAAAGCCACTTCCACATTTTCAGGAATCTGTTACAGTAAAAACTCTACTTCTTGCATTAATTTTCTTTCTTTGTCCATATTCTGTTGCTATGACAAAATATCAAACTGGGTGATTATAAAGAAAATAAATTGATTTAGCTCACAGTTCTAGAGGCTGGGAAGTCCAAAAGCATGGTGCCACCATCTGGTGAGGGCCTTCTTGCTGCATCATGACATGGAGAAGTCATCACACGGTGAGAGGGCAAGAGCATGCCAGCTCAGATTTCTCTTTCTCTTCTTATAAGTCACCAGTGCCATCATACCTCACCCCATGACCTTATCTAATCCTAATTACTTCCCAAAGGCCCTTCCTCCAAATAGCATCAACATATGAATTGAAGGATTAAGTTTCTAGCACATGAAATTTGGGGGACACATTCAAACCATCACATATATAATGTACAAAAACAGACAAAACTGACTGATGCTGTTAGAAGTCAGGTTAGTGGTTATCCTGGAATGAGACAAGAAGAGGTTCTGGGTGTTGGTTATGTGGGGATATCAGAAGATTCATCAAATGGTACTTGTATGATATTTGCACTTTTCTGGATATAGCTTATACTATATAAGTTGGGTTTTTTTTTTTAAGTAATAAGTGGCAGAATAGAGGATAAACCCAAACCTGCTGACTGCCACCCCACAACTCATTCTATATGATGCTGTCTGGAAAAAGAAATGAATGAAGCAGAAATCCATCACCATGATAACAGTCTCCCTGCACAGGGTCTCCCCTGGCCAGACCCTCAGCTCAACACATGTCCTCACAGCAGCCCTGTGAGTGAGCTATTAATGTCCCTATTTCACAGAGGACAAGTTCAGGTTAGGGAAGTGAACCAAGAATTCCAATGTTTTGTGGCTCGGAATGAGTGGCTCTTGGGATTCAAACTAGGAAGGCCTGTCCACAAAGCTTGGCCAGATGCTTCCCAGATTTCAGCATTTGAGGACAACATTCATGAATTTAGCCATACTGGCATTCCAGAGATGCTATTAAAAATTTTTTTTCTCCAAATAGACTTATTTTTACATTTAAATAAATGAATTTAAAAGAAAACTGTGTTACTAGCTTGAAATAGAAGGGAAATGGGAGGTAGCTGTAAAAAGAGATACAATGAAAACAAAATGTTGCTAAAATCTCTCCCAGATATGGCAGTCTGAGGTTTTCTCTGCTATTCAAAAGAGTGGTTAACAAGAGCTAGAAGGGTGCAGAGATTCTCAGCCCAAGTGGGGACTTTCTTTTCTCCCTGATGTAATCAAAGGACTGAGAATTGAAAAAGAGTATCTGCAACTGCATGATTCAATGCCATTTCAGTGTGCCTTCCCATCACTTAAAAATCCCACAGTTTGTGGGAAATGCTCCATCCTGGCTCTGATCACAGCATCTGACTCAGTCACATATGCTCATCTGAATAGGAAATTGGGAAATATTGTTTGTGGAATTAATGCAAAGTCAACTGACTTGCCCAATGCCACCAAGTAGCTAATCCACAGTTCCCATTAAGTGCTGTGACTTTGCACTTAATCCTCTCTCCATCTTTCCATTACATAGAGATGTCCCCATACTGATGCAGCATCAGTCATCATAAAGAACGGGGCTATGTTCTATTGCTAAATCTGCACAGCAACCCTGTGACATAGGACTTATTTTCCCATTTTACAGATAGAAAACTGAGATTTAGGGAGTTTGAGTACCAGGACTAAGGCTGCATGACTGGCTTCACCACTGGTGAAGCCCACGCCTTTTACTCTCAGCAAACCAAAGACTTCCGGAAGAGAGATCATCACTGTCACTATGCCCTTCCCTTTGCCTGGGTCCTGCAAAGGCAAGAGGATAACTGCTTCTTGGTCCTCAACTCACTCACCCTGATGAGAGTTGACTTGCAGGGATGTGCTGGAGCCAGTTCCCATAGGCTCAGTGGGCTGATTGTTCTCATCTCTTCCCAAGTCCATGTGCAGTGACGTCTCCTTGATAGCTTGAACTCAGTCATGTGGGAAGCGTTTGTACCATAGAAATTGCAAGTGCTACCAATCAAGGCTTTATTTTCATGGAAAGCCAGTTGTTAAGTTAATCCTCTACCAGCAAACCACTGATTGGCTTTTTCTTTTTTGGCTATAGGTCAGTGGTTCTAAAACTTGAGCTTGCAAGAGAACACTTGTGGGGCTTGTTCAAACATGGACTGATAGGTCCCACCCCCAGATTTCTAACTGGGTAGGTCTGGGGTGGGGCCGTAGGTAGGGCTTGCATTTCTAACAAGTTTCCAAGTGATGCAGGTGCTGTGGAGAACCAATGCTTCCAGAGAACCACAGAATCACAGAATTGGGAATCTAGGCAGCCCACAAGCAGAATTTAGCCACACAGTGTTACTAACAATCTTGAATTTTCTGCCAGTACTTGGGAGAGCACATGCAAAACTCTAGATTTTGAGCTCTTGAGAAGTCATTGGATCTGGCAACACTGAGCCTGGGTCCCTGCACTGTGATGGTGGGTGCAAGCTGAAGAGCTCCCTTCCTTCACTGGCTTTTTTTTTTTCTAACTTCCCCTGCCTGTTCTCTACAGGCATCTGAGTAGGACCTTGCTAGGTCAAGTCCTCATCTTACAGAGGGGAACTCTCAGGCCCAGAGACAGGAAAGGTTCTGCTTAGAATTGCACAGTTATTAAGACAGTGGCAGACACATCACTGGAACCCATTACAGAGGCACCTTGCTTCACACAGCTCATCCCCTCCTCATCCCAAGCAAGGATGTCTCACCCACTGATATGTGATCCCTATAATTTGGGGCTATGGTTGTCTCTGTAGAAGGCATCCAAGAACCGGAAGGAACCCCAGCGCCTCCATGATTTCTCTGAGACACGTCCAAACACATCAGCTCCTCATCACCTGCTTCAGCCATTTTTACAGCCAGGTTCCAGCCGGGTGACCTTGGGCAGATAACTTCTCTTAAATCTCATTTCTTAGAGTCTGAGAATACCTCAGTAGGCGGTTGTGAGAATTCAAGGAGATAATGCATATAATGGTTTCTAGCACAATGCCCAACACTTTTAAAGCAGTCAATAACAGTAGTAAATGTTATCAGTGAATATGATTATCATCATGCTATCAGTTCATCTCTAAAAATCTATCCCTATATCGTGCCCAATTCACTTTTTCATTTTATATAAGCCATGTCCAGAAAATATTCACACAACATCCAGGAAGTAATGGCTAGGGCTCTGGTGTGTCAAACTGACCATTGCTGTCCACTGTCTAGGGGCCACAGGACCTACCTCTGGTCTGGAGGCCCACATTCCCACCTCACAGTGAGACCTCAGCCGAGGCCCACCCTTCTCTGGGCCTCAGGGATGGGTTGTGCTTAGCATGTCCCTGCATTAGCTTATTAAATCCAGTAGCATCCCAACAGCCCTGTGAGGGGAGATAGTATCCTTATCTCCATTTACAAGGGGGCGACTGAGGCTGAGAAAGGTTAAGCCGCATGCCCAGCTAGTACGCAGTGGGAGCACGTCCACAGCAAAGCTCTGCATCACGACCTGAACCACAGTCTCAATTGGCTTGGGCCTATTTGACCTGCTCTGTGTTTGTGGGGTCACAGAAGATTTCGTGTCTTTGGTCTATACCTAGGTGGTCCTATTTGGAAAGAAGAGGTGGCCTGGAGAGGTGATAAATCCATCCAAGGTAGGGGCTGGACATAATTTCTGAATAAATCAGCCAACAAATATTCACCGAAGCCTACTGAGCACCTGGCCCCGAGTGCACACGCCCCAGCTAAGGACTCTGCACACATTTCTTCCTGAGTTGGAGGGGAGTGTTAAGGGGATGGGGGGTAAGCCCAGTGACCCACATGCCATTGCCGTTCCAGACAGTATGAAGCACCAGCAGCACAATGTAGGTGATCTCTCCAAGCAGACCCAGCAAGCTGAAGATGGAGTGCATGACGGAGATGTGGTGAATCCCCAGCACTCGGTTACAACACACCTGTGGACAAGTGTTATTATAAGCAGATTGGCAGGTGAGACCCATATTCCCTACCCACCCCTTTCACACACCCTTGGTATCCGGCGCCACCAAATGGGGATGGGCACTAAGGCTCACCTCAAAGAAGCCCTTCTCAGACTTGAATGTGTACTCACATCAATGGGGAGTTTGTTGAAATGAAGAGCTGGCTTTAGTGGATGTGGGGTGGGGTCTAAGAGCATTTCTAACAAGGTCCCAGGTGATGCCAATGCTGCTCATCTACGGACCACACTATGAGTAGCAAGGGTCTAGTGTAGGCACTATTCACAATTTCAGCTGATAATTCCTTGTGATGGGGGCTGCCCTGTGCACTGTAGGATGTTAAGCATCATTCCTGGTCTCTCCCCACGAGCTGCCAGTAGCAGCCCTCACCCCACTGTGTCAACCAAGAACGCCTCCAGACATTGTCAGATGTCCCCTGGGGGGTGACCAAGACCCACTGGTCTAGCCCAAATTTAAGCACCATCCCAAAGACAACACAGCTGGTTAGAAAGAAAGCATGAGGCCACACCTCTAGATCCCTACTCAGTAATCCTTCCTCCCCATCACTCAGCCTCCCACACAGCCATGAGCCAGCAGATGTGGACACATATGCAAATTCAGTCAGGCTGGTTCCTTCCTTAGGATCCCCATTAGTCTTCAGAATAAAAATCCAGGTCGGGCACGGTGGCTCATGCCTGTAATCCCAGCACTTTGGGAGGCCAACGTGGGTGGATCACCTGAAGTCAAGAGTTCAAGACCAGCATGGCCAACATGGCGAAACCCCGTCTCTACTAAAAACACAAAAAATTAGCTGGGCGTGGTGGAGGGCGCCTGTAGTCCCAGCTACTCAGGAGGCTGAGGCAGGAGAATGGTGTGAACCCGGGAGGCAGAGCTTGCAGTAAGCCAAGATGGCGCCACTGCACTCCAGCCTGGGCAAAAGAGCGAGACACCGTCTCAACAACAACAACAACAACAAAACACACACACACACACACACACACACACACACACACAAATTAGCCAGGCATGGTGGTGGGCACCTGTAATCCCAGCTACTCAGGAGGCTGAGGTAGGAGAATCACTTGAACCCAGGAGGTGGAGGTTGCAGTGAGCTGAGATTGCACCACTGCACTCCAGCCTGGGTGACAGAACGAGACTCTGTCTCAATAAATAAAAAAATAAGTAAATAAAAATCCAGACCCCTCAACTAGCCCAGGAAGTGTGCCTGAGCACCTCCCATCTTTCAGGGATCTGGGTTCACCATGCTCCTGGGTGGACCCTATGCCTTCAGAATGTCTGTTTCCTGGTTGGGCCACACACTCTTCTTACCAATAAGCTTTCATACACACTGTGCCTTCTGCCTGGAATACATTCCCCATGTCTCTGCCTGGCTAATACTACTTCTCTGTCAACACTTGGCTGTCAACCGTTTCCTCTGCTCCAGGAAGCATTTCCGGACCCATCCCAGGCTAGCTCAGATGTGCCCTGTAGCTGTTCTCACACTGTATTCTGTGTATCCATTTCGCTCACTAAACTATAGCTTGAAAAGCAAGATGAGTGTTAAAACGTATGTGTTGAATGAAGGAATGATGAATGAATGAATATATGAATGAATGAGGGAATCATTTTTGAATAGTCCTGCCAGTGATGAAGTCAAGGAAACAAGCTCAGGGAATGCGATGGGCGCTGAGCCTGATGGTAACTTGCTATGTGTTCTTTTTTCTGCCCTTCCTCCTTTCATTTCAGGGTTTCAAAGCCAGAGGAGATAAAAGAAATTTGTTCCCCTTGCAAAGATGAAAATCAGATTTGCCCTGGTTTTGGTCAATCGAAGTATTGATACGTTTTTCCTTATTTATTTTATTTTATTTTTTAATGACCTCCAGTTCCATCCATGTTGCTGCAAATGACAGGATTTCATTCTTTTTATGGCTAAATAATATTCCACTCTGTATATAAAACACTTTTTTTTTTTTAAGACAGAGTCTTGTTCTGTCGCCCAGGCTGGAGTGCAGTGGCGCAATTTCGGCTCACTGCAAGCTCTGTCTCCCAGGTTCAAGTGATTCTCGCATCTCAGCCTCCTGAGTAGCTAAGATGACAGGTGCCCGCCACCACGCCTGGCTAATTTTTGTACTTTTAGTAGAGATGGTTTCACCATGTTGGCCAGGCTGGTCTTGAACTCCTGACCTCAGGCCATCTGCCCGCCTCGGCCTCCCAAAGCGCGTGAGCCACTGCGCCCAGCCAGTTTTTCCTAATTTTAGGTTGGAATGCACTCCCTGAATAGCCCCTGTTCATCCAAATCCAGCCTTCGAAAATCTACTCCTTTTTCCTCCATCAAGTCTTCAAACCCATGAAGATTTGTTGTCCCTAAATATTTCTCTTAGAGAAGCACATTATAACCAATTGGCTATAATGAAGTATTCTGGAACGATCAGGATTTGCTGAGTATTGGAGAAAGATCCATCCACTTAGAAGAAGAATTAAACAATCAGAAGTGGACACGACCTGGACCATCAGCCCAGCACTCCCTCTTCTGGGTGCTGCTCCTCTCACATCATCCACGTGGTTCCCCGGCAGCAGCCACATATGCACGATGTGCCCACCCCCAGCTGAAGACAACATTATCCAAGTTAAACCAAAGAGCCCCTTCTCCAGAGAATTTGGGATTGGGGCCAAGAGATTCCATCCACCAGGCTGCTTTCTTGAAGCAAAAGACTACACCCCACAATGTGGGGTGAAAGAGGAGGAAGCAGGTCTATAGAGTAAGAATAAAGCAGATATTCAGGAAAAGCAAAGAAAGAAGTAAAACAGGGGCTTCTGGGCTCCCCACAACACTCCAGTCCCTGTCCTTGAGTTCTGTGACACCCCTGTAGCCTGGTAACAAATTCTCCCCAGTGCCCAAGCAAGCTCAAATGGGTTCTGCCACCTGCTCCCCAGCATCTTAACAAATGTGCCACCGAGCCAGGATGGATCCCTCGCTAGGCGTTGAAGCCAATAAGAGAATGCACCAACACCTGCCTAATGCAGCTGTGCACTGCACAGTGGCCCATCAGGTCCCAGCGTCCTGCTGGCCTTCAGCCAAAGCAGAGAGCATTAGTTGTCTAGTTTCTTACCGGCAGGCACTTGGCTCCCCCGATGGAGATCAGCCCAGCCACAAGACCCAGCACCATGGCAAGCCACGGAGAAGGGATCAGGTGACACGAGGTACCCACAGCCACGCCTCCTGCCAACACCGCACTGTGCACATAAGTCTGCAAAGAAATAGCGTGTGGGTAAAGGAAGCAAGGTAGAGAGAGAACACCATCTTGCTGCAAGTGACCAGCACGCTGGGAACAAGGCAACCCTGTAACATCCTCCCTGCTTTGCTGATCCTGAAACCACCTCTCCCCTGTGTTGGGGCTACGTGTCCTTCATCAGTGGACACGGTGGGCCAGCTCACTACTGCCTCTTAGGCTCAGGGCACAGTTACCCTGATTGTGCAGCATTTAGGGAATGAGCTGGGAAGTCCAGGTGCTCAGCATCCTAGGCACCCATCACACTCATTAGTGGTGTGTCCCTGGACAGCGGGAAGAATGGGTTTTTGTTTTATTTTTTAGAGACAGGGTCTTGCTATGTTGCCTGGGCTGGTCTTGAACTCCTGGCCTCAACCAATCCTCTTGCCTCAGCTTTCCAAAATATTGGGATTACAGGTGTGAGCCACTGCACCTGGCCTAGAAGAATGGGGTTTTGGATGTACCTTCTTCATAAGGTTATTGTAAGGATTAAATGAGTTTCCACATATAAAGCTCTTAGTCCAGTGTCTGGCATAGAACATGAATAAATGCCCAATAGACATAAATCATTGTTATTGTTTTTATTATTATTATTGGCTACTTGGTGCCTGTGCCACCCTGTGTGACTGGTCCCAGTTCCAATAAGCTGGGCCTTGTTCCTGGGTTATAGCTCTGCTATGTCCTTCACTACTCCAGAACCGGAGCCTTGCCTTGCTCTTATCTGACACCCTCAGCTCTCACCTAGGTTTAGCCTCTGAGCTTCCCTGAGCTGACACCCACTCCTGCCTTGCTAGGTGTCTTAGACTTTCTGTCACCATGGAACTCATGGCCACTCACTTCCTCTTAGCACTGAATTCTGCTGTGAAGCTGTCATCTGTGGCCACATTCTTTCCACTCCAGCCCCCCCAGTGCCTCCCACCCGAGCCCCACCACTGGTCTGTCCAGACTTCCCTCCGACACCACCAGCTGGACCCCCTGCCCCCATCATCATGAGAACTTGTTTTGTCTCCCCTCTCACCCATCTCTGCCCACAAGACTCACACACACCATTGTCTCTCTGTACTAATAGCAGCAGCTAATGTTTGCCTACCATTTACTCCCCGTTAAGCACTTTACATGCACCATCTCTTAATTCTCACTTTACAGATGAGGCCACTGAGACTCAAAACGTTGAAGTGGCTTGACCAGAGCCACATGGCTAGTGTCACATACTTCTCTACTTCTGATTCTGATGGTTCCATTCTTGAAATTTGTTGGGGGGAAGAGAGAGGCTGGCTAATTCTAGTCTAGTCTGTTGCTGCTGACTCTCGCTCATGGTGACTGACTTGAGCAACTAGCAGAAACGGGGTTCAAACTCAGGTCTGTTTCATGTTAGCATGGATGGATTTAATCACTCCCCCCAGAAAGCCTTTGATCACTGGACAGTCTCCTGAGTCCCAGGCCCCCTGTGACCACCCAGCATTCTTCCTAGAGCTCCACTGTAGAGGCAGGCACAGCTCCACCACCCGGCATGCCCTCTCCCAACCCACGCTGGCCCTGGGGTGGGGAGGGGCATAAATATGTGTGCTAGTCCTGTTAGACCCAAGTGCTGCCCAAGGGCAGCGCCCTGCTCACCATGCTGATCTTCCTTTGGGGGTGAGCCAAGGATGACCCTGAGATGGCTGTCACCACACTGACTGCTAGAGCATAGTAGGTGTTGAACATGGCATTCTTCCTTTGGATTGGACTTCTCAGCAGAGCAGAGTTGACACTTGGCCAGAACATCCACAAGAAGAGGGCGCCTGGGGGCCAGAGAGGGTGGTTGGCCAGAATCACACTCCTGCTCCAAAGGTCTGAGCCTCGAGGGGTTTTGGATGAGAATCCTAGGGCTGGAGAGTCTCAGCCTTGTCACTTAGAGTTAGATGGGGAAGTCACGTCTCCCCTCCGAGCTCTCAAGCTGATACCAGCTAACCACATTTTACAGACAAGGAAACAAAGGCCAAGAGGGTTGAAATCTGCATACCCCAGGCCTCCTGAACCTGCTCTGTGATGGTCAAATGCTTATTTTAATTTTTTTTTCTTTTTAATTGAGATGGACTCTTGCTCTGTTGCCCAGGCTGGAGTGCAGTGGCGCGATCTTGGCTCACTGCAACCTCCACCACCTGGATTCAAAAGATTCTCCTGCCTCAGCCTCCCAAGTAGCTGGGATTACAGGCGTGCACCACCATGCCCAGCTGATTTGTTTGTATTTTTAGTAGAGATGGGGTTTCGCCCTGTTGGCCAGGCTGGTCTCGAACTCCTGACCTCAGGTGATCCACCCACCTTGGCCTCCCAAAGTGCTGGGATTACAGGCTTGAGCCACCACGCCTGGCCCAAACGCTTATTTTTTTTTTTTTAATGAATGTGCTGCTTTAACTTGACCCCGTGGCCTGATAGTCCTTTGCCTACTATCAAGCTCACTGCCCGATTTTCTATTAGCCTCTCCCAGCAGTCTAAGTTCATCATTTTCCCAGTAGATTTTCAAAGTACAACATTATTACTATTCCCACCCTTGTTCCTTCACTCCTGGGCCCTACCTTCTTCACTTGTCCGTTTCCCTCCTTTCAGTTGAAAACAAAGGGATTGGATAAACTTATTGAAACTCACACATAATGAGTCTCTCCTTTCTAGTGGATATTAATGAAGAGAGGTCCCTAAAAGGAAGTGCTTAATTCAAAGGTATGAATTTAGCAAACACTACTCAAAGAAGTGAATCATGATGGAAGGGCTTCAGACACCCAGGGGAAGTTGGTAAAGGAGGGAGATTTTTTCAGCCAGAGCCTTTTCTGAGCCATTCTGCTCAGCCCAAGTATGAGACCACTCACCCCACCTTGTCCTTACCCAGCATGGCAGACAAACTGGGTATCGTTGCTCTCTGATCATTATCCTCCGTTCCCTTGGGTAGAGGCTTTGGCAGGCACCAGGCCACAGTCAGCCCAAAATAGGCTGCGAACACGTAGAAGTGCCTCAGGTTCATGTGGTAGTCTGTCTGCAATAAAACCCAGTAAGAGCAGTGAGTGTCGGCATCCTCTGCCCAGGGGAAAGCCCTGATGGTCCTTGGAGAAAGTTCAGAGCTTCACTTAGGAGGTGTGACTTGAAGCCACGAGACTGGTGTTCAGAGCTTACCCAGCCCAACCCAGCAGGCTTTGCCCAGGCTGGAGTGCAATGGCACGATCTCGGCTCACTGGAACATTTGCCTCCCAGGTTCACGCGATTCTCCTGCCTCAGCTTCCCTAGTAGCTGGGATTACAGGCATGCGCCACTACGCTGGGCTAATTTTGTATTTTTAGTAGAGATGGGGTTTCACCGTGTTTGCCAGGCTGGTCTCAAACTCCTGACCTCAGGCGATCCACCCGCCTCGGCCTCCCAAAGTGCTGGGATTACAGGCATGAGCCACTGTGCCCGGCCTCTTTTTTTTTTTTTTTTTTTTTTTTTTGAGACAGAGTCTTGCTCCATTGCTCAAGCTGGAGTGCAGTGGTGTGGCCACAGCTCACTGTAGTCTCCAACTCCCAGGCTCAAGCAATCCTCCCACCTCAGCCTCCTAAGTAGCTGGGATTACAGGAGTGCACAACCATGCCTGGCCAATTTTTAAATTTTGTGTAAAGATGGAATCTCACTATGTTGCTCAGGCTGGTCTCGAACTCCTGGGCTCAAGAGATCCTTCCCTCCCAAAGTGCTGAGATTACAGGCATGAGCCACCACGCCCGGCCTATCAGTAGCTCTTATATGCTTTTGACCAAGGTTCACTTAGGTGTGGCAAAAACCCACATGGACACGCACTTCACTGATTCCTACTTCTCAGCGGAATTTTAACTCTGCAGGAGTGATGAGTGATATAAATTTTGCAACATGAAGCAACCAGACTTCTTGTAATACCAAACTAAGGTCTTCGGGAGATTCTAGATATATTCTAATTTTGCATCATGACTATCACATTTTAGTAATGCTTCATAACTTATTTAGTGGGCTACTGGAGAAAGCTGTCAGCTGTGCTTTCTAAAAATACCCAGAATTGGCAGGATTTTTAGCACCATTTCCCACTGACCCCATCTTGGTTTAAGCCACCATCACCGCTACCCCAAATTGTTACAGTAACCTCCTAACTGGTCTCCCCATTTCCACCCTTGTCTTCCTGCGGACTGTTCTCCACACAGCAGACAGAGTGACCCTGTTAAAATGCAAGTCAGGCCGGGCGTGGTGGCTCAAGCCTGTAATCTCAGCACTTTGGGAGGCTGAGGTGGGTGGATCACCTGAGGTCAGGAGTTCGATACCAGCCTGGCCAACATGGCAAAACCCTGTCTCTACTAAAAATACAAAAATTAGCCAGGCGTGGTGATGCTTGCTTGTAATCCCATCTACCTGGGAGGCTGAGGCAGGAGATTCACTGGAACCTGGGAGGCAGAGGCTGTAGTGAGCTGAGATGGCGCCACTGCACTCCAGCTTCGGCGACAGAGTGAGACTGCGTCAAATAAATAAATAAAATAAAATGCAAGTCAGATCATGTTACTCCTCTGCTCAGAAGCCTCCAGCGGCTCCCATGTCACTCAAAGTCAAGGTCCAGGTTCTTGCCACGACCCTGCAGGATCCACTCTCACCTGACCTCTCGGGCGTCACCTCCTATTGCACTCCTCCACTTGCTCATCCTCAAACCCACTAGCGTGTTCCCACTTTGGGTCATTCAGCTGCCTGAAATGCTGACCCCCAGCCAGGGTGTAACAAGGGCAGGATGGAGGGAGTAGTCCACCCTGGGTGCAAGCAATCGGGGTGCCTTGTCTGCAGAGGGTGTCTAACAATTCTAAAGCCAACTAAAAAGTCTGTCTGCTTTTTATTTTTATTTATTTATTTATTTATTTTTGAGACGGAGTCTCGCTCTGTCGCCAGGCTGGAGTGCAGTGGTGCCATCTTGGCTCACTGCAAACTTCACCCACTGGGTTCAAGCGATTCTCCTGCTTCAGCCTCCCATGTAGCTGGGATTACAGGCGCCCACCACTGTGCCCGGCTAATTTTTGTATTTTTAGTAGAGACGGGGTTTCACCATGTTCCCCAGCCTGGTCTCGAACTCCTGACCTCAAGTGATCCATCCGCCTTGGCCTCCCAAAGCGCTGGGATTACAGGCATGAGCCACCGCACCCAGCCTATTTTTTTTTTTATCACCATGTGCTGACAATTCTAAACAGCATGGGTGGTAAATAGCCCTCCCAGCACCCTGCCATTGTTCTGCCGCTGTTCTCAGGTACCCATGTGGCTTGTGCACTCGTTACCTTCAGGTCTGTACTCAAAAAAAATCACCCCCTTGATGAGATGAAGCTGCCCCTGGCCACCCCCTCAAACAGTTGTCCTCTCTCCCCAACTTTTCGTGTTTCTTTTCTCCATTTTATTTTTCTCTGTGGTACTTACCACTCTCTAACATGCTATATCTTTTGCCTATTTTATTGCTTATTGGCAGTCTTTCCTTCTGGAACAGATGTTCCACGAGAGTTGTATTTTCCACTGCCACAAGAGTGCCTGGTATATAGTAAATACCAAATAAATATCTGTGAAGTGAACAAATGATGGTAAAAAGCCCTCAGTCATACATAAAGAGGAAAGTCTATGCAGTTTCCTGATAAGAACTGAAAAGCGGGCTTGCGTTTTTCATCTCTTTGAGCTCCACCAGGAAGGACTTCAGAAAGAACACTTGGGGATTCTTGGCCTGGAATATTCATTTCTTGAGCTGGTGCACTGAAATGACTCTGGTCCCTGGCTCTGGTTCCCCCGAGCCCTCCTGCTGAAGAAACCCAGGCTGAATTGAAGTTTTGAGGAAAATGAATACTGAAAATCAGTGCTAAGCCCTCCTCTAGACCAGTTAAGCTAGCAAGTCAAAGATGCAGAGAAGAGAGATGATGTTATATCAATGCAGTCTTTTAAAGCAATCGTTATGAAGACTGCAACAAAGCAGGAAGAGGTTCGGGCTCACAGGGAGTGTTCTGCCTCTGAAATTTACTCCTCTTCTTGACAGCCATGTTTTTACTGTGTGAACTATTTCCCATGCCAGCTGTAGCTGCTTGGACCAGAGTGGAAAAATGACCCAGGGGACTGATCAGATTCTCTCTCCCTGGACTACAGAATTGAGACTAACTGAGAGAAAAGAGTTGTTTTCTGCAGGATCTGGGACATAGAAATGCAGGAACAAGTGGAGGTGGATGGGTGGGTGGAGGGGACACGTTTTTCGCTAAAGAGAAAGCTGGTGTACAGAGATGTTAGATGTACAGAGAGAATCAGAGCCAAAAGATGGAGAGCACAGACTACCTGGGATCTCAGTGGCTTCTCATAGTCAGTTCTAGTGCCCTCCTGAGTCTGGCAGCACTTCCTGCCCTTGGAGGTTCTTTTTGTTTGTTTGTTTTTTAAAACTGTCCATACTACACAGATACACCTTTATGGTTCTTACACTGAATTCTCTTCATTCCACCTAAGAAAGCTCTGGTGACATTTTCTTCCTGGGAATCAGGGAGTTCTCATTAATCCTTATATTAAGCAGAGAGAAAAGGCAGAAAATGGAAGTGTGTAAACCGGAATCCAGGAGTCCATGGTAATATAAACAAATACATAGATGAGTGGATGAACAGAGAAGCGAAAGCTTTTCCTTACAGGAGAATGCCAACTATTGAAGGAAAGATGGAATTAGAAAACCACCATTGGCAATTATTATAGTACTAATTTATTCAGGGAAGAATCAATGAACACTAAAATCAGTGGGTGAAAGTTGGATGATCAACAGGATTTCTATAGGAAATTATCTCCTCACAAGATGTTTATTAATTACAAAGGGGAAAATAGTAACTTTGCAGTGGAAGATCCTGGCAGGTACCATCTTAACCCAATGATCACAGTTAACACACCCAGTAATGGGGCAAATTGATAGCATGTCTTCTGATATGATATACTAAGAAGGGCACACACGGCTCTTGGAGAATTCCTACCAAAAATGCATACCCACAATCTAATCATGAGGAACAGCAGACAAACCCACATTCTACAAAAGAACTGGCTCGAAACTTCAAAACATGTCAAGGTCATGAAAGATAAAGAAAGATGAAGAAACTGTTCCAGATTGATGGAATTTAATAAGACATGAGAACTAAATGCAAGATGTAATCCTCGACCACAAAAAATATGTATTTTTTTCTAGAAAGGATATTATTGAAAAAATTGGTGAAATGAGAATAAGGTAATCATAATATATCAATGTCAATTTCTCATTTTTGTTAACTGAACAATGGTTATGTAAGAGAATGTCCCCTTGTTTTAGGAAATTGTGTTAGTCTGTTTTCACACTGCTATAAAGATACTTCCTGAGACTGCGTAATTTATAAACAAAAGAGGCTGAATTGACTCACAGTTTGGCATGGCCGGAGAGGCCTCAGGAAACTTACAATCATGGTGGAAGGTGAAAGGGAAGCAAGGCACATCTTACGTGGTGGCAGGTGAGAGAGAGAGAGAAAGAGAGAGAGGAAGTGCCACACTTTCAAACCATCAGCTCTCCTGAAAACCCACTCACTGTCACAAGAACAGCATGGGGGAAACCACCCCTGTGATCCCATCACCTCCCACAAGGTCCTGCCCTCAACACGTGGAGATTACAATTCGAGATGAGATTGGAGGGGGATACAGAACCCAACTGCATCAGAAATATACACTGAGGCCGGTTATGGTGGCCCACGCCTGTAATCTCAGCAATTTGGGAGGCTGAGACAGGTGGATCAACTGAGGCCAGGAGCTCAAGACCAGCCTGGCCAATATGGTGAAACTCCATCTCTACTAAAAATACAAAAATTAACTGGGCATGGTGGCATGCCCCTAATCCCAGCTACTCGGGAGGGTGAGGCACAAGAATTGCTTGAATCCAGGAGGCGGAGGTTGCAGTGAGCCGAGATCACACCACTGCACTCCAGCCTGGGTGATGGAGCAAGACTCTGTCTCAAAAAAAAAAAAAAAAAAAAAAGAAATGTACACTGAAGTATTTAGGGGTTAAAGTCACATACACAGATGAAGACAACCAAAAATTAATAAATACAAACTTCCAGGCTGGGCGCGGTGGCTCACACCTCTAATCCCAGCACTTTGGGAGGCCAAGGCGGGTGGATCACCTGAGGTCAGGAGTTTGAGACCAGCCTGGCCAACATGGCAAAACTCCGTCTCTACTAAAAATACAAAAGTAAGCCAGGCGTGGTGGTGTGTGCCTGTAATCTCAGCTACTCGGGAAGCTGAGACAGGAGAATCACTTGAACCTGGAAGGCAGAGGTTGCAGTGAGCCGAGATTGCAACATTGCCATCCAGCCTGGGTGACAACAGCGAAACTCCATCTGAAAAAAAAAAAAAAAACTTCCCATATTCCCTCCCAGACCATTGTTCTTTTTTCCACCCCAAACATCCCCAGCTCCCTTGAAGAAGATGCCATCACACTCTCCCTTTCTTGCTGCGGTCTCAGCCTCCTGGCCGCCCCTTGGTCACTGATGATGTCAGTTCCTGCCCTTCAGCCTTTCTCTCCATCATTCTTCCACAAATGATCTTAGTCCACCCAACTCCTTCCCTCTCGGCTCCTTGACCGCTCGTCTCTTTCCCTGCGTTACACTTCTGCCACCCACTGTCAAGCCTTAGACCTTGTCATTACCAGTAACTGTTGCCTCCGAAGCCTCAGTTTCAA
The DNA here is from genome assembly GCF_000001405.40 of Homo sapiens. Classification (NCBI taxonomy): domain Eukaryota; kingdom Metazoa; phylum Chordata; class Mammalia; order Primates; family Hominidae; genus Homo; species Homo sapiens. The sequence goes on from NC_000001.11 coordinate 25,397,836, forward strand.
GCATCGCACCTGATAACCACCACCACCTCCTATCTGTCCGGCTCACTTCCTTAAATTGCCTCCCTTCAGCAGCTCCAATCAACGCAGCCTGAGAACAATGGTGATGATGAAAATAACAGCACTGCCGCAACACTTACCCCATGCCAGGCACTGTCCTAAATGCTTTAGAACAGTATTCAAAATTGAACAAGTGTTCGGTCACTTGTTCAATCCTCACAACAGCCCTAGGAAGTAGCCTTATTCTTATCCCCATTCTATAGATAGGGAAACTGAGGCACAGAGAGGTCAACGAAGGGGCCCAAATGGATTCAGCTAGTGTGGGTTGAGCTGAGATGTGTACCCAGGCTGCCAGGCTGGGCTCCCCATTTTCACTCTCTCTCCTTTCTTAACCAGCTCAGATTTTGTGGGCTACTGTTATACTTCCTCCTTTGCAAACAGCCCCATCTCTGGTCTCCCTTGGGCTTTGGGCTCACTCTGGGCAGCACTCCAGGCTGGGCAAGTTCAACTCTGCTTCTTCCACACCTGCCTGGAGCAGCTGCACACAGCCCTGGTCACTGATGCACTTTCCACCAACTACAAGCCCTAGGGACCCTGGTGCCAGCCTGCAGTCCCGCTGCACCCCTGCAGCCCTCTCACTCTCTTCCACTCCCACAGATGACCATACCACACTTTCCCTCTCCGCAAACCCCATCCCTCCTTCCCACCCTCACATGAGGCTGATGACGGTGCCTCTTGTTTCTCTGAGAAAATACAAGGAATTAGTAAGGCATTTTCTCCTCTCCCTGCAGGAGACTGAACCTGTGGCACCCGCCACCAAATCTGCCGGCCTATTCACAGTCCCTGCCATTTCTCTCGTTAAGATGAACTCTCCGCCTCAGGAACGAGATGGCGGTTCTCTGGAGGCTGAGTGCCGTTTGCGGTGCCCAAGGAGGCCGAGCTCTGTTGCTGCGAACTCCAGTGGTCAGACCTGCTCATATCTCAGCATTTCTTCAGGACCGACCTATCCCAGAATGGTGTGGAGTGCAGCACATACACTTGTCACCGAGCCACCATTCTGGCTCCAAGGCTGCATCTCTCCACTGGACTAGCGAGAGGGTTGTCAGTGTTTTGCTCCCGGGTCTGCTTCCGGCTGCTTATTTGAATCCTTGCTCTGCGACGGACTATTCCCTGGCTGCAGCCCTCACTCTTCATGGTCACTGGGGCCTTGGACAAGTTGTTACTGACTATGTTCATGGGGATGCCTCGCAGAAAGCTGCCAAGGCAGGGCTTTTGGCATTTTCAGCTTTAACCTTTGCTGGGCTTTGCTATTTCAACTATCACGATGTGGGCATCTGCAAAGCTGTTGCCATGCTGTGGAAGCTCTGACCTTTTTGACTTCCTACTTTGAAGAATTGATGTATGCCTCTTTGCCTCTGCTTTGTCATGCCATTAAGCTCACAATAAGGAAGAAATAACAGATAAGTCCATTGGTGGACAGCCTTCTTCTCTTAATCACAAGATTATTTTCAGAATTTAACTTTGAGGAAAAGGTTTGAGAGGAATTATATTTAAGTTGTGAGACTGAGTTCTGTATTCTGGTGAGTTAATGGGGTTGCCTCCCAGCTTCTTATAAGACTCACAGTATAACTAAACATGATATATCAGCTTTTGCCTTTTAATTTCTCAATCTCTTAAAGAGAATCCAGCTTTAGTATGATTAGCATATGATCAAACTTCCATATTTGCCTTGGGAATAATGGACTAAGGGAAATACTCTTAATTCATGAATAAAAACTTTGCAGAAAATTAGACAGTGTTTAATTTTCAAAAACTTCCCTCTCTAGTCGGTAGATACCACCTACCGATGGTTACATATACTAGGGAAATTTTAAAATTAGGAAATGCTGATATCTCATATTATAAATTTCTAAATCCTAGGAAGAAACGCTTGGAGTGCTTCTGAAGATACAGAAGTTCCATTTAAGGGCAAGTTTCCCCATAGACGTATCAAAATATTACCCATTGTAAACTGAGATTTAATTCTCAAATGTATTCTACTTGTTCTAAAACAATCTGTCCACAAATATAAAACTATAAGTAATAAATTGTTATTTTCGCACAATGGGAATCTCTAATGTGAAAATGTATTCTGTGAAAATAAATTTTTAAATAAAATGTTGTATAATAATAATAATTTTAAAAAAGATGAACTGTCCCTGCATCGGCCTAAAGGTATCAGTGCTCAAAATCCCACTCCTGCTTTCCAACTCAAAGGCTTGACTCTTGCAGTTCATCTCTCTTCTGTATCATCAGATTTTTCCTCTCTATCGGATTATTGCCCTCCTGCTTCTCCTCCATTTCTCTGTTCCCCTTTAGAGCAAAGTCCTTGGCAGGGCTGCCCCTGCATGCTGTCTCCACTTTCTCATCTCCTGCTCTTGAATCAGTCAAGCCAGGCTTTTGCCTTCATCCTCCTCTACAACCATGCATGCCAAGGTCTCCTTGTCAAATCCAATGGCTACTTCCCAGCCCTCATCCGACTTGACCTCTCAGCAGCATTCAGCCCACCTGGGGCCCTCTCTTTCCTTGCCTTCCAGGACCTCACGCTCTCCTGGGCTTCCTCCTGCCTCTCCAAGCACAATTCTGTCTCCTTTGCTGGCTCTTACACATGTCCCCCCTCTAAAATGCAGGGTGTTCTAGGACTCAGTCCTCAGACTTCTTCCCATCTCTCTTTATCCTCACTCCTGAGTGATCTCCTTGGGTCTCATGGCTTTAAACACCATCTGTATTGTAACAACTCCCAAATTTATATCCCTAGCCCTAACCTTTCCACTAAGCTTCAGACTTGTACATCTCCATTCAGTGTCTCCACTGGGATGTTTCATACACATCTCTACCCGCCCCAACCTTAACCCTAACGCTACCACATTCGACACTGAACTCTGGGTTTTCCCTCCCAGATCTATCCCACCCCAATGTTCCCCATCTCAGTAAATGGCACCAGCAGCTGCTGAGTTGTGCCAGATGAGAACCTTGAAGTCATCTTGACCCTCTCCCACCCCACGTGCAGTCTATCAGCAAATCCTGTCAATTCTGCTATTAAAATATAGTCAGGATCCAATCACTTCCCACCACCCTCACAGCTATTGTCCTAGTCTGAGTCTGGATGATGGCCATCACTGCTGCTCTGGTCTCCACCTGCTTCCTCTCTTGCCCCTTCAGTCTTTTCTGAACCCAGAAGCCAGAGTATCTTAAAACATAAGTCAGATCATAGCTCTCCTCTGCCCAACACTCCCTAGTTCTCCCTGTATTTCTCAGAGTAAATCCAAAGTCCTTTGGGATACTGAGGCACAGTAAAGGGGCTTCATGCTTTTTTTTGTAAACGTGCATCATTTCATGTGATTAATTCAATTACTCCCTCAAAACCCTATGTGGTAGTACTGCTACCCTCATATTACAGACGAAGAAACTAAAGCTCTAAGAGGTTAAATTGCCCAGAGTCACACAGGGATTTATGGCAGAGCTGGGATGCACACCCCAGCCTTTGACTCCAAGTCCAGTGCACTTTCTTCTAAGCCAGGCTGGAACTGTGGGTTCTCGCTTGGGTTCTGCCACTATCTTGCTATGTGATCTTGGGCAGTCCCTTCCCCTCTCCAGGCATCAGCCTTCTCACCTATGAGATGGGAAGGTTGGCTATGTCCTCACTCAGGGTCAGGGTTACAGCAGAGGAGCTGGGAGAGCCATTTGGATTGGCCTTACCTTCACAGCTGCCTTCAAACTTAGACTTTCGACAGGCTCTCCCAATGAGAGGACATGTGCAGTTACTGACACGCACTGACTGAAAGAAGATGCTGGCTGTACAAACTTGCTGGACCCACTGCTGGTGAGGCTCTGAGAATTAATTACTTTTATACAACCATAATTACATCATGAATAGCACAATCCTACAGGATTATACTGTAGTAGTTAAAGGCACTGGTTTGTTGTGTTTAAACATTTGCACAGACCACACTTTTGTAACCTCATTTGGGTATCTATCTATCTATCAATCTTTTCTTTTCTTTTTTCTTTTTTTTTTATTGGAGATGAAGTCTTGCTCTTGTCCCCCAGGCTGCAGTGCAATGGCGCGATCTCAGTTCACTGCAACCTCCACCCTCCGGGTTCAAGCGATTCTCTTGCCTCAGCCTCCTGAGTAGCTGGGATTACAGGCACCTGCCACCATGCGCAGCTAAATTTTGTATTTTTAGTAGAGATGAGGTTCCCCCATGTTGACCAGGCTGGTCTTGAACTCCTGACCTCAGGTGATCTGCCCTCCTTGGCCTCCCAAAGTGCTGGGATTACAGGTGTGAGCCACTGTACCCAGCCTGTCTGTCTGTCTGTCTGTCTGTCTGTCTGTCTATCTATCTATCTATCTATCTATCTATCTATCTATCCACCTACCTATTTATTTAGAGATGAGGTCTTGCTATATTGCCCAGGTTCATCTCTAACTCCTGGGCTCAAGCAATCCTTCCAACTCACACCTCAGCCTCCTGAGTAACTGACACTACAGGTGCATGCCACCACAACTGGATAATTTAGAAAAAATTACTTTTTAGAGATGAGGATCTTGCTATGATGCCCAGGCGGGTCTCAAACTCCTGGCCTCAAGTGATCTTCCCTCCTCAACCTCCCAAGTAGCTGGGATTACAGGTTGTCTTTATTTTTCAAAACCCCGGAAGCCCCACCAAATGGAGCTTTTGGCCCTTTTCTCCCAGGTCCCTCCTCCCAGCACCATGACTCACGTTGAAGATATTACTGATGACCATCCTCAGGGTGCCTAAAGCTGTCACCTCCACCAGCACCATCACCACCAACTGCGCCAAGTTGACCTTCCCCAAGACAGCACCCGCTGAGATCAGCACCGACATAGCACTCATGGTGGCCAGCCGAATACTGGGGGTGAGAAGGAGAGCCAGGATGACTGAGAAGGAAGGATGCCTCTCACTCATTCATTCATTCATTCATTCATTCAACAAACACTGTTGGGCACCTTACTTTCTGTGGAAATAGAAGACAAGATTTCTACCCACCTGGGCGCTGATGCTGCAGAGTGGAGTGACCATCTCTTCTCCCGTTAAGGTGGCCTCTGCACCCTGAGCCATGTGGTCTGGCAGATGACTTAACCACTCTGTGCCTCAGTGCCTTCATCTATGAGGCATTGATCTACACACACTCATCTGACTGAGGGTGATCGGGGTGACTGTTCCCTCAGGGGATCTGATAACTGGGATTCTGCCCAGTCTTCTTTTCTGCTGCCATCATTCGGATGCTCAACAGAGGGCACTCTTCCCCCGCAGGCCTGCCCACATCCAGTCACCCCATCCTCATCTGGGGCCACTGTCCCTTCTCTCCCTCTCCGTGGCAGTGGAAAGAAACTGGATTTGGAATCAGGACAAGCCCGGCTTCCAGTCCCAGCCTTGCCACTGGAGTGGCTATTTCATCTCACTGAGCCTATTTCTCCTTCTGCAAATTAAGAATGATGATCAAACGTATCCCATGTTGGTGTCCTGGGGATGTGAAGGAGTATTCTTCCTATCGGTGTGTCTAGCACCAAGACTGGCACAAAGAACCAACTCCTGAAAAGACACTAGCCTTATTAACACTATTACGATTCCTTCCTTCCCTTGACCAATGAGCATGCTCAGGAGGAGAAAATTATTTTGGTCTTGAAGGTTCTTATGATCCAAAAAAAAAAAAAATGTACTTATGATCTAGACAGGCTACATACACCATGAGCCTGTCAACTAAGAATATCTGTGATATCACAAGGCTAGTGGGGTTCATTGGAAGGAGAGGGTGATGCTGACTGGACTTATCAGGGAGGACTTCCTGGAGGAAGTGGTACTGAGCTGGACAATCCATGGACATCCAGTCTCCCCTGAGCAGCTTGCTCTGAGACTCCCTCCTCCCTCTGGGAGTTAATGATGATGATGCTACAACCACAGCAACAGTGATGATAATGATTTATTATAAGAGCATTTTGTAAAACAGGCTTGTAACAGCATCACCTCTTTTAAATTTTAACCCTATAAGGCTGGGCGCAGTGGCTCATGCCTGTACTCCCAGCACTTTGGGAGGCCAAGGCAGGTGGATCACTTGAGGCCAGGGGTTCAAGAGTGGCCTGGCCAACATGGTGAAACTCTGTCTCAACTAAAAATACAAAAATTACCCGGGCATGGTGGTGCATGCTTGTAATCCCAGCCACTCTCGAGGCTGAGGCATGGCAGTCGCTTGAACCCGGGAGGCAGAGGTTGCAGTCAGCCGAGATTGCACCACTGCACTCCAGCCTGGGCGACAGAGTAAGACTCTGTCTCACAAAAAAAAAAAAAAAAAAAAATTCACTCTCTGTAAAATCGTGCTAGCTCACCGTTCAGTATCCCCATTTTACAGAGGGTCACGTAGAGGATTAAAATGGACTTTTTGGAAACAGTCATGCCAGCTGATCACAAATGTGAGGTTCAAATCCAGCTGGCCTAGATCCAAAGCCTGTGCTCTGAAGTCTGGACTCAGCTTCCCCAGTGTTTGCTGCAGACTATGCCCGCTTAAGCCTCAAGGACTTTAGGGGAAGGTCATAAAAGGGCAAGGGCATGGGGAAGGAGTCTTACAGGGACCAGGAATTTAGAATAAGGGGTTATTCAATGTTCCATCGTGCCTGGACAGGTTATTCCTTTTAAGTGGGTGTTCATTTCATTGACAAAGGCTTAACTCAGGAGCGTGTGTGCCGGCGGCGGTATTTCATTCCTCAAGGGCCAGTTTGTGCTGAGGAGGTGCTAAGACAGTGATGTGCAGTGGTTAGGAGCGTGCTCTCAGGTCTAGGCTGCCTGGGCTGGAATCTTGACTCAGACACTTTCTGGCTGTGTGATCCTGGGCAACTTATTTAATCACTCTGTGCCTTGGTGCCTCCATTTATAAGGTGGACCCAATGCCTCTGGAGCCACGGTAAGGGCAAAGTGAGTTGATATACGTCAAGCACAATAAAGGAGTTGGTTATTGCTATTATCTTCTAGGGAGAGTCCTGCAGATTTCAAAATACATTAAAAATATCACACTTTTAAGGCCAGGAATGGTGGCTCACACCTGTAATCTTAGCACTTTGGGAGGCTGAGGTGGGAGGATTGCTTAAGGCCTGGAGTTTGAGACCAGCCTGGGCAACATAGTGAGACTCCATCTCTACAAAAAGCAAAAAAAAAAAAAAAAAAGCTAGGCGTGGTGGTGTGTGCCTGTGGTCTCAGCTACTCAGGAGGCTGTAATTCCAGTACTTTTCGGAGCCGAGGTGGGCAGATCACTTGAGCCCAGGAGTTTGAGACCAGCCTGAGCAACACAGTGAGGTCCTGTCTCTGCAGAAGACAGAAAAATCAGCTAGGCGTGGTGGTGTGCACCCATAGTCCCAGCTACTTAGGAGGCTGAGGCAGGAGGATCACCTGAACCCAGTGAGGCTGAGGCTGAGTGAGCCATGAACATGCCACTTCACTCCAGCCTGGACAACAGAGTGAGACCCTGTCTCAAACACAGTTTTAGGCCGGGCACAGTGGCTCACGCCTGTAATCCCAGTACTTTGGGAGGCCTAGGCGGGTGGATCACTTGAGGTCAGGAGTTCGAGACCAACCTGACCCACCTGGTGAAACCCCGTCTCTACTAAAAACACAAAAATTAGCCGGGCATGGTAGCAGGCGTCTGTAAAAAAATTTAACTCAGGAGGCTGAGGTGGGAGGATCACTTGAGCCCAGGAGGCAGAGGCTGCAGTGAGCTATGATTGTACCACTGCACTCCAGACTGGGCAACAGAGCAAGACCCTGTCTCTAAAAAAATAATAAATAAAAATTTAAAACATCCCACTTCAGGGTTCCATTTATTTTCATTTTTGTTCCAATAGCCATTTGCTAAGTTATCAGTATGTGAGGAAAACAAACAACAACGTTGAATAAGATAGGCCCCTCCCCTGAAGGGACTCAAAACAGAACCAAATCAGTCCCAAGTCAAGTGGCACAAGCTGGAGTGTTGCCAAGGGAGAGTACCCCGTCCCCAGGGGCAGGCCTGGGCACCACCCATCAGCACAGCCCTGACGGGAACCGGTCAGGAAGGAGCCAGTTTCAGCAGGGGTCACCCCTAGGGGGATCCAAGCAGTCAGGGGTGGAGCAAGGGAGTTCACTCAGGCTGCGAGTGACTTCTCTCCCTTCTCATCTTCCTGGATTGAGTCAAGAATGAACAGGTCCCTGTGGACATCAGATGAAGGGAGCAGCCCTAGACTGTGGGGCAGGAGGCTGAAGGCTGGTGTGACCTTAAGCTAAGGCAGCAACACCAAACCAGGGCCACCACCATTTGAATTCCCCCCAGGGTGCCCTTTGTCACTTTCCAGGTGGATGCAGTGTGTGTATGCGGGCGTGCGTGCGTGCGTGCGTGTGTGTGTGTGTGTGTGTGTGTGTATTGAATCCCGGTGGGAATTAACTCTAAGATGGTTTTTGTTTTGTTTTGTTTTTGAGACGGAGCCTCACTCTGTCGCCCAGGCTACAGTGCAATGGCGCGATCTCGGCTCACTATAGCCTCCGCCTCCCGGGTTCAAGTGATTCGCCTGCCTCAGCCTCCCAAGTAGCTGGGATTACAGGTGCCTGCCACAATGCCCAGCTAATTTTTGTGTTTTTAGTAGAGACAGGATTTCACCATGTTGCTCAGGTCGGTCTCGAACTCCTGACCTCAGGTAATCCATCTGTCTAGGCCTCCTAAAGTACTAGGATTACAGGCATGAACCACCGCGCCTGGCCTAAAACTGTTGTTTTTGGTTTTTTTTTTTTTGAGACAGAGTCTCGCTCTGTCGCCCAGGCTAGAGTGCAGTGGCACGATCTCGGCTCACTGCAAACTCCGCCTCCAAGGTTCACGCCATTCTCCTGCCTCAGCCTCCCGAGTGGCTGGGACTACAGGCGCCCGCCACCACGCCCAGCTAATTTTTTGTATGTTTAGTCGAGACAGGGTTTCTCCGAGTTAGCCAGGATGGTCTCCATCTCCTGACCTCATGATCTGCCCACCCCCACCTCCCAAAGTGCTGGGATTACAGGCATGAGCCACCGCGCCCGGCCCCTAAAACTGTTTTTTGAGACAGGGTCTCACTCTGTTGTCCAGGCTGGAGTAAAGTGGCACGATCATGGCTCACTCAGCCTCAGCCTCACTGGGTTCAGGTGATCCTCCTGCCTCAGCCTCCCAAGTAGCTGGGACTGTGGGTGCACACCACCACGCCTAGCTGATTTTTCTATTTTCTGCAGAGACAGGGTCTCACTGCGTTGCTCAGGCTGGTCTCAAACTCCTGGGCTCAAGTGATCTGCCCACCTCAGCTCCCAAAAGTACTGGGATTACAGGCGTGAACCACCATGCCCAGCCTCTAAACCTTTTAAAAAAGAAAAATACATACAGTTTTTTTCCTCTAGGGCCAGTCAGGAGCTGGCTAGACTGTGTTTCATGTTCTGACCACTCTGGAGCATGTGGAAAAGGTTATAAAAAAAAGTTAGAGCCATCTCCACCACTTAGCTGTGTGGCCCTAGGCAAGTGCCTTGCCCTCTCTGAGCTTCCACTTCCTTACCTGTATACCAGGTTAGATCCCTACCTGGAAGAGTTAAACAAAATAATATTTGTGGAGTGCTCAGCACAGTTCCTGGCTCATAGAGAAATGTTTAACAGCAGTGCCCAGAGGTTTAGCAGGGTCTTAGAAGGGGAGGCTGGAATGGCCTTGAGAGGCCTTGAGAGGTCCCTAAGATGCCTAGGATGACGTTTACCATCATCTGGGGAGCTGAGAGATTCAGAGGTTTGAACAAAACAAAACAATGTTTCAGGAAAAAATTTAGCCTAGTTCCTTCTATTAAGTGCCAATGCCCTTTTAAAATGTGTATAGCTTGATGTGTAATCATCACCCAGGTGAACACAGAGAACATTTTCTGCACCCCATGGGGCTATTTTGTGTTCCTTCCTAATCAATATCCACCTCCTGCCCAGGTAACCACTATTCTGACTTCTGGCACCATACATTAGTTGTGATGGTTCTTAGCATTTCACACAAAGGCATCTAAACAAAGCACAGGTAATTTAATGAAAATAAAGGCATGGCTATTTCTTGTCTAGTAGCTTTAGGGGGCTGAAAGTCCTTTCTTTTCAAGAGAATGTCTCTCAGGCTGGACGCGGTGGCTCATGCCTGTAATCCCAGCACTTTGGGAGGCCGAGGCAGGCCGGTCACCTGAGGTCAGGAGTTTGAGACTAGCCTGACCAACACAGAGAAACCCTATCTCTACTAAAAATACAAAATCAGCCAGGTGTGGTGGCACATGCCTATAATCCCAGCTACTCAGGAGGCTGAGGCAGGAGAATCGCTTGAACCCAGAAGGCTGAGGTTGTGGTGTGCCGAGATAGCGCCATTGCACTCCAGCCTGGGCAACAAAAGCGAAACTCCGTCTCAAAAAAGAAAAAAAAAAAATAGAATGTCTCTCTAGGTGTGGCATGTCTATTTCTCTCTGTCTAACGTGTTTCCTTCTTACGTTTTCCATAAACTTATACTGATTATGTAACTTTACAAAATCATAATCGACAATAACAGGAAAGAAAGGATGCAGGAGGAATGTAGGCCTGGATTCCTTGTGATACACAGAGTAGGGCTGTCCAGTAAAATACAGGATGCCCAGTTAAATTTGAATTTTAAACAATGAATAATCTTTTAGCATAAGGATGTCCTAAATATTGCACAGCACTGGTGCTAGACAGAGAGGGGGCAATATCCCAGATCTTCTGGAACCTGTCCTTTCGGGGTCCATTCCCTCTATGACCCAGAAGTGATCCAGCCACCATCCCAATACCTGAACAGTGTGATGACCACCTTCCCAGGAGGGAACTGGCTCAGGAAGCCGTCCAGCAGGATTGCCCACTGCACACCAAGCGCCAGCATGAAGAGGTTGAAGGCCACACTGCTCCAGCTGTGTCTCCGGAAATTTGAGGTGAGGAAGCCCAAGCCAAGGGCCGCCATCACGGTCAGATCTTGGCCGACTGCTCGGTGGGGAGATGGTGAGAAGGAGGAGGGGGAAGCAGACGAGATTTAGGGTGGTATGAAATTAGAGTCTTACTAAATGGCAGCTGGAAGGGGCATGCAAGATCGTTTACAAGTATTTGGTCAAGTTACTTTGCCTCTTTGAGCCTCAATGTTCTCAACTGAATAATGGGGATAACATAACATGCCGTGTGGGGATAAGGTAAGGATTAGAGGAGCTAAAGCTAATTAAGCACTTAGGGCAGGGCCTGGCCCATAATGAGTGCTCAGTAAATGTGGCAATTATTCTATTATTAAACCTAATAATAAGAACAAGTGTAAAGTACACGTGCTTGATGCACATGGACACTCAGTAAAGGTCATTGCTGCTGTTATTGCATATGAGGGCCAACCCCCTGGCTGGGCACATGAGAAAATAAAGCCACAGAAGCCAAGTGACTTGTCCCAGGACACACAGAAAAGAGAGGGCAGAGATAGGCCCAGTGCTCTTGTTGTTGGGAACCACATAATCTTCACAGCAAACCTCCCTCCCTTTGCCGCCTGCTGCGAGGGACCTGGTGAGCTGGCTGGCAGAAAACATCAGGGCCACCTGGGTAGCCCTCACCTTTCCCAGTCTCAGACCCTGAGCAGAGGCTGCTGTGGCAGGTGAGTGGAAGAGATGCACCTGAGGGCAGGGAGGGGCCCAGCAAAGCGGAGGGTGAGCACTTTGGTTTAATTCCAGTTTTGAAAAAGGGTTAGCAGCTTGAGCTCCAGAACGAGACAAATTTGGGTTCAAATCAAGACTGTGGCACTCTCTAACTGTGTGGTCTTGATCTAGTTACTTAACATCTCTGAGCTTTATAACAGCCTACATTTCCTAAGCGTTTACCATGTGCCTACGCTGTTTTAATCACTTTACATAGACTATCTTGTTTCGTTCTCACAACCACACTTTGACATGGGTGCTGTTACTGTCACCATTTTACAGATATGAAAACCAAGGCACAGAGGCGTTATGTAACTTGCCCCGGTGGGTAGAGCTAAGATTTTTTTTTTTTAATTTTGAGATAGAGTTTCACTCTTGTCACCCAGGCTGGAGTACAGTGGCGAGATCTTGGCTCACTGCAACCTCTGCCTCCTGGGTTCAAGTGATTCTCCTGCATCAGCCTCCCAAGTAGCTGGGATTACAGGTGCCCACCACCGTGCCCGGCTAATTTTTGTATTTTTAATAGAGAAGGGGTTTCACTATGTTGGCCAAGCTGGTCTCAAACTCCTGACCTCAAGTGATCTGCCCACCTCGGTTTCCCAAAGTGATGGGATTACAGACATGAGCCACAGGGCCTGGCCTACAGCCAAGATTTAAACCTAGATAATCTGCTGGAGCCTGTGCCTTGGACTACCACACCATCTGCCCTCCCTCTTCTTATCAATAATCACCAACTGTTTTCGCACATGAATAAATGACTGGAGAGAGAGAAATCTTGAAGAATTTTTTTTTTCCCATCATGAATATTGTCTCTAACTTTGGGAGATGTTTTACTTTTTTAGTTTTAGTGTTTAAATTTTCTGCAACCAGCATGTAGACAATTTTTTTTTTTTCGAGACAGAGTCTCTCTGTTACCCAGGTTGGAGTGCAGTGGTGCGATCTCGGTTTGCTGCAACCTCTGCCTCCCGGGTTCAAGTGATTCTTGTGCTTCAGCCTCCTGTGCTTCAGTGGGAACCACAGGCGCGCACCACCACGCCTGGCTAATTTTTGGCCAAGCTGGTCTCGAACTCCTGACCTCATGTAATCCACCCACCTCCGTCTCCCAAAGTGCTGGGATTACAGGCATGAGCCACCGTGCCCAGCCTAGACAATGTTTTTCGAAAAGGTGGAAGGGGAAGCATAGGTTTTGAGTTCACATAGCTCTGTTCGATCCCAGCTCTATCATTTCCTATTAGATTAAACCTCACTAAATTGCCACCAGTTGACTCTTTTGGACATATAAAAATACCAATTTAGGAGGATGAGGTGGGCAGATCATGAGGTCAGCAGTTCGAGACTAGCCTGGCCAACATGGTGAAACCCCGTCTCTACTAAAATTACAAAAAAATTAGCTGGATGTGGTGGCGGGCACCTGTAATCCCAGCTACTCGGGAGGCTGAGGCAGGAGAATCGCTTGAACCCAGGAGGCGGAGGTTGCAGTGAGCTGAGACCGCACCACTGCACTCCAGCCTGGGCGACACAGTGAGACTCTGTCTCAAAATAAATAAATAAATAAATAAATAAAATAAAATATCAATTTACGTGTTTCAACTTCATAGCCCTGTGGTCTTCTAAGTTGCTTACTTTCCTTATCAACAGAATAAGGGTAATTAGAGCCACCTGAGAGGTTTCTGGGACATCCGAAGGAAATAATGTTTAGTACAGTGCCTAGCACATGGAGAACACTCAATAAATAGTGGCTGTTCATCAACATCATCATGACAATCACAGCAATAGGAACTCACCTGCCACTGGTCTCCAGCCCTGGCTTTGATAACAATGAGAAGCTCTCATTACTGGAACTCTCCAAAGTCTCAGAAAAAGTCTTTGATTTATAAAGTACATTTAAATTCACTTCCATTGAAACGTACACACACCCAGGGTCTGCCAGAGAGGACAAGGGAGGACACTGACATTTCCAAATCAACCTGACACCACCAGGATATAGGAGACCCCCAAGGACCTCCACGGGACCTGGGGATTTGGGGCGTGGGTGAGAAGTGGGCATTAGGAAGGATTCAACTCTTTGCACTTCTTCTGACAGCAAGGAGGGAGGTGCAGGGAATGTTTCTATCTCCTGCTTGCATCCTTAGGAATGGGGGTGTGTGACCAGGGGACATTTTCTACAGGGGTTCCTCTTGGGATTACTCAAATTCCCTCAGGAGCCAAGCAGGAAATATGTATATGAAGGTGCAGTGCACATGTGGGAGCAGTGAGGCTTGTGTTCAGTTGGAGACTGCATGCCCCACTTCAGATATGCAAATCCAACCTTTTATTAAACACGATTGTTAAAGTGCATCTGCCATTTTGTAGCAATGCTATATGCATAGGGTCCAGACTTATTGAAGATTCCATGAGTAGAGCAATTCTTCCATTTTCCTCTCATTTTACAGAAGGGGACCAGAGAGAGCCTGTGAGGGGCGCTCATGACCGGGCCCAGAGGAGAATTGTACATTGTAAGGAAGACCTTCAGGAAAAGTTTATGAAAGCCCCACAACTTGGAGAAAGAAAATCTAACCTGGTAGTTCAGCAGTGAACTAACTACCAGGCCCCAAACATGCCGGCAGCAGAGCGCAGCTCTGAATGCCTGGAACTATGTCCTTGCACAGGCTAGGCTGTCTCTAGCTCTTTCTTCTCTCACCTCACTAAGCGATCTTAGGCAAGTCCATTACCCTCTTTAGGCCTCAGTTTCCCTGTCTGTAACACATAGGAGTTGGACTTGATACTCTCTAAGGCTTTTACAGCTCTGGAATATTCCAAAGAAGTTAGTGGAAGATGGGGAGAGGAGAGTTGCCTGGATAAGGGCAGAGTTGGGGCCCTAAAGATTAGGAAGTCAGACCAGGTGTGGTGGCTCACACCTGTAATCCCAGCACTTTGGGAGGCCAAGGAAGGAGGATTGCTTGAGCTGAGGAGTTCAAGACCAGCCTAGGCAACATAGCAAGACCTTGTCTCTACAAAAAATACAAAATTACTTGGGCGTGGTGGCAAGTGCCTGTAGTCCCAGCTACTCAGGAGGGTGAGGTGGGAGGATGGCTTGTGCCTAGAAGGTTAAGGCTGCAGTGAGCCACGATCACATCACTATACTCCAGCAGCCTAGGCGACAGAGGGAGACCCTTTTTTTAAAAAAAAAAAAAAAAAAAAAAAAAAAGGCCGGGCACAGTGGCTTATGCCTGTAATCCTAGCACTTTGGGAGGCTGAGGTGGGCAGATCACTTGAAGTCAGGAGTTTGAGACCAGCCTGGCCAACATGGTGAAATCCCGTCTCTACTAAAAATACAAAATTAGCCTGGCATGGTGGCGCATGCCTGTAATCCCAGCTACTCAGGAGGCTGAGGCAGGAGAATCGCTTGAACCCAGAAGGCTGAGGTTGCAGTGAGCCGAGATCGCACCACTGTACTCCAGCCTGGATGACAGAGTGAGACTCCGGCTCAAAAAAAAAGAGAGATGAGGAAGTCAGAGGATCCTGGGTGGGGGCTTTATCGGGCACAGCTGCTGCCCCTGATCCCGATTCCCTGATTCCAGGTATATGCGCTCAGGGCCTTCCTCCCCAAGGCTCTACACTGTCCCTGAGAGAGGAATTGTGCCTCAGCCAACAAGATGAAATTAGGGCAGCAGTTTCCATGAGCTGTTGACAGAGCTCATGCACCCCAAACTGGTCAGGAAATAACATTTGATTTCAGGCTTCTCCTCCCCCTGCCCCCTCATCCTCCCACCTCTCTTGGGCTCCAGGCCCATTTCCACCCGTCCATTATCTGGGCTCCCGCTTCAGGGCTGGGTCCCAGCTTGGAGCATCCTCACTGGTATCAGCCTCCACCTCTCACAGTCTGCTCTGCACTCACATCAGCTGCTGGTTTGATAAGCTGATGGGCTCTAAGGTGTTCAGGGGTGATAAGAAGTGGATGTCCTACCCGGGCGCCCATGCCTGGGCCCAGAGGGGAATTGTACATTCTACGGAAAGCCTTCAGGAAAAGTTTATGAAAGCCTCATGACTTGCAGAAAGAAGTCTAACCTGGTAGTTCAGCAGCGAGAGATAAGGCAATACTCACCATTGTTGTAACAGCAGGCACACAGATAGACAGTACCCCACGTTCCAGGCACTGTTCTACGTGCCTTACAGACTTAGCCCACAACAGCCTCAGGTAGGAGGTACGATTTATTATCCCCATTTTAGAGAGGGGGAAAGGGAGGCACAGAGAGGTGCTATAACTAGTCCAAGTCACAGAGCTAGTAAATGGTAGCAGGAGGATTCAAACCCTACCTACCTAGGTTTAACCATTATGCCATCCTGCCTTTCTATACAGCATATATAGCGTAACGGTGATGAACAGTGTGGGTCTCTCAATCAGGTTGTCAGTGTTCAGAGCCTGGCTCTTCCTCTGTGTCCCAGCTTCCTGAGCTGTAAAATTGAGATGAAACAATGCCAGCTGCTCAGAGGATTGCCATGAGCATTGAGCTCGCTGGCTCATGCAAGTCACTTTGCCCAGCATTGGGTACGTAGTGAGTGTTAGTAACTGTTACCCCGTGCCGGCCGCTGATTAGCGGTGTGACTTTAGGCAAGACTGCTCTCCCCCAGGCCTGTTGCAAAGAGACCACTTGCAAAGAGTTCGTTTGGATAACAGCACTTTGGCCTTCTGAGTCCATCCCCTTGGGCAGCTGCCTCCTCCGGTCAGCTGCCTCTGTGATTCTGGATCTGCACCCCCTCCCACTCTTGCCCCTCCCTCTGGCCTGCAGAAACTTCAGCACCAAGAGCTCTGAAGGCAGAACCAGCTTCACTCCCCCAGGCTCTAGGGTTGACCTCCACCCTGTGCTCCCACTGCTGCCTGGAAAGACCACTGCAGCCTCAGGAGGCCGCCACCTCCTCGCCCACAGCCTCTACTCTACCGGCGACTCTCACCCCTCCAGCAGCCTGGGAAGAAAAACAGAGATTTCCCAAAGGGGCAGACCAAAGCTGCAGTGTGGAAGGTGCCAGGGTTTGGAGTGTTTACATGTCACTGGGAAAACTCCTCTGTCTTCTAGTAGCCCCTCTCTCTGCCTTTGAGGAGTATGGGGTGGGGATGGGGGACTGAGTGGTATCCACAGCACAGGACCCAGGATAGTCTCCCAGTTTGGTAGCCTTAGGGAAGCTCTGCCTGGTAGGCGATTGTTACAGTAATGGCCCCCAGTGAATCACCAATTGCCAAACATGTGAATGAGGTCATCTGAGGCCATCCCACCCCAAACTGCAGATGCATGAATGACCCTGGGTGAAACTAACAGAAGAACTGCCCAGCTGAACCCAGCCCAGTTGTTGCACCACAGAATCATGATCATGAGTAAATTAAAAGGTTGCTATTTTAAGCCACTAAGTTTGGGGTGGCTGTTATGCAGCAATAGGTAATTGATACTCTCTGCTTCCCCTAAGCATATCATAGGCCCCTTAACTCCAAGCCCAGAATGAACATATCATTGTTCATTCATCCTCACAACCTGTCCCTCCCCTTCTGTCTCTCACCTCAGGAACTGGCACCTCTCTATGCCAAATCATACATCTGCAGCCAGTCTTAACTCCCCACTCTTTTCATCAAGTACAGCTGACTTTATCTCCTAAATATCTCTAGAATCTCCTCCACTGCCCCTGCCCATCTGGTCTCATCACAGGTCATCCAGACCAGTAGTCATTACAGCAAAGAACACACACCCCAGAAAATGCTCAATACAATCACCAGGGTAGCTGGAAGAAAACAAGCAATTCTAGTTTTATTTATTTTATTTAAAAAATTAAGAAATTAAAGCTTTTGGGCCAGGCATGGTGGCTCACGCCTGTAATCCCAGCACTTTGGGAGGCCGAGGCGGGTGGATCACCTGAGGTTGGGAGTTCGAGACCAGCCTGACCAACATGGAGAAACCCCGTCTCTACTAAAAATACAAAATTAGCCGGGCGTGGTGGCGCATGCCTGTAATCCCAGCTACTCGGGAGGCTGAGGCAGGAGAATTACTTGAACCTGGGAGGCGGAGGTTGCGGTGAGCCAAGATCGCACCACTGCACTCCCCTGGGCAATAAGAGCAAAACTCTGTCTCAAAAAAAAAAAGCTTTTGATAATAAAAGCTAATACTCTTTATGTGTGTCAATTCATTTATCCTTTCAACAACTTAATGAAACAAGTACTATCATCCTCTGACAGAAGTAGAAACAGAGGCAGAAAGAGGTTGACTAATCTGCCCAAGGTCTCTAAGATACAGAGGCAAGATTTGAATCAGTCTAGCTCCAGGAATTCTCGAACTTTCACGCACAGAAGAATCACCCAGAGGGCTTGTGAAAACACAGATTGCTGGGCCCCAGGCCCAGAGCTTCTGATCAGTAGGTCTGGCCTAGGGCCTGAGAATCTGCATTTCTACTAAATTTCCAGGAGATGCTGAGGCAGCAGGTCTGGGGACCACACTTTGAGAAACATGGATCTAGGCTATTCTATCTCTAAAGGTACTTTGTGAAGTTTTCAATTCTGCAAATATTTAATATTCAGATTCACCCAGAAGCCACCCCTCACTTGCTCAGGATGTCATACAGCCTTGAGTCTCCTAGCTTTGGAAGGTGCCCTAAGGGAATATTGGTCCAATGAGAAGGATTTGATACGCATTTCTCTATATTCTTCATGTTGCAACTAATGGCAGGGTTTTATGTTTTATTTATTTTTATTTTCATTTTTTTTTTGAGATGGAGTCTCGCCCTGTTGCCCAGGCTGGAGTGCAGTGGTGTAATCTCAGCTCACTGAAAGCTCCGCCTCCTGGGTTCACGCCATTCTCCTGCCTCAGCCTCCCAAGTAGCTGGGACTACAGGCACCCGCCACCATACCCAGCTAATTTTTTGTATTTTTAGTAGAGATGGGGTTTCATCATGTTAGCCAGGATGGTCTCCATCTCCAGACCTCGTGATCTGCCTGCCTTGGCCTCCCAAAGTGCTGGGATTACAGGCGTGAGCCACCGCACCCAGCCTTTATGTTTTATTTATATTTTTAAATTTGTTATTACAGTCTCGCTTCACCTCAAATATTTTCATTTTTTTTTGAGACAGGGTCTTGCTCTGTCGCCCATGCTGGAGTGAAGTGGTACAATCCCGTCCCACTGCAGCCTCAAGCTCCCAGGCTCAAGCAAGCCTCTCACCTCAGCCTACTGAGTAGCTGGGACTACAGGCATGTGCCACCACACTGGGTTAAATTTTACAGTTTTTTTTTTTTTTTTTTAGAGATGGCGGGGGGGGGTCTCCCTATGTTTCCTAGGCTGGTCTTGAACTTCTTGGTTTAAGCAATCCTCCCCACTTGGCCTCCCTAAGTGCTCAGCCAGGGTGTTTTTTTTTTTTTTAATTAACTATTACAGAACTTTCAAAGCATATATGAAAACAGAGAGAACAGCACGATGACCCTACGTGCCCATCTCCAAACTCTGATGATTGTCACATGAGACCAATCTTGTTTCTATAATCCTTCTCTACTTTTTCTTTTTTCTGGTATGAAAGCAAACCCCAGATATCATGCCATTTCAATGTGCCTCTCTAACAGATAGAGCCTTAAAAAACAAAAACAAAAAAAAAACCCACCATGCTTTTATCATACCTAACAAAATTAACAATAATCCTTGTATATCGTAAGATATTCATGCTATATTCAGATTTCCTGATTGTCTCAAAATGTCTTTTTAGAATTGGCAGGTTTGAATAATCTATTATAGTTTACCAGGACTGAATTCAATTAAGTGGATTGACAGATTAAGTTACCTAAGTTTAACTCAACAAACTTTCACAAAATGAAGTAATGGCTTAACCAACTCGTGCAGAAAAACACAGATTGGAAGCAGAGAAATAATGGCAGTCAAGTGAACAAAAAGGAAAGGCAGAGTGAAACTTCTCCTTGTACAAGCTGTCAGTCACATTCGAGATTTAAAAAATGTCGATCTAATCAGATCTGACAAGTCAATCAAGACAATTTCAAATTATCAAGAAGACTCTGAGGAGTGAATTTTCATCCACTATCGTCAACTGTAGCAATGGACCCTGCCTGGAGATTGACACCATTATGATTAGTAATTTGAAAATATTATATATTTCATTCTGATCTCTTTCAATTTTCCTAATTTGTATGTATTTATTATAACATACAAAATATATTAATGTAGTAATACTTAAAGTGTAACATATAACCATGGTACATGCTCAAAAAATGGTGTGTACACCATCAGAAGGTTGAAGCCCTCGGGTCAATACTACACTACAGCCTCCACGCTGGTCTTGTGTCTCAAGCCATGCCCCTTCCCCTGTGCCCAACACCAGCCCTGGCATGGCATCCGCCATGACCCAAACCCAAACTTGTCGCGCTCCTGTTTACTATTCGGACCTCAGACTGAAGCCAAACTCCGTATGCAGCCCAGTGAGTCTACCACCCACTGCTTCCCTGTTTATTTTTATTTATTACTATTATTTTTTTCAGACAGAGTCCCACTCTGTCACCCAGGCTGGAGTGCAGTGGCGTATTCTCAGCTCAGCTACCTCTACCTCCTGGGTTCAAGCAATTCTCCTCCCTCAGCTTCCCAAGCAGCTGGGACTACAGGCACGTGCCACCACATCCGGCTAATTTTTGTATTTTTAGTAGAGACAGGGTTTCACCATATGGGCCAGGCTGGTCTCGAACTCCTGACCTCAGGTGATCTGCCCGCCTTGGCCTCCCAAAGTGTTTGGGATTACAGGCATGAGCCACCACACCCAGTCCCTGCTCTCCTCTTTGTTTTTTGTTGTTGTTGTTGTTTTTGTTTGGTTTTTTGAGATGAAGTCTTGCTCTGTCGCCCAGGCTGGAGTGTAATGGCCTCCCAAGTAGCTGGGATTACAGACGTGTGCCACCACACCCGGCTAGTTTTTATAATTTTAGTAGAGATGGGGTTTTGCCATGTTGGCCAGGCTGGTCTTGAACTCCTAACCTCAGGTGATTCTCCAGCCTTGGCCTCCCAAAGTGCTGGGATTACAGGTGTCAGCTACCTCGCCCAGCCCCTTGCTTCTCTTTTTAGGCTACAGGGCAATGCAATGTTAAGCCCAAGCTCAGTCTGCTCTAGTGTGTGCACACGCAATGGCACCCACTGTGCCCTCACTTGGATGACCCGCCTTTGTCCCACAGGTAATTCCTACTGAGCCTTCAAGAGCTGGCTGGGCAGGCACCTCCCTCCAGAAGCCTCCCCTGACACCATCGTCTCCCCTGCCTGGGTTGTGGACCCTCCTCTGAGCTTCCATATAAAGTGAGTTTCTGAGGACATTTTGTACCTACGTTAGTAGCACGGTGCAGGGGTAAAGAACATGGACCCTAGAGTCAATCTACAGGGTTGGAATAGTGGCTGCTACACCTACTGGGTTATATGACAAATGACTCAACGCCACTGTAAAATGGGGCCATGATGCATAATGGTTAAGTGTAAGGAAACTAAATCCAGGGTGGCTAAATTTAAATACGCTGTGCTATTGCTAGCTGAGCGACCTTGGGCAAATTACTCAACATCCATATGCCTAGTTTCCTCATATGAAAAACGAAGATCATAATAGTACCCACCTCATTGGGTTATTGTGAGGGTTCAATGTAAAGCATGTAGAATAGTGCCTGGTACATAGTAAGTGCTCATAAATATCAGTTCTAATCATCATGTGTCTGGATCCCACATTGGATGTCATACATGGTTGAATGAATGGAATGCATTGAATTGTATTGGATTGAAATGAATTAAAGTAAATTGAAATGAATTAAAATTGTGCCAGCTCTTGTTTGTCTGTCACTGAAGGCTCCTCTCTGGGCCAGCACCTTAAATGGTATAAGGGCTTCCCTCCCTAAGTCCTACTTGTCACTGCCATGGCCCCCAGGATGACTTCTCTTTGCTTCCAGTTAACTAGCCGTTCATATCAACCTAGGAACAAGCAAGCACTCAACCAGGCTCAAGCTTCAACTTTGTCTCAGGGACATTCTTCAAGGAGGCCCTGTCCATTATCAACAACCTATCAGCCCACTGAGATGCCTGAAACTCATTTCAATATTTTTAAAAAAGCAAAGTCACACCATTGTGGACATCTGTCTTATTTACAGTTGTCTCATCACAGTCTGGGAATATTTTTAGCTGAATATAAAATAACCATCATCCTACCCTCCCCTTCAGCCATACCTTCTGGTTCTGGATTTATAGACAGCATGCAGACTTCCCAGCCCCTAAGTGAGAAGAAAGCTGGGGTCGGTGGGGGTGGGGGTGGGGGGTAGCAACAGGCTGAAGCTTCCAAAAGAAAACTAGTATAGATATGAGCAAGAGAGCTGGGCACAGTGCTTCACGCCTGTAATTCCAGCACTTTGGGAGACTGAGGCTGGAGGATCGCTTGTGTCCAGGAGTTTGAGACCAGTCTGGGAAACACAGGGAGACCCACATCTCTACCAAAAAAAAAAAAAAATTTAGCCAGGCATGGTGGTGCCCTCCTGTGGTCCCAGCTTCTTGGGAGGCTGAGGTGGGAAGATTGCTTGAGACTAGGAGGTCAAGGCTGCAGTGAACCATGATCATGCCACTGCACTTCAGCCTGGGCAACAGAGTGAGACCCTGTCTCAAAAAGAAATAAGAAATGAGCGAGAGGCCACAAAAAGGAAACAAAACCCGAAAACCCAACAACATGAAATTGCTTGCATAAGCTAGCTGCACTTGTATCCCCTAAATCTATAAAAATAAAAAAAATCCTTGCCACTAAGGAGAGAGAAGGGGAAGCAGAGAAGCAGAGAATTATGAAGACCATTTGGTAGAGGGAATTTGAGGAACACCAAAGAGGATGCCTCTCACTGTGCTGAAAAATCAAGGCAGGCTTCACAGAAGAGGGCATGCCCAGGCTGCTTCTAAAGGAAAGCTTACATTGTTGACTGAATTTCGGTGCAATCTACGGAAGAAGATGGGGGAATCTTTTCCTCGGGATTTTGTAGAAAGGAACATCTGTGCCCCTGGAGAACCATAGGCCTCCCCCGCCCCTGCCCCTGCTATTTGCTCCTGTGACCACTGTTCCAATGAACTCTCACCTTGATAGGATGCCACGAGCCCCTTTTGATCCTCTAAGGAAGCGTCATAGTGGGTAAAAAAATAGAAGAGGAGAATGAGAGCTGCTTCCAGTGTTAGGGCGCAGAGGGGCAGGCAGCGCCGGACAGACCGCGGGTACTTAGAGCTCATCCTGTGTCCGTCTCTGTGCAGGGGTTCCACCAGCACCAGGCATCACCCCTCTCTCCAACACCTACTTGAGGGCTTGAGGGAGCGATAGGGGAGACACCCGCCAAAGGCCTTATCTCAGGCTGCAAGGCTGGCTGTGCTGGCCTGTCTATGGAGTTAACACGGAAGCAGAGGGACTATGATGGGGAGGGGAGGAAATGTATGTTTTCCAATATTGTCATTCATTCAACAAGTTGCTGTGTTCCTGTTACAGGTTCCTGCTGTGCTCAGTTTGAAAGAGGGCATTCTATTCCTTTGACACCCAAACATAATCCTTCTTTACTCTGTACTTCAGTCATCTTCAGCATATCCTTGTAAGAAAAGCAAGGAACGGATCAATACTCCTATTTTATAAATAAGGAAACTGAAGCTCAGAAGAGGCTTTCTTTTTAAAACCTTACTACATGACAGAGAGGGCACCCAGTGAGCTCTTAACAACAATGTATTGAATGAGAATGAATGAAAGCAAAGAATGGAGCTGAGCCCTGGGGAGGATACAGATAGGACCCACGTAGAATTGACTCCTCATAGTTACACAGTTGAAATTACTTACATTTGAACTTGTATTTAAATCTATGTGTTTCTAAGCATTTTAAGGGGGGGTGGCAGAAGAGAAAGGAGATGTGGGTTTGGCTCTAGTAAAAACCTGGAGGGGATCCTGATCCAGCCTTAGGGTGAAGTTGCTCTACCTCTGGTCACCTCCTCACAGGGCAGCCCAGGACTCTGCCTGGGGCACTACAGTGCATCTGAGGAAGGCCACCAGCCTCAGCATCCCCATCCCTCAGTACTGGACAGTCCAGTCCCCTGGCATGAGCTTTACGGGGCTTGGGACTTAGTTCTAACCCTGCAGCCAACTTCCCGGAACTGTGCTCCCATCCATGTGCCTGGCAGAAGGTCTGGTACATGGTAAGTGTCAAGGAAGGAAGGAAGAGAGAGAGGGATGTAGGGAGGGAGGAAGGGATGAAAGAGGAAGAAAAGAAGGAAGGAATTGGAGTTTCCTCATTTTCTACAATGGCCCCAGCCACTGGCCACTGAGTGTAAACTGAATGTGTGGAGCCCCAGAGAATAAAGCCAGGGCCAGGAGCTACAGGGAAGTGGAAGGTGGAAAGTGGATACTTTATTGACCATTACAGTTGTCCACTGAAATACTCATGAGGTAGTGAGCACCCTGTCACTAGAGGAATGCAGAAATGTCTTGAAAACAATTCCTATGTAGATCAGAGGAGATTTTAATCACCCAGTCGAATCCTGTCATTTTGTTTTTAGACCAAGAAACCAAGACCCAGAGAGGTCATACCTAAGGTCATCTAGTCACTTGGCATCGGTCACTTCTTGCTCAGTGCAGCTTTATTTACAGAAGGAAAAAACTGAGACTAACCTAAATGTCCGCTAGCAGGGGGTTGGTTAAGAAAACTGCAGGACATGAAACTTGCTACCAATATGATGGTTCTGAACATATGCAGGAAAAGCAAGAGGAAAACGCTTTTATCAAAACTGACACAGAGGATAGACTGTTTAGTGAAAAAGCAAGTTATATAACAGCATGTACAATATATTCCCACTCTTATAAAATAATATGTTAGCACACGCATAGAAAAAAGTTGGCTGCAAACCACTAAAACATTGGTTAATTTTGCTTTATACATTTTCAGAGCTAACTGTTACTAAGTACTTGCTAGGCACCATTCTAAGCACTTTACATATATGAACTTAGTTCATGACACTGGGATGGGTACTATTAAGCTTTTATTACAAATGAGTAAACTGAGGCACAGAAAAACTAAGTGACTTGCTCAAGGTCACAGGGCTAGTAAGCAGTAGAGCTGGGATTTAAACCCAGGCAGCCTAACTTCAGGACCTGGGTGTTTGACCACTTAACTGTAGCCTAGATCAGGGGTCCCCAACCTATTTGGCACCAGGGACGGGTTTTGTAGAAGACAATTTTTCCATGGACCGGGGTGAGGTTGGAGGGATGGTGTGGGGATGAAACTGTTCCACCTCAGATCATCAGGCATTAGTTAGATTCTCCTAAGGAGCACGCAACCTAGATCCCTCTCATGCGCGGTTCCCAATAGGGTTTGTGCCCCTGTGAGAATCTAATGCCGCTGCTGATCTGACAGGAGGCGGAGCTCAGGCGGTAGTGCTCGCTGGCCTACCCCTCATGCTGTGCGGTCAGGTTCCTAACGGGCCACAGCCTGGGGGTTGGGGACCCCCAGCCTAGATTACTTCTAAGTCTTCTTCCAATTCTAAAAGTCTAGGAACATGGGCTTCTAAGCCCTCTGCTACCCCAACAGCAATTAAGGGGGAGGGTACCCCAATCCCCAGAGGTCAGAAGTCTCCATTCCTCTCACAATTGCCTCCTGGTTCTGATCTCTGCTCTATTTCTGGCAGTCAGTACTTCTTATAAACTGGGTTTCCTGAGAAGGAACTCCCCTGCACAGTGGGATAAAGGGATGTGACCCCTGCTAACCTGGGCCCAGTACAAGCTCTGTAAACCAGGCAGCCAACTGCACCTACCTACCCGAGGGCACCAGATGTCAGCAAGATGAACACTAAAGATTTCCAGGCAATGCCAACCCCTAGACCTGACAGGCATGTTTACCAGCTGGCAAACAGCGTGGGTGGTGGTTGGTTCCAAGGCACTCCAAATCCCTGTGCGTCCTGATCCTGCCCCAGTAAGGAAGCAGCAGGGACTGACTGCTTGACAAGAGGATCCCGCTCCTCGCAGAACAGAAATGCTTTCATTAAAAAAGGGAGGTATCCCTGCAGTTGGCCTCTCCCGACAGATTTCTCGAAAGCAGAGTTTTTGCTCTTCCCCTCTGACTCTTATAAAAGGCCCCATTTTCTGACTACATTTCCCGATATTCTGTCTTTAAATCTTCAAGGCAGGTCACCTGCTACAGAAAGCACAAGGGATCTAGGATAGATAAGTCAAAAACCAAATACAGTAAAATGTTAATTGTTGATTCTAGCTGTGAGATGTATGGCTTTTCACCGTACAAGTCTTTCAACTTTTTTTGGTAGATGTTTGAAATTTTTCATAATAAAATGCTGGGAAAAAAGCACTCTATTGCACCTGCTGTTCTCTCTGTCTGAAACACTCCTCCTACCAGATACAGATGGCCTCCGACGTACGGTGGTTTGACTTAACGCTTTTCAACTTTATGATGGCGCGAAAGCAACACACATGCAGTGGAAGCCGTGCTTAGAGTTCCCATCCCACCACTCCGTCTTTCACTTTCCGTACAGTACTCAGTACATTACATGAGATATTCAATACTTTATCATAAAATAGGCTTTGTGTTAGATGATTTTGCCCAACCGTAGGCTAATGTAAGCGTTCTAAGCATGTTTAAGGTAGGTGACACTAAGCTATGATGTTCCGTAGGTTAGGTGTATTAAATGCATTTTTGACTTACAATATTTCCTACTTACCATGGCTTTATCAGGACATAACCTCATCGAAAGTCAAGGAACAACTGTACTGGCTTGCTCCCCACCTCACCTCCCTGGATCTGTACTCCACCATCCCCTTCTCAGGGAAGTTTTCCCTGACTGCCCTTTTTTGCTGTGTTTTTTTTTTAGATGAAGTTTTGCTCTTGTTGCCCAGGCTGGACTGCAATGGCACAATCTCGGCTCACTGCAACCTCCGCCTCCCAGGTTCAAGCGATTCTCCCGCCTCAGCCTCCCGAGTAGCTGGGATTATAGGCACGCGATACCACACCTGGCTAGTTTTTGTAGTTTTAGTAGAGACAGGGTTTCACCACATTGGCCTGGCTGGTCTTGAACTCCTGACCTCAAGTGATCCACCTGCCTCGAACTCCCAAAGTGCTGGGATTATAAGTGTGAGCCACTGTGCCTGGCCTCTGATTGCCCTATTTAAAAGGACAGCATCAACTCCCCTTTCTGCTCCCCTTGACAAGGGTTCCTTGTGTTCCCCTTTTAGTTTCCTTCACAGCACTTACTAGCATCTGACGAAGTCTATATTTTTACTTGTGTATTTAGGTTTTTTTTTTAGATGGAGTACTCTGTCACCCAGGCTGGAATGCAGTGGCACGATCTTGGCTCATTGCAACTTCTGCCTTTTAGGTTCAAGCGATTCTCCTTCCTCAGCCTCCCAAGTAGCTGGGACTACAGGCATGAGCCACCACACTGCGCTAATTTTTGTATTTTTAGTAGTGACAGGGTTTCACCATGTTGGCTAGGCTGGTCTCGAACTCCTGACCTCAGGTGACTTGCCCACCTTGGCCTCGCAAAGTACTGGGATTACAGGCGTGAGCCACTGCGTCTGGCCGTGTATTTGTTCATTATCTGCTTTCCCCTATGAGAATCTGAGCAACATAAAGACAGGGACTTTTGACTGCTGTGGTTGCTGTTGTATCCTCAGCACCAGGGAAGTCCATAGTAGGTGCTCAATAAATATTTGTTGGCTGAATAACAGCTACCATTTCTGGAATGCCAAGCACGGAACCAATCATTTTGCATATGCTATTTCATCGGATCTTCCTCTCAAGCCTGTGAGTGTAGGCATCATTACGCTTACAAAAGAGGAAACTGCTGCTCAGAGAGGTGGCGTGAGTACCCAAAGCCACACAGCTAATAAACGGCAGAGGTGGGACCTAACCCAGATCCATCTGACACCATGGCTTGTGTTGCTAATCACTTTGCAATTCTGCCTCCCAAGTTACTAAATCACCCAGTCTCAATTTCCTTATGAGTCAAGTAAGATGTACTCTGGTCTCCTCACAGGGTTATTACAAACGTGAAAATTTGTCAGCAGGCCTGGCAGCCTGAGTTACGGAAATGAAGCTGAGCAAGTGGTGCTATGTCCACGGCGTGCTGGTCTGAGCAGCCAGGCTTCCTGCAGGTGTGGTGAATCAAGCCAGGGAGCCCACAGCTTTCACGTGTAATCATGACTTTTCTGTAAACACCAGACTCCCTGAGAATACCTGCCATGCCCTCCTACCTGAGTCAAGCTCAGTCACTGGCAGTGACCAATGAGGTAGGAGGTCCTCCGGTCCCTCCCTGGAAATGTGTCCACGCCAAGGGTGTGACCTTGCTCTGGGCACGTTTGGCTAAAGTGCAGCTAAGTCAGTCGTTCATTGATTTAACACACATGAGCTTTGGAGTTAGGCAACCTGGTTCAAATTCTGGCTTTGGAATGAGCTGTGTGACCTTGGGTAAAACAGTCAGTGTCTCTGTGCCTGTTTCCTCATCTGGAAAGGCAGAAAATCAGTGTCAATCTCACTGGGTTGTTGTGAAGATTCAACGAGGCAGTGCATAAAGTGTCAGATGTGTAGAAAACACTCCATAAATGTTAGCAATTATGATTATCACACAAGCTTGGCAAGTTTACTGTAGAAACTTTGAAAATACAGATGCATAAAGCTAACATAAAATGTCCATTTCAGTCTCTCCAAAAACCAGCACTATGTTTTGAGTGTATATCCTTTCAGATGTTTTTCTATTCCTGTCGATTTAGGCCTTGTTTTTCTCCCTACAAAAATGGGATTACACAGCACATACTGTTTGGTAACTTGCTATTTTCATGAACTCTATATCATAAGCAGTTTCCAAGCCAGGAAAATCTTTCTACAACAATATAACATGGTGGTTAAAGAGCCCAGGCACTGAAAGCAGACTGCCTGGATTTGAATTCCCAACTCTGTTACTATGTGACCTTAGGCAAGTGCCTTAACTCCTCTGTGCCACAGTGTCCTCATCTGTAATATGGTGCTAGTAATCTCTATCTCATAGGATTGTTGTGAGGATTAAAACAAAATGTATCTGATACTTGGAGTGGCGGCTGCCATAGTTAGTGCTGTGTATAATCATCCTCCATGCCACACTGACTTCCATGGTAAGGATATGTGATAAAGTGTTTGGTCAGTCCTCTCCCAAACTAGCCCTGTTCTAAACACTACAGTGAACATCTTCCATTAACATGGTTCTGGCCTGGTGTGGTGTCTCACGCCTGTAACCCCAGCACTTTGGGAGGCCAAGGCAGGTGGATCACCTAAGGTCAGGAGTTTGAGACCAGCCTGGCTAACATGGCAAAACCCCATTTCTACTAAAAACACAAAAATTATCCAGGCGTGGTGGCGTGTGCCTATAGTCTCAGCTACTCTGGAGGCTGAGGCAGGAGAATCACTTGAACCCAGGAGGCAGAGATTGCAGTGAGCTGAGAATGCACCACTGCACTCCAGCCTGGGTGACAGAGCAAGACTCCATCTCAAAAAAAAAAAAAATAGGTTTCTCTAGGGGATACAGGTACATGTGTTAAGAGGTGGCCATCGAAATGTTTGGACTTTTCTGTGATTCTTACAGGGCAGGAACAAAGCTCAAGACAGCTAGTGGGCTTGCGGGGATTGAACGGGCTGACAGAGGTGGGAATACCATTTCCTTATATGTGAAACAGGGTTTAATGATCTGGCCTCTAGAGCTGTTCTGGGCTCAGCTGAAGCCCAAGTGCAAATCCCTTCATCAGAAAGTCCCAGAAGGAGGGACAAGCCTAAATTCCTCTGTAGGCCTTGGTCTTTTGAATGAGGGCAAATTACTTCCCTTCCTTGTTTCACTCATTTGTAAAATGGCCACTGCTGATCTCTGCTTCCTGACTGGTGAAGGTGTGGGGAGCTGGGGCCTTCTGGCAGGAGGCCCACTTCTGTGCCCTTAGAATCCCAAAGGGCCATTTCAGGACTCAGAGGAAAAAGGCTGGCACTTGGCTGGAGCCAAAAGGGCTTGTGCTAGAGTGGGTCATGGAAAAAAGAGCTGGGTCTGGAGGAGTGAAAGAGGAAGAGTATGGAGATGGGCAGTCCTGCTCTGGCCTCTCCTTGGGTCTTGGCAAGAAGGCCATTCCCATCATCTCACCCCAACTCTACCCATCAATAGCTATATACAGGCACCACAGCTTGCTCAGCTTGTGCTTTGAGCTAGATTGCTCTACCACACCTATTATGTGACCTTGTTTCCTCTCAGCCTCAGTTTTCTCATTTGTAAAATGGAGCTAGCACAATCTGCTTCTAAACATAGAACTAGAAGCACCACCTCCAGAGGAGATCTTGGCACAGGGTGGGCTGGTGACTCAACCAAGGACACTAGTGAGTTGCCATGTGAATTGGGATTGGAACTTAGACCTCCAGACCTTCAGATTGTTTGTCAGCCATCACCCTCAGATTTTCTCTGCCCTTTCTCTGCTTCCACATAGTCCTAGAGCTCAACAGTAACTCTCAGCCACAACCTCCATTGCTCCCAGCCACTCCGCACTTTTGCCACAGCATGAGATGCCCTGTCAGGGTCTATTTAATAGTAGGCTAGACAGTGAGCCTCAGAAAGCTGGCATGTGTCCCCAGTGCCTCTCATCTTTTCTTTGGCTTACTCATCTAACCATCCCACTTAGTCTCTGGCCCAGGTAATCTGGAACACTGCAGTCATGGGGATGAGGGATATTCAAGTCTGGGGTTCCCATGGAGGCTGGAGCCCGGACTTTACCATGTACCTGTTCCTGCGCTCCCCAACGCCTTTAAGCTTCCATTTTGATTTGGTTCCCACCTGTATCTTCCTCAGTGAACCAATCTGCCTTGGCAGCTGAAGGCTTTTTTCTACTGCTCCACACATAGCATTCTGTTCATATCCTTTCTCAATGATGGGCAGGCCTTGGTGAAACTTTGAGCTCACAGAGTTTGTTTTCTTGGCCACCCGGTGCCACTTGATCAATATACTGAAGTAGAATTAAGGCATGAGAAACAAGTATACTGCTAACAGCAGTTACTTTCTGTTACCTACTGCTTGTCTGGCTCTGAAGGCTCATTGTCCTCCAAGCCTTAAAACAAACCTGAGTGGAAACAGACTGTGAGAGATTTAGTAACTTGTCCAAGCTAGTAAGTGGCCAAGCTAGAATTTCAGCCCTACTCTGAAAAAGCAAGTACTTTGGCCATTTTTCTTAACTGTATCTCTGCAGGGTATAGATTTGATCTCCAAGAAGCTTTTTGCCTAAGTGGATGGATAAGCCTTGCCTAAGAAACCACACACCAGAAGCGGCACTGACAGAGATACTGTGTTGGGGCAGAGGCAGGAAGGGGGAAAGATCGGTTGCAGTGGATTTAAGGATAGTGAGAAAAACGGTTTGCTTGCCTGGCGTAGCCTGGAAAAGGAGGGTGGGTCCCCACTGTGACCAGCTCTGGATGCCCTTCGAAACAGAATGGGTTTTCTCTTCCAGGCACTGGGAGATCTTTGAAGGTTTGTGAGCAGAAGAAAGTAACACAGAGTCATGATTGAGGACAACGCATTTGGTGTAAAGTTTCTCCCTGGGGTAGATGTTGATTAAGGGAGGGGTGATTACAGGCCAGAGAGAGTTCTGTGAAACCCAGGACAAAACAAAATGGCATCTACTTCCTGGGAAGTTTTTTTTTTTTTTTTTTTTTTGAGACAAAGTCTCGCTCTCCTGCCTCAGCCTCTCGAGTAGCTGGGACTACAGGTGCCCGCCACCATGCCCAGCTAATTTTTTGTATTTTTAGTAGAGATGGGGTTTCACCATGTTATCCAGGATGGTCTCCGATCTCCTGACCTCGTGATCTACCCGCCTCGGCCTCCCAAAGTGCTGGGATTACAGGCGTGAGCCACCGCGCCCAGCCCTTCCTGGGAAGTTTTAAAAATGCACTGGAAGACTAACTGCCCCATTGTCGTTGAGGGATTACACTGATAAAGCTACTGGATAGGACATTCTGCAATATTTTCAGAAATATTTATAAAAGCTGCATTAAAACATGTAAAAATGCTTATGTTAAAAACAGTATGACTACTATTCTAGTATGACTACTATTCTAGTATGACCACTATTCTATTTAATAGCAATAGTAACATTATCATCCATAGGGGAAAATTGGAAAACAAGCAAATACAATAAAATGTCAACTGTATTTGTGTTAATGTGATGAGACTCATTGGTGTTTTTTCCTTTTCGGCCACTTTCCTACATTTTCCCCAGTTTTCTCTAATGATAAACATTCTTTTTATTTCTCTTAAAAAAAAACACCATGCGGACTTTTCTAAGTGTTACTTTGCCATACGTACGTGGCAGGGGAGTTATAAGGAGTAAATGAGCAAATACACGCAAATTACCCAGCACGGTGCCTGGCATAAAATCGGCGCTCAATGAGTACGAAGCGTGAAGGGTCGCCGGCCCCGCGTCCCCGCCTTGCAGGAGCCCGGACCCGCCGAGCAGGCTCCCGGTCCGGCCCGGCCCGGCCCGGAGGCCGATGCTTCGCGGTAGTGCCCTCGCGGGTCCTGCGGACTCGGCGCCCGCGGGGCCCACAGCGCTGCCCAGCCTGTGGACGTGGAGCCCGGGCCGCACCGCCGCACACGCCCCGGGCATCTCTGCGCTACGTCGCGCGCCCCCACGGCTCCGCCCCGTGGCGTAACCCGGGGCGGGGCCGCCACCTCCGATTGGCCGGCGCGCTGTCACCACGTCGCGGGAAGCTGGCAGGGTGTGTGTCTGTGTGCGTGTGGGGTTTGCTTTGTCATTCGTACCCCCGGTGCGCGCTGACGCGGTCGGCCTGGCCGAGCTCTCCAGCATCCGCAGAAGGGTCCCCGGCGCTGTTCCTGGGATGCTCCCTTACATAATGACGCGACTGGCTGAAGCGCACGTCAGCGCAGACACCGCACATGCCGCAAACCCGGGCCTTCCGATTTCATACATTGCTAGACGAGAGCCTACAATGCCATGCCGTACGGTATGCTCTAGTAGGGATTACAATACAATGAAACGCAACCCAATAATAATAAAGCATACCTTCGCAACAAGGCGTAATATAGGATGTTATATTTATAGGGCCTATTTATAAGCCTCTATTTAAATCTTTTCTGATAGGCTCAGCCGGGGACCCAGACACTATAATGATTGGCGCATTCTTCCGTCCTTCAAAGGGGCGGGTTCTAGAGTCAGTTTTGCCTCAGCGGGCCCTGGGATTGGCCGACAGCGGTTTACCGGTGGCTTCTATTGGCCTCCCGGGCCGTCCGTCGGAGCCGAGGAGGCGGGGCAGGCGGCTGGCTGGTGCTGGGCGGGCGGGCCCCGGAATTGTCATTTCTTTGTTTCCGAAGGCGGAGGAGGCTCCGAGCCCCCCCTCCCCGTGCTACCCCCTCCCCCCGGGTGCTGGCTCCATGTCTGTGTGACCGGCCTCAGGGGTAGAGTCCAGGCCCGACGCGGGGCGGGCCAGCGGCGGCGGCAGCTGAGGTGAGAGACGGCGGCGGCGGCGCGGGCACCCGGCCCCCCAGCGGGAGGATGAAGCGGCGGAACGCCGACTGCAGTAAGCTCCGCCGCCCCCTAAAGCGGAACCGGATCACCGAGGGCATTTACGGCAGGTGAGCGGCTGCACCCCCACTCCGCGGGCGCGGGCCCTGCGGTCCCCCTCCAGCTCCGAGGGGCCTGGCCCCGTTATGTAACCCCGAGTAGGCCGCACGCCCGCGCCGGGGGCTCTCCTAAGGAGCGCTGGCCCCGGAGCCGCTGGCCCGCCCGCCGGGGTCCGCCCCGGGTGCGCGGGGCGTGGCGAGGGTCGGCCCGGCCGGGCGGGCAGGGCGCGGCGGGCGCTGGCTGAGGGAGCCGCCGCGCCGCCGTTGGAAGCGCCGGGCCCGCCGGGGGGAGGGGCGGAGAGCCCCCAACCAGCCCGGCGTTCCTCAGCATCCCGGCCATGCCGCTGGGCCGGGAGGGCCGCTTCCGGGACCTCTGACTGGCCGCCGCTGGCCCCCGAGCCCCCCGGTGGCCTGGGGGCTTGCCGGCCGGAGCCAGGAGGCGCGTGGACCACAGCGCGGGGGGGTGGGGGAGGCTGACAAAGTTGAGAGCCCACTGTGGCCCCTCGTTCCCCCAAGCTGCCAGCATACTGGCCTGGGGCCATGCTGTCACTTCTTTCACCTTCTGCTTCCCATATGGGATCTCAAACTTGGCACCCAGGGCTGAAGCTGATACCCCCAAATCATGCCCTGTGGCCCTGCTCCAGATTCGGAAGGGTCTGATGACCAGTTTTTCAGCAAATATTGTTTTGACAATTCCAAGCAGATAGCTTGCTTTGAACGTTTTTAAAAAGGGATTTTCTCCAAACTCTTTTTTTTTTTTTTCATCCGCAAGAAAAGCAGTGTCCCTTTAAATAGAAATTGAATTCAGTCCACCGGTAGAGAAAGACAACAGGTTCATGGGGCAACTTACTATCATAGCTTCCCCAAGTCGATTTGTGTACGACTGTTATTTTCTGGTTCTTCTCAGAATGTTACTTGTAAATGGTATTTGCCTTGATACAGATTTCGGTGGAGAAGTAATTAGTTTACAAAGAAGAATTCTCAGCATGTGGATGTAGGCTTAATTGAGTCCTCATGGTGTTTTACAATTAGCTTCTCTAGCTGTGGGATTTCAAGAAATATGTGAGGTAGCTGATGACACCCAAGTTGTCTTAACATAACTGTACACCTTGCACATGCTCTTGTTTACAGATGTGGAATGATTGCTTTCCACAAGCAGCTGACTGATGTAAACACTGGGGATTTTCTTCAAGTTTAAAAGCATTAAGGAATCAAAGTAAAAATTTCTTGGGTATATTCTTATAAAATGAGCCATAGAGCATAGGAGTAATTCATTCATTCATCAGTTATATATACTATGTGCCAGGAACATTTCTAATCAGTGAAGATAGAGCAGTGAGTAAAACAGACTCTAATCTATGCTGGATGAATCGAACTTGACCATTTTAACTTGAACTGTGAAAGCAAACAATTTTTTCTACACATAGATGGAGGAAAGGTCTCTTCAATTCACGTTACATACACTATACATTCTTGAATTAAAGAAAGTTTTTCCCCTTTGGCTATTGAAAAATATTTGACCAACTTAACATTAATGGTAACATAAAAATAGGAAAGGGATATTAAACCGAGTTGGTAGACTTAGCACAACTGTGGCATTTGAATAGCTGCTATTTACAGTAACATAAGATGATGTACCTCCATTTATAGCAAGAAGATTGAGAGTCCCATATTGTTTACGTGTTTTCTGCTGTATTTCCATTTCTCTGTACTTGAACAAATAGACCCAGTTTACAACCTGCGCCATAATAGCTACTCAGTGTGAATCGATGTGAAGAAGTGAATTCATCGTTTAATGAAGATTTATCATCTTACTGATGGCTTTTGAAATTTGAATTTTCTTACCCTAAAGGTTAATTGTAAATACTCTTTGCAAGTTATTCAGAGGTTCATCTGCAAAATTTTAAAAACCGACAGTGCATTAGCCTTAAATCTTCTTATGCTTCTCTGTTTTGCATTCTTTAAGTTAAATGTTAATAAAAGACCTAAATGTATTTCTAACTGTCTTTCCTGGTTGGAGTATCATATATCAAATGAGCGTTTCAACTCACTTATCTGTTTCTTGGTTTATATTATGGAGTATTGGACTGAAGAACAAGATTTTTTTTTTTTTGCCCAATTCTGTTTTTAAAGAGATTTAGAAAAATTTCCTGTTATTTCTAAAGCAAACAGGATGAGTGGACTGGTTATAAACTAGAATGCTTGAGGATTCATGAATATCAAATTTCTGGTGATCATCAAATTTAAGTCTATGCTAAGTTGTTTTTCACACCATCTATTGCCCATTTTGTTTCTCAACAACATGTGGCCAATTTTGGATTCATTAAACAGAGAGCCTTGTTTTTTTTCTGGGGCCGTGTTGACAGTTTTGATAACCACTGTCTACTGTTTCATAGCCAAACCTTTCATGGACTTACTATTTTCATGTTCTCAGTCTGTACAACTTTCTGAGCCTTGGCATAGGAAGGAGGCAGCTGTGGTGAAAAGCGCACTGGACTGCAGGAATCAGGAGACCCAGGATCAGACTCAAAATCCCAGCTCTGCTGCTTTAGGCAGACAGGGCATCCACAGCTTTGAGCCCCAGTTCTCCCACCTTCAAATGAGTTTTGAGGACTAAAGGAGATATGTACAGTTTGTGAAATGCTTTATAAATCCTAGTGTAGTTTACAGATACTATTTACCATGTTGTTGCTATCACAGTTTAACGTGTGGTTAATTTTTTAAGGAGGCAGGAAATACTGTAAGATTTGGTGCAACTGTAAACAAAAGTTGAGTAGCCAAAACAAAGGGTCAGTTGCTGTTTGGTCTTGCTTTAAAAAATCCTGTTGTGGACTCACTTTTAAATCATGGGCTGCAGTCCAACAACTGTTACTGAGGTGACTGTCAAATGATATCATTTATTGTGAGTATCATGGCTGTCTTGGAATTCTGTTTCGGGGTGAGATGCAAGGAAAATTAATTTTAGACATTATGTTAATGTAATCTGCATTTATACATATAAAACATCATTTGAAAAGTGAAACATGCTATAGAAATATTTTAGTCCAGTTAATAATTAAAAATAGGAGAAAGGAAATAGGAATAGTGATCTTTTCATCTTACTAGGGGCTAAAGTTCGATGTAGTTTTAAAAAAATCTGACCCAGCCCAGAGCCTGACAGAGTCGACATTCAGTGTTCAATAAATGTTGAGTGAGTAAATTAATAAATGAATATAAGCTAGTCCATTTCATTCATGAAGTGCCTACGTTGTTCAGGGAATTGCGGAGGATACAGGATAACACATGGCTCATTGTCTTCAAGGAGTTTACAGTCTAGTAGGCCGTAGTAATACCATCTTAAATTTGTACAGTGGTTTAGAGTTTCCAAAGAACTTTAAGTTCTGTTCAAGTAAAAATATTTCTGTTGTGCTAAATTTTAGCTTACTGTTTTAGTGGTTCATCTGACACATTAACAGCTGTATTTTGCTCTGTGCTATTTTATGATAAAGTAGACAGTTGCCACTATATGAGGGAGTCTTTTCTATCTCAAATGAGATAGATATGAAAGTACTTTAAAAATTATGAACATAAGTTATTAAGTACCTAACTCTTATATTTCTAAGGTCCTTTGGTTTTCTGGGCTGGGTTCTCTCCTTGTGTCTGCCTAGACACATGTGCACCAGACACTCCCGATAGTAATATCTCATTGCAGGCAGTGATTTTCCAGGTGAGGTGAGGTTAGGGTACTATGTAGTTTTTAAAAGCCTTAAGGGGATTCTGTATGGTTTACCCCTACCTCTCACCCTGCCATACTTTCCACTCCCTTCCCTCAGAGAATTACTGACTTTATAATATAAAAATGAGGAGATAAGATGTGGTAAGTAGAAGAAGGAGGCAGAAACATTTATGTTTAAAGTATACATATATTCCAAATCGCTACAGTTAAATGGTTATTTATGCAAGTAAATATAATACGAATTTTAAGTAAGGTATATGTTTTAAGCTTCTGGGAATGATTTTATATCTGTGTTACTGGTGGCTGAAGGAAGTACCCTTTCACTGTGTATTTAAGACTGCTTCCTGTCTTCATGTACTGGATTCTGCTTGTAGTGCTGTGTGAAGCTTAGGCAGTGCAGTATTGTACCTGACTGTCATATTTTTGCAGCTTAATGCCTTAAAACTAGGACTAAGAACTCAGCACTGGTGTATATGTTATTATTTCCCATTTTTATTTCAGAGAAAAATTCTCTGGTCCTTGGGGCTCCTCAAAAGTGACTTTTTAAAGTGATTAAATTTTGCATTCTTCTCAACTTCCCAATTTCCTTTTTCAGACCCTTGTCTACATCTGATCTCCAGAGGTTTCATTTGACTGCTTTTTCTGCCTCCTTAATGATGTTTTCTAAGCCTAGTTTTAGACTCCTTTGGGCTATGCTTATTAAAGTCACTGCAGGCTGTCATGACCCTTGGCTGCCTTGATTGTACATGTGTTCTGCAACTGAAACCCCAGATACCTGTGTTGCAATCTCATAGCCTAAAAGCATTTTGGTAATCTTGGTAGGCTTTAACTTTAACAATCCTGGACCTGGCACGAAAGTGATAGATTCTGTATTGTTTTAGAGGAGTGTTGGGGAAGGAGAAATTGAAATGTTTTCACTAACCTGTGCAGTGAAGTGTTTATTAGCTAAACTCTTCTATTTGTGGTTTTCACAAAATACACTTTAAAAATCGGCCACACTGGGATGAAAAAGCACTTTCCTCCAACTTTCATTATGATTCTTCCTGTCTGAGCAGTCTTGGCAGTTTAGTTTCATTAGGTGTTTTGAAAATCCCTTTAAATTGCTGCTGGGTTGAGGAGGGGAACAGGAGAGAACGTGATTCACTTCACATTATTTGCTTAAAAGCTTCCTGTTTTATCATTGATAGTCTCCTTTTTCTTCACATCGATTCCTCATGGCCTCTCTTGAACCTCACTAGATTTAGAGATTGATCTTAATGGTAGGTTTAACAAATAATTATTTACATTTTCTTACTAGTTATATGCTTGTATATATCTCATGGACCCAGTCCATGTTCTGTAAGCATTTATGTTCCTAGAATCTTTTTCTTTGGCCATTTCTCCCAGATCTCCCCACTGATACTGTTAACCCTTTGGGGTTTTATGTATATAAAGTGCACTTTGTTTTATCTGTTTCTAGGCTACCATCTTGTGGAGTTTGGAGGGCAAGTAGAAATTTCACAAACATAGTTAAGTGAAATACTGTAATTAGGTTACTTTTCTTCATAAAATTTAGTGTGCTCTTCAGATATACTGATTAGTTTATCCCCAGGCTTACTAGATTTGGGCATAATTATTTTACTTGGCTCTTGCTCAAGAATTAAGTCCAGAAGAAAAAGAAGTTGGCTGTCCAGCAAGCTGCATAAGTAGGATGGTACATACAACAGTAGATACACATATCCTTGTTAGACTTTTTCCACTGTGGATTTCTTCAGATGCTTAAGTAGTGACTTTTCAAAGCCTCTCACCTTGCATCCTGGCAATGGAAGCTTGAAAAAAGTTAATCAACTTTTAGAGAATATTGAGGCTCTGTATCTTTAATTTGACATTTAACCGACATCAAATTGTCTCAGCTGATGAGCCTTCCAAGGCACTTGTCTTCCCTGGCCTTTGAAGACAGTCATAGTACTGACCTTGATTGCTTTATATTTTTTTCTCTGCTGCCTTTAAGGATGATATGCCCACTTTGAGTCATGGGATTGTGGCACCAAAAATAATGTATCCCTCACCCCATCTCCTCTGTTGCCTTCTCTTTTTCAGAGCTTTTGCATTTAGTGATTAAAATGGTGTGACTACTCCACTTTCATATATCTGTTCATATCACTGATGAGTTTGAGCTGTTTAGGACCGATCTCCCACTCAGCACAGAGGAGTGGCTAGAAATAATCTCATTCTGTTTTTGAATCATATTGTTACGTTGTTCATCTTCAAAACACTTTTTTTTTTTTTTTTGAGACAGGGTCTCATTCTGTCGCCCAGGCTGGAGTCCAGCAGCGAGATCACAGCTCACTGTATCCTTCATCTCCTGGGTTCAAGAGATCCTTACACTTCAGCTGACCGAGTAGCTGGGACCAAAGGCATATACTACCATGCCTGGCTTTTTTTTTTTTTTTTTTTTTTTGCGTTTTTGCGTTTTTATAAAGATGGAGTCTCGCCGTGTTGTATAGGCTGGTCTTGAACTCCTGGGCTCAAGTGAGCCACTCACCTTGACCTCTCAAAGTACTGGGATTATAG
Source organism: Homo sapiens (assembly GCF_000001405.40). NCBI lineage: Eukaryota > Metazoa > Chordata > Mammalia > Primates > Hominidae > Homo > Homo sapiens. The sequence continues at coordinate 25,437,435 of NC_000001.11, forward strand.
GCATGAGCCACCGCACCCACCCAACACTTTTAAAAACCAAATAAATAGCTGAGTACTAAAATCAGTACTTTGCCTATCTTGTAGCAAGAATAGTTGAACATTAAAGAGAATGAATACTATGTTCATGTCCAAAGTAAGGATTCCTGTCTCAGAAAAGAGAGATACTGTCTGAGGCTTGAGTCGTCTTGCTCAGATGTAATAAGAATTTTTGGCCGGGTGTGATGGCTGTAACCCCAGCACTTTGGGAGGCTAAGGCAAGAGGATTGCTTGAGTCCAGGAGTTCAAGACTAGCCTAGGTAACATAGCGAGACCTCATCTCTACTAAAATTCAAAAAAATTAGCTGGGTGTGGTGTCACATTCCTGTAGTCCCAGCTACTTGGGAGGCTGAGGCGGGAGGATCACGTGAGCCCAGGAGTTTGAGGCTGCAGTGTGCCATGATCGTGTCACTACACTCCAGCCTGGGCAATAGAGCAAGACCCTGTGTCAAAAAAAGAGAATTGGCTGGGCGTGGTGGTTAATATAATCCCAAAGTGCTGATATTATAGGCGTGAGCCACCATAATCAGCCCCCAATTTAAAGGAAAAAAAAAATCTAGAATGGAAATCGCTAAAAAAGGTTTTCACGGTTTTGTAGTATAACATTTTTATAAAGGTCTGTATAGACCACAGAGATATCAAGGACAGGTATTGTAACCTAATGCAGGTGGTGAGTTTTAGAATTTCTGTTTCAAGAATACTTTTAACAGTGTGGAGTCTATGGGGTTGAGGAAGGGGAGGGGTGAAGAAGCATAGGCGGAGAGAGAAAACAACTCACAGGCTCTAAAAAAACCTGTTAACATTATATAAACATTAGAAATTCATTTCATAAGGGAATCAAAATTATGCTTCATATAATTGATAGTAATAATCTGCTTAATCACACCTTACATTTCTGTCTTACTTGTAACTTTTCCAAATGTTTTCATATTATCTCATTTTATCCTCACAAGTGTGAAATAGGCAGAGTAGGTATTGCCATTTTATAGGAAACAAACCTGAGGAATAGAGAACTAAAAAGCTGCAAGGCACTATTGAAAGAGTACAGAAACAGAAGTTAGGAGACTGCAGAGAACAGTGTAAATTCTATGTGGAACTCTATGTTGCTGCTAAAATGGATAAGGGAAATTCTATATAAAGAAGTGGACATGACTGGGCCCCGTGGCTCACGCCTGTAATCCCAGCACTTTGGGAGGTCGAGGCGGGTGGATCACCTGAGGTCAGGAGTTCAAGACCAGCCTGGCCAACGTGGCGAAACCCCGTCTCTACTAAAAATATAAAAATTAGCTGGGCGTGGTAGCATGCGCCTGTAATCCCAGCTACTTGGGAGACTTGGGAGAACTGCTTGAACCCAGGAGGCAGAGGTTGCAGTGAGTCGAGATTGTGCCACTGCACTCCAGCCTAGGCAACAGAGTGAGACTGTCTCAAGAAAAATAAAATAAAATAAAAAACTAAAAAAAAAAGAAGTGGACATGTCAAACAGAAACCTGTTTTTGTTAAGAAAGAAACACATTTGTTTATATAGAAAAAGCAAATTATATTTATGAATTATATAACAGCAATCATCTTGGGGCAGGACTACTAAGGGCTTTTATATTATACATTATATTACCTTTTTAATAACAAGTATGTGTTGCTTCTTTTTAACTTCTCATTTTGAAATAATTTTAGATTTAATTAAACAGAAAAGTCACAAAAATAGTACAAAGTACTTACACCTTAGTGAAAGGCATAAGATACCCTATTTATTTATTTATTTATTTTTAAAGAAAAAAAATAGCCAGGCATGGTGGCTCTTGCCTGTCACCCTTGCTACTTGGGAGGCTGAGGTGGGAGGATCGCTTGAGCTCAGGAGTTGGAGGTTGCAGTGAGTTATGATCACACCACTGCGCTACAGCCTAGGAGACAGAGTAAGACTCTGTCTCTGAAAAAAATAAACAAACAAAAAAGGGCATATTTCACACTGTTAGATTTGTCATTGCAGTGGCTGCACATGTACGCGCGCGTGTGTGTGTGTGTAATTGACACTAGAAAGGTTCCCTTTGCAGTATGCAGGAGGCCTAGAATAGAAAAAAGAAATATAGAACAGCTTGGTCTTCTCAGCCTGCTCCCCTTTTTTGGATTTTATACAAGGAGGTGCCTGCAGAATGCAGCAGTGGTTCCAGTTTATTTTATGTTAAGGCTCACACACAAATTTCTGTTTTTTTTTTTTTTGTCAAAAAATTTTTTTGTCTCTGGATCTCTTTACACTCTTAAAAATGATTGAGGCTGGACACTGTGGCTCACACCTGTAATCCCAGCACTTTGGGAGGCTGAGACAGGTGGATCACTTGAGGTCAGGAGTTTGAGACCAGCCTGACCAACTTGGAGAAACCCCGTCTCTACTAAAAATGAAAAATTAGCTGGGCATGGTGGCGCATGCCTGTAATCCCAGCTACTTGGGAGGCTGAGGCAGGAGAATCACTTGAACCCAGGAGGCAGAGATTGCGGTGAGCCGAGATCGTACCATTGCATTCTAGCCTGGGCAACAAGCGAAACTCTGTCTCAAAAAAAAAAAAAAAGATTGAGAATATCACAGAGATTTGGTTTATATGGATTATATCTATCAATATTTACTGTATTAGAAATTAAAACTGGCTGGATGTGGTGGCTCATGCCTGTAGTCCCAACACTTTGGGAGGTCAAGGTAGGAGGATCACTTGAGCCCAGGATCTTGCTATGTTGACCAATCTGGGCAACATAGCAACATCCCATCTCTACAAAAAAAAAAAAAAAAAAATTAGCCAAGCATGGTGGTATGTGCCCGTAGTCCTAATTACTCTGGAGGCTGAGATAGGAGGATCACTTGAGCCCAGGTTGAGGTTGAGGCTGCAGTGAACTATGATTGTACCACTGCACTTCAGCCTGGGCAACAAAGGAAGACCCCAGTTCTGGGAAAAAAAAAAAAAAAAGAAGAAAGAAAAAAGTTAAAATAGAAAAATTTAAAACATTAGTTCACTTAAAAGTACCAATAAATTGCTGAGCACAGTGGCTCACGCCTGTAATCCCAGCACTTTGTGAGGCCAAGGCAGGCGGATCACCTGAGGTCAGGAGTTCGAGACCAGCCTGGTCAACATGGTGAAACCCCATCTCTACTAAAAATACAAAAATTAGCCAGGCATGGTGGTAGGCACCTGTAATCCCAGCTACTTGAGAGGCTGAGGTGGGAGAATCACTTGAACTGGGAGGTAGAGGTTGCAGTGAGCCAAGATTGCGCCATTGCACTCCAGCCTGGGCGACAGAGTGAGACTCCATCTCAAAAAAAAAAAAAAAAAAGAAAAGTAACAATAAATTAATAAATTCATGAGAAGACTGGTGTGGTTTTACATTTTTGCATAGCTCTTTAGTGTCTGGCTTACTAGAAGATACTTTGAGAACCACCGCTGTCGTCAGAGCCAGTGGCAGGTAGGCCAAATGGAGTGATAGTCTGGCACCCAGAACAAGGCTTATTAAATTAGTTTCTTCATAGTGAAGAACATTCAGAACAGATGGGAGCAGGTTCATGGTAATCGTTCAGGCAGAAGCTGCATTGGTTATCTTGGTTGTTGTTGCTTTGTCCAGACACCTTCCCAGTCAGTCACCTGTGTGTCATCTCTCCCTCTATATTCGTTGTAAGTATGTGCTTTGGTAAAAGTCCTACTGTCAGTCCTAAACACTTTTCTACATTACAGATCATTCATTCAACATTTTTTTTTTTTGAGACGGAGTTTTGCTCTTGTTGCCCAGACTGGAGCTCAGTGGTATGATCTCGGCTCACTGTAACCTCCACCTCCTGGGTTCAAGCGATTCTCCTGCTTCAGCCTCCAGAGTAGCTGGGATTACAGGCATCTGCCTGGCTAATTTTTTTGTATTTTTAGTAGAGACGGGGTTTCACCATGTTGGCCAGGCTGGTCTCGAACTCCTGACTTCAGGTCATCCACCCGCCTCAGCCTCCCAAAGTGCTGGGATTATAGGCGTGAGCCACTGCTCCCGGCCTCAACAAATATTTTTTGAGAAAAAAAATAGTTAAGATCCTGTAGTCAGAGTACTGTGCTGGGCACTAAGGAGATAAAACAGGGAACAAAATGGGCAGCTCCTTTTTTCTTGTGGACTTTACATCCGAACAGTTAATTACACAAAATATTATTTAATTATCATTGTGATTCAGTGTTCTTATAGTACAGGATGCTACGTGAATATGTAATGGGGTCCTAGTCTTTACTTTGGGGTTAGGGCGGCTTATTGTGAGGAAGTGATATTTGTGCTGTGTGCCGAAGGATGAGTAGCTATGGAAGTGCTTCATTTAGTTTTAATTGTACTTAGGTAGGGATCTTGGCTTTGACTCAGAAAGAAATGTAGAAAAATGGAAGAACTAACCCTGAACAGTTTGAATGTTCCCAGTTATGAGAAGGACAGTCAACCATTTGGTGATAAGTACGGATTATCTGATTAGGGCATTGTCTTTTTTCTGAGACATCCTGTAATTGAGTGGAAATTCCATGACAATGAGAAATTTATGTTATATACCAGTGCTTCTAAAATTTGATTGTATGCGCAAGTAGCCTAGGGATCTGGTTAAAATGCAGGCTTAGATTAAATAGGTCCTGAAATTCTGCTTTTCTAAAAAGCTAATATGTGATGGTGATTCTGCTAGTCCAGAGACCAATACTTTGATTAGCAAGGCTGTAATTAACAAATGGCCAGTGTGAGACTTCAGGTAGAGTACAAGCCAGATAAGGGGCTGAACGAATGTTCTAGAGGTGATGTCCAGTAGGGAGAGGTATTGGATAACAGAAAAGATAAAGCAGTTTGGTCTAGGAAGTATGGCAGATACTGAATGCAAAAGGTGACTCACAGTTGCCATTACTGAGAGGACAGGAAAGCTGGGATTGAGATGGATGGCTACTAGCAGAGCCAGTAAAATATTCCACAGACTCATTTCTGTAGTGAGGACCAAATGAACTAAATGGCCATTAGTCTGCCTAGGGAAAAGGTCAGGTACTAAGGATTGATGGCCAGCTGGTGGTAATTGTGTGGGCTCCAGAAAATGATCTAGATGATAAGCAGCTAGAGATACTGGAGAAAAGGTGCACTTTACTTGGAATAAGAAGAATGTTGAATACTGCTTCTCATTAATCATAGATGATTAATCTATGGATGGAGAGTACTGCTAAATGGATTGAGGTAAAAAAATGGTTGTAAATGGCAAAGGTAGGAATAGAATGGGGGGAAACCTTATAGATAATATTCACTTTGATAGAGTCACCACCATTAAGCCTAACAATTGCATAAGACTGCTTAATTTCATTGGCACTCGGAAGCTTACAAGACCATCAGAAGATGTTATTCATTTGCCCTTGTTTCAATATATTATTTTGGAAAATATCTTTTTGTTGCAGTTATGCTTTAAAATTTTGTTTAAGATACAGTATAGTTATTAGCAAATTTATTTGGATCAGAGAATCAAGGTAACATCAAATTAGCCATGAGTCATATAATGAACTGTGTATAAAAGTATTTTATATTTAATCATATTTTCTTCATGGTTTAAAAGAAATATTTTAGAATGCCATGATGGCTTAAATCCCTGTCTAATTTTCTCATCCCTTGGAATGTCATCTCTTTAGATTTGGCAAAAATCTTATGACCTTCAGAATATGAAAGGAGAGGAATTAGGGCTTTTACTGTGATGAGCAATTAATTTAGGTTACTTGTCTTTAACTTCTGTACATGTACCTACAGAAGGATAAGAGGCATGATTTACTGATGGAGAGGGCTAAGTGAATACTGAATCAGGCAGCTGTCTTAAACTTCTAAAACCTCTAAGACTAAAATGACTTAATAGAATTCAAGATTAGTCTTAGAGAAAGGTTTGTTAATTAGGTTGTCTCTTGATTTTGGAGGCAGGCCTGCCTGAAAGGAGAGCCAGAGGAAAGTTGAGGGTATGGCATACGTTTGTAAAAGATCAAGTTTTCTTAGATACCTGTACTTCTAAACTGTGACTCAGTAAGAACTGGGTGTCAAGGAACATCAAAGGTATGAAAGCAGTTGTTTGAAAAGAAATGTATCAAAAGGAACCCCGCCTTAAAGTTATGCAATTGAAAAAGAATAGTCACTAACAAAGATGGTAATTTTTGAACTACGTTAGTTTTAAATGATTGAATTATTAAAAAGTACGTATTCAACAGGCTACCATTCTTTGGATAATCCTATCTAAATAGTGAAGCGGAGTGTTGCCATGGCAGGATCTGACTGGGGTCTGACTGGGATCCTGCCATGCCTTGGGGGCATTTTGGGCAGAAAGCAATTGGTGGTACTCTTTCTTCTCCACTTTGGGAATGGTAAGGACTAGACCTGATGGGGTACCCTTCATGTCTCATTCAGCTACATTCCAGAGATAGCTCCATGGGGAAAAGGATTAATCAGGAAAAATAATATATTTCCATGCCCTTTTTTTTTTTTTTTTAAGAGATGGTGTCTTGGCCAGACACAGTGGCTCACGCCTGTAATCCCAGCACTTTGGGAGGCCAAGGCGGGCAGATCACTTGAGGTCAGGAGTTTGAGACCAGCCTGGCCAACATGGTGAAAACACGTCTCTACTAAAAAAATACAAAAATTAGCTGAGTGTGGTGTGGTGGTGTGCACCTGTAGTCTCAGCTACTTGGGAGGCCAAGGCAGGAGGATCACTTGAACCCGGGAAGTGGAGGTTGCAGTGAGCTGAAATCATGCCACCACACTCCAGCCTGGGTGATAGAGTGAAACTCAGTCTTTAAATAAATAAATAAATAAATAAAGAGATGGGGGTCTCACTTTGTTGACCAGGCTGGACTTGAACCCCTGGGCTCAAATGATCTTCCTACCTCAGCCTCCCAAATAGCTGGGACTACAGGTGCACACCACTGCTTCTAGCTATGCCATTTTTTAAAAAGTGCTCTGAAACCATGGTGGAGAGGCTGTTATTCCTTTTTCAAAACGTAGAAAGGGTTCTAGACACAAGGAAAAAAACTCTTAGTTTTAAAGTCAAGCACCTTGGAAATCTAGTTTCAAACTAGATTTGTGCTCCCGAATACCTGCATGAGTCAGTTGTGTTTTTTTGTTTGTTTTTGTTTTTGTTTTGAGACAGGGTCTTGCTCTGTCACCCAGGCTGGAGTGCAGTGGCACAGTCGTGGCTCACTGCAGCGTGGACCTCCCAGGTTCAAACAATTCTTTTACCTCAGCCTTCTGAGTAGCTGGGACTACAAGTGTGTGCCACTACACCTGGCTAATTTTTAAATTTTTTGTACAGATGGGGTCTCACTATGTTGCCCAGGCTGGTCTCGAACTCCTGGACACCTTGGCCACCCAAAGTGTTGGGATTACAGATATAAGCCACTGTGCCTGGCCCTCGTTTGTTCTTTGTAATAAAATGTGCATTGCTCTCCACTAGGTCAGTTATGGATTTAATGAGTGAGAATTACGAGGGCTCTATCTTCATCTGGCCAGCAGAACTCTAGTGAAATGAAACTAAAAGGTGGGACTTAGGATTCAAGACTGTGTTCTGGCCAGGCACATACCTGAAATCCCAACACTTTGGGAGGGTGAGACAGGAGGAGCCCAGGAGTTTGAGACCAGCCTGGGTAACATGGTGAGACTCCCATCTCTATTAAAAAAAAAAAAAAAAAAAAGCCAAACATGGTGGCGCATGCCTATATTACCACCTACTTGGGAAGCTGAGGTAGAAGGATCACTTGAGCCCAGTAGATTGAGGCTGCTGTGAGCTATGATCGTGCCATTGCACTCCATCCTGGGAGACAGCTCAAGACCCTGTCTCAAAAAAAAAAAAAAAAGATTGCGTTCTTTTGTGATTTGCTTTGGATTCCTTTATGGCATACCTCTTAGTAGAAACTTATTATCAAACCTAAAGAAGTTCTAAGGATAAATATTAGAAATCGACCCTAGATGACAAATTATGTATCACTGTGAATACTGTATCATTGAGGGTCAAATGTTTCTGTTCTTGACATCTCTTGCCTGAATGGCTTCAAAGGGCACAAAATAAATCCTCAATGCTGGATCCTACTTTTTTTTTCTTTTTTCTTTTTTTCTCTTTTCTTTTTATTATTTTACTTTAAGTTCTTGCTTTTGTTTTTGTTTTTTTCCTCCAAGTATGTAAGTCTTTTGTATCTTATTGGAATATATTTCAAAATTATTTATTAAAAATCTCAATTTTGTTGTTTTTTTAAATGACTAATTTGATCACATCAGTATTGGAATATTTGTATTACAAAATACCGTGCAAGGCTTTATCCCAAATGAAAGTGAATTTTAGGTATTTCCATTTTGTATATTGTGGAAAATATTTTTTAATACCTAAATTTGACCTCCAGAATTGGCAGGATTAGGAGCACAGAAATAGAGGCTTGTTAACAAGTAGAATCTAAAGGATTCTATTGTCCATTATGCAACTAATGAACTGGAAAATTGACCTATAGAGTATATGAAAAATAATATTTTTTTTCTGTGTCCTTGTTTGACCTACTGCAGTGGTTACATATGTGTCCTAACTGGCTTGTCTGAGTGTTTCTGTTTAACACAAGTCCAGAGGGAACTGGGAACACACATTTATATCTCAGCTGGAGCATGGCTTAGATGTTTAAGGAGTTTTTTCTTTAATGTACATTTTTATGCCTTCACAGCCCTTGGTAGTGATTAGCATCTGCTCCCTAAGTTTGTTTCTGTCTATTTGGGGAAGTCATTTGGTTTTTGTTTGGTTAATGCAGATGAATACTATATACAGAGGCAAGAGGAAAAAAGGGGGAAAAAAAGACAGAATTCTTTAAGCATGTAAGGATGTGCGTCAAGAATTTCAAAGACTCTTCAAACAGATGTATAGGGGTGGGGAAACAGCAAATTTGAAGCCTTTCAACTGTGACATTTTCTTCTAATGAAAAACAGCTTGAAAGCTGTAATTTTGAGAGTGTTGCAGTATTTTGAAGTCAGACACTTAGCACATTTTTAAAATAGTGGTGGGATTTAAATGGTTTTTTTCCATCTTAAGTAGAATTAAGCGTTTTTGGTATCATCTTATCTTGATAGTTTTGGGTCTGAGAATGAACACCAGAGCATTTAAAATGCAGATGGGCCACGGCAGCATCTCTTTTTTGTGCTTTATCTCCATTGTTTTCATGATATATGGAGGTATTTTTTTGTCGTTTTAAACAGAAACAGTGAATTTTCTATTTCTAGTTATTCACAAATGACCTTAAATTAATTCTTTATTTTTATATTTTGCAGTACATTTTTATACCTGAAATTCCTGGTGGTGTGGGCACTTGTCCTCCTAGCAGATTTTGTCCTGGAGTTCAGATTTGAATACCTGTGGCCATTCTGGCTTTTCATCAGAAGCGTCTATGATTCCTTCAGATACCAGGGACTGGTATGTCTGGTAATACATGTTTTCCATGTGTGGGGACCATTCAGCTGTTTAGAGTAGATGTTATTAGCAATACTCAGGTAACTATGTTAGGATTAGCTAATAGGGTCTGTTAACTGAAATTGACCTCTAAACTATTTTGTCTAAACCCATTGATCAAATAGTTACATTTTCTCCTCCTCTCCCATTCCAGTGAAACAGAACAGTGGAGGAAGCAATAATTACTCAGGCTTTTGGAGGGCGGCAACCTAGTCTGGGGATGGCATATTCCCTCCTCTTCCATTTCCCATTGCAACCATAAAGGCCGTTCCTACCTTAAAAAAAAAATTGCTCAGTCCTGCTTTGAAGTGTTTCTGGGTTCCCTGTTGCTAGGTTAGTGATTGGATTGGAGTTAGAGTAGTGTTTCAAACGTTTTGGTCTCAGGGCCCCTTTTCACTCGTAAAAACTATTGAGGACTCCAGAGAGCCTTTGTTAATGTGGCTTATATCTATCCAGATTTACTGTATTAGAAATTAAAACTGAGAAAAATTTAAAATACACACTTATTAATGCACTTAAACATCATAATAAGCCCATTACACGTTAATAGAAATTACATTTTTAAGTGAAAAATAGTTATATTTTCTAAAACAAACAGAATATAGAAGAGTGGCTCCATTTTTGTAAATCTCTTTAATATTTGGCTCAATGGAAGACACCTACATTCTCATATCTGCTTCTGAAGTCAGTCTGTTACTGTATCACATGTCATGTAACTTACAGAAAATTCCACCATATGCATGAGTGAGTGTAAAAAAGGCAGATAACATCTTAGTATTGTTATGAAAATAGTTTTAACCTCAAAGAGCCCTTGGAGGGATCTCAAAGACACCCCAGAAATCCCCAAACCACATTTAGACAGCTGCTGGATTGGAGCAAGCATAGGCCTGGGCTTGTTCCCTTGATTAATGTGTTAATTCTGTTGTGTTCTACAGCCACATCTTAAAACTATAACTCCCACCCAGGCCTGGTGCTTTGGTCAGAGCAAATCTATGCTTTAAAAAGATAGTTTCGGCTTATGTTCTATTGGCGGTAGTGGTGTCCAGAGGAAAGCTGCATTATTAAAATTATTATTAGTTTGGTGCAATTACTTTTGCACCAACCTAATAGCATCAGTATATTTCTTACTAATATTATGGTTCATCTGTGCTCCAGACAGCCTGTCTTTTAAGAATGAAGCTCTTTAGGAATGGTTTGTGAGGAGAGAGAAGACTTTTCTGTATTAAAATTCTAGTTTTTTCAGGGCCAGACGTGGTGGTTCACACCTGTAATCCCAGCACTTTGGGAGGCCAAGGCGGGCGGATCACAAGGTCAGGGGATTGAGACCACCCTAGCTAACATGGTGAAACCCTGTCTCTACTAAAGTTACAAAAAATTAGTTGGGTGTAGTGGCAAGTGCCTACAGTTGCAGCTACTCAAGAGGCCGAGGCAGAAGAATCGCTTGAACCCGGGAGGTGGAGGTTGCAGTGAGCCAAGATCGCACCACTGCACTCCAGCCTGGGTGACAGAGCGAGACTCCATCTCAAAAAAGAAAAAAGAAAAAAAAAATTCTAGTTCTTTCAGGTAACCCACATTTATTTGGAATCCAAATGAATTCACTGTGTTCCCACCTCAGCTCATTCTGATCCAGTTCTTTTTCATGATTTGAGGACCATAAAGTACTAGTATTCTTTAATGTTAAAGTAACCGCTACTTTTTATATGGTTGATTTTAAATGTTTAAAATTTCCTTTTGTGAATTTGCTTTACAGTTACCAAGTTATCTCTTAGCAGTTTCAATAATTTTGTCCAACATGTGTTTAACAATGTGTGGTTGAAAATAACAGGTTCTAAGATGTATCTTTTATTTTGTTTTATTTTTCCCTTTAGGCCTTCTCAGTATTTTTTGTTTGTGTAGCATTCACGTCAAATATAATATGCCTGCTGTTCATCCCCATACAGTGGCTTTTTTTTGCTGCTAGCACATATGTATGGGTTCAGTACGTATGGCACACAGGTAAGTCTTAATGATTTCTTAGATGGATAGAAATCTTAGATTCAAATTTTTAAATGTGGTTATTTCTTTGAATACATTATTTAGAGTTGAGTTTAATGTGGACATTTTAAAGTTTTCTTTTCTTAATAGGTTATAATATACCTTCAAAAATATATATCTTTTTTCGTTATTTGAATACAAACTTTAAGCTGTTATGATTTGATATTTTAATTACAGGCATTGCAGGTACCAGCTCTCACTCTGAATATATCTTTTTAAAAAAAAAATAGTTGGACTGATTTCTATGTAGGTATACTTGAAGACAGCCATGTGCCAAAAAAGAAAAAAAAATGTTCATGGAATTTCATCATTGAAAGGAATGTCATTTAGATGAACCCTTAATTTGGCAAAAGAATCCTCACAGCATCCCTGACACGTGGTGGTTTTACCTCTGATGGAAAACCTACAGTGACAAGGAACTTACCTACTGTTCCTGGTACCCTACTCTGTTTTTGGGCAGCTATAAAATAAAGTTATTCCTCATATTAAGCCAGAATTTTCTTCCTTAAATTTTGACCCAGTATGTCTTCACTGTTTTTGGGCTCGTTGATTTCTTTTTTAAAAATTTCTATTTTTTTTTAAGATGGGGTCTCACTATGTTGCCCAGGCTGGACTTGAACTCCTGGGCTCAAATGATCCTCCCACCTCAGCCTCCTAAGTATCTGGACTAAGCCACAGCTTGCTGATTTCTTAGAGGATCTAAAGAGGCTTTCCCAGAAAAATATAAGGGAATGTATAAAACTTTTCCTTAAAATGTCAAGGGGGCCAGGCGCAGTGGCTCACGCCTGTAATCCCAGCACTTTGGGAGGCTGAGGCAGGCAGATCACCTGAGGTCAGGAGTTTGAAACCAACCTGGTCAACATGGTGAAACCCCACCTCTACTAAAAATACAAAAATTAGCTGGGTGTGGTGGCACATGCCTGTAATCCCAGCTACTCGGGTGGCCAAGGCAAGAGAATCGCTTGAACCCGGGAGACAGAGGTGGCAGTGAGCTGAGACTGCGCCACTGCACTCCAGCCTGGGTGACAGAGCGAGACTCCATCTCAAAAAACACACAACAAAACAACACAAAATAAAAAAAATATTAAGGGCCCTACCAGACCATCGCCTCAATCCCAAACATTGAACCTCTGCATTAGAGCCACACTGAATGAATGTAATCTCCCTTCCACGTTAACATTTCTTTAGAGATTTAAAGACACTGTCATAACCTCTTAAGTCTTTTCTGTAGGCAAGAACACCTCTGGTTTCATCATCTTTTCCTTATATATTTTAAGCACTTTCACCCTCCTCGTCTGCCTGCCTCAGTGGTTCTCTACACTGTGGCAGGTATGTTCTGACTAGAGTAGAGCTCCCTACTTCTTAGAGCTATACTTCTGTCACTTCAGACTAAGATCAGATGAGATATTTTGACAGCCTCAGCCCACCGTGAAAGCCAGAGCTTGGTATGCACTAGGATTTGAGGATTGGCTGTCAGAGTCAAATTTGTCTGCAAAGCTGCATGAAACTTGATTCTTGGGCCTAGCTACAACCTGTAGGATTTTGACCAGAGAGGGAGCACCAAATAATAATAAAAGCTGTCTGGACCAATATTCATCCTCTTCTCAGAACTGCTAAGATAATGATGTTGGCCCATGTAGAAGACACAGTTGAGCTGTATTTTTTAAAGTATCTGCTATGAGCATGATTTTCTCCATGTTTCACACTCTTTCATATCTGACTTGATTTATAAGCTACTATGAAGGTTCTTTAGTCTGCTTTCCTCTAATTAAAGTGATTTTTCTTCCCACCAGTTTTTAATTTGTATTTTCTTATCCTGGGCCTCAGTTTCTAGTGAGCTGCCTTTTACACTCGTCACTCTCCCTAGGTCTCAGCTTCTCTGTTATATAAAGGTGTAGTAATCTAAATAATGGCTAAAGAACCTTCCACCTCAAATATTCTGTGACTTTGATGAGCTGTGGCGATTTCTTAAATTTCTTTAGTAATATCTTAGTAGTGGAGAAGAAACTAACCATATAACTATTAATAGAACCTATTGGAAACTAGTTCAGTGGTTGACCCACAGGGCAGCAGTGTAGCTAATGTCATAAAATGCTACTGGCCCATCTTTAGCCCTAGGCTCAGAAATGCATATTGGAATAGCTAAGTTATGAAATATGTTTTAATTTGGGATGACTAGTGCTTAAACAAACGAAACAAAAAACTACTCTTATTGGGCTGACAAATATGAGTGCAATTCCTATAACTTGGGGTAGTTGTTAAAATTTAAAATTATTTCCTGACAATATTAGGAATGGTTGATGAAATTACATATGATTACAAAGAATAATATTGTAGCATAAGCTTTTTTCCTGGTGGTTAAGAGGGGAAAAAAACAGGATATAAAACTGTACGTACAATATGATTATTATACTTGCTCAAAAATGCTTTCAATGTGATTTTGTTTATTTCATAGATGTAGAATACAGGTATTTTGTCTAATTTTTCTATTTTTTTCTGTAATGTGCTTATTATGTTTATAATAACCTTATAAATTAATATAGAGAATAGGGCAGATAAATATTTGAAAATGCATTTTGAAATGATTTTGAAAATGCATTGTTCTGTGGGTTGCTGTTCTTCCTCCTACATTGTGAAAATACCTATTTTTGGGCTGGGCACAGTGGCTCACACCTGCAATCCCAGCACTTTGGGAGGCCAAGGCGGGTGGATCATTTGAATTCAGGAGTTCAAAACCAACCTGGCCAAAATGGCGAAACTTGTCTCTACTAAAAATACAAAAATTAGCCAGGCATGGTGGTGTGTGCCTGTAATCCCAGCTGCTCAGGAGGCTGAGGCAGGAAAATCGCTTGAACCCAGGAGGCAGAGGTTGCAGTGAGCTGAGATTGCACCTGTACTTCACTGCACTCCAGCACTCCACTGCACTCCAGCCTGGGCGACAGAGCGAGACTCTGTCTCCAAAAAAAAAAGAAAAAAGAAAAAAAAAAGAAAAGGAAAAAAAGTACCTATTTTTGATATGTTAAATTCATAAGAGTGGTTGAGACCATTAGCTGGCTTCACAGAGCATCCAGTGACAACTTCACTCAGGTACTAGGACTAAGGGAGGTTCTCCTTAGAAGCAGATTTAGTACTGTCTCTGTGAACTTGGGCCCAGTTTATTTAAACTCTGGGGTTTACTCTTCAACAAAATGAGGAAGTTAGACAAAATGATCTTCCTAGTTTGAAGATACTATGATTTTTCTTTAGTTTCATCCCAAAGATCCTTAGCAAAAAGCCTTCAGGTCACTGATTTTTTCCCCCTCGTGCCCATGTAGTCCACATTCATAAATATCCCGTTATTAGTCATGTCCTGATATAGATGGACCTAGCCTGCAGATTTTGATTCGAAAAGCCAGTGGACATTTGCCTTTATTTGCATCTTATTTTGTTGCAAGTTGCTTTTTCCTCCCTTGAAAATTGTTTTTAATTACAAAGGGAATATGAGTTTGTGCTTCAGAAAAAATTTTTTTGAACAGTACTTAAGTGTCAGAAACATTTCTTTGTCCTACAACTTGTTCTTACTTAAGGATTATTTTTTTTATGTCATTCCATGACAATGCAGATCTTCCTCATTCTTTAGGAACCTTCAACATATTTCATTATATAGATTTATCATAAACAGTTTCCTGTTGATGAACATTTAAATTCTAAATTTTTGCTATTGCAAATAATATTACGGTGAATTGTTTTTTTTTTTTTTTTGAGGCAGAGTCTCGCTCTGTTGCCCAGGCTTGAGTGCAGTGGCGCAATCTCGGCTCACTGCAACCTCCGCCTCCTGGGTTCAAGCAATTCCCTTGCCTCAGCCTCCCGAGTAACTGGAATTACAGGTGTGCACCACCATGCCCAGCTAATTTTTGTGTTTTTAGTAGAGATGGGGTTTCACCATGTTAGTCAGGCTGGTCTTGAACTCCTGACCTCGTGATCCACCCACCTTGGCCTCCCAAAGTGCTGGGATTACAAGCATGAGCCACCACGCCTGGCCCTACAGTGAATTTTTTTTTTTTTTTTTTGAGATGGAGTTTCGCTCTTGTTGCCCAGGCTGAAGTGCAATGATGCAATCTCGGCTCACCGCAACCTCTGCCTCCCGGGTTCAAGCGATTCTCCTGCCTTAGCCTCCCAAGTAGCTGAGATTACAGGCGCCTGCCACCACGCCCGGCTAATGTTTGTATTTTTAGTAGAAACAGGGTTTTGCCATGTTGGCCAGGCTGGTCTTGACTCCCGACCTCAGGTGATCCGCCCTCCTCGGCCTCCCAAAGTGCTGGGATTACAGGTGTGAGCCACTGCGCCCAGCCCAGTGAATATTTTTATGTATTTATCTCAAGACTCTTTTATGTTTCTATGGGGTAGATTCTTAGAAGTGGAATTTCTGGGCCGGGCACGGTGGCTCACGCCTGTAATCCCAGCACTTTGGGAGGCTGAGGTGGGCGGATCACGAGGTCAGCAGATGGAGACCATCCTGGCTAACACGGTGAAACCCTGTCTCTACTAAAAATACAAAAAATTAGCCGGTCGTGGTGGTGGGCGCCTATAGTCCCAGCTATTTGAGAGGTTGAGGCAGGAGAATTGCTTGAACCTGAGAGGCGGAGCTTGCAGTGAGCCGAGATCACGCCACTGCACTCCAGCCTGGGCGACAGAGTGAGACTCCCTCAAAAAAAAAAAAAAAAAAAAAGAAGTGGAATTTCTGGGTAAAAGAAAGGTACAAGTATTTAAATTTAAATATACTGCCAAATTGCTATCTAAAATGGTTGTCCCAATTTATATTATTGCCGAGTATGAAAATGAACCTTTGCCCATACCCTCCCTATGCTATTATCTGTCTTTAAAAATTTTATCTAATAGTTAAGAAAATGGAATCTGATTGGTTTAATTTGTATTTCTCTAATCAGTAGTTAACATCTTTTTCTATGTTTTTTAGCCATCTGTATTCTTTTGTGACTCGTAAATTATTTTCTTTAGTTAGCTTTTTATTGATTTGTAGGAGCTCTTTGTATGTCAGGGCTATGAATCCTTTGTTTTACATACATTGTAAATATTTTTTGCCAGGATGTTTGTCTTTTATTTTTGTCAGCGATTCTGTGGAATCATTTGTCATATAAAAGCTTTCAGTTTGGATCAGTTTGCCTTTTAATTTAGTTTAGGTGAAGGTCTTAATGAAAGTTACTGTCGTCAAATTAGTCTCCCAAACAATCCATCTGTTAGTTACTATATCGTTTATTAATGCTTGCCTCTCTGCTGCTTTCTCACAGAAAGGGGAGTGTGTTTGCCTACAGTGTCTCTCTGGATCCTCTTTGTTTATATTGAAGCAGCCATTAGATTTAAAGATCTCAAAAACTTTCATGTAGACCTTTGTCGTCCATTTGCTGCTCACTGGTAAGTATTACATAAATGTATGTGTGTGTGTGTGTATATGTGTGTATGTATATATATGTGTGTGTGTGTGTGTGTGTGTGTGTGTGTGTATATATATATATATATATTTTTTTTTTTTTTAGACGGAGTCTTGCTCTGTCACCCAGGCTGGAATGCAGTGGCACGATCTTGGTTATGCAACCTCTGCCTCCCGGCTTCAAGCGATTTTCCTGCCTCAGCCTCCCAAGTAGCTGGGATTACAGGCGCGTGCCACCACACCTGGCTAATTTTTGTATTTTTAGTAGAGACAGGGTTTCATCATATTGGCCAGACTGGTCTCGAACTCCTGACCTCAAGTGATCCACCTGCCTCAGCCTCCCAAAGTGCTGGGATTATAGGTGTGAGCCAGTGCACCCAGCCAGTATTATATATATTCTTTGTCTATAATTCATTTCACTGTAGAATGTTAAGTTCAACTGTAAATTTATTCTTAGAAATTTTACATGGATCCAGAAAGCAGTACAGCATGGTTGGAAAGACCATGAGCCCCCCCTTTTCAGGCAGATGAGTGAATCCCAGCTCTGTCCTCTGACAGCTTGTGTTGCCTTGTCACTGCCTCTAAGCCATGGTTTTCTTACCTGCCTCACTGGGTCATGGGAAAAAGGAACTGAAGTGATACATGTATTCAACTTAATGCCAAGCACATAGGTGTCTGATGAATGTTAGCTATGTTTATTATAATCAGGTAATGATTCCAGAAGGTCTTGATGAAATATATGGCTAATTCATGAAACTTAAAATAATTTAGAATTTCCTTAGCCTATTTATAAAAGTAAGAGAATATTATTAATAATTTTTGAATGAATATTATTTCTCTTTATGTTAATGAATATTAAGATATTATTCATTTAATCTTAACCATGAAACATTTTTGAAAAATGAGCTTGGTTCTTATTTAGATCTATTGTGGAACTTACCACCTAATGTATGTTTCTCCTAAACACACCAATTTTTACTAATATTTATGGCAGAAACCAAAATAAACAGTAATCAACTAAAAAAATACTGTTTCCAGTATTTTTAGTCTTTTTACAAACAAGTAAATTAAATGAACTTGGTCAGTAAAACATGTCACCGTAAGTTTGTAGTGAGACCACATTTAGACTAATTATAAATTGATACATTTTCATGTTAGTGAAACTTATATGGGCTTGACAGTGTTTGCAGAGGCTTTGAAATGATGTTAGGCAGGCTGGTAAGTTCAATGAAAATATTTAACTTTCTATCCCAGAGATTAGAGTTCTAAGTACAGCTGGTTTAATTTGGTGATACAAACCAAATCTTGGCACTGATCATATCGGATACTTATTTAAATGATTCTTGAATTTATGTATGACAGAATTTATATATGACAGAGTGTTTGTGAACCAATCTTCAAGGAATAGCTGGTGACAGTACCCCTCAGGCAGCAAGAAGATTAAATTAGTCACCTGAATTTGACCCTGCCTTCTAGTATTGAAAATCAAATGATGTCCTTGTGATTTTTTTTTTTAACACTTATGTTTACTTTTGGCTACCTGTAAAGTCTCTACCCTTTTAGTTTTTAAAAGCATACAGGCCAGGCGTGGTGGCTCACACCTGTAATCCCAGCACTTTGGGAGGCCAAGGCGAGTGGATCACGAGGTCGAGAGATCGAGACCATCCTGGCCAACATGGTGAAACCCTGTCTCTACTAAAATTACAAAAATTAGCTGGGCATGGTGATGCAGGCCTGTAGTCCCAGCTACTCAGGAGGCTGAGGCAGGAGAATCACTTGAACCCGAGAGGCGGAGGTTGCAGTGAGCCGAGATCACACCACTGCACTCCAGCCTGGGCAACAGAGCGAGACTCCATTTCAAAAAAAAAAAAAAAAGGGTACAGGTATCTGCCTAAGTTCTAATGCATAAGGCAGTTTCTTCAATATTTCTTCAAAGGCATTATTAGCCACTGTATCTGACAGTCACTGTGGTGACTCCTTGAATTAATTTGAAGAATGCCAACGTCTAATGGGAAGTGTCGTCTTACGGTCTAGCAGTCCTGTTGTTCCTGGGGGTTTTGTTCTGTGTGCCAGTTGCTTCTGATTTCCACAGTAGACATTACATTTATTTGTGTGTCTAGTGAATGCTCTTCTCAACTACCATCATCAATTAGAATTTATTTTTAATTTTTAAGCCATAGGTATTCTCATGTGCTTGAGGCACATGTGGTTCATTTTAAACCTACAATTACTGGCTGGATTGTCTTCTTTCTAGTATTGGGTACCCTGTGGTAACTTTGGGGTTTGGCTTCAAAAGTTACGTAAGCTACAAAATGCGGTTAAGGAAGCAAAAAGAAGTACAAAAAGAGAACGAGTTTTACATGCAACTTCTTCAACAAGCTCTCCCTCCAGAGCAACAGATGCTACAGAAGCAAGAAAAAGAGGCCGAGGAAGGTAGGTCTTTACCCTAAAGCTGTTGGCTCAATAGGCTAGTCATTATTTTGTCTCTTGGTAGAATTTTCTTTTCTGGAAAAGTAGCTAGGATTTTGTTTTTTTCTGTCTAATGGTGTTCCTCCTCAGGGTCATTGTTTTATTTGGTCAATGAAATACAGATGGTGAATGAAGTTTTTTACATACTGTCTGAAGACTATGTGTTTAAATATGTTTATTTTATTATTTTAAAATATATTTATATCTTTTTTATATTTTAATTCTGATTTTTTTTTAAATTTAGTTTTTTGAGACAGGGAGGGTCTCACTCTGTTGCCTAAGCTGGAGTGCAGTGATAACAGTTAGGGACCACTGCAGCCTCAAACTCCTGGGAGCAAAGTAATCCTCCCTCCTCAGCCTCCTGAGCAGCTGCTACCATGGGCACGTGCCACCATGCCTGGCTAATTTTTTTTAATTATTTTTTTGTAGAGATGAGGTCTCACTGTGTTGTTCAGGCTAGTCTCAAACTCCTGATCTCAAGCAATCCTCCCACCTCCACCTTCTGAAGTGTAGGGATTACAGGCATGAGCCACTATGCCCAGCCTGTTTTACGTATTTTAAAATATATATTCTCAGCAACAAAATACTATGGAACTATGTGAACTGGTAATTGAAGCAAGCCAAGAACCAAAGTATAAGCACAATGGAGATGTAGACATGTAGAATTGAACTTCAGAAGCCAGATGTCTTCTGAATAGAGCCAAGATGGATAGGTCGTGTTCTAAATGCTTCATATAATGTAATGCAGATTTTAAATTGAACCATTTCTAATGGAATCTCTCTCATGGGCATTTGACCAATAGAAATAGATAATTGGCAGTAGCTAGTTTCCATTGGTTTGAAAGTTGAAAGTTTGAGGTCATGTTTTTATTTAATATATTTCAAAATTTTCTTTTTGTGTGATGTGGTGCAAAAATATCTCTTCAAGTAGACCTTAATAAATTGGAATGTGTAGACCCAATACACAAAATTCTTTCTGAGTGGTCTGGTAAATGATACAGACTTCCTTATTACCTCAACACTAGAGTCCAGAAAAAGGATAGATGTCCTGTATCCTAAAATTATTCCTCTTCTTTTGTTTCATTTAACCTCTTTCTTTTCAGTAAAGTTATTAACAGTTCGTTTACTCCAGGCACTTAAAAAAATATGACTTCTTAGGATCTGCCTTTGTCCTCTCACCTCAGTGATAGGCGAGTTTGATTTGACTAATACACAAAGTGTGACCTAATTATAAAACCCTGATCTTGTTTTCAAGACTAGACCTTTAGTGGCCATCATTTTCATAAATGATGATGATTTTCTAAATGTAGAGTTTCTCAAATGTATTTGGATTTTCTTCTATTTTTTCCTACATCTTCTAGTAAACTATGAGGATTTGCTTCTTGATTAGCGTATAATGAGTGTGCAAACTAATGTGAATTTCTTAAGTGTAGATAATAGTTTGTTGAATTAATCTGTGTTGTTAAACAACTAAATATTCCGGTGGGGGCTTTTTGTTTGTTGGTTTGTTTTTGGTATTGTAGCAGCCAAAGGATTACCTGATATGGATTCTTCGATCCTTATACACCACAATGGAGGTATCCCAGCCAACAAAAAACTCTCCACAACTTTGCCAGAGATAGAATACCGAGAAAAAGGGAAAGAAAAGGACAAGGATGCCAAAAAACACAACCTTGGAATAAATAACAACAATATTCTACAACCTGTAGACTCTAAAATACAAGAGATTGAGTATATGGAAAACCATATCAATAGTAAAAGATTAAATAATGATCTTGTGGGAAGTACAGAAAATCTCTTGAAAGAGGACTCATGCACTGCTTCCTCAAAAAATTACAAAAATGCCAGTGGAGTTGTGAACTCTTCACCTCGAAGTCATAGCGCCACAAATGGGAGCATTCCTTCCTCATCTAGTAAAAATGAGAAGAAGCAGAAATGCACTAGCAAGAGCCCAAGTACACACAAGGACTTAATGGAAAACTGTATTCCTAATAACCAGCTAAGCAAACCAGACGCACTGGTCAGGTAAGTGCACATGCTGCATCCTTACTAACACTTTCCAGTAAACTTGACATACTCTTGACATACTCCCATATGGGCCTGTAGGGATTGTTTGTAATCAGATATTGTGACTAGTGACGTGTGGTGTTTTACATGAGTTTGTTGGCCACCTTGTGTTATTGTGTTGAAGCATTGATTTCAGCTCTTTGCAGTGTTCTGAATAATGAGTGACACTGATTACTTCCCACATGTGACAAATTGACCTGTAACTTGATTCTTCTAGTCGTGTTGTAAGGCACTTCTTTGGTCCTTGTCCTTTTCTGTTTGCATGTCCAGAGTTCTCTTGGCGTAAACACAAAAAGAAGAGTTTGTGCTTGTTCACGCAAATCTCTGTCAAACAGATATACATTGCAGGAGAGGGGTGAGAAAGTTGTCCTTACTACTTTGTGCTTGTTTTGTTTTTCTGTTTGTTTTTCTGCACTTAGAATATGAATTATCCTAGATAACTCTGGGAAAGTTAGATTTGAAAAGCAATCTCTTTCACAAAAATCCATGGAGAAACAGTGTTAGACACAAAGTTTAATTAGGAATGTTGCTTTTCTCATTTTAATTAAAAGAATTTTTTTTTTTTTTTGAGACGGAGTCTTGCTCTATTGCCCAGGCTGGCACGATCTCGGCTCACTGCAACCTCCGCCTCCTGGCTCCAAGTGATTCTCCTGCCTCAGCCTCCCAACTAACTGGGATTATAGGTGCTTGCCGCCACGCCAGGCTAATTTTTTTGTATTTTTAATAGTGACAGGATTTCACCATGTTGCCCAGGCTGGTCTCAAACTCCTGACCTCAGGTGATCCACCTGCTTCGGCCTCCCAAAGTCCTGGGATTACAGATGTGAGCCACCGTGCCCGGCCATAAAAGAATAACATTGTTTTATTACATTGACTGGCTCAGACTTAATTTTACTATATTTTATATGGCTTATGTTAGGCAAACACAAATATGTTCCTTTCACCTCAGATCTTTAATTTGGAAACTGAGATCTAAACTGGAGCTTTTTTGTGTGTATGTAACTCAAGAGGGCAATTGAAACTCTCCCCTTCCAGTAAGTTATATTCTTCTTTCTCTGGCTTGCTTTAGGCAGCCCTTTAGGCAGTCCGTTTATTCTAGGAGGGAGGCTTTCCAGCATTATAAATGGTATGAACTAGATTATTAATTTGTTTTAATTTTCTGATTGGCAGTTAAACTAAGCGAGGTATATTTGGGTTCTACTAATACAGGCTCTAGAGGTTTCACAGCCCCCAGGCTACTTTTGGAAGTGTGCTATTTGCTGTTGCCTGGCTGGCATCCATATCCATTTGTTAGGACATTCTGGCCATTGTGCCCAGCAGAAAAAACACGTGGAAGAGAACTCTCCTCCAGATGCCCATGGGAGAAAGACCAATTAGTTTACCTTCTATTTCAGAGGAATATCCCACAAATTCACTAAATGCTATACACAAAACATCTGTCACAGCTATTTACCATCCTTTCTCCTACACATGTTTTTTTTTTTTTTTGAGATAGGATCTCACTGTTTTGCCCAGGCTTGAGTGTAGTGGCGTGATCACAGCTAACTGTAGACTCTACCTCCCCAGGCTCAGGTTTTCCTCCCACCTCATCCTCCTGTGTAGCTGGGACTACAGGCGCATGCCACTATGCCTGGCTAATTTTTTAATTTTTTTGTAGAGAGGAGATCTCGCCATGTTGCCCAGGCTGACACAAGTTTAGTAATAGCGGTCAAGCTATTACTAAATGATGGTTTGTGATATTGATTGACTCTACTATCTGATCTGCTTTTAGTAGAGAAGTTCAAGGACCCAGATGGCTAATTGTCCAGTAAGCTGGAGATGATGACATGGGTCCAGTGCCCCCGTGCCTACACCTAAGGAGTATGCTGCTTCTTGTGGTCACTAATGCGTACTCTGCCTTGACCTACAGTGTCCCAGGTATTACTCTGTTTTGGAGAACTACTTACTATCAAATGACTAATAGACAACATTATATTTAAGTAGGTTTATAAGCTCCCATGGTATTATTTTCAACTTTTAATGTTATAAAAAATAAGGGGATCGATAGACTGGATTAAGAAAATGTGGCACATATACACCATGGAATACTATGCAGCCATAAAAAATGAAGAGTTCATGTCCTTTGTAGGGACATGGATGAAACTGGAAACCATCATTCTCAGCAAACTATCGCAAGGACAAAAAACCAAACACCACATGTTTTCACTCATAGGTGGGAATTGAACAAGGAGAACACATGGACACAGGAAGGGGAACATCACACTCCGGGGACTGTTGTGGGGTGGGGGGAGGGGGGAGGGATAGCATTAGGAGATACACCTAATACTACATGACGAGTTAATGGGTGCAGCACACCAACATGGCACGTGTATACATATGTAACAAACCTGCACATTGTGCACATGTACCCTAAAACTTAAAGTATAATAATAATAAAATAAAATAAAGAATACTATGCAAAGAATATAGGTTTTTAAATCACACCTTGGTTGGATCCTGGACCTTCTATTTACTGTCTGAGTGGCCTTGGGCATATTATTTGACCCCTCTGATTTCCATTTCTTGGAAAGTTGAGATAAAACTAATAGAATAGTGCTGTTGTTAAGGTACAGGCATTCAATAAATGTTGGTTCTCTTCCTTCCCCCCCCTCAAAAAAAAGGGTGATGTAAATATCCAATAATGGGAGAAATTTAAAATAAATTATGGTCCATCCATTTGATAAACTTTTCATATAGATACTATAAAATCATACTTTCAAGCCATATTAAAGAATATGGGGAAGTATGTCAAAGCATTTCATGAATAAAGGAGAAAGCAATTTAATGAAAAACAATTTTTTCTAATATACATAGAAAAATGATTTAAAGGGAAAATAACCAAATTGTTAACAATAGTTGTTATCCCTTGATAGTATTGGGCATTTATTTTTTCTTTTTATTTTCATACATTTTCACATTTTTCTATGATGAACAGCAATGAAAGAGTTTAAAAGGAAAAGCCTCTATCTGAGCAGATTATCCAGCTTGGTTGGAGGAGGTCTTATCTTACTTCCTCCCACCCTTCCTTAGCCGTCGCCTCTGTTTCCTCATTTGACTTCATGTATGTTTTGATCCATGTCAATAAGATTGTGACTGATTCAAACCTGACATGTTTGAGTTGTTAGCTAGAGAGTGGGTTTGTTATCCAGATGGAGCAGCCTGGACTCAGCAGTCTCTAAGACCCCTTCTGATGCAAACATACAGGGCTGACAGTATGTACATGCACTGTTTGCTTCTGCAGGCATACTTGGGGTGGTGCACAGTTTCAGGCCAACAAACTTCCCCAGGGATGCTTTAGCGATAAAACTGATCTCTCCTTTTTTTTTTAATTTTAGATTTAGGAGGTACACGTGCATTCATATGCAGGTTTGTTGCAAGGGCATATTGCATGATGCTGAGCTTTGGGCTTCTATTGATCCCATCACCTAGACAGTGAACATAGTACCCAATAGGAAGGTTTTTCAGCCCTTGACTGCCTCCCTCTCTTCCTCCTTTTCAAGTCCCTAGTGTCTGTTGTTCCAGTCTTTCTGTCCGTGTGTCCCTAAGTTGATCTACCCTTTTCTAAGTGTTGAAGACAAAATTTGAAAACCAGTACTATATTAACTAACCAGTAACTCTACTGTAATAATATAGATTAATTGCAACACATTCTACAGCTATGTCTGTCTGAAAACTGTGGGTGAGAACTGCTATTTTTGAGAAACCAATTCAGTGACTTTTGGGGGGAAAATTCATTACTGCTCCACCAGTTTCAAGGAGAATTCTTATAGCTCGGTTTGGCTGTCCAATTAAGGTTTGATGGCTATTCCCTGTAAAAGGGCGGGCAGTCTGGCAGGTCTTTCTCAAGCTCTCTCAGCTCCAGGGATATTCTTTAGTATGCTGTATACCATGGGTTAGCAAACAACAGCACACAGGCCAAATCTGGCCCACTGCCTGTTTTTGTAAAAATAAATTTTACTGGAACACAGCCACTCTCATTCATTTACATCATATCAATGGCTGCTTTCGTGCTACAGTGGCAGGGCTGAATAGCTGCCACAGAGACTATGGCCTGCAAAGCCAAAAGTATATACTGTCTGGCCCTTTACAGAAAAAGTGTGCTGACGTCCATCATATAGTAGTCACTTGTTTTGACGATCTTTCCCCCTTATTAGATTGTGAGTTCCAGGGGGCAGAAGCTGGTTCTCTTCATTTTTAATATCTCTCTACAAAAATAGAGTGCTTAGTGAATGTTGAATCAATGAATGATATATGGTGACAAGGAACTGGGTGAATGGAAGAAGCTCTGCTTTACAAGGAAATACAGGAGAAAGTGGAGCAGAAGATGCTGGGTAGATTGCTAAGGTAAAGAAATGTGGAGGAAGGTGAGGAACCTGGGAATAAATAGGTGTTGCCTATAGGGTCCTTTCCTAGAAAGTTTGGGAACTTGCCAAAGGCAGTCTGGAGTACTCTGTTGGTTTTAGAAACATATACCTTACAAAATGACCCTGTTTTCTACCAGCTTGATTTCTGAATTGTTTACCTAAGATATTTAAAAACAGACTTAATGTTGGAAGCCAAAAATGGTTTTGATTCCAACATGAGAAAAATTCTAGTCAAAAACAGAAAAAGCAATGAGGAAGATCAGTTGTTTTAACTAAGTACTAAGTTGCAAAGGAATAATATAAATTAGAATAAGGTTGGTTTAAAATTTTTCCTCAGTGGTCAATTAAAAATATTTTAAGTGTGAAAAAAATCATTACAATTTTAGATAAAGGAAGAGAAAATAGTCCCACAATCATGATACAAATTGCTGTTAAAATTTTGTTGTCTTCTCTTAGGCTAATTATATATAGTTGTCATCATAGCATTTTATAGTGTTTTTTAAAATAGATTTTAATTTTTAGAACAGTTTTAGGTTCACAGAAAAATTGAGTGGAAGATACAGATTTCTCATATACCTGCTGTCCCCACACATGCCTAGCCTTCCCATTGTCAGCATCCCCCACCAGAGTGGTACATTTGTTACACAGACGAACCTCCATTGACACATCATTATCAGTTAGTCCACAGTTTACATTAGAATTCATTCTTAGTGTTAAACAGTCTTATGGGTTTGAATACATTTATAATGGCATGTATCTACCTAATGTATAATATACAGAGTAGTTTTACTGCCCTAGAAATCCTCTGTGCTCCGTCCATCCATCCCTACCCTCCCCTGACCCCTGAGAAGTGCTGATCTTTTCACTATCTCTTTAGTTTTGCCTTTTCCAGAGTGTCGTATGGTTGGAATGATATTACATAGCCTTTTCAGATTGACTTCTTTCACTTAGTAATGTGCATTTAAGATTCCTCCATGTCTTCTATAATTTCTTTTTCTTCTCTTTTTTTTTTTTTTTTTTTTTTTTGAGATGGGTTCTCACTCTGTCACCCAGGCTGGAGTGCAGTGGTGTGATCTCGGCTCACTGCAACCTCCACCTCCCAGGTTCAAGCGATTCTCCTGCCTCAGCCTCCTGAATAGTTGGGATTACAGGCAGCTGCCATCACACTCGGCTAATTTTTGTATTTTTGGTAGAGATGGGGTTTCGCTATGTTGGCCAGGCTGGTCTTGAACTCCTGACCTCAGGTGATCTGCCTGCCTGGGCCTCCCAAAGTTCTGGGATTACAGGCGTGAGTCACCGCACCCGTCTATAATTTCTTCCCCCACCCCCCCCCTCCGCGAAATGGAATCTTGCTCTTGTTGCCCAGGCTGGAGTGCAAGATGCTATCTCAGTTCACTGCAACCTTCACCTCCCGGGTTCAAGTGATTCTCCTGTCTTAGCCTCCCAAGTAGCTTGGATTACAGGCACCCACCACCATGCCCAGCTAATTTTTTGTATTTTTAGTAGAGACGGTTTTTTAGTAGAGATGGGGTTTCACCATGTTAACCAGCTGGTCTTGAACTCCTGACCTCAGGTGATCCACCCACCTCGGCCTCCCAAAGTGCTGGAATTACAGGCATGAGCCACTGCGCCCAGGCAATTTTTTTTTTTTTTTAATATAGAGACAGGAACTTACTATATTGCCCAAGCTGGTCTTGAACTCCTGTGCTCAAGTGATCAACCTGCCTCGGCCTCCCAAAGTGCTGGGATTACAGGCATGAGCCATCATGCCCAGCCTGCTCCGTGTCTTTTCCTGGCCTAATAGCTCATTTCTTTTTAGTACTGAATAATATTCCATTGTCTGGATATACCGCAAGTTTATCCATTCACCTGCTGTAGGACATCTTGGTTTTTTCCAAGTTTTGGCAATTATAAATAAAGCTATAAACATCTATGTGCCGGTTTTGGGGTGGACATAAGTTTTCAGCTTCTTTGGATAAATTCCAAGGAGCACAGTTGCTGGATCATAGAGTATGTTTAGTTATAAGAAACTGCCACAATGTCTTTGACAGTGGCTATACCATTTTGCATTCCCACCAGCAATGAATGGGAGTTCCTGTAAATCCTGGCCAGCACTTGGTATTGTCAGTGTTATGGATTTCGGCCACCCTAATAGGTGGATAGTGGTATCTCGTTGTTTTAATTTGCATTTCCCTGGTGACATATGATATGATGTTACATCTTTTTATATGCTTGTTTACCATCTGTGCATCTTTTTTTGGTGAGGTGTCTGTTAAAGTCTTAGCCCACTTTTAAAATTTGTATAAATTCATGGTGTACAAGTGCAATTTTGTTACATGCATAGATTGTGTATTGGTCAAGTCAGGGCTTTCACCCAAATAATATACATTTTACCTGTTAACCAACTTCTCATTATCGACCCTCCTTCTACCCCCTCGTCTTTCCGAGTCTGCATTGTCTATCATTCAACTCTGTGTCCATGTGTACACATTTTTTAGCACCCACTTATGAGTACAAACATGTAATATCAGGCTTTTCGCATCTGGCTTGTTTCACTTAAGATAATGACCTCCATTTCTACCCATGTTGCTGCAAAAGACATAATTTCATTCTTTATATGGCTGAACAATATTCCATTGTGTATGTATACCACATTTTCTTTATCCAGTCATCCATTGATGGACACTTAGGTTGATTCCATATCTTTGCTATTGTGACTAGTGTGGCAGTAAACATACAAGTGCAGGTATATTTTTGATACATTGATTTCTTTTTCTTTGGGTAGCTAACCAGTAGTGGGATTGCTGGATCAAGTGGCAGTTTTACTTACAATTCTTTGAGGAATCTCCATACTGTTTGCCATAGAAGTTGAATTGATTTACATTCTCACCAGCAGTGTTTAAGGGTTTCCTTCTCTCCACATCCTTGCCAACGTGTGTTATTTTTTGTCTTTTTGATATTAGTTCTGCCCATTTTATTTATTTATTTATTTTTGAGACGGAGTTTCACTCTTGTTGCCCAGGCTGGAGTGCAATGGTGCCATCTTGGCTCACTGCAACCTCCACCTCCTGGGTTCAAGTGATTCTCGTGCCTCAGCCTCTCGAGTAGCTGGGATTACAGACATGCACCACCATGCCCGGCTAATTTTGTATTTTTAGTAGAGATGGGGTTTCTCCATGTTGGTCAGGCTGGTCTCAAACTCCTGACCTCAGGTGATCCACCTGCCTCGGCCTCCCAAAGTGCTGGGATTACAGGCGTGAGCCACCTCACCCGGCCAGTTCAGCCCATTTTAAAATCAGTGTGTTTGTTTTCTTATTGTTGAGTTCTAAGAGTTCTTCGTATATTTTCGATAATAGTCCTTTATCAAATGCCTTTTGCAAATGTTATACTTTCAGTCTGAGGCTTTTTACTCTCTTCACAGTGTCTTTTATAGAGCAGAAATTTTTATTTTAATGAGGTCTAGCTTGTCAATTTTTTCTTTCATAGATCATGCCTTTAGAGTTGTTTGTGCAGTTTTTGTGTCCTGCTTTTTTCACTTAAATTATATAAAAATCATTTTCTCAACTTAGTCTAACACTCATTTTTACATAGGATGGAATATTCCATGGCAGGCCAGTGCGATCATTCAGAAATCATGCTCGGCCGGGCACGGTGGTTCACGTCCATAATCCTAGCACTTTGGGAGGCCAAGGCGGGTGGATCACTTGAGGTCAGGAGTTTGAGACCAGCCTGACCAACATGGTGAAACCTTGTCTCTGCTAAAAATACAAAATTAGCTGGGCATGGTGGCGCACACCTTTAACCCCAGCTACTTGGGAAGCTGACGCAGGAGAATCGCTTGAACCCAAGCAGCAGAGGTTGCAGTAAGCCAAGATCATGCCACAGCACTCTAGCCTGGGCAACAAAGCGAGGCTCTTTCTCAAAAAAAAATAAAAAAGAAATCACTCTCTAAGATCAGGCAGAGCAGGGTGCGACACCTGAACTGCTGTCCTGAAGTTTCAAGGCCTGCAGAGGAATCAACAATTTTGTTTGTACTTGCCACAAGGTTCCCTCTCAAAACAGCCCAAGACCATGTGGTTTCTTGTCGGCAATTGTTACTTCTTTCAGTTTCCTTGTTAAGGGAGAGAATTTAACACTTTGAGTTAACAAAATACTAAGTGATCCATAATCTGCAGAAATGTTAAAGCAAACGTCTCTTCTCTGTTTATTTCCATTCCACTGCCTTTTTTGTTAAGACAGATTCATCTTTTTTATTATAGTGTTTATTTTTAATATGGTATCAACCCTTTAAAGTAGTTGAATTGTATCTGGTATAAAGAGTCATAAAGGAAATGTATCCAGAGTTTGCTTGGTAGAGTACCATTTAATAAAACTGAGTAGAAATTAGAATGATGATTTTTTTTTTTTTTTTTTGCAAGTAGAAGAGATCTAAGAGCTATCTAGACCAGCTTCCTTGAACTCTGTTGTTTTTCATTTTTATCAATGAAGTAAATGAACCCTAGAAGATTACATGGCTGGTGTGGGTGACCAAGCTAGGGTGACGGTGCCAGGACCAGAACTGAAGTTTTTTGACTTCTGGAACCCTTTCTGTTACACCATAGTACTTTAAAAAATTTTTATCAACTTGCTTGCTTTTTCTGCTTTATATTTTTTTGGCTTTTTGTTTTGAATGCAAATACAACTAACATTGGCCCAAGGATTGGCACTAGAATGAGATTCTAGGATCTCATGGCTAAAATCTGTAGAAAAATTGGTTAGAATTTCAGATTTTTTTTTTCTACTAGAGAGGTGCTGTTGTGTGTTAAAAATTCTTGCTCTTGCCAAAGACACATGAGTGTACTTACTTATCTCTAAATAGAAGGGAGCCAGCTGCTTGTGTCCTTGAAAGCTTACAGGATCTCTGAGACTTCAACTCTGGTTAGGGCTAGCTTGGGAATTGGTCTGGTCCAGACAGCCTAGAGCCCCACAGCATGGGAATTGTTCTTTATGTCTGGAGTAGGCTTAGCTTGGCAGCAGCAGATTTAAGAGCCCTGAACTAGAAGACTTGAGACCAGAGATGTAACCATCAACTTACCCTGCAGAGAGGCCACCATTAACCTGGTTCCTCATTCTTGCTTCGAAGGCCTAGAGTCCTGGGGTGTGCACATTGCCATGATGGTGAGCTCCTAGAAATTTTGAAGCCATGGAAAAGAAAGTGCCTTTTCTTAAGGAGAATATGGAAATCTGGGTAAAGTGTAATATATTGAATACTCACTCTTTTATTCCGCTCCAAATTCATTTGGTTATTTTAGGCACATCAAAATGATATTACTTATAACTTGGTTTGCTCCCATAATTAGTTCTGTTTAGAGACTTGAGAGCCTGAAAGGAAATGGGGAAAACATTGCTCAGGATTTTTTCAGGAATCTCTAAGCAACTGGTAGACCTGCCTCAGAGAAGAGGGAGGCATAGAGAGGCACTTTGGGAGATTTTAACTCATTTGTTTACACTGAGGAGTGTTTTTTGGTTTTTTTGTTTTGTTTTGTTTTTGGAGACGGAGTCTCACTCTGTCGCCCAGGCTGAAGTGCAGTGGCGCCATCTGGGAAACTTCACCTCCCAGGTTCAAGTAATTCTCCTGCCTCAGCCTCCCAAGTAGCTGGGATTACAGGCAGTGCCACCACATCTGGCTAATTTTTTTATTTTTTTTAGTAGAGACGGGGTTTCACCATGTTGCCCAGGCTGGTCTCGAGCTCCTGACCTCAAGTGATCTGCCTGCCTTGGCCTCCCAAAGTGCTAGGATTACAGGCGTGAGCCACCACACCTGGCTGAGAAGTGTTTAACTTATACTCATATTCAAGTACTAATTTAAATTAACAAATCTGAATCTAGAGAAATATTTTTAGAGCATATATATTGATAACAACATAATCTATAAATAAGCTATGTAATGTTCTAGTCATCAGTGAGTATGTTGATTAGTATTGTGTTGTCTGTGATACGAGTTTTTGTGACTCATTCCTTTCTGGTTTAAGTTGGTGAGTGAGCAAAGTGTCATTGCCCTTCATTGTACTTTCTAGCCCACTTAAACCTTGTATTTATGTTTTATGATTTTAAAACATGAATCTGCCCTTTTTTCCTTAAAAGGGCAGATGAAGATAGCAAATGTTAAAAACGATCAGCTTTCCTCTGTGACTAGACTTTCCTGATGGCACACATTGCTCAAATGTGGCTTGACTAGGAATTCACAGACTTTCATACTTCTGAATTTAACCTTGTCTTCCAGCTACCAGCATTTAATACTGCTGTGTAACCTCTGACTTTTTTTTTTTTTTTTTTTTTGAGACAGAGTCCTGCTCTGTCACCCAGGCCGTAGTGCAGTGGTCCGATCTCGGCTCACTGCAACCTCTGTCTTCTGGGTTCAAGTGATTCTCCTGCCTCAGCCTCCCGAGTAGCTGGGACTACAGGCGTGCGCCACCATGCCTGGCTAATTTTTGTAGAGACGGGGTTTCACCGTATTGGCCAGGCTGGTCTCGAACTCCTGACTTTGTGATCCACCCGCCTCAGCTTCCCAAAGTGCTGGGATTACAGGCATGAGCCACCGCGCCCGGCCAACCTCTGACTTTTATAAGACTCCTTGGTGTATTTGGTCTTGCAGTTTAGGAAAAAACTAAAGTAGATGTTTTAGGGTACTTATTTTTTGTTTCTCCACATTATAAGATGTCTACACCCAATTTAAAATTACACATTTGTTGAATAGAAAGGACTATATTTTTAGATACTGATTTTTCATAATCAGTGGATTCAATATGATTTGGTGTGAATAACTATAAAACAGAGCAAAGTGAAGAGAGAATCCAAGATGTCCCTATTTTGTGATCTTAGAGAAACATTTCAAAGCCACTAGCAAATTTGGGGGCTAATGCTATTTACTATCTATCTTTCTATCATTCTTTATCTCTTGTAGGGAACTGGCCTGGGTCAGGGTTAGGAGTGGTTGAGGCTGGCTCCTAGCTCCAGGGCAAGAGAGAAAGTTGCAACAGAAGGTGGAGAAGAAGATTCAGAGCATGTAGCCCAAGGTTGTTAATAGGCATGAAGCAAGAATAGAATCCAAAGCTGGGACCTGACCATTGGGTTGAAGCAAGACAGAGCGGTCAGTTTAGGAGACAGAGCCTGTGAGCATTCCCTGGACTGGTAACCCAGGGGCAGGTGGCCTTTCATGGAGGATTCCATCCTTCTCCCAAGGCCCTGATGAGTCCTTAGTGGGGAACCACAGTAGTTAAGTGGGAAAGATAACAAACAATTATCTTGAAAGGTGCAAGCCCATCTTAAGGTAATTAAAGGAACCCAAGATTGTCTGCTAAAGTGGGGTGGGGAGGGGGCAGGTAGCAAAACAGATTGTATAGTATGAATCCATGGAAAAATATGGGTAGGGGCCGGGCTCAGTGGTTCACACCTGTAATCCCACACTTTGGGAGGCTGAGGCAGGTGGATCAGTTGAGGTCAGGAGTTTGAGACCAGCCTGGCCAACATGGCGAAACCCCATCTCTACTAAAAATATAAAAATTAGCTGGGCGTGGTGGCATGTGCCTGTAGTCCCAGCTACTCAGGAGGCTGAGGCACGAGAATCACTTGAACCTGGGAGTCAGAGGTTGCAGTGAGCCAGGGTCGCACCTCTGCACTCCAGCCTGGGCCACAGAGTGAGAACCTGTCTTTAAAAAAAATTAAAAATATATATGGGTAGGGCCGGGTACGGTGGCTCACACCTGTAATCCCAGCACTTTGGGAGGTCAAAGCAGGTGGATCACATAAGGCCAGGAGTTCGAGACCAGCCTTGCCAACATGGCAAAACTCTGTCTCTACTAAAAATACAAAAATTAGCTGAGTGCAGTGGCGGGTGCCTGTAATCCCAGCTACTCAAGAGGCTGAGGCATGCAACTCACTTGAACCTGAGAGGCAGAGATTGCAGTGAGCAGAGATCGTGCCACTGCACTCCAGCCTGGGCGACAGAGCAAGACTCTGTCTCAACAAAAAAAAAAAAAAGAAAGAAAGAAAAATATGGGTAGATATATTTCTCATGTGCACAGAAAATTACTTGAAATATATACCAGATGGTCAATTGTAGTTGGCTGCCAGAGACATTTACTTTCTGCATTGTTTATTTCTGCATAGTTTAAGTTTTTATAACATGCTTATTATACCATAATAGAATGTAAGCTCAGTAAGGACAGGGAACTTATTTTCACTGGTTTGTCACAGTACACAGTGCTTGGCTAGCACAGAGTAGATACTCAGTAAATACTTGTTGAATTAATAAATGCTACCTTTGTGCAGGGAAAATACTAGGAAGCAGGGAGGGTGGCACCCAGTAATTTTATCACAGTGCAACTCAAAGGCTTTTGAAGTTAGAAAACCTGAATATCACATTAGACCCAATCGAGGACTGCACATCCAGTGTCAAACTCTTTGTTATTTTTGAGGTTATTAATAATTTTATTTCTAAATAGAAAGTCTCTTTGCTCCAAACCCCTTTTCTTGGTATTTCACAGAAAGTTTTAAAATCCAGCACTCCGTCAGTAGTTTTTCCCAAGGCTTTGAAAGAGGTGTAAGAATTTCTGGAAGTTACAAGGGAAAAGAGGAGAAAAGTCCTCTGAGACACTGTTGTCAAAAAAGGCATTTGCTCTGGCAGTGGGGTTGGTTGTGCTTCAGGGCCAAGGAATCTAGACAGAAGCCTCATCTCAGCCAGGAACAGGGAAGATAATCTCAGTTTGCCTTGTCTTATTCATCTTTTCTGGTGGGTCTAGCCCTCTCTCTCCTCGCCAGTCCCAGATCATTCTTTGTCTTTGTGGTAGCTGGAAATACAGCTCAGATCCCACATTAAAAAAATATATATATTATACTTTGAGTTCTGGGATACATGTGCATGAGTTCTGGGATACATGTGCAGAATGTGCAGGTTTGTTACACAGGTACATACATGCCATAGTGGTTTGCTGCACCCATCAACCCGTCATCTACATTAGGTATTTCTCCTAATGCTATCCCGCCCCTAGCCCCCCACCCCTCAACAGGCCCCGGTGTGTGATGTTCCCCTCCCTGTGTTCATGCGTTCTCATTGTTCATCTCCCACTTATGAGTGAGAACATGCGGTGTTTGGTTTTCTCTTCCTGTGTTAGTTTGCTGAGAATGATGGTTTCCAGCTTCATCCATGTTTCTGTTCCAACCTTCTCTCCAAGGAGATCCTCCAGGTTAGAATATGTGTTTGGCTGCTTTCTCTCTAATGCTACAGAGAGAATGTTAAATTTGTTTGTTCTCTTCTGCTTTGAATGCATTTTGCTTGTGTCAGGAGTAGTTTGCGGAAGAAAATCTGATCTTGGTAGACAGTGATTCAGGCTTTGGGGGTTCCCCTAGCTGCTTTCCCTACAGGTGGCTACACAACAGGGTGCTGACAGATTGCTGCAGAGTCACCTGCTTGACCCCTCCCTGAGTGATGGCGACCACAGCCGGCCTTTCTACTTCTGTGAGGCATAAAATAATTTTTCGGAACAGCATTATTCTAGCTGAGATATAAAATTATAATAAAAATGTATGAAATTTTAGAATGGGAACTGTGAAAACTAGACACTTAGATGTTCTAGCTAGACTAAATTGAATATGTTGGCTATAGCTGCTGCTGAATTATTTGGAAATTATCAAGTGGGAAAAAATAAGTAGTAGAGACATCTGTCTAGTAAGTTTAGTGTGTTTTCTGTCTCTGTGGAAACATGTTTTTGATTTATGTTTTTCTAGCACTATGTCTGAGCAGATATACTTTGTCGGACCTGATTAATTTTCATTTTCTGCTATAACCATAATATTTTCTATACCTATAGTTTGACTCTGTTTATATTAATATACAATATAGTTTGAGTTTATTTTAACCATTGCAGGAATTTAAAACTATCGTATTCTGGGATATAAATGTGGTAATAGAGGCATGATTTTATACTTAAACAGGGTTTTTTGTGGCTTGAAAAACGTGGCATTTTAGAAACTAGGCATAAGTGAATTTAAGCAAACAGTTTACCGAATGTCTCCATATCTAAGAGGCCAAACAGGAAGGTGATTATGGTGTATGGATAAATTATGAAGTAACATGTAGGTTATTGGGGAGGGGGCTTCTACATAAACATGAAAAAAAAAATTTTTATGTTGAGTCCCGAGAGTTCATTCTATCAAAACTGATTTCTAGATAGGCTGTTTGAAAGTTTACTCCCTAGAATTGAGAAGGAACTATTACAAAACTTTGAAAGGCTTTGTGTTAAATTCTGAGTCAGTACCTCTGTTGGCATATAATGAATTTAGTTTTTCATCTAAGGGGGTTAGGGGTGGATTCCCTGAAGGGAAGGTAACCCCAAGGAAAAGGAACCATATTCTTTAAATATTATTCATGCTATCATTTAGAAACTGGCTATTTGGATACTTTGCCAGCCAATGTGGGTATATTTCATCTTTGCAAATCTCTTGGGTACCTCTTAGATCTTTAAAACCAACTTTCAGTTTCTTTTTTATAGGTAGAATGACAACTCTCCTCTATCACAAGGTACATTTCACTTTTCTTGTTAGAGTGTTCCAATAGATTCAAAACAGAAACACAAATTAATGAATTAGAAAGGACCATTACTCCCCCCACACTCTGCTCCAGAGCAAGTATTGCAGACTCAGACTCCTACAGGAGTGAGTGAGGCAGGCTAGGGTGAGCACTCTGGAGTCTGGCATTGTCATCATTCTCATTCAGTACTGAACCTGACACCTAGCATTTGGGGAGCATAAACCCTTCCAAAGGGGACAGCCAGTTGTTGCCATGGGGGATTGTAGGCCCAATGTTGCCAAGTCTTCTGATACTTTGGGGAGATGCTGAAAATATCTTTACGTGAAACCTCTCAGTTAAAAAACTTTTTTTTTAACATCATGTAGGAGGAGGGTCAAACAAAACATGTTTATGGGCTATATTGGCTCACCAGTTTGCAACCTCTGTGCCTCACTTTTTCTGTTATACTTGTGTTTTGCTCCCTCTAGCCCTCTGGCCCCACCAGTGAAAACTTGACTTTCCTTTAGCAAGGACTTTTCTATTAGGGAATACCTGGTAAATCCTATGAACTAATCTGCCATATATTAATGGGACCTTTTTGCTTTTTCTTCTTCAGTCTTCTGTGCTCCTAGAAAATAGGCCATGTTGATGGTACCTCTCTAGAGTGAAACACCACTCCCTTTACTGTTAAATTCCCACACCTGACTGTGAGGCTTTCATACCGCTTAGAAGGAGAGGGGACAGCCTTGTGATAAGGGTGGTTTGGGGCCTTCTGGCATTCCTCAAACTATACTGTGCAGAGAGCTGCTTACTCCATCTGTGTCTAGGACTGGTAACTTCTTCTACATCAAGATATTTTTCTACTGTGTTCTCAGAGCACAAAATACACCAAAACTCAGGATGTGGGTCCTGCTTCTTCACAGACGACACAGGGTTGGCTTAGAATTTGAACTTCGCAGCACCATTTCTTGTAGCGTGTGGTACAGTGAAGTCTCAAGTCAGAGCAGTGCCTCCTCTCCTGCAGTCAGTGTTGTACGTAACCAAGAGATCTTTCCAAAGAGAGCAGGACAAACAGGACAATAAACTGCAGCTAGAGAATCTAAATTTAGAAAAACTATTATTTTGATAGGAGCAGATGAATAGGAAGTAGTTGAGGTAGATTTAAAAACTGAGGCATTCTCGGCCGGGCACTTGGCTCACGCCTGTAATCCCAGCACTTTGGGAGGCCGAGGCGGGCGGATCACGAGGTCAGGAGATCGAGACCATCCTGGCTAACACGGTGAAACCCCATCTCTACTAAAAATACAAAAAAATTAGCCGGGCAAGGTGGCGGGTGCCTGTAGTCCCAGCTACTCGGGAGGCTGAGGCAGGAGAATGGCATGAACCCGGGAGGCAGAGCTTGCAGTGAGCCAAGATCGTGCCACTGTACTCCAGCCTGGGCAACAGAGCGAGACTCGGTCTCAAAAACAAACAAACAAAAAACAGGCATTCTCTGTATCAGAAAGTTAAAGTTCCCCTTTTTTGGAGTGACCTAAAAAGTTTATGTTGGCTGAGCATGGTGGCTCACGCCTGTAATCTGAACACTTTGAGAGGCCGAGGTGGGAGGATCACTTGAGTCCAGGAGTTAGCTTGACCAGTCTGGTCAACATAGCAAGACCCAGGCTCTACAAAAAAAAAAAAAAAAAAAGGAAAAAAAGTAAGAGACTTGGATTTTCCCTAAGGTTTTGGGTTGTTCTGAAACTGCCCTGTTACATGGGCAAATCTGAGAGTGTCAGTGAATGCGGAACAGAATGGGGAGCAGGTTAGTAGTATCCTCTTTTAAAATTATCGAATAATAATTAAAATGTTAAAAATAAGTTATGCATATTATATCTGATTTTGAAAAGGAAGAGATAACCACTATTTTATATCCTCCCAGCATTTTTCTCTTGCATATATATTCTTTTTACAAAATTAAGCTCATACTATGTATGTTTTGTAGCTTTTATTTTTCACAGACTCTATCATGAGCATTCTTCCATGTCATTGAATATTCTTCATTGGTGATTTTTTAATGATTTAATTTTTTAATGACAATCAAATATGAATGTACTGTAATTTAGCCACCCTTCTGTTGACTATCTAAGTGCTTCTGATTTTTTCTTATTACAACAGACAAGCTTTTACATAAGATATGAATATTAATGACTGCTGATACACACTTGTCAAATCTGACTAGATTCCTTTATGGACCTTACTAAAATGACTAGTTCTTGGCACTCACAGCTTTATTCTTGAAGAACTTTAAGAAGTCAGTAAGTACCCTATTTCCCTAAATGACCAGTTGTGTGAAAGTCTCTAGAATTCTTTTCTGTCTCTCTTTGCATTCCTTTAGGAAAATTAATGTGTTTGCCTTTTGTGTTTGACAGATTATGGAGCAGAGACATAAAGTACTTTGTAACATGGCTTCACCTAGTAATCAGGTCATCAAGCTCTTGCTTGTTTTTGTACACTTATGCCTTGTAGTCACTACAGTGACACCAGAGGCAGCTTCATGTCAGTATTTCCAAATCTGTGGTTTATACCTGCTACACTGAAGCAGGGTCATGTTAGTGTAGGCCTCACTTAAGATGGGATATATCTACCATATTCTTAAAATACATTTTTCTGTGAATGACCCAAGCTACCTGTCCTGTCAGTGTGAGTGACCTGGAAAGGAGAGAGGGAGGAGTTGGTATAGAGGGTAATCAGTATTTCTTCTGAGGACAGAGCTTTGATTTATGAGCTCAACTTTCTGCACAGACAGCTGTGTGGTCCTTAAACAAGTCTTGTCTTGTATGATTAATGTGTACCAGGGGAACTCCTAATGGAACTAGGTACTAATCGAGATGAAGCAGTTGCTCTTCATTAATTCTTTTCATGTGCACCTGCCTTCCTTAAAAGCAAATGCCCACTTACCCCTGTTCCCTTCAGCCACTATTTAAATTAAAAATCAGATGGTCTGCTGTAGATAGGTTTCCAGAGCCTCTTATGTCGTAACACTGACCCTGTTCCATTGTGAGCACTGAGGAGATAGACACAGAGTGAAGATTAGTGACATGATCTATAAGGATTGGAAGAAACTTTAGAAATACAGTCCCAGCTTCTAATTTTGTAGCACAGTCCCTGGCTTCAAAGAACTTATAGTCTTGTTAGAAATACAATACAGTCACAGGAAAAGATTAAACATCAGAACAGCAGCAACAAAAAGAAGCCCAGCACAGGGCGATGGTTTGATGCCAAATGTGAAACACTAACATGGAGAGCTTTAGGGTTTTAGAAGGAGAAGAGATATTGGGCACCGTGTGCTGGAGAGTTTAATTTTTGTTGTTTTTTAACTGAGCCTTGAAGAATGGGTAAGATTGAAAAATGGAGGCCATTCCTCCCAAAGAGGTAACATAGTAAAAGGCAGAAAATGTCTGGAAAACAAGGAGTGGGTCATTTTGGCTGATGTGAAGGGTTTGTTAGAAAACCTACCTTTCAATTAGTTGGCTGTATAATTTGGAGATGACTTTTTGAAGCCCCTTCTCCTACAGAGCAAGCAGCAGGGTAAATTCTGTATTGCAGAGCCTAGAGCCTCTCTGTCACTTGCTCTTTAGAGTTCATAGATAACCAGCAAAGCTGAGGCTCCTTATCATCCCCAGGGGTTCATGGGGTCCAACCTGCAGCCCACAGACATATATCTTTAGGTGGTTTTCTGGAATGGGTATGGGCTGTGACTCATAGTCACCCCTAGGTGAAGTCTTGGCTGAGAAAAAGGTCTGCTTCTTTTTTATAAGACTTGATTCCTGGGGAAATTTACTGCCCTGATGCCTTAAACTTCCCCTATGCTTTCAGTCAGGCCTCATAAAGCTGAAGTCAGGCTTAAAACCATGAAGTTATTGGCAGTAGCCACTGAAGACTTTTAAACTTTCAGTGAAGGCATAGTGGTGTGGGCTGTAATTCAGGTAATTCACAAGAGATAAGAATTACAAACATTTAGACATAGTATCTCCCTACCTTTTCAGATACTTAAAAACAATACCCATTTCAACTAAAAGCTAATACTTAAATACTGTGTTTCAGCTGGGCGTGGTGGCTCAGGCCTGTAATCCCAGCACTTTGGGAGGCCAAGGCAGGCAGATCACTTGAGTTCAGGAGTTCAAGACCACCTGGTCAACATGGTAAAACCCCATCTCTACAAAAAATACAAACATTAGCCAGGCATGGTGGTACAGGCCTATAATCCCAGCTACTCAGGAGGCTGAGGCACAGGAATCACTTGAGCCCAGGAGGCAGAGGTTGCAGTGAGCCGAGATCATGCCACTGCACTCTAGCCTGGGCGACAGAGCGAGACTCTGTCTCAAAAAAATTTTTTCAATAAATAAATACTGTATTTATTTTACCACCAGGTGTTCTTCCAGATACTCAAAGATATTTTTCCTCTTTAGCCTGTCTGAAAGGCTAACATTTGAACTTCATTCCTTTGGTCAATTAGCAGATTGCCCTTTATTAAAATGTAAATCTCTTCCTCTTAAAATTAAATTTAAATAATTATTAATCATTTACATTACAGTTTATCTTAATTGGGTAGGATTAGGGAGAAGGTGAGATATAGTTAAGGTTTGGAGTAAGAGTGATCCTTAAACTTGACACTTTTGCTTTGAAGTCAGCCTGGCATCTGACACAGGGACCTGAGAAAGTGCTGCTGTATGGGTCCCAACTCTTGCTGTGAGTTAGATAATAGGATTCAGAGGTAGCTTCACAACTCCCTTAGAAGTTGAGTGCTATCTTTTGAAATTATCAGTAAAGTGAGTAGGAAAAGTTGCCTGGACCTGATGTGTAATAATTTAGAACCCTGGCTTGTTCAGTTGGACAAAAATGGACATATTTATTGTACATATAAACTCCAGCTTTGCCATGGGCCCTGTCTGTGTCCAAAGTGGTGATGCCACAGGGCAGGCCTTTGTAAGGGTGAAAACTGGTTCCACAAGAATTAGGCAAGAAGGAAGTGCATTTATTTCCTGACTAAGCCTTATTAAAGCTTGGTCCAGATGTATCTGGCCCATTATTTTTTTTTTAAATGAGATTGTAGCTCTTCTGGAGAAAACTACTCTTTTATCCCTTAAAATTCTATAGTCTAGGGAAGAGTGTGGCCCTTAACTCAGATAAAAGGGGTTTGATGTTTTCCTCCATTCTCTCTATCCCTGTCTGCTGAGATTAGTTTCAAGGCTTATAATCTATTACTTCTGCCTCGTTTTCTTCCTGATCATTGCTTTTAATTTAGGTTTCAGCTAATGACATTTTAATAAAATCATATTAATACATTTGGCGATTTTGCATTAACCTTTTAACACCACTTAATAAAAACTTCTTTGTACTTCACACTAATAAATTATATATCTGTATTTTACCTATAAAGTATTGAACTTCAGCACCAAAGGGTTAAGTATGCCATTAAGACAAATAGTAGTTATCTGTTTAATAAATGCTTCTAGCACTCAACTATCTTGATTCAGTTCAATTTGCTAACACATACTTCTTTTTTTTTTGAAATGGAGTCTCTCTCTGTCGCCCAGACTGGAGTGCAGTGGTGTGATCTTGGCTCACTGCAACCTCTGCCTCCTGACTTCAAGCGATTCTCCTGCCTCAGCCTCCCCTGGTAGCTGGAACTACAGGCACAAGCCCAGCTGCTTTTTTTGTATTTTTAGTAGAGACAAGGTTTCACCATGTTGGCAGGGTTGGTCTCGAACTCTTGACCTCAGATGATCTGCCCGCCTCAGCTTCCCAAAGTGCTGGGATTACAGGCCTGAGCCACTGCACCTGGCCACACATAATTCTTTCAAAACTCATGACATACATTTTTCTATTGGGCAAATGCAAAAATTGAGATATATCTTAGAAAATAGGATTGTATAGTACGTCCATACAATGGAATATTAGTCAGCAATTAATTAT
The DNA here is from genome assembly GCF_000001405.40 of Homo sapiens. Classification (NCBI taxonomy): domain Eukaryota; kingdom Metazoa; phylum Chordata; class Mammalia; order Primates; family Hominidae; genus Homo; species Homo sapiens. Next base: position 25,479,838 of record NC_000001.11, read on the forward strand.
TTATGGAAAATGTCTAATAGTGTGAGAAGGTACTTGTGATTTATAAGCTGTATATGTGGTACTCTCTCACCAATATTAAATATATTTACATGTACGAAGAAATAGAAAAAAACATACAGAAAAGAGGTACACCAAATAGTGAGCAGTTCGTCTGGATAAGAGGATTATGAGTTATTTATATTTTTATTTATACTTTTCCATTGTTTATTCAGTTTTTGATACTGTGACTGGGTATCAAAAATAAACTCAATGCAGGTGGTAAATCATTTTGCTGCCTACCTTAGTAAAGATTTAAAATATATAATGGACATTCAAGGCAAATTAATGCTTTCTGTAGACAGCTAATGAAAAATTGTCCATCATAAATTTTTTAAAATTGCTGAGAATTTTGCCATTTACTGTTTTATGTTATCCTGCATGCCATTAGCCATTGGGCAGTGTTCTTGTAGAGCAGTGTTTCTTAAACTGGGAATGCTGGTGTTAACTCTCAGGCTTGCTGCAGCAGTTTGGAAAATAATTCACAATTTGGAAAATAATTCAGTTTTACAAAATTCATGGTAGCAGTTATGAAAATCCTGAAGTATTTTAGTTCTGTGTCTTATGAGATTATTTTATTTTTTAAATAAACCTTTTCTTATTGAAGTATAACATATATACACACCAGTGCACAAATCAAGTGTTCCATTTATGAATTTTCACAAAGTGAACACATTCCTGTAACCACTTCATTTTATTTTTGTTGTATTGTGCCACTGTTAGTCTTTGATAAAATTTTTATATAAGCTTCACATTAAAAAATATATTGTTGGCTGGGCACGGTGGCTCACACCTGTAATACCAGCACTTTAGGAGGCCAAGGTGGGTGGATCACCTGAAGGAAGTCAGGAGTTCGAGACCAGCCTGGCCAACATGGCGAAACCTCGTCTCTACTAAAAATATAAAAATTAGCTGGGCGTGGTGGTGGGCACCTGTAATCCCGGCTACTCGGGAGGCTGAGGCAGGAGAATTGCTTGAACCCAGGAGGGGGAGATTGCAGTGAGCTGAGATCAGCCTGGGCAACAGAGTGAGACTTGGTTAAAAAAAAAAAAAAAAATATATATATATATATATATATATATATATATATATATATATATATTTCATGTTCTTTGGTCTTCAGAAGTTATAATCTAGATATTTTATGCTTTTTGGTCTCATAACTGCATTAGCTCATTGGATTTTTACATTTTTCAAGGAACTCTAAAATTTCGCTCAGAATAAATATTGTTATTTTTAGTTTGTGGTGGGAAAAGATTAAAAAATGAAAGAAAGTAACAACTACAAAATTCTCACAATCTAGCCTCTACAGATTTAATTTTTCTTTCATTCCCAACTGTGGCATATGTTTTTCCCCAGCGACTGGTTGTGTGGAACTTGATTCCTGTGCATCTGCATATGATGCAGCTTAGTTTGCTAATCTAAAGAGGCAAATCAGCAGCCATCTGTAAGTGTGTCAGGCCTAGAAATCCTAGCCCAAACTGGGAGGAACTTTAGAGTTATCAGCCGTAGATGAGGAAACTGAGGCCTGGAAGATTACACACCTTGTGCAGGGTCAGAGAGTTGGCGCCAGAGCTGAATGTAGAACCCTGATCCTAAACTCTGTTACTAAACCAGGCTTAGCCCCTATTTTCACCTAAAAACTCACCCTTTCTACTGAAAATGCAATCCTCAGACTGTGAAATCAGCTTCTGAAGAAAGACAAATTACCTAACACATTTTCAGCCAAATTTCTCAAAGAGGATAGCCTGACAGCATTGACCTCTTTCGGAATATATTCTTTGGGCTACTTAGGAGTGAATGAGAGACAGTATGGTGATGGTATAAATGCCGATCTGTAATTGTTTAGAGCAGTTCTGAGAGTACATTCAACTGGAATAACTCTGGCAATAGGGAAAGTGTGGTGTGATGTCGACTTGTGACCCTTCCCTGGGGAGCAAGCTGTCAGGACACCCAGCGGTGCTTTTGGAACAAAAGGTTTCTAGGCCATGCTCCCAGGCACTGGACAGGAGGACTGGCTACTTGCACCTGCAGGGTGACTGTCAGTGTTTTATGATTTGGGGTTTTGGGGGTTTTTTAAAGTTGCCTAAAGGTAGATATGTAAATAAAGCTGCCCTATGTCAGGCAACATTTATTGAGTAAGCGTTGATCACTGTGGAGGGCTCTGGGGATTTAGTGCTTAATAAAACATGTCTCTAAGACTTAGTCTTTGGAGCTGACAGTTCCAAAGAGATCACCATTGCCCTTCAGAAATCTTGGTTCTGTTGGTATGTTGAATTAGTGACATGAACAAGAATCTCATCAGAGCAAACTGACTTTACCTACTTGTGAGTTTGTATCCTGATGGAAAAAGCCTCTTCTAAATAAATATTGTTATTCCTAGTTTGTGGTAGGAAGAGATTTAAAAAATGAAAGTAATAACTACAAAATTATTGAGATCCAGCCTCTGTAGATCTAATTTTTCTTTCATTCTCAACTGCAGCTCACATGGCAGCCATCCTTGACCTGACCTTCAGCACCACTCTCCACAGTCCTATCTACCAGATCTGTTCTATCCTTTCCTACTCTCTCCCCAGTACAAGCTTTTCTCAGAAGCCAGACTAATGGCTTGCCCGCACATGTCTATGGCTGTTCCTGCCTTTGAGTTTTTTAATACATTTCTCCCCTCATTTAGAATGTCCCCTCCTCTTCTACTTCTCCAAATCCTATCCAAACATCAGGGCCCAAGTCAATCTCTACCTGCTCTGCAAAGCCTTTCCCAGTCTTCTCTCCTCAGACTCACATAGCACTTCTTCCTCTACCATGCTGTGGATGACATGGCTATAGTTTGGCCTAATGGTGAAGAGAATGGACTCTGGAGCTAGACTGCCTGGATGACCTTGGGCTGCATCCTTTCCTAGCCTAGAGTTCTTCATCTGTAAAAATGGGAATAGGAATTGCATTTGGCCCATAGTTGTACAGATTATAGGATTAAACCCTATAGAACAGTGCCTGGCCCATAAGTTCTCATTAAATAGTAGCTGTTGTTATTATTCCTTCTGGCATATATTTAATCATGGCCTTCCTTGTCTTATTGTTTAATCATTTAAATTATGTATTTCTTGGTTCCTATTTCTTTGTTCCTAATTGTGAAGTTTTCCCATGAAGAAAGAGACTTGATTTTATAGTTTTCGTTTGTTTGTTTTTTGTTTTTTGAGACAGAGTCTCACTCTTGTCACCCAGGCTGGAGTGCAGTGGCATGATCTCAGCTCACTGCAACCTCCACCTCCTGGGTTCAAGTGATTCTCCTGCCTCAGCCTCCTGAGTAGCTGGGATTACAGGCACGCGCCACCATGCCCAGCTAATTTTTGTACTTTTAGTAGAGATGGGGTTTCACCACGTTGGCCAGGCCGGTCTTGAACTCCTGACCTCAGGTGATCCGCCTGCCTCGGGCTCCCAAAGTGCTGGGATTACAGGCATGAGCCACTGCGCCTGGCCGATAGTTTTTGTTGACCATTTTCAGCACTACATATGCATAGTAGGTCTCCAATACCTGTCACTTAAAGTGAAACTATTACTGCAGTAAAGAAAATAGATGGAACAAGAGTAAGGAATTGACGAGAAAAGATAGGCTTCATTTTACAGATGGAGTTCTCTTATGATTCTTAGAGCATGTAATTTGTTCCTTTTTTCATTGTTATTGAGTCTCGTGAGCTCTTCTGCCGCAATCACCAGAGTTGTGAACGTCATTCAGCAAGGATGCTGCAATTTCTGGAGGTCGTCGCAGACCGTTTTCTTCTAGGCCCATGGTGGGACGCAGTCTCAGACAGTAGATTCTGATTTATCAAAATATCACAAAGCATTAAGTGGTAGGTCATGTGCTAGTTGTTTGAACATATTTCCCTTGCTGAGGGCATGAAAAGCCACCAGAAGGGAGCCTTTAGTCTTCAGCCACCCTCTCTGCTGTCCCTTTCTCCTTTATCAGCAGCTCGGATGGATATTCACAAGCACCATACTCACCTGTCACTATTCATAAACAGGGGGAAGTTGAAAGTTACACCCCAGTAGGAAGAGGTAGGGACCCAGGTGGAATCATTCAACAAAATTAACCCAGTTGCAGACAGGAGTCCTCATCATGGCAGGAACTGCCAGCGGGGTCCTTTTTCTGCCATTCACCCAGCAGTCCAGGACCCCCACCAGGTCCCTCCCAGCTCTGTGGGTGCCCTCACCTAGATGAAAATGCTGCATTTCTCATTCTCCTAGGCTGGAACAAGACATTAAAAAGTTAAAGGCTGACCTGCAAGCCAGCAGACAAGTGGAACAAGAGCTCCGCAGTCAGATCAGCTCCCTTTCGAGCACCGAGCGAGGGATCCGCTCAGAAATGGGCCAGCTTCGGCAGGAGAACGAGCTGCTGCAGAACAAGTACGTGCACCTTTCAGGCCTTTGGCCGTAAGCCCGGCAGCTTCACTGCTTCTCCTGTTGCCAGGGGTTGGAGCACAAGATTTATGGTGACAGAGACCTGCTGAGAGGTTTTTAAATAAAATGTTTAAAATACTTTATTTAGTACCAGATATTCAACATGTTTATAAAATCTATAAAAACTTATTTCATTGCCACAAAACAGTTTATTAATATTACTGTTTTTGTCTTCTCTCATTTAATAACTTCTTAGTTTAAAATAGTTATTGAGTTTTTGGATAGTAAAATTGACAAGAAGTAGTTCTGTCACATTTTGAAAATTTTGCTCCTTTGAGTGAAAATTTCTAGAGGATTTGACTATATTTACTTTTATTTCCAGAACTAAAAGATGACATTGAACTTTGATTTTATTTGAAAAGGCAGGCAGAAAGCCAGGTCTTCTGTGTGAATTCATTTAGGCTTTTGATTAGTTCATTCTGGAATTACTTCTTAACTCAGTGTAGGTCTGTCCTTTTTTCTTTTTTTAAATCTCCCAGCAATGTGTGCCCGTGGTAGTGATGATCATTACAGGCTGTTGGCTTTCTGGGCTTTCCCTGTTGAAAGAGGAGTTCAACATTTTTAAGGAATGTAACTCAAAAGCTAGGGCATTACAGGCAAATAACCTCTCCATTGCCTCTGACCAGCATTTGTGGTGGTTCTAGCATTGATATGTAGAGAACATCCCAGTGATAAACTCACCTCATGCTGATAGGTAAAGCTGGGGGTGGTAGTAAGCAGGAAATATGGCTGAAATTTCTATCTGAAATTAAGCATCCTGTGACTCTAAAAGAGGATTTGGGGACACTGTGAGCAAACATCCTGAGCTGGAAAGGAAAAGCTGTAGTAGGCTACAGCAAAATTGTATTCAGGAAAAATAAAAACCTTCCCCTTTCCACCCCTTACCTTAGTTTCACTGGGGCTGGTCCCATCAGTGGTTCTTTGGTGGGACTGAAGTTCTTTCAGGGTGCTCTGGAACATTAGAATTAGTTCTACAATTATCTTCCCCTCTGTTCAAAATTTGTTTTACCCTGTTTTCTGGATGACCTTTTGTAGATCACTTACTTGAACAGAGCAGAGGCTAGGTCTTAATCTCTGTTTTGTAAGGCAGCTTGTTTATTGGTGTTTAGGAATTATTAAAGAATAACAGTGTGTTTTCCTCAGGCATTCTGGGCATTGACATTTTTGATTTGCTGTTCAAACCTCCTGTTTAATTGGCCTTAAGGTGATAAAGAGATGTTTCTCAAGGGTTTATAGTGGGCATTTGTAATTTTAAGACTTTATATGACAATCATTTCCATATAGGTTACATAATGCTGTGCAAATGAAGCAAAAAGACAAGCAGAATATCAGCCAGTTGGAGAAAAAGCTAAAAGCTGAGCAGGAAGCCCGAAGTTTTGTAGAGAAACAGTTAATGGAAGAGAAAAAGAGGAAGAAGTTAGAAGAAGCCACTGCTGCCCGGGCTGTTGCGTTTGCTGCTGCATCTAGGTATGTCCATGTCACCTGAGTGTTTAATCCAAGGTTGGCTTTCCTTTACCAACAAAGACATGGGAATTTGGTGCCTTGGGCAGGATTGGACGTACAGCAATCATGCACGGATGGATTGCTTTTAAGTACTGTTTTATTAACTGGTTTAAACTCCATGTGTGCAAGCTTGCACTATCTTATAACAGCTTTATCCCTCAGTGACCTCATCTATAAAGTGGGATGAGGGAATCACCATGTTTCCCATACCTGGGAGGCAAAGTACTGCTCATAAAAAGGTTTCCAGTCACTTTTTGTCAGACTGATGATTACTAAATGCATTGAGAGATTCTATCTGGAAGTTCGTTCCCTTTAGAGAGCTATCATTACTCTCCACTCTTAGGTATATGTGTTTCTGAAGTTTTTATCTTAAAATGGAAGAAAGATAAAATCTTGGTTGCCCAAGCACTGTGTACTGGCTGCTCAAATGGATATCAGCAAACTGTCAAATGAAATGGAAAAAAAAAGTGAAACATAAGTCTCTACTAGATGGAATTACATTTATGGCATAATGAAAATTGGGGACTACCTCCTATACCACTGGAAAGTACCCCTGTGTGCAAGTATTCCAAAAACTATTAGATAGTTAAGAGCTTTTTTTTTCTTTTTGCTTCTACTTCACTTATCACTTTTTCCTTTGTTTTCTTGACTAGTGAAGTCCCTCTGCATGTGGGAATCAGTTAGGTGTTTGCAGATATAGAGCGAGGGTAAATTATTATTTATTTCACTTTTAAATTCCATCCTAATTTGTATCTACGTGGTATAATTCAACTGTAATTTTTCCTTGAATTTTGCTTTGTCGTAATTAAAGTTAAGTAATTTAACTTTTGGCATGTTGATAGCCTTCTTTGTGGGTTCTGGCATTTGCAGAATAATTGGTGAATCATTTCACCTTTTAGGAAATAACAGCAAGTGAGAACTCTCTCCTGTGTGATCCTGCCTCCCCCCAGCAGATGGCTGAGCTGGCTTGGCCCATCAGCATCTATACAGACTTACAAGGCCCTTGACTAGCCTGCCTACAATGTGGGATTGTTTGTTTGTTTGAAGATGTATTTGCATTCTGAAGCACTTAAACTTGCAGGAGATGTTCTTGAACAGTCATCTAGTGATGACTGCTCTCCTCTCTCCTCAATTCATACAGCACCTGCCCTTTCTGAAAAATTCCACTCAGGAGGACATAGCAGTTCCTTAACGATATTGCTTAGTGTCTCCCATGCCTGAGAATCAGTAAGTTGATTTCAGTGTCTACCCCAAATCCCTTTTGCTTCCAGTTAAGCTTATTTATCTTATCCCTGGATAGTCCTTGTTTTTCATAACTTATTCTTTTTTTCCTTCTTTTTGAGACGGAGTCTAACTCTGTCACCCAGGCTGGAGTGCAGTGGCGCGATCTCAGCTCACTGCAGCCTTTGCCACCCAGGTTCAAGCGATTCTCCTGCCTCAGCCTCCCAAGTAGCTGGGATTACAGGCTCCTGCCACCGTGCCCAGCAACTTTTTGTATTTTTAGTAGAGACGAGGTTTCACCATCTTGGCAGGCTGGTCTCGAACTCCTGACCTCAGGTGATCTGCCCACCTTGACCTCCCAAAGTGCTGGGATTACAGGCGTGAGCCACCACACCAGGCCTGCCATAATTTATTCAGTAAATCTCAGGGCATAAATCTCTGACTGGACCTTCCGTTTTGGTAGGCAGAGAACACCTACTTTCTTCATTGGGCTGTTTCTGGAACCTAGACAGTACCAGCTTTGGACTGGCCATTGCCATCATCTCTTTTAGCTCAACCTTATGATAGCCCTGAGAAGCAGCTCAACAGTGTGCCCTTATTTTTCTGTTTACTCCAGTCTTGTGGCAACTTTATGACAAGAAAGACAAAAGTCCCAATGCGTAGCCCCTCAAAAGTGGGGGGAAAATTTTTTTCTAGTTCACCGCCCCCTGCTGGACATAGTACATGTTCAGTTCTATCTGGCTTTGTGTGTATTGTCTCAAGTCTCATGGCCTGGTGGGAAGTTTGCTGGATTGGGAAGCCAGAAAATCTCAGTTCTTATCCCTATTCTAAGACCTAAAAGCTAGGTAACCTTGAACTAGTATTTTATCTATGTAGCCTCAGTTTTCTTATCTGGAAAATGGGATAAATATACCCTAGGTTGTTATAAGGATTGAAGAAGGTAGTATGGGTAAAGTACCTTAGTGTCTGGCTCATCTAGACACTCAGTAATAATTATTGTATATATGTATGTATTTTGAGACAGGATATCATTCTGTCACCCAGACTGGAGTGCAATGGTGCAGTCATAGCTTACTATAACCTGAAACTCCTGGGCTCAAGTTGTCCTCTTGCCTCAGCCTCCTGAGTAGCTGGGACTACAGGCATGTGCTACTATGCCCAGCTATTTTTTAAATTTTTTGTAGAGACAGGGTCTCTCTGTGTTGCCCAGGCTGATCTCAGACTCTGGGCTCAAGCAGTCCTCCCACCTTGGCCTTGGGAGTGCTGGGATTACGGGCATGAGCCACCATGCCCAGCCCAGTTATTTTAGAGTATTATTGAAATTATCAAAGGACACAGAGAACTGAGCAGACTGAGCCAAAAGCTAAAACCTGACAGACCCTGGAGTATAAAAGAAATTAAAAGAAATATAAATCCCACAATACAAGTAAACCTATAGTCTTTTTTTTTTCTTTTTTTTGAGACAGAGTCTCACTTTGTCACCCAGGCTAACGTGCTGTGACACCATCTCAGCTCAGTGCAGCCTCTGCCTCCCAGGTACAAGCAATTCTCCTGCCTCGGCCTCCCGAGTAGCTGGGATTACAGATGTGTGCCACTACACCCAGCTAATTTTTGTAGAGAGAGGGTTTCACTGTGTTGGCCAGGCTGGTCTTGAACTCCTGACCTCAAGTGATCCACCTGCCTTGGCCTCCCAAATTGCTGTGATTACAGGCGTGAGCCACTGCACTCGGCCAACCTATAGTCTTTTTTAAAATTTTATTTATTTATTTATTTATTTGTTTTTGAGATGGAGTCTCACTCGGACGCCCAAGCTGGAGTGCAGTGGCACGATCTGGACTCGCTGCAACCTCCACCTCCTGGGTTCAAGCAATTCTTCTGCCTCAGCCTCCCCAGTAGCTGGGACTACAGGCATGTACCACCATGCCCAGCCAATTTTTTTTGTATTTTTAGTAGAGACGGGGTTTCACCATGCTGGTCAGGTTGGTCTCGAACCCCTGACCTCAAATAATCTGCCTGCCTCGGCCTCCCAAAGTGCTGGGATTACAGGCCTGAGTCACAGGGCCCAGCCCCAACCTATAGTCTTTTAAATCACTTTATTTCCTTCTCTTCTTTTTCAAAAGGGGAGAATGCACCGAAACCTTACGGAATCGGATCAGAGAACTAGAAGCAGAGGGCAAGAAGCTCACGATGGACATGAAGGTGAAAGAAGACCAAATCAGAGAACTAGAACTAAAAGTCCAGGTAAGGGGGGAACAAAAGACTTCCCTTGTATTTGAATTCCACTTTTATGCTAAACTTGTGCTCTGTGTTGCAGTGTAGAGATGATGCCTTTTAATATAGATCAAATCTCATTGCATCTGAAAAATCTCTATGTGACAAAAAGATTTGAAGTTCTAATCTTGTCCAGCTCATTTCAAGTCATATTAATGTAGCCAGATTCTAATACAAACCAGAAATGTTGACAATCCCTTGGTATGTTTTATACCAGGATTTAACTTGCTGTAGATTCATTTAACTTTTTCAGGTTATAGGCCAGATTAGTGTCCTTTGAAACTTACACACCTCCTTTTAGCCCCAACCCTCTTTCTATTGCCAGGGGACTGACCCTCCTGCATGGCTCTGAGCCTTGCAGATTGTTGTTCATAGCAGTGAATGATAGGAAAGGTGCTAGTGCTATGGACGTAGCCTGTTTTATGGGCTGTGTATACTTTAGCCAAATATTTGTCATTTAAACTAATGTCATATATTGTAAAGTTACAGTAATTTGAGCCAGGTGGGACAAGTGAAAAATTACTGTCAAGTCAGTGGACTAGAATGATGGCCTGGAGTACAGTACCGAAAAAAATACGAAAAAAAGTAAAGGTGGCATCAGAGATAGATGGGAAAGGTAACGATTAGTCAGTAAAAGGCTTTGGAATAGCTAAATAACTGGAGAAAAAAAATTAGAAACTCATCTCATGCCACATATAAAGAAATTCCAGATGAAGAGTTGAAGGCAGAAAAAACAAAGAATAAATGAGTTTTTAAAAACTAGGTGGAAATATACTTGACCTTGAAACAAGGGAAAGATTTTCTAAACATACAAGCAATGGGAAAAAATCACAAAGCAAAAATCATAATAATAAATGAAAAAATTGATTGGGGAAGGTATGAATATTGCAACAAATATTATAAATAAGGAATTAATATTCTCAACATATCCGTAGCTCATAAAAGTTGCTAAGGAAAGCTCATATATATAGCAAAATAGGCTGAGGATGTGAACAAATAATTCAGAGGAAATACAGGTGACTGATAAGATCATAAAAATATAAACTCACCAATCATCAAAGACATGCAGATTAAAAGTAGATATCATTTTTCTCCTATGAAATTAGCAGATGATTTTTAAATGAGAATATCAATCATGGTGAGGATGCAACAAAATAGGCCTCATACATTGCTGGTAGAAATGTAACTTTCTGGAAAAGGTCTTGCACTTTTTAAGTATTTACCTTTTTTAGGAATCCAGCCTAAGGTAAACAATTTTAAAATCTCACCAATGAGTGATGTACAGAGATGTTCATCGTAGTGGTATAAAAATGCAAAAAAATTGAAAACAGTCTTAACAATGGGAGAGTCATTTAAATTTTGGTATGTAAACATTCAGGAATATTGTACAGCCAATAAAAATTTTATTTTCAAACAATAGTTAAAATCATTTAGTTTTTAAAAGACTATGTACAAAACTGTACATTTAATATTTCACTTCTGCTAAAAGATACACATATGCATAAAAGATTAAAAGAAATATTAAATTTTTTAGTGTTGGTATTATGAGTAATTTTCATTTTCTTCTTTGAATTTTTCTATATTCCTAAATTCTCTGTAATAAGTTTGGATTTTTCTGTTAAAAAGAAAAATTCAAATATCTGTATATATTAATTGTTTACATTAAAGTGGGCTTATTCTGCAGTATGCCCTGTCAAAATAATTAACATTTTTACAATTATTAATGCAGGTTGAGTTTTGGCAAGTTCGATTACAGCATTATGATAATTTGCACGTGGCCAGCAAGGAAAAATGTTTTCTGTGGTTCTGAATTAAGCTTATAAGAAAAGTGTTTTATTTGGAAGCAGATTCCATTGTTTTCTAGACACATGCCCAGCACAGTCAAATGATCATCTTCTAAATATTTTTGTATGTGCTTATTGCCATATAAACACATTTAGCACTTGCCTAAACCCATGAAACACCAGATTTTGTGTTCTAGTGGCCAGACCAAGAATAGTGGGATTTAATTTGTGATTTCAGGCTAATTTATAGACATCGATGCCAAAACTACCTTGTAGCATTGCTGTTTTGATGATATTGATAGGAGCTTCGGAAATATAAGGAAAATGAGAAGGACACTGAGGTGTTAATGTCAGCCCTCTCAGCCATGCAAGACAAAACACAGCACCTGGAGAACAGCTTAAGTGCAGAGACGAGAATCAAGCTGGACCTGTTCTCCGCACTGGGCGATGCAAAGCGGCAGCTCGAGATTGCCCAAGGTAGGAGAACGTGGGCCCCTGGTGAGGTGGTGTGACTGATAATGCACAGGGATGCACAGGCCAGACCTCTCCTGAGAGCTCTCAACCAAGGGGCATTTCAGTTTTCTCTTCAAGAGTCTTGGTAAGTGCCCAACATTGAAATATAGGAACCATCACATTAATTCATTTGCAGACATATTTTGAGATGAGAACATGTCAAGTGCAGGGCATACAGAGAATAGTATGATTTCTACATTCAAGGAGCTCACAGTGTTGTTGAAGAAGTAGAGAACTGCAGAGGCATCAAAAGGTGCTTAGGTATAAGTATATACGGGGCCTGAGGGAACATAGAAAGAGTCAGGGACGAAACTAGTCTGGGGAATTGGAGAGGGCCTCTCCCCAGGGGAGCTGATGTCTGAGGTGGGCCTGAATGATGAGGAGTTGGCCCAGTGAAGCAGCAGTGTGGTGGAGGGTGAGGGGTAGAGGGGTCCACACAGAAGAAACAGCTTAGGCAAGGGCTGGGAGCTAGTGGGACTTGATGTGTTCCAAGCTGCAGCCAGCCTGCTTGGCTGAAGCAGAGGATACAAATGAGGGAGCTGCAGGTGAGAGTCTGGAGAGTAGGCCATGGTCATCTACTTGGCCGATATTTACTGAGACCTACTTTGTGCCAAGCACCATAAGATGACTTGAAAATACAGCCCTGGCGATGACAGGTGATGAACAAGCCAGCAGGGAGTATGTCAGGTGGCAGTTGGTGCAATGATAGAAATAAAGCCATGGCGAGACAGAACGTATGTGGCAGGGGTCTCCCTTTTTAACAGGGCAATCATGGAAAATCCCTTGAGTAGGTAGTATTTGAGCAGAGACCCAAAGGAAGAGAGCAGGAGTGAGCCGTGTAAAGAGCTGGAGGAAAGCACTTCCGGGGAGGGGGCAGCAAGTGAAAAGCCCGGCAGGGGGAGCGTGGGTACTCTGCAGGCAGAGGGTGGGGGTTGTAGCCTGTGTGATAACGGGGAGAGTTGTCAGAGCAGACAGGAGTAACAGCAGTCAGACTGTATGGGACTTGAGGCCCATGGAAAGAACTTAGGGTTTTACCGTGAGTGCCATAGGGGAGCACTGGAAGGCTTCTGAACAGAGGCATGGCATGACCTGAGAAAAATAAATTTGGATTTTTGTCCAAGAAATTGATTAGCTATCCAACCAGAGTACTAAATTGAGTATAGTACTGAAAAAATAGAGTACTCTATAGAGTACTAAATAGAGTACTGCATAAAATAGAGTACTGAAAAGAATTTTCAAATGGTTGACTTAGTGGAAAGAGAAGAATATTTCAAGCAAGGCATGGTGGTTTGTGTCAGTGCCTGCCCATAGTCCCAGCTGCTCAGGAGGCTAGGGCAGGAGGATCACTTGAGCCCAGAAATTTGAGACTAGCCTGGGGAACATAGCGAGACCTTGTGTCTAAAATAAAGAATATTTCAACAGGGACTGACAGAGTAGTCACACTCTGTGCAAAGCATTGTCCTAGAAGCTCTGGGGGAGACAAACATGAATACAACATGGTGTGTGAACTTTTGTCTTAGGGACCCCTTTACACTCTTAAAATTATTACCCCAAAGAGGTTTATTTCAAGTGGATTATATCTATCAATATTTACCTACTAGAAATTAAAACTTAAAACATTTATTTATTTATTTTCAAGACAGGGTCTTGCTCTGTCACCCAGGCTGGAGTGCAGTGGCACAGTCTCAACTCACTGCAGCCTCGACCTTCTGGGTTCAAGTGATCCTCCCACCTCAGCCTCTCCCTAGTAGCTATGACTATAGGCATGTGCCACCATGCCCAGCTAATTTTTTTTTTTTCTGTTTTTTTTCTAGAGACGAGGTCTCACTTTGTTGCCCAGGCTGACCTCGAACTCCTGGGCTCAAGAGATCCTCCCATCTCAGCCTCCCAAAGTGTTGGGATTGCAGGCATGAGCCACTGTGCTCAGCCAAATTAATTTATTATTCATTTAAAAATAACATACAAACATATTACATGTTAATATAAATAACTTTTTAATTTGAAACTCTTATTTTCCAAAACAAAAAAAAATTCCTGAAAAAAGTGGCATTATTTTACATTTAGCAGATCTCTTTAATGTCTGACTTAACAGAAGATAGTTTGATTCTTTTTTTTTTTTTTTTTTTTTTTGAGATGGAGTCTTGCTCTGTCACCCAGGCTGGAGTGCAGTGGCACGATCTCGGTGCACTGCAAGCTCCAGCTCCCGGGTTCACGCCATTCTCCTGCCTCAGCCTCCCGAGTAGCTGGGACTACGGCGCCCGCCACCACACCCGGCTAATTTTTTGTATTTTTAGTAGAGATGGGGTTTCACCGTGTTAGCCAGGATGGTCTCGATCTCCTGACCTCGTGATCCACCCGCCTCGGCCTCCCAAAGTACTGGGATTACAGGCGTGAGCCACCGTGCCCGGCCAGATAGTTTCTTATCTCTGTTTCTACATTCATTCTGTTGTGATTTCACACTCCACCTAATTTCTAGAAGACTCCACTTACACTTTTGACAGAATGAGCATGAAGAAGGGAAGTAATGTCTCAGTACTATTATGAAGGTAGTTTTGAGCCTGTGGACCCTGACTGTACTTTGAGAATTGCTGACCTAGGGTGAGCCCAGCAAAAAAGTAGAGGCATGAGGTAGAGGCAGGGGGCTAGAAAGGCCAGAGGAAGATCAGGGAAGGCCTCGTGAAGGAGGGGGCATTGAGTGGGCTTTGATGATGAATTTCAAGAGCAGAGAATGCCAGGGAAAAACATGTTGCCTGAGGAAGTAGTATAAGCAAAGGAAAGAAGGTGCCGGGATGTTCAGGTGAGCAGTCCGGCAGCCTTAAGCTGGGGGCAGGGAAGGAAAGAGTGGGAGGGTAGGGGACCATGAACGAAGCCATACTAGAGAGGGTATTCCCTAGATCTTCCTGAAGGAAGAAAGAGGGGACGTGTTCAGACTGTTAAGCGGGAAATCTCCCTCCTATAGCATGTGAAAGACCGATGGAAGGGGTGAGACTGAGTGGAGACAGACTGTGAGGAAGCTACCACTGTCCTCTATCTAAGAGATGATAAGTATGGGGAGGGCGGACGGGCCAGACAGGTGAGTGGAGAGTGGAGGTTCCTGAGAGTTCTGGAAGGACAAAGTTGTTGGAACCAAGGAAGGGAGAGCAGAACAGATACAAGGAGTGAAGGAAGAATAAGTTTGGTTTTGGATGTTTTGATTTGAAGGTACTCCCCAGAAACCCAAGTAGGAAATATTCCTCAGTCAGTGGGAACTTTGGGCCTAAACCAAAGACGGAGGCCCAAACCCCTGGGAGTAAGGGGTTGGATTTAGAAGTTGTGAGAAGTTAGTGAAGCGCAGGAGTGGCTTGGGATGGCACAGGTGATTGAGCAAGAGAAGGAGTTTGAGAATCACACTGCTTTAATCTGTGGACTCGAGGAAAGGCATTTAAGAAGGTTCCCAGGAATCCTGCTTTGAAGCCGAGCTTCTGACCTTACACTGACTTTTTTTGCCTGCCTGGCTTAGTTCCCTGAGGAGTGGCCACCCCTCAGTGCTTCAACCCTGTTTACTTGGTTTTGCAAACTTGGAAAAGATTCCCCCTGGCGTGAAGCAGCACCTGGCCTCAGAGTAGCCAGAGGAGCTTGGCTTCCCAGCTCAGACTGTGTGCTCTGCTGTCAGCCCAGAAATCCTCCTGAAGTGACAAAGAAGCCAAAAGAACTTTTTCCAAAGCACTGGGTATGTTTTCCTGTTACTGATTAAAGAAATCAAACTTAAATCGGCAGGGAAAAAGATACAGTGGCTTATATATCAGATGCTTTTAGGTATTTTATTCATCTGAGGCTTATCTTGTTCAAAGAGAAGGTGGATATTTGATGCTTCCTTGAAGCTTAGGGGACATGAAGGAAGTGAGGGGGGCAGTTCCTTTCTACTGCTCTCACTGCTGCCTTCCCCACTCCCTCCCTACAGGGTTGTGCTCAGGATATTCTAATAAGAACCCAACTTTGTAATTTAAATCAAACCTCTTGTTGCTTTTCTCCTTCCTACTCTCTATATCATTTGATACATCCTGGTTCCAAAATGACTTTCAGGCCAGGCGCGGTGGCTCACACCTGTAATACCAGCACTTTGGGAGGCCAAGGTGGGCGGATCACAAGGTCAAGAGATCGAGACCATCCTGGCCAACATAGTGAAACCCCGTCTCTACTAAAAATACAAAAATTTGCTAGGTGTGATGGCACACGCCTGTAACCCCAGCTACTCGGGAGGCTGAGGCAGGAGAATTGCTTGAACCCCGAAAGTGGAGGTTGCAGTGAGTAGCAATCACGCCACTGCACTCCAGCCTGGCGACAGAGCAAGACTCCATCTCAAAAAAAATGAACAAAACAAAACCAAAATGGCTTTCATCTCTACTACATCCTTTTAAAAAATATACCGCCAAGCTTTCTTATATTCCAAATAGATTATTGTCTTCTATAGGACCCATGAGCAATCTCAAAATAAATGCAACTCAAATGCAACCTTTTTCTTTTTTAAGCATTTTTGTGGGCTTTTTTTTTTCTTTTTCTTTTTTTTTTTGAGACAGGGTCTCTGTCGCCCAGGCTGGAGTAGAGTGGCACAATCTTGCCTCACTACAACCTCCGCCTTCTGGGCTCACGTGACCCTCCTGCGTCAGCCTTCTGAATAGCTAGGATTACAGGTGTGAACCACCAAGTCTGGCTAATTTTTGTATTTTTTGTAGAGACAGGGTTTTGTCATGTTGCCCGGGCTGGTCTCGAACTCCTGGGCTCAAGCAGTCCACCCACCGCGGTCTCCCAAAGTGTTGGGATTACAGGCATTAGCCACCACACCTGGCCAGCATTTAAGTTTCTGAAAGACTACTCCTAAGTGTTCTAAGTGCTTTTACATATACCAATCATGTCTTTCTTCTGGTCTCCCTAGAAGACCAGGAAGCTACATAGAATGATGAAAGTCATGTGAGGCTTTGGAACAAAGTGGTCCTGGGTTTAAATCCTGCCCTACCTTTTGATAACTAAATGACTTTGAGCAAGATACACAACTTGTAGAACTCCACTTTTTACTGGACTGGGCAATAGGGAGCTAACAATGGAAAAAAAAAAAGGGTAGACACAGTGTCTGCCCTCATGGAACTCATGGTCCAGCAGAGAGACGATGGACACAGATCATCACCAAATGAATAGTTGCCAGAGATTGAAGAATGCTGTAGGTAGGAGTGTACATTTGAAACAGACTGCAGGGAATTGAATCCTGGCTCTGTCACTAGCTGTATACCTTGAGCAAGTCACTCAACTTCTCTATGCCTCAGTTTCCTCATCTATAAAATGGATAATAATAATTCCCCCATCATGGGGTTGTCGTAAGAAAGAAATGAGTTAGTATACATAAGCATTTAGCATGCCTGGCATATATGAAGCCCTATGTGTTAGTTTTTGTCATTATAAGTGACAGAAAGGGAAGTGGAGGGTGTGTTAAGAATCTAGGAGTTAGACCGGGCGCGGTGGCTCACACCTGTAATCCCAGCACTTTGGGAGGCCGAGTTGGGCAGATCACCTGAGGTTGGGAGTTCGAGACCAGCCTGACCAACATGGAGAAACCCCGTCTCTACTAAAAATACAAAATTAGCCAGGCGTGGTGGCACATGCTTGTAATCCCAGCTACTCAGGAGGCTGAGGCGGGAGAATCGCTTGAACCCGGGAGGCAGAGGTTGCAGTGAGCCGAGATCTCGCCACTGCACTTCAGCCTGGGCAACAAGAGCAAAACTCCATCTCAAAAAAAAAAAAAAAGAATTTAGGAGTTGTAGGAAGCTAATTTAGACAGGAGGCTCAGGGAAAGTTTTGCTGAGGAAGTAGAAACAGAATCCTCAAGATTTAGCTAGCTTCACAAAGAAAGCAGGAGATACACAGGACAGGAAGTGGCCCGAGGTAGGCAGGAGCTGACTGGATCAAGAAACTGAAGCGTAGTGAGGGCAAGTGTGCTGGAAGGCTAAATAGGGTGATGTTGCTAAAGCAAGGGCAAGTGATGTGGGTCACACTAGCGTTCCTCCCAGTACAGCAGCCACAGAGCTTCCTCTGTTTTGTCAGAGAACCTGGTGGCAGAAGCGTATTACTGTGACTGAGTCTGAGGCCTTGGTTATGCTGTATTCCTTGGTCTGACACTCAGAGATAGTCTGTCCTCTCAAAAAAATTCCAGCTCAAGAGGTGGAGCCAGAGTTCAAAATCGCCAGCCCTCTTACGCTGTCATAGCTGACTGCCATGTTCAAAACGTGGTTCCTGGAAACTGACTTCTTTACATCAACCACACCTATATGAACAGAATCCCTTCTTAGCTCTAAGCCAAGAATCAGTAAACTGTGGCCCATGGGCCAAATCTGGCCTGCCACCTATGCCTGTACTGCCTGCCGATGAAGAATGGTTTTTACATTTTTCCATGGCTGGGAAGAAAAGATGACAAAGATAGTAAGTACACTGTATATGGCCCACGACACCTAAAATATTTACT
Source organism: Homo sapiens (assembly GCF_000001405.40). Lineage (NCBI taxonomy): Eukaryota > Metazoa > Chordata > Mammalia > Primates > Hominidae > Homo > Homo sapiens. Next base: position 25,498,111 of record NC_000001.11, read on the forward strand.
GTGTCCCATTACAGGACAAGTTTGCCTGCTCTTATAAATCACTGAACCTGGAGCTGTTCACACTGAACCGAATCTACTTAGGGATTGGCCCCTGGGGACATTGTGTTGGGTGAGGCCTCCCTTTTCACTAATGGTGGGTCTTTGATCTTACAGGACAAATCCTTCAGAAAGATCAGGAAATCAAGGACCTAAAACAGAAGATAGCCGAAGTCATGGCCGTCATGCCCAGCATAACATACAGTGCCGCCACCAGCCCCCTGAGCCCTGTTTCCCCCCACTACTCTTCCAAATTTGTGGAGACCAGCCCCTCTGGACTTGACCCCAATGCCTCTGTTTACCAGCCCCTGAAGAAATGAAGGCCAGCTGTGTGTTGTGCCCAAAAATTTGGTTACCGGAAGGCATTGCAAAGGAGCGTCTCTGGCAGTCAAGATAAAAAAACAGTTTCTATTGTATTTTGTGGAACTGTATCTGTTGTCATTTTTAAAAAGGGGGGAAAAGATAACATCCAAGTCTGATTAGAACTGCCCATCAGTTTTTCTTGTAAATTTTTAGAAGACCTCACAGAACTTTACAGTTTATTTTTCTCGGCCAACACATTAAAACCATTCTTGGATTTCAAGTAGCCAACTTTGCCTTTTATGTATTCTTACATAGTTTCCTCTTGAAGAAAAAAAAAGCAGAGTTTTTGTTTTTCAACCCTTTATGTTTGTTTTGTTTTATTCTTAAATAAGCAAGCAAAACCTGCACATTGGATTCACGTGAGATGATAATGAAAACTTTTAGTTTAAGAGTGAAGGGTTAAGTAACCTAACAGAGCTTTGATGTTATAGCTGCATTAAAGAAGGTGATTGTCAATATTACAGAAAACAAAAATGGATTGCCCCTCCAAGGACCAAACAGATTCAAGGAGCATCATTTAAGCTAAGAAGAGACCTAAGTGATGAAACTAGCTGTAAGAATGTAACAGGGGTTGTGTTTGAAATATTTATATTCCCATCGGTGTGTTTAGTCCTAGAAAATTGCTAGCAGCAGTCTTCTTCACAGTGCCTTGGGAAAAGACATTTCAAGAGGAAACTTGATAATTTTAAACTCTTTTCCCCCTTTACCGTCATCTATCCTCTATCTGTATCAAGCTCACTGCGGATCCTGCTGTAAAACTGGTGGGTAGCTGGGCTGTCCGTTACCACCACAGCTACATCTTCTGTTTCTTTGAATAGAAAGCACCACAGTGTTTTGCACTTGCCTCCAGTAAAGTGCCCTGGGAAGGGAGCTGGGCAGTGTTTGTGGACGAGAGACTGTAACGATGGCTAATAAAAGCTGCGGGTCTAGGTTTTTTTTTTTTTGTTTTGTTTTTTCATTTCATTTAACTGTGCTTTCTCCACTTTTCATCATTTTGTGTTTGATGATTTAAAAGAAGCTTGACTATTCCTCAGCTCTTGTGCCAAGGAGGGTTTTTTTTTTTTAAGACTCTTAAACTCAAAACTCTGCACAAAGATTTCAGTTTCAAATGTGTATTATACATGGGTAGAAAAGTGTTTGCACAGGCAACTTTTGGAAGTGTTTAAGAATCAGGGTGGGGGTGGCGGGAGGGACCGGGTGGGGGCAATGCAAAATTGTATTTGGAAACTAGGAAAAATTAAGAAACCAAATAAATTGGTTTTGCTTCCTTGCCATGGATTCTGGAAGGACATAGTTCTTCTAAAATTTCCTGTTAATTGGCATGTACGTCTCATTTAAAGCAAATTAAGTAGGACAAGCAAGTCAGTAAAATAGAAGTATTAAAAAGAATCATCCTTTAAATCACAGATCTTATTTTGAGATTAAAAAAAATACTTCTAGCTTTAGCCAGGTGTGCATGTTGCTGCCATTTTGCATTTTTGAATCATCTTGTGTAATTGTCACCATGAAAGTGTTACTCAGAATTGTCATAGATTTTCTCTTCTTTGTGCAAAAACATGGAAAATTGTCACTGACTTTGTTTTGAGGTTTCCCCCATTTTGCTGCCTTTTGGGACACTTCGTTAAATACTGGTCTTGGCTGCATTCTTTTTTTTTTTTCCTGTGGGGTTCAAAAGAATAAACATTTTCTTACAGATAAAACTAGTTTTCTGCCTTTTTAACTTTCAGGAGAGCACAGCAAGGTAGATTGTTCTGAGTGGGGCTTAGCCGGTTGCTATCTTGTTCTCATCTCGGCCTGCATCAGGTGGGGGTCCCCCCACACAGCCGATCCCTGGGTAGGGGGCAGACCCAGGATTTGGGGGAGACCCATCAGGATCTCAAGTTGGTTTGGTTTCTGTGCATAAGACATGTCCATTCTCATTTGTTTTCTCCCTTCTCTGGCATCTGATTAGAGCCAAGGCTGACTTGTTTTCTGGTACAACCCTCCTTTCCTAAGAAAGCAAGTTAGGGGTGGAGTTGGGGGGTAGTTGGTGAGAAAATCTTGAGAGCAAATTTCCTTCATCAATGCCTTGCCTTCTATTTTCTAGAATCTTGCTTGGCCACTTAGTGACCAATACTCTATTGGGTTTCCTATCTGCTATAGATCCTGAACTAACCTACACTTTTATCATCCTCCCTTGTTTTTAGAGGCTTTGTCTGTTTTCATCTTCTGAGAAGCCAACTGCCTCCCTTGGCCATTGTTACAATTGATCTTGGCTCTAGTTTTGGAAAATTCTGCTCTTGGCACCTCACCCTCTGTCCTTATTGCTAGATAGCCTTTCTGAGTCTTGGCCATCAAGTCTGTTGCAGACACTCCACACTTAATATCATGAGCAGAATTCCCCAGGGGGAACATGTTGGCTTGCCTTGGCTTTCGCCTTTGCCTTCCCTGAAGGAATGTGTCTGCCTACAGAACTCTCATTGGCACTTTCTTTTCCACCAAGGAAATCTCCAGTTGTTGTCTTTGTTATTTTAGGCCCATGATAAAGCAGCAATTAACTATGAAAATCAAAAGGCTATAATCATGATGCACTAATGGGGACAGACTAGGAGAGAGAGAAAACTCAGATCTTCAAGTTTCATTGCTTCTTTTTCTTTTTTTTTTTTTTGAGATGGAGTCTCACACCATCATAAAGCAGCTCCACATCTCAGTACATAATTTATTACATGCTATAAAGCAGTGTTTGCCATTCTAGATGGTTAAATATTTAGAGGACGAGTGGGCTGAGTGTGTTTTGACTGGCCGAATAACCTCTCTCTATTGACACATCTCCCAACTTTACATAAGGAAATAGCTGTCTATGTGGCAATCTTTCCAAGAGATCCTATGGAATGAGAATGAACAACTCCTCATGACTCCCAGCCTGCAGGAAGGGCATAATCCTTTTTCCTGCCATCCCTCTCCCCTGCCTGTGTTAATCTGGGCTGTGAAGAGCCACCTGGGAGGGCTGAACATTTCTGACAGCTGCCCTCACTGCTGCTTTTGAAATTCACACCACAGCAGAGAACTAAAGAGGTAAACCAGAAGCCTACCCCCAAGCCACTGGCCAGAGTAGCTAGGCCTGTTTAGATTAAAGGGCCTCTGAGCCCCATAAATGCCTGGCTATATATGACTCTCAAAGACACTTACTGCTGAGCTGGCCTCTTCCCAGGCCTCACAGGACTTGCCCAAAGGCATCCCCCTCATCCTTCATGCAGAGCCCTAGGGCCCAGCCAAGCCCTCCAGACAGGGATGGGAGTCAACTCCCAGCTTTGCCTCCACAGGCTCTGTGATTGCCCTTAACCTCTCTAGGGTGCCGTTTCCTCACCTGACAGAGTTGCTATGGAGACTGGGTGACATGATGCAAAAGGGTACCCTGAAAACCATCTACAGCGCCCCCAGGTGGAAGCGCAGACCTGCCGCAAGGAATCATGAGGAGGGCAGGACCTGGCTAAGAATTCCTGCTCTTGGGGCTGCTGCATCCTTAACAGCCTGACTCCTAAACTCGTGACACTCAAAAACATGGTCTGCAACTGCAGCCCAGCAGCACCGGTGTCCTATGTGAGCTTGCATCGGGCTCTTGCCCAGACCCATCTGAATCTGCATTTTACAAGATGTGAATGGGTAATTCAGTTGCATATTATTTTAGAAGCCCCATCCTGAGCTGACTTTCCTAACATGAAGACTCTAAACATTGTCACCCTCTCTCTTCTAGTCCAGAAAAAAGCTGATACACAGGTTTTGAAAATTTAGAATTAAAAATTTGGGCTGGGCGTGGTGGCTCACGCCTGTAATCCCAGCACTTTGAGAGGCCAAGGTGGGCAGATCACGAGGTCAGGAGTTCGAGACCAGCCTAGCCAACATGGTGAAACCCTGTCTCCACTAAAAATATAAAAATTAGCTGGGCATGGTGGTGGGTGCCTGTAATCCCAGATACTCGGGAGGCTGAGGCAGGAGAATCGCTTGAAACCAGAAGGCAGGTTGCAGTGAGCCAAGATCACGCCACTGCACTCCAGCCTGGGCAACAAGAGGAAGACTCTGTCTCAAAAAAAAAAAAAAAGAGTTTAATGATGAGAGGCCATGCAGAAGATGAACTCTAAGCCTTACTCCTTTTTACTTATTTTGTTTATTACGTTTCCTCACCATTAGAATGTAAGCTCTATGAGGGCAAAGATTTTTGTTTATTTACTGCTGTAACCCAAAACCTAGAACAATGACTGCCACATAGTAGGTATTCAGTAAATACTTATTGAGTGATTAAGGTTTTAGATTAGACATGTAATCTGAAATACCGTGTCTTGACTGAATCAGAGCATCTCTGTAATAGTATTATTAGAATGACAAGTATAAACAGAATTGTTTCTAGAAGGAGAGGGATAAATTTGAAGTAACATATTTACTATGACATCTCCCATCTGCCTGTCTGAAACCTTGCTTTTTTGTCAGATTTTCTCTACAAACTCCTGCTTGATTTAGCCAGGTGCAAAAAGATGTCTTTACCAGCTAGATGTGCTGCGAACAATCACTTGTCTTGGAAGCCTCGCAGCAGGGGCCTGCTGGGGGCCTGTCCATGCTTCATCCCTCTGGAGCCTTAGACCAACTTCCACAAGAGCCAGTACTGCTGCGTTGTGAGTCAGTGTGGGGATTTTTTCTGTTGACAGTAATTGAATTATAAAGCATTTCCTCCTGGAAGGTATCTGGGTGATTGAATGTCTCAGAGAATTCCTTTCCATCTGACCAAGGGGGCCACACTTCTTTTCTCTCCTCCCTCCTTGAGCATATTTTAAGTGTTTCTGTTTGTTCCATCTCAACGTTTGCTTTTGGTTCCTGTCTTTGCTTGAGGTTCAAGTCTTATTTCCCCTCAGGATGGGCTTTCTAGGGTTCTGGGACCACTCTGTTGTGATACCCTGATTTTTCTCCTAAGAATCCCAGATTTAGCTTCACACACGTGGCAGGGCCTTTTAAACCCCGTCCGAAGGAGCCTGGACCGGTTGCTCTGAGAGAGGTCCATTCTGCCCGCTTCCCAGCTCTGCAGCCTTCGGGTTGAGAGGGAGGTGCAGGTGAGTGTGGGCAGGGACCTCCATGAGCCACGTTTGGCCTGGCACCAGCATATCCTGGATCCTGTTCTTCGCCGTTCCCTTCCCTGTCCTCCTCTGCACGGAGGACAGGGTTTTGCTCCTGGAGCCCTAGGCCGTGTTGGCACATTTCTCCAGTACCAGGCCCATACTTCCTTAGAACAATCATTCTCAAACTTGTTCACCAGAACAGCCTGAAGTCACCTGCGAAAACACAGATTACTGGGTCCCACCCCAGAGTTTCTCATTCATGAGGTCTGGGGGTGGGCCTGAAAAACTGCATTTCTAACACATTCCCAAGTGAGGCTGGGCCCCACCTTGAGAACCACTGGCTTGAGCGTGAGGGCTGACACAGCCCTGCCCAAAGCCACCCCCCAGCTGCCACCAGAGGGCACATGCAACCTGAGCCAGAGGTCTTGTTTCACCTCCAGCTGCCAGCTCCCCGCCTGCCACCCAGCAGAGGTTCTTTCCAAAAGATTTCTTTCTAGTTGTAATTTTTGTTATTATGTATTAGGAAGAAATGCAGATCTAAAAAATAAGGTGGGTTCTCAGAGTCTGTCTCTGACAAATATTAAAGGTCAGATGGATCAGCCTTTTGAAAGTGTTGAATGTCCTGACTTTTAAGAAATGGAACAGGCTGGGTAGGGTGGCTCACGCCTGTAATCCCAGCACTCTGGGAGGCTGAGGTGGACCAATCGCTTGAGCTCAGGAGTTCAAGACCAGCCTGGGCAACATGGGGAAACCCATCTCTACTAAAAATACAAAAATTAGCTGGGTGTGGTAGTGTGCCTATAGTCGCACCTATCTGGGGGACTGAGGTGGGAGGATCATTTGAACCTGGGAGGTCAAGGCTGCAGTGAGCTGAGACCACACCACTGCATTCCAGACTGGGTGACAAAGTGAGACTCTGTCTCAAAAAAAAAAAAAAAAAAAAAAAAGGAAAAAAGCAATGGAACAAATGGTTCCCACTGGAGGCTTCCAGGGCTTCCATCACACTGAAGTGGGGACTTCCTTTCAGAACATCGTAGAATCTTTGTGTATTCAGAACCCAAAAGGCAGTTAAGATGATAGGTGATTTTCATTTTCTTCTTTATACTTTACTGTATATTCCAAATTATCTAAAATTCATATAACAAAAAAATGATTTTTAAAACACATTTTAAATGTGACTAAAAGCCAAAACAACAACTCCAAAATAATAAAAACCAACCCAAAGAGGAACTTGGAGTGAGCAGCGTGGGGTGAGGAGAAAGCCCCCAGCTGGCACTTGGCCCCTCAGTTGGTCCTGCTGAGGTATCTGCCTAGGCGTAGGGGTCTAGTGGGATCACAGTTGGCCGAGTGCTCAAGAAAGGGATTTAGGACCGAGGAATAGATGGTTACCTGTGAGGACTCGGCCTGTCATCTGTGTAAGTCATGTGTTGCAGAAGCCCTGAGATGCCAGAACTTGAGATTTTTCAACCAAAAACAAAAGGAATCTGGATAATGTGAAATCTCCCAATTTTTAAATGTTAGCTCAAATGTATTATCTGCAGATCAAACAAAATATGTCTGGAAGCTGCTAAATAGGAACCTAAGGCTGTAAAGTGCCTACGTTTTCCTGTTTCTGGCTTTGCTCCCAGTCCCTTGGCCTCTCCACGCACTGCAGAGTTCAGGAGAAGTGGGGCAGTGGGTCTCAACCCTGGCTGCTCATTAGAGTCACCTGGGGAGCTCTTAAAAATGCCCATGGCCAGGGCCCACCCTGAGAGCGCCTGATTTAACTGGGCTGGGGAGGAACCCGGGCTTTGTTTGTTTGAATTCCCCAGAGGTTTCTAATATGCAGTCAGGGTTGAGAAACTGGGAACTAGAGGGGAGTAAGAGGAAGCCTCCATCCTGCTGGGGCCTGGGACCTCAGAGGATGCATGCAGGTGTCTGGGGGCTGGGGCTGGGGCTAGGACTTCAAATGTTTTTAGCTGGCCAAGTGGAGATATGAGCAAAGTTGGTCTCTGCTGTCTTCCCACCTCCCCTGTGGAGACCCTCGTGTCTCTTCTTCTGGCCCCTGGGCTTCCTTCCAGGCCCTTGTCCTGGATTCCCCTTGTCAACCACATTTATCGCACTGTCTGCAAATATAAATTGTTAGCCCTCTCGTTTCCAAAAAGGAATTCTGCTAGCATCACCCCAATTTGTGGTTACTATGTGTCAGCTTATGAGGGTTTTTTAAATTATTATTATTGCAAGCCACAGAAGCTGACTGCGGCCAGTATAAGCCCAAAGAGGAACTGAATGAAAAGAGACGGGGCATGCACATATGGGGCTGTCGAGAGGGCTGAAGAGGCCATATGGGAAAGACAGGAGCCAGCCAGCATGGGCAGTTTGGAGGCAGGAGCTGCTCAGCAGGGCCCGTGGCTGAGTGAGTCCATGTCCCAGCTTCTCAAGTCAAAGTCGGGGGATGGTGGTAGATGTGTGCTACTGCTCCCAATTATCCACTCCATCCCTGCAGCGAGGTTGATCCATCCCACTCTACTCAGCGTCCAAGTTGGCCATATAACTTGCATTGGTCAATGGAATGTGAGTGGGCATCACGTGTGCCAGGTGTGGGCAGCCTGAAATGCACCTGAGTGCTTTACATCAGCCTCTTGCTCCTCTCTGCGGGAGAACAGCATCTCCCAGAGAGGGGCCACAGCTGGGTGAGAGGTGAGCCATGTCAAAGCCCGCCCTCAGACGTGGGAGCAAAAAATATGTGTTACTGGTCTTAAGTCACTGAGATTCGGGGGCTGTTTGTTACCAGAGCAAAAACTGATATAGACAAAGAGTCCAAACTTGAGTCATATGTCCTCCCCTTGGCTGAATCTTGGGCTGGAGAACACTAGCTGAGGGAAGGAGATTCAGGGCCCTTTTGCGGTCTGAATGTTTGTGTACCCTTAAAATCCTTATGTTGAAATCCTCACCTGCAAGGCCTTTTGGGGGGTGATTAGGTCATGAGGGTGGCTCTATGAAAGAGGCCCAGGAGGAAAAAGGAAAGATGGCCGAATAGGAACAGCTCCGGTCTACAGCTCCCAGCGTGAGCGACGCAGAAGACGGGTGATTTCTGCATTTCCATCTGAGGTACCGGGTTCATCTCACTAGGGAGTGCCAGGCAGTGGGCGCGGGTCAGTGGGTGCGTGCACCGTGCGCAAGCCGAAGCAGGGCGAGGCATTGCCTCACTTGGGAAGCGCAAGGGGTCAGGGAGTTCCCTTTCTGAGTCAAAGAAAGGGCTGACGGACACACCTGGAAAATCGGGTCACTCCCACCTGAATATTGCGCTTTTCGGACCGGCTTAAAAAACTGCGCACCACGAGATTATATCCCGCACCTGGCTCGGAGGGTCCTACGCCCACGGAGTCTCGCTGATTGCTAGCACAGCAGTCTGAGATCAAACTGCAAGGCGGCAGCGAGGCTGGGGGAGGGGCGCCCACCATTGCCCAGGCTCACTTAGGTAAACAAAGCAGCCGGGAAGCTCGAACTGGGTGGAGCTCACCACAGCTCAAGGAGGCCTGCCTGCCTCTGTAGGCTCCACCTCTGGGGGCAGGGCACAAACAAAAAGACAGCAGTAACCTCTGCAGACTTACATGTCCCTGTCTGACAGCTTTGAAGAGAGCAGTGGTTCTCCCAGCACGCAGCGGGAGATCTGAGAACGGGCAGACTGCCTCTTCAAGTGGGTCCCTGACCCCTGATCCCCGAGCAGCCTAACTGGGAGGCAACCCCCAGCAGGGGCACACTGACACCTCACACGGCAGGGTATTCCAACAGACCTGCAGCTAAGGGTCCTGTCTGTTAGAAGGAAAACTAACAAACAGAAAGGACATCCACACCAAAAACCCATCTGTACATCACCATCATCAAAGACCAAAAGTAGATAAAACCACAAAGATGGGGAAAAAGAGAACAGAAAAACTGGAAACTCTAAAACGCAGAGCGCCTCTCCTCCTCCAAAGGAACGCAGTTCCTCACCAGCAACGGAACAAAGCTGGATGGAGAATGACTTTGACGAGCTGAGAGAAGAAGGCTTCAGACGATCAAATTACTCTGAGCTACGGGAGGACATTCAAACCAAAGGCAAAGAAGTTGAAAACTTTGAAAAAAATTTAGATGAATGTATAACTAGAATAACCAATACAGAGAAGTGCTTAAAGGAGCTGATGGAGCTGAAAACCAAGGCTCGAGAACTACGTGAAGAATGCACAAGCCTCAGGAGCCGATGCAATCAACTGGAAGAAAGGGTATCAGCAACGGAAGATGAAATAAATGAAATGAAGCGAGAAGGGAAGTTTAGAGAAAAAAGAATAAAAAGAAATGAGCAAAGCCTCCAAGAAATATGGGACTATGTGAAAAGACCAAATCTACGTCTGATTGGTGTACCTGAAAGTGATGGGGAGAATGGAACCAAGTTGGAAAACACTCTGCAGGATATTATCCAGGAGAACTTCCCCAATCTAGCAAGGCAGGCCAACGTTCAGATTCAGGAAATACAGAGAACGCCACAGAGATACTCCTCGAGAAGAGCAACTCCAAGACACATAATTGTCAGATTCACCAAATTGAAATGAAGGAAAAAATGTTAAGGGCAGCCAGAGAGAAAGGTCGGGTTACCCTCAAAGGGAAGCCCATCAGACTAACAGCGGATCTCTCGGCAGAAACACTACAAGCCAGAAGAGAGTGGGGGCCAATATTCAACATTCTTAAAGAAAAGAATTTTCAACCCAGAATTTCATATCCAGCCAAACTAGGCTTCATAAGTGAAGGAGAAATAAAATACTTTACAGACAAGCAAATGCTGTGAGATTTTGTCACCACCAGGCCTGCCCTAAAAGAGCTCCTGAAGGAAGCGCTAAACATGGAAAGGAACAACCAGTACCAGCCGTTGCAAAATCATGCCAAAATATAAAGACCATCGAGACTAGGAAGAAACTGCATCAACTAATGAGCAAAATCACCAGCTAACATCATAATGACAGGATCAAATTCACACATAACAATATTAACTTTAAATGTAAATGGACTAAATGCTCCAATTAAAAGACACAGACTGGCAAATTGGATAAAGAGTCAAGACCCATCAGTGTGCTGTATTCAGGAAACCCATCTCACGTGCAGAGACACACATAGGCTCAAAATAAAGGGATGGAGGAAGATCTACCAAGCAAATGGAAAACAAAAAAAGGCAGGGGTTGCAATCCTAGTCTCTGATAAAACAGACTTTAAACCAACAAAGATCAAAAGAGACAAAGAAGGCCATTACATAATGGTAAAGGGATCAATTCAACAAGAAGAGCTAACTATCCTAAATATATATGCACCCAATACAGGAGCACCCAGATTCATAAAGCAAGTCCTGAGTGACCATTACATAATGGTAAAGGGATCAATTCAACAAGAAGAGCTAACTATCCTAAATATATATGCACCCAATACAGGAGCACCCAGATTCATAAAGCAAGTCCTGAGTGACCTACAAAGAGACTTAGACTCCCACACATTAATAATGGGAGACTTTAACACCCCACTGTCAACATTAGACAGATCAACGAGACAGAAAGTCAACAAGGATACCCAGGAATTGAACTCAGCTCTGCACCAAGCGGACCTAATAGACATCTACAGAACTCTCCACCCCAAATCAACAGAATATACATTTTTTTCAGCACCACACCACACCTATTCCAAAATTGACCACATACTTGGAAGTAAAGCTCTCCTCAGCAAATGTAAAAGAACAGAGATTATAACAAACTATCTCTCAGACCACAGTGCAATCAAACTAGAACTCAGGATTAAGAATCTCACTCAAAACTGCTCAACTACATGGAAACTGAACAACCTGCTCCTGAATGACTACTGGATACATAATGAAATGAAGGCAGAAATAAAGATGTTCTTTGAAACCAACGAGAACAAAGACACAACATACCAGAATCTCTGGGACACACTCAAAGCAGTGTGTAGAGGGAAATTTATAGCACTAAATGCCCACAAGAGAAAGCAGGAAAGATCCAAAATTGACACCCTAACATCACAATTAAAAGAACTAGAAAAGCAAGAGCAAACACATTCAAAAGCTAGCAGAAGGCAAGAAATAACTAAAATCAGAGCAGAACTGAAGGAAATAGAGACACAAAAAACCCTTCAAAAAATTAATGAATCCAGGAGCTGGTTTTTTGAAAGGATCAACAAAATTGATAGACCACTAGCAAGACTAATAAAGAAAAAAAGGGAGAAGAATCAAATAGACACAATAAAAAATGATAAAGGGGATATCACCACTGATCCCACAGAAATACAAACTACCATCAGAGAATACTACAAACGCCTCTACGCAAATAAACTAGAAAATCTAGAAGAAATGGATAAATTCCTCGACACATACAGTCTCCCAAGACTAAACCAGGAAGAAGTTGAATCTCTGAATAGACCAATAACAGGAGCTGAAATTGTGGCAATAATCAATAGTTTACCAACCAAAAAGAGTCCAGGACCAGATGGATTCACAGCCGAATTCTACCAGAGGTACAAGGAGGAACTGGTACCATTCCTTCTGAAACTATTCCAATCAATAGAAAAAGAGGGAATCCTCCCTAACTCATTTTATGAGGCCAGCATCATTCTGATACCAAAGCCGGGCAGAGACACAACCAAAAAAGAGAATTTTAGACCAATATCCTTGATGAACATTGATGCAAAAATCCTCAATAAAATTCTGGCAAACCGAATCCAGCAGCACATCAAAAAGCTTATCCACCATGATCAAGTGGGCTTCATCCCTGGGATGCAAGGCTGGTTCAATATACGCAAATCAATAAATGTAATCCAGCATATAAACAGAGCCAAAGACAAAAACCACATGATTATCTCAATAGATGCAGAAAAAGCCTTTGACAAAATTCAACAACCCTTCATCCTAAAAACTCTCAATAAATTAGGTATTGATGGGACGTATTTCAAAATAATAAGAGCTATCTATGACAAACCCACAGCCAATATCATACTGAATGGGCAAAAACTGGAAGCATTCCCTTTGAAAACCAGCACAAGACAGGGATGCCCTCTCTCACCACTCCTATTCAACATAGTGTTGGAAGTTCTGGCCAGGGCAATTAGGCAGGAGAAGGAAATAAAGGGTATTCAATTAGGAAAAGAGGAAGTCAAATTGTCCCTGTTTGCAGACGACATGATTGTATATCTGGAAAACCCCACTGTCTCAGCCCAAAATCTCCTTAAGCTGATAAGCAACTTCAGCAAAGTCTCAGGATACAAAATCAATGTACAAAAGTCACAAGCATTCTTATACACCAACAACAGACAAACAGAGAGCCAAATCATGAGTGAACTCCCATTCACAATTGCTTCAAAGAGAATAAAATACCTAGGAATCCAACTTACAAGGGATGTGAAGGACCTCTTCAAGGAGAACTACAAACCACTGCTCAAGGAAATAAAAGAGGATACAAACAAATGGAAGAACATTCCATGCTCATGGGTAGGAAGAATCAATATCGTGAAAATGGCCATACTGCCCAAGGTAATTTACAGATTCAATGCCATCCCCATAAAGCTACCAATGACTTTCTTCACAGAATTGGAAAAAACTACTTTAAAGTTCATATGGAACCAAAAAAGAGCCCGCATCGCCAAGTCAATCCTAAGCCAAAAGAACAAAGCTGGAGGCATCATACTACCTGACTTCAAACTATACTACAAGGCTACAGTAACCAAAACAGCATGGTACTGGTACCAAAACAGAGATATAGATCAATGGAACAGAACAGAGCCCTCAGAAATGACGCCGCATATCTACAACTATCTGATCTTTGACAAACCTGAGAAAAACAAGCAATGGGGAAAGGATTCCCTATTTAATAAATGGTGCTGGGAAAACTGGCTAGCCGTATGTAGAAAGCTGAAACTGGATCCCTTCCTTACACCTTATACAAAAATCAATTCAAGATGGATTAAAGACTTAAACGTTAGACGTAAAACCATAAAAACCCTAGAAGAAAACCTAGGCATTACCATTCAGGACATAGGCATGGGCAAGGACTTCATGTCCAAAACACCAAAAGCAATGGCAACAAAAGACAAAATTGACAAATGGGATCTAATTAAACTAAAGAGCTTCTGCACAGCAAAAGAAACTACCATCAGAGTGAACAGGCAACCTACAAAATGGGAGAAAATTTTCGCAACCTACTCATCTGACAAAGGGCTAATATCCAGAATCTACAATGAACTCAAACAAATTTACAAGAAAAAAACAAACAACCCCATCAAAAAGTGGGCGAAGGACATGAACAGACACTTCTCAAAAGAAGACATTTATGCAGCCAAAAAACAAATGAAAAAATGCTCATCATCACTGGCCATCAGAGAAATGCAAATCAAAACCACAATGAGATACCATCTCACACCAGTTAGAATGGCAATCATTAAAAAGTCAGGAAACAACAGGTGCTGGAGAGGATGTGGAGAAATAGGAACACTTTTACACTGTTGGTGGGACTGTAAACTAGTTCAACCATTATGGAAGTCAGTGTGGCGATTCTTCAGGGATCTAGAACTAGAAATACCATTTGACCCAGCCATCCCATTACTGGGTATATACCCAAAGGACTATAAATCATGCTGCTATAAAGACACATGCACACATATGTTTATTGCGGCATTATTCACAATAGCAAAGACTTGGAACCAACCCAAATGTCCAACAATGATAGACTGGATTAAGAAAATGTGGCACATATACACAATGGAATACTATGCAGCCATAAAAAATGATGAGTTCATGGCCTTTGTAGGGACATGGATGAAATTGGAAATCATCATTCTCAGTAAACTATCACAAGAACAAAAAACCAAACACCGCACATTCTCACTCATAGGTGGGAATTGAACAATGAGATCACATGGACACAGGAGGGGGAATATCACACTCTGGGGACTGTGGTGGGGTGGGGGGAGGGGGGAGGGATAGCATTGGGAGATATACCTAATGCTAGATGACGAGTTAGTGGGTGCAGCGCACCAGCATGGCACATGTATACATATGTAACTAACCTGCACAATGTGCACATGTACCCTAAAACTTAAAGTATAATAAAAATAAAATAAAATAAAATAAAATAAAAAAAAAAGAAAGAGGCCCAGGATAGCTGCCTTGCCCCTTCCACCATGTGAACAGTGAGGAGGCACCCTCACCAGACCCCAGATCTACCAATGCCTTGATCTTGGACTTCCCAGCCCCCAGAACTGTGAGAAATACATTTTAGTTGTTTAAAAGCCACTCAGTTTATGGTATCTGTTGTAGCAGCCTGAACAGACCAAGACAGGCCCCCTTGGCTTCATGGCAGGAGACAGAGCTGTGGCCCCTCCAAGGCTGCACACAGAAACTGGTAGCTTTTTAAAACATTTAATTTAACTTTTTTTGAAACAGAGTCTTGCTCTGTCACCCAGGCTGGAGTGTAGTGGTGCGATCTCAGCTCGCTGCAATATCCGCCTCCTGGTTTCAAGCGATTCTTATGCCTCAGCCTCCCAAGTAGCTGGAACTACAAGCACCCGCCAGCACACGCAGCTAATTTTTGTATTTTTAGTAGAGACGGAGTTTCACCATGTTGGCCAGGCTGGTCTTGAACTCCTGGCCTCAGGTGATCCACCCGCCTCGGCCTCCCAAAGTGCTGGGATTACAGGCGTGAGCCACCACACCTGGCCAGAAACTGGTAGCTTTTACAAAAAAGAAACCAAAGTACCACTGGGCTGGAGGGGCCAAGAACTCCACAAATGTTCACCACATCAACAGTTCCAGTGGCCAAAGCTCAAAGCAAAGAGTTTTAGCCTTTCTGCCACGAAGGCCCTTTTTATTATCTTCATCTTCCAGAAGCTCAATTTCTTAAGGATTTTGCCAACAAATAAACTAACTGTATGCATTAATTCATTACAAATATTGTATTAGTCCAGGGCGTAATTGCTCATAGAACTTCTGATTGACCAACATGGCCAGTGGAGCTGCAAAGAGAGTCAATCTTTCAAGTCACCTGTGCAGCCTTATCATGCTTTTTGAAATACCAAAAATAGCCCTAGGAGTATACACTACCACCTTCCCAGGCATCTGGGCCCCCAGGTGGGAAGCGACAACTTAATATGTTTCCTCTCCTGAGAGTGCATCATTCTAGCAGCCCACTAGAAGCCAGAAATGTCCTCAAGAGCCAAAGGAATTGGCCCAGCGGGGCGCTTCAGGCATAGCGGCAGGCCTTGCTGCAAATCCTGTGGTTAAGGCTGCTGTGCAGACTGACTGGCCCTGACTTCAGTAAACTGAGTTCCTTGTGAGAGCAGAGCAGGTGTGATGTGAACCCCCCAGGATGCTTTGTCAGGTGGACAGAGCTTGGGCCAAATGCCTCCCTTTCCTCATCTGCCAAGTGGAGATGATGACATCCCAAAGGTCACAGGCTTTACTGTAAGAACTCAGTGAATTGGTACCTGCCAGGCACTGGGCTGGTTAGTACTTCACCTACCACTTCATTCATCCTGCCTGAGTCTTTTAGGAGGAACAGACAAGGAGTGGGCTGGGGAGCTTCTTGAAAGGATGAAATGAGCAAATGCATGCAAATCTCTATGTGTATAAAATGGTGTTTTGTGCACGTGTCTGTCTGCATTCACCCCTCCCCCAGCTGACTTCACCCCTCATCCCAGGTGGCATGGCGTACACTGTTTCTTTCCTGATGACTCCACATTCATAATCTCCAGCTTTGATCTCTCACCTCCTGACGTTTCCACTCACAGCTCATGGGCGTCTCAGGTGCAGTATGTTTTTTGTTTGTTTGTTTGTTTTTGAGACGGAGTCTTGCTCTGTTGCCCAGGCTGGAGTGCAGTGGCGCGATCTCAGCTCACTGCAAGCTCCGCCTCCCGGGTTCACACCATTCTCCTGCCTCAGCCTCCTGAGTAGCTGGGACTACAGGTGCCCACCACCACGCCCAGCTAATTCTTTGTATTTTTTAGTAGAGACGGGGTTTCACCGTGTTAGCCAGGATGGTCTCAATCTCCTGACCTTGTGATCCGTCCGCCTCAGCCTCCCAAAGTGCTGGGATTACAGGTGTGAGCCACCGCACCAGGCCAGGTGCAGTATGTTTAAACCCATTCCTCATTTCCCCTCATCCTCCTCGTCTCATTTCATGTCAACTCCATCCTTCCAGTTGCTCAGACTGTCCTTGGGTTGTCTTTTACTCTTCTCTTTCTCTCACACCCCACATCTGACCTGTCAGCACATGGTCAGCTCCACCTACAAAATGTTTCCAGAACTTGCCCGGTTCTCACCTCCTCCATGGCTTCCGTCCTGGTCTTGTGCACCATCCTCTTGCCTGGACTTCCGCAGGAGCCTCCTCACTGTCCCGCTTCAGTCCTGGCCCCACACAGCTTCAACAAAGCCACCAGAGGAAGCTGTTGGAATACAAGTCAGATCGTGTCACTCCTGTGCTTAAAGGCCTCCAGTGGTTCCACACCCAAAGGACAGGGTCCTGAGAATGTCCCAGCAGCCTGAACGCAGTCCATTCTCCACCTGCCTCTCCAACCTCCTTCCTCCCACTCTCCCTCGTGCCTCTTGCTGATTCCGTCAGGCACGCTTCTGCCCCAGGGACTTTGCACTTGCTGCCTCCCCACTTTGGATAAACATTTTATTTTAGAATAATTGTAGATTTACGGAAAATTTGAGAAGATAGTACAAAGAGTTCTTATAAACCCCACACCTGGTTTCTCCTATTCCTGACATCTTACATTAAAGGTACATTTGGTACAATTCATGAACCAATATTGATATATTGTTGGGAACTAGAGTCCATACTTAATTCAGATTTCCTTAGTTTGTATCTAATAGCCTTCTGCTCCAGGATCCCATCCAGGATGCCACATTCCATTTAGTTGTCATGTTTCCTTAGGTTCCCTTTAGCTGTGACAGTTCTGTTCCCTCTTTTTAGAATGCCTCACTCATTCATTCACCCCTTATGATCGGCACTCGAATGTTACCATCTCAGCTAATCAGACAGTCTCTATCCCTCTTCTCTGCTTTAGTCTTCTCAGTATTTGGCACTATC
The DNA here is from genome assembly GCF_000001405.40 of Homo sapiens. Classification (NCBI taxonomy): domain Eukaryota; kingdom Metazoa; phylum Chordata; class Mammalia; order Primates; family Hominidae; genus Homo; species Homo sapiens. The sequence continues at coordinate 25,515,689 of NC_000001.11, forward strand.
ATATTTTTATTCTATTTAATTTATATTATTTGTTATCACCATCTATCGTATTTTTAATTTTTACTTTCTTCTTTTTTTTTTTTCCTCAGGCTGGAGTGCAGTGGCACGATCTTGGCCCACTGCAGCCTCTGCCTCCTGGGTTCAAGCAATTCTCCTGCCTCAGCCTCCTGAGTAGCTGGGATTACAGGTGCGCACCACCACGCCTGGCTAATTTTTTTCTTCTTCTTCTTTTTTTTTTTTTTTATTAGAGATGGGGTTTCGCCATGTGTGCCAGGCTGATCTGGAACTCCTGACCTCAGGTGATCCACCTGCTTCGGCCTCCCAAAGTGCTGGGATTACAGGCGTGAGCCACCACTCCCTGCTATTTTTACTTTCTTACTTTGTGGTTTGTCTCCCCTGACAGAAATGTCAGCTTCATGAGGGCAGGGGTTTTTATCTCTTTTCACTGCTGTATCCCTGGCACTTGGAATCATGCCTGGCACATAGTAGGTGCTCAATAAATGTTTGCTGAATGAGGGAAAGAGCACTAGAATCTGACTGGCAGCCTCCGGATCCTCTTTCCATCCGTAGTCTGCACTCCTGCCTCTCTTCCTCCTCAGAGCCTGCCCAGTCCTGAAGACACCAATAAGAGAAAAGCTTTCAAAGCTCCTCCCTCATGCCAGACCCCACGTGCCCTTCTCATTACTCTTACAGCAATCCTGGGGGGTTGGGAGAGTTACCTTGACCTCACAGATGAGGAAACTGAGGCTCAGAGAGGCAGGGAACATTTCCCAGGGTCACATAGGCAGGAAGTGGAGAAGCTGGGATTTAAACTCAGGCTGGTGTGCTCCAGGGCCTGGGTGCTTCAATCACAAGATTGTCCTACAAGTCCCCAAGACTGGGTGAGGGTGTCTAGGAAGTCAGGACCCCCTGGATGTCACCCCCTCCCAATGTGCTGTATTATCTTGTGGGCAGGAAACACTGAGGCTCTGAGGTAGGGGCTGAAGGAGCTATGACAAAGAGGTCACTCTGGGGAGTCCCTAATGCTACCCTTGAATAGCCTCTTCCCCCCACTGCACCCCAGTTTTTGCTCCTGATGTTGGCCACGCAGCTGCCCCATTCCGTTAGAGTGCTGTCTCCACAGCTGCTGACACCTGTCTTCCCCAGCTGTCCAGGAAGGCATCTGAACCTGAGTGACCACTTGCAGCTGCCATGACCAACACCCAACACCCAACACCCACTCTGGGAGGCCTCACCCTCCAAGGCTTGTACCAGGGCCTTATGTGGCTGACACTCAGCCTGGCTGTAAGGAAGGGGTCTCTGTCCAGCTCTGTCCCCGTGGCCTGGAAGCTCTCTGGAGGAGACCCTGAATCCCAATCTTTCCCTGCCACCTCCACCTTCTCTTCTGTACCCCAAGCTGAGATGGTATCACCAAGGGTTAGGGTTAGGGTTAGGATCTTTTGGTTGCAAGCAACAGAAAACCAAATCAAATGGGATTTAAGCAAAGGAAGTTAATTGGCTCATATCACTGAAAACTCCAGAGGGTACAGCTGGCTTCAGGAAGGGTGGACAAAGGGGCTCAGGTGTCACCATCAGACCTGTTTTCTCCCCGGTCTTGCCTCAGCTATGTCTCCTTTGAGTGTTGGCTTCATTGTCACTCTCTACCTGGTGGCAAGAAGGTACTGGCAGCCTCTAGTTCTACAGCCAGGTTCCCTCCAATGGTAAACAAGCAAAAGTCCTAAGAGCCACTCAGACTGACTCTGCCTGGCTCTGGCCACCCCTGAACCAGTCACTGTGGAACATGACACAGACTATGGCTGGGACTGGACTTGGGCACCCTATACCCAAGAAAAAACTGGGACACTCTTACCGCAATGGTAAGCAGGTGCTGGACACGAAAAACAGGAGATGCTGCTGACACCTGGGGGAGGCCTGTCCCCACCCACTCAGAGACACGCCCCCTGCCACCGATCCAGGGAAGTGCGCAGCAGGTCAGCCTTTGGCTGCCGTCAGTCGGCCAGTCTCCCACATCTCTGGGACTCCTCTTGCCACGTCGCAGCTGGGAGAGGCCTAGGGAGAGGGGCTGTGTGCACGGATTGGCAGTGGGAGAGAGATGTAGGCCAATCAGAATATCACGCGGGTTGGAAAGGGGGCTACTGTGCGCGAGGTGCCTTCTCGTGCCCTGCCTCAGTGGGACCCTCACCTTAGCTCCGTGCAGGTGAGGAGGCTGGGCCTGGGCCAAGCTCTCACAGCTACAGGGTGCTGGGTGGAAGGGGGCCTCCTGCACTCGGAGCTCTTGGCTTGTCTCCACCCAGCAGCTCCCTTGAGGAAGGTGGGGAAGGTCGCAGCTTTGTGCAAAGGGAGCGAGTACACAATGTGGCCGCCTCCTCTTTTCCATCCCATCACCTCTCATTTCACCAACCTGCCTGAGGCTGCAATCAACACTCCCCGCGTGTGGGGGCGGAGCCAACCCACGAGGCCATGCTTCAGGCCCCTGATTGGTTCAGGAGTAGCGCTTGACCTAATGAGGCGCTACCAATGGGATGCAAAGAGACGTTCCCTGGCCTTCTGCCAGAGCGGTTTCCCTGTTCTCCCAACAAACAAACATACCTGGACCACGTGGCGCGAGGATATTAAGTTTAAGATGGTGGCAGCAGTTTTTGAGACCTTGCAGAGAGAGCTGCTGAAAGCTGCTGGGGGCGCAGCCTCTCAGGTTGTACACGAGGTGCTGAGGTTTTTTGTTTTTAATTTATGTATTTATATGTATTTATTGAGACGGAGTCTTCCTCTGTCGCCCAGGCTGGAATGCAATGGCGCCATCTCGGCTCACTGCAACCTCCGCCTCCAGGGTTCAAGTGATTCTCCTGCCTCAGCCTCCTGAGTAGCTGGGATTACAGGCTCCCACCACCACGCCTGGCTAATTTTTGTATTTTTAGTAGAGACGTGGTTTCACCATGTCAGCCAGGCTGGTCTCAAACTCCTGACCTCACACGATTCACCTGCCTCAGCCTCCCAAAGTGCTGGGATTACAGTGTTTTTTTATTTTTATTTTGTTTATTTTTATTTTTTTAAGACAGAGTCTCAGTCTGTCTCCCAGGCTGGAGTGCAGTGGCGCGATCTCGGCTCACTGCAACCTCTGCTGCCTGGGTTCAAGCAATTCTCCTGCCTTAGCCTCCCGAGTAGCTGGGATTACAGGCACCTGCCAGCACACCCAGCTAATTTTTGTATTTTTAGTAGAGACGGGGTTTCACCATCTTGGCCAGGCTGGTCTTGAACTCCTGACCTCGTGATCCACCTGCCTCGGCCTCCCAAAGTGCTGGGATTACAGTCGTGAGCCACCGCGCCTGGCCCGTTTTTTATTTTTTTAGGGTCAGAGTCTCGCTCTGTCACCTTTCAGGCTGGAGGGTGGTGGCATGATCATAGCTCACTGTAGTCTTCAACTCCAGGGCTCAAGCCATCCACTCATCTCAGCTTCCTGAGTAGTTAGGACTACAGGCATGGACCACCACGACTGGCTAATTTTTAACTTTTTTATTTTTGGAGAGCCAGAGTTTCGCTATGTTATCCAGGCTGGTCTCATAACTCCTGAGCTCAAGTGATCCCCTTGCCTCGGCCTCCCAAAGCACTGCTAGGCGTGAGCTACCAGGCCTGGCCCAAGGCACTGAGGTTTGGACTCAGGCTGCCTCCTGCCTCAGCCAGAGTGATGAGCACTCATCCCTTCTGTGTGCTCACCCACCACAGGCCTAGCAGGGACATCTAACTGCAGTAAACTTGTCCTGAATAAATGAACAGCAGGATGAGTGATGCCTGCCCTCAACTTCCTCTCCCAAATGAGCTACTGAACTGGACTTGGGTCCCCTTCAGTTGCTCCCTCCCCCATCTCAAATGTCTCTCAGCCTCAGTCCCCTCATCTGCATAATGTGCATAATAATGGTATCCTAGAATTGTTGTGGAAACTAGAGTTAATATATGTCTGGGACATAGTAGGTACATAGCAAATGCCAATTATTATTATTATTATTATTATTGGTATTATTTCTCTCCAGGAACTTTAGTTTCCTCAGCTGTGAAATAGCAATTCATTTATTCATTCAACCAACTGCTGATCATCGCCCATGTGCCGGCCATTGTGGTTAAGACCTAGAACAGTAGCAGATGAATGAGTCATGGTCTCTGCTTGGAGGGACTAACCTTCTGGTGTGGCGGACAGTCATGTTAAAACCCAGGCCTGGCACAGTGGCTCATGCCTGTATTCCCAGCACTTTGGGAGGCTGAGGCAGGCAGATCTCTTGAGATCAGGAGTTCGAGACCAGCCTGGCCAAGATGGTGAAACCCCGTCTCTACTAAAAATACAAAAATTAGCCGGGCATGGTGGTGTGCGCCAGTAGTCTTAGCTACTTGGGAGGCTGAGGCACGAGAATCACTTGAACACGGAGGTGGAGGTTGCAATGAGCCGAGAGCCGAGATAACCCACTGCACTCCAGCCTGGGCAACAGAGCAAGACTCCGTCTCAAAAAAAAAAAAAAAAACGGAATTAAAACCCAGTGGGAGGAGAGCCACAATATATGTAAAGTCTATGTAGAAGTTAGGCAGCCTAGGGGTGGTGGGCAGCTATCTCCAGAATTGGGCTAATTGAGGGGAAGGATGAGAGCTGACTGTGTCCCTTGCTCTTTCTGGCTTCTCGAGTTGGCATGAAAACTTTTGGGGTGGGCTTCACTGGCTGTTGACTAGGACCATACAGACAGATCACCAGAAAGCCCAGGCTTAGGGTAGGTAGATGAAAGTTAAGGATCAGGGAAGAATGAACCAAACTATATCTCAGGCATTTTCCCCTAAAATGTTACCTTAGTTTTTAAGAATCAAGTGAAATAATATATAAATCTAATTCTTTAAAGACTTTTATCCTTTTGAAAAATGAGTGCAATTTATTTTAATAGAGGTGAATCTGTGATATGAGTAGCCACATTACACCGCCACCTGGTGGCAGCATACTAAAGTCACAGGTTTGTTTTCCTTTGAGACCAAGGGTACACCACAAACTCAGTTGTTTTTGGACGTGAGCAAAGATACCAAAGCCATTTTCCCCTTTCCCCTTCTCCCCAACCCTCTACTAAAACCCACTTCCATGGTTGGAGCTCCCAAGCTTCCAGCATTTTTGATTCAGCCACACCTGCTCCAGTTTCCAGCAGAGAAGCCAGCCTAGTTTTCCTCCCCATCTCCTGCCTCAGGCCCATCCTGCCCTCCAACTCTACATCAGAGCTAAACTCCCCAAGCCCTCGGCTCAGGCCCCAAGGGGAATGTGGATCAGGGAGAGAACCCTGCCCGAGGGTAAAGGTTAAGAGTGCAGATGCTACATGCACTGATGTGGGTTTGAATCTCCAGCTGACCACTTATTGGCTGTGGTCTCTCTACATCTCTAAGGCCTCTCTGAGCTTCACTTTCCCCATCTGGAAAAAGTGGGATGCAGTCTGGATTTCTTTTTCTTTTCTTTTTTTGAGATGGAATTTCACTCTTGTCACCCAGGCTAGAGTACAATCTTGGCTCACTGCAACCTCCACCACCCAGGTTCAAGCGATTCTCCTGCCTCAGCCCCCCGAGTAGCTGGAACTATAGTCATGTGCCACCACACCTGGCTAATTTTTGTGTTTTTAGTAGCGACAGGGTTTCACCACGTTGGCCAGGCTGGTCTCGAACTCCTGACCTCAGGTGTTCCACCTGCCTCGGCCTCCCAAAGTGCTGGGATTACAGCGTGAGCTACCATCCCCAGCCTGGATTTTTTTTTTTTTTTTTTTGAGACATTTTCACTCTGTCACCCAGCCTCTTTCTCCTCTGCTCAAGCAATCCTCCTGCCTCAGCCTCCCAAGTAGCTGAGACTACAGGCACATACCACCATGCCTGGCTAATTTGTTTTTTGTTTTAGAGATGGGGTCTCACTATGTTGCCCAGGCAGCTCTCCAACTCCTGGGCTCAAGAGATGCTCCTGCCTCAGCCTCCCAAAATGCTGGGATTATAGGCATGAGCCACTGCACTCAGCCCTAACAGAGATTTCTTCTTCTTTCTGTTACACGTCCTTCTACTCTTCTTTCTACAAGAACTGGCGTGGGTGGAGACCAAGAAATGCTGGGGAGGAGAGGAATGGAGAAGATCATGAGAAGCAGAATGCCCCTTCACTGCTCTTCCACCCTTTGCCGGAAATGTCTAAGGCCTGTCCTGTAGGACCTCCCTCTCAGGCTCCTCTCCCCATCCCAACCTCTCCAGTTCCCTCCGCCAAAGTTCCTCTGAGCCTGGTCCCCAACACCCTGGGTCATCTGAGAACCCACTTCGCATTGAATGGGCCATGACTGCCTCCCACCCACCCTGACCTCCCCACTCCACCCCCAGCTTGGGGCATTTGCACTGTGTTCCAGGCATTCTGGAAGGGGAGAAGTTTTGGAGCTGGGCTTCCTCAAACTTGGCAATCACTGGAGCTCTGTCCTAAAGCTTAGGAAATCAGCTTTCCACCCAATGGTGATGCTGTCTGGATCTTGTGTGGCCTTGGTCAAGTCACACACTCTCCCTTGAGCCCTGAATTCCCCATCCCGATATAGACCAGCTCTGACAGCATGGCTGCTGGGCCTGCCGAAGGGGTGGGCAGGGTGGGCAGGTCCTCTCCCCCCACCCACTTTCTCCTTGGAGAACCCCAGGATCCTGCTCAGAGGAGGAAGCAGTGCTCCCCCTAGGGAAGCGGATCCCAGGGGACTCCAGAATCCTCCCCCACACTCTGCGGGCAGCCAGCACTAAGTGCTGTATTAATTATTACCAGCCTCCCCTGGGAAGCAAATTCAAAGTGAGGTCACCATGGTAACCCAGACACTGCAATGTGACCAAATTTTTAAAGTGCTCAACATGTTCCAGGCAAATTACCTATCGATGGAAGAGAAAAGAATGAGGCTTCAATCCCACAGTTCAGTGGCCTTAGGAAGAAAAGCCCAGAAGCTCCCATGGGGCCTGGAACCTTTCTACAAAGGAGTGAGGCGGGGACAGGGATGGGAGATCAGAGCCCCACCTCGAGAGAGCAGAGCAGAGATGGAAATGACATCCAGGGTCCTGAATGATCTCTTATGGGTGGGCATGAGGCCTGGCCAGAGAGCCAGAGGGCCTGGGTCCTAGGACCAGCTCTGCCACCATTTAGCTCTGCAGCCCCAGGCCAGTCCCTTGCCCTCTCTGAGCCTCCAGTAAAGCCTCACCCAGAAGTATTTCTTAAAGGACCAGAGAGATGAACCATAGTGAGTTATTAACCTCATATATGAGGGTACGGGGTGGTAAGAAGAAGGGTGAGGGGTTTTTGCGAATCAGGCTTCTAAGGCAGAGACCTAGATTCAAATCCCACTTCTGCCATCCAGCAGCTGTGTGACCTTGGGTCAGAGACTTCACCCCTCTGAGTTGGCTTCCTTACCTGTAAGAGGGGGGCCAATCACAGTCCCACCGCCTCTGGGTGGTTATGAAGTTTAAATCAGATAATCCATGAAAAGCACTCGGCACAGCACCCTGGACAGAGTAGGGCCCCCTGTCATCATCTCTGCTGCCAATTAATAAGTGTCCCACGTGCCAGGCTCTAAGCTGAGCATGATGAACATGATCCATCACCAAATCCTCGCCACATCCTTCCCATGAGGCGGGTGCCATTGTTACTCCACTTTACAGGTGTGGAAATGGAAAGTAAAGCTAGCAGGGCGAGGCAACTCACCAAAGCACACAGATACCCATGGTGGGGGCCTGGATCCTGACCCAGGACCTTCTTCCTCCAGAACTCAGGCCCCTAACCATTCACCTGAGTGAAATGAGATGTGTATTGAGTGCCCAACACAAATGCGTGGCACATTGTTGGTACTCACTAATAGTGGCCACTCACTGGCACATTCAGGGTTCACGTCATAGCCACCGTTTTGCCCCGATCCCCGTCTTCTGGCACTTGGGAACCTGGATCTGGTGGATTCAGCACTTGCATGGCTCAGGCAGTGATGAGGGAATTAAAGGCAGGGACCCACCCCTTCTTCCTGAGCAAGGGTCCCCTCTTCAGGCCACGGCCCAAAGGTGCATCACACTAGCCTTGTCGCCTCCTCTCACTGTCCCTGGGGCACTGGCTACCCTCACACTGCGGAGACACAGATACCCAGCAGTTGTCTCTGACCTCATCCCACCCAAGCTACTCTCTGGCCTTGCGTAGCCCCCGCCCACCCTTTCCTCCTGGGTCAGCCCCACCCCTTCCACCCCACCGTAACCCCCTGGCCAGCCCAGGCAGGACTGGCTTTCCTGGGACAGAATGAGGTCAGGCCTTCTGAGTGATAGATGGTTTTAATAACCAGCCATTCTTACTACCAGCCCATTTGCTCTTCACTGTTCCAGGCCCCACGTAGGGGCTAGAGTCAGCCCAACCAGTCAGGGAGAGCATCAGAGGGGCAGGGACCACCTGCCCAGCCAGCTCAAGGTCCTCCGGGGACCCAGAGCCACTCAAAGCTGAGCCCATGGGAAATAGCCAGCCCAGTGCTAGCCCTTCTGCTTGACAGTGGGATGACCTCAGCAAATCACTGCTCTTCTCTGAGCCTCAGTTTCTCCATCTGTAAAGTGGAGTACATGGGTCCCGCTACCTGCGGGGTCACTGCAGGGACGGAGCACGTGTGGCCTCACTGTGTAAATTTCAGTAGCATTAAGAGGCAATTCTGGTTATTGATCATCTTGGCTGCTGCTGGGTTGGGGTCCTCCAAAAGCTGACCCGGAGACAAGGATGAGAGAGCAGGTAGTTCCCTTGGGCAGTGACCCCAAGAAGCAAGGTGGGAAGTGGGGAAATGAGGCAGGACCAGTTCAGGCTGTGCTGGCGAACTGGCTATGGCCAGGGACGCTGGGGCTCAACCCTGCTGGAGTCCACTGGGAACTGGACAGGATGTGCCTCGGATTGTCCTAATCAAGGGCTGAGAAAGCTGGGGCATTTATCCACCAATTCCCACCCACCTCTGGTTGAGGACTGCTCTGAAAGACAGCAGCTCCCCTGCCCTTCCGACATCCTCTGTAAGGAGGCTGGACCTGCCTCACGGCCAGAGAAGGTCCCCAGAGAGTCCCAGGGACTTGGAGTAGGAGGTGCCACGTGCACAGGAACAATGCTGAAGTGATTAAGGCAGCAATCCCCATACGTGATCCTACTTATCCTCGCATCAACCTTATGAGGGAGGTACTATTAGATCCACTTTGCAGATGAGGAACCTGAGGCGGAAAGAAGTGACATACACTTGCCCGAGGCCACACGGCTCAGAAGGAGCAGGATTAGACACGGCTCCTGGATCTTTGCTCTTTTCACTGCCTCCCACATAGGCAGGATCTCTCCTCGTGTGGGTTGCAGTCAGCAGTGTGCTGATAAATGGTTAACGAAGGGAGGAAAAAAGCCCTGACTTGGGTGTTTGCTAATCGCCGTGGTGTAAATACTCCCACCACGGCCAATTTTAAGCTACCAAAGCAATGTCACTGAACACAGAGCTGGGCAAAGATGCTCACAGTTGGCTCTCATGAGCCAGTATGAGCTGGCTCTAGCACCCCACTAGTTGGAACATATTTGATCTCAACTCCTACCCAGCATAGCCCTCTGTGCCAATCAGGCTGAATTTCTCTCTAGGGTGCAAACACATCACACCTGTTCCTACTCCCACCCCTTTGCTCCTGCTATTTCTTCCCTCTGGAATACGCTTTTCCTTCTCTCCATGTATCCAAATCTTACTCGCCTCTTTAGAGCCTGCTACGGTCCCACTTCTTCCAGACTGTATTAGTCAGGATGAGTACCACTAGCTGCTATAATGAACAGCCCCATAATCTCAGTGACTCAACATAATCTAAGTTTATTGTTCACTCATCCTGCAGTCCACTGCAAGTAGCAGGGGTGTTCTGCTCCTTGCAGCCACAGGAACCCCAATTCCTTCCCTTTGTAAATGCTACCATCATCAACACTTCACTTCCAAGCTGACCACAGAAGAGGAAGAGAGCACGGAGGATCCCACAGGAGTTTCATGGCCATGTCTGGAACTGATGCTCATCAGTTACCTACTTTATTGGTCATCAGTTACCTACTTTATGGGCCTCTCCTAACTGCAAAGGGGCCAGGAAGTGTGGTTTAGCTGGAAATGTGATTTTCTTGCAAGGGAGAGATGAAGTCATGAAAATAAACCAAAGCCAGCTTCAGTTTCTACTTCCCCAATGTCCATGGTCCAACCTGACATCTTTATCTTCTGGATTCTTTCAGAGACAATTTTCTTTGGTGTTTGACTCAGATTGCCTGGAATGGGTTACTGGGTTGGTCTCTTCTGCCTCCATAACCTCACAGAGGCTCAGCTGTTGAAGTGCCCCTAGAGGCAAGGTTCCTAATGCTTGCTTCAGGTGTGAATCTACCTGTGGATTCAAGGTTCCCAGGCCAGATTTTCAGGTCTGGGGAAGAGTCCAGTAATCATTATTGTTGTTGTTGTTGTTGTTGTTGTTTTTAGAGACAGTGTCTTGCTCTATTGTCCAGGCTGGAGTGCAGTGGCATGAACATAACTTACGGCAACCTTGAACTCCTAGGCTCAAGTGATCCTCCTGCCTCGGTGTCCCAAATTGCTGGATTACAGGCATGAGCCACCATGCTCAGCCAGGAATCATTATTATTATTATTATTATTATTATATATTTTTTGAGACAGAGTCTCGCTCTGTCACCCAGGCTGGAGGGCAGTGGCATGATCTCAGCTCACTGCAGCCTCTGCCTCCCAGGTTCAAGCAATTCTCCTGCTTCAGCCTCCAGAGTAGTTGGGATTACAGGCACGCACCACCAGGTCCAGCTAATTTTTGTATTTTTAGTAGAGAGAGGTTTTCACCATGTTGGCCAGGCTGGTCTTGAGTTTCTGACCTCAAGTGATCCACCCGCCTCTGCCTCCCAAAGTGCTGGGATTATAGACATGAGCCACTGCGCCTGGCCCAGAAATCATTATTTTTAACCAGCTCGTTAGGGAGTTCAGATGCACAGCCAACACTGGGAACCACTGATCTCGTCCAAATGTGCCATTCCATGGATGTGGGTACTGGGACCTTGAGGGTAGGGGAAGGAATTTGCCGTAAGCCATGGAGTAAATTAAAGCTGGATCTGAAACTTAAAGCCAGGACTCCCAACTTTTAATCCTGGGTTCTGTCTACCAAAGCATGATGTGTGTCACCCTAAAGGATCTGACTGCTGACTCCAGCACAAGACACAGGTGGATGCTGAGTCAGTTGCAGGTTATCAAGATGACCTCAGAGGCCAAATATGGTGAGTTGAGTGTGAGTTCAGAGGCAGGCCCACCTGGGTTCAAACTCTGCCTCTTCCACCTACTTGCTGTGGGAGCTTGGGAAAATCTCTTAACCTCTCTTGAGCCTTTGTTTCTTCATCTGAAAAATGGGAATGATGACAGTGCCTATCCCTTAGGATGGTTAGGAAGACAAAATATACGAGAAGCGCTCAACATGGTATCTAGTAAGTTCTCCATAGGTACTCATTGTTGGCTCTGATTATCTGCCGATTGAATGGATATTCTCAAAGATGAGGCTGATCCAGGAGAAAGCCTCGCCTAGGTAAAGTTTCAGCCACTATGCAGACAGATTTTTCTCATGAAAATCAGCTCCCAAAATGTACATGCCGATCACTTGGAAACTCGAGCCGCACAGCTTGATCTCGGTTTTTATCCAATTTGGCACATAACTAATTGTTTTAAAAATACACCCAAGCTGTGTTGTGCATATGCAAGCCTGGACTCACTCCTGTGCACGATGGCTGTGTGGGACCCTGCCCGCCGAGGGCCAGGCTGGTTAGAAGGGGGACCAGGCTCTGCTGCGGTAACCAAGAGCCCCCACATCTTGGTGGCCTAGAACAACACTGAGACATGCTACAACATGGATGAACCTTGAAAACATGCCAAGTAGAAAGCCAGTCACAACAGGCCACGTAGAATAGAATTCTATTCATATGAAATGTTCAGAATAGGTAACTCCATAGAGACCAAAAGTGGATTAGTGGTTGCCAGAGGCTGGAGGGAGGAGGGAATGGGAGTGACCGCTGCAAAATACAGGGTTTCCTTTTGGGGTGATGGAACTGTCCTGGCATTAGCTAGTGGGGACGGTTGCACCACACTGTAGATGTATGAAAAGCCACTGAACGGTACACTTTAAAATAGTAACATTATGTCATGTAAATTATATCTCAATAATATTAAAACCACAGAAAAGAAATAATAAATAAATGATGGGGAATATTCCCTTCCCCGCTACAGAGTTATTCGCCCCCACCCAAGCACTGCCAGCCGCCCACTAGAGTTTTTGTGTTGTCACTTCTTGTGGACTGGTCTGTCTCCCCGGCCTTGGAACCCTTTGAGGGCAGGGCGAAGCCGGGCTACCTCTGCTCCTCTCTGCAGCCCCAGGCCCTGGCGGGCAGGCAGCATCAGGTGTCCAGCCCGTGCGCTCTTGCCGTCACTCCCAAAGCTGTGCCCGTGCCCTCCGTGTGCAGCTTGGGCTTGGAGCCTACAGGGAACTGGTCTCACATCCGTTCCATGACAGGGGTGTCCTCCCCTCTCGGGTCTCCCCAGGCCCATCTACTGCTGCCCCCAAGACCCCATGAGATGCCCGGCGGGGAAGCCCTTGGCCGCCAAGCATCCACCCCCTTCCATTCAGTGATGAGGAAAGCCAGGGCCAGAGAGAGAGATGGCCAGTGTCACACAGCAAGAGTAGACCAAGAGCCCAGCCACCCAGTGCCCTCCTTGCTGCTGGCACGCCAGAGGACAGGCCCACAGGGCTGGGCAAGCACCAGGGGACCCCTGCACCAGGCAGATGGCCCGCCTGGTGTATGAGGATGTGGAAGGACAGAGGGCTGGTTGGATCGGGAAGCTGAAATCACGAGGGGAAGGTCCCAGTGCCATCCTTATTACACGCCATGTTTTGATCATGGAGACAGCCGTTACCACAAAACCGCAGCCATGCCAAATTCATGGGCTTCCCTTTGCAAACACCCCTCCTCCCGCTCCAGGCTCACAGAACTGGGGTTCCCGTGTCAGGGATGGGGCTGGACCCTGAGATGAACCAGCCCTCTGGGAGCCATTGCGGCAGCCAGGACCGCAGCTCCCTGAGGCCCAACCTTTCCCCTCTTCCAAGGGCTCTGTGTTCGTGCATTTATTGGGCACCCATTGTGTGCCAGCTCCTATACCACAGGCTGAGGTTAAGGGGACAGCAAAACTGGCACAGGCCTTTCCTTCATGGAGCTCACAGTTGAGGGGGAGACAGGCATCCAACAATCCCACAATCAAGCTTTCCATCGCCACCGCCCAGACTGGTCATTGTGGACACACAGGGAACCATGTGTGGGAGCCCTGCCCTGGCCTGGGGGCACAGAGAAGTTTCTCTGATGAAGTGGGGCCTGAAGCGGGGGTTGGGGGGTAGCGGATGGAGGGCAGCCCCTCCCTCTGCTCTCCCAGCCTGCTGCCTCCCTCCGTGGAGTAGCTCCTGGGCATGGACCAGATGGGGAGTCTGTGGGTTTTGTCTATAGTATGTGCATGTGTGTGTTGTGTTGTGTGTTGTGTGTGGTGTATTGTATGTGTGTGTGTTGTGTTGAGAATATGCGTTTGTGTGTATGTATGTGTTGTGCCTGTATATATGTGTTGTGTGTGTTGTATGTTGTGTTTAGTGTGTGCATGTGTTGTGTGTTTGTGTGCTTTGTGTATGTTTATGTTGTGTGTATGTGTTGTGTGTGTATTGTACGTTGTGTGTATAGTGCCTGTGTGTGTGGTGTGTATGTGTCATGTGTGTGTGTTGCATGCATGTTGTGTGTATTGTGGGTCATGTGTATACTGTGTGTGCTGTGGTGCGCTGTGTGTTACGCAGTGCAAGGGGACAGCAGAGACAGCTCCCCTCCTCTCCCTTCCCAGCAGGGGAAGTGGCTTGGCGGTCAGGGAGGGGCTGTGGAGAGCCGGCCCCCCTGCTGGCACACCTCACCCACTGGAGCAGAAGAAGGAAGGGGTGCCCAGTCCTGTCTGCAGTGGGATGGGGGCGCTGCCCATGCTCCTGCCACAGGACTCCTACCCTGGCTCCACCATGGGCCTCAGCAGGGGGGTCCCTTTCTTCATTTGTAGATGGAGGCGCCTACGGCATCTGCCCCAGGGAATAACTGAGAAGAGGGGCGTGCTCACGGCACGCTGCACTGCAGGTGCGGGGCATTCTTCTGAAAACACCGCCTTGGTTAGTTTTTCCTCTTCAGAATCCCTTGGTGCCCCCTGATGGAGTCAGTCCTATTTTTTCTCACTGGTGTGGGAGACCCTGGGGGCTTGGTCCCTCTGCTCTGTCTAGGGACCCTCAACACCCCCTCTGCCCACCCCCACACACCTGGCTCATTCCACTGCCCTCCCTCCCCGCCCAGCCGCACCAAGCCCACCCTCGAGCCCCCAGCGCCCTCCCACCCGCTCAGGGTCCTCCTGTTCCTTCCCTTAGCGATGCCATCTCCAGGGGCCTGCGCCATCCTGTAGCCCCAACTAGACCCAGAGGGCAGGGCCCGGGCCTCCTCCAGCCTCCCGTTCCTGCAGTGCCTGGTGGAGGCTGCACCCGTGATCAGGTTGGATCCCGGGACTGCAGGGTTCAGACGATCTCATGTGAAGCGCCTCTGAACACCTCTGTCACGAGAGCCGCTGCTCACTTGAGACGGGGGGACAAGGCTGAGGCTGGGGGAGTGCTCAGGTCCCAGCCATTCCCAGAGCCAGCGGTCTCCCCTCCCCAGCCGCAAAAGGTAGTTCTTCCAGCCACTGTCTGCGACTCCCCTGGGAACATTTTTCACAAGGAGGAGACACATTCATGAGGCATGTGGGCACAGCCTCCACAACAAGGGACAAAGTGATTCCATCCCTGGTGAGAGGGGAGAGCCTCTGCGGGGCTGCGGGGCTGCGGGTCTTTATCTTTCTGCCTTCTTCACCTCCTCTTTGAACAGAGACTGGCTCTGGGTTCACAGTCCTGGGGGCACCAGAATCCAGCCAGAAAGAACAACACCCGCATCTGTTTATGGCAACTGAGCTGTTTTCTATTTGCATAGTTTCCTTTGAAAATAATTATTTAAGTAAAGAGGAGTGGGTTTTCCAAAACACACTATATAGCTATCAGTGCAGGCAAAGATGAAAGTGATTTTGGATGTTAGCGGTTTGGGAAACACAGCCTAAAGGGTTTCTGGGATCTGGGAGGTGAGACAGTAGTCCTGGTATTCTCCGGGTGTTGACAATGGTAACTGACTCACAGGTGGCCTTGTATCTCAAAGCATCAGGGGGTCAGCCTCCACGTCTCCAAAGCAACTGGAGGGAAGGGTGCTGGGGGCCAAGAAGGCCACTCCTGAGTGAGGGCCGGGCCTTGCTCGGGCTGTCCCCCTGGACCCTGTGTCCTCCCCAGAGTGTGAGTACAGCCTGCAGAGCCCGGGTCTGCCGTGGCCTTCTCTGTTCCCGACCCCCTTCCCCACAACTTTTCCTATAAACCTCTCAATCACAAGCAAGGGGGCCGATTACCCAGCCCTCCCTTCACTCCTCGATCACAAGCAAGGGGGCTGATTATCCGGCCCTCCCTTCGCTCCCCTCCCAAGGGCGGCAGGTCACCCTCCTTCTAGGCGAGGCTGACTTCTTGGCACAGCGCCTCCCCTGGCACCCACTCCCTGGACTGTCTCCTGCCCTGGGTTCCTCTTGCAGAGTCAGCCTCCTCCGTGGTTCCCAGCTGCTGAAAGAAGCTGCCCTCTGTGAGTCTGAGGTGGTTTTCTGGCACTTTCCTTTAAAACACTGCCACCACCTCCTATAGCTGTTGGGAATCCATAGAACAGACCAGGGTGAAGGTGAGGCCAGCGAGGTGCCTTGTGTGCAAGGTTTACGGAGGCACTCTCATCCTCAGCGAGCCCTGAATGTGAGTCTTGACTTTCGTATCCCAGGCCTCACACTAGTCCCAGCCCTACTGCAGAACCCAAGAAAAAGAAAACCTGCTGGTTAGAAGGGTTGGCCGGGCACAGTGGCTCATGCCTGTAATCCCAGCACTTTGGGAGGCCAAGGCGGCCAGATCACTTGAGGTCAGGAGTTCAAGACAAGCCTGGCTAGCAAGGTGAAACCCTGTCCCTACTAAAAATACAAAAATTAGCCAGGCGTGGTGGCAGGCGCCTGTAATCCCAGCTACTTGGGAGGCTGAGGCAGGAGAATCACTGGGACCTGGGAGGTGGAGGTTGCAGTGAGCTGAGAGTGCACCATTGCACTCCAGCCTGGGTGACAAGAGCAAGACTCCATCTCAAAAAAAAGAAGGGTTTTCTGGGGGTCATTGATGCTTAGACCCATTCTCATAGCAGTTACGGCCTTGGGAAAATACATCTGAGGGAGGCTGATTGGCAAGACTGCTGCCTAAACACAGCTGTGTGGGTTGTGCACTGCACAAGGGCATAAAGTGAATGGGTAGGGTGGCTGAAAGACAGCCTGTCTCCATGCTGTATGTCTCAGCATAGGGGAAGGGACACCTGTTTGTGTTTTGTCCATTGGTGAGGGAACCTATCAGTAGTTCTGACATGGGTATCAAATATGCTAGTGATGACCCTGTAGACACCGTGAGGAAATTAGACAGGGGCAGGGACTTGCCCTGGATGGAATACACAGAGCAGAACCCAAGTTTCTTGATTTTTTTTTTTCAGACAGGGTCTCACTCTGTTGCCCAGGCTGGAGTGCAGTGGTGCGATCTCGGCTCACTGCAGCCTCCACCTCCTGGACTCAAGCGATCCTCCCACCTCAGCCTCCTCAGTAGCTGGAACCACAGGCATGTGGTTTTGAAGCCAAAAAGGACTTGAAGCTGGAAGCAGATGGGGAAACCAGCAAGGGAAGCTTTCCAACATGGAGAGATTAACTCAAGAAGTTGCAGCCAAAGACAATCGATGGAAGTGACCTAAGGAATCCCAGGAAGGAGGGAAGCCCGGAGGTCCAGGCTGAGCGCCTTGCAGCCTGCTGGGCAGTTGTCATTCACACCCACAGTCCTGGGGCTGGCAGGAAGCAGAAAGGCTGAATCACTCAGGTCTGGAAAAGAATGCTGGAACCACCAAGTTCTGACGTGAGATATCGGAACCAAAATGGGCGAAACGGACAAGGGAAGGGACTGAAGCCCAGACTGCTGGGGAGTGGAAAGACGAGGGACCAAAGTCAGGCTGGAGAGCATTCATCATGCCACACTCCCAGGATGTTTACTGAGCACCTACTGTGTACTGGACTCCTCCGTGCCCTGGGGCTATGCACTGAACCCAGCATTCATAACCCCATCCTCTAAGGGTCCACATTCTAGTGGCAGGAGCAGACCATAAACAACAACCTTAAAAAATAAATCAATTATATAGACTGTCAGGATGCAATACACGCTATTTAAAACAAAACAACCACAGGATAAGAGGGATCAGGAGTGACCAGATGAAGCCAGCTGCATAATTTATAAAGCCCAATCCCAAATGAAAATGTGTGTGAGCCTGTTGTTCAAAAAGCAGACAAAAGGGGTCATTAAAGGTACATGTGGGCAGGTAAAGGTGCAGTGGTTCACGCCTGTAATCCTTGCACTTTGGGAGGCCGAAGCAGAAGGATCACTTGAGCCCAGGAACTTGAGACCAGCCTGGGCAACAAAGCAAGATCCTGTCTCTATTTGGAAAAAAAAAAAAAAAAAGAAAACAGGCACGGTGGCTCACGCCTGTAATCCCAGCACTTTGGGAGGCCGAGGCAGGTGGATCACTTGAGGTCAGGAGTTTAAGACAAGCCTGGCCAACATAGTGAAACCTAGTCTCTACTACAAATACAAAAATTAGCCAGGTGTAGTGGCATGTGCCTGTAGTCCCAGCTACTTGGGAGGCTGAGACTGGACAAAAATTAGCAAGGTGTGGTGGTACGCACCTGTAGTCCCAGCTACTTGGGAGGCTAAGGCTGGAGAATCACTTTAACTGGGGAGGTGGAGGTGAGCTGAGATCATACCACTGCACCCAGCCTGGGCAACAGAGCAAGACCCTGTCTCAAAAAAAAAAAAAACAAAAAAACTAAACAAAAAAACAAAAGAAAAGAAAAAAGAAGGTACACGGATAATTTTTTTTCTTTCTTCTGAGGTTTTTCTCTTGTCACTGTGTTTTTTTTATTGGCTATTTATGTGGTTCTAAGTAAGGAAAAATTAAAAATTTAAATTATTAGCATGAATTTTACCATTCATCTTTGTATTATGCAATGTCAGTTTACAATGCAAATATCAGAGCCTTTAACTTGTGTGTGGAATCACAGAAATTACTCAATTTTTCTTTCATGGCTCATCCCTGAGGGTGCCTCAAGCCGGCCAGAAGAGACAGACATAAGTCAGATGCAGGAAGATTGGAAGGAGGAAGAGGCCATCCCCTCAGCACAGGTGAGAAAGTGCTTCTGGGCACAGGAAGACTCATAAAGACCCTCATAGGTGCCCAGGGGCGCCACCCCACAGTGGAGGACACGCCCACTCTCTGGAGCCTGACAGTGGTCAAATTGTCCACGTGAACCCTACTGTGAGCACTCAACTCTCCCAGGCTCCCCTCTAGACAGACACTGGACTGATGCAAGGTACGCCGGGTGTGAGTAGGGTGTGTTGAAGCCAAGCCGGGCCTCTCCTTCCCACGGGTCCACTTCCCCAACCCTTGGCAGATGGGCCACCCCCAAGGGTCTTTAAACCTCCATGCCAGGATGTGCTGAGTCCCTGGATCAGTGTCTTTCCCCCGCTGAGATGTGGCCTCTAGCCAGCTACCCACCAGATGTGCCATGGTGCTGCCAGCCCAGGGTGGGGAGAGCTGCTGCCATGCCCTGCCCCAGATGACGAAGGGTGTGTGCACCTGATTCCAAACCATCCCCCCTCCCCCATGCCTGGGCCCAGGGTCCTGCCTGGCACAGGAGACAGCACAGCTGCAGAGTGGAGCTAGGCATAGGAGGCGAACAGGTGCTAACAGAAGGGGAGCAGCAGCGGAGCTGGCACACACTTAAGCTGAGGCTCTAAAGACTCTAGGCATGCTCCACTGTCCCATCAGACTTCATGTACAAAACACAAATTCAAAGATGAAATTATGAAGAATTGGCTGGGTGCGATGGCTCACGCCTGTAATCTCAACACTTTGGGAGGCCGAGGCAGGCAGATCACCTGAGGCCAGGAGTTCATGACCAGCCTGTCCAACATGGTGAGACCCTGTCTCTACTAAAAACACAAAAATTACCTGGGTGTGATGGTGCGTGCCTGTAGTCCCAACTACTGGAGAGGCTGAGGCAAGAGAATTGCTTGAACCCAGGAGGTGGAGGTTGCAGTGAGCTGAGATCGCGCCACTGCACTCCAGCCTGGGCGACAGAGTGAGACTCTGTCTCAAAAAAAAAAAAAAAAAAAAAAAAGAAGTTATGAAGAATTGCAGGACAGTAATGGCAGATGCCAAGTGGGGACCCTTCTGAGCCTGGGAGATAAAGGGGTCATAGGAAAGGAGGCTAGAGGAGGTTGTGCACAAGCTTTCTTTGATCCCCATTGTGACCAGGTTTAACTTGATTCGCTTGCAACAGCTGTGGGGACAGGGCTATTGCAAGTTGGGCCCTGTGGCCTGCATGGCTAGCACCCTCTTGCCCAGGCCCCCAAGAACCACTGATGGATGGATCTGCCAGGCCCCTTAACCAGCCTCTGTTCTTCCTTCTGCGGGAGGAGACAGATGAACAATTTCACAGCTTTTATCTCAGAAAACAACGGGGCTGGAGGCCTAGGGGAGCGAGATGAGCGAAGGCCTCTGTGTGGGGCATGACTGACCCTATGGCCCTTCCCTGGGTGGCCCTCAATGTGCTGGCTGGGCAGAGGGCATGGGAGGCAGCCGGTCCCTCAACCAGGACCCAAGCCTGCTCTGGTTCGTCTTATGCTCGGCATAGCCACACCCGGAGGGGTGCGGGAGCCAGGTGGCTCAAATGAGCATGTTGTTCAATATTTAGCAGTTTTGCAAGATGGTTATTAAACTTCTGGTAACTTGAAATTGGCCGTGGTGGGTGTATTTGCATCATGGAAATTGGCAAACAGTACAAATCAGAAATTGGGTTAATCAGCACGCCACCGACAAGGTAGCAAGCTGCCAGCACCATGGGGCAGGGAGCACCCAGAGACCCACACTCAACGCATGGCTCTGTGCGAGCCCTGGGCTGGGCACAGGAAACATCTAGGCAAATCAGACACTCTCAAGTACGCCTCCTCTCAAGTAGCAACCAGCCTAGTAGGGAGACAGAAAAGCAATGTGGAAAGTTATGAACCAAAGGGATACCATTGACAGCAGCTGTCGTATCTGAGGTCTCTACCGTGTGCCATGGTGCTGGAAACTTTTCACGTATCACCTCTAGACTCCACTGCACAGACGGGAAAATGAGGCTCGGCAGTATTAAGTCACCTGCCCAGGATTGTGCAGCTGGCAAAGTCAGGTCTGAAGCCCACATTGTTCTGACTGCTGAGCCTGTAGCCTTAACCATAGCGATGTCCTGTCCCCACACATGCTCCATGTGAAGTATGGAGAAGGGAGCAACCCCACCTGGGGTGAGTGCTGGAGTGGCATTGGGAAAGGCTTCCCAGGATTGGTGACATTTAGTCTGGGCTTTGAAGGATGAATAGGAGTTTGCCAGTTGGAGGGCAAACTGGAGAAAGGCATTCCAGGTAGAAGGAACAGCAAAGGCATGGAGAAGTAGGAGGACACAGGAAGTTTAGGGGAAGGGGTTACAGGGTAGTATCACAAGGCTATGTGGCTGGGGAGGACGAGGGATGGGAAGGTGGGTGGGGACTTCAGTGAGAAGGGCCTCGAAAGCCAGGCTAAGGGGTTTGGTCTTTATCTCACAGGCTTTGGAGAAGTTGAAGGTTCCTGGAAATCAAACCCTGGAACTATATAGATATTATGGCAAGATTGCCACCAATGTCTGTTTTATGAAGTCCACTAAGTAATGCTTCTCGAAGCATCAGTGGAGCAGGACCATTTTTAAAAGAATTTCTCTTCTGTCACAGACCAATGCTTTTGTAAAATACAAGGAAAACGAATTACTAGAAAAATACAATAAAATGACGAAAAACACAAGCCTAATTTTAAAAATGAGATTCAACAGACATAAAATTACTCTATCAAATTGCTCTAAAAGTTCTCAACCCTTAATATCTACACTCTCTTTGATAGCATTGGGCTTGTCCAGAGGTCTCTTTATAGGCCCAGATTCAGAACACATGCAGGTTGTCCTAGTAAGAGCTAAGTGCTCTCAGGCGAGTCCCATTTTAGAGCTGAGGAACCTGCTGCATGGAGACGGTAGGTAGGTGGGCTGCCCACGATCACACAGCTGCTGAGTGGGGCTTGGGACTCAAACCTGAGGCTGTCTGCCTTGTACTCAACCAGTCTGGAAGGTGCAGCAGACCCCTTAGCAGAGTCCTCTTTGGCCTGGCCCCTTCACTTTGTCCCTCCTCCTACCTCCTTTCAGCACAAGGTCAAGATCCCTGTAGACAGAAAAAGGGAAATAGAGCCAACTTAAGAAGGGAACTTCCTTGCCCAAAGTGCCACTGCAAGAGGGCGGCAGAGGTGGCCAGCCCCCAGGTCTCCTGACACCAGCCTGTCCTCAGTCACACCACTCTGCCTGCCTCCATGTCTATGCAGTGACCTCCAGGCCAGACAGTGCCAAGGAGGACGAGGGAAGCGGGGGCAGGAGGCAGGGGACTCATCAATTGCTGGCAATTACACGGTGCTTTGTCATTCTTAATTAGCTCAGTGGCTCCACAGCCTAGAGATCTCCCTGTGGATGCTAGGCTGGGGGAGGAGACAGCTGCTGGTCCCACCACGGAGGGCTATTTGGAGGGGTAGGTACCGAGGAGCTCCCCTCAGCAGCACCTCCCCAGCCCCATTAGGGGCTGCTGTTTCTCATCCTTCCTCACCCACTTGCCAGACACTATAAGAACCAGAGACAGAAATTAAGCCATTGGATGTGTATGGGGCATCTCCTTTGTGCCAGGCACTGGTCAGCAGCTCTAGGAGCCCCTGGAATGAATGCTGATTTCCAGCCCCCATGCTTGAGGCACGCCCAGCTGCTGGAAGAGGCAAACAGGCTCACCATAATCATGATAATGATAACCAGAGTTACCCTTTAAAAAAAAAGTTTATCTTCATTTTTATTTCTTTGAGACAGTGTCTCTGTCGCCCAGGCTGGAGTTCAGTGGCGCAGTCTCAGCTCACTGCAACCTCTGCCTCCTGGGCTCAAGCGATCCTCCCACCTCAGCCTCCTGAGAAGCTGGGACCACAGATGTGTGCCACCATACCCGGCTAATTTTTTAAATTTTGTTTTATAGAGACAAGGTTTTGCTTTGTTGCCCAGATTGGTCTTGAACTCCTGAGCTCAAGCGATGATCCACCCACCTCAGCCTCCCAAAGTGCTGGGATTACAGGCATGAGCCACCGTGCCCAACCCTGTTACCATTTACTGAGCGCTCGCCACACGCCTGGCACTAGACTAAGCATTTTCCATATATTATCCCACAGAAGGCTTACAAAGCCCTCTAAGGTAGGTATTATGCCCACTATACAGATGAGGAAACTGAGGCTCAGAGATAGCTAAGGTTACATATACATACATGGAGGATTTGTTTTAGAGCCAAGGTATGTGGAGCTCCAAGGTCTAACAGTTGTTTAGGAGTGTGTGTGTGTTGGGGAGAGAATACTGGTGTGTGGGTGGCTGTGATCATGGGTGTTAGGGAGGAGGCCAAGTAGCTGTTCAGGGCAAAGGTAGAGAGGCCAGGAGAGTTGAAGCAGTCTGGCTGGATGTTCCTGGAAGAAGCAGCTGCATGGGAAGGGTCTGAGGGAGGACGGGTTCAGAGGCAACTGGTTGGGGTGGTCAGGTCAGCGGGCACAGCAGGCAGGAAAGGCCCTGCATTTGGGGTAAAAGGTCAGAGCCCTGGGGCTTGTGACTCACCGGTAAGTAACCCAGGCTCCCTCTGACTCCCTAGGAGAGTACTGTCTCCGACCTGGGCCCCAGCTAGGATGGGGCAACCCTACCCTGTCCATTGAAGGTGTGATGTTAGCCTGCCTGCCCCTCAGACTGGGCTATGCTGGTTCCAACCCGGAGAGAGAGCTCCCTTCCCTGGGGACCAGCCAAGAATTATGATATTCATAGGTACTCCAGCCATGTCATCTTCATTGTTCACCCAGTTAGGAAAGCAATTTTAGTTTTATTAAAATATGCGGCTGGGCATGGTGGCTCATGCTTGTAATCCCAGCACTTTTGCAAGGCCGAGGCAGGCGGATCACGAGGTCAGGAGTTCGAGACCAGCCTGATCAACATGGTCAAACCCCTGTCTCTACTGAAAATACAAAAATTAGCTGGACGTGGTGGTGGGTGCCTGTAATCCTAGCTACTCAGGAGGCTGAGGCAGGAGAATCACTTGAACCTGGGAGGCGGAGGTTGCAGTGAGCCGAGATGGCACCACTGCACTCCAGCCTGGGCAACAGAGCTAGACTCCAACTCAAAAAAAAAAAAAAGATGGAGCTAGACTCCATCTCAAAAAAAAAAAAGTGTATATATATATATATATATATATGCAACATATACATCACTTACTATATGCCAGGCAGAATTCTAAACATGTCACAAACATTAACTTTTGTTAATGTCCCAGCCTGTAGGTGGGACTACAGGCGCCTGCTACCACACCCAGCTAATTTTTGTATTTCAGTAGAGAAGGTGTTTCACTATGTTGGCCAGGCTGGTTTCAAACTCCTGGCCTCAGGTGATCCACCCACCTGGGCCTCCCAAAGTGTTGGGATTACAGGCGTGAGCCTCGGCACCCAGCCTACATTAACTTTTAATCCTCATGATGACTCCATGAGGTGTAATCCCCATTATTCTAGTCTATTCAGGCTGCTCTAATAAAAATACCAAAGGCCGGCTGCCTTATAAACAACAAAAATGTATTTCTCACAGTTGCAGATGCTGGGAAGTTCAAGTTCAAGGTGTTGGCATATTCGGTCTGGCGAGGGCCGGCTTCCTGGTTCATAGATGGCTGTCTTGTCACTGTAAGAGTGAACAGGGCCAGGAATCTCTCTGGGGTCTTCTTTATGCTCATCCCATTCATGAGGGCTCTGCTTTCATGAAAGGATTACCTCCCAATGGCCCCATCTGCTGATACCTTGAAGGTTAGGATTTTGACATACGAATTTTGATAGGACAGAAACATTCAGTCCATTGCACCAATTTTACATTTTAGAGGAAACTGAGGCCTGTGGAATTTAAATAATTTGCCTAAGGCCATGCAGTAAAGAAATAGGGAAGCCTGGATCCCGGGATGCAGCATCAGTGTGCTTCACTACTGCGCTCTGGTGTCTTCCACTAATAACTCCCATTTTACAGATGAAGAAACAGAGGAAGGGATTGGCTCAGGGAAGTAGGGAGGACAGACCACCTGAGGAAACCAGGGACTCTCATCCCAGCTTAGGCTTTTGTCTTGGTCCCACTGCAAGCCCAAATGATGGCTGGAGAGAGGCTGACAGCCCTGTCAACTCCTTGGCATCCACTATCTCGCTGGGGTCCTGTGGGTCCACTGAGGAAGAAATTAGTAAGATTGTAGCTGATGCCATTTGACTAAAGACAAAAGCCATTTATTCTTATAGGTAGCTCCCCGACCCCGTTTATTGTTCTTTTTCTGATTACTAAAGGAACATGATCACTGCAGAAATGTTTACAAAGTTAGAGCAGATAAACAGAAAACCAAACAAAAGAGAAAAGAAAAATCCCCTTTCAAGCCCCTCTTGAATCTCAGGACTTATTTTTTTCTTTTCTTTTCTTTTCTTTTTTTGAGACGGAGATTCGCTCTTGTCGCCCAGGCTGGAGTGCAGTGGCGTGATCTCGGCTCACTGCAACCTCTGCCTCCTGGGTTCAAGCGATTCTCCTGCCTCAGCCTCCCGAGTAGCTGGGATCACAGGCATGCGCCACCACGCCCGGCTAATTTTGTATTTTTAGTGGAGACGGGGTTTCTCCACGTTGGTCAGGCTGGTCTCAAATTCCCGACCTCAGGTGATCCGCCTCAGTCTCCCAAAGTGCTGGGATTACAGGCACGAGCCACTGCACGCGGCCCTACTTCTTTGCCTCCTCCTCGTTGTTATAAGCATCCAAGGTGGGAGGCAGGAGACCTGGCATCTGTTCCTGGCTTGCTGTGTAACCTTGCGTAAGTCCCTGTCCCTCTCTGGGCCTTAGGCTCCTCATCTGTGAAATGAGGGTTTGGCCACAGTGACCTCAGAGGAGGCCACTCGCAGCTCTGACCTTCTGTTTCTGCTTCTGTTTCTGGGATTGGCAGAAGGGGCACTAGCAGGCTGCCCCTCTGCAGGGGACACATGGCTGACAGCTCGCAGCAAGCCATCTCCGGGAAACTGCAAAGGCTGGTAAACAGTTCTCGTTGCACACGCAGCGTTCCCAGGCCTTCCTGCTTATCAGGCCCATATGGTGCCCCCTGCCAGCCGGACACCACCAGCTGCCCTTGGCCAGTCTGCCCTGGGTGATCACTTTTCCTCCCTGCTTCAGAATGCTCTCTCTACTATTCCAGAATCTAGCTGGCTTGGGATAAGTGAGCTGGGGGCACTCAGCCCTGTGGACCCATCTACCTATTGCCACAGCCCTTTTGCAGAAGGCAGCCTGGTTTGGTGAAAAGCTGGAGAAAGGGAGAAGGGGAGGAAAGGAGGGAGGAAGGACAGGAACACTGACTGTGTTCCAACTCCATTTGGACCCCTTACTAGGCATTTGGGATTCAGAAATGAATCAGAAAAACTTCCTGCTTTTGGAGGGTACAAAGTCTAATGGAGATGAGAGGAGTATAAACAGGCAGCAGTAGTGCTTGCAATCCTGAAAGTTCAGGACTGTGGGCGCCCACAAAGAGAAACTTAATCCATGGGTGGTAGTCAGGGAAGCCTTCCTGGAGGAGGCAACTTTAAAGGTGGGTTCTCAAGAACAGGATTCAGCCATTCCAACTCCTGTTATTTAGTCCTTAAGGACAGCCCTGTGAAATAGATATAGTTGTCCCTTTTACAGATGAGGCTCAGAAGGGTGAGTTCACAACCACCAGAAGGACAGCTGGGTTCTAACCCCTGGCATTATACTCTACCCCATTGCCTATGGGCCTGAGTCTGATCCCAGTCTCTGACTCTCGGAGACTATCAGTGAATGCTTCCCTCCCTGACCTAGGGCTGTCATCTGTAAAGTGGGTCCACCTAAGCAGTGTTGCTGGGGAAGCCAAGGACAGACTGGCTAACAAAGCACTTGGTTTATAAACAGGGGAATGTCAGTGAGGCCGCCCTATCCAGCTGGGGACAGCACAGCACTATCTTTCTCCCGACACAGAGAGGACTGCTGGCTTCTGAGCCAGGAGTAATTACAGAGGTTGAAGTTGGCCTTGCCTGAGGCACCCCCTTCTAAAAGAAGCCAGGCTGTGGCTTGGATGTGTGTGTCCTCCCTCTGGCTCCTTTTGGCACAGTTTGAAAGGAAGGCATGGCATCCTAGAGAGTTAGAACAAATCCTTCCAATCCTGGAGTTAGAACATCTGTGCCTGAGCAATTCTGGGGTTCAGACTGCCCTCCGAATGCTCCTAGGAAGCAGCTTGGGGTCAGGGTCAAGGTCATGCAGATTCTTGACCCTGGCAGGTTGGAAGGATCACTAGAGATAGCATTGACTCTCATTCACAGATAAACAAGACTCAGAGAGGGGAAGTACTTGCCTGAGGTCACACAGCAAGTCAGTGTCAGGGGCACGTTCCAGATCATACCATCTGTGAGGCTACCTGGGAAGTTGCGGGGGCATGGGGTGGCCCAGCATGCTCAGGTGGTGCCAGGGAGCAGCCTGGGAGCTACGAGGATGAGTAAAGTGCCTGGCTGGACTTGCTAAAGGCAAATTTTTATATACCGACCCTGCGCCTAACAAGGGTCTATACTGCAAGCTTGTCCAACCTGTGGCCCACTGGCCATGTGAGGTCCAGGACGGCTTTGAATGGAGCCCAACACAAATTGGTAAAGGTTCTTAAAACATTATGAGATTTTTTTGGGCAGGGTGTGGTGGCTCACAGCCATCCCAGCACTTTGGGAGGCTGAGGCGGGCAGATCACTTGAGGTCAGGAGTTCGAGACCAGCCTGGCCAACATGGTAAAACTCCATCTCTATTAATAATACAAAAATTAGCCAGGCATGGTGGTGCATGCCTGTAATCCCAGCTACTCGGGAGGCTGAGGCATGAGAATAGCTTGAACCCGGGAGGTAGAGGTTGCAGTGACCCGAGATCGCACCACTGCACTCCAACCTGGGCAACAGAGTGAAACTCTGTCTCAGGGGAAAAAAAACAATACAGAAAAACAAAAAACATGAGTGTGTGTGTATATATATATATTTCAGCTCATCAGCTGTCGTTAGTGTTAGTGTATTTCATGTGTGGCCCAAGACACTTCTTCTTCCAATGTGGCCTAAGGAAGCCAAAAGTTTGGATATCCCTGGCTTACAGCCTCCACTATTTCCTAAGTCTCCCACTGCCCTGGACATCGCATTGCTTTTGTCCCTGAACAAGATCTTTCACCACTGGAGGAGCCCTCAGTCTCCCCATCTGTAAAATGGTCACTGGAAATCCTAGGCCGCTGCTCTCAGGCCCTCAGGCCCCTACGGGGTGGGGATTGGGGAAAAGGAGGAAAGCGGGGGCGTCTAGGGCTTGCGATTTGCTATCTTCTGGCGCCTTCGGGCGGCCTCGGAAACTCTTGGTGCCTGGACCTGGAGCCTGGACAGGGACCGGGCGGGGCGAGACCGGCCGTCGGGGGCGCGGCCCGTCTGGGGGCGGGGCCTGTCCTCTCTCGCCCCGCCCCGTCGGACGCCGCGGCGGAGCTGGCGCTGGGAGGGGAGGAGCGCGCAGCCCGCGCGCCGCAGGGCCGGGCGGAAAGTTTTTCCTGACGGAGTTTTGGCTGCGGCAGCGGCGGCGGCGGCCGGAGCGGGCCATGGACGCGCTCAAGTCGGCGGGGCGGGCGCTGATCCGGAGCCCCAGCTTGGCCAAGCAGAGCTGGGGGGGCGGTGGCCGGCACCGCAGTGAGTGTGCGCGCGTCAGCCGGGCCGGGCCGGGATCGGGCAGAGGCGCGCGGGGCCTCCGCGGGCGCCCGGAGTGCGGCCAAGTTGGGCAGAGGCGGGGCCTCACCGGCGCTCCGGTCCCGGCGTGGCCCTTTCCCGGCCCTGCGGGGCAGGGGGTCGGCCGGGGTCAAGTTGTGCACCTACTCGCCGGCCGCTCGATGCCGCTGCGAGGAGGGGCAGCGCTGAGGAAGGAGCCCGAGCTCGGGGTCCTCAGGTGCAGCCGGCATGGGGTGGGGTGCAGGTTGGGAGAAGAGGCCCCCGCCACCCGCGGCACCTCCCGCCCTGCTGTCCTGGCCAGCTAGGGGGAGGCAGGCGCTCGTCGTCGGTGCCTAGGGGAGGAGGAGAGGGCGCAGGGGCTTGGGAAGACGCCCCCGTCCCGCACCCCTGCGCCCCAGCCAGCAGCTGCGGCGGTCAGGAGCCCACTGGCCCGTTCTCCCGCCCCCTGCCCGACCCACCGGGCCAACTTTTGACTCCGGGTGCCCAGACACCCATCCAGGTGTGAGCCCGGGGTCGCAGGTACGTACTTGAAATTGGGAACGAGGCCCCGCCTGGGGTGCCTCGGGAGAGCCCCACATCAGGCGATCTAGACCCTTACGTCCCTTCCTCTAGCCGGGTCCAGGTGGCAAGCCTGGCGTCCCGACTATTTTTGAAACCTGTTTTCTCTCGCACCTTTCCCCTCGGGCTTCCAGAGTCCCTTGGGTGCCCAGGCAAACGACAGACTCGCCGCCACCTCTCCCTGGGGCGTCTGGGAGGCTGGGAGGGGCCTCCCCCCCTTTCTCTCCCCCAGTCTCTGATTACGCTCAGGGAACTTGTCACCTGGCACCTTCCCCTGAAGCCAGAAGACCCAGCCTAGCGCAGGTCTCGTTGTTTGGGAGGGAGAAGAGAGTGGCTTGCCTGGGGTCACACACACCTTCCTGCTGGTTTTGGAGCCAGAGCCCAGGACTGCTGCACACTCCCACCTCCCTGCCACCTACTTCGGGCCACAGCTTCTCCCCTCATCAGGAAACAACTGACAGTACAGCACCCCCTCATCCCATCCCCTCTTGGCCTTACAGGGCTCTGCCAGGGGAGCCCGAGCTCCCTGGTCCAAGGAGTGCCAGCGTGTCTGGGCCTAGAGGGCCCGCCTCCCTCCTCCTCTGGCCCCACTCTGTTGTTCAGCTGTGGCCGCCTCCCAGCTGAGACTGGCATTGGCATTGGGAATGTGGGGTGGTGCCTGCTGGTGGGGGGTGGGGTCAGAGACCCATTAGGGCTGGGCCACTAGGCCAGGGGATGTACCGTTTATCACACTGATTGCATCCCAAAATAGACCCTTTAAAAACTGGCAAGATTTGACCAGGACTTCTGAGATGGCCATCTGTTCCAGTGGGAGAATCCTGCGGGTTTTCTCCAGGAATGAGGGAGGGAGGGTGGTGGGGCAGCCCCCAGGGAAGTGGTTTTGAAGGAAGGGGGGCTGGCAAGGGAAGGGAGGCTAGAAAGAAATATCTCTGAATCTGGGGACGTGGAAGAGGTAGCCGCTTTGGATGTGGAAGAGAATTTCTCTTGCCATCTTCAATCTTGAGCAAGTCACTTGTCCTTTCTGATCCTCGGTTTCCTCATCTGCAACATGGGGATAAAAACTCTTACCTGGCAGGAGTATCAAGGAGATTATTGGTAATAATGCTCCCTCCTAACTGGTGGCTTTCTTCTCCCCTGCTCCTCTTCCCCCTGCCTATCCTTGGGACGCTGCCAGCATGATTAGTACTGTGGTGAGATGGGTTTTGGGGGCCCCGAGCCTGTCTGCACCTTTGGAGGAAAGGAGAGGAGCACCTCTCCCCCTCCTCCAGGCCCTGGTAAGCCCAAAGTGCTGTCCTGGAGCCTCTGGATCTGAAGGAGGGCAGGCCGAGCCCCACCTGTCCCTCGTGATGAAGTCTCAATTTCCTCACCTGTAAATTGCAAATAACAGTAGTACCTGCCTCCAGCTGTTTGTGGGGATCAAGTGGAATTGCGTTTGCCTGGCATAGAGGAGGAGTTTGGTAAATGGTAACTGCTGCTTTTGTAACTGTTTTACAACCTGTTTTTGCTTCCATTCTCTCATTGACTCCTGTGAGGTGACAGAGCAGACCCATTTTAGAGACAAAGGAACTGAGACTCTGAGCATTGGAGTCATTGGCTCCAGACACAGAGCATCTAAGAGGCAGAGCTCCACATTCCTAGCGCAGGGGTCTTACCAGTGTGCTTGGTGAACTCTGCCATGGGAGGAGCTGGGAGCAGGCCCCACCTACCCCACGCTGGGCTGGCAGCCTCTGACAGCAGTGGCCACAGGTTAGAGCAGGGGCCATGGGGTATGTGGGGGTGGGGGTGCTAGGGTCACCTTGCTCAGGGTTGTGACCCAGCCTGGCCTTGGACCTGGTCCCTGTGGTTGAGTTTTGAGGCCAAACTGAAGCCAGTGGAGTTAAAGTTAGACTCGAACCCTGCTCTCAGTTGTGACCTGCTCCTCCTCCTCAAGGTCCTCACTAGGATTAGCATGAGCATTGCTTATTTGTGGAGAAAGAAGCCCAGAGAAGGGCAGCACCTTGCCTGAGGTCACACAGCAAAGCCAGCACCCCAGGCTTCTTTCCACCCAGCTTCATGCCTGCAGTGGATTCCTGGTTGTCCTGACCTTGAAAGAGGGCTCTCTTCCTCTCCCACACATGGCTTTTCCTATCCCCTGGGGAGACATCAATATTTTATCTCAGTCCCTGGCCAGGCATTTTCCTTCCAGCTGCCTGGAAGAGGGGCTCACCTTGGCCCCTCAGCACTCTTTCCAGAGGTACTGGGATCATTCAGGCCCTCCGGTTATTTTGTGGGTTGTGCTTACCCAGAGAGAAGGGGTGAAGAAATAGGAGGTGCAGGTTCCAGTAAAGCTAGTTCATGGTGGAAGGCAAGGGAGGGAGGATATAATCATATTTATAATATTTATAATAAAGGATATTGCAAATGAATGTGGCCCAACACAAATTCATAAACTTTCTTATGGGTTTTTTTGTGATTTTTTTTTAAGCTCATCAGCTATCATTAGTATTAGTATATTTTATGTGTGGCCCAAGACAATTCTTCCAGTGTGGCCCAGGGAAGCCAAAAGATTGGACATCTGTGGCTTACAGTCTGGTGCACCACAACAAGGGTGTAGATCAGTGGTGTGGTTGTGGACATTGGTAGCAGGACAAATAAAAATAAAGCAGGGTGAGGAAATGATGGGACAGCTTTGTAAGATAGGATGGTGTCTTCATTTGGGTTCCTCTAGAGACAAGGATTGGAGTGCAAGTCATTTATTTGGGACAAGATGGCAGGAAATATTGTTAGGACAAGTGAGAAGGGAGGGGAGTCCACAAAGTGGGCATTATAAAGCAAATTACCAGCAGGGCGCGGTGGCTCATGCCTGTAATCCCAGCACTTTGGGAGACCAAGGTGGGCAGATCACCTGAGGTCAAGAGTTCGAGACCAGCCTGGCCAACATGATGAAACCCCATCTCTACTTAAAATATAAAAATTAGCTGGGTGGGGTGGTGCAGGCCTGTAATCCCAGCTACTTGGGAGGCTGAGGCAGGAGAATCGCTTGAACTTGGGAGGCAGAGGTTGCAGTGAGCCGGGATCACGCCACTGCACTCCAGCCTGGGGGACACAGTGAGACTTTGTCTCAAATAATAAATAAATAAATAAATAAATAAATAAATAAATAAATAAAGCAAATTACCACCAGGGACTCCTGGAGCTTAACCCCGCTGTGGGAACTGTGGGAGGCAGTGTAGAACGTGCTCTTCAGAGCCGTTCCACTGGAGGGGCAGTTCCCGGAAGCCCGGTGGAGAGGACTCCTGGGGTCGGGAGATCTTCATTCCCCAGTCTGCGCCAGCCTCAGCATCTCCAGCAGGCAGAGTGGCAGGTACTGGCAGTCAGCACAACATGGAAATGGTGTGCAGGGAGGATAAGGGCGGCCACTGACAGCACCAGGGAAGGTCCCTCTGAGAAGGTGACTCGGTACACACCGGTGAATCCCAGGAGGGAGGAGTCTGGGAACAGTGTTCCAGCTAGAGGGAACAGCAAGTGCAGGGAATGTTGAACTGGAGGCTAGGACTCTGCTTCTCCCGGGTCTGGGGGCTGTGTGAGGGGCATGTGGCTTGAAGGAGTCAGAGGTCACCCACTGCCCACTGAGGGTCAGATACTCTTTTTGAGCAGCCCTGCAGGGCTCTGCCTGACCCCAGCAAGGGGCTTGGGCTGCAGGAGGCAGGTATGGACTGAAGTCCCAGTGCTGTCAATTATGAGCCATGGTCAAACTCCTCTGAGCTTCTTTATCTGTGAAATGGGAACACTGATCTATCCTGGACTCTTCTCTCAATATGAGAATGGTCATGGACACGTTAAATCTCTTTGCATTTGACCACTGTAATGACAGTAGCTCACACTTGTGATACTTGGTATGTACCAGACAAGCTTCTAAGCTCACCTCGGGTGTGAACTCAGTTCATCCTCAAGACAACCCCATGGATGGATACTCTTTTTTTTTTTTTTTTTTTTTTTTTTTTTTAAGAGGGAGTCTCCTTCTGTTGCCCAGGCTGGAGTGCAGCAGTGGGATCTTGGCTCAGTGCAACCTCCACCTCCTTGGTTTAAGTGATTCTCCTGCCTCAGCCTCCCAAGTAGCTGGGATTACAGGCGCCTGCCACCACACACAGCTAATTTTTTTGTATTTTTAGTAGAGACAGTGTTTCACCATGTTGGCCAGGCTGTTCTGAACTCCTGACCTCAAGTGATCCACCTGCTTTGGCCACCCAGAGTGCTGGGATTACAGACATGAGCTACCACGCCTGGCTGAGGTGGATACTCCTATTGTCCCTGTTATTTATTTATTTATTTGAGACAAGGTCTCACTCTATTGCCCAGGCTGGAATGCAGTGATATGATCATAGCTTACTGCAGCCTCGACCTCCTGGGCTCAAGGGATCCTCCTGGGTAGCTAGAACTACAGGTGCACACTGCCACGCCCAGCTAATTATTTTTTGTAGAGACGAGGTCTTACCATGTTGTCCAGGCTGGTCTTGAACTCCTGGCCTCAAGCAATCCTTCCTTCTCAGCCTCCTAGCACACTGGAATTACAGGCATGAGCCACTGTGCCTGTCTTGTCCCTGTTTTAAAGTTAGGACACTGAGATCCAGGGAGGTTCAGTGACTATGAACTCCACAGCCCATAGCATATTTTTCTCTTACTGTGTAAGTAGGTACTTAGGAAATGGTAGCTGCTGCAATTTGTCATTTTAAAAATTATTTTCTTTTGATAACAATCTCAACAGCTTTGACTTCTGAAATTTTCCTAGTACTTTTCACGTCCAGAAACTTCTGGTGACGCTCCTGAGGGGATGAACCCATTTGTCAGATAGAATTACAGCCCAGAGAAGCAGCTACACTCCAGGTCAGGGCAGAGCTTGAGCCCTCTTCTGAGATGTTGTCACTCTGGCCTCTGAGGCCATCTCCCCACCAGGCTGGGGGAGGCTGGAGGCCAGAGCCCCGGTTGGAGGCTCCCCTGGCCCCTGGGTTTGGCTGCAGCTCTGATGTTGCAGACACACCAGCCAGGCAGGGTCTCTGGGAGCAGCAGAACGGGCACAAGGGCATTCAGCCCAGCTCTGACTCCCGGGTGGTTGGGGGACCTTAACAAGGAAAGAACACGTGTTCACAGCTGTAATTTAGACCTTAGACCAGGCATATGGTCTGTCCCCAGCTAACTCCAGCAGCAGGTCATCTGTAAAATTGCAACGTTAAAATAGCGCAGTCATTACCCACTACAGGGCCAAAAATAACTAGGACCGGAACAGGGCTGTGCACTCAGGCCTGTATTTGCCCAGGGGCCTCTGGGAGCACCTCCTGAAGCCGTGGGCTCCTCCCGGCAATAAGGCCTCCGGCTGTGGCTGGCGAGTAGGGCGGGTGGCGGGTGTGGCCCTGAGCCCTACCAATGGGCCTTCACTGAGAGCTCCCAGGTGCTGGTTTCTGTGGGGAGGGTGTGGGCATGAGGGGCCTTACGCTCTAGTGAAGACATGAGTCATGTGCACAGACCACAGGAGGGAAGCAGCTTCCTAGAGA
This sequence comes from Homo sapiens, assembly GCF_000001405.40. NCBI lineage: Eukaryota > Metazoa > Chordata > Mammalia > Primates > Hominidae > Homo > Homo sapiens. Next base: position 25,549,909 of record NC_000001.11, read on the forward strand.
GAAAGGAGCATCTCAGTGGGGCCTGGGAACATGGGGTACAAGGGAGAAACAGGACCAGACTGGACGGCCACATTGGGCAGGCGCACGCTTCCATGCCAGGTCCTGGGGAAGCAGACATGAATGGCAGGTACTTTAAAGGGAAGAGACGTGTAGGCAGTGCTTGGCAGTGGGTGGTGTGGCTGCAGGAGGAAGAAGAGATTTACAGTCAAGAAAGGCACCAACAGCCCGCCCACAGGAGGGATGAGGCCCCACTGGAAGGTGTACTGAGCAACTGCGATGGGCCTGCCTCTCTGCTAAATTCTATAAACTTATCCAAGGGTCACAACAGCCCCCAGGAGTCAGAGCTGTTGTTTCCCCCATTTTAAAGATGAAAAACTGAGGTTCAGGGAGGGTAATGAGCTCACTCAAGATGACTCAGACATGAAGCATTGGAGCTGATATCTTAGGATTAAGGCCTTGCTGTTAACCACGAGGCTATATTGCCTCAAAGGAGGCTTCCTGGAAGAGGTTGGATGTGTGGGGTTTGATCAAGTGAAGAAAGGGCATTTAGGATAGAGGGAACTACTTGAGCAAAGGCAAAGAAGTTAGACAGTAAATATTACATTATTAGGAAGAAGCTCTGCATGGTTGGAGCTTCTTGGGGTAGGGGGTATGTAGGGATATTGTGGGAGAAGAGACGGGGAAACTTAAAATTCCCTCACAGTCACTGGTCATTGTGGGGATTGTCTATAGTGGACTGGGTGGGGTGAGGAGAGTCCCTCTGACTTGCCATGTTACCTTGCACAGGTCCCATCCCTGTCTGGGCTTCAGTTGTATCATCAAGTGAGGGGCTTGAGCTGAGGGCCTAAGGCTGATGAGTGGCAACCAGTCTGTAAGGACGTGGTTAGAGGAGGGGAAGGGTCAGGCCAGGGAAGGAGGAATGCAGAAAAATGCTGAACATTTCAGGGGTCAGGGAGGACTAGGGAATGTTTTGACAGCAGAGAGATCACCAGTGACCTTGGCAGGCTTTGGTTCTTTGGAATGGAGGGAGCGGAAGTGACTTTGGAAAGGGGCCAGGAAAGGGCTGAACCAGAGGAAATGGGAGAATGGGGACATGAAAATGGGGGCTGGAGAGGGAGAGTGGAGAATGTTTGCCAGGGGTAGGGATGGATAATGAGATGTTCAAACCTTGATCAATTAGTATTGCTTGCCTGGGGCCTTGTGCTGAGAAAGGATCAGAGGGAAGTAGAGCTGCAATTGATTATCAATGTCTGCCAAGGGTGCGGGTCATAGGCACAGTAGCACTTCTTTCCATTGCTGTCCTTGCTTAGATGGGTCTCAGGTTGAAATTGGTGGCCTGGGTATCCTAGCCTGCAGAGGGGAAGCCTTAGGTATTAGGAATACCTAATTCCAGGTGAGAAGAAATGCCTCCGCCTCCAAAAACCTGATCTTTTGCTAGAATTAAGGTAGTTTGCTGCATGATAAAGTAGTATGGTCTCATGGTCAGGAGCTTGGGCTTTAGAGTCAGTCCTTTGAGTCTCAGTTTCCTCTCTGTAAAATGGGAATGAGAGAATGCCTGCTTGCAAGGTGGCTGTGAGTGTTAGAGGTGATGGTAATAGCTATGGCTTTATTATTGTTGCATCTTTGTTATATGAAAGCGCTGTTTTTCCCTGATGATGGTGCTGTTATTCTGAACTTGAGAGCAGGGTCTGTGTCTGAGTTGCTCCAGGGCCCCATCACTCAACCCAGGACTGGGGACATCTCAGGGACTTTCACATTCTTTTGGAGGATCAAATGGAATAGGCTTGTGGTTGATGGGACAGAGGATAAGGTCATGTTGGGCTTTGGGGTCATCTCAGTGGAGACCTGGCCTCATGTTGGGGTGGAGGCCCAGGGATGAGATCTAGGGCTGGAGGGTCACTGGGCCTGGGGCCAGGGCTGGGGATGGGATGGGGTTGTCCTCGTCATTTCTTCCTTGAGCGAGTATTGAGCGCTACCTGCATGCCAGGTTCTAGATGACAGTCAGTAAGTCCCTGCTCACCTGATCTCAAGACATGAGGGGAACTGGGTACATCTGTAAGTTCCTGTATAACCCTCCCCAGCCCTGACACCCGCACCCTCTTTCAGATGAAGAAATGGCCTCAGAGAGGGACAGTGGCTTGCTCAAGGCAAATCCAGAGAAATGTGGGTGTACAAGGCTCCTTCTGGCTGTGGAGAGGGGGACCAGAGCCCCTGGAGGCCCAGGGCTCTAGGATAGGAGCTGAGAGGGGCAGCAGGGATCCAGACTGGGTAGGGGACCTGGTGATGCCACCTGGACCCAGACTTCTGCTCTTGACAGAGCCGGAACTCCAGAACCAAGCTGAGCCTTGTAGTAGGGGCCCACATCCCTGCCAGAGCCTCAGCTGCCCTGGAACTAGCAATACCCAAACTTTCTTCCTGTGGCTTTTCAATCAGAGCCAGTGAGGAAGGCCTCAGGAGGAGGTAGGGAGGGCCCAGGACATCTCCCAGCCCCTCCCTGGGGGATGGTCTAGGGAAGCTGGCCCTGGCTACCTCTCGTGGCCCCTGGAAGCTGATTCCTGGCTGGATCCTGCTCTGTCCTCAACAAGATTGTGTGTGAGGCTGAAGAGCAGTTTTCTTTCTCATCTGTAAAATGGTGCAGTCATAACAAACACCTCCTACAAGCACAGCATCTGTGAGGGTTTCCTCTCTGTAAAATGGGACAGAGAGGTAGGGGACAGGAAGGGGCTCTGGCAGGTGGAAGTGTGAGGTGTTCATTCATCTTTCTTCATGTCCTCCTTCCGAGGAGCCGGGGATGGTCAGAAACTGTCAGTGCAGCCTGCTTTTGCCCTCATGCCCATTTGCCTCCACGGGGCCCTCACCTACGTGGTGGGGCGCTCTTTCCACGTGTCCCTCCTGGTCCATTTGCCCACCCAGTGAGGCAGGCTCATCCCCTTATTTCCTGACATTTGTGTGGTTGGTGCTTTTAGAGAACTCTCCTTGTGGACTCTGTTCTGCACCATTGTCACAGCCCAGAGAGGGGGGAATGTTAGTCCCAAAGAGGAGAGGGGACTTCCCTAGGACCATCCAGGGGGTGGGAAGCAGAGTGGGTCTCGAACCTTCTCCGATTTGGGAAATCGCCTTCTCCTCTCCCCACCCACCCTTACCCTTCCCTGCTCTCCCTGGGCTACTGTCTCCTGCCCAGCCTCCCACATGCCCCTGTTGGTCTCTACGGATGCGCACAGGGAGGAAAGCAGTGCAGGCTGGGGCCATGGGAACCGCTCAGGGTTGAAGTCCGACTCATTGTATGTGGCCTTCATCTCATGACTTTGCCTCCCTGAGCCTCAGTCTCCTAATCTGTAGAATCATTGTCTCACAGGATTGCACTAAGGATTCAGTAAGAAATGGTATGATTTGCCCTCAGCAAGTGGTAGCATTGAAGTAAAGAGGGCTCAGGGCTTGAAAATAGGGCTCGAAACTTGGCTCTTGCACTTCCTGGCTCTCTGGACTTGGTTATGTGATTGAGCCTCCATGGCCTCCGTGTCTTTGTCTGTCAATGGGTTTGATTAAAGCGTTGACCTCATAGGTTCTTAGGAGGATTAATGAGAACATTTTATGTAAAGCTGCTTACATGGAGCCTTGGTATGTGCCGGAAAGCTTTAGCCCTTTATTAAAAGTGACAGCAGACCCAGCACGGTGGCTCATGCCTGTAATCCCAGCACTTTGGGAGGCTGAGGCGGGCAGATCACTTGGGGTCAGGAGTTCGAGACCAGCTACTCGGGAGGCAGAGGCAGGAGAATCGCTTGAACCTGGGGTGCAGAGGTTGCAGTAAGCTGAGCTCGCACCACTGCACTCCAGCCTGAGTGACAGAGTGAAACTCAGTCTCAAAAAAAAAAAAAAAAAAAGAGTGGCAGTAGTGGTGGGGGAGACCCCCATCCCCCTTGCTGGGGTTTCCTAGGAAAGAAGGCTGGTGAGAGCTGTTGCTGGTGGTGGGCCCTGAGCCGCAGGGTCTGAGGGCCTACCCTGTGCTACCCCAGAGCTGCCTGAGAACTGGACAGACACGCGGGAGACGCTGCTGGAGGGGATGCTGTTCAGCCTCAAGTACCTGGGCATGACGCTAGTGGAGCAGCCCAAGGGTGAGGAGCTGTCGGCCGCCGCCATCAAGAGGATCGTGGCTACAGTGAGCACCCCAGTCAGGAAGGGTGGGGGAACCAGGGACCAAGGACCAGCTTCTTCCCAGGGTGCCCTCGTCCCAGCTTGTTACTCCAGTTGGGTGTGTCTGAGCCTGGCCCTGCCCTTCATTCTCCTTCCATCCAGCTTTTGGGCCTTGGCAGAGGGGAACCATTGGACTTGCAAGGTCACGGTTAGTGGCTTCCCTCCAGCCATTATGGCCTCTTCCAGCCTCCCCACCCCCAGCTCAGGCTCCCTACCAATGCATTGGTGACTTATCAGCACCAGGAAGGGTGGGGAGTTTGCTTTCCCTTGACTACCTGCCCAATGGCCTGAGAGACAGCATAGCCCATCAGAGAGCAGATTGCCCCCTCCCTAACTTTGAGCAAGGGTGGGCCTTTTAAATCCACTTCCCTTGGTGGCCTCAGACCCCTCAGCTCAATGGATGGAGCAGAGTACTCAGGAGTCATCCTGCTGGGTTGTGCTAGCTCATTCAGTGCCGAGTCTGCAGGCCCTTCTAGCTGTGTGTCCTTGGGTAAGTCCCTTAGCCTCTCTGAGTCCATCTCTGGGGAGAGGGAGGATGACTCCAGGTCCACGGTGCCTGACAGATAGCTGGTGCTCAGCAGATGCTGCTCCTGTTTCTATTGCAAGAAGGTGCTGGCTGAGTGGTCTTGCCCACACTGCTGCCAGTCACCTGAGCTGAGATGGGCCCCGTGCCTGGGGCTTAGGAACAGTGAAGTGTAAGCCATGAGGGTGGGTCTCAAGTGAGGCTGGCAGACTCCTCTGACTCCTGTCTGCTCCCAAGGCTAAGGCCAGTGGGAAGAAGCTGCAGAAGGTGACTCTGAAGGTGTCGCCACGGGGAATTATCCTGACAGACAACCTCACCAACCAGCTCATTGAGAACGTGTCCATATACAGGTACGCTCAGCATGGGGTTGGCCCATCCACTCTGCCACTTGGGGCAGTGGGTGGAGTATCCCATCTGAATCCAGGCTCTACCACTTCCTACCTGGGTGACATTGGAGCCTCAGTTTCCTCATCTGTAAAATGGGGGTGGGAACAGATCCTGCTGCACAGCGCTGTTAGGAAACGTGGAGTGCACGGCACCTGGCTCATGATGAGCATTTGGTTAAGTGGCAGCTGCTGCTGTCATCATCACCAGTTGCAGAAGACAGCTGAGCCCACCCGTGCCCTTCCCCCCTACTCCCCACCAGCATGCCGCTGAGTCGGGCTTGGAGCAGAGAACTGCAGAGTCACTGCCTTTTCCTTCTGCTGTGAATGCAGCAGCTCAGCTCTGGGTATCTGGCCAGACATTCCAGGGAGGCCTCAGCCAAGGTCTGAAGTCAGAGTATAGATGGTCTCTCTAGTGGGTCCTCTGGTCAGCCCTTAGAGCCTCAGACTATCCCCACCTCTCTCGGCTGGTCAGTTGTAGTTTTTCAGAACTGGAAGGGACAGCTCAGGTCCATTTTACAGATGGAGAAGCTGAGGCCCAGAGAGGGAATTGCCTAAGGCTGCACAGTGAGGTAGTAGCTAAACTGGAACTAGGATATCCGGGCCAGAGCCCTGTCCAGCAGGCTCCCGTCTGCCTGGCATCCCTCCACCCTCTTGCTTTGTCTCTAAGCAGATGGCTCAGCCCGTTGGTGCACAGGCCAGTAGTAGGGTCAGTAGATGTGTGTTGTGGGGGTCTGGCTGATGTCTTCCTCTCACCGGCCTGATCATACCTGCCTTCCTTTAGTCAACAGTTTCAGATACCTATTCTGCCAACGTCTGTGCCAGATGAGGACTCCAATCCTGCTCATTGCCCTCAAGGAGCTTCCACTCTAGTTGGGTATAGTCGGGAGGAAACAGGAGATAGAGCATAGTGTTCCAAAAAGGCAAGGAGGAGATCTGCCTGGGGAAATCCCGGAAGGCCTCCCAGGGGAGGCGGCACCTTGCTGGGGCTTGAAGAATAATAGGATCTAGTTTGTTGTTACCAAGGACCCAGTAACATTTAGAGCAGGAAGCTGGACCCCCTGGGATGGAGAAGAGGTAGGCAGGGACCTAACACCTTCACGCTCTGCCCACCGGGGTGTTGATGCCTGTGATTGAAGCTGGGGCCACATGGTTGAGGGGTGAGTCTATGGCGCTCCTGTCCCACCTCTGGGTTGAGGGGTGAGTCTGTGGTGCTCCTGCCCCACCTCTGGGCTACCGGCCCCTCCCCGATTGAGACTCTGAGGCTGACTGGAGGCAACGAGGAGGGACCAGACAAGTGAGGGAGGGTGGGAGGCCGAGGGCTCGGGTGGCCCCTAGGTTACAGGTGCGACTGGGGGCAGAGAGGGTGCTCCATGCAGAGGGAGTTGCTGTGTGTCTCCTCCCGGGCCCACTGGGGCTCCTTGTTGGGTCCTCGTCACACACGCACCCCACCCCTACTCCCAGCTCTTCACCCCTGGCCACAGCTCCAGAACTTGCAAGTGTCCCAGTCACCCTGAGAGAGATGGACCTGAATCTCACCAGACCTCTGGGCAGGGGCATGGATCGGAGGGCAGGTGGGGTGGGGGAGGCCAGGTGAAGGGCATTGGTGAGCAGGGGAGTGTCCTGCTTTCTGCTTCCCCTTCTGGCCAGTTGGCACACAGCCTTAAGAGGCAGCATGGCAGTCATGGCCTCTGGAGTCCTACAAGTGAGTTCAGGTCTGGGCTCAGGTCTTTAGCCTCAGTTTACTTCATCTGAAAAACATGGATAGTGATAGAACCCGTCTCAGAGGGTAGCTTTGAGAATCACATGAGGTGAGGTCTAGAAAGCTCTTGGCACATTGCCTGGTATGTGGTAAGGGTTCAGCTATTACTGTTTTGGGGTGTGGCTCAGTGTGGGATGGGAGGGAGAGGGGGAAGTGCCCTGCTTCCAGTCTTTACCCCATTCCTTCCTTCCTGCCTGGCCTGGGCCCCTCCTGCACAGATGGCCTAGGTACCCAGCCTGGAGGCCAAGGCTGGATTCCCAGAGTCTGCCCTGGTGGAGTGGGAATAGCAGGTTCTCTGCAACTCAGGGGAGCTGCCCTGCAGGGCTTCCCACATGTGCTCAGGCCCCTGTGCCAGGTCTGGTGATGCTTCCTCCTTGCCTTTCAGGATCTCCTATTGCACAGCAGACAAGATGCACGACAAGGTGTTTGCATACATCGCCCAGAGCCAGCACAACCAGAGCCTCGAGTGCCACGCCTTCCTCTGCACCAAGCGGAAGATGGTCAGCGGGGAGGGCTGGGGCGGGGACAGGGTCCAGTGGCCTTGGCAGCCTTGCTCTGGGTGGGGGGCTGTCTGGTGTGGGAGGCAGGACCCAAAGGTGACCATTACTTAAGAAGAGGGTGAAATCTCTGGGAACCCCAAGTGGGTGCCGAGAGCTAAGGGGTACAGTGGTGGGGCTGCAGGCAGGCAGGTGAACCGCCGGTCAGCTTTGTGTGGGCAGTAGCTGGCCCATGTCCCCAGTGTGTGTCTGGGCCTGTTCTCTCTGTAACGGGATTTGCTGGGTTGAGATTGTTTTGGATCTCCTGTCTTTAATATGGTCTAGGGATGCAGGGCCTTCTGGTGATTGGTCCTCGGAAATGGGAGATCAGGGGGGCCTAGGGTGGAAGGCAAAGGCGAGAGCCGTCAGAGAACCAGGCTTGCTGTGACTGGAGTGTGGAGGGCAATGGCTGTTTCTTGGTGCCTCCTGTGAGTTCATTCCAGCTGTGACCAGAGTGTGGAGGACAGTGACCGTCTCTCGGTGCCTCCTGTGTGTGCATTCTAGTGCTAGGCTTCCAGGTCTTCACTCGTTTAATTCTCACGGCTCTGCAAGGTGGCAACTGTTACTCTCTCCATTTTTTTTTCTTCTTTTTTTTAAAGTTTTAATGAGGAAACAGACTCCCAGAGGCCAGCTATCTTGCTGTCAGGGTTAGAGTGGGGGTTTAAACCCACGTTTCTTCCCCTCCCTGCGTGACTGGGGAGTTCAGAGCTCCTTGTCTCATTTCCAGGACACCCCCTGACCACATCTTAGCTGGGATGAGTGGGAACCTTGGTGGTCACGGGGGATTTGTCCTGAATTTGGGGGCAAGAAGTGGAGTGGGTCAACCTTTGGCATTGCAGCTTTTGTTTCTGAGACCCCCAGGATCTGAGCATTCTCCCTATAAGGTGCTTCCTGACATCCATTGATGTAGCATTGACACCTGTTAACCTCTGTTGACAGCTCTGAGCCCCAGTCCCCATGCCCTATAGCCCTTGGAACCTAGGAGACAAGATCCCCTTCCCTCCCCTGTCATCAAAGGACATGTCAGGTACATCACAGTCTTTGTGGTCCCCAGGCTTCCTGCTGCCCATCAGGACACACTTTAGATATTGTGTAAGTTGTAACAAATGATCGCAAATTTAGTGGCTTAAAACACAAATGTATTCTCTTATGGAGAAGAAAAATGTATTCTGTGACAGAAGTAGATCAGGAGTCTAAACTAGGTCGGCAGGATTGTGTTTTTTTCTGGAGGTTCTGGGGGGAATCCATTTCCTTACCTTTTCTACCTCCCAGAGACTGATCACCTGCATTTCCAGGTTTGTGGGCCTGTCCTCATCTTCCGAGCCAGCAATGTAGCATCTTCTGGTCTCCTGATTTCATCGTCACATTGCTGCTTTTAGCTCTGACTCTCCTACCCCGCTCAGCACTCCTTCTGATGACATTTGGACACTCTGAGTAATCTGGGATAATCTCCATCGCCACATCCTTAACTCACTTCTGTAAAGCCCGTTTGCTGTGTAAGGCAGCATTCACGGGTCTCAGGGATTAGGATGTGGACATCTTGGGGGCGGACACACGATTCAGCCCACCACAGGTGTCATGGAAGAGGCACTGTAGGAGGAGACAGTCTAGCGGTCTCCTGGCTGATTTGCTGTGTTACCTTGGAGAAGATCCTGCCTTTCTCTGGGCTGCTTGCCTATCAGCAGAATGAGAAGGTTGCCTCAGTGACCTCCAGGGTTGTTCTGAAAGGCCCCGGGTTCTTTTGAACACCTTGTTTCTTTCCTGCAGACTCAGTGTCACTGGCCACTTGCCTCGTGAGGTCCCAGGGCTCCAAGTTGCTGTGGCATCTCCTGTGAGTTCCCACAGATGTGACTCGTGGCTTTGTCTTTTAGGAGGCCACACAGACTTAAAAATACAGCTCCTTATGTCCCCATTGTTCATCTCTTCCTGCCCGCTGACCAGGGCAGGCCCTGGGCAGGGACAGCTGGCCCTGGGTGGGAGGGGCCTTCGACGGTGCAGAGGCTTCCTCTGGGATGAGGGGTCTGGGAGTAAGAGAGAGGTGCAGGCCCAGCTCTTACAAGGGAGACCTGGCCTGTGGTCAGAGAACTTCACACAGACTTGAGTGAAATCAGCCTACCCTCAGGCCATGAGGTCAGTTACGAGGAAAACAGAGCCAGGCCGCTGCTCAGCCACTGACTGCAGAGCCCTGACCAGGCAGCAGAAGGGCCCCTGCCAGACACCCAAACTCTTCATCTTTCTTAGTGTATTCTTCTCAGGTTGGGTTGATGGCTGGAGTGGTTTATCCATCTCCCTACCCTTTGCTACCTGGCCTCCCTGCTTCAGGGGCCCTGCGGAGCCCTCTCCAAGACAGCGCAGCCCAGCATGGTGTAAATACATCACCTGCTACCTCAAGGTCTTAGCCCAACCCAGGCTGACAGTGTGTTGGTGGCCTAGACATGTTGGAAATCCTAGATTCTTGGGCTAAGTGGAAGTGTTCTTGGGGGAGGCAGGAGATGGAATAGCTGCGTCAGCCTCCGCACCTGCTGGCAGCTCCGCCACAGAGGTTTGGCACCGTCTGTCCTGGCCTGAGCCATGGAGAAAACATCCAAGGCGGTAGAGAACAGCCCAGCATCAGTACCTGGAACCCAGGGGGGCTTAGTTCTGGGGTGGTAGTAAATCTCACTAACTTCCCTGAAGTTAGAGTCAGTGAGACTTCCCTGAGACAGACACCTTGAATGGGGCTTTGAAGGCTGAGGAGCCAGGAGGAGTTTGCCAGGCCGAGAGAAGGGGGTGGGGTGGTGGGTGGGGAGTGCACACCAGCATGGGATTAACACACGTGCAAACGCAGAGGGGCGAAGTGAAATGGTTCCCCTGGGGTGGGTGGTGAGGCAGCTTCCGTTTGCAGTGGGCCTTGAATCAGGATGTTGAGGGCCTTGAATCAGGATGTTGAGGGCCTTGAATCGGGATGTTGACAAAACGTCAGTCATTGTGGCTGGGGGCCTCCACATCCCTACTCTTCCTGGCTGGGCTGCCGGAATGAGTTCATGACCCATTGAGGTTGGGGGAGAAAGGCTCCTTTCTACATCACCCACCAGTCCGTTCAACTCTGGGGCAGCACAGCCACCCCAGGTCTCCCCTCCCTGGTGCTGCTGGGCACAGCCAGCATAGGGTTCCTCCAGGGAATCCCTTCCATCTGCCCAACCGGGAGGCCTCTGGGCTCCAAAGTGAAGGTGTCATGCAGGTGCTGGGCCTGGGCTGATGGTAAGCAAAGTGCTACCCCCATTTCCACCCAGGCAGCACGGGGCCAGGCTGCTCCCTCCCCCATGACCATTGGCATCTTGGAGTGATCCTTGTGCAAGGTTTTTGCTTCTGGGGCAGCAGGGCTGCTGGGGGGCATGTGGCTGTCTTGGTTTGAGTTTCTGGCCCCTTTTGAGCCATGAGCAGCCTGGTTCCTGGGAACAAGGAATGTGAAAAACTGGGCAAGGTAGCATCCACTCAGGATAATAAGGCAGACCCGAAGGCCAGAGGCAGTCAGGAGGGGTGGGCATCCCGCCTGGGCAGGCCTGAGCAGTCCCTCCACCTAATGCTGGTCCTCGGATCCCTGCAGCCACCCCAGGAAGCAGGGCCCACCCCACTCCCAGTCCCTGCCCAGCCTGGGCTTGCAGCTACCTGCACACATCCACCTCTTGGGTTGTATTCAGTTTAACTTACAGCTTGGGACTTCAGGGCAAAAAGGTAGGAATGTATGCAAGTGAACAATCAGATTTATGCAACTACAGTCTAAGCTTGTGTCTCCAGATTTCCAGCAGGCTTAAATAATGGCGTTTTCATATCCCTGCCACATTGGGTGTCCAGCCCTTGCTTGGGTGGATAGTGATCTGACTTGGGCTGGTAATTAGCCCATATTTTTAGTTCATGGGCAATTCTCAATGGTAACTGGGTCTATTAAACTTGATTCAGATATGACAGCTTAAATTGTAAACAGCTGCGAAGAGTTTCATACTTAATTACCATATTTAAGTTTTGCCATAAAGTGCCTGTACTTCCATCAAAAATGTAAATGTTGGAGACATTCAAATGAGGTTTTATACTTTCGTGAAGTGTAATTGGCACGGATCAGTCAGTTTGTTTAGGAATTTTAAATATTTTTTTAAAAGGAGTTTTAAAGGCAGTGGCCACAGGTCCATTTCTCAATTAAATTGAGTTGTCTGGGGGAGGGCAGGGAGCGGGGCTGAGGCTGGTGAGGCCTGAACTTGTAGACTTGAAAGAGGCTGGTGCTTTCTTCTCTCAGCCAGGGCTTCAGAAGGAAGCTAGATGTTTCCGGCTATAGCTACGAACTCTGGGACTTCCACTCCCAGAAGCTGAGCTGATTAACCCTGGACTGGAATGGCTGAGAGAGGAAGGTGTTGAGATGAATATGGGCTGGGGATAGGTCCTGGGTGGAATGAGGCCTGCACCTCAGGTGAATGTAATTCACCCAGCATTGTTGCCACCTCTGGGAGGCTTTGGCCTGCTCCCGAGGGCAGGGGTGTTCAGATTGATTCTTGCTTTTAGGGTGCACAAAGCTGGGGGAAACACAGGCAGGGGAGCCAGTGACACTTTCACATGCATAGTGCCAGAGGGAGGTGGGTGGGGCTCGAGGAGTCTGGGACTGGTGACAGGAGAGGTGGTGACATCTGAGTTGGGTTTGGAGGGGTGAGGGAGAGTTCCCCTGGGGTGAAGGGCCGAGGTGTGGCCCTTCCTTACAGGTGGGTTATAGCACTGACCGGTTTTGGTCCCCGGGCCTTCATTGACATCTTGCTCCTATCAGGAAATTGACAAGCCTTCTACTCTCTTTGTGGGATCCAGTTATGGTCCCAACCGGAACCTAACTTTCACCTCTCTGGCTGTGGCTCATTTGGGGCAATGGCTGGGCCCTTCCAATTCTGGCTTTTCTGTTCTCCAATTCCAAGGGCTAAGTCCACAGGTAATTAGGGAGGGTTTCTTGGAGGAAGTAAGCCTCACAGTTCATTGAATTCAGGGAAGCCCAAAGGGGAAGGAAAAGACCTGGAGAAGAACAGCCTTTGCAGGCAGGGGCCCTAGAGTGAGAGTGAGAACTTTGGTGGGGCCAGAGATAGTAAAGATGGGGACTCTACTGCCTCTGCGAGGCTATGGCCTTATGACACCCCAGGCTGCTTTGGAGACCTGGGAAGGGCCAGGACCCTGCTCTGCCCAGCAGGCATTCCAGAGCCTGGGATGGAGCTGCAGAAGCTGCAGGGAGGGAGCCAGGGGGCCTGGCCTGGAGGCCCCAGCCCTCCAGTGCAGACTTGCTCTGCCCTGGCTGACACTGCACCCCTCCCCATCCCCACTTCCTGTTTTCAGGCACAGGCTGTTACCCTCACCGTAGCCCAGGCCTTCAAAGTCGCCTTTGAGTTTTGGCAGGTGTCCAAGGAAGGTGAGACTTTGCATCTACATTGTGGGTGTGGTGGGAGGTGGGGAGACACATAAAGGCCCTGGGGTCAGACCTGGACCGACTTCCTGCCTCATCACCCACCTGGCTTGTGACTGTGAGCAGGTCCCTTCACCGCTCAGAGTCTCGGTTTTCCCATCTGAAAAATGGGAACAGCCGTCTCCCTCCCCAAAGGTGCTTGTGAGGATTAACTGACATCCGAAAGGTTTCTTTCCTCCCGGCTGGAAACCTGAAACTGCCCCTTGAGGTTGGCCACCGCTAATCACCCCTGCCCGGTGATTGCTGGGGACAGAGTGCTGGGGTCTGAGGCTCCAACATGTTGTGCCTTGGTCCTGCAGAGAAAGAGAAGAGGGACAAAGCCAGCCAAGAGGGAGGGGACGTCCTGGGGGCCCGCCAAGACTGCACCCCCTCCTTGAAGAGCTGTGAGTCCTGACGGGGAAGGGGGATTGGCCATGCGGTGTTGGGGTTGCGCTTCACCCAGGGGGGTCCCACTCCTGCCTGGGCTGGGAGAGCCTCTTGGTTTTTCACTTGTGTTTTGTTAAATAAATAATACACGTTCATTACAGATCAATTAGAAAATGTAGATAAGGGGAAGAAATAACTCATTTTAGTACATTTTCTTCTAGATATGTCCCTATGCAAATATATAAATATGCGTCTATCTTTCTATATACTTAACATAGTATTGTGTGGTTGCTTAAGAAAACTTAACTATTGTGAATACAAAAGTTTCAGTCTAAGCCATTAGTCAGGTTCTCACTCTGTGGGCAGCTGCGCATCTGCTGTGGGGAGGTGCCAGGGCCGGGCTCTGCTGGGAGGCCTGGGCAAGGCCACATCAGAGGGGAGGGTCAGGGCCAGGACAGCCCAGGGAGGGGGCCAGGAAGGAAGAGGCTGATCTCCCACTGACAACCTGACCGGATCCCTCACAGTGGTCGCCACTGGGAACCTGCTGGACTTAGAGGAGACAGCTAAGGCCCCGCTGTCCACGGTCAGCGCCAACACCACCAACATGGACGAGGTGCCGCGGCCACAAGCCTTGAGTGGCAGCAGTGTTGTCTGGGTGAGTGGTTGTGTGGCCAGCAGATCGGTGATCCTCAGCCTGACCTCTGGGTGAGCCTGGGGCTGCTCCAGGGACCAGGCCCTGGGACCCGTGACTTGTGGGCCTCTGGGAGGACCAGACCCAGCCCGGTAGTGCCCAGGCGCAGGATAGGGGATGAACAATGTCCCTTTTGAACCTGAGGCTGCATCCCCAACAGGCTTGGCTCCCAGCACAGCTGTCTCCTCACAATGCTTGGCCTCTTGGCCTGAGCGTCCACGGCTCTGCCCACCACAAGACCAGCCAAAGGCGCCCTTGTTCTTGGTGTGGCAGAGCTCGCTCCTACCACCCCTCCCCCTCAGCCGCCTGAATGAGGACCCAGAGACTTGGGCAGTCACCAGCTTGGTCCCTGACTCCCTCAGGGACTCAGGGCAAGCCCCCTGACCTCTCTGTCTCAGCTTTTTCATCTCAGTAAGGGTGATGACCTCTGCCAACGGAATCTCCCCGAGGAACCTGAAATTTAATTTTAATTTTTCATTTGGAAATAATTTCAGACTGTGTTACAAAATTAGTACAGAGAATTCCTGTTCACCCGTCATCCAGATTCCCCAATTGTTAACATCTTGCATGACCACATTACACTGGTCAGAATCAGGAAACAAACACGATACTGTGCTGTTATATAATCTATAGAACTTACACATTTCTCCAGGTGCCCCTTCAGTGTCCTGTTTCTGGCCCAGGATCCATTGCAGAATCACATGTTAACTTGTCGTCTCTTTAATTTTTAAAAATCTGGGTACTGGGGGCTCCCCTGGTGTCCCTCGAGCCTGTTCTCTGCTGTTTGGGAACCACCCTTGCCACTTGCCCATCCTCACCAGAAGGCCATGGAGGGACCTCACCTGTCGCTTTTCTGCTGAGGCTGTGGGACTCCTGGCATCAGTTATCCCTCATGAACTTGGAATTTTGGCTTGGCTTTTGGAAGTAAATGAAGGCAAGAAAACTCCCTTCCCCACCCTCTTCCTTTTGGAATTTGAAAGCCATAGAAGTCATCAGGTCCAATGCCCTCCTCTTATTGAAGGAAAAGCTGAGTTTCAACGTGGAGCAGTGACTTGCCCAAGGTCTCACGGGCAGGTAGCATGGACCAGGGCACTGAACCCACCTGGGTCTCCAGACACCCTGGGACATGGCCTTTCTCCTCTCCCACGTCTCCAGCTTTGGGTCCTTGGGCTGAGATGCTGGCGATGCACCCAGGCAGGAGGCCTGCCTGAGGCCGTGCCTCCAGGCGCCCACCCTGAGCTTGTGTCCTGAGTCCCTGTAGCTTACCCAGGGCTGGGACAAGCCCCAGCTGTGAGCATGGGCTCCCCCAAACATAGTTCTTATCTCCTGCTTTGTTTTCCCCAAGGAGCTGGATGATGGCCTGGATGAAGCGTTTTCGAGGTAATGCTAGCTTCCTGTGCTGGGTAGGGGGCCTGGTGTGCGTGGGCTGGCCCTGCTGCCCTTTCTCCTGGGGACCTTTCCCCTGATTAAGAACACAAGCCACTCAGACCCCCTCCAGAGCAACAGTCCCATCCCTCCACTCAAATGCTTCCAGGGGCAGGGAGCTCACTGGGGAGGAAACCCCTTCCAGCGTTGTCCAGAGCTGTTAGAAAGTTCTTACTGTTGAGTCAAAAACTATTCCTGGTGGCTGCTCTGCCGCAGTCTGAGGTGAGCGAAACACACTGCAGCTCAAGTTGATTTCCTCCGACTTGAGGAGGCGTGGCCTTCAAAAATGGGCTTTTTTTTTTTTTTACAGGCTTTGCTCCCTCCACAGGTCTGTGTTTATGAACAGGGGAAGGGAGAAAGTGTTTAATGAAGCTCGTGAAGCGTTCCATAGCAGGGAAGGTCAGGCACAGTGAGGAGGTGTTTTGGTATAGCCTTTGGTGGCATTTCCCCGTTTTCCCAGGGGCCATCCTTGTGGCCCCCTGCAGCTTGGGGACATGCCACTGAGAAGGCTGTGGCTGAGGAGAGGCCTGGGCAGGTCAGGGTTCCGAGCCCTGGGTCCCCGTCTGTCAGGCCTCCCTTTCTCACTTGAGACCCTCAGCAGCCTCCTACAGCCCTCCCACATCAGGGGCTTTGTTTGGGGTTGGAGTCAGCGATTTTTGGTCCAGCGGGTGGGGACAGAGTCAGGGTCTTTGCCCTCCTGCCTCCTCCTTCCTCTTCCTTGCCTCCTTCTTGCCAGGGACTAGTGGAAACCCCTTGGTCCAGCCTGGGGCGAGGGCGACAGTGACACCTTCCCTGCCTCACTGGCTGACGACACCTGCCCTCTGAAGAAAATCTTTTGTTTGCTTTCTCCACATTATTTTGAGCATCATGTGCCCTTTATTAACAATTTTGAAAATCAGCAAAGCATTAAACAGAAAGTAACACCATCCTGTAA
Source organism: Homo sapiens (assembly GCF_000001405.40). Classification (NCBI taxonomy): domain Eukaryota; kingdom Metazoa; phylum Chordata; class Mammalia; order Primates; family Hominidae; genus Homo; species Homo sapiens. The sequence goes on from NC_000001.11 coordinate 25,566,187, forward strand.
TCCCACAGCCCAGAGTTTTGGGCTTAATTCATGCTAATCCTATACATATACATTATTTTGCATTGATCAGCTCATCGTATTTGCATTTTGGGATCCTGATTTTTCACTTAACAGCGATGTGTCAGAAGCATTGCTCCAGGCTGTTAAAAGCTCCTCGTAAACACCTCTTCCATTGACTGCCTAACATTCTCTTAAGGGAAGCTGCTATAATTTACTTGACTCTCCCCTATTCTTTTGGACATGTAGGTTGTCTCCCTTTGTAAATTTATTTTTCGAACAGCACGGTGTTGACACAGTTATAGCCAAAGAATCTTCCGTGTTCCCTCCCACAGCTTGTTCCCCACCCCACCCCCACCCCCGCTGCTCCCTTTACCAGCCCCTTCTCCTCTTTCCTGGGCATGTCCTGACTGAGCTGGGGCACAGAGTGGGTGCTCTGGCCTCTCCCGGGGGTGGGTGCACCGCTGGCTGCCCCTGACTTTTCTGAGCTGTTTGACTCTCAAGGGGAGGTGCTTTGATCTGAGGTTACTCCACCTCCCCTGCACCGGGGGCTTCCTTCTTGGGCCATGTGCCCTGCTGTTCCCCACTGGTGCCCCCTCGCGTCTGACCCTGGGGCGCGCCAGCCCTCACCCAGGCTCTCGGCTCACACAGCTCTGCCTTCCAGGCTTGCCCAGTCTCGGACAAACCCTCAGGTCCTGGACACTGGCCTGACAGCCCAGGACATGCATTACGCCCAGTGCCTCTCGCCTGTCGACTGGGACAAGCCTGACAGCAGCGGCACAGAGCAGGATGACCTCTTCAGCTTCTGAGGGCCCGGGGCCAGCCGGACACAAGCGGCCCTGACACGTGATGGACCAAAGCCACCTGCTGCGGGGGAGCCAGTTCTGGGGCCCGCCTGCCACCTCTCCCAGCCCTCAGCATTGTCAGCCTGAAGATCAGAGCTGCAGCCAGTCAGGCAGGGGAGAGATTTTTCTTTTAAGCCCTGCTCTTTCTCTGAGAACCAAAAGATGCCTTGAATATTTATTCAGTGACTTCTGGCTTATGCTCAGAAGCCAGTCTGCGTCAGGCACGTCTCCTGCTGCGTGACATGTGCAGTGCTGTAATCGGCTCCCGCTTGCTCTCCTGGAGCAAGCTCTGCCCTGGCTGTGGGTATCAGGACTGTGACCAAAGCATTTCTAGTCCCTTCTCTCTTTCTAAGGACCCAAATTTCCCTGGGGGCATCCTGCTTCCTGAAAGCTGTTGGATTTCAGTGATTTTTCCCCCCACCCCCCAGCACAGGAGAGCACCCACAGCCGCAGAAGGGGAATGTGTCCTCCTGCTCTGCTTCCTCAGGGCCCAGCAGGCGGGGGTTTGAGCCCTGGACCCCAGGCTCTTAGAGACTAAGGGGCAGCTCCTGACCAAAGACGATACAGCTTGGCACTTTAAAGCATTAACAGCAGGTGTGACCCTGAGGGCTCCTCCATGGTGCTGCATTGAGTCCAGCTTTCCTTCTGCCCTTCCTCCAGGAGAAGGGGCCCAAGGTCCCCGTGGATGGTCTCCACCTGTGCTTGGAACCAGTGTAACTGGCTGCTCCCTGCTCCCAGGGACTGACACGGGGATCATCTCTGTGACCGCCCTCCGTCGGGCCCCTGCCTGCCTTCTCCCCTCCACGCAAGGCTGTGCTCTTCCTCTGGTTTCTGTGTGTCCGTTTGAGTGTCTGCGCCCCGCCTCCCCATACTTCCTGGGATGATGTGTGAAACCTGACACCTAGATTTATTTGGAAATATTCTATGACCACTTTACAGATGAGGAAACAGGCCTCAAGCGTGGAGGGGTAGAGTGAAGAGTAGAACCCAGGTCTGATGCCAAAGCTGCTTTCTTCTCTGCCTCCTCCTCACGCAACTCACACCTCCTTTTCTTCTAGCTTTGTTGTCCTCCCAGGAACCAAAAAACCCCAGCTATTTTCTGACCAAAATGTGTTTCATAACAAACCATCTGGTGCCTTTCCACACAGAACTGGCAGGAGCCTCGTGTCCTGCTAGCTGTCTCTCTTGTTGATTTCCGTGAAAATGCAAGTGTTTGAAGTCTGCTCATTCCGAGGGTGAAACAAAATCCAACCCTGTCAGAATCATGCTGTTCTCTTTGCTGACACTGTGACCCTGGGTCGGGACAGACCAGCAGCAATCTGTCTTTAGAATCGCTTTCCTTCCTCCCCTTTTGCCCCCGTGGGGCTCCCGGCATCCTGAAAGCCAGCAAAGCCTCCAGCATCTTTTCCATCCTGAGGTGCCTCCCAGTGGCCTGGCTTGTCGGAGCAAGTTTCATCAGCCCTAGGGAAAACACGGCCCTCCTGGGAACCTCCTTACCTGGAGTAACCGGACACCTTAGACGGAGGTGCCTGAGGGTGGGGTGGGATTTGCAGGGTCATTATCAGAACATGAGGATAACTTCCTTGCCCCTGCTCTGTAGCCACCTCCTTGGCACCGGCCTCTATTTGTCATAAGGCGGCGTGGGCGAGGCCTGACACAGGCCAGCCTTGGCACGAGGGGGGCCAGGGGTTCTGAGAAGCGCTGCCCTGTGAGAGCCACGCTGGCCTTCGTCTCCATCTCTGGTTGACGGGCTGTCCGTGTGCCTCCTGTGTGTCTGCAGACAAGTCTTGCTGTGCTTTATTTGTGAAACTTTAATGAGGAAAAAACAAATAATAAATGTTCTCGTTTTGAAACTCAAGCAACGCTCATCAGGTGGAGTAGACTGGCGGCAGCGTCCGGCGGCTCCTGCCCTTTGGGGATGGCAGCAGCAGTGACCACAGGCTGGGTGGGGCCGCGTGCCCAGGGGCAGCACTGAGTGGGGGTGATGGTCTTAGGTTCCTGGGGTTGAAGGCCCAGTGGGGCCCCCTTTTCACCCAGCAGCTGGGTGTGTGTGTGATGAGGTCACCTCTGGATGACTCATGGAGGCTACACCAGGGATCTGGTGCATCGGCTGAAGCGTCTGAGAGCCCCGGCGGGGGACTGTGGCCAGGCTGTGAGTCCCCTGCAGTGTGCATGAGGTTGTGTACGTGTCCACGTGGGCGTTTTCCACAGAGAGGATGTCCATTATTTCCATCACTTTTTGGATCCGCAACACTTTATCATTCCACAGACTTGCTCCGGGCTGAACGTGGACTGGGCCTGGGTCTCAGTACTGGGGACAGGGGTCCAGGCGTGGCCCAGATGAACTCAGGATGTGTGGTTTGGGTGTGTTGGGGGATGGTGGGAAGTATTTCAGTGTCTTGAGAGACTCAGGGTCTAGCCCTAGCTCTGCCACTTGGAGGCTGTGACACTTGATCAGTCACCTCTTGAGCCTTGATTTTCCCGTCTGTGAAAATGGTGCAATGACCTCCCCGCTTTTTACCACCCTGGGTTTTGTGTGACTCAGTGGTGACCATCATCACATTGTTGGTAGAACACTTGTGCATTCAGGTTATCTCAGAACCAAAGGCAACTGGAACTCAATATGTCTAAAAATGGTAAAGTAAAATAGTTAGCAACCAGTGTTAACTGAGCTCTTACTATGTGCCGGGTGTTGTGCTGAGCTCTGCACCATATTGCAACGGTTGTGCTGAGCGCAGATGGCAGATGGCATTAGCTCCCGTTACTGCTGAGGACACTGGGCTGGGAGAGGAAGGCAGCTGTGCTTCAAGTGCTGGGCGGGGCCACAGCTGAGCCGCCAACCTGTGTGGCCCTTACCCCGCCATGTCCTGGCTTCCCAGGAGCCCAGTCTGGCCATATGCTGCCCGAGACCACCTGTTGACCTGTGCGGTGACCCTCACAGAAAGGCCACTCTCTTCAGGTTCTTTCAGCCACTCTCCGGAGATTCCCCAGGCCTCTGCCCCTCAGCTGTGGCTTGTGGGGGTCCACTTGGACATGTATCTCTTTATCCCTTTGAAACTGGTATTTTAAGCGTCCAGAACCCAGAGGCAGAGCCCTCATATCAGCATCAGGCTGACTCCCTGTGAATTCTCAGTGGTTCATGGATGACTAAGAAATCCTCCCCTTTCTTCTTTCCCTCATAATCTGAAAAGACACCCAACAAGTTTATCTTTCGGTTTAAATTTGGCCAATGTCTTTAGTCTCCGGATGTCTCGGATTATGAATCCTGAGCGCCAGCCGTCTGCTCTTTCATGCATAAGGGATGAAGCCAGGGAGAACAAAGTCGCCTTTCAGATTTGACGTGACTTTCAGCTTCACTGGGTGGATGTTGGGGTCTGCTCTCCCAGGAAGAGATCCCATCCCATGTACATCTGGGGACTTTTCAACAAGCCTGGCTAGGGAATAGGGGCAGATTCACATCTGGGGGGCTGGCTTGGGGCCTGGTCTTCCTCCGGCCATTCCCAGGTGCTCATCAGAGGAGGTGCCCGTTTGTATATTAAGAAGTAACCCGGCCGGGCGCAGTGGCTCACACCTGTAATCCCAGCACTTTGGGAGGCCGAGGCAGGCGGATCACGAGGTCAGGAGATCGAGACCATCCTGGCTAACACGGTGAAACCCCGTCTCTACTAAAAATACAAAAAATTAGCCAGGCGTGGTGGCGGGCGCCTGTAGTCCCAGCTACTTGGGAGGCTGAGGCAGGAGAATGGCATGAACCCAGGAGGTGGAGCTTGCAGTGAGCCGAGATCGGGCCACTACACTCCAGCCTGGGCGACAGAATGAGACTCCTTCTCAAAATAAAAATAAAAATAAAGTAACCCTTGGGCCTGTTAGGTCTTTTGCACCTAACACTGGTGATACTAGTCCTTGCAACCTCACATGCTACCAGGTAGGTGGTCCTAGTCCCATTTTCCTGATGAGGCAGCTGAGGGTGAAGGAGGATCAACAAGTTGACCAAAGTCTCACATCCACTCGGGGATCTGGGATTTGAACCCTGCTCTCTGACCCCAGCGCTCCGGATTTCCACTGCACAGTGCCTCTCCGTGCAGATCAAGGCAAACCCCAACCGACCTGGTGTGCCCTGCTCTGCCTCGCCAGCAGCCCCAGCTACCACGGAAGACACTGGAAGCTGCTGGCCAGTGGGTGTCTCCACAGGCAGAGGCTGACTTCCTAGCTAGACACCAGAGCAGATCCCACCTCTTCCCCAGTGGCTGCCCTTTGGGGCCACTTCTCTGGACATGCCTAGTTTAGAACTCCACAGGGGTATGTCTCATTGCATTGAGACCCTGCTTTGTCCCCAGTGGCACTGCTCAGCCTGCCAGTGGGGCCCACAGTGAGCATTGGTGCCCCTCAGAGAAGGAAGCCTTCCTCTGGGAGGTGAATGCCAGCCTCGGAAGGGCAGGAAGGAGGGTGCACATCTTGAACACCAGCAGCATCCACACGTACCAGCTAGTTTAAGCTGCTGCACGGCCCCTGTGCTTGCACGTATTGTTAGCCCATTTTAGAGATGATGATACCAAGGCCTGTGGCGGTTACATGATCAGCCAGCCTCACACAGCTATTAGGAGGCAGGCCTGGGACTCAGAGCCAGTGTGTTCCCCACTGTGCTGGGTGGCCCTGCCTCTGCAGGTCACTTGGGACATTGGCAAATCAGGATGACCTTGCTTGCTTAGGAACTTCTGAACCCAGCCCAGAGTAACCTTAGCCAAGTGTCCAGCACAGAGGTACTGGATCAGATGGTGCGTTTGTGGCCAGGACAGATGTGGGCTGTGTCATGAATCCTTGTTGCCAGACAGCAATTCTGACTGCACCTGCTGAGCCCCAGCACGGCCTGTCTCAGGGTGACTGAGGCACAGCTGCTCTTGACCCCCTCGCAGTCCAGGGGTTATAGTTCATGGTGCCCTGGAAAGTCCCCGGGCATGAGCTGGGCTTGCAGTAGGCCAGCGGGACATTGGAAGTCAGAGCTGAGGTATGGCAGCTGGGGAAGCCAGGTCAGGCTCTTAGAAGAGGGGCATATTCCTGCTGGGCATCAAAGGAAGGGTAGAATGGTTGGCGACTGCATGTGCTAGCCTGGGAGCTCCCTGAGGACATGCCTGTCTGATTTGCCCCATGGCCTCAGTGCCCAGCCTAGCACCTGGCACAGAGTGGCCATCAGTGAGTCAGTTCATCAGGAGGGGAGAACAGCCTGGCTCCCATGAGAGCTGTGAGAAAGGGCAGCCCTGGCTCAGCAGGCAGCGCTGGAGTCCCTGCAGCCTGGGAGTCCACTTTGCCGGCTGTCAGACCCTTCCTGTGACAGCTCCCCAGTGTGCACTGGGTGCACTGGGCTTAGGCACTCTGGGTCTCCGTCACACACAGCCGATGGCATGGCATGCCCAGCCTGGTTTGGTAAAATGTTGTGTGGTCCACCCTCTGCCCCAACCAAGATCTTGGTTTTCATGCTGTCTTCAAAGTGAGATTCTAGAATGTTAATGCTGGGAGAGCCCCTGATGGTTCCCCAGCCCACCCACTGAGCTTATAATGGGGAGTTGAGACCTGCAGAGGGCACAGGACTTGCCCGGGACTCACAGGCAGTTAAGAGAGCTGGGATCTGAGCTGTATTTTCCACCGACTCCATGCCCAGTCCTCCATCAACCTGGAGTAAAGGAGAGAGAAGTCCCTCCCACTCTTGCTAGAAGGGGCCCATGTGCTTGCAGGGAACTGGATGTGATGTTGGTAAGAAGAGGCTGGAGAAAGGACCTTGGTGGATTCTTGAGCATGTAATGAGCACCAGCTCATCATCCGTCTCTCCACTGTCCCCCTCAAGGACGCTGAAGTCTCATCTGCAGCTCAGGCTGCTGGCCAGACACCTAGAAGAGGGGGCATGGAGCTGCAGTTCCGAGTGCAGCCTCTGGGGCCACAGCCGTCAGGACTGGCTTTCAATCCCAGACGGCCGATTTTTAGCCGCAGAAACAACTTAGTAGCCTGTATCTCAGTCTCCTCACCTGTTAAATAGGATAAAGGTGCAGTCCAAACAGGGGCTGCTTTGCGGGGCGGGGGGAGGTCAGATGGGGGTGGGGAAGACCAGTTTCTCCCCAGGGGTAAGGCCCACCCAGGGTAGCCAAGGTGGGGAGGAGACAAGTTGTGTCTTACCAGCTCCCCTGATGCACCCAGGTGCACACTCAGGCCCCGCCACGTTGAGACCACCACATTATGCCCTCAGGAAAAACTCAACAAACTCTACTGTCTAGTGAGGAAAGCGTTGCAGTCTAGCTGTTTCCAGTAGGAAGGGATTTAGTGAAGAGCACCAGATCACAAAAGCCCTGGCAGGGCGAGGGTGCAGGTGGTCCCTGCAGGGGCTCAGGGATCTGGCGGCTGCTGCTCCTGTAGGTCCCGGTGGCTGCATCCCGGGGCAGAGCTGGCCGGAAGCTGCTGGCAAGGGAAGTTGGGAAGAGGTGGTTTGCAGGCATCAGCCCTTGCGGCTCAGGAGGGCACAGGGAAGGGAAGGGAAATGGTGCTGAGATGCAGCAGACCCCCTGGCACCCCACCACCCCAACACTGTTGGGGGGCAGGGAGGGTAAAAGGAGCTGAGGGAGGTTAGCCCGGAGAAAACCTGGCTGCCACACCTATGTCGGGAGCTATGCCGAGGCTTTGCACACGTTACGTAATCCTTAGGACAGCCATGTGAGGCCATGAACTGACCTGATCGAGATGTGAAAAGCTAGGACAGCACCCCGGGGCTATTTCACACAGGCGGGGCCTGCTCCTGCCTCTCCCTGAGCCAGGCTCATTCATCCAATGCCCAGTGATTGAGTGCCCACCACATGCCAGGATGCATGCCAGGCGTCTGGAACATGGCAGCAAACAAAACAGCAGAAATCCCCATCCTCATGGAGCTGACGCTCCCCCAAATATGTATAAATATTTGTAAATACGTAAAAATAGGTGTGGTGTAAGCACTCCAAAGGAAAAAGGGCGGTGGGGGGAAGGGGAGTGGCCTGGCCGGCAGCGCTGCTGCACCTGGGGTGGTCAGAGTTGGACAGAGTGCTGGAGGAGGTAGGGAGGCCCCAGAGAAAGGGCACCTGAGAGGGCAAAGAGCAAGCGCAAAGCCCCAGGATTGCAGTTTGGAATGTGCCAAGGGCAGGAGGAAGTCTGAGGCTGGAGAGGAGGGAGGAAGGAGGTGGACTGGGAAATGGGCTCAGAGCAGGTGCAGGCCTGGACCACAGGGCGGTGGCAAGGCTCAGACCTGCTGTGCAGGGCTCAGTGTGGGGTCTCGAGGACACGAAGGCTGCACAGCCAGGGGCAATGCAGAGACTGAGGCTCTAGGATACTGAGGCTGTCATCCAGGGTCAAGCCCAAGAGAGAGCAACCTCCGGGCTTGCAAGCGGGCAGATGGAAGGTTGAAAAGGCAACCCCATGTCCTCCTGCTCTGTTGTCTGAGCGGGGGGCTTCCAGATTTGTTGAAGAAAAGGATGTGTGCATGGCCAGCTGCCTGGGTTTGGTGGTGGTCCCAAATCTGTGTGTCGGGAGCCCTGTGGGTGTCTGTGGGCCTCTGGCAGTAGCCTGAGTCAGAGATTGGTGTATCCCCGTGTGATGTGGAGGGCTGGTGTCTCTTGGTCCCTGCCAGCCGAGCAAGAGGCTGATGCAGCGAGTGTTCTGGGCATGCTATATCATTTCTCTGGGTGTGCATGAGTGAGCCTGTGTTGGCTCCGTGGGCCTGTATGTGCCAGGAGCGTGTAGACCTGAAGGTCTGTACATGAGTCAAGGGTGAGAGGCCTGTGTGTTTCCTTGTGCGTCTGTGGGTTCCTGCTTGTCCGTAGTGGGCAGCAGTGAGGGGTGTCTTTGACTTTGGCCTGTCATTGTCTGTTTCATGCTCACTTGACATTCCACAGCTCAGCTGTAGTTCTTGGAACGAATGGAAACAGACAGCACCCAGGACCCAGTAGGACTGGCCTGTGCTTCTTGGATACTTGGGTTCAGGGTCTCCTCCCCAGCGGTCTCTAACAGCTGAGGTAGGGACGACTCACCGTCCCGGTCCCCAAATGCAGTGCTTTAAACTCAGAGACCCTTTCTTCGGGCCGCAAGGCTGGACCAGGGCTCTCACTACCCGGGTGGGAAGACTGTATGATGTTTGGGCCTTGCCAGCCCCAAGGAAGAGTCAGATCTCTAAACCTGGGGGCCTCCTGGGAAAGCCAGGACTCCAGCACTGTGGAAAGAGCATGGAGGTAGAAGTCAGAAGGACCTGGGTTCAAATCCCACTTTTGCCCAGGCATAGGGGCTCATGCCTGTAATCCAAGCACTTTGGAAGGCTGAGGCAGGTGAATCACTAGAGTCCGGAAATTTGAGACCAGCATGAGCAACCTGGAGAAACCCTGTCTCTACTAAAAAAAAAAAAAAAAAAAAAACCAGCTGTGCATGGTGGCATGCATCTGTAGTCCCAGCTACTCAGGAGACTGAGGTGGGAAGATCACTTGAGCCTGGAAAGTCAAGGCTGTAGTGAGCTGTGATTGCACCACTGTACTCCAGCCTCGGCCACAGAATGAGACCCTGTCTTACAAAAACAAACAAACAAACAAACAAAAATCTCACTTTGTCATTTCCTAGTTCAAAAACCTTAGTCAAATGGCTGCTCCGTTTCCTTATCTGTAGAGGCGGGACCGGCGTCTTGGGCCTACTGTGGAGATTAAATGAGCACTGAGTATGTGCCCAGCCCTGGGCTAAGAGCTTTACACAAACGACCCCATGGGCTTCTCACAATAACTCTCTGGAATGGGTACAGGCCCCATTTTGCAGAAGAGGAAACTGAGGCCCAGAGAGATGGCATGACTTGCCCATGGTCACTCAGCTGGGAACTAGTAGAGCCAGGATTTGAACCAGGCAGTCTGACTTCAAAAGCAGCAGCATGAGGCTGGGTGTGGTGGCTCACGCCTGTAATCCCAGCACTTCGGGAGGCCAAGGTGAGCGGATCAGTTGAGGTCAGGAGTTTGAGACCAGCCTGGCCAACATGGTGAAACCCCATCTCTATTAAAAAAAAAAAAAAAATTAGCCGGGCATGGTGGCATGTGCCTGTAATCCCAGCTACTCGGGAGGCCGAAGCAGGAAGATCACTTGAATTCGGGAGGCAGAGGTTGCAGTGAGCCAAGATCGTGCCACTGCACTCCAGCCTGGGCAACAGAGTGAGACTCCTCAAAAAAAACAAAAGTAGGCCAGACGTGGTGGCTCACGCCTGTAATTCCAGCACTTTGGGAGGTGAAAGCAGGTGGATCGCTTGAGGTCGGGAGTTCAAGACCAGCCTAACCAACATGGAGAAACCCCATTTCTACTAAAAATACAAAATAAGCCGGGTGTGGTGGCACATGCCTGTAATCGCAGCTACTGGGGAGGCTGGGGCAGGAGAATCACTTGAAACCAGAAGGCAGAGGTTGCAGTGAGCCGAGACCGTGCCACTGCGCTCTAGCCTGGTCAACAAGAGTGAAACTCCATCTCAAAAAAACAAAAAACAAAATAAAACAAAATAAAAACAAAAGTAGCAGTATGAGACGGTGAAAGGAAAGCAGAGCGCCTGGCTTTGGGTGCCCGGCCAGTGGTGGCTGTTACTACTGAGGCTCAGAGAGATGAAGCAACTTGCCACAGGCCACACAGCCAGAAAGGAACGGGGCCAAGATTCAAGGCCAATCCTAACCCAACACACCATCCACTTTATCTTTCACAGAGGCTCTCTCCCACCCCATCCGGCCTGCCCTTCAGTGGAAACTGAGATGGGGCCCAGATTTGGGGTGGGACTTGGCTAAGGTCACACAGAAGGAGGCTGCCCCTCCTGATGTGGAGGTGGCAGCGTGGTGCCATCAGGCAGAGGCACTAGGAGTGGCCTGAGACACAGACCCAAGGAGGAGCCAGCGGTGGGGTTCAGGCCTGTACCTGCTGTCTCTAAGAGCAGAGGAGCTTCTGCCCGGTGCAGGGAGCCTGGGGCGGCTCTCCATGGCGATGTTCCTGCGAGCGTGGCAGTCGGTCCTAGCCCCACTTAGTCACCCCAGGCAGCAGAGACCCTGTGCCATCCCCGCATTCACCTCCTGAGAAAGATCGGGAGGAAGCATGTCCTGAACGCTGCTTTATTGCAATAAATTTGTGGAATCAGCTCATTACATTTAATTAGAATTATTTAATTAGAATCTTAATAAAAGAGTAGAGCAGGAAGGAGGCTGATGAACGGAGCTGAGGAGAGCCTTGCTGAGTGTGAGGAGCAGACCCAGCTGGGAGGTGGAGTGGGGGAGGGGCTGCCAGGATGCGAGCCTGGATGGCTAGGCAGAGGGGACGTGCCAGGACCACCAGGACCTGGGCTGGGCTTTCCCTGACCTGTTCCTTACCAGGTGGCCCTGTGGGCAGGTCCTGGGCTGGTTTCCTGCCCTCAAGGAACTCGAGGTTCATGCAGGGAACAGACGAGGAGCCAGACAGTTACCACGCCCAGTGCAGGAGGCAGAGTCACATGCCAGCCAGAGATGAGCGTCGAGCCTGGTGTGCGGTTAGGAAGGCTTTCTACAGCAGGGAGGCCTGCGGTGAGACCTCACTGTGTTGAAGTTAGACGAGGAGGGGAAGGGCTCCAAGCAGGTGTGAGGGAAGGCGGAGCATTTGAGGCACCTGGCGGGGACAAGACAGGGTGCATAGCAGAGGCCTGGCGCCGGGTGGCAGGCTCAGGTCCCGGCATCACCGTGAGTTGGCTCTGGCAAGTGACCTGGGCAGGTTATGCCACCCTCGGAGCCTCATCTTCCCCATCTGTAAATGGGGGTGATAGTGGGGCTCTTGTGTGGATGAGAGGAGCTGCAGAGAGCACTTGGAACAGTGCCTGGCCCACGTCAGTGCGTGTGCACCAGCTATTGGGACTGTTGTTAGGATTGTCGCAGTGGAGGTCTCCAGCAGGTCATCAGTTACACAGGTCGGGAGCTCAGGGGGCATCTGGGCTGGGGACGTAGCTCTGTCATCAGTGAAGCGGCAGGTGTGGGTGAGCCCCCCACCTCCATTTGCTCTTTCCTCATTCCCTGAAAAAGACAGTTTTGTTCAGAGATCTCACCCCAACAGGGCTCTGGCTCTTCAGGGAACACTGGGAGAGTTATTTCCTCTCTCTCTCTCTCTGTCTCTCTCTCCTCAGCACACAAAGAAGCGGGTGACCGTTGACTAAAGACAAAAATCAAGCTTTTAAAGCATTAAAATTAGTTTTATACAGAAGTCTTGCTGATGACTATAGACAGAGGCCTACGGCCCTCAAGCAGCCCTCCAGAGAGGGTTTGTCAGACAACTCCGGCACGGCATTTGAGCCCACTGCTGATATGCAGCTGGTGGAGGTTCGGTAGTGCAAAATCACATTGAAATTTGGGTGCAGGAGTCCATCTGGTGATAGATTACAGAGGCATCATCACTAACCCCGTTAGACATCATTACCTTATGTGTAGGAAAAGGCAAGGACTAGGATCGTTTGTCTTTTTTTTTTTCCTTAAGACAAGGTCTCACTCTGTCGCCCAGGCTGGAGTGCAGTGCAGTGGTGTGATCATGGCTCACTGCAGCCTCAACCTCCCCGGCCCAAGCGACCCTTCCACCTCAGCCTGTTGAATAGCTGGGACGACAGGCACACATGCCACTGCACCTGGCTAATTTATATATTTTTTGTAGAGATGAGGTTTCACCATGTTGCCCAGGCTGGTCTCAGACTCCTGAGACTCAATCAATCCATCCACCTTGGCCTCCCAAAGTGCTGGGATTACAGGTGTGAGCCACTGTGCCTGGTGTGGGGCCATTTATCTTTTAAAGAATATAGTGACTCAGGTGAGAGACGTGAGGGTTTTGTCTTTAAAGCATCTTTCTGGAGAGCTGTACGTTGTCACAGAATCAGGGGCTTGTGAAATTATGCTGGCATGCAGAAATGAGAAACATGGCTTCTTAAATTTGTTACTTTGTCTTACGTGACCCATGCTACCCCTTCAGAGGACCAGATCTGGGATGAAGCTAACAGTATGCAGTATGCCACCTCTCCATGTGTTGTTTAAAGCCTTGACTTGTAGCGCTTGTCGATTTCCTAGTATAAATATGGCCACCATGGCCAATGTCAGGCTACCAACATGACATCACTTAACCTGGAGTTAAGATGCACACAGTCTGTTCTTGCAAGGCAGAAAGACCCAGCTCCAGCACCCCACTCGATGAGGCCAGCCCTGAGAACAGCAGAGCTGGGAGTGAAAAGCACCTGCACACAGATCTGCACCAGGATCCACCTCCACGTGCGCAGCTTTCTGTTACTTGAGGCCAAATGCGTCCCACACCCTGCAGGGCTGCAGGGCAAGAAGAGAAGAAAACCCAGGAGCAACCCAGAGGAACTGATAGGATTTAGGCAGCAGGCAGAGGAAGAGGAGGCGGCGAGCTCAGCTGCCGCTGTCACGTGGTGATGCTAAGGGTCAGATTTTACATTTGGTTTTTCACAGACTTAATCCTGCTGCCATCAAAGATAAGAGAATTGTTTTCAGCACAGTTATAGAAAGTTCCTAGGCTCCAGTCCATGCCTTGAGCCAAGAATGTAGGGATTTAAGCTTGTTATTCTTTTTTCCTTGAATCGCCCAGTGCCACAGAAGCAGCTACCCCATCTCTGAAATCTTCGTGCCATTCATGTGTTCAATAGCAGTGTCGACTCAGACCCTCGAAGCTCTGCCTTCAATGGCACTTTTTTCCCAGATGGCCACAGGCCATAATTTAATTAATTAATATAACTTAATTAGCTGTTTCACCACTACATTACCACAGCTGCTAGATTCTCATCCCTGAACGCTAACTGGATTTTCCCTTCCTTCAGCTCTGACTAGACCAGATCATCATTTCCCCAAGGGTATGGAGCTCGAAACCCACCCCCTCCAACCAATTTCCAAACCCGCCAGGTTTCTGAGTTGAAAACAATGGAAACTGACCCTCGCTAATTTAAGCAGAAAGGAACTTATTGGAAAGACACCAAGGAGCTCAGGCAATCGGCTGGAGAAGTGGGCTCAGAGAGAGAACAGCTGTCGAGGGAGGCTGGCAGTCAGGACACAGGCAGGGTGTCCCTACAGAAGATGTCTGCTTCTGTCTGTTCTGTCTGTTCTCCGCAGATTCAGGGTAGGCTCCTGGTGGATGGAGTCGGTGTCATGCCTGCTCCTAGCTGACTAGGGTGAACATCAGCTTCTGCATGGGAAGACAGAGCTGTCTCCTGTAAGGTTCACTAGGCTCGAGGCCGGGCACAGTGGCTCCTGCCTGTAATCCCAGCACTCTGGGAGGCTAAGGAGCACCACTGCACTCCAGCCTGGGTAACAGAATGTCTCTAAAACAAAAAAATTAAATTAAAAAGGGGGTTTGAATGCTGAGTGAGAAAAAAACAAAACAAAACCAAAAGCTAGAAATTATTCACCTTGGCTAGACACTGTGCTAACATTTTGGCTTCATTATCTCAATTTAATCTTCACAATTATTATTATTTTTGAGACAGGGTCTCACATTGCCCAGGCTGAAGTGCGGTGGCACAATCACAGCTCATTGCAGCCTTGACGTTTCTGGGATCAGGTGATCCTCCCTCCTCAGCCCCCCAAGTAGCTGGGACCACAAGTGTGAGCCACCATACCTGGCTAACTTTTTAATTTTTTTTTGTAGAGATGGAGCCTCACTACATTGCCCGGGCTGGTCTCGAACTCTTGGTCTCAAGCAGTCCTCCTGCCTTGGCCTTCCAAAGTGCTGGATTACAGGTGTGAGCCACTGCACCTGGCCCACAATTATCTTTCAAGAGGTGTTGCTTTTATCAACCCCATTTTATAGATGGGGACCAGGCTCTGAGTTTCTTCATCAGTAGTAACCCCAGGCTTTGGGGTACTGTGAGAACCCGGCAGGACACCATGAATCCCGGAAGGCTCAGAACCAGGCTCTGGAGGAGTTTCCCTAAATTGAGGCCAGCCTTAGTCTGTTGGCCTTAGCAAAAGCAGGAAGGGCCTGTCTAGACTGAGTACTTCCTAATTCTAGATGTTACTGCCATTGGCCTGCTTGGGGGCCGGTCCTGGACCAAGAGGGTGCCGTGCTGGGCTGGAGAGCTTCTCACCAAAAGCAAATGGGGTGTGAGGAACATGTGTTCTCTGCCGGGCCTCAGCACATGGGCATTCTGTCGTGATGCTTGCTGTAGCCAGCAGCCTGGGGCGGGGGCACTGCTGAGTAAACTAGGAGGGCAGCTGAATTCTGAGAAGCAGAGAGGTAGGTATGGGCCCCTGGCCTCTTGAGCCAGGGAGAGGAGAGGGTTTCTGAAAAAGAGAGATACCAAACAGGGCCCAAGCACTGACACAGGAGACTCCTGTGATGGTTCAGGTCTCCCCCATCAGACCAGGAGTTGCTGAATCCGGGGTGGTCTGTTTCCCTCTTCAGGCTGGAAGCTCTGAAGGGCAGAACTCTCGCTCCTCTGACACATCGGGAGCTCCTGTGTGCAGGGCCCTGTCTCCCACCTTGGGCTGAGGCTTCTAACGGCAGGGCGTCTCTTCCCTCCAACTAGGGCACCTGAAGGGCTAAGTGTTCCAAGACAGCAGTGTCAGCAAAGGCTGCGCAGATTTGAGGAGTGGGACCGGCAGAGCTGGATGAAACCTGACTATGCTGAAGGGGAAATGGAGACCCCGGGAGGGGCAGGGACCTGCTGAGTGCCTCCCCCAGGCAGTAGCTGACCTGGACCGCATCCCGGTACTCCTGCTGAGGTAGGAGGATTTGGGGTAAAGAGACAAAGTGTGGCCTTAGGAATACAGCCCCCAGAGCCAGGCAGGAGGGGGCAGCCCCGTAGGGCTCAGGTTCAAGCATGAGGCTGCCAATACTGCCCCTTGGAAGCGCCTCTGTTGTTCTGTCCTGGATGTTTGAGTCCTTGGCCAGCTTCCTGGGCAACGGCCTCATCCCGCTGAGATGGACAGATGTGCACAGCTGGGGGAGGGGCTTGGTGAAATCCAGCCCCACCCAGCGCAGGCCTGGGCTTCCCAGGGGTGGAACTTATCTGGGTTCTGGTCCTGATCTCTGCCTTGGCCCTGTTGTGCAGCCCTGGGCAGTGCCATGGCTTCCCCTTGGGCCTCAGTTTTCTTGTCTCTCAAATAAGGGAAGCTCTTCATTCTTTCATCAGACATTGACTGAGTTGGTACGTCCTTGGCCCACTGACTCCAATATTTGGGGATGCATTATCTGGTTCTAAGATACTTCCCCCGCTCTATTTTAAAATTTATTTCAAAAAATTATGGTAGAATGGTCTGGGCGTGGTGGCTCACGCCTGTAATCCCAGCACTTTGGGAGGCCAAGGCGGGCAGATCACTAGATATGGAGATCGAGACCATCCTGGCGAACACGGTGAAACCCCGTCTCTACTAAAAATACAAAACTTAGCTGGGCATGGTGGCATGCACCTGTAGTCCCAGCTACTCAGGAGGCTGAGGCAGGAGAATCGCTTGAACCTGGGAGGTGGAGGTTGCAGTGATCCGAGATCGTGCCACTGCACTCCAGCCTGGCGACAGAGCGAGACCCCATCTCAAAAAAAAAAAAAAAATTACCATTTTGACTTTTTAAAGTATACAGTTCAATGGCATTACATACACTGACATTGTTGTACAGCCTTCCCCACTGTCTATCTCCAGAACTTTTTCATCACCTTAGACTTGAATCCCCATCCTTTTAAAAATAACAGCTTTATTGTGATATAATTCACATATCATACAACTCATTTAAAGTATACAATGAGCCGGGTACGGTGGCTCACATCTGTAATCCCAGCACTTTGGGAGGCCGAGGTGGGCGGATTACCTGAGGTTAGAAGTTCGAGACCAGCCTGGGCAACATGGTGAAACCCCGTCTCTACTAAAAATACTAAAATTAGCTAGGCGTGGTGACGCAGGCCTGTAGTCCCAGCTACTTGGGATGCTGAGGCAGGAGAATCACTTGAACCCGGGAGGCAGAGCTTACAGTGAGCCGAGATCGTGCCACTGCACTCCAGCTTGGGGGACAGAGTGAGACTATCTCAAAAAAAAAAACAAAAATTCCATTCCACTCTCTTTTTGTTTGCATGGTTTCTGAGAAGTTGGATATAATTATCTTTGCTCCTCTGTAGGTGAGGTGTTTTTTTTCCTTTGGCTTTTTTGGGGATTTTTTTTTTTTTTTTTGGTGGAGTCTCACTCTGTTGCCCAGGCTGGAGTGCAGTGGAGCCATCTCAGCTCACTGTAACCTCCATCTCCCAGGTTCAAGTGATTCTCGTGCCTCAGCCTCCCGAATAGCTGGGATTACAGGAGCCTGCCACCATGCCTGGCTAATTTTTTATACTTTTTTAGTAGAGATGGGGTTTCGCCATGTTGGCCAGGCTGGTCTCGAACTTCTGACCTCAAGTGATCTGCCCACTTCAGCCTCCCAAAGTGCTGGGATTATAGTCGTGAGCCACTGAGCCCAGGTTTTTTTGGGATTAAAAAAAATCTTTGGTATTCTGTTGTTTGCAAATAATATGCTAGGTGTAGATTTGTTATTGTTGTTGTATTTATCCTGCTTGGTATTCTCTGAGCTTCCCGGATCTGTAGTTTGGTGCTTGACATAAATTTGGAAAACTTCTGTTATCATTGTTTCAAATATTGCTTCCATTCCTTTCTCTTTGTCATCTCTTTCTGGTATGCCCATTATATGTATGTTACACCTTTTGTAGTTTCCCATCCCTATCCATTAGAAACCCCTATGCCATCCTCCACCATGTCTCTGCACTCCCAACCCCCGAGCCTTAGGCAACCACTAATCTGCTTTCTGTCTCTGTGAATTTGCCTGTTCTGGACATTTCATATAAATGGATTCCTATGACATGTGTGGTCTTTTGTCTGGCTTCTCTCGCTCTGTGGGATGTTTTCAAGTTTCGTCACGTTGTAGCACATGCCAGTGCTTCGTGTCTCCCTCTCTATTTTTAACATCTGGCTTCTCCAGCACAGGGGCTGAGAGAACAGGGGCTTGACGGGCAATATCTCCTTCTTCATCCACCCAGACCGTGCTCCTGTCTGTGGGTTGAGCCTGTCAGCTGCCAAGGTCCTCCGCGTGGCAGGTGTCTGAACGCTGGCTCTGTGGGAACATGTGTGTGCTCTTTGGAGGTCCCGTGGGGGCCTCAGCCTCCACAGTCACCTGATGTGGTTATCTGGCTCCTAGATAACCTCTTCCAATGCCCCCCAACCCCCTGCGCTTGCCTGCAGCAGTCCGCCCCATGGTTCCTGTTGCTGGGGCCCCTTGTGTGGTGGGTGTCTTCTTGGTTGGGTCCCAAAAGATGGTACAAGTTCAGTTTTTTTTTTCTGTGTTCTCTGCTGGCCTCAGCAAATGGCAGGCATGTGGACTGCTTTATTGCCAGCACCTTCCACCCTGCCATTTCTCTCCACTACTCTCTTCCCCTGCTCAGACAGGCCCAGGGACAGAGCAAGTTGGCCACACCAGCAGAGGTCCCCAGGAGGGAGATGCCAGTCTTGCCTCTCAGCAGGGACCTTCCTACCTCCATAATAACATGTGATTTTCTTGGTGCCTCTCCCACTGGGCTTGGTTGAGAGGGGTCTTGGGTGGTGGGGAAGAGGAGAGAAAATCCACAGCTTCCATATGAAGCTGAAGCTTCATATCCCTGAAGAATCCCTTCCCCCACGTAAATCTAGAAGTAGAGGGATGGGAGGGCCAGTCTTGCCTTCTCGGCAAGCCCTAGAGGGAGCATCTGGCCCTATGTGTTGGGGCCTGTCTTCAGGATTTGGGGTGTTCTGCAATTCTTTACCCTGGCTCTGAACCCCAGCTGTCAATTCTGGGGCAAATGGAAAAGTTCCTGCTGCTATCCTGTTCCACCTATAACCCCAGCCTCATGTTACAGTCCTGGCAAGTGCTACAAAGGGCAGGGCAGAGAATGTTCTGATCTCATCTGGGGGTGCTCTGAGGAAGTGACTTTTGTAGGTCAGACCAGGTCAAAAGAATGGCATGTCCCAAGGTCCCAAAGCAAGAAGCAGTGTGGCACATGGGGAGATGGGAAGACCGGTGGGTGTGGGGTGTTGAGACTGAGGGCAGAGCGGTAAGAGTTGAGGCTGGCGGTGGCGACAGTGGCAACAGCAACATTTATAGATCATTTCTGTTTATGCATTTCTTATTTAATAATCGCAAAAGAGGAAGTAGCTCTGATTATCTCTCTTTTGTAGATGGAGGTTCACATCTTGCTCAGAGAGGTGAGGCGATTCACCTGAGAGCACGCAGCAGGTGTGTGGGGAAGCCGGGTTTTTTGTTTTTTATTTTTTGTTTTTTTTTTTTGAGACGGAGTCTCACTCTGTCGCCCAGGCTGGAGTGCAGTGGCACGACCTCGGCTCACTGCAAGCTCCACCTCCTGGGTTCACGTCATTCTCCTGCCTCAGCCTCCTGAGTAGCTGGGACTACAGGTGCCTGCCACCACGCCTGGCTAACTTTTTGTATTTTTAGTAGAGACAGGGTTTCACCGTGTTAGCCAGGATGGTCTCAATCTCCTGACCTTGTGATCCGCCCGCCTCGGCCTCCCAAAGTGCTGGGATTACAGGCGTGAGCCACTGTGCCTTACGGAAGCTGGGGTTTTAACCTGGGTCCAGAGTTGGAACTGGCCTCTGGGCCTATTTGACTCTCCTGTGCTCCGACATCCCAGCAGACCCAAGGAAGGGGCAGTCTGTCCTGCCCCTACCCACCCCTTCTCCCTTTCTACTGCCTACTCCTGGGAGCCTGTATGAGGGGCTGAGGTGGGCATGAACAGGTCAGCCTCTGAGACAAAGGAGGCCTGATTGGCAAGAGAAGTAAGGCCTTTGCTGTCAGCAGGCCTGGGTTTTAGTCCCCACACTGCCCCTCACTGGGCTGTGTGACTCTCGGTCAGATTCTTCCTTTTTCTCTGATTGTCAGTTTCTTCATTTGTCAAATAACCCACCCTCCTTGAGAGTGTCGTTTTATTCCCATTTTACAGATGGCCCAGAGAAGGGAAGCAAGACAGTGGCACCCAGGAGCCCAGCACCAAGCCCAGGGCTGTTTCCCCTACACCTGGCCATCATCTTTCCAGGGGTCTGGGCAGTGCCAGTCCAAGGGGACTAATTGTAGGCAATGTGGATGGTTTTTGTAGAGGCCCAGACTTCTAAAGACAGGCGGTCCAGGGGCTCTCATGATAGGAGAATGGGAATGGCCAATCCAAAGAAGAGAAAGCGCGACCAAGAACTGGTATTCAGATTGGGTGGCCCAGGGGCTCTCATGATAGGCTGGCTGGAGAGAGTTGCAGACTGAGCCCCTCCCTGTCCCTGCACTCATCTCTGGGCCTGCCTGAGAGCTGATTGTGCTGCGGCCGCATCTGATCTGGGCAGACTGGTCCCTGCAGACACCAGCGTCCATCAGGGCCACAGCATTTCCCAGGGCCACATACCTAGATCTCTGCTTCCCACGTGCGTGTGCGTGTGTGTGTGTGCATGCACATGTGTGTGTGCCTACATGTGTGTGCGTATGTGTGCATGTGTGTGTGTGTACGTGCGTGTGTGTGCGTGTGCGCGCGTGTGTGTGTGTGTATGTGTTTTGGGTCAGGGAGGGGGCTGAGTTAGGAAGTCTGGAGCACAGCACTGCAGCAGGGGTGGGGGCTCTGTTGAGGTGTGTCTTTGCCCTCACTGGGCTTCTCCTGCCTCACTCCCACTCTGGGCACAGCTCACACTCCAGGCCTGAGCAGATGGGGGCCCTGACCAGGGATGCCTGAGCCCTGATGGTCCTCAATCCACTCTCAGATGCAGATTCACATCTCTGAGCCCCAGCCTGAGCTGAACCCTGACTCTAGTTCTAAGCTGAGACCCAAAGCTGACCCTAGAGTGAGCATGACCCCAGCTCCATGCTTAGCCATGATCATAGTCCCAGACTGAGCCCTAATCCTGGTTCCAGGATGGATCCTCAATCTGGTTCCAGGCTGAGCCCTGAACTTGCTCTAAAACTGAGCCCTCGTCTTTTAGACAATTCTTTGAACCCTGTTCCAGGCTGGGCCCTTACTATACTCTAAACTCTAATCCTGGCCCCTAACTAAACCTTGACTCCGATCAGAAATTCTGTCATGATTCACTTCTATTTTGTTTATTTTATTTTATTTTATTTTTGAGACAGAGTCTCACTCTGTCGCCCAGCCTGGAGTGTAGTGGTGTGATCTTGGCTTGCTGCAGCTCCAGCCTCCTGGGCTCAAGCTATCCTCCTGCCTCATCCTTCCAAGTAGCTGGGACCACAGGCATGTACCACCATGCCCTGCTAATTTTATTTTTTATTTTGTAGAGACAGGGTCTTACCATGTTGCCCAGGGCTGGTTCTGAACTCTTGGCCTCAAGTGATCTTTCTGCCTCAGCCTCCCAAAGTGTTGGTATTACAGGTGTGAGCCACTGCATCCGGCCATGACTCACTTTTAATTTCAGTCCTGACCTCCGTCCTTAGCTGATCTGTGCCTGTGACCACAGTCTAACCCCTAATTTCCGAACAACAAACCAACCGTTAACCTCAAACCTAGCCCAAATGGGAGCGCAAGATCCCTTCCAATGGCAGGACTTGTGCTGGAACCAGAAGGAAAGTTAGTGTTTCACCGAGCGGAGCTGTGGAAACTGTGCACATAGGCGTGGAGTGGGAATGTGGAGAATGGAAATGGCCAACCCGAGAAGAGAAAGAGTTACTGAGAACTGCTATCCACGGTGGGAGTGGGCGTGGCGGGAGGACTCTGGGTGCAGTCACAGCTGGGGTTCAAATCTAGGGTCCACCGCATATCAGTAACCTTATTTTGGATGGGTCAGGTGTGTGTGGGGAAAAGAAAGAGAGATCAGATTGTTACTGTGTCTATGTAGAAAGAAGTAGACATAAGAGACTCCATTTTGTTCTGTACTAAGAAAAATTCTTCTGCCTTGAGATGCTGTTAATCTGTAACCCTACCCCCAACCCTGTGCTCCCTGAAACAAGTGCTGTGTCAACTCAGGGTTAAATGGATTAAGGGCTGTGCAGGATGTACTTTGTTAAACAAATGCTTGAAGACAGCATGCTCCTTAAGAGTCATCACCACTCCCTAATCTCAAGTACCCAGGGACACAAACACTGCGGAAGGCCGCAGGGACCTCTGCCTAGGAAAGCCAGGTATTGTCCAAGGTTTCTCCCCATGTGATAGTCTGAAATATGGCCTCGTGGGAAGGGAAAGACCTGACCGTCCCCCGGCCCGACACCTGTAAAGGGTCTGTGCTGAGGAGGATTAGTAAAAGAGGAAGGAATGCCTCTTTGCAGTTGAGACAAGAGGAAGGCATCTGTCTCCTGCTCGTCCCTGGGCAATGGAATGTCTCATGTAAAACCTGATTGTATATTCCATCTCCTGAGATAAGGGAAAACTGCCTTAGGGCTGGAGTTGGGACATGCGGGCGGCAATACTGCTCTTGAAGGCATTGAGATGTTTATGTGTATGCATATCTAAAGCACAGCACTTAATTCTTAACCTTGTTTATGATGCAGAGACCTTTGTTCACCTGTTTACCTGCTGACCCTCTCTCCACTATTATCCTATGATCCTGCCACATCCCCTTCTCTGAGAAACACCCAATAATGATCAGTAAATACTAAGGGAACCCAGAGGCCGGCGTGGATCCTCCATATGCTGAACGCCGGTCCCCTGGGCCCCCTTTTTTCTTTCTCTATACTTTGTCTCTGTGTCTCTTTCTTTTCCAAGTCTCTCGTTCCACCTAACAAGAAACACCCACAGGTGTGGAGGGGCAACCCACCCCTTCAAAGTGGCCTCACAGAGGTTCTGTTTTTCCGTCTTAAAGTGGGTCCGCCCTGCTTTTCTCTTGGGTCATGGAGCGCCTTGAGAGTGCCATTTCCATCTTGTCTTTAGGTCCTATGTGCTCTCCCCGCTGCCTGGACCACTCCTCTTTCCATGTCCACTTCTGCATCTGCAAGATGTAGTGTTCCTTCCTCTAAGAAGTCTTCCTGGGCCGGGCATGGTGGCTTACGCCTGTAATCACAACACTTTGGGAGGCCGAGGCGGGGGGATCACCTGAGGTCGGGAGTTCGAGACCAGCCTGACCAACATGACAAAACCCCGTCTCTACTAAAAATACCAAAATTAGCCAGGCGTGGTGGCGCACATCTGTAGTTTCAGCTACTCAGGAGGCTGAGGCAGGAGAATTGCTTGAACCTGGGAGGTGGAGGTTGCAGTGGGCCGAGATCACACCACTGCACTCCAGCCCAGGCAACACAGCAACACTCCATCTCAAAAGAAAGAAAGAAAGAAAGAAAGAAATATATCAAGGGCTGGGGGTGAGCAACACTAAGGAGTATGCTTGTTGAGTGTGATGGTTGACTTTATGCATCAACTTGACTGGGGTAAGGGATGCCCAGATAGCTGGTAAACCCATTATCATTATGGGTGTGTGAGACGTTTCTAGAAGAGATTCACATTTGAATCCATAGACTAAGTAAAGAAGATCCACTCACACCAATGTGGGTAGGCACCATCCAGTCTCTCACAGAATGAAAGAATGGAGTAATAATATAGAATATAGAATAAAATGCTGGAGGAGGGGTAAATTCTCCCTCTCTCTCTTCTTGAGCTGGGACCTCCATCTTCTCCCGCCCTCCAGCACTGAAGCTCTTGGTTTTTTGGGTCTTCAGATTTGGGCTGAATTACACCAAGGCTTTCCTGGCTGTCCAGTTTGCAAATGGCAGGTCATGGAACTTCTTGGCCTCCATAATTGTGTGGGCCAACTCCCATAATAAATACCCTCTTACGGGCCGGGCGCGGTGGCTCATGCCTGTAATCCCGGCACTTTGGGAGGCCGAGGCGAGCGGATCATGAGGTCAAGAGATCGAGGCCATCCTGGCCAACATGGTGAAACCCCGTCTCTACTAAAAATACAAAAAAATTAGCTGGGCATGGTGGCACGCGCCTGTAGTCCCAGCTACTTGGGAGGCTGAGGCAGGCGAATCACTTGAACCCAGGAGGTGGAGGTTGCAGTGAGCCAAGATTGTGCCACTGCACTCCAGCCTGGTGAAAGAGGGAGACTCCGTCTCTAAATAAATAAATAAATACCCTCTTATATGTATAGCTCTCTGTATCCTATTTGTTCTGTTTCTCCAGAGATCCTGACTAATACGCCAAGGCCCAGGGCTGCATGCCCAGGACTCAGGAAGAGTCTCGAAGAATCCTCTGCACACAAGAACACTGCTATCCGCCGAAGCTGATGTCAGCTATTCCCTGCAGACTGGCCTGGTCCAGCAGAGCCAGCTCTGCTAAACTACCACAGGCAGGAAGAAAATGAGCCACCAGGGGCCTCCACACTTGTCTCTCATAAAAGATATATGCTCCACAAGGACAGGGGTTGAGTCTGTCTTGTTCCCTGCTCAATAATTGTGTGCTATGGATAAGTAAATGAATGGATCAAGAGATAAGGATGGAAGAGCAATTTACAAACCCAAAGCATTGTGCAAGGCAGGGCATAATTGGGTAGGAATGCTTCTTCTAGAAGTTATTCCTTAGGAAAGGCCAAACAAAAAGTCTATTAATAGACCCGATTAATAAACATCAGCCAAGGTAAATGTTAACAGGAAGTATTTCTGCAAATGTTGGCGGTCTCTCAGGCTGGGCTCAGAGTAGGCTGGCATGCTGGTGAAGAAGACTTCCTGCCTCCTGTTTGCTCAGAACATGTTCTCAGGCCTAGGGGAGCCTCCTTCTTGAACCCCAGAATGGGTGCCACAGTCCCAGGCTTGCCGCATCCTGGAAGTTCACCCTACTTCAGTATGCAGTCAGATCCAGGTACGCAGGGACGCAGTGTGCGGTCAGACCCAGTTATGCAGGGATGCAGTGTGCGGTCAGACCCAGTTATGCAGGGATGCGGTGTGCGGTCAGACCCAGTTATGCAGGGATGCGGTGTGCGGTCAGACCCAGTTATGCAGGGATGCGGTGTGCGGTCAGACCCAGGTATGCAGGGATGCGGTGTGCGGTCAGACCCAGTTAGATGGTCCTTAAACATGCCATGCTGATTTGCCCCTGGGGGCTTCACTTGTGTTCTTCCATTGTTCCTCTTTTCCTCACTTCCTTCAGGTTTCTGTACAAATGTCGCCTCCTCAGAGAGGCCTCATCTGACCCCATTCAAAATTAGCAGCCACACAGAGGTATAATATGCTGAGAAAAATTTAAAAATAAAAATAAAATAAAACAGCAGCTGCTGTTGCCATAATTATCCATTAAAAATATCCCCTAACCCTGTTTTAATTTTTTTTTTTTTTTTAATTTTTGAGATGGAATCTCCGAGGCTGGAGTGCAGTGATGCGGTCTCAGCTCACTGCAATCTCAGCTTCCCGGGTTCTGGGCTCAAGCAATTCTCTTGCCTCAGCTTCCTGAGTTGCTGGGATTTACAGGCATGCACCACCATGCCCGGCTAATTTTTGAATTTTTAGTAGAGACAGTTTCGCCATGTTGGCCAGGCTGGTCTCGAACTCCTGACCTCAGGTGATCTGCCCACCTTGGCCTCCCAAAATGCTGGGATTACAGGCGTGAGCCACCGCACCCTGCCTTAATTTCTTGAAAGGACTTATTGCAAGTTGAAATTGTATATAAGATACATTTGTTTTTATTAATTTTATCTGATTCCCTCTTCATTCTAGAGGGGAAGTTGGACAAAATACATTATTTTTTCTTTTTTTCTTTTATTTCTTTTTTTTGAGACGGAGTCTCACTCTGTCACCCAGGCTGGAGTGCAGTGGTGCGATCTTGGCTCACTGCAACCTCCACCTCCCCGGTTCAACCAATTCCCCTGCCTCAGCCTCCTGAGTAGCTGGGATTACAGGAGCTCGCCACCACGCATGGCTATTTTTTTTTTTTTGTATTTTTAGTACAGATGGAGTTTCACCATGTTGGACAGACTGGTCTCAAACTCCTGACCTGAGGCAATCCACCAGCCTCGGCCTCCCAAAGTGCTGGGATTACAGGCATGAGCCACTGCTCCTGGCCTTTCCTTTTCTCCTTTTCTTTTCTTTTTCTTTTTCTTTTCTTTTTGCAGAGTCTTGCTCTGTTGCCCAGGCTGGAGTGCAGTGGCACGATCTTGGCTCCCGTAACCTCCACCTCTGGGACTCAAGCTGTCCTCCTACTGAGCTCAGCCTCCCAAATAGCTGGGACTACAGGCGCATGCCATCATGCCTGGTTAATTTTTGTATTTTTTGTAGAGATGGGGGTTTCGCCATGTTGCCCAGGCTGGTCTTGAACTTCTGGACTTAAGTAATCTGTCCACCTCGGCCTCCTCAGTGCTGGGATTACAGGCGGGAACCACCGCGCCTGGCCATTTTTCTTTTTTTTCTTGAGATGGAGTCTCGCTCTGTCACTCAGGCTGGAGTGCAATGGCGCCATCTCGGCTCACTGCAACCTCCACCTCCCGGGTTCAAGCGATTCTCCTACCTCAGCCTCTCAAGTAACTGGCACTACAGGCGTCCGCCGCAACGCCCAGCTAATTTTTTTTGTATTTTTAGTAGAGACGGGGTTTCACCGTGTTAGCCAGGATGGTCTCCATCTCCTGACCTCGTGATCCATCCGCCTTGGCCTCCCAAAGTGCTGGGATTACCGGCGTGAGCCACTGCGCCCGGCCCATTTTTCGTTTTTTAAAAATAAATAAATAAGTTTGTCCTGTTTACCGCTCTATATCCAGCACCTAGAACAGCGCCTGGCACCTAAGCAGGCATTTGGTAAAACTGTGCCAAATGAGTGAGTGCGGACAGCGTCCTAGTCCTTCACCAGCCCCCTCTCAGCAGCGCAGGCAACTGGCCCAGCTGTGTCTCCCGCACGGGCCGGCGGGCGCTGTGATGGAGGCAGTGCAGGATGCCGTGTGAGCCCGAGGAAGGACTTGCAGCCCTGCTGAGGGGACGAGGCGAGGCTTCTTGGATGACGCCACATCTAAACTGAGATCCGAGGGCTGAGTAGGAATTCTCTTAAAGAGGAGGAGAGAGGGCCGGGTGCGGTGGCTCACGCCTGTAATCCCAGCACTTTGGGAGGCCGAGGGGGGTGGATCACCTGAGGTCAGGAGTTCCAGACCAGCCTGGCCAACATGGCGAAATCCTGTCTCTACTAAAAATACAAAAATTAGCCAGGCATGATGGTGGGTGCCGTCATGCTACTTGGGAGGCTGAGGCAGGAGAATTGCTTGAACCCAGGGTGGAGGTTGCAGTGAGCCGAGATCGCACCATTGCAGGCCAGGCTGGGTGACAGAGCGAGACTCTGTCTCAAAGAAAAAAAAAAGAGAGAAGTAGAGAGTTCAGGATAGAGGGACATACAGGTGCAAAGTTCTGAAGGCAAGAGAGAGTCTGGCAAGTGGGTAGAAAATAAAGGAGATTCATGGGTGTGTATGAGAATGGGGAGAACAGGGTGGGCTCATGAAGGATCTGGAGTGGCTCTTAAGTCTGGACATGACATGCCCAGAACAAATATCTGCAAATAGCTCCAGGAACTTTGCCATATCCAGCATCTCTTGTCCTGGTAATAAATACTATTTGCTTAATATTTTACTTATAGCTGAATCAGTTTACTTAAATACATTCATATAAAAAGGAAACCCTCTGTAACACTATCCTAATTTGTATGATATACACAAAGTAACAGTAAAACTAAACCAAATGAAAACAAAATTCAGATGCTCCTTGACTTAACATGAGGTTACATTCTGATAAACCCATCGTAAATTGAAAATATCCTATGTCAAAAATGCATTTAATATTCCTAACCTACTGAACATCATAGCTTAGCTTCACCTCCCTTAAATGTGCTCAGAACACTTAAAATAGTCTACAGCTGGGCAAAGTCATCTGGCAACCCAGTCCATGGTGGAGTATCTGCTGTCTACCCTCATAGTCCTGTGGCTGACTGTGAGTTGCAGCTCCAAGTCAAAGCACATATTGCCAGCCCAGAAAAAGATCGAAAATCAAAATTCCAAGTACAGTTTCTACTCAATGCTCATTGCTTTTGCATCATCATAAAGTCAAAAAAATTGTAAGTTGAACCATCATTTAAGTCAGGGACTGTTTGCAGTGTTATATTTCATTGCCTAAGACTCTGATTTTACAGTCTACTTTCTCTTTTTAAAAAGGGAGAATCACAAGTGTCAACAAAGTGTTAAAGACATGGTAGCACCAGATGGAACTTTCTGTCTCGGTTCTTTCTAAGATTACTGTATTTCAGTAATTACATAAAATAATTTTTTTTTGAGAGGGAGTCTTGCTCTGTCACCCAGGCTAGAGTGCAGTGGCACAATCTCAGCTCACTGTAACCTCTGCCTCCTGCATTCAAGCAATTCTCCTGTCTCAGCCTCCTGAGTAGCTGGGATTACAG
Source organism: Homo sapiens (assembly GCF_000001405.40). Lineage (NCBI taxonomy): Eukaryota > Metazoa > Chordata > Mammalia > Primates > Hominidae > Homo > Homo sapiens. The sequence goes on from NC_000001.11 coordinate 25,594,402, forward strand.
GCACGCGCCACCACACCCAGCTAATTTTTGTATTTTTAGTAGAGATGGGATTTCGCCACGTGAGCCAGGCTGGTCTCAAACTCCTAACCTCAAGTGATCCGCCCTCCTCGGCCTCCCAAAGTGCTGGGATTACAGGCATAAGCCACCGCACCAGGCCAAATAATCTTATAAATGGTACAATTTCCACACATAGAGAAACTTGCTGTAAACTTTTCAGGTGTCTGGCTGAATAGGAGTAGGATATGGAAGAGGAAATGAGGTAATAGCTAAGAAAACGAACAAGCCAATCAATCAATCAGTCAAGTTTTGTCCTCTCACTCCCTTACATTGTAAAACCTACTCATCCACTCATCCACCCATCCAATCACCTGGGCATACACCTGCCTGCCCATACACCCACTGACCTTTCTGTTTATCTGCCTGCCCATTCACAAACCCATCTACTTACCCACTTGTATCTGCCTGCCCCTCTATCTGAGCATCTTCCCACCTGCCAAATATATGTACCCACTCTCTCCACCAAACCACTTTCCTAAACATTCCCCATCCTTTCCTCCATCTACCTGCCTGTCCATCCATTCATTGTCCATTTATCTATCCATCCACCCATTCATTCAGCCATCTGTCCACCCAACCTTCCATTCACCTGTCCATTCATCTACTTATCCACCCAACCTTCCATTCATCTGTCTATCCATTCTTCTACCCAAACTTTCATTCAGCTGTCTATCCATCTATTCATCCACCCAAGCTTTCATCCATCTGTCCATCCATCCATCCATCCATCCATCCATCCATCCAATTCATCCATATGTCCACCCAAGCTTCTATCCACTTATCCATCTATCCATCTGTTCATCTGTTAATCCATTCATCTATCCATCTACCCATCTGTCCACCCGTCTGTCTATCTATCCATCTATCCCACGAAATACAGTCCCACATAATACAATTCCCTAGTTCTCCTCCTATTCTTTCTAACACAGAAACTGTGGCCATGACCTCTTTAATTGATTTGAATGTGGAGTCTTATTGCTTCATACAACCCTCAGTCCTACCTGAGTTGCTTCTTGGATTGTTCCTGGATAGAATCTCTGAAAATCACCTTATTCTTGCTGTCCCTGACCCCTTGCCCCCATATACGCCTCCCTGGGTCTTCTTTTCCCACAACCTTACCAGGGCAGAGGCCTAGAGTTTCAAAGCTAGAAGGACTTGGACAACCAAGTCCAGTGCTTCCAGTTTCTAGATGGGAAAACTGAGGTCTAGAGTGGGCAAGGTGCTTAAGCAAGGTGACAGGGTGAGCTAGTCACAGTGCAAGGAACCTTTACTTTCCCAAACTAAATCCTCCAGTTCCCGGAAGTATGTATTGATTTCTAAAATGACAGGGCTCAAAGCATCCTTAGACATCAGCTCATTCAGTGTTTTCTCACTCAAGGAGAAGGGCCTCACAGAGAAGGAGGTTGGGAATGGTCTAGTTGCTGAGTCCTACATTCCTATTCTTTTCTTTTTCTCTCTCTCTTTTGAGACAGAGTCTCACCGTGTCACCCAGGCTAGAGCGTAGTGATGCAATCTTGGCTCACTGCAGCCTCTGCTTCCCAGGTTCAAGTCATTCTTCTACCTCAGCCTCCATAATAGCTGGGGTTACAGGCATGCACCACCACTACTGGCTAATTTTTGTATTTTTAGTAGAGACGGGGTTTCACCATGTTGGCCAGGCTGGTCTCGAACTTCTGACCGCAAGTGATCCATTGGCCTCAGCCTCCCAAAGTGGTAGGATTATAAGCGTGAGCCACCTCTCCTGGCTCCTACATCCCTATTCAACCACAGGATAGGAGTATGTAAGATTTTTTTGAACAAGAGATTTTGCTGCTAAGAAAAAGATTTAAAATCTTTGTTCTTATCCAATGCCCTCACTTTATGAACAAGGCAGCAGGCTCAGGGAGGAAGAGGTTCTTACTTAAGATCTCATAGTAGGTAAGTGGAAGAGCTGGGTCACTAAATCAGGTCTCCTGGCCCTGTCATTTTTATTTGCTAAGCATCTGCTGGCTTTAGAGGGACCTGAATTGTGGTGGCCAGGGAAGAGGGAATGCTACTCTTCTATTTCAGGAATTCCCAGATCTGGCTTAGGGAAGGCAAATGCTGCAATTTTGCTGTTCATAAACTGATGAGATACTACACTTTAAGAAAAAATCAAATGTGGGCCGGTCATGGTGGCTCATGCCTGTAATCCTAGCATCTTGGGAGGCCGAGACGGGTGGATCACCTGAGGTCAGGGGTTCAAGACCATCCTGGCCAACATGGTGAAGCCCTATCTCTACTAAAAACACAAAAATTAGCTGAGCGTGGTGGCACACACCTGTAAACCCAGCTACTCAGGAGGCTGAGGCAGGAGAATTGCTGGAACCCGGGAGGCAGAGGTTGCAGTGAGCCAAGATTGCGCAACTGCACTCCAGCCTGGGTGACAGAGGGAGACTCTGGCTGCTGAGGGAAGGCAGGCAGGGTGAAAATTGTACCCTAAGTCCCTCCTGTATGATGGCTTCTTCCCTTCTCCTTTTTTCCTCTTTTTAAAAATATATATTTTAAGGCTGGGCCCAGTGGCTCATGCCTATAATCCCAGCACTTTGGGAGGCAGGCAGATCACCTGAGGTCAGGAGTTAAAGATCAGCCTGGCCAACATGGTGAAACCCCATCTCTACTAAAAATACAAAAATTAGCTGAGCATGGTGATGGGCACCTGTAATCCCAGCTACTTGGGAGGCTGAGGCAGGAGAATCGCTTGAACCCAGGAGGCAGAGGTTGCATTGAACTGAGACTGTGCCATTGCACTCCAGCCTCGAGACAGAGCGAGATTCTGTCTCAAAAAAAAAAATTATATATATATATATATATATATATATATATATATATATATGTACACACACACACATATTTTAGAACCAGGGTCTTGCTATGTTGCCCAGGCTGGAGTACAGTAGCTACTCACAGGCATGATCATAGCATGCTACAACTCCAAACTCTTGCCTCAGTCTCCTGAGTAGCTGGGACTACAGGCATGCACCACTGTGCCCAGCCCTCCCCTTCATAGCTGTCTCTTTGCCTTACAAATTCTGTTAAAGTTGTGAGAGCTGAGCACACTTTGCTCACTGTGATTGTGGGTTTTGCCACTGAAAATGGCAGTCCCACGCAGGAGAGACACAGGATGCTTTCCTCCCCCGATACATGGGGCAAATGGCTCTCTGCTCCCTGAGTGGAGGGCAGCAGTTTTGGGGATTTTTGTACTCCTCTAGCTCAGCTCCATTTGAAACTCAGCCTGTTGATGTTCTCTGGGATCTAGGGCCAAGCTCTCTAGCATCTGACCTTGTCCTGCGACCTTCCACCTGCACTTGCTGTCACTCTGAGTTTTTTGTTCTCACCAGCATTTGCTGAAGCATCATCCTTGTTTATCTGCCCTGCCTGGGCCTTTTAACACAGGTGAACTCACCTTTGTATAACATGCGATGGTTAAGAGCAGGCTCTGGAGTCAGGCTGTGTGGGTTCAAATCTCAGCTACACTGTTTACTGGTGTGCTCTTGGGCAAATTACTTAACCAGTTTTGGCCTGTTTCCTCGTCTGTAGAATGGATATATAAAATGATAGGAAGATCAGAGAAAATACTTGTGCTGGGATCCGAAGGAAGAGGGGAAGAAGAGAGAAGGAAGGGAATCACAGACAGAAGCAAATAGCGTGTGCAAAGCCCTGTAGCAGCAAGAAGAGGCAGGGAGACTTGAGAGAAGGCCCAGGACTGCAAAGAGGCGACAGCTTGGCTCGCTCAGCCTCTTTTGTTGTGTGTCTTCCTGTACTAGAGAGACTCAGAAGCTAGATGTCTCTGAAGCCAAGGGTGCAGGTCAGATGCGACTTAGGCTCTACCAATCAGATGTACCATGGATGTTAATGTTCTAAGTCAGGGGCCATGTTTCTCTGGTCTTTGGACAAGCAGAGTCAAGGAGGTATTTGTTTTTCCACAGCAGCTGTTGCAGAGGGCTCAGCGTCTAGATCCATGTGTTGTGATTGTAGGGGAAGAGCTTGGGTCACCCATTCTGCGGCATGGGTCAGGGTAGAGTACTGTCCTTCCTGGAGCCGGCAGGGGTGGTGGCCACCTGATTTCCCAGCTTCTTGATTATGGTGGTGGCTGCAGCTCCCCTGGCAGGCCAGTTCTGCAGTGTTCTTCTGGGGATCATTTCTGGAAGCTCAGCCTAGAGTCAGCCTCTCCAACCCTCCCAACACTGGTGTAAGTACCTTTCCCTTGTATTAAATTCCTTTCTTCCTAAACAAGCTGCTGCAGTTCCTGTGATCTGAAACGGAGACTGACTGTGGTGTATTAAAGCGAAACATAAAGTTTTCCCATTGAGAAATGAAGCTTATTTTGCCTCCCTTCAATTGGCACCAGCCCTGTGACTGCTTAACCAAAAAGAAAGTGGTGGAACTGATGCTCGTCAATTCTAGGCCTAGCCTGGAAATTAAGAGCTACTGGAATGCTCACTCTTGAGACACTCTGTCTCAGAACCCAGCTGGCATGCTGTGAGAAGCCCCAGCCACATGGAGGGCTGCATGTTGGCACTCCAGGCAACAGCCCCAGTTGAACTCCCAGGCAACAGCCATCATCAACCATCAGACATGTGAGTAAGCCACTTTGGAAAGCCAGCCGAGTCAAGCCTCCAGATGACTACAGCCCCAGAAGAACCATACAGCTGAGCCCAGTCAACCCAGAGAATCACAAGAGATA